>NC_000006.12:113820790-115070790 GCF_000001405.40 Homo sapiens
TGGATACAGCATAAGCTAATATGACAAATGACAGTGCCTCGGACTGTGCTAAGGCAACTGAGTCACATTCGAGATCCATGGAATTCAGTTCTCTCATAACGCTGTCTAGATGATTTCAACAAAGATTTATTGGGCAACTTTTGTGTGCAGATTCTTGGGGTAGGTCCTTAGAGGAATGAAAAGGGGCTGCAGAGAGAGATGACTGGACTGGAAACACTGAATATGAGTAAATGACTAAGAGCTGACACTTAAATAGTGCTTACTCTGTGTCAGAACCTATTCTAATCACTCTATGTGTATAGCTTCTCACCAACTTATGATGGAGTTACATCCCAATAAACCCACCATAAGCTAAAAATATTATAAGTTGAAAATCCATTTAATACACCTAACCTATCAAACGTCATAGCTTAGCCTAGCCACCTTAATCGTGCTCTGTAGACTTAACATTAGCTTAAGTTGGGCAAAATCATCTAACACAAAGCCTATTTTACAACAAAGTGTACAATATCTCATGTAATTTATTGAATACTGGATTGAAAGGGAAAAATGAAATGATTGTATGAATACTCAAGGCATGGTTTCTACTGGAATGTGTATTGCTTTCATACTATCATAAAGTCAAAAAATCATATAAGTCAAACCATATAAGTTGGGGACCATTGGTATTGATTCGTTTAATCCTAACAACAGCCTTACTAAGGTCTATCAATGATGATCAGGTCTATCATTAACATCCCCACGTAACAAATGAAGAAATTGAGACTTGGAGAGCTTAAGTGTCCCACACAACCGTGAATCAGTTAGTGAGTGGCAGAGCTAGAATTTGAAACCAGGCACTCTGGTGCCAGTGGTCATACTCTAAACCACCACCCCATACAGGAGGTGGTTTGGCAAAGAAGAGACAGGAGTGTATTCCAGAACACAGGAAAAGATGTTAAGCATATTTGGAAATAAGCCTGTGGGAAGAATGTGGCTGACAATGGACAAGACTTTATAGAAAGGGTACAAGTAACAGGAGGCTGAAAGCTTCATCCTAAAAATTACCAATGGATAAATTACAGGTAAAGATAAAAGAAACCTGATGAAAGAATTTGAAGCAAAGTGAGTTAAAAATACACCAGAAAGCAAAGAAATTTTTGCACTGAAGCATTTTATGGTGACCAAAATCCAGAAACTTCAGACAGGAAAATCAAGCAAAAATATGCAGGGGTGTCCAGTCTTTTGGCTTCCCTGGGCCACACTGGAATAAGAATTGTCTTGGGCCACACATACAATATGCTAATGCTAATGATAGCTGATGAGCTAAAAAAAAAAAAAAAAAAAAAAAAAAGCCAAAAAAAATCCCATAATGTTTTAAGAAAGTTTACAAATTTGTGTTGGGCCACACTCAAAGCCATTCTGGGCCACATGCAGCCCGCAGGCTGTGAGTTCGACAAGCTTGATATACAGGCAAGAGATTCCTGAGAATGGGAGGGTGAGCCATCAGAATAAATACCAGAGTTCTCTAAGTGACTGAATTAGAATACAGAGTAGAGTTTTGAGAAGGGAGACTAACAGGAGGAACTGAGTGAAGATAAGTACTTTATGAAGAAAATGACTTAGGCTCTGTGTAGGCTGACCTCTCAGGCAGCTATTGTGTAGCAGGGACACTAGAAGTCTGACGAAGGAAGGAACTGGAGCGATGGACAGACATTTGGGTTGTGCAGTGGTCATCAGAAGAGTATGAAGGGCCAGGCACTGTGGCTCATGCCTGAATCTCAGCACTTTGGGAGGCCTAGGTGGGCAGATTGCCTGAGGTCAGGAGTTAAAGACCAGCCTGGCCAACGTGGTGGAACCCCGTTTCTACTAAAAATACAAAAATTAGAGGGGGCGTGGCAGTGCACCCCTGTAGTCCCAACTACCCCGGAGGCTGAGGCAGAAGAATAGCTTGAACCCAGAAGGCAGAGGTTGCGGGAGCCGAAATCACGCCACTGCACTCCAGCCTGGGCCACAGAGTAAGACTCTATCTCAAAAAAAAAAAAGAGTATAAAGACACTGGACAGTGAAGAAACTATAACAGGAAAGTGGGGTGGATTCTCAGTGGAATCTCTTTCAGAAGACAAAAAGGAAATGTCTCCAAAAGAAGAATCAGGCTGGGCATGGTGGCTCACACCTGTAATCCCAGCAGTTTGGGAGGCCAAGGCAGGAGGACTGCTTGAGCCCAGGGGTTCAAGACCAGCCTCAGCAAGATGGCAAGACCCTGTCTCTGTATTTAAAAAACAAAAAAGAAGAAGAATCCGGAGATGAGACAGGAAAAATTAATGGAAACAGAAGCAGGAAAAAAAAAAATGCCAAGACAGATCAGATTAAAAGAAAGATTTTAAACAGTTTTTTATAAATCAATGTTTAATATTTGTTTTCACACATCTTCTATAAAATCTGAAATATATCATTCTAGAAGTTTATTATGATTTTAAGCTAATGAATTGCCCATGTTAAAAATGAGAAAAGAAGCCAGGCACGGTGCCTCACGCTTGTAGTCCCGGCACTTTGGGAGGCCGAGGTGGGTGGATCACCTGAGGTCAAGAGATCGAGACCATCCTGGCCAACATGGTGAAACCCCGTCTCTACTAAAAATACAAAAATTAGCTGGGCATGGTGGTGCGCACCTGTAGTCTTAGCTACTTGGGAGGCTGAGGCAAGAGAATCACTTGAACCTGGCAGGTGGATGTTGCAGTGAGCCAAGATCGTGCCACTGCACTCCAGCCTGGCAACAGAGTGACACTCCATCTCAAAAAAAAAGAGAGAGAGAGAGAAAAGAGAATTCTGAGGTAAATTGATCTTTTGAGAAAACATCTGCAATTGCAGTTACATTAATCACAAAACAAAAGCATAATAGTAATTTAACTTATGTTGAAGACTTCTGAAGTCGAAGCATGCAAATCACATACCAATTTTACTGCTCTTCAGAATCACATACTAATCTATTTGGGTAGCTGAGCCCCACAATTCAAAAGTCTTAAACATTAAAATCCAAGATCTTTTCTGCTCTGCAGTAAAATGATTCCAGTGCTTAATATGCTCCAGCTCTCACTTGCTGAGTGGATCATGTTAGCTATACAAATGGCTTCTGCAGGACTAAATGTGACTGGCGAGGAAACAGCCATTGAAAAGCATCCCCTGAATGACTTGGGAACACAAAAAGCCATCACACTCAGGATAAAATAGAGATCCCAAAGTCTAGCATCAGAAAATTGGTTACTTCTCAAAAGTATTTTTATTTTTTTAAGCTTTACCCAACAAGAGAAGGCAGCAGGAAACAAATCCTTTCAAATATACAAACTTCTATTGTATCTAATAAACAAAGAGTCTTTAGTCTTCCTTAATCCCTAGGGCTATCCCAGACACACACACACACACAAAAAGTATCAAATTTTTAGTTGTTCCCAAAAGTGATCTTTTCTCCCCAAAAATGTTTACTTACTGACAATTTATAAATCAGATGGCAAAAGTGTTTATAGGAGGAGAGAGCATCACGGGGCGATCCATCTCTGGCAAGAAGTTTCATTTCATAAGACACCCATGATTCAAGCAGACGTGATCAATCACCCCCCAAGAACAGACACCATGACCCATTCACTCCTGACAGACCATACTCTTTATAGCCTCTGTTCCATAGCACTTTGGATGTCTGCTAAATTGTTATTTGTTACAAAGCATGCTTTTGCTATGACAGATTCCTCCAACTCCTTCTCCCTGCTGAGCCCATGGAATCACAGCTGTGTTGTACCACAAGTGCAGTGTTGTCAAATCTTAGCTTTGTTTAATTATTCAAGTTGGTTCCACCACAGAATTAAACTGCCTGGAGGTATTATGGGATTTCAGCACAAACAACACACATGACCACATAGATGCCAACCGTTGCCAAGTATCTACGTGGACTCCACTTCTCACTCACAGTGGTAACTAACAGCACACCCTCAGTAACCAGGAGCAGGACTAGATGGAACAGTTTAATCAAAGACAGTTTGCCTCCAAACTGTATCGCAGTCCTTCAGGCTGGGAGTCCTTGCATGCTCAAGGCCAGCATAAATCAGTCCAGCCTAGAAGATACCTCCTCAAAACTTAGGTTCTGGCCAACCTACAAACTCTAGTTCAAGATTGTAGTTTTCCAAATTTAACAGAAATGTCAGAATTAATTGTGTTCTCTCAGATTTACCTTTTCCGTATTCTCCTCCAAAGTATTTCAAAAGGCATGGAGAAGTGTTTATACATGAGCTAGATGTTGCCCAGTACTCTAGTGGAATTACGTCAAGAATAACTTGGAGTGTGTATTGTTTTTCATCTCATGAAATAAAAAAAAAAATAGGATATTAGGACAGGAAGGATACTTTTCTTTTTGTTTCTTTGTTGGTTTGTTTTGAGTTGTTGTTGTTTTTGTTTGAGACAGAGTCTCACTCTGTGGCCCAGGCTAGAGTGCAGTGGTGCGATCTCAGCTCACTGCAACCTCCCCCTCCCGGGTTCAAGCAATTCTCGTGCCTCAGCCTCCCGAGTAGCTGGGACTACAGGTGTGCACTAGCACGCCCGGCTAATTTTTGTAGTTTTAGTAGATGGGATTTTGCCATGTTGGTCACGCTGGTCTCGAACTCCTGGCCTCATGTGATCCACCCACCTCCGCCTCCCAAATTGCTAGGGTTGCAAGTGTGAGCCACCACGCCCAGCCAGGAAAGAGATTTTAGAGATCTAGTTAGAGCCCCTCATTTTGCAAAGAGGAAATGAAGGTCCAGGGTGATAGAGTCCCAGTAGCAGATCTCTGACTGCCTCTGAGTCTGGGGCTCTCCCACTGTGCCACACCTCCTCCAGCCACTGAAGGGAGACTAAAGGAGGCCTATTTTCTGCTCTCCACTCTCCTCTCTTTCTCTGCACCTAAGCAGGGGTGACTGTCTCTCCCTTGAAGGAAGAAAAGACTTAAATATGCAATCTTTCTGCTGTGTTCCTGTGTAAACTGTGGCCAGAGTGAGGAGAAGGAGGGGCAACTTTGGGAAAGTCATATTTATAGGGCAGAGTGCCTCCCCAATCCCCTACAACATCCTGGTGCCTCAATGTCTATGAGCTGAAAAATCAGCGCATAGAAAGAGACTCTTCTTGGCCACCATGTAATGAGGAGTGCAGCTGCACTGGCGACCGCACAATTCCCAGGAGCAACCGGGCAACGCTCCAGCTCCTCTGAGAACTGCTGGGCTGGCAGAGACAGGGCCCTGACTTTTTCCCTCCACACTTGGAAACATGCATTACTTGAGCTCTCCCATGCTGGGAGGGGAGAAGCAGATTAAGCTACAGAAGTTGAACCAGAAGGTACTCTTTTACAAGGCTCAGCCATCATTTCTCAGTGCTGGGCTAATTTACAGAGAAACATGGAGAAAAAGATAAATAGAGGTTTTGGAGTAATGTGCACTCCTAATATGTCAAGGATTTGTAGCTTTATCTAGTTCCTTCTCACCCAACTTAAACTTAGATTTCTTAAAATTTTAAGGGACCTGAGAAATCAGCAAGCACAAAATAGCAATTAACTAAGACTTCCTATCTGTAATGGGCTTAAAGCCTTTCAACCTATCATCAGATGAAAAAATATATATAAATTTTAGTTTGGTAACTTGTAGTAATAAATTATTTTCTAGGAGAAAGGGAAGATTGAGGCTATTACCTAAAAATTTCACTTGTCTGTGAATTTTACACCTAAGTGTTCTCTTTGTATCTCGTTAGCACAAGTAACATAGGGTTGCATATGGGTCTAAGTAGCTTTCCAGAAAAATGACTCATAAAATGCAGATTATGTACCAGGTGCTTCACATGCAAAGCCAGATAACAAAAACAAATAGGACTTCGTCCTACCTTCAAGGAGCTTATAACAGAGAAATTACAACAAAGGAAGTAAGTGGACAACTCTTTTTCATCATTTCATCTATATGTTTTTACTTTCATCTATATGTTTTCATCATTTCATCTATATGTTTTTCCTTTTTATTTATTTATTTAGACACAGAGTCTCACTCTGTCATCCAGGGTAGAGTACAGTGGCATGATCATAGCTCACTGCAACCTCAAACTCTTGGGCTCAAGCAATCCTCCTGCCTCAGCCCCCTGAGTAACTAGAGCTACAGGCATGCACCACATGCCTGGCTAACTTTTTGATTATATTTTTGTAGAGATAGGTCTTTACTATGTTGTCCAGGCTGGTGTCAAACTCCTGGCCTCAAGCGATCCTCCTGCCTTGGCCTCCCAAAATGCTGGTATTACAAGTGTGAGCTAACATGTAGGCCTTGTATTTACTTTCTAACCTCTGATCTCCCTTCTAAGCTCCAGTCTTGAACATTCAACAAACTGGTTAGCGCCTGCCTCCTCTGCACCCAAACATTCCATCATTGCATTTTCAACCTGAAAATGCCTAAAACTGAATGCATTATTTTTCCTCCAAAATTGATTTTCCACCATTTATCAATGGTATCACAATTTTTAACATAATCTAAACACAAGACCTAGAAATGGGTTTTTATTTACCCCTTTCCTTATCCTCAAACTCAATTGCAATGTCTTATTGGTCATCTCTTTATAATCTGAGGATTCCACTCTCCTGCTCTAGTTTCTCTGCCTTACACCTTTATATCTGTTCCAAGATATTCACATACTCTTGCACAAGTAACTAATTCTTCTGATTTTTTCTGCCTCCAAGCTCTCTCACCAACTCACATGCCATCACCTGAGAAATCTCTTGAAAATGTCTCTTTGATATGGCACTCAACTGCTCAAAAAATTTTTGTATCTAATCTTTGCTTATAGAAGAGCCTAATCATCTTAGTTTGGTATTTGCAACATCCCTTCCTCTAGTTTACTGTCCATCATCATCACTCCTGGTTTCCCAAAGATATATTCTTTCCTATGGGCACCAGTTGCTAATATTTTTTCTCTACCTGGAATGACTTCACCCCACCTCTCCCATGACCACTGGATTAGCCCATTTTCACACTGCTATAAAGAAACACCCAAGACTGGGTAATTTATAAAGGAAAGGGGTTTAATTGACTCATAGTTCCGCATGGCTGGGGAGGCTTCAGGAAACTTACAGTCATGGAGGAAGGGGAAGAGGCACATCTTACATGATGGCAGGTGAGAGAGAGCAAGCAAGAGCAGGAAAAACTGCCATATAAAACCATCAGATGTTGTGAGAACTCACTCACTATCATGAGAACAGCATGGGGTAAAACACCCCCATGATCCAATCACCTCCCACCTGTTCCATCCCTTGACACGTGGGGATTATGGGGATTATAATTTGAGGTGAAATTTGGGTGGAGACACAGAGCCAAACCATATCAACCACCCTACTTCCAAGTGCTTTTCCCTGATCAATTCATCTCTTCATTCCCAGAGCACTTTTTAATGTCTACCACCCATATGCCCATATGTCATTATATATTGTGTTACATTATTGTTATTTTTGTATCTGTCTTCCATTCTATATTTATTATCTGTAAAATACAAGGGGATGGTGTAGACAGTTTAAAGGTTTTAAGATAATAAAACTTATAGTATGGGAAATAAAACATGTACACAAATAACATTATATGTATCAGCACATGATAAGTATTGTAAGAAAGTTAGAAAGCAGTGAAGCCAAGGAAAGAAGATTACCTGCAACTGAGTACCAGAGAAAAAAATTGTGGAAAAGGCAGCATTTGCAACCTTATGTTTGGATAACATTCTATGTCTTAGACGTATTAGATTCTCCAGGAATACAAATTGATTGGCTAAATCACAATAAATGAATTAATGAATGATAAAAATGGACACAAAGAAACAATGTAAGTTATCAAAAGTCATTCACTAACTTAATGACAAAGATTACAGAAGTTTATAGAATAATGCATTCCATTTTAGGCATTTTCAGGTTGAAAATACAATTGAATGTTTGGATGCAGAAGATGCAGGCAGAAAACAGTTTGTTAAATGTTCAGAACTGGAGCTTAGTCCTGATAGGAGTCCCCATGAACCATTTTCAATCCAAATAGACATTCCCAGCTTTAATTTTTCCTGCAATCTTCAAGTCTTCTCAGATCCTGTATCATGATCTACCAGAGTTGTGTGATATTGTGTTGCTCTAGAGGTGGGCAGTGTCTGAGAGCCAATAGAGTGATGGGCACCGATCCTCCTTTTCAGTGCCTATAACTCCAAGCTGCTCCTGAAAATCTTTCTTTCTAAGGGAAATTAAATACCCTGGTTTTAACCATTCTGAGAGTAGGAGAATGAAAGCAGCTGCACAGACATGCCATTTGTCCTATTTATAACAAGCCTATGTAGGCAATCACTCAGTTAGTTCATGTTACAGTTGGGGAAATAAAGGTATCAGACATCAGGGAATTGCCTCAACTCACAGAACAAGCCAGCAGCAAGTAGATACTCCTGCTCTGAGTCCAGTGGGTCATGCCACTTCCAATTAGGACTAGTGCAAGGCTGGATAGAAATGTCCCTCCCTGGTTTGTAGCCAGAATCCATCCCCGGGCTTCCTTTGACAATGGAACCTTTAGACAACCCTCGTCTCTTTAAGTATTAACAGACTGTATTAACTCTCCTGCCTGCCATGTACTGAGCTTCCTACCCCAACAGGCACTGACATTACAGGTGTCTAAAGAGGAGGTTATAAATATTAATCAAGAGAGTGAAGTTCATGCCTGAGAATGTTATGACAGTTGAAGTAACACATAAGACAGAAATTGCTTCCACTGAATAAGGAGGTGTCTTTTCTCTGCGTGATGCCTCTGCCTGCAATGTAATTTCCTGTAGAGGTGGCAGAGCAGGAAAGAGTAGAAAAGCAAACCAATACGGTTCTTTATAATGAATACATGGATGAGGTCTTGTGAAAGTAAATAAAGTCCCTGTAAAACACCAGGAAATTTCTTTGAAAATAGCCCACAAATTGGCCATAAAGCTTACCTTAGCCTGAAAGCCAAGGTCATGCATATAATTAGAATCACTAAAAGAATCCAGACCAAGGATGAGGAGGAGCCTAAGTACTGTGCAGTGTGGGGAAGCAGGCAGAGAATGGACAAGTAGGAATGTTACTTCCTCTTGAATAGACTCCCGAAGAGATTCCACACACTCCATTCTCTTTTGGGGTGAGGTTTAGTAATGGGGACAAAAGGTTAACCATAAGAATTTCACCACTAGACTGAATTCCTGGCTTTGTGCAGTCAGTAGCATTTGTGATTTTTCCCATAATTGGGATATTTCTTGAGTATTGCTAAACCTAAAGATACAGAAAAGGTACAGAGAGTGATTCCAAAATCCTTGAATTTTTATGAACCTAATTATTAAAAATTTTAAATAATTATGTTGGTTTCTCCTATTGGTACGTTATTAGAGTGTGTTTATATTAATAGCTCGTGTTTCTGTAGCTTTTAGTAGTTTACAAATGGTTTTTACCTGGATTACCTCATTTGAACCTTCCCCAACTATGTAAGCAAAGTTAATGAAGCTAAGAAAATGTAAGCAGCCAGTACAAGGTCAACTAACAGCCCATATGGCTCAGGGGAATTCACCAGGCAGAGCTTCTTTGGGTCATTCTGGCAAGGTGAGTTATTATGCCAAGGAACATATTAGCTGCTGGCTGCACATTGTGCCTCTGCCCAGGACTGCACATCTCACCAGTCATTGTATGAGAAGATCTCAGTGAAAACCAGATAAGAACAGACCATTATTCTCCAATTATTGTGTAAAAAGTATAGGCTTAAAGAATATTGATCTCTTGTTAAAGAAGTCTTTGGGACCCTATGTGTCAATTTAATGCCTAGGGTGCTCGAAAAATCTACGTGTTCTGTTGGAGAATCATGCTCATGCAGTGTAAAATAAAACATAAAGCTTTCATATATACACAGATGTGTATGTACACATGGATATATATGCATATATATGTAGTATACTGAAATTATATGAAAATATACGATAAAAGTGTTTCTTGCAGTAACAATGAACACAGCAGTTGCTAATATTTCGAGTCCAGACAAATTTGTGAAATTGAGCCAGTCTTATGAAATTCAGTAAACCTGTAAGTATAATGTGGAAAAAACTGAATATAAATCTCAGCAAACACCAGAAATGGAAGACAGACAGAAAAAATGAGAATTCACTGAGTCTTTAATGAGGACATCATTTATATACACATTTTTCTTTAAAAGCAATGTATAGATCTTCAGACTTTTTATTGAATGAGAACTCGTTATGTAATAACAAGTTATGTAATAAGCAGTATGTTTTGTAATAAGCAGTATGGCTAAAGAAATTACAGACATGAATGAATTTATCAGTGTCTGGGACTATTAAATAAAAATTTTAAAAGAAAGAATGAATGATGGAAGGGAAGACTGGAGTAAGAAACATAGTGTCAAAATTGTCCTTTCTGGTCTACCACCAACTACGTGAATAACCTAAGAGCAGTAAGCCTTCTGAACCCAGTTTTTTTCGTTTGTTAAATAAGAGAGTCAGATTGGGTCATCAAAAGATCTCTCTGTAGCCAGGCACAGTGGCTCATATCTGTAATCCCAGCTCTTAGGGAGGCAGAGGCAGGAGAAGAGCTTGAGCCCAGGAGTTTGACACTTGAGCCCAGGAGTTTGACACCTGCCTGGGCAATATAGCAAGACCCTGTTCTCTACAAAAAGGAAAAAAAAAAGACAAAAAAAACTCAAGTAATAACAATAAAAAATAGTATTTTTGAGCTCCTCCTAAATATGAGATACTGGTTCAGTGCTTTACACACACATCAACACTAATCCTTAACACTCCTGCAAAGTGTTACTGAGAGGTGAAGCCAGCTGGACTTCCTGGGTGGAATGGGGACTTGGAGAACTTTTCTGTCTTACAAGACGATTGTAAAACGCACCAATCAGCACTCTGTAGCTGGGACTGTAAAACTCACCAGTCAGCGCTCTGTAGCTAGCAAGAGGATTGCAAAATGCACCAATCAGTGCTCTGTAAAAATGCAGTAATCAGTGCTCTGTAGATAGCCAGAGGATTATAAAATGCACCAATCAGTGCTCTGTAAAACACCAATCAGCAGGAGTCTAAAAGTAGCCAATCGTGGGGAGGACTGAAAAAAAGGCACTCTGATAGGACAGAAATGGAACATGGGAGGGCACAAATAAGGGAATAAAAGCTGGCCACCCCAGCCAGCAGCGTCAACCAACTTGGGTCTCCTTCCATACTGTGGAAGCTTTGTTCTTTCGCTCCTCACAATAAACCTTGCTACCTCTCACTCTTTGGGTCTGTGCCATCTTTAAGAGCTGTAACACTCACCCAAAGGTCCACAGCTTCGTTCTTGAAGTCAGCGAGACCATGAACCCACCAGAAGGAACCAACTCCGGACATATTACTATTTATTTCCATTTTGTAGATGAGAAAACCAAAACGCAGTTTAAGTAACTTGTTTAAGGCCCCATGGATTATAGAAATAGAGGTAAGATTCATGTCCAGGTCTGTGTCTTTCCAAAGCCCGTATTACCTCCCAAGACACTAAAGTAAGCTGGCATCTTGTAGGCATAACCCAAGTGTTGAGATTATCTAGCCACTTTTGTATACATGTGGAGGATTATCCACTTTTATACACAAGATTTCCGTGTTGTCTAAGGAGGGTAGTAATTCAACCATTCTGTTCTGGGCTGCTAAGGGCATAAACCACAGCAGTCATTACGATATCCACTGGAGATCCTGATGGTGAACTCCTACCTAAATGAAACAGGCTTCCAGAATGCTGTGGATGGTAAACCCTATAAAATTATTGATGTTATTACTGAAGAAGGTGGATACCTGTTTCAAGTCTCTCTAGTAAGGAGAAAAGACTCATTGTTCAACCCACGGCTTAGTGAGTTTCTGAATAATAGGACTTTACTATATATGTATATGGATGTTATTGTTTCTACGAGGTCAGTCTCTGCTTGTTGACAACAAAACAAAAACAAAACAAAGACATATCCCTTAACATTAGGAGGTACAACTATTTCATATTCTATTATTAGCATGCTATGAGTCTAATGCATAATTAGGTATAATAACTAATGATACTTTGCTCATATACTTTGTCCTAAAATCTCTTAAAAACATGGAAAATGTCTGTTCAGTGTTTATCTTTTCACTTGCTTTTATAATTACTTGGTAGGAGGAATGTTTGAAAAAATACATACCCGATGGTTCACGCCTATAATCCTAGCACTTTGGGAGGCCAAAGCAAGCAGATCACCTGAGGTCAGGAGTTCAAGACCAGCCTGGCCAACATGGTGAAACCCCGTCTCTACTAAAAATACAAAAATTAGCCGGGTATGGTGGCACGTGCCTGTAATCCCATCTACCGGGGAGGCTGAGGCAGGAGAATTGCTGGAACCTGGGAGGCAGAAGCTGCATTGAGCAGAGATTGCACCACTGCACTCCAGCCTGGGCAACAGAGAGAGACTTCATCTCAAAAAAAAAGAAAAAATACATACCAAAATCTCAGAAATTATCTCTGAGAATTGAGATTATGGGAAATTTTCCTATTTTTATATTATCTGTTTTGGCATTATTTAAATTTTCTACAATGAGCCAGTTTTGGTTTTGTAATTAGAAAAAACAAGTAAATCACAACCTTTAACAATAACTTCAAATTTTACATTACATAAATCTCATTAGAAGCATATGCATAATAAATCAGAAAATTTAGATTTATTTTGCCTCAAGATAAAATAGCAGCTCTTAGCATTAGAAGATGAAGTCTGTTCAGATGTGCAGAATATTATCTAATATCTAGTCTTCAATGAGTACCTAGGGAATGACAACATCTTACCAGAATGCCACGTAGTATTGAGTCATAAAATGCCTTTAATTTAAAATCACCTCAAAAGTATACTCAAACCTTTGGCACAGAGAATGCTATGATCCCATGAGGGAAATGTCCTAATCCTTCAACACAAGGACTCCGGGTCATGTTCTTCATTTAAGCCTGCATCACCTCTTAATCTTGACAGCAAAATCCTCACCAAAATTTTGGCAAGCACACCAGGAATGATGCTGCCAAACAGGCATCAGTCTGGTTTCCTCTCTGCTAAAACATGAGGCCATTGAAAGTTTCTTGATGCAAATCACAAACAGGTTTCCTCAGAATGTGGTTGTTTATGAGCAGAAAGAAGAAAAATTACCCTAAAGTTACATCTACCTCCTCACCATCACTATATCATATCTGTTAGCAAACTACAGGCATTGGGTTGAATCTTCCCCCTGCACTCCATCCCTCTTTTGGTAAGACCCACAAACTAAGAATGATCTTTTAAATTGCTGCATAAAATTCGAATTTCAATGTTCATAAATAAAATTTTAATGGGAACAGAGCCTACTCATTCATTTATGCATTGCCCATGGCTGCCTTGCTGCTACACTAGAGACTGGATGACTTTCTGCAGGAGTACTAGTAATAATGTCTCCCAAGTCCACCCAGAACCTCAGAATGTGACCTTATTGGGAAATAGGATCTTTGCAGATGTAATTAAGTTTCGATGAAGCCATACTGGATTAGAGTGGGTCCTAAATCCAATCACTGGTGTCCTTATATAAAAACACAGATATACAGTGGGAAGAAAGCCATGCTGTAATGAGGCTGAAATTGGAGTGAGGCATCTACTAATCAAGGATTGCCAGCAACCAGCAGAAGCTAGAAAAGAGGCATGGCCAGCCTGGGCAACTTAGCAAGACCCTGTCTCTACAAAAAATAAAACAAAAATTAACCAGGCACGGTGGTGCACACCTATAGTGCTAGCTACTTAAGAGGCTAAGGCCTGAGGATCACCTGGACTCAGGAGGTCAGGCCTTGCAGTGAGCCATGATCATGCCACTGCACTCCAGCCTAAGTGACAGCATGAGACTCTGTCTCAACAACAACAACAAAAAAGGCATGGAATGTGTTCTCTCTCAGAGCCTCCAGACCTGCAAGGGTATACATTTCTGTTATTGTAAGCTACATAGTTTGTGGCATTTTGTTACAGCAGCCTAGAAAACTAATTCATTCCCCAAGTCTGAAATACCTGACACTTTACCCAAAACTGTTGGTGACCCCTGGTATAGAGCCCTGGTATAAAGGATTGTATTCCGGAAGAAAACTCACACAGAGTTAAGTTACCCTAGGTCAACTAAACCAGGGCAGTGCGGGGCCTGGTAAGGCATAAAAGCATTAAGAGACTATAGGGGAATTATAGGAGAGGGCAGTTCTTATCACACATGCTCTCATTTAACTTACAGTTTTTCTAGGCCAGGCATGGTGGCTCACTCCTGTAATCCCAGCACTTTGGGAGTCCAAGACAGAAGAATCATTTAAGCCCAAGAGTTCAAGACCAGCCAGCTTGGGCAATATAGTGAAACCCTGTCTCACTGCATATGTATGTATGCACGCGCACACACACACACACACACACACACACACACACACACACACACACATATATACCAGGCCTAATGGCATGGTCCTATAAATCCAGCTACTCAGGAGGCTGAGATGGGAGGATTGCTTGAGCCCAGGTGGATCAAGGCTGCAGTGAGCTGTGATCATGCCACTGGACTCCAGCCTGGGTGACAGAGCAAGACCCTGTCTCTAAAACAAAACAAAACAAAACAACAACAACAACAACAAAAACCTTACAGTTTTTCTGAAACTTACAGAAATGCAAAATGCTGAACACCTATTTTAGTGCCAATCACACATTATTATGTTGCATTGCATGAATTTCAGCAATGGCACTTCAACTTATAAAGAAGTTCAGGAGCACCCCACTGATCTATTTTCCATAAGTGCAATAGACAGTCACTGTATTCGAGACTAGTGATAAAGAGGGAACTGAGGAGGGATTAGCTGACTCTCAGTAAGGAATGATTCAAAATAGCTAAGTCTGAACCTGGTGCAAGAAGAATGCCACCTCTTTCCAGGCTCTAGGAAGAACTGTTACCACCACTACAGTCTAACAGCAGTACTTTAAATATCTTTAAACTCAGAGGCGCTCAAAAATACATGCTTATTGATCAATTAAACATTTATTTCCATTAATTGGTAAGATTTAAAGAAGAGTCAGGTTTTTGGTGAATTTCTGTTATATGTACATGATAAATAAAGAAAATAACATATATATATTTATATATAAAATAGAAATTCACCAAAACATATATATATTTTTTTTTTGAGAGATAGAGTCTCCCTCTGTCTCTCAGGCTGGAGTACAGTGGCACGATCTCAATCTCAGCTCACTGTAACCTCCGCCTCCCAGATTCAAGCAATTCTCATGCCACAGCCCCCAGAGTAACTGGGATTATAGGTGTGCTCCACCTCACCCAGCTGATTTTTGTATTTTTAGTAGAGATGGGGTTTTGCCATGTTGCCCAGGCTGGTCTTGAACTCCTGACCTCAAGTGATCTGCCCACCTTGGCATCCCAAAGTGCTGGGATTAATGGCATGAGCCACCTTGCCTGGTCCTGAATTTCTATCATATTTGATTGTAAGAGTCTTTATTGATGGTGCTCCACTGGAAATAAAAACACAAACGAAGAAATTGAAATGCCCCTTTCTCAATAACCACTTAATTTTAATTTATTTGACTCAAGACTAGATTTTTATTCTCTCGGCCTAATTATTCAAGTAAAAAGGATGAAACATATCCAGTAAGAGAAGGATAAAACATAAGGTATAATTTTAATACAAAAATACCCAGGATGCTGGTTATGGAAAACTGGGAAGGAATTCTGTGCCCAGGATACCAAACAGCACAAAAGGAAAAACATTTCTCTTAAGAACCAAATTATAATTTGCCTTGCATGCCAAAGAACTTCAAAGACTTTGCTGATCCCTATGTCAACCACCATGATTTTTCAAGTGAAGCTGAAGGTTGAAATTTGGTTTGATGAGCCCCTTGCTTCTTCTTGGCTAAGAAAGAAACAAGACTGCAAACCAGGCAAGTTACATTCTGCAAAGCTCCTTTACAAATGTTTTTCAGTAGAGCAGATTTGTGTCAGCCAAAGAAGCATAATGCCTCGGTGAAAAGCTGGGGCACCATCTTCCTAACACAGCTACCTCCAGCCCCTGTGGCTGAGCACTGGATCCCAGTGGCTCTCATTCCAGGTGTGGCTGCCTTGTGCAAGAACGAAGACAGGAGGCCTGTCTGATAGAACTTGCAGGTTTCATATGGGCAACAATAAGAATGAGACACAAATGGTAAATATATTGAAGTTTACATGTAATGGTGGAAAATATTTTCATTTTTAAAATGAAGACATTTTATTTTAAAAAATAATAAATTTTCTGTTAAGAGGACCCGGATTGAGGACAACAAACAAAGAACAGTCATGGTATTTGATGTACCGGATCACTATCAGCACTATGTCTTCCCAGGACTCTTCACCAGAAGGAAGGAACAAATACTAAAAGTAGAAGGCAAATATATTCTGTGAGACCTCTATAAATAGTAACATAAAGATTTTACTAACATGTAAGACCTACTCAAGTCCTTCTCTTCACTTGTGGGAGACTCCACAGCTGGCATCTGCATACCAATGGATGTCAAAAAGGGTTCATATCCAACTGGCTCATTATCAAGTCAGGAGCCTACCACGAAAACAAGAGTGTCAGAATCCTCAGCTTTTATACTGCTTCAACCAGGACACCTAGACCTTTTCAAGCATGGATGATTTTCTCCACAAGTGCAGGAAATTCAGCTACCTCCTGAATCAAGAAGAAAACTGTCTGTATTTTATTTTGTGTTCTTTACTTGTTTAACTGGCCTCCATACCATGAAACTTGGTTCCACTTATCTTTGATCCTCTCAGTCAGTTCCTTTTCTAAATGTTTTCTATTTAAAACAAGCCATGTTTTTATACTTTACCAAATCTATTTTTGACTGGATGAGCATTTAAGTGGACTGACTATGAATTTCAATTTCTCACTGTTATGTATTTGATCTGATCTCACAGGCATAACTAGAATCTTGTTTGAGGCACTGTGCTTAAGAATAGGGGGGAAAGATGCAGTTTGTTAAATCTTTCAGGATTCTCCTTGTGAAATGGAATTAGTCGGCACACCTACTAACTTTAAAGAAAGTGGCTGGAGACCTTTGCCTATTCAAGGGACAGAATGCATCAAGCTTCCTCCTGATAAGCCACCTGCAGAAACGTTTGTTAGGGTATACCATTAAGCCCACATCTATACATTTTGTGCCTTTAGTTTAAGTTTTGTTTAAACACTCTGGTTTTATTTATTTCAAAATTTATTTATTGAAATCACTGATTTGCACTGATATTAAAATATTTGATGATAGACTCACAATGTACCAATAATTGCTGAAACTACCATCATGTTTTCAACTGTTGACAGTGATCAAACAATTCTGTTTTGCAACTGCACTAAATAAAAGACAAAATGCAAAGTTTAATTATAATGAGATTAAGTTTTTTCAGTCTTTAATGAGATATAAAACTTATGAATAAGATGACCTTTTAGAGCTTTATTTCATAGATAAAATTTGAGATTACTATTTAAGAAATTTTGCTTAGGTTTCATTTGTGTGAAGCCTTTAAAGAAATGTTAGGTTAAAAACAGACTCCCTAAATTCCATCAACATAAATATTACTTACTTCGAACATGAATAGAATTTGAGAAATGAACCTTACACATTTATTCTAATTTCTTATGAGTCAAATTTATGGGATTAGGCTATATTTTTCTTGACTCAGATTCATTATTCAACATAAGCTACATTCAAAGAGAGAGAGAGAGGCCAGGCGCGGTGGCTCACGCCTGTAATCCCAGTAATTTGGGAGGCCAAGGCGAGTGGATTTCCTGAGGTCAGGAGTTCGAGACCAGCCTGGCCAACATGGTAAAACCTCGTCTCTACTAAATATGCAAAAAACAGCCAGGTATGGTGGCAGGTGCCTGGAATCCCAGCTACTAGGGAGGCTGAGGGAGGAGAATTGCTTGAACTCCAGAGGCAGAGGTTGCAGTGAGCTTAGATGGCGTTATTGCACTCCATCCTGGGCGACAGAGCAAGACCCTATCTCAAAATAAAATAAAATAAAATAAAAAATAAAAGAGAGAGAGAAAGATAGCAACAAGAATGGGGCAGTGGTAAAAGAATCTGCCTTATTGTGGGGGGAGTCCCAGTCAGAAGACTTGGTCTCTAATCTAAATTCTGTTATTAACTAGTTGCACTTAGGCAAATCACTTACTATTTCTGCCATCTCCTCCTGCATGTGGCACATATGTGGGTAACTCATTTAAAAACAACAGGAAGAAGATAAAATTATAGATTATCTAGGAATAATTTGCATAACATATAATGAAGACAACTGTAAACCTATATGTAAGGATGAAAAAAAGACCTGAATACCTGTATATATAATATTATACAGATATCACCTTTCTTACTCCCCAGCCATCTTGGCAGCTGCTCTTGACTGGGGCCATCCCAACCAAGGAGATGAAAAATTCACTGGAGTCAATTAATTATCGGCTCCAACTCATGAAAAGTGGAAAGTACATGCTGGGGTACAAGCAGACTTTAAAGATGATCAGACAAGGCACAGCAAAATTGGTCATCCTTGCTTACAACTGCCCAGCTTTGCGGAAATCAGAAGTAGAGTACTATGCAATGTTGGCCAAAATTGGTGTCCATCACTACAGTGGCAATAATATTGAACTGGGAACAGCATGCGGAAAATACTACAGAGTATGCACACTGGCGCTCACTGATCCAGGTGATTCTGCTATCATTAGAAGCATGCCAGAACAGACTGGTGGAAAGTAAACTATGCAAAATTTTCCTTTAATAAAACTTGCCAAGCTTGTTTTTTCTAAAAAAAAAATACATTATAAAGATATCAATTGTATGCCAATTTATTATCTAAGTATAATCGCATCAAGTACTCAGAGAAAAAATATGTTTAGAATTGAAAGGCTGATCCTAATTTTTTCTGGAAGAGTAAATAAGTAAGAATGCTGACTTTTAAAGCAAAAGAAAAATAAAGATGATTTTCCATGCCAGATATCAAAATACATTACAAAATTATAGTAATTAAACAAAAATGTATTGGCATAGGACTAAAAAGATAGTTCACTAAACAGAAGAGAGAATCCAGCAATAGACCCATGTTTTCATGGGAACTGTAGTGCATACTGATGAAAGAATTTCAAATCAATTCTGGTAGAACATAAGGGAAAAATAATCAAATGAGATTCCTACCTCACACTATACTGCAAAATAAATTCCCAATTTTATTTTATTTTATTTTATTTTTTTTTGAGACAGAGTCTTGCTCTGTCATCCAGGCTAGAGTGCAGTGGTGCAATCTTGGCTCACTGCATCCTCCGCCTCCGGAGTTCAAGCGGTTCTCCTGTCTCAGCCCCTCGAGTAGCTGGGATTACAGGTGCATGCCAGCATGCCTGGCTAATTTTTTTACTTTTAGTAGAGATAGGGTATCACCATGTTGCCCCAGGCTGGTCTCGAACTCCTGACCTCAGGTGATCCACCTGCCTCGATTTTCCAAAGTGCTAAGATTATAGGCGTGAGCCACTGCGCCCGGCCATAAATTCCAATTGAATTAAATCATAAGATTAAAAATTTTGACAAATATGAGGAAACCATAAGAATATGTATGTACTTTTTTTTTGGAGACAGTCTTGCTCTGTCACCCAGGTGCAATCTATGCTCACTGCAACCTCTGCATCCCCGGGTTCAAGCAATCCTCCCACCTCAACCTTCCGAGTAACTGGGATTATAGGTGTGCACCACCACTCCCGGCTATTTTTTGTATTTTCAGTAGTGATGGGGTTTCACCATGTTGGCCAGGCTGGTCTCTAACTCCTGACCTCAAGTGATCTTCCCTCCTTGGCCTCCCAACGTGCTGGGACTACAGGAATGTGCCACCTCGCCCAACCCGAATATATATGTACTCTTAAGGAAATATCATTCCTAAACAAGATAGAAAACTTAGAAGCCTGCTCCTTTTGTAGCTCATGAGCGATGATGATTGGGTGTTCACATGCATCTGTGAAATGCACTACAATCTTGTCACATTACCCATCTGACCTGAACTTGGGGAGGAAAAAAAAAACAACTCAGAAGCCACAAGGAACACAAGGAAACAACGGACAGATATAACTACATGATGCTTTCAATTTTTCTGCCCAGGAAAAGATCACATAAACCATGTTTAATAAAAGACAAAACAGACTGAAAGGAGATAGGTGTAACATACAACAGAAAGGGATTAACTGCTATAATATGTAAAAACTGAAGAGTTCCTTCAATTAAATAATGAAAAGACAATCCAATATAATAAGGTAAAAGAATAAAAATGAACAAAATAAAAAGAAAAAAGTGATCAATGAATATAAAGATCAATAATTTTTTCATGATTTCCCACCGATTAAAGAAAATTGAACAATTGATAGTATGTAGTTTTGGTAAGGGTATAAGGAAAAGGGCATTTTCATCACTATGCATCTGAATATAAACAACCATAGCATTTCTGTGGGTCAGTGTGGCAACATTCATCAATATGTTAAAGATTATGCCCTTTGATGGAACAATGTTACTTCTAACAATCCATTCTACAAAAATACTTACACATGTGGACAAATATATATATGAATATTAATGATAGAATAGAGAAAAATTTTAAACAACCTGAACATTCATCAATGAAAGAAATGACTAAGTAAGTTTTAATATTTCCATATGAACAATGAAACACTATATGGCTGTTTAAAAGAATTAGGTTGTTTTATATATACTCCTAGGGAAATTCTTCAAGATATAAAGTGCAAAAAAGAAGTCAGAAAGCAATCTAGATAGATTGCATCTAGATTGCATACAATAATGTCATTCATCCCATTTGTAAAACTCATGTATATATCTGTGCATGAGCAAGCATGGGAATAAAATAAAGCCTGAAAAAATACACTACAACTTGCTAACAGGAGGTAGAATTCTTAAAAAGGATCAATGAAAAGGAATTTACTTCAGTTATTTTATATACTCCTGTTCTATTTGAAAACGTTACAAGAATGCATTTTTTTCTCATTAAAATTTTTAATGGAAAAAATAGGAGTTAGCAAACTGTACTATTAATGTTGTTCCTGCCTTATCCAGAACTACTTGGTAATATAAAAAACAGCAGAATTACAAAGTCCAGAACTTTCTTTTGTTACATGTTCATTTTGCCTCCTTAATTTTTGTATTTATGTAAATAACTATAGCTTTTATAAAGCTCAGCTACAAAGGTACTAAAAATTTTATCAAAGTTTTTTTCTGTACCCCTTTTAAATATACACGAAGCCAACTTTTAAAGCTGGCTTTTTAATATAAGCATGATCTAAAAGTCCATAATTTTTCCCAGAGGACTGAATGCCTCCAGAGGACCTACCACTGTGGAAAAGATGCTGTGTCAAAATGATGCGGTGCAGCCATGCACTGGGCAGGACATCAACCTTGAAACACATGATACTGGTGACCACATAATGAGAATTCCATTCAAATTTGATGACTGATCTATGAAGTTCTAAGATTCTTGAGGGTTCTTTTAAATGCAGTTATCAGGCATCTGAAATCACTTTCTGCAACTTATCTGCAGTATAATCTAGAGAAAAATTTCCAGGCCTTGGTATCTATTTCATCATTCAAATGAAACTAATTCTCACCTGCCATTTATTATAAAGATTAAGTAAAACAATGGATCCAAAAATGCTTTGGAAGTTATGAAGTTGCTGTAAAACATTGTTTTTACCAATATATGAACAGTTGATCTTCCACAAATCAATTTGATATTCCTACCCCCACCCTTACCCTTGTATGGTCTGGACTCAGATTTGTTATCATTTAATGAGAACTTCCTATATTCAGGTCCTTAGGAAAAGTCTCAAACAGTTCTGGAAGGCAATGCTCCTATTACCCCCATTTCTCAGATGAGGAAGAAGATTAGGTACCTAACCCCAAGTCACAAAGCCAGGAAATAGTAAAGCCTAAATTCAAAGCTATTTATTTGATTCCAAAATTATTAACTGCTGCTCCTAACAGAGCACTGCCTCCCAGTATATTGATGTTTCATATCTTTTAATACCAATGAGGATAATAACTATTATGAGAATTATAATTGCTGTAAATTATCTCTTTTCAACAATTTTTTTTCAAAATTGGGAGAAAAGCAAGCCTACAAAAATAAAATTTGCATAGGTATTAACAAAATATTGCCCAAAGAAATTCAGGGTGTAAATAAATTATTAATATGCTACTGCTAACAAGATTGGTAATTAGCACTTAAGAAAAAAAAGAGAGAGAACAAGAGAACCCGAAGAAAGCTCATTTATCTATCTAGACTTTCTGTGAGAAGGATGAGGTTTCTTTTGTTTTGTTGTTGTTGTTGTTGTTGTTTTAAAATAGAGTCTGACTCTGTTGCCCAGGCTGGTGTGCAGTGGTGCAATCTCGGCTCACTGCAACCTCTGCAAGCGATTTTTGTGTTTCAGCCCCCCAAGTAGCTGGGATTACAGGCATGCGCCACCATGCCTGGATAATTTTTGTATTTTTAGTAGAGACAGAGTTTCGCCATGTTGGTCAGACTGGTCTCAAACTCACGACCTCAAGTGACCCTCCTGCCTCGGCCTCCCAAAGTGCTGGGATTACAGGCATGAGCCACTGCACCAGGCTGGATGAGATTTTTTTTTTTAATCTAATGTAAATTTTTTCAAAGTGCTGCTTACCCCCAGATAAACAGCAAGGCTGGCTCTCCTAGCTAAGTGCAGATGAAATGTCCAATTACATTAAACAGCTCTGGCTTGTAAAATATTTGAGGAAAAGCAGGGACTAAGAAAAGATAGCTTAAGAAATGCAAAATGTGGGGACACAGCATTTGCTTAATCACGTAAAAGTCTAAACGTTAATTAAAATTGACATTAATTAAGAACTATAATCCCACCTCCCTCAAGAGAGAGGCTGGCTTACTGGAAAGAAAGGACAACTTGGAATCACCAATTCTACAGGCCGTCTAGCGCCTTCAGTAATCCCTGGTCAGTGTCTCAGAATTCCTTTGGGAATTCTTCCCAAGGGAGGAGTCAAAAAATGGGTTCATTGCAAATGCTTACTTTACAAGTGAGTAATTTATTACAGCTCTGCTGTTACAGGTTTTTCTTATTTTCCTTTCGCTTCCAAATCTAGTCAGAGGGTTTCACCAAACCCATCTTATTCCCGGATGATAAGATAGAAAGGCAAACCAGCTTTTATTGAGGACCCGCTAATTGCGGGGGCCTGGGGTTACTAAAGCTCAAAACTTTCATTACAGCTTCTGCCCATTTTCATCCAAATCGCACCAGAAAACTTCTTACAAAGAACGCTTAAAGCAGTGGCTCATGCCTGTAATCCCAGCACATTGGGAAGCCAAGGCTGGCAGATTACTTGAGGCCAAGAGTTTAAGACCAGCCTGGCCAACATGGCAAAAACCCATCTCTACTAAAAAAAAAAAAAAAAAAAAATACAAAATTAGCCAGGTATGGTGGTGTCGCCTGTAATCCCAGCTACTTGGGAGGCTGAGGCAGAAGAATCACTTGAACCTGGGAAGCGGAGGTTACAGTGAGATCTCCCCACTGCACTCCAGCCTGGGCGACAGAGCAAGACTCTGTCTCAAAAATAAATAAATAATTTTTTTTTAAAAGAACACCTAAAACAACAACATCACCATACCTTACCTTTAGATATCTCTATTAAATCTTAGAACTAGAACTCTTTCTTTAAGATGGAAACTTTTATCTACATTTTACAAAGGAAGAAACTTGAGCTTAGAGAACCGAAGTCAACTGCATTAGTTCACAACGTAGCCACCAGATGTTTGAACCTGAAATTGAACCCATGTCTTCACATAGTGTAGTCCTACTACAGTGTAGCTCCTTCACCCCAGGGGAGCAAATTCCCCAAAGACAAGTACCATATTATTTTAGCAACAGCCAAAAGCACAGTGAATAAAATTGTATTTTGAAAGCTGTTTGAACACTGAAATGTTTAATGCACCTGGGCGGTGTTAGTATTATTAAAGAGTGATCAAAGTGGGTAACACAGTTTCCAGTAAGAAAAGTGGTCATAAAATATAATCATAAAGTATTGAAACAGTTTCTTATATGGCTTCTGGGGCCAGTCCCAAAGAGGAATGCCCCCCTAAATTGATTTGGAGATTGGCATGGGTCTGATGGGTGTTCTGATAAAGTGATAATTACAAAGGATAGTTGCTTGTTCCCATGAGTTCTGATACAATGACAATGGAAATCAACATTCTCAACTTTATATTCTTGCCATGTTCATGCATATATATATATATACACATATATATACACTGTGATAAGGAATTATATATATATGTATTTATGTATAAAATGACATAAGCTGCATTTTAATATGTTTCATGAAATAGTCCTGAGGAGCTCATTAAGAATTTTAAAAGTTTTTAATAAAGCATTAAATAAAAAGATATGGACCAAACAATTTAACTAGATATTTGCCTACTTGATATCCAATAAATTTTTTTACAATTCTCCCCCAGTAAATTGAATGAATCTTTTGATTGTATTAATAAAATGAAGTTAAAATGAAAATCAAATTATTTTCAAAAAGTAGTGATGATGCCTAGACTATAATAGTTCTTTATCCTGCTTGTTATTGAATATTTTCAAAACACCACAATTACAATAATACGGATTTTTTAAATGAAAAGTTGTAAAAAAAAATTTTTTTTATTGGTCATTTGGTGAAAAGAATATAAAAGTAGATGCAGGGAAAATTACTACCCATTTTATTCAATTAATGGCCATTCTATAGTTTAAGTATTCAGGACATTTAAAGCCACAGTAGAGGCTGGGCACAGTGGCTCACGTCTGTAATCCTAGCACTTTGGAAGGTCGGGGTGGGAGGATCACCTGAGGTCAGGAGTTTGAGACCAGCCTGGCCAACATGGTGAAGCCCTGTCTCTACTAAAAATACAAAAATTAGCCAGGCGTGGTGGTGCATGCCTGTAATCTCAGCTACTCGGGAGGCTGAGACAGAAGAATCACTTGAGCCTGGGAGGCAGAGGTTGCAGTGAGCCAAGATTGCGCTGCTGCACTCCAGCGTGGGTGACTGAGACAAGACTCCTTCTCAAAAAAAAAAAAAAGTTACAGTAGGAAAAAGCAGGAGATAAAGAAATTAAGTGTTAGTGTTAGAAAATAAAATGTTAAGGACATGAAAAAAAGTATTTTGATCAAGAAGGAAAACTGGTCTTGTCAACATAATCAGGAGGAAATATCTATTATTTATCAATTGTCATTTTCTCTTCTCTGCTTCTTAGGAGGACATTTTGCCCCTACTGATGCAACTGTTGCTGTGGTTGAGTCAGACAAACATAAAAGACTGTGACAGGACCCTGAGAAGTTCAAAGACAAGGCTCTCTTCTCAGTAAAAAGGGAGATCAGTTGATAACCTCCTTGAAATCTGCTTAGTTTTTAGGGAAGAAAGGAGAGAGGGAGAGACACTGGTGAAAAACTGGCTTCCTAAATTTTTTTAAATTATAAAATATCTTGGAATTCTTCAGTCTTTTCTCTATAAAGTATATTTATTGGGTCTATATTAAAAACTTGTAACTACTAGTTCTTTATTGGGAGGCAAATTAAAACAATTATAAGGAAGAGTTTAATAAATCATCATTCAGTGATCCAAACTGGTCCTCTGTCTAGAGATTATGGTGACAGATTATAAACAGCCTTGGAAGTCAGGCAGGGAGGGTTAGATCCCAGGCAACTAGAAGCCAATTTTTGATCAGAGATGTGACAAGAGAGATATTTGTGGCATTGAATGCCCTGGAGAGGGGAATGATGACCTAGTAGGTAATTCAGGCAGAAAATATCAAGAACATTGACTTGAGTTTTAGTCCTTGGAAGGGAGAAAATACCAGAGATGTTTGAAAGGAAAATAAATCAACACAACTTGACAAGGATAATCCATGAGGTGTTCTGAGCTGATAACAAATTATACAGTGAGAATTCCAGTCTTCTCCTTGATACTCAATTATTTTTATATTTAGTAAAGTCTAATCAATAGGAATTTTAGAGAAAAAAGCAACATAATGTAATATGTGCCTGAGACGTGAAAGATAATGGAGGTGAAAAGAGGTTTATAAACTAAACAAATGGGCAAAAACTTCAGGGTTTGTTTTATTTTATTTTTTGTTTTACATTCTAATTGGTAGTGGAGTGTTTAACCATACTGAAACCTAAGGAGGCCTTATATCTGGTTCTATTCTTAGCCTGAAAAATGGAGAGAAATGAGTCTAAAATGTCTCCAAGAAAGCTGAAGAAATCATCAGGGGAGAAAGGAAGAGAAGGAAGGGAAGGAAAGGAAGGGAAGGAAATCATTAGCTTTCCTGGAGACATTTTGGACTCATTGTAAAGTATCTTGAGTGGAAAGTGTAAGACATGGTACACTAGATCACTCAGAAGATGAGCTGGTTTAGATGGGAAAACAATAACCTGACTTTAAGAAAGTGGTGAGAAATATACGAGCAGCAATTACCAGATCAGTACGGAGACAATGGAAAATACAGAGCTGGAATTTCAGTTAGCCATTAGGATAGGAAATTCTGATTGTTGTGTCATTGGCATAAAAGCAATATTTAAAGCAATGAGAAAAAATCCAAAGTCAATTGAAAACTTGCCTTAAGTATCTTTTCCTCAATATTGGAGACGAGATGAGTGTGGTGATGCATGCCTGTTGACTCAGCTACTCAAGAAGATGAGTAGCTTGAGCCCCGGAGTTTGAGGCTGCAGCGAGCTATGATTAGGCCTGTGAATAGCCACTGCACTCCAGCTAGGCAACATAGCAAAAAGCCATCTAAAAAAAATACACACGCGCACACACACTGGAGAGGAAGGGGAGTGGAAGACATGTAAAAGAGACAGAGACCTCAGCATAGGGCAGTGACAAAGTCCCTGTCTGTCCCAGCAGACCACAAGATACTGGCTGGTCTGGGTAGCTACAGTTGAGATTGGGAATTTTTTTGTTTTTAGATGAGGTCTCTCTCTGTTGCCCAGGCTGGAGCGCAGTGGCGTGATCTCCGCTCATTGCAACCTCCGCCTCCGAGGTTCAAGCGATTCTCCTGCCTCAGCCTCCTGAATAGCTGGGATTATAGGCGCGTGCCACCACACCTGGCTAATTTTTTTATTTTTAGTACAGACAGAGTTTCACCATGTTGGTCAGGCTGGTCTCAAACTCCTTACCTCATGATCTGCCTGCCTCGGCCTCCCAAAGTGCTGGGACTACAGGCGTGAGTCACCGAGCCCGGCCTGTAGTTGGGATTTTAAGCAAATTATTTAACAGCCTTATAACTGGGAATTCACCTAATTGATCTAATTGATCTCTGAATTTACTGTGGCTATTAAATGAAATAATATATACAATAGTGATTGAAATTTTAAAACTGTCAAGTATTTACACCTACAATCAAAATGTAAATCAAATTCCAACTGTAGCCTTAATGGAAGAATGTCACATTTTCATCACTCCCTACATTCTCAGCCATGAGTCCCCTCCATCCCAGGAATCCTTACAGTTTTCTCACAGTGGCACTGTGAAGGGCTGTACCTTCTTATCTCTGATCTCATCTCTCAGCCACATCTCACATCTGGATTCTCTTTCCAACTGTAACATTCTCTCCCTTTCTCTACACCCTACTTTACCTACATTCCAAAAAGCTTCACTCTGCTCTAAGCAACACTCACACTTTTGCCCCAGGAAAGGTAGAGGTAAGTTTTTGGCACAACTTAACCATTTATGTTTTTATTCAGTTGTCCAAAAATATGTTTTGTGATGACAATATTCTGGATAAAGTTACTAAGGATGTTTCCAGATTCAAGAATCTGACCTGTCAGATTCTGTTTGTGTGTGTGTGTGTTTCTTTGAATGCTAATTCCCACCTTGCAGATGTAGCCCTAAATACTTCTCTTACAACAGATAAAGTTTAATATTTAATATATTTCAGACAATTTTTAGTGTATCTTGATCATTTTTGTAACCTTCACAAAAACTAGAAACATCCCATAAAATTCTTAACTTTATCTGAGGCAGTATGATATAGTCAGGGAAACAGCGTCACAGCTTTGGAATTATCAAGAGCTGGACTGAGAACCCAGTCCAGACCACTCTCATGAGCAGCATAAACTTGAGCATGTTATGTTATGCCTCAGGGATTTGATTTACAAAGAAAATGGGAGTAATGGTTTCTATTTTATAAGATTACTGTAGGGATTCAAATATGTAATGGAGGCAAATCACTGTATGCCAGTGCCTGGTATAAAGTAGGTACTTAATAAATATCTGCTGAGCAAATGAAATCCTTCCCAGTCATCTCATCACAAAACCTAATAGAGTGTTGAAGGCACTGAAAAGTCCGTCAGACTGGAGGGGCCCTTACTAAAGTTCTACTTTAGCAGTAGCTTAATAAAAACTTTCTATTTATTGATTGCAACAAGTTATTTCTAAGAGTTTAATACATCTTTTTCTAAAAGTGCATTGTTATTTGGAATAAAGATAAGTGTTTGATTTTATGCTTTAATTTCTAGAACCATAGATTAGTTCAAATAGCTCATTTCAGCCACTGTTTAAGTCTCCTTTTTAATATCAGAAAGTATTTATGACTAAGGAAGCAATGAAAAATTGCCCCTTGTATGGTCCCTATACTCATCATGCTGAAGATTCAACTTTTTCTATGTGAATGTTTTACCTCCACTTCTGGTCCGCCAGTTAAGAACAATGAGAAAAGTGACTAGGTAACTCTATAAGACCAGGAACCTGATCGCCTGATCCTTTTAATGAAAACTTTGATTGCTTTTCTTTATTTACTTGCCTCTTATCTCTGAGAACAAAGTTGGAAAGGGAATTATCCCCGTGCCCTCCCCAATCTTCCACCTTCATTCCATTCTTCCAAAAGCTTATATGGAAAGTTTTCAGCCTGTCCCTGGAGGATAAATATTGCAAATTTTGAGAAATGCTACTATGGTTAAGCTTTGATTCAAAATTTCTGGAGAAAACTTTTTCTTTAAAGATTTTCCTACTTTTTGTTTATTTGTCTCTAATATTAAGTCCTACTTTTTGATTACTCTTTCAAATATTAAAAAATCTTGGCCAGGCATAATGGCTCACATCTGTAATCCCAGCACTTTGGGAAGCTGAGATGAAAGATTTGCTTGAGCCCAGGAGTTAGAGACCAGTCTGGGTAACATAGGGAGACCCTGTTTCTACAACAAATACAAAA
This sequence comes from Homo sapiens, assembly GCF_000001405.40. Classification (NCBI taxonomy): domain Eukaryota; kingdom Metazoa; phylum Chordata; class Mammalia; order Primates; family Hominidae; genus Homo; species Homo sapiens. The sequence continues at coordinate 113,850,134 of NC_000006.12, forward strand.
ATTAGCCAGACATGGTGGTATATGCCTATAGTTCCAGCTACTGGGGAGGCTGGGGAGGGGGTGAGAGGATCATTTGGGCCCAGGAGTTAGATCAGCCTGGGCAACAGAGCAAGACCCTGTCTCAAAAAAAAAAAGAATATATATATATCTGAGTGTGTGTGTGTGTTTGTATATGTATATATATATGTGTATGTGTGTATATGTATATATATATGTGTATGTGTGTATATATGTATATATGTGTGTGTATACATATATGTATATACATGTGCATGTGTGTGTGTGTATATATATATATGTATGGTTATTTCAATTGGTGTGCCTGAATAGCAATAACCAAAAAATACACTCTTCTTTATAGTGGTTTTGTAGTGATCACCTATTCCGACCATGTGGAGATCTAACATGCCAGAAACATCACTCCTGTTGTAGATGTGTTAGTTCTTGATTCTTCAGACAGATAAGCAGTGACTCTGATGTTTCCTAATTATGAAAGAATCTTTCTATTTGAGTACTACTGGATAGTTAATAAAGAGCACTAAAGCAAAGTCTAAAAGTAAAGAAGCTTGCAGTTTTAGTATCAATTTTAAAAACTAATAAAGCTCCTACTACAGGCTGGGGGCAGTGGCTCATGTCTGTAATCCCAGCATTTTGAGAGGTTAAGGTGGGAGAATCACTTGATCCCAGGAGTTCGGGACCAGTCTGGGCAACATAGTGAGACCCTGTCTCTATTTTTTAATTTAAAAAAAAAACTCCAACTACATATAAGGTTCTGTGCCTATTACAACCATTTGAGCTCTTATTGGATTCCTAGATGGCAGATAGACTTCAATGAACAACGGCTAACACACTATTGAACTTTATTTTCCAAACCTTCCTGAGCATCAATTTCCAAATCTGTAAAATGGGAAAATGATACAAGTTCAGGTTCTGTTGGAAGGGTGAAACACAAGCCTAGCGGACTCACACAGTGCTGTCCCTGGTACAGAGTAGGTTATCTTCCCTCCCTCCTCCTCTTTATGTATATCTGTATGAAATAATATAGGATTAACTGACATTGTGCTTTGTAATAGCACTGTCTTTTAATCTATATTCTATTTTTGTGCAAATATTGACTTATAGATATAACAAAATTGGGCATAGGTTAAAAGAGTGAATGGCTGGTAATATTAAAGAGGATGTAGAAAGATATATTTGATATATTGATTAAGCATCCTTGAGATTTATCAACCTCAAATGGGCCCTCATTACTGCTCTAAAGTCTTACCATGCCCAAAAGTCTCAATCCTATGCCTCCCAGTCATTATTCCACACCTTCTATAAGGTCATCAAACTGCAACTCTCCCTTTTCTTCTTTCCTCTTAGCTGAATAGAAACCATCAGAGGGAAACTTTCTCATCTTCCCACCAGCAAATCTATAGCCATCCTCTTGTTCTCTCATTACAGAATATTTTAAAAAGCAGAATGTCTTTTAAAACCCAATTTTTCAGCATGTGCCCTATATCCCCATCCCTTCCTGCCTTCTCAGAAATGTTTTTCCATTCTTTATTCCTTTTCCTCTTGTATCTTCATTTTCCTTTCTACTGTATTAGTTTCCAGATCAGTTAAATGTGCTCTGATGCCTTCCATCCAAGACAGCATAACACAAGCCAAAAAAACATTAAGTGGGTTGAGCATTCCTTATCTGAAATTCTTGGGACCGGAAGTGTTTCAGATTTCAGATTTTTTTGAATTTTGGAATGTTTTCATATACATAATGAGATATCTTGGGGATGAGAACCCAAGTCTAAACACGACATTTATTTATGTTTCAAATATACTTATAAACATAGCCTGAATATAATTTCATACAATATTTTAAATAATATTGTGCATGAAACAAAATTTGTGTACATTGAAATTTATGTACATTGTGAAAAAAATTTGTGTACATTGAACTACTTTAGTACCCTTTGTGGTGTGCTTGCATGGGGGAATCTGGACGTGCAAAGAAAACATATATTGCAGCTGACAGGGGCTGGGGGGATGTTTTTTCTCCTTGGAGACACTGAATAAACTGTGTGTCATGTATGTGTGTTTTTACCATGACCCCTCACATGAGGCTAGATGTGGAATTTTCCACTTGTGGTGTCATATTAACACTCAAAAATTTCAGATTTTGGATTTCAGATGTTCCCATCAGGGATGCTCAACCCGTCCCAGCCCTCTCCAGCTACTGCCTTGTCTCCCTAAACCTTTACTGAGTCCAGCTTTATAAAGAGGTGACTATGCCATCATCTTCTTCATCTTCCATTTTATCCTCAACACACGAAATCCAGCTTCCACTCTCAACATACTACAAAAACTGCTCTGGAGCCTGTATCCAGTAGTTTCTGTCCTACAACATGCAATGGAAACATCTCAGTATTTCATTTGAACACTCAACAGCATTTGACAAAACTCACTACTCCTCCTTGAAACACTGTCTTTATTGACTTTCCTGACCCCACACTCTCCTGGCTTTCTGTCTACTCTTTGAGAATTCCTTCTCAGTCTTCTTTGCCATCTTGGCTCCTTTTCTACGGATCCTCTGAGAGCAGAAATTACTCAGGGCATCATTCTGTAATCTCTTATCTTTTGCATTTTCCTGTGACTTGGCTTCTAAAAATATTTTCATGTGGAATGATCACAAATCAGTATTTACATTCAAAACTGTAGTTTGAACTTCAGACTTACATCTGTGAACTTCACTCTTCTACTGAGACGTTTTACAGGAATCTGAAAATATGTTCTAACTCATCTCTCTACCTTCCTCCCAAATCCATGCTGAACTCTTCCTCCTCATGGGCTTTGCTATTTCCTCCATCTGAACACAGCTCTTCACCTCTTTACCTGACTAATGCCTACTCTTCCCTTAGGTTCCCACTTAAATGTTACTTATTTCAAAAGGCCTTCTTTAACCCTCCTAATGAAATTATACTATCTTATAGCACAAAATAGAACTTCAAATGGTCACATGTACTCCCTATTTTCGTTAAAAGTACATGTGACGGTTTAAAGTTATATTTCAGTCTGTGATCTCATTGTTAAATGCTGGCTTCTCCCCTCTCTTGTTAGGCTAGAAGCATTTGAGTGAGCCATCTGCATTATTAATTCCCTCACCTCTTCAAATCTGCTCGAAGTTTGTCTTCTCAATGAGGCCTTTCCCGGCCTATATGGAATTACATCTCAACTCTCCCCTGAACTCCCATCTCCCTTATTTTGCTTTAGTTTCCCCCACCACTCCACCTCTCCCACAACACTTACAGACTTCTAACATTTCATATAATTTGCTGACTTACATTTTTTTAACTTGTGCTTTTCTCCCCACCCAAGAATGTATGCTTTATAAAGACTTCTTGTCTGTTTTGTTCACTGACATATCCCAAATGCCTACTACATGATAGGAGTTCAATAAATGCTTGCCGAGTGAACTGAGGGGCTATGTCTGTTTTCCTCCCCACCACATTGCAAGCTAATCAATTTCTGTGGAATTAAATTTCAAGTAGCATAAAATCTAAGATGAAGGATGGAGCAGAACACTGCCTGCACAGTGGGATTGCATATGTTGTGAATGCATGAATGCTTCCAGGTGAAAAAGGCGTATTTAATTTGGAATCTACAAAGTGGCTGTCATCTTTTGTATTGTTTTTTAAGCACACAGTTAATCTTGTTTTTCTTTCTTTCTTCACATATTAAGAAGTTTTAAGAAATAATAATACAAATGTAAGCTGCATGAGAGGAAAGACCATGTCTATATTTGTCCCTGGTGTAAGCTGATGTCTAAAGCCTTTTTCCTCGCACTTAGGAGGACCTTAATAAATACTTTAAGAATGAATGACTGACCTACTGAGTGAATCTGTGCCATCAAGGGAAGATGGCAGCACTGGCAGTGGTGGAAAAAGCCAGGACTCAGAATCATCAAGGGGGCTGAGCTCTATTCGTGGCTCTACCATCTGAGAAATCTGGCAACGCTCTGGTGCCTATTTCTTCATCGTTGAGAGGGGGAAGCCAGGTGCTCCAGTTCAACTTCACTAGATGATCTTCTAAATTGGAAGCCCCTGAAGGTCAGAGACTGAGTTTATATTGTTCAATGATATGAAAACAAGATCTAGATTATTGTGTTTGGCACACTGGGCCCTCAAGATTTTGTGGAATGGTCTCTAAAATTCTTTCCAACGCTAACATTTTGCAGAAAAATAACAGGTCTCTTAAATAAATTGCTTTTTTTCTAAAAAGAAACCTATACACCGATTATTATTATCTTGCAAATATGTTAGGGCAGGGTGAAAGTGGAGTACAAATAAAAAATAAATGACCGTTTCTTCCTGCTGATTTGGTTACAGACACCGGTTTTACATTTTCACTATGAACTCTTGGGTTCTTTAGTCATATTTATATAAACACTTTTGGCGCTTTATTTGAAACCTTTAACTCTGCGTGTGAGAACACCAAACTCCTGAGGAGCGAGCCACACTTGCACTGTACTGCTTCCCTACTAGTTCCACGTTCTTGGCCTTCCTTCCCTGTCATTATGCAGGTTTTCAAGAAGAACCACAACCGTTTCCCATTTCCCAGCCCGTTCTTCCTCACCCATCCTCCGCCGGGACCCCCTTCCCTATAAGCTGAAGAAATCCCTTGCTTGGACGACGCTAGTCGCTGGGGGAGGTTGGGGAAAGGGTGGCCCAGCCCTCAGCGGCCGCCGGCAGCGCCCCCAAGGAGCCTCCGCCTGCCACTTGCTGGGGACTGTCGGCTTTCCAGCTACCGTAGAATGCGCTTGCGTATCAAAAAGAAATCATCTTTCTACTGTAAACTAGAGACCGAGACCGCTCGTGGGGAGGGAATCTATGTGTTTACACTTTTTTTTTTTTTTTTTTTTTTTTTTGCCCCGGAGCTGCTGCGGGAATTGATTGGCTCCCTTGCGCCCCTGACGCTGGGACTGTCCCCCCGCCGCGCCCCGCCCGCACCCCGCCCGCACCCCGCCCCCTCGCGCGGCCATCTGCTTCGCAGTCTGTCTCCCAGTCTCTCACTCGGCCCCTCTCCCCTCCACCACTCCCAGCCCCCGTCTCCCCCACCGTCACCCCCCAGCGCCGGCTCCGCCTCTTCCCCCTCCCCGGCCCAGTGCTCCGAATCTTCCCCGGCCGTTGCCAGGGAGACCAGCCGATACCAGGCAAATAGGCGTACCAGAAAGAAAAGGGGGGAAAGCTACACGGCAGCCTGGTAACAAAGGAGCAATAAAAGCAGCCCCCAAATGGAGGGCTAAGGACGCGTCTGGGAGAAAATCTGAAAGCGAGCTAGCAGTCACCCCAATTTAAAATAGGAGGGGGATGCGGAGGAAGGGGCATGATTCACGTTGGGGGTGGGGGGAAATCAAGAGCCTTAAATGGGCTTTTGGGAATCGCCTGGATGGTGGTGTCGGATCAGCCCAGTTGGCTTTTCAAGTTGGAACTGCTAATACAAGGGATTTGCGTCCATCCTGGCGGCTGGGGTCGTGGGCCAGGCCAGCGGGCTCTCTTAAGGGTAATAACACGTTTGCTGGCAAGATGCATTTCTACGGAAACGTCTTTACATCAGCTCTGGGGAATATGACCATGGTCGAATAATGCATCTGAAGGAACTGGACAGTGAGAAGACGAAGCTTCACGTAACAATGTTCAGCTTGGTGATTTTTAAAGCAACGCTTGAACAAAGAGTTACTGGCTTGAACCAACCGTCTTTTTCACTCAGAGTGTGACCTATTTCCCTACAATGAGCAGAAAATAAAACTGTTTGAGAATTCAGAGCCAGCACCAGGAGAAATGAACCATTCCCTCGACTGCTTCTCACCTTCATAAGCGAAAGATTATTCCTTGCAAGATCACCAAATGTAAACGAGAAAAGGTGGTCTGATTTTGCCACGAGTGAAAACTTTGGGAAGAAAATGCTTATTAAGCTGTTTCCTTGGTTCCCCTCACCCCTCATACTTTAAGTCAGTGCCTTGTCTCTCACGCACAAAAAGCGTCTGGTACTTCGGTGGCAAGGAGTGCAGTGACAGATGGAGGTATCCTGTGTACCATTATAGAAGGTTTTCCTCTAACCCAAGTTAGACTTGGAGAGCTCAGGGATCTTGCTATCTCTCAACATACAGAACATTTCTCCTTAGAACTGCAATCCGGTTTAGAATGTCATCGTTGCTGCTGCCTCCCTTCCTTTCAGGAGCACATTCGCCTGCGTGCGCACTCACACACACGTTCAAAAAGAGTCCATTCGATTCTGGCAGTAGGCTGAAAACGATCCATATTGACGCGAATAACATCCCAACTGTAAATATGGATTCGTCTACTCGAGGCTGTGTCTCATTTCACCATAGAGGAAAATTATGTCATTTAAAACAGTGATAAAACGCGAAGAGTTTCGATCTTCTGTAAATGGCTCTCACTTTGAATTGTGGGGGAAAAAAATCACTAATTGGGAATAGCCAGAGAAGGGGGAATTTGTTGAGCGCCCAAGGCCAATCTCAAAATATTTTATTTCATGCCAATGTGGGAGAGGGAAGGGAGTGTGGCTTCGCTGTTTGCCGCTTTTGCATTTTCCACATCTGGCCTACAGACCTAATTCTAACTTGCGATCTCGCTTGATGAAATTCGATCTTCGTGGTTTAAATACCTTTCAATTTGGGACGATTTAACCATTGCAGCAGTTCAAAAAACAAACCCTGAGCATTATCTGTAAAACCAATATGGAAAAAAGAAAGAAAACATGCTGCAAACACACAAATCGCAACCATTGTCTTTAACACTCGCATACACACACATACACATAAACACACGGAAAGATGGGGGAGGGGAGCGAGTGGAGAGAGAGAGACACACGGATATAGACCGACGAGAGTCAATGCGAGTCAAGTTAACGCTTTCTCCGCCCCGATGCACAAGTACCCCCCTCCCGTGTTAATTAATTCCAAACAAAGCAAGCCAATCAAGAAATGCATTATTATTTTCAAGCAGAGAGAGACGAGTGCCATGTATTTTTTAATTGATTTATTTATTTGGAGGACATTAATTCTCGGTCTGAGGCTGATTTTCAAACCGTTTGCAAAGCGCGGCTCCATTGTTCGCCAGGCGCGCAGACCCCGCCCCCTGCTTTGTGTGCGGCGCGCGGATTGGCCGACGCGCGCGGGGGCCGCGTCAGCGCCCGCGAGCCCATTCATCTGTGCACTTGGGCGTTGGACCCCGCATCTTATTAGCAACCAGGGAGATTTCTCCATTTTCCTCTTGTCTACAGTGCGGCTACAAATCTGGGATTTTTTTATTACTTCTTTTTTTTTCGAACTACACTTGGGCTCCTTTTTTTGTGCTCGACTTTTCCACCCTTTTTCCCTCCCTCCTGTGCTGCTGCTTTTTGATCTCTTCGACTAAAATTTTTTTATCCGGAGTGTATTTAATCGGTTCTGTTCTGTCCTCTCCACCACCCCCACCCCCCTCCCTCCGGTGTGTGTGCCGCTGCCGCTGTTGCCGCCGCCGCTGCTGCTGCTGCTCGCCCCGTCGTTACACCAACCCGAGGCTCTTTGTTTCCCCTCTTGGATCTGTTGAGTTTCTTTGTTGAAGAAGCCAGCATGGGTGCCCAGTTCTCCAAGACCGCAGCGAAGGGAGAAGCCGCCGCGGAGAGGCCTGGGGAGGCGGCTGTGGCCTCGTCGCCTTCCAAAGCGAACGGACAGGTAAATTCTACCTGTGGTTGTGGTCATTTATTTCGTGTCTTTCTCTCCTTCCCTCCTGGTGGCTCCCAAGGCTCATTCGTGGAGAGGAGTGTGGCTGGATTCTAGTCTGAAAGTTGAATGGAAATGGATAGCCTAAATTGTGGATTTTTCATAGCCGGGGTCCCCCCACACCAAAGGAGTGGTTCCTTAGAATCCTGGAGAATTCTTGAGTAGACGGGAGGAAAGGAGTGATAAATCGTCTAAAATGGCGTGGTTTGGAGATTGGCAGAACGTGACTAGCTAGGTGCCCTCCTTCCCCCGCCCCCAGCCAGGTTTCATTTGTGTTTGGGGGCACAATGGTGTTTGGGTGTCTCTCGGGTTTGTTGTCGAAGCTGGATTGTCTTCGAGATTTCTGAACTGGTGGTGTGATTGTGTGTGGCGGGGGGGGGAGTCGGGAAAGGGGGGCGCAATGGGGATGGTGGTGGAGAAAGGCGAGGAGGGAAAGGCTGTCTTATTGTATGCCGCGGCGGCGTGCCCTGGGTTCTTGGAAAGGTGGCTGGCTGGGGCCAGACAGAGGGCTTCGGTACCTTTTGATGAGGCTTTCCCACTGTCCTAAATCTTTATTCGTAGCTGTCTGTGGAATTACACATCCATTTGATTTTTAAATGGTATCTGTGGGGTGGGAACACTCGGTGGGTCCTTTAAGAACCTTTCCAGATGGTCAAAAAGAGGCGGTTCGTGCCTTTCGGTCGGGATTGTTCTTGTGCGTGGCGCCTCGACCACCCGCGAGGGGCCGCCCGGCGCTGCCCGGACCCAGGCAGATAGCCACGATTGGGTGGACCCGAGAGGTCGGCCATGGGTGGCTGCTTCGCAAACACTGGGCACCCACCACGCCTCTTTTCCTAGAGAAGAGATCGTGTCGCTTCGCCTGCTCTAACCTACTGGGGAAAGCGAGGTCTGCCAAGAGGCTTTAAACCCGTTAAAAATGCAAAATGAGCCGCCGAGGCGCGCCCAGGCTTCGCAGAATCGCAGGGGAAGGTGGGCGTGGAAGCAGAGGCGAGACCTCAGAAATAATGGGTTTCCCCCTGCCTTGTTGGTTTCAGCCCGACCGGCAGGCCAGGAAACCACCTGAGCTTTGTTTGCGGACTGTTGGGCTGCGCGATCCGGGCTCGGGGGCGCCTCGGCCTGCGGGCAGGGCCCGGCTGGGCAGGGCGGGGTGGCCCGGCGACTCCGCCCCTCCTCGCCTGCCTGCGCCCAACGCGGCGCGGTGGAGGCACAGCGCCCCCTGCCGGTGCCAAAGGCCTGGGTGGGCGCAGGAGCTCGGAGGGCCCCGCGCGGGCGCTCCTGGCTCGAGTGCTGTGATCCCCCTGGGAATTCCTGGTATTTTGAAGAGGCCTTTATGTATTTAGGGCGAAAGAGGGATGTGAAACGTAGGCGCGAACCACCAGCTCTGGCTCTGTGCCTTCTTCCAAAGGGCGTTTGCTGTGTCAACTAGTCCCTGGCACCTTTTTTCCCCCAAGCCCCCGATAAAGCGAGGGCTGGCATGGTTAGCCTTTGCTTGCTACGTTTCGGACTTCGTCTTTAGGGCACTTGCTGAATGGCTGGGAGGCCATTGCCGTACTTGGGGGCTACAGTTGTGTTTTCGGGGGGTCTCCAGGCAGCGGTGCCCATTTCCTCGTTCGTGGGGCTCTCTTCTGGGCATCCACCCGCGCCTCCCTCCCCACAACGGCGGGGGTGGGGTCTCGATGGCCACAGGGGCCTTAGGGGGAAGCGGGGCACTCCCGGTCCAGGGCTGGGGGCGGGAATGGCGGCGCCCCGGCCGCTTCAGTGACGCTCCCGCTTTCTCTGCCCCTTAGGAGAATGGCCACGTGAAGGTAAACGGCGACGCTTCGCCCGCGGCCGCCGAGTCGGGCGCCAAGGAGGAGCTGCAGGCCAACGGCAGCGCCCCGGCCGCCGACAAGGAGGAGCCCGCGGCCGCCGGGAGCGGGGCGGCGTCGCCCTCCGCGGCCGAGAAAGGTGAGCCGGCCGCCGCCGCTGCCCCCGAGGCCGGGGCCAGCCCGGTAGAGAAGGAGGCCCCCGCGGAAGGCGAGGCTGCCGAGCCCGGCTCGCCCACGGCCGCGGAGGGAGAGGCCGCGTCGGCCGCCTCCTCGACTTCTTCGCCCAAGGCCGAGGACGGGGCCACGCCCTCGCCCAGCAACGAGACCCCGAAAAAAAAAAAGAAGCGCTTTTCCTTCAAGAAGTCTTTCAAGCTGAGCGGCTTCTCCTTCAAGAAGAACAAGAAGGAGGCTGGAGAAGGCGGTGAGGCTGAGGCGCCCGCTGCCGAAGGCGGCAAGGACGAGGCCGCCGGGGGCGCAGCTGCGGCCGCCGCCGAGGCGGGCGCGGCCTCCGGGGAGCAGGCAGCGGCGCCGGGCGAGGAGGCGGCAGCGGGCGAGGAGGGGGCGGCGGGTGGCGACCCGCAGGAGGCCAAGCCCCAGGAGGCCGCTGTCGCGCCAGAGAAGCCGCCCGCCAGCGACGAGACCAAGGCCGCCGAGGAGCCCAGCAAGGTGGAGGAGAAAAAGGCCGAGGAGGCCGGGGCCAGCGCCGCCGCCTGCGAGGCCCCCTCCGCCGCCGGGCCCGGCGCGCCCCCGGAGCAGGAGGCAGCCCCCGCGGAGGAGCCCGCGGCCGCCGCAGCCTCGTCAGCCTGCGCAGCCCCCTCACAGGAGGCCCAGCCCGAGTGCAGTCCAGAAGCCCCCCCAGCGGAGGCGGCAGAGTAAAAGAGCAAGCTTTTGTGAGATAATCGAAGAACTTTTCTCCCCCGTTTGTTTGTTGGAGTGGTGCCAGGTACTGGTTTTGGAGAACTTGTCTACAACCAGGGATTGATTTTAAAGATGTCTTTTTTTATTTTACTTTTTTTTAAGCACCAAATTTTGTTGTTTTTTTTTTTTCTCCCCTCCCCACAGATCCCATCTCAAATCATTCTGTTAACCACCATTCCAACAGGTCGAGGAGAGCTTAAACACCTTCTTCCTCTGCCTTGTTTCTCTTTTATTTTTTATTTTTTCGCATCAGTATTAATGTTTTTGCATACTTTGCATCTTTATTCAAAAGTGTAAACTTTCTTTGTCAATCTATGGACATGCCCATATATGAAGGAGATGGGTGGGTCAAAAAGGGATATCAAATGAAGTGATGGGGTCACAATGGGGAAATTGAAGTGGTGCATAACATTGCCAAAATAGTGTGCCACTAGAAATGGTGTAAAGGCTGTCTTTTTTTTTTTTTTAAAAGAAAAGTTATTACCATGTATTTTGTGAGGCAGGTTTACAACACTACAAGTCTTGAGTTAAGAAGGAAAGAGGAAAAAAGAAAAAACACCAATACCCAGATTTAAAAAAAAAAAAACGATCATAGTCTTAGGAGTTCATTTAAACCATAGGAACTTTTCACTTATCTCATGTTAGCTGTACCAGTCAGTGATTAAGTAGAACTACAAGTTGTATAGGCTTTATTGTTTATTGCTGGTTTATGACCTTAATAAAGTGTAATTATGTATTACCAGCAGGGTGTTTTTAACTGTGACTATTGTATAAAAACAAATCTTGATATCCAGAAGCACATGAAGTTTGCAACTTTCCACCCTGCCCATTTTTGTAAAACTGCAGTCATCTTGGACCTTTTAAAACACAAATTTTAAACTCAACCAAGCTGTGATAAGTGGAATGGTTACTGTTTATACTGTGGTATGTTTTTGATTACAGCAGATAATGCTTTCTTTTCCAGTCGTCTTTGAGAATAAAGGAAAAAAAATCTTCAGATGCAATGGTTTTGTGTAGCATCTTGTCTATCATGTTTTGTAAATACTGGAGAAGCTTTGACCAATTTGACTTAGAGATGGAATGTAACTTTGCTTACAAAAATTGCTATTAAACTCCTGCTTAAGGTGTTCTAATTTTCTGTGAGCACACTAAAAGCGAAAAATAAATGTGAATAAAATGTACAAATTTGTTGTGTTTTTTTATGTTCTAATAATACTGAGACTTCTAGGTCTTAGGTTAATTTTTAGGAAGATCTTGCATGCCATCAGGAGTAAATTTTATTGTGGTTCTTAATCTGAAGTTTTCAAGCTCTGAAATTCATAATCCGCAGTGTCAGATTACGTAGAGGAAGATCTTACAACATTTCCATGTCAAATCTGTTACCATTTATTGGCATTTAGTTTTCATTTAAGAATTGAACATAATTATTTTTATTGTAGCTATATAGCATGTCAGATTAAATCATTTACAACAAAAGGGGTGTGAACCTAAGACTATTTAAATGTCTTATGAGAAAATTTCATAAAGCCATTCTCTTGTCATTCAGGTCCAGAAACAAATTTTAAACTGAGTGAGAGTCTATAGAATCCATACTGCAGATGGGTCATGAAATGTGACCAAATGTGTTTCAAAAATTGATGGTGTATTACCTGCTATTGTAATTGCTTAGTGCTTGGCTAATTTCCAAATTATTGCATAATATGTTCTACCTTAAGAAAACAGGTTTATGTAACAAAGTAATGGTGTTGAATGGATGATGTCAGTTCATGGGCCTTTAGCATAGTTTTAAGCATCCTTTTTTTTTTTTTTTTTTGAAAGTGTGTTAGCATCTTGTTACTCAAAGGATAAGACAGACAATAATACTTCACTGAATCTTAATAATCTTTACTAGTTTACCTCCTCTGCTCTTTGCCACCCGATAACTGGATATCTTTTCCTTCAAAGGACCCTAAACTGATTGAAATTTAAGATATGTATCAAAAACATTATTTCATTTAATGCACATCTGTTTTGCTGTTTTTGAGCAGTGTGCAGTTTAGGGTTCATGATAAATCATTGAACCACATGTGTAACAACTGAATGCCAAATCTTAAACTCATTAGAAAAATAACAAATTAGGTTTTGACACGCATTCTTAATTGGAATAATGGATCAAAAATAGTGGTTCATGACCTTACCAAACACCCTTGCTACTAATAAAATCAAATAACACTTAGAAGGGTATGTATTTTTAGTTAGGGTTTCTTGATCTTGGAGGATGTTTGAAAGTTAAAAATTGAATTTGGTAACCAAAGGACTGATTTATGGGTCTTTCCTATCTTAACCAACGTTTTCTTAGTTACCTAGATGGCCAAGTACAGTGCCTGGTATGTAGTAAGACTCAGTAAAAAAGTGGATTTTTAAAAATAACTCCCAAAGTGAATAGTCAAAAATCCTGTTAGCAAACTGTTATATATTGCTAAGTTTGTTCTTTTAACAGCTGGAATTTATTAAGATGCATTATTTTGATTTTATTCACTGCCTAAAACACTTTGGGTGGTATTGATGGAGTTGGTGGATTTTCCTCCAAGTGATTAAATGAAATTTGACGTATCTTTTCATCCAAAGTTTTGTACATCATGTTTTCTAACGGAAAAAAATGTTAATATGGCTTTTTTGTATTACTAAAAATAGCTTTGAGATTAAGGAAAAATAAATAACTCTTGTACAGTTCAGTATTGTCTATTAAATCTGTATTGGCAGTATGTATAATGGCATTTGCTGTGGTTACAAAATACTTCCTCTGGGTTATAATAATCATTTGATCCAATTCCTATTGCTTGTAAAATAAAGTTTTACCAGTTGATATAATCAAGCCTGCTAAAATAGGATTTTTTTTTACAAATTTTATTTTAAAATGCAAATATTTTTAGAGAAAATTTTTAAATCTTAAGTGTTAAAGGTAAGCATTCAGTTTAAGAGATTTAAATGATATGCTTGGCATTATATTTAACAAATAAAATTATATCCATTGAAGGTGAGTTGTATGCCCCCAAGCCAATTAAAAATTTTAACGATAGAACTTGATAACATATTTGAGAAACAATGCAATTTTTTTATCATATGAATATAAACAATATATCTTTTCAATTAAAGTTAAGGATTTGGGGTAAGGTACTTTTCACAGCCATATATATATATATATATATATATATATATATATATATATGTTTATTTATTTACTTATAGGCAGGTGTCTTACTATGTTGCTCAGGCTGGTCTTGAACTCTGGGCTCAAACGATCCTCCTGCCTCGGCCTCCCAAAGTTCTAGGATTACAGGCATGAGCCACCACACATCCCTGGACATGCAGTCATATTTTTTAGATAGATCCTTGACTAGCAGTTGGTAGGGGAGTATAGTTTAATGTAGCCTCAGTCAAGTTTGAAAATTTTTAAAAGTAAGTAAGAGATCTATTAGATTTTAACTTCCCTTTAATCATTCACTGCATATTGAGCATTTTTTTCCCCTCTCCACATCCTATGAAAGTAGAGTGTGCCACACAGGAATTTTAAAATGCTTTTAATCTGTAAATGTTCCAGTCCCCCCTGTTGGGGATTCAAGTTCCAGCACTCTTTTTAAATTATACTCAAGAATGCTATTCTGAAAATGGAAAATAAATACTTTTAAAAGATTAGGTGTCAATTTCAACAACTTTAGGATTTCCTATATGTTTTCAATATTTTAAAAGTATTCAATAGATATACTTGGGTGTAGTTGACTAAAACTGATGAGATTATCTTTTTTTCTATTTTACCTTTAGTAACATGCCAATCACTAATGAATTATAAAAAGCAATCTTTTCAGTGTTACTTGTTTACATATGTTCTTCATTTAAGTTGTAGGTAGGTGAAACAGATCAATTTTTTGTCTGGAATTTATTCAACCCAAAAGGTTCTCTGAAATTTCTCTTTCAGAGACATATGGAAATCACTCCTTATTTATAGTTATGGCTCATATTTAAGAAAAAATGATAATACATAGTTTGATCTCTTGCCTAATACTTTGAGTGATAATGACTTACTGTAAGCCATACCTTTTCTCAAAAGATGAGGATTTGGCATCATTTAGAAAAACTGTCTTCTGGATAATAGGCATTTCTTGTTAAATTCTAAAAATACTTTGAATCTTAAAAGCATCAACTAAATTAATGAATAAACCTTTCAAGACCACTGTAAGGGAAGCCCCATATTTAGATATATAAGTTGTATTTCATTCTTAAGAAAGAAAATTCTTTATAGATTGGTGTTGAAAATGTAAATGAAACATTTTTTTAAATTTTTGCTTATGAGACTTGAAATTTGAATGTTCAAAAATAAACTGTGTAACTCTTTATAGAATTCTGGGGTAATTATGGTCTCAAACTCCACATTACAAAGTTAACAACCATCCAGTATCAAAATAGGAGCTTTTTTTTTTTTTTTTTTTGAGACAGGGTCTCACTCTTGCCCAGGCTGGAGTGCAGTTCACTGCAACCTCCTGGGTTCAAGCAATTCTTGTGCCTCAGCCTCCCAAATAGCTGGGATTACAGGCATGCACCACCATTCCCAGCTAATTTTTGTGTTCTACGTAGAGACGGGGTTTTGCCATGTTGGCCAGGCTGGTCTCGAACTTCCAGCCTAAGCAGGCCTACCTCTGCCTCCCAAAATTCTGGGATTAGAGGCGTGAGCCACCGCGCCAAGACAAAATAGCATTCTTTATAAGCATTTTGTTTCAGGTCCTTGATAGAGGCTAAATGAAGTTAAATACACAGCTAAGTGGCATAGTATGCCCTTGGAAATACAAGAAGGGAAAAAAAGTAAACCTTTTATAGTAATCAATTTAAATCTAAAGAATTTCATTTACAGACTGTAATGTTGAGAAAGCTAAATTAATGTTTGCATTGATTCTTTATAATGCTTACTAATGTGCAGTGTTGAAGTGCATTCAAGGAACAAGATATTCAGCAATCCACTTCTATAGTATTTTGCTTTCTCTGTAACAGGGTACTCTCCCTCTCCCCTTTTTCCTCCATCTCAATCCTCCAAATGGGTAATCCAATTACCCCAAAATGCTGCAAAAGTACTGCTTGAGGAAATGTTTGGAAGGATACTTCAACTATAAAAATAATTATTCTGAGATTCTATGTTGACTTAATAAGGATAATTTTACAGGAGACAATCAAAATTAAGGATGTGAAAAAGAGATCTAATTACAAGGAGTCTTGATAAAAACTTGACTCTCCAAAAACCTTTTTTTTCCTATTTCAGTGCCTTAAAATTATTTTAAAAACAGACATTTTCATTATTTGATTTCTTGGCAATTCTTAAAGATTACTTTGATGATTGTGGAAACTATCATTCAGGGATATAGATGATAAGCCAAAATGCAAAGTTTTTAATCCTGTAGGTTTCGAGCCACTGTTGTGCTGCCAAATAAGTATACTCATTTGATAAGCATTTAAATCTACCTAATTAAACCTGTATGGATTAATTGTACTAAAATGAAAATCTGGGTAAGATACAACTGAGCCTGCCAAGAAATACAAGCAGTGGATGTTAATCATATTTTATGTTCCTGAAAAAGTAAAAAATTACTGATGCTGAAATACTCCTAACTACAATTCCTCCTCTCAGCATCAACTTTTAAGCAAAATGAAGTATTTATCTTTGTCACAAAATTTAGCAGCTGCAAATATGTAAGTATTGCAAAAATTTCTAGAAATCTGTATTAAGCCCAGTTCTAGTGTTTTGGTAAAATTGGGGCATAAGACTTTTTCTAGTGTTGTTTATAAATGAAATATGAGAGTATCTTTTTTACATTATTTATTTATTTATTTTTGAAATAGAGTCTCACTCTATCGCCCAGGCCGGAGTGCAGTGGTGCAATCATGGCTCACTGCTGCCTCGACCTCTGAGACTCAAGTGATCCTCCCACCTCAGCCTCCAAAGTAGCTGCGATTACAGGCGTGTACCACCATACCCAGCCAATTTTTTTTATTTTTTTGTAGAGATGGGGTCTTGAACTCCTGGACTCAAGTGATCCTCCCACACTGGCCTCCCAAAGTGTTGAGATTACAGGTGTAAGCCACTGCGGCAGCCTGAGAATATCTAGTACCACTGGTAAAGGAAAAATGAGAGTATCTTTGTCAATTGCTATTATTATAGCTTCTCTTTTTCCTTGGAAATGGTAAAAGGCAACAGAACTATCCATCACTTAGGATTTCAATAAATATAACAAATTTCAGTGACATTTTTTCAGTTAGCATTACATGTTGTCTGCCTGAGAAGTAGGCACATGTTCTTCAGGTTTGAAATGTGAATTAAGGACTGCATATAGCGCTAGAATTCTGCACCTAGGTTATTAAATGTGTGGTGCAAAAAGGAAAGGGATTATTGGGGAGAGTTATAAATTGGAAGTCAAAGAAAGTCTTTGAAGCGAATCTTAGGTCAAATGACAGGTACCTGTACTTTTGAAAAGTGCCATCCAATAGAAATATAAAGTGAGCACATAATTTTAAAGTTATTTACTAGCCATATTTTTTAAGGAAGAAGGAACAGCTGAAATTAACTTTAATAATCTAATTTAGTATATCCAAACTATCATTTCAACATGTAATCAATACAAAAACTAGTAACGAGATATCTTTCTTTTTTTCTTGCTAAGTCTTTGAAATCCAGTGTAATGTATACTTACAACACATCTCAGTTTGGATCAGCCACATTTCAAGTGTTTACTAGTTCATGTGTGACTACCATATTGGAGAAAATAGAACTATAGAATTAGTCTGAAAGTGAAGGAGTGGTTAGGATTGTTTGGCTGTGGACTTTGCAAAGTATAGCATGGTGATTAATGCCAGGAGCTTACAAAGTTTAGCTTTTGAGCCAATATTGAAGGTAACCATTTTAAGCAGTTTATATGGCATTGATATCACAAATAAACAGAGCAAGATTCTGAATGGACTTGTTATGAACTGAATTATGTCCCTGCAAATTCCCACTAATGCCTTAACCCCCAGTACCTCAGAATGTGACTGTATTTGGAAAGAGAACTTTAAAGGTGATTAAGTTAAAATCAGGCCATTAGAGTGGTCCATGATCTAATCTGATTGGTGTCCTTATAATAAGAATAAGAAATTTGGGCATGAACCCATGGCCAAGATTGCCTTGTCTGTACTTCCACTCAGTCCCCAACCCCAACACCAGACTCTTGGATAATTTGGAAGCAAATTTCAGATTATAAATCTTTTCTTCTGTAACTATTTTAGGAAGTATTTTTAGAAGATAAAGACTCAACAAAACCCACAATACCATTAGCACACCTGCAAAAATGAAAACTTTCTTGTCATCATTAAATATCCAGCCAACACACAAATTTCTCCAATAATCTTATTACTTTTTCACACTTTGTTGATTAAAATCTGAATCCAAATAACATTCTGTGATGGTTAATTTTATGTGTCAACTTGACTGGGTTAAGGGATAGCCAGATAGCTGGTAAAACATTTCTGGGTGGGTCTGTGAGAGAATTTTCAGAAGAGACTAGCATTTGAAGCAGTAAACTGAGTACAGAAGAACCACCCTCATCAATATGGACAGGCATCATCCAATCTGTTAAGGGTTCCAATAGAATAAAAAGAGAAGGGCAAATTCTCTCCCTCTTGGGGCTGGGACATCCATCTTCTCCTGACTTCATTGAGCTTTCAGACTCCAAGATTACACCAATGGCCCCAGTTTCTCTGGCCTTCGGACTCAGACTGAATTACAACATTGGCTTCCTTGGTTGTACAGCTTGCAGATGGGATGTTGTGGAACTTCTCACCCTCCATAATCATGTGAGCTGGCTTCCATAACAAATTCCCTCTTATATACCCATATATATCCTCTTGGTTCTGTTTCTCTGGAGAACGCTAATACACATCCATAAATTGCATCTGGTAAGCATATCTCCGAAGTGTCTTTAACCATGTCTTTATTTTTCCCTTGCAATTTATTTCTGCAAGAAACTAAATTGTTTGTTCTATAGTTTCCATGGTATGAATTTTGCTTGATTGTACCTCATGCTGTAGTTTAGTACATTCCTTTGTCTTTTCTGTGTCTCTTGTGTTTTATATAAATTGATGAATAGATCTAGAGGCTTGATCAGATTCAGGTTCAAAAGATGAAATCATAGATAATTGTGTATATTTCAACCAGGAGGCACATAATATTTAGTTGTTTCTTTTCTGTGTTCTATTCAAAGCCATTGCTTTTTGCTTAGATTCATTAATTAAATCAGGATTGCCACATCTTGTTATTGTAATTATCATTCCTTTCTCATTTATCTACTGAGTTACTTTTTTTTTTAACTGCTCCTTGTGGAGCAGGGCTACCCATAGGCAGTGTGCCCACAATAGCTGATGCTCAGTTACTGTTTTAAATTTTTTCTTTCTTTTTAAAGACAGGGTCTAGATATGTTGCACAGGCTGGTCTCAAACTTCTGGGCTCAAGTGATCTGCCCATCACGGCCTCCCAAAGTGCTGGGATTACAGGCATGAGCCACCACGCCTGGCCTCTTCAGTTACTTTTATAAAGAGGAACTTTCTTTCATTATCACCCATTTGGTTGTTCAAAGTACAATTTTTTATGGAAAGACAGAAAAAATGTTTGCTTCTTTCCCTTTAATTACTGATTTTCAGAATAGTTAGTTAATTCTCTAGTATTCTCCAAAGGTGACTGATATGGTTTTGCTGTGTCCCCACCCAAATCTCATCTTGAATTCTCATATATTATGTGAGGGACTGGTGGAAGGTAATTGAATCATGGGGGAAGGTCTTTCCCGTGCTGATAGTAGATAAGTGTCACGAGATCTGATGGTTTTAAAAAAGGAGTTCCCCAGCACAAGCTCTTTTCCCTTGTCTGCTATCATGTGAGATGTGCCTTTCGCCTTCCACCATGATTGTGAGGCTTCCCCAGCCACACGTGGAACTGTAAGTCCAATTAAACATTTCTTTTGTAAATTGCCCAGTCATGGGTATGTCTTTATCAACAGCATGAAAACAGACTTAATACAGTGACCAATGATTTTATTTGTTTGCTTAGTATCATTATTGACTCAGATTTAAACTTATTTTACGTAAGCAATATGTGATGCTCAAAATGATCCAAAGTAGATTGTCTTTTAAAGTTAGTAATAGGACTCAATAAGTAAAATCAGTTTAAATTTATGGAGATGCTACTTCGGAATTTGCTAAAAGGTAAATGAAACTCAATATTTACTCAAATAAAATGGATTTACTTATAAGTGCTGTCATACGCCTAAATTTTAGTTGGGGTATCATGCTGAGAAGCCTTTCATTGTACACAATTTCAAAGAAATGAGAGTCATGGCAACTTTTTCTTACCTTCGAATTACTGCATTGTAGTTACATTTAAGTGTCATCAAACATTGATCAACATAACACGTTACTCCATGTACTAAGAAAAATGTTTAGAAATTTACTAACATAAGGAGACTCAGCCATCAGCAGTCACTGGAGACGTATATGTTGGCACTTGGTGAAGCAGTACACTAAATAGAACATGTTGGTCAATAGGCAATACTAATTAACTTAGCAAAATATTAAAACTTTTATCATAGAATATAGATCAAGAAATTGGCAATTTTTAAGGAAAAAATATACTCACTGCGGAGCCCAAAGTGTCCTTTGGCAGGATTACTTCACAGCTTTATATAAAAAAAGAATTTTTGAGGATGTTAGATTTAAGTGACCACGGGGTAACATTTCTTTCTAAGTAAATCACCAACTAGAGCTATTTATTTTAGTGTATTTGAGAAACTGGGAGCCATTGGATGAGGCAATAGATCATCTAAAATAGGTAACATTTGAATAGAATTAAGGACTTCTGGTGAGATTATAATGAAAAAGAAGCCTATAGATTAAGGTCAGATTATACAATATTAATTATTAACTGGAAAAACAATTATGTTAACAATGCCATTTTCCTCCAGTGTCTGAGGTACTATCTAGCTAGTTCATTACTTGGCTTACCATATACAATGAATGTCTTTTTTTCCTTTTCTCATTTGCTTCCTGATATTTTGAAAGCATGAGTTACTGCCGGGAAACAAGGGATACAGAAAAGACAGAGAAATGTATTAAGTGACAGTAGAAGACAGAGGAATGTATTAAATTACAGCAACTGCATATGTTTAAAAATTTTCAGAACATTTTAAATGAGAATTTTTATGTTAATTTAAAAAATTAGTTGCTATATAGCTTCTAATTTAAAATTTTCACATGGTCTAGAAGCAAAATTTACTAGAACTCCAGTGATGAGTTTATTTAAAACAAACAAAAAATATACCAATACTAGTTTATTTTCCAAACTATAGTGAGAAGTTGTTATTCATATATCTGGATTTGAATTATACATTTTTCAGCATTCTTACCACAGCACAAAGATTTTTTTCATGCTTAGTAATGTTTAGTGAACAGGAAGGACTTAATATAACAATCAGTAAGAAAGAATTCTAGCTTTCTAGCTGTAGTATTATCATATGAAAAAGATTTTTTTTTCCTTGAGACAGAGTCTTACTTGCTCTGTCACCCAGGCTGTAGTGCAGTGGTGCCATCTCAGCCCACTGCAACCTCCACCTCCTGGGTTCAAGTGATTCTCGTGCCTCGGCCTCCCAAGTAGCTGGGATTACAGGTGTGCATCACCATGCCAGGCTAATTTTTTTTTTTATTTTTAGTAGAGACAAGTTCTCACCATGTTGGAAAGGCTGGTCTTGAACTCCTGACCTCAAGTGATCTGCCTGCCTCAGTCTCCCAAAGTGCTGGGATTACAGGCATGAGCCACCATGCCGGGCTTGAAAAATATTTTCTGTAAAGCATTTCTACCATAACTTCTTGAGACTTAAAACAGAGAAAAACATATTCATTGAGAAAATGCAGTTTTGATTTTTTATTGTTTAGATCAAGAATACGAACATTGAAACCAATTACTCATAAAGGGTGCTTCCTCTAGACCTTCTTATTGTCCTGAATTCCTATTTCATTAGCAAAAGTACATTTACATGAAATATATATATATATATATATATATATATTTCATATATATGAATCTGGCATAAATATGGATGCATACTTCCCATTATTAAAATTAGAATTCTTTAAACAAAACAAAATTTTCCTCTATTTTCAATTCTTGTCACTTCTGCCATTTGCTGCTTGAAGTCCTTAAAAAATATTATGTCTTCTGAATGCTTTCTAAGACTATAGAGAATATTGGTTGAATGAGGTTTAGAGTTGGCTAAAGGAGGGCTTTTTTGACCAGAAGTTGATTCTCTGAAGTTTTTTGTGTGTCTTTAACTTGTTTTTTTCCACTGATTAATCTTTCATAGTATGTAGTTATAATGGTAACCATCACGTACATCTGACCTACAATAAAGAAGAAAATGGACAGAAAAAAGATTATTAACTTTTCTTCCTTTTTTGTTCTTCTGTAGGTCTCATTCCTGTCAGTTAGACTTGAGGTCATGCTATTTCCTGTTGGGGTCACGAGGATGAATTAGTGATTAGACACTTAGGTGCTGGACTCAAAGGGACCTGGCTCCATCACATGCAAACTTTTTGTAAAAGAAGGTACATTGTTTTATAATGTGCGTTTTTGGTTGAATATTAAACTAAAACTTGAGAGCAATCTAGCTCAGGTAGACACTGGTGTCCTGAAATCATTTGCAATACATTTAAACTAAGATATACTAGATAAAGATATTAAAACAAAAGAAAAGGTTTAGATTTTATTCCATATTTCATTTATATTTTTACCAAACACCTATTGAATATCTAATATGTTCTAGGGAATGGACTTGGATCTAGAAACTTAAGAGTGAATGTGCAAATGCCTAGAATCTGTTCTGGTAAGAAATTCACTTCAGTAAAAAACAATACTAATATTATCAATAATAATCCATAATGTGATTTTTTAAAGCCAACTCATTTAATCTATTATATCTATATAATAGATTAGATTATAATCTAGACTGTATAATCTATAGTCTAGATTATAGACATTTAATAAAAACAAATTGAATTTTGTAAAAAAAGTACTTAATATACCTAGTAAAGTTTTATATGCCAAGTTTGTATTTTAATAATATTTTTATTTTAATAAATATCAGGAAGAAATAAACATAAAACATAGGAAGTGCATGTTCAGGTTATCTATTGTCATATTACAAACCACCTGAAAACTCAGTCGTATAAAACAACAATTATTTTTAAATTTTTGAACAGCTTTATATATAATTGACATATAATAAACTGCACATTTTAAAGTGCACACTTTGATAAGCATACATAGGTACACACCTGTGAAACCATCGCCAAAATCAAGATCATGACCGTATCCACAAATTTCATGATTCTGTAGGTCAAGGATTAGAGCAGCCATAAGCAGAGAGTTTGTCCCTGATACACGATGTTTTTGGCCACAGCTGTAGTTGTTTGGATAGCTGGGGGCTCCTGGGATGGCTAGAGTGGGATCATATGCCTGGAGTCTTCATTCTTCTCCATTGGATGTTTGCTGGGATGAGAAGGTCCAAGATAGTCCTTTGATAATGTGTCGTGGTGCCTGGGCTGGGATGGCTGAAACACAGGAGACCTAGCAGAAATTCTCTATACTCACCGCCATCTCCGGATAGTCAGACTTCTCACTCGGCAGCTGGCTTCCCCCAGGTCCGAAGTTCAAGAGACTTTCAAAAGACAGGAAGTGAAAGCTGCCAGTCTCTTTCAGCCTGAGCCCGAGACACTGGCACAGTTTTACTTCCACTATGCTTTATTGGTCAAAGCAGTCTCTGAGCCCACCCAGATTCTGGGAAAGAAGGACATTGACACCACCTCTTGATGAGATAATGTCAAAGAATTTTGACCATCTTTAAAGCACCACAACGCATGTTGGATATTCTATATTCCTGAGTGAAAGAAGACTTCAATTTGGTCACATGAACAAACTATTTCTGTGTTTTACAAGGGCAATAGTAGGGAAAGGAGGTGGTAGTAATATCAGAATTTCCATCAACTCTTCTGTCTTCGTTGCTGTTTATCAAGTAATGTTCTTCAAACAAACTGGAGTTGCTATGCCTTGATATGGTATAAATGAGTGTGTTTTGGATACAAATACACATGGTAAAGGTAATATGGTAAATACCATTGTTTATTTATATTATTTATATTATATTTATATTGTTTATTTATATTAATGGTATACTTTAGCCAAGTAAGTTTTTATCAAGATTCCAAAATATTATTGAGACATAATCAATTCAGTAAAAAACTATTTGAGATGGACACATCGGATTCTAGTGATGTTACTCCCCCAGGGTCTTACCCTATTGGGAATCTATTGTATAACTCACATATAACTGTACCTTTGGCCAGGCGTGTTGGCTCACGCCTGTAATCCCAGCACTTTGAGAGGCTGAGGTGGGTGGATCAATGGGTCAGGAGATCAAGACCATCCTGGCCAACATGGTGAAATCCCATCTTTACAAAAATTAGCTGGGTGTGGTGGCACACGCCTGTAATCCCAGCTACTCGGAAGGCTGAAGCAGGAGAATCGCTTGAACCCAGGAGGTGGAGATTACAGTGAGCCAAGATCGTGCCATTGCACTCCAGCCTGGTGACAGAACAAGACTTTGTCTAAAAAACAAACAAACAACTGTACCTTTATAAAAATTCCATCTTTTAAAAGTCTATAAATGGATCTGTTACATTTTAACAAACTACTAGAGGTAATTTCAAATAGATCACTTCAAATTTTCTGAATAAATATAATCTGTTGTGAGGATAGCATCTTGAAGAAATGTTATCAAGCCGTGGTAAAAATATATCTTTCCTTATATGTTCAACCACCATGTGAAATGTGTGAATCTAGCATAAAATGCAGTAAAAAAAAATTTTTTTTAAGTCAGTGAAATAAACTAAGTAAATTTTTCAAGAGAATGTTTTTATTGTGATCTTTTGAGTAGCACAAGGGAAACACAAAGTATAAATACGGTTTTTATACATGGAAAGGGGACACGTGACTCATTTAAGAGGAGCTAAATAATTATTAACAATTGTTTGTATTATTTAAATATTTGTTCAATGGCAGTGGCTACTACTTGTAAAGAAAGAGATACCCCATATCATCCTTTTGGATTCCACTTAACCATAAATAGTCATCTTGGTGGCCCAGTGGCCCTTGTTTCATAAATTTCTCACTGTACCACCATCCTAAAACATCTCTTCTGGCTAAAGCACACAGGAATGCAAAGAAGGAAGATAGACTCTTTATGAGTGCACATGTCCTTGCATACCTGTATTTCTATATCAGGGAGATCACAAAGAACCATTAAAAATGTAAGCCATTTGGAACACTAGAGCTAGAGGAGTGGCCAGATGGTAAAGATCTTGATCATATAGTACATCTGAAGGTGATGTATAGGGGCAGGAAGTATCTGCCACAGAACAGAGTTTAAGGCAGCGACATTCCTTGGGAGAGAAGTGGCAGCACTAAAAACAAGCAGTGAAAGCACCACATTTCCTTTGTTTTGGGTATCTTATACCTTTGGTTACTGAATGCTAAAGTCAAATCTCACGTCTGTTTCTTTAAGAAGCTCATGTCAAGATTTTTATTATTATTTTTTATTTTTTACAAGGTTATATCATTTCCATGGAGTTGGGGGATCACGTAACCAAGGTGAAAAGCAATTAAAATTAATTATTGTGATAGAGGTTAAGCTAGGTTAAAATACCTACCCAACCATCAACATTCCAGACTTCTAATGGAGATCTGTGTGTGCAGGGTGGTAAATAAGGGTTTGGCGTGTGGGGTATTAATTAATTAGCATCAGAAGAGAGAGAAGTCACACATGGTAGACAGTAAATATAGCTGGAGAAAAAAGACTCAAAAATATTTCTGTATTGCTGAGCCTTAAGTTCTAGAGTTTCAAACATGCTTGTTCAAAATGTAGCTTCTTTGTTCGTGGTCAACAAATTCCTCCCAGATGATGTCAGAAAGAGTGCCTTTATCTTTGGAACCCAGTGCAGGCCTAAAGTTTATTTCATATGGTATCAATACTTACTGAGAGTGTTTTATATATGATCCATTGTGCTAGGTTTTCAGGACACAGCCATGAAAAAGACAGGTTTCCTGCCCTTGAGAAGCACACAGGCAATAGGCAAGATTTTAAACATAATTAAATATAACAGAAAATGACCTAAAAAAGGAAATTCATATCTCAGAGAAGATTTAAGTGTTAAAAGATACAACAAAATTTAAATGTGAAGAAAAAGTGTTAGAAGAATCCAAGGCAGAATTTCTAACTATCAAAGTAGTTAAAATTTTGATAAATTTGACAACATAAAAGTAAAAAGTTATGCATGGCAAATAATACTCTAAGTAAAGCCAAAAGAAAAATGACAAACTGAGAAAAAATGTTTGCCACTCATAAATCAATGATTAAACTCCCTAAAGAGTTTTTATAAATCAATTTTTTAAAAAACCAACATCCCAGTAGAACCCAAGCAAAGAACATAGACTATTTAGAAAAAAGAAAATACAAATGGCTCTTAAATATATTAAAATATGATCAATGTTATTTTAAAAATGGAAATACAAATTAAAATTATACCATTTTCTACCAATTAGATTAGCAAAAATCAGAAAGTTTAATAACATAGTATTAGTCAAGGTGTAGGAGAATAGTGACTTCATATATTACTGCTGGAAGTGTGTAGGTTAGTGAAATCTCCCAGATAACCATTTTGTAATATCTATCAAAACTGTAAGTGCATATTCTCTTATATCCGGAAATTCTAATTTTAGGAACTCATCCCACAGATACAATCACACATGAAAAGTGACATATTTACATCATTATTAATTACAACATTGTTTATAATAGCAAAAGAGGAGAAACAACCTGAATGTCCATCAGTAGAGGTTGGGTCAAATAAAACAACATATACCCACATGACGGATTACTATGTGTTTTGGTTATCTATTGATAGTCACAAACTACCCAAAACATAGTGGCTTAAAACAATAACAATTATTTATTTTCTCTCACAATTCCATGGGTGACTGGGCTTAGTTGAGAAGTTCTGTTCTGTGTGATGTCCACTAGGGTCATCACAGGGTCATCTGGAGAGTTAAATCAGCTGGAATATCCAAGATGGCTCCCTCACATGCCTGTTAGTTGGTGCTGGCTGTTGGACGGGAAATCAGCATGGATTGTTGAACTGGAGGGTTTTAGCATTAGCTTTCTTCCATGTGGCCTCTCTTCATAGCTTGGGCTTCTTCCAGCATGGTGGCTAGCTTCCAACAGAGAGTTTTCTCAGGACATAAAGTTGTAGATATCTTAAGATCTCAAAAGCTGTAGATCTCAGAAATTATACAGCATCACTGCTACCTCATTCTATAGAGAAAAATAAGTTTCAGAGCCAGCCCAGATACAACGGGAGAAAAGTGGACTCTACCTCTTAATTAGAGAAGTGGCCAGGAATTTGTGGCAGTCTCTAATCTATACTATGTATCTATAAAATAGAAAGAGGTAATACTTTATGTATGGATTTGGAATCATTTCTAGTACCTATTGTTAAGTGATGGGTGTATATCAGTACAGTATAGTGATACGTACATAATATAATATACTATGTATGTATGCAAAAAGTATGGGCACAGGGGAAGATGCAAGATTAATTACTTACATATTACATTAATATCTTTAGAAAATACACAAGAAACTGTGTAGTTAAGCACAAGAGTGTAAGAATGGTCACTAATTTATCTTTGTGCCTGGTGAAGTTTGAATAATATGAATGTATTACCTTATTTTAAAAGTTAAACTCTAAAAATTATAACAAGTATTATAGGCTACATTTCCTGAACTAAAAATTAAGAGATATTTGGTAGAAAGCAGGAAATTTGAAATACATTCCTAAAATATCTATCATTTTGATAGTGATTATATTCACAATGTGACTGACAGAGGAAGAGAATGATCCAGGGTGGCCACAACAAAGGGATGGCTTTTGAGCTAGGTCTTGAAGAGTGAAATGATGACCTATAAATATTGGCAAGTTGCAGTAAGAAGACTGAAAAGGATCGAACCTGATGGTTTTCTTTTTTTTCTTTTCTTTTTTTTTTCTTTGAGAGAGAGTCTTGCTGTGTCGCCCAGGCTGGAGTA
This sequence comes from Homo sapiens, assembly GCF_000001405.40. Taxonomy (NCBI): domain Eukaryota; kingdom Metazoa; phylum Chordata; class Mammalia; order Primates; family Hominidae; genus Homo; species Homo sapiens. The sequence continues at coordinate 113,877,856 of NC_000006.12, forward strand.
CAGTGGTGTGATCTCAGCTCACTACAACCTCTGCCTCCCAGGTTCAAGCAATTCTCCTGCCTCAGCCTCCTGAGTAACTGGGACTACAGGAGAGTGCCACCACCCCAGGCTAATTTTTGTATTTTTAGTATAGATGGGGTTTCACCATGTTGGCCAGGCTGGTCTTGAACTCCTGACCTCAGGTGATCCACCTGCCTCAGCCTCCCAAAGTGCTAAAATTATAGGCATGAGCCATTGCATGTAGCCTCTATTTTTTATGTGAAAGAAGAGGCAAAGTTATCTCTGAAATATGATTTTTTGAGAATAAAGAGGAAGACTTGAAGAGAATGAAAAAGGTTAACAGCATTTCCATAGGAAATGAATTTAAAAAGTAAGAACAAGTAGAATAGCCAGGTCAAAAAATACATGAATTTGCCACACTGTCATCAACACAGCGATGAGATTTTTGTCTGCCTACTCAGTTACAGAGGAAACAGATCGTGAACTGACACAGGGTTGAGGATGAACAGCACAGGTGTGGGAGGAGGATGAAGGAATGTGAAAGGACACTGATGTGAGAGATGTTAAAAGCCATTGACCATGCAGTCCTGCATGGAAACCCAGAAGAAACAGGAGACAATGGAAACTCAGCAGCACCCATACAGACTCAGAGATGGTAATGGGAGAGGAGGTAGTGAAGTTAGATGAACAGAAAATAATTTGATTATTGGTTTGAAGTTGAAGATTTCAAACATGAAACAATTCTGGGTGAAGATACAACCTAGACTAGAATGACTGACCATGGAGTTCTGCTTCTAATACTGGCTGTTGGAAAGCTATTGATGCTGTTTTATTTGGAGACATTACTTTTTGACTGAAAAATATAAATTGGATAGGCACCCTTAAAAACCTGGGGCATAGTTCTAGTGATCATATTTTATAAACCCAAATTAAAGCAGATGGCTTAGCAATAGCCCCTACATTTTGGTAATTTGTTGATGTATTTATATGAAAAGACAAAATAATATGTAACATATAACAATATATTGGTTCTATGTCAGAAAACTCAGGAACCACAGTTTCTGTAGCCATTATAGCAGTAACTTTTAGAATGACAAATAACAATGAGGCAAAAAATTAAATACTTCCAAACATGCTTAAAATACAACAATTTTGAGTTAGACTGTAAACTTCTTGAGAGAAGAGACCATTTATGAACTCCTGTGTTTCAATACTCCTTTTGCACAATTGTTCCCTTCATCACTACCAATATTTAGGACAGTATGGGCCAACAGTAAGAGATAAATAATACTTCTTGTTTAAATTCTTGGTTGGTGATTTTATCTATCTCTTTTGGGGAGGTGCATTCCAGCTAGAATAACTTAATTTTTTTATCCCCCAGAAGGATGGGTGTATTCTTTCTTGTTCTACTGCTAGTTTAAAGAACAGGCGACTTCCCTGCTCAGATTCCAAATTCCTTAGGAAAACAAGAAGCGACAACAAAACCACACCAGTAACTTCCACTCACATGTCAGTTTTAAAACAACTTGGGAAAGGTCAGTCTATTTGACTTCCTTCTATTGTTGAATTTACCCAGTTCCTGATTATATTACAGTCAGGTGGTGATTTTTAAAGGATATTCCTTTATCTGTTTCAGTTTTCTAAGCGACATAAATTAACCAGGAGCTTTCTTTTCACACTGAATACTGTTTGTCTTGGGAAAAGATTAGCTGTGATTTAAAATTTTTTTAAAAAACCTGTTCTCTTTAGCTCTTGCCTTTGCAAGCACACCGATAGCACTGGAGTGGGAACCCGTTGAAGAGATAGGTAGAAGGGAGCCAAGGAAAGCTCACCAGTGACACGAAGAGGTCACTGGTGTGTACTGTATCTCAATTTCACTGCCAAGGACACTCCTTAGTGGATTAAGCACTAAATTTAGACTTACTGAAATTATAGTCTTAGCCTTCAAACTAGGATTTCAGTTTGTTTTGATTTCTATTATCTCAAAGTTATTAGGTTTGTCCCAATTATCTGAAAACACACATTTATACTATGCAGTGGCTGAGTATAATGTGTAGAAAATTGTTCCTTAGGAAATCTTTTTAGTCTATCTTATGAACAATTCAGAATAATATATTATTTTTATATTTATCATTTTATTGATTGTTATTTTACTTTTCAGTTACCAATGCTACTCTAAATTTTCTATGGTTTTCTATATAATCTCTATATAATCTCCATATTTTTAGTACATTACATTTTTTTACCTTTATTATTATTATTTTTATCTCCCACTTGGCTTGGCTGCTTTAGTACATTTTTAAATGCTGCACAGACAATATCTGATAGTTAAAGTAGAATTCAATGTTTTCTTTTTTTTTAACTTTTAACTTCTGGGGTACAAGTGCAGCTTTGTTACATAGGTAAACTTGTATCCTGGGGGTTTTGTTGTTGAGATTATTTCATCACCCAGGTATTAAGCATAGTACCCATTAGTTATTTTTCCTGATCCTTTTCCTCCTCCCTCTCTCCACCCTTTCAAAGGCCCATGTGTCTTGTTGCCCTCTGTGTGTCCATGTGTTCTCATCATTTAGCTCCCACTTATAAGTGAGAATATGTGGTATTTGGTTTTCTGTTCCTGCATTAGTTTGCTGTGAATAATGGCCTTTAGCTCCATCTCTGTCTCTGCAAAAGGATACAAACTCCTTCTTTTTTATGGCCATATAGTATTCCTTGGTGTATATATACCATATTTTCAACATGAAAAAGGGGTGGAATATCAAAATCATCATTTGAAAAAAGAAATCCACAAAACTGGGTGGGAGTGGTCTGGGAGGAGATTGTGCTGGATGAGGAGATGTGTTTAGAGCATAACTTACTTTCTTTCTTTCTTTGTTTCTTTGTCTCTCTTTCTCTTTCTTTCATTTTTTTTTTTTCAGACAGAGTCTCTGCTTGCTCTGTCACCCAGTTTGGAGGGCAGTGGCACGATCGTGGATAACTGCAGCCTCGACCTCCCAAGCTGAAGCAGTCCTACCACCTCAGCCTGCCAAGTAACTGGGATTACAGGTGCACACCCCCATTCCTGGCTTTCTTTGTTTTTTCTGGTATAGATGAGGTGTTGCTGTGTTCCCCAGATGGTCTCAAACTCCTAGGCACAAGTGATCTTCCCGCCTTAGCCTCCCAAATTGTTGGGATTACAGATGTGAGCTGCTACGCCAGGCCTAGAGCATAAATTCTCAGATTACTTGAATGTGTTTCATGGGTAAACCTGCTTTTAGACTTCAATAATACTACTTACCAGAATAATGTTCCAGAGGCAATTTAGTATATGTTGGTCATCAGTGTTTAGGAATTGGGTAACCAAACCAGCAAGCTTAAAGTAACGGACAAGGAGTGCAGAGCAATGGTTATGAGCACACATTCTGCTTTGGGGAATTTGCGCAACGTGACCTTGGGCAATTTACCTAGCCTCTCTCTGCCTCAAGTTCCTCACCTGTAAAAGGAGGATAACAGAACTACCTCTTAAGATTGCTGTGAGGATTCATGAGGTAATAATATATGTATCACACGATATTGTGAACATTAATCCTGGCACATAGTAAACACTCAGACATCAACGTGAATACTCTGCCCAGTTTTTAAGTTGGTGTAGACTCCAGATGAACCATAAAACTGGTGGAAGTTTTAAAATAATGCCCATTTCTAGAGGTGGAAAAAAATAGCAAGATCAAAGAGCCCTGGCCTCTATGAAGGGATTGTGAAAGAGGAGAGAGATAATTAAGCATTTGGTTTGTACCAAGGAGGAAACACGTTTAATTTATAGCAGGAAAGGCTTAGTTTCAAGTTGGTAGACTTCCTGGCACATTGCGCTGTAAGATACTATTGAGCTGAAAATTGCAAAGAAAGGAGAACTTACTCAATGTCAGTCAAGATGGCATTAGTAAACTTGGAAGCTTCCCTGCATCTTTTTTGGATATGAAGTATAATGATTTGACATAAATATACTACTGCCTAAAACAAAAGAGCTGGATTCTACCACTATTAGAGTCACTTAACAGGGAGAATCACTTCACCCTGGGTCTCCTGATAGCAATTCAGTAACTAAGTTCCCTTGGTTGAGTTCCAAGACCAGTAATTCTTATAAGGAGGTTCACTCTAGAGCAAATAGTGTTTATGGTGATGTTTAAGCCTTACCCACATTCAATTTGAATTACAATGGAAAGTAAAAGTATTTGACATCTAATAATCCATTTACATTTGTTAGTGATCTCAATTTAAATCACCGTGCCTATGGCCTGACAGATGAGTTACTAGATTTTGATTTTCCTGAGGTTTATAATGTTTTAAAACTCATTAACATTTTAAATATTTACTATCTCATTTTATTACATAAAGCAGCACACAAACAAACTGAAAATTATTTCTAAACCAAATTTAATCCAGAACAGTTATTAAAACAATATATGTTAAAAAATGACATTTTAAAAAGCAAATGTGAAGAAGATACAGAGAAATACTGGAGTATCCATTGTCAGAATGATTTAATTTCAGTTCAAAGGGATTTGAAGATCAGTTAATTTGTCCATCCTTCGTCATGTTATACACAGGCTGCCTCTTTGCATGTTCCTTGAAGTTGTGCAGGACAGAGCCTGTGTGGCCTCGCCCAGTGCCCTGGTGATAGATGGGAAAATGGACTTAAATGCACTTGCCCCAGGCTTCTTAAAATGTTTGATTTCTTGTTGACTTCTTGGGTGCTTTCCAAACTCCACAGTGTTGAAATAAAAGTTGACCTGCTAAATCTAAATTCACATTCTATACCAGGACATGTTGTCTGGTTAAAATGAGAACCTTGGAGGATATTATATTAAGTGAAATAATCCAGGCATAGAGAGACAAATACTGCATGTTCTCACTCATTTATGGAAGGCAAAAAAGTTGACCTCATGGAAGTAGAGAGTAGAATAGTGGCTCCTAGAGGCTGGGAAAGTTGTGTGTGTTAGGGGTGGGGTGGTAGGGAGCTAGCCAGAGGTTGATTAGCAAATACTAAGTTACTGCTAGATAGGAGGAATAAATCTTAGTGTTCTATGGCACTATAGAATGACTATAACTAACAAAAATTTACTTTCAATTTTTGTGAATAATTTATATTCAAAACCTACAAGAGTGGATTTTGAATGCTCCCAACACAAAGAAATAAAGTTTTGAGGTGATGAATTTGCTATTTACCCTGATTCGATCCCTACACAGTGTGTAGGTGTGTCAAAATATCACATGGTACCCCATAAGTATGTACAATTATTATGTCAATTAAAAATAAAAGGAAATAATCACTAGTGAAGACAAAACTGATTTAAATCTTAAAAACTTTATGCTCTCCAAATATCTAAATGCTTTCAAAACAGAATTTCAAAATGCATCCAGAGGAAGGACATAGAATAGAGTAGAAAAAATAGTGCATAGCTGTTTGGATAGCAATAGCAGTAAACCTGTTTTTTTAAAAAATGAACAGTTCCCTTGAGGTAGAAAGTAGGTAGGAGCACGTGGAAGAAGCTCAGGCCTGGAGCCATTTGGTGGCATCAACCTCTGGTGATTTGAGAGCTGCTCTGCCACCTGCGGTGCTCTCAGCAGTTCCTGTCTCATTGTCTTAATTTTATGGGATCCTGGTTTAGGTAACCTCACAGAAGCAACGATTCTTTGAGGAATCTATAAAATGTAACTTAGAGAAGTCATTGAGCGATAGCTGAAGGAGACACTGGGGAAAATTGAGAATGTGAGCAACAGCAAGCAGAGGTAGCACTAAGATATTTATTTTTGCATTTGCGGAAATGCATCTAACTTATATGTTATGTAACTTGTATCCTTTGGACTTCAAAATGCATTGAAATATATGCAAATAGAAACTTTTAACCTCTTTTTCTTTTCTGTCCTGGTGAATTATTTGTACCATGGTCATTGTGATACAATTTCTGACATTTATCCACCATGAAGGGCAAGAAATATCATATACTTCTTTGGCATTCCTTACATGTACAGCATTATGATGGGGGTAGGACAGAGTTTTATTACATTTGTCTCATATTATTAAGGTAAAGGAAAGGGAGAGATGAATCCCTAGTTTTCTAGGTTCCTGTTTATTGTCCCAAATATACCATGTATGTGTTTTTTCATTTGTCAAAGCTTATCAATTGAGTGTGAAACTCTATTTTCATTCATAGTCCACAAAGACTTACTCTAAATTGCAACCTATTGCAGTGGAAAACAAACAAAGAAAAACAAAAACAGGCTGGCTGGCACTGAAAGTGCTGGCAGGCTGAAGCAGTAATCTGTTGGTAATTTTATAAGATTTCTTTGCTGATTACTATTTGGGCAGTGTCCACATCACTGATGAGTTCACACACTCACAGCTGTTCTAGGAGCAAGACAACATCTCCAAAAACAGACAAGGATTATTCTGACCATTTAAAAAGCTGGTTCCTGCTAATAGTATTGTTGATGATCTTCTACGAGAATTTCAATTAAATGAAAATCAAATGCCAGCTCTCAGAGGCCATATGGTGTCATGAAGGAAAAGCCGCACACCCATAGTCAAGGAGCCCTGGTTCCTGCCCTGGCATTGCCAACAACTAACTGAGAAAGACAGTGATCAGCTCATGCATGCACAGACCTAGGCAAAGATCTTTAGAATCAGAGAGAAAGGACCTGCTGCTGTGGTAACCCAAAGAAACTGAGGAAAAGCTTATATTAGACTGAGAAGAAGAACAGACACATCTGAGAGGACAGAAAGGAAGGATTGGGCTCGAAGAGAAAACTGCAGAGAACACCTCCAAGTGCGGAAACAATAACTCATTAGTGCCTATAGAATGCCAAGCACTTTTTAAAAATAACTCATTAATATTTTTATTGGAACATGTAATGAATCGATCACCATCCTTTCAAATTTCATGCATTGACATCACTCAGCAGTTGCCGCATTGCAATGCCAAAGGGCCAAGCACTTTCATCTAGTATTTCTAATAGATAAAACAAACTTCCACCAGAATGTGTAATTGCGGTTGTTGAGGAAACTGAGATTCAGAGAGGTTGAATTCTTGGAGACACACAGCTGCTGCATGGCACCCCTCCTCTTACTGGAGATTTGGGCAAAGCTTTCAGATGATTCAAGCTCTCCTGAGTGAAGGGAGCCTATCGACTATGAAGATTCTCATTCTGTGTAGTCTGAAATGTTCTCACTTGACGGTAAAATGCTTCCTATTCTTTACATAGCTTGCACTGAGAAGAGAGCTACCAAAAAGAAGGAAGGAAGAGAGGAAGAAGAGGAGGAATCTGAGAGAAGAAAGTAAAGAAGAAAGGAAAAGGTAGAAAGAAAATAAACTAAAAGGTAAGAAATAAAGGGAAGAACTAGTGGGGCCAAGAGAATAAAAGGAATCTGAATAAAGATTCTATTTTCTGAAGAGTAATAAAATACCTTTCACTATGTCCTGACCCCAGGTACAGGGGCCTGTTTTCTCCAGATGTAATAACTGCTTCAAAGGAAGCTTCAGACCAGGAGCAAGTAACTTTGCCAAGTCAAGGAACTGCAAAATGGACACTCCACACTACAGAAAGCATTTATTTTGAAGAATTAGATCTATTTTCTTCATTTGCCTGGTAAATTCAGGCTAGTTTTCACCATAATATTATTATAACTTTTATACAAGATCTGCTATAAAATTTTATGTAAACTAAGTGTTTAATAATAGGGACCCACAGAACAATTCTAGGATGTTAAATTCTTTTCAGAGAGGAAAGCTAAGCGTGGCCATTGTACATGTGTGTTTAATGATCTTCTGTGCTTGCTATTATAATTATATCACAGTCATTAGTTTACTCACAAAGACTTGCAAATACGATATATGAATATAGAATATATTACTATTATAATAATTTTTTCTTGAGACAAAGTACTGCTTTGTCACCCAGGCTGGAGTGCAGTTGCACGATCTCAGCTCACAGCATTCTCTGCCTCCCAGGTTCAACGGATTCTCCTGCCTCAGCTTCCCAAGTAGCTGGGATTATAGGCATGCACCACCACACCTGGCTAATTTTTTTGCATTTTTCATAGAGACAAGGTTTCACCATGTTGTCCAGGCTGGTCTCGAACTCCTGGCTTCAAGTGATCTGCCCGCCTCAGCCTCCCAGAATGCTGGGATTACAGGTGGAAGCCACTGTGCCCAGCAACAATTATAATAATTTTAACAACTAACTTGAATTAAACCCATTATTTCTTAGCATAGCCTTCTCCAATCAAATTAAAACTGCACCCCTAACACTGTCCCCTATACCTATTACTTTTTTAATAGACTAATTGCCACTCTAAAATTTTACCTTACATATTGTTGTTGGTCTCCTTTCAGAAAATATAAACTGTCTGGGGCCAGAGTTGCTCTGTTTTGTTCCCTGCTGTATCTCCAGGACCTGGCTCAGGGCCTGCATGAAATAGGTGCTAGTAACTAGTCATCGAATGAATTCATGAACAAATGATGAGTGAATACGTGAGCAAATGAATGTCATGTTCCAAGAACTACAGTTTTACTTACCTATGTTTTTTAGCGGATTGTCACATCATTCTAAGGTAGGAAGTCATCTTTAGAATGACTGAGTTACTTGCCCAAAGTCTCACAGGTATTAAATATCAGGGCATGATCCAGGCCTTCTGATTCCAAAGCCCTTCAACAACTATGCTATGAAATAATAGTTCTTGTGTGTGTGTGTGTGTGTGTGTGTGTGTCTGTGTGTGTGTGTGCACATGCATGCATTTAGATTGCCTGCAGTTAGATCGCCCTAAACTTACTGATTAAATAAAAAAAAACACTCAGTTATATGCAATCAAAAGATGATGACAAGACAAAATGGAACAGTTAAAAGATAAAAATAAATGTTTAGCTTTCTTTAGTTACTGCTAAAAAGAGAATTGCTTGTGGGAGTGGGAGAAAAAAACAAAACAGTGAAATTCTCCTTTTTCACATTTTTTCATACCATGGTGCACACATAATTCAATTTACCATTTTCCCTTAAATAAACTAAATATGTAAAAATACTCTTTTTCCAATGTGCAACATAGCATATCTTGTCATCGTATAGTATCAGTATTAGTTCATCATGCTCTTCAGGGTAAGAAAAGTCTTGATTTTTTTTTTTTTTTTTTTTTTTTTTGAGACCGTGTCTCGCTCTGTCACCCAGGCTGGAGTGCAGTGGTGCAATCTCGGCTCACTGCAACATCCACCTCCTGGGTTCAAGTGATTCTCCTGCCTCAGCATCCCAAGTAGCTGGGACTACAGGCATGTGCCACCACGCCCAGCTAATTTTTTGTATTTTTAGTAGAGACAGGGTTTCACCATGTTAGCCAGGATGGTCTCGATCTCATGACCTCATGATCGATCCACCCACTTCATCCTCCCGAAGAGCTAGGATTATAGGCGTGAGCCACTGCTCCTGGCCTTGATTTTCATTTCTTACCTAGACCATCTGTTTTCAACTCTCTACTCTTGACTCCATTCAAAGTAGGGATGCACCATAAATATGTCCACTTTGCGGTCTGAGAAGGTGTCAGGTGTTCCTGAGCAATACACTGGTGGTCTCAGAATAGAAAAGTTGAACTAGTGAGGTGTAAAACATAGTATGTTTGAGTATGGTGGTGATGTCAATAGGATAGTTATTTAAATTTTACTTTTCTTTTTCCAGTCTCTTAAGTTAAATTTAAACAGTTAATGTATGAATTCTGCCTGAAATTAGGGGAAACATTATGGCCTCATTCAGAGCCAGGAGAACTGGATTCACATTCCAATTCTGCCACTTGTTTGCTCTGTGACTTTGGACAAATGGGAATTTATTTCCTCAGCTGGGAAGTGAAATAATCATGCCTGCCCTGGCTGCTTCTGTGAGTGGAAGATCATAATTGGAGTGCATGAAAGACTTTGTAAACTGTTAAGTGCTCTATAAACGTTAGCATTTTACTCAATAAATTTTTATCACACATTCGATGGAATAAGGAAAGAGAATTGAAATAATACAGTTTTTCTTCATTGCCTTAGATTATAATTCAGATATAATACAGTTCATTACATTTCATAGTTGTGGCTATTTCAGTAAATTTATTTGTCAAACTCTATATTAAATAAAATAAATTTATTATATTTTATCTATGGGAAAGTCATTTGATTTGCATAAAAATTTTCTAAGATGTATTTTTATTCATTTCTCTTCTTATACTTTTGTTGCGTGGATAATATATTCAAATGATTCAAATACTTAAAATTTAAAAAATATGCAACAGAAAGTATACTTCCCGTCTTTGCCCCACAATAGCCTAGGTCCTATGCCCTCTCCAGTAGATAATCTGTATTTGAGTGTCTTAAATATAATTTTGGACTGGTTTTATGTGCACATGTAAGATTAAGATCTGTTTTGCAGTAACATGGGTTCCTTTAGGCTTAGGGTATTGGGAGGGGAGGCGGGAGCTAACTCTTCTAGGCAACAACGAGTCCACACACTGGTTCAGTGGTAGAGCCAGATTTGAACTAAATCTGTTTGTTTCCAAAGCTGGTATCTGGTCCATTGTGTCAGACTGAAGAGGTATGGAGTTAGAGGTCAAAGAAAAATTAAGTGAGGGGAGGAGGTGAGTGATAAGGGGAGCAGGAAGAAGGCAGGCATTGCATATTTGGCTCTACCCAGAGAAAGGGTCCCAGTCCAGGAACATCAGGAGGTGAGCCACAAATGATGTGTGCTCAACTGCAGACAGGTGCCCAGCCTCACCTCAAACTGGGGAACTATATGCCTTGCAATCTAGGAGCTCAGAGGCTTTTCCTAGTAAGTCACTATGAGTCATGATTAAGATCAAAGGTAGCAGGGTAGACTGAGCCCATAGGGCCACATTCATTCATCTGAGAGGCAGGAGAGCAGGTAGAGCTTCAGTTTTTCTTCCAAGTGAAACCCAGAAGTGCATCTGACTTTTTTCTCCTGCATGGACCAAGCCTGGAGAAAGATCAGTAAGTAACCTTCAAAGGTGAATCTTCCTCTTCTAAGATTGCATTTTTAAAGAGGCTACCAAGGGATGAATACCCTGACAAGTGCAGAAATGGCCTTCAGACATGCACTGCCATCACTTTGCAATGGGCATTTGAAACACTTGGCCTAGAGAGTAACCTCTTAGGTCAGCCTTCAACTAATTAGCTTATTTTCAGGGACTTTGAAATTCTGAGATGATGTAAGATATTCCATCAGGAAATTTTTGGAACTTGGAGAGATTTGTTTACACATGGTTGGCCTGACATTTTTTCTTGAACACTATATTCTTAAACGCAACACACACACACACACACACACACACACACACACCTATCCGTTACCACACAGTGACAGAATTATGGGATTTGTAGGTGTCTTACGTTTGTTTCTTCTCAACTGCCTTCAGCTACTCAAAAATAACCTAAGAATTCTAGTTTGAATTTCAAAGATGTTTCTAAACTTGTGTTTTTGCTGCATTATGTTATCCTAAAAATACTTCCAACTTTTCTTGATTTTTTTCCCTGTGTAATTGTTTTCATGTGTTTCTATTTTCTTACATCTGAAAAGTAACACTTTGAAAACCACATGTGGTTGCTGTGTTCCAGAAGGGCCACTCAGTAGGAAGCACCCTGGAGTCATGGAGTCATGGGACTTTGTGATTTCTCCTCTCCTTTATTTCACTGATTTTAAGCTGAACTTTGTAGTGTGTCCTCATCAAAAAAACTGGATAAGGAGAAAGATGCTGGGGATGTTCAACATGTTTGTATCTGTCAAAGCTATATTAGGATCTAAACAATTAGTTGTATGAGTCAGGCATATGCAAAAGATGAAAAAAGTAGCGTTATACAGTGAGAATTTCATAGCTTTCGATATCTCAGCAAAACATAAAGCTTGAACAGCATCTTAAATGCAATTCTTCCATGTCACTAAATTGTTGATCAAATATTCAATTCAGCCTGGTGCGGTGGCTCATGCCTGTAATCCCAGGACTTTGGGAGGCAGAGGCAGGTGGATTGCTTGAGCCCAGGAGTTTGAGACCAGCCTGGACAACATGGCAAAACCCCATCTCTACTAAAAACACAAAAATTAGCCGTAGCATGAGAATTGCTTGAAACCAAGAAGCAGAGGTTGCAGTGAGCCGAGATCGTACCACTGCACTCCCACTCCAGCTGGGCAGCAAAGTAAAACTCGGTCAAAAAAAAAAAAATTAATTCATGAGCAAAGTGATGTAGATTCAATAATAGTCATTGCAGTACCATTTTTGTAGCACGAGATCAGAAAAACTTAACCATCTTGAGGTAATTGTTTACGAACTATGGCATATCAATAAAATTAAGCTGTTTAGATAGCTTAAAAGAAAAAACAGGCTGGGTACCATGGCTCATGCCTATAATCCCAGCACTTTGGGAGGCTGAGGTGGGAGGATCCCTTGAGGCCAGGAGTTTTGAGACTAGCCTGAGCAACGTAGCAGGACCCTGTCTCCACAAAAAAAATTGTTTTAGTTAGTGGGTATGGTGACACATGCCTGTAGTCCTGGCTACTCGGGAGGCTGAGTCAAGAGGATCGCTTGAACCTAGGAGATGAGCTTGATCACACCATTGCACTCCAGCCTGGGTGACAGAGTGAGACCCTGTCGCTAAAAGTAAATAAATAAAAATAAAATAGAATAAACACAACAATGTCCAAGGTACACTGTTAGAGAAAATCCAAGCTGCAGAAAAGTGGGGTGTGTGTGTCTTTGTGTACACACATATATATACAGGCATATCTTGTTTCACTGCACTTTTCAGATACTGCGTTTTTTACTAATTCAAGGTTTGTGGTAACCCTGCATTGAGTAAGTCTATCACAGCCATTTTTCCAACAGCATGTTCTCATTTTATTTCTCTGTGTCACATTTTGATTATTCTCTCAATCTTTTAAACATTTTTCATTATTATTATATATGTTACTGCGATCTGTGATCAGTGATCTTTGCTGTTATAGTGTAACTGTTTTGGGGTGCCAAAAACCACACCCATAGAAGACAGCTAACTTAATCGATATATGTTTTGTGTTCTGACTGCTCCACTGATCATTTGTTCCCCATTTTTCTCCCTCTCCTCAAGACTTCCCATTCCCTGAGATGCAACACTGTTGAAAGTAGGCTAGTTAATAACCCTATAGTGGCCCCTAAGTATTCAAGTGAAAGGAAGAGTTCTATGTGTCTCATTTTAAATCAAAAGCTAGAAATGATTAAGCTTATTGAGGAAGACATGTCCAAAGCTAAGATAGGCCAAAGCTAGGCCTCTTCCGCCAAATAGCAAAGCCGTGAATTCAAAGGGCAAGTTCTTGAAGGAAATTACAAGTGTTACTCAAATGAACACAAGAATGAAAAGAAAGGCTGGGCACAGTGGCTCACACCAGTAATCCCAGCATTTTGGGAGGCCGAGGCGGGAGAACACTTGAGGTCGGGAGTTCGAGACCAGCCTAGACAACATGGTGAAACTCCATATTTTTAGTAGAGACAGTGAAACCCTGTCTCTACTGAAAATATAAAAATTAGCCAGGCATGGTGATGCACACCTGTAGTCCAAGCTACTCGGGAGGCTGTGGCAGGAGAATCACTTGAACCTGGGAGGCAGAGGTTGCAGTGAGCCAACATTGTGCCACTGCACTCCGGCCTGAGTCACAGAGCAAGACTCTGTCAAAAAAAGAAAAAAAAGAAAGAAAGAAAGCCAAACAGCCTTATTGCTGATATAGAGAAAGGTTTAGTGGTCTGGATGGAAGTTCAAACTAGACACAACACTCCCATAAGCCAAAGCCTAATCCAGAGGAAGAATCCAACTCTCTTTAATGCTATAAAGGTTAAAAAAGGTGAGGAAGCTGCAGAAGAAAAATTTGAAGCTAGCAGAGGTTGATTTGTGACGTGTAAGGAAAGAGGCCATTTCCATAACATAAAAGTAGAAGGTGAAACAGCAAGTGCTGATAAAGAAGCTTCAGCAAGTTATCCAAGGGTCACTGATGAAGGTGACTACACTAAACAATACATTTCCTTCTTTTTTACTCAATCAGCTTTCTCAGGTTGAACACAACAGATTTTCAATGAAGACAAAACAACCTTATACTGTATTGTAAGAAGATGCCATCTAGGACTTAATAACTAGAGAGAGGAAGTCAATGCCTGGCTTCAAAGATTCAAAGGACAGGCTGACTTTCCTGGTGGGGCTAAATGCAGCTGGTGACTTTCAGTTGAAGCTAGTGCTCATTTATCATTCCAAAAATTCTAGGGTCTTTAAAAAGTATGCTAAATCTACTCTGCTTGTGCTCTGTAAGTGAACAACAAAGCCTAGATGACAGCACATCAGTTTACAGCATTGTCTACTGAATGTTTTAAGTCCATTTTTGAGATCTACTGCTCAGAAGAAAAAAAAAATTCCTTTCAAAAGATTACTGTTCATTGACAATGCACCTAGTCACCCAAGAGCTTTGATGGAGATATACAAGGGGATGAATGTTGTTTTCATTCCTGCTAACACAACATTCATTCTGAAACCCATAGATTGAGGAGTAATTTTGACTTTCAAATTTTATTATTTAAGAATTCATTTCATAAGTCTATAGCTGTCATAGATAGTGATTCTTCTGATAAACAAATTAAACTGAAAACCTTCTGGAAATGATTCACCATTCTAGATGCCATTAGATTCAGATTAAAATATTGACATTAACAGAAGTTTGAAAGAAGTTGATTTCAGTCCTCGTGGATGATGTTGAGGGGTTCAAGACTTCAGTGGAGGAAGTAACTACAGATTGAGTTGGAAATAGCTGGAAAATTAAAATTAGAAGTGAAGATGAAGATGTGAAGATGTAACTGAATTGCTGCAATCTTATGATCAAACTTAAATGGAGGAGAAGTTGTTTCTTATGGGTGAGCAAATAACATTATTTATTGAGGTGGAATCTACTCCTGGTGAAGATGCTATGAACACTGTTGAAATGATAACCAAGGATTTAGAATACTACATAAATTTAGTTATTAAGCAGCAGCAAGGTTTGAGAGGACTGACTCCAATTCTGAAAAAAATCTATTGTGGGCAAATGCTATCAAACAGCATTGCATGCTACAGAGAACTCTTTTGTGGAAGGAAGAGTCAATTGATGAGGCAAGCCTCATTTTCTTGTTTTAAGAAATTGCCACAGCCACTCCAACTTTCAGCCACTGCCACGCTGATCAGCAGCCAGCAACATCAAGACAAGACTCTCCACTAGAAAAAGGTTACAACTTGCCAAAGGCTCAGATAATTATTAGCATTTTTTAGCAATAAAGTAAACTTGAGGGGAAAGCAGTCATAACTGGGTGAACTACTGGAGGTGTTCAAATAGGAAAGAGGTGGTTCAGAGTTTTGAGAACATTGTTCTGACTGCAGAGTGCAGTATGAATTGGTGGAGGAGCATGAGATCCTAGTTAGGAGGCTGTAGCAATGGCCAACAGGGAGGGAGGAGGGCCTGAACCGAGGATTTCACCCTAAGAAGGAAACGTAGTGGAACGAATGTGGAGGAGGCAGCACCAGTGGAACCTTGTGATTATCAGGAGTCAAGGTCCTGGGTGGAGGAAAAATCAAGGGTCACAAGGGGATTTTGAGCCTGGGTTACTGGGACTATTGTGACACCCACCATTAATAAAAGTGTGTCATATTCTTTATCACCTCCAGGCCTTTACACATCCTTTTCTGTCTTGTAAGTTTGCTCTCCCAGCCCCCAATATTTTCCTCCCACTCCCTCTGGCTATTTACCCTTTACTGTCAAGTGGACATCACTTCCTCTGGGAAGAGTTCCCCAATTCCTATGTATAGTTTTGGTGCTTTCCTTTGTGTTTTCACTGTAATACATATTTATCATAACATATCTTACAGGCTACATAATATAATTAACTGTTTTTCCAAATCTTAGCTTGGATTTCCCCAAAGTGGAGCCTGAAAGAAAGACTTACATGTGGGCGATGTCAAACAAAAATTGTGGGAAGCCACTGTTTTCTACTGAGCTCCTCCATGAGGCCCCAGTTGTACAGAACAAACCAAATGCCACACAGTTGAACGGAAACTTTAAGGAAGCAGACAGATCCCCAAACAGATCAGTTTTTCCTGAAAACAGGAGATTCCAGTCTTGCTGAGTCAGTGTAATTGGGAAGTTCCCTATGCTTTAACCTTCACCAAAAAAAGTAGCCTGAAGTAACCCGATGTTAACCAATCAGCTTTTTTTCCCCTCATTATTCTGTTTCCTTGTTTCTGCCTAACCGAGTATTTTGTCATTGCCCAGTGGGAACTCTCATCCTATTTTTTAGAATGGAAGCTGACTGGATTCATGAATCACAAATGAAAGCCCATATGATTTATAAGTAAATTTGTTGTAATTTTGTCATTTGACAGTAGTTTATTTGGTAATGTGATTGCAGGGAGTAGGAATGAGGAATGAGAAAATGCAAAAGGGAATAAGCAGGAAGCCAGGACAAAGATGCTTTATCAGGTAGCCACCATTGTGGAGGCTCAATTCTACAGGAATCTTCTGAGAAGACTTACTAAATAAGAAGACAAGGGAAGAATTTATCCATCACCTTCCATCCTCCGTGGGTCAACAACTGTCCCACAGGGCATTCTGTCATTCACACTTTGCCCTAGCACTGTGCTGGCCATTCCCCCACAGTCATCCCAGGTAGTGGCACTGGGTTTTCCTGCTCTTACCTGAAGTCAGTCCAAGCCTTTGTGGAAATGGATGTTATAAACAGTGCTAGAACAAGAGGCAAGGCCAAGAATATTGAGAATTGTGTCTAAGAGTTATCTGAACTCAGAATTGAGGAAGAACATGATGGAATAGAGGAAAGGATAGTCTTGATGAGAAAAGAATATGTGAGCGCAGCATGAGTGTCTTGGCAGATAATATAAAGCTGGGAAAAGCTGACCTGGGGAGGAAGGGCTTGGGATCCCTCCATACTTCTGTCATCCCCGGCAGCTTTAATCATACCTGCCATCTATCATCTAGGACCATCTGCCTCCACTTTCATTTCAGGGTTTTATACATTTTTTCATTTTGGCAGTCCGTGAGTCATGCCTATGTTCTATGAAGAGAATTCAGGGATGATGATATGATTTGGCAATTATAGAAATAGAGATAATGTTAGAAGCCTTAGGAAAGGGTGAAATTGTCGAGGAAGACAATGCAAAATGAAAACAGAGTTTAACATAAAACTTTTGGTCAGAGGAAGGCAAGAAGCCACTGAATATAACAGATGGAATTAACCCAGCTGTTAGGAAAAAAACCTACAGCACAGAGGCAGAGACCTCATTGGAAAGGCCAGAGTGGGTGACAGGAAGTCAGTACAAACTATTCTTTCAAGATGTTTGGTGATAGGAAGGACAGGGCAGATGCTTGAGGGGGCAGTGTGGTTATAGGAATGCTATCTTGGTGTTTAAGAAGATATTTTTTATCATATTTAGAGTTCTAAGAGGAAGGATGAGTGGACAGGGGAGAAATGAAGGTGCCAGAAAGAAGATTAATAAGTAAAGCCAGATCTTGGAGAAGTTGTGGGGCACCAAGGGAACAGGTCTAACCTTAAAAAGGATGATGTAATAAGACTGAAATACACTTCATCTTTTAAATAGAAAGAAAGGAAGAATAAAAGAATGAGGACATTCAGAAATTTGGAGGTGTGGAGACGAACTGAAGGGTCATTTAACTTTATCAGGGAAGTTGAAGGCCGAGTCTTTCCCTGTAGGGGTGTGTGCATCTGTGCTCATGCATGTGCACTGGGGGGAAGGACAAGGCAAAGTGACAGGTAACAGTGAACAAGCAGACGTTTGGAGTTGGAGGCAAAGTGTGTTGTCTTGAACTCAGCCCTGGTTTTAAATTCTGGCTGCAGCTCCTACTAGCTTTGTTCTGGGCGAGCCACTTAAGCTGCAAGCCTCCCTCTCCTCTTCTGTAAAAGTGACAATGTAATCCCTATTTCCCATGATCACAGAGCTCATCCTGGTAAGTGTCCTCCTGGCCTCCCTCTGGGCCTCAATTTCACTAATAATGAACCCCTCTGTAATTTGGGGGCTTCTAACCATGGCAAGAGAGCCTATAATCCAGGTAGAGAACTCTTCAGGGTAGAGACACCAGCCAAGCTCTCTTCAAGTAGAAAAGGGAATCTAGAGACAATGACATTCAGAGAAATGACTGCTTTGGCTTCCAAAGCCAAAGCTCCCAATCTCTGTTTGAACTATTGAGCTGCCCTGGAAGCTCAGGGAGCAGGAAAAGAGGATGTGTTGTACTATCTGGTGTTAAAATAATCCAAAGGTCCATGCAGAAAAACAGGTGAGCAAAGCAAGCTGGCTGGCTGCCTTCAAGGACCCCAGCCCTCCTGCATCATGCTGGGCACTGTCTCTACCTCCTTCCATCCCTGTTTTTTCCATGTACCCCCCACCTTGGCTCTGTTAGGTCTCACACTTGTAGGCTGATGCACTATGATTTAAGGGTGATCCTCCCTGGAGGATTCCAACTCAGAACTGTGACTGCTCCACACACCTTCCCCTCCTTTCCTCTCCTCTTTTACAACTGCCTTTTCCCCAAGTGTTTATACTGTAGTCTGCCAAGAAGAAGCTCTCAGCAAAGATAGTGGCCTGGTTTGGCCCTGCCTGTCACATGAAGACACAACAACTACTCCAGGTACAAATGTCAGATGGGGAGCATGGCCTAAATGACCTGCTGTGGGTCACAGTGGGAAGCAGTGTGCTGCTTGCTTCCTTCTAAGATGCAGTGTGCTGCTTGCTTCCTTCTAGGATGCAGAACAGGCCTCACCAGGTACCACTTTACATTTCTAAAAGATGAGGGAATAGTAACTTAAATTCTTGGAACAAAAAAACTGTGCCAGAGAGGAGAGAGAGTGAGGGAGAGAGAGAGAGAGAGGGAGGGAGAGAGATTAATTCATATCAGAAGGGCTCCAGGGAGATATAGAGAATGCAGAAGAAATCACTGATACATGTAGATGTTCTATTCTTCCAGCCACTGTTCTCCACCATCACTCAGAAGCCTCATTTTCTTTCTTTTTTTTTTTTTTTTTGCAGTTGCAAGATTTAATAGGGTGAAGACAGAGCTCCCATACAAAGGGAGGGGACTCAAAGAGGGTAGCCATTGCCAGCTTGAATGCCTGGGTTTATATCCCCATCATTGTCCCTCCCACTATGCTCTCAGGCAATAGATTATTGGCTATTTCTTTACCTCCTGTTTTTGTCTAATTAGCATTTTAGTGAGCTCTCTTTACTACCTGATTGGTCAGATGTGAGCTAAGTTGCAAGCCCCATGTTTAAAGGTGGAAGCAGTCACCTTCCCAGCTAGGCTTAGGGATTCCTAGTCAGCCTAGGAAATCCAGCTCATCCTGTCTCTCAGTCCCCCATCTCAACAGGAAAACCCAAGTGCTGTTGGGGAGGTTGGCCGACGACTGCTCTAACTGCTTCCTGCTGAATTGGGGTGTAGTAGGGGTTTTGCAGTTGAGATTTCCTCGGGAGGGGTGCCTTCGATGTCATTAACATTGGAGCATGGGCTAGCAGGCCGGTCCAGTGGTCTGTGGTAGATCTTAGTCATGGACTGCATCTGGGGCTCCATTTGAAGAATGTAGTTTTACAGCTTTAATTCCACCTACAAGTGTGTGCCACCACATCTGGCTAATTTTTCTTTCTTTTTTTTTTTTTTTTTTTTTTTTTTTGTACAGATGAGGTTTTGCATGTGCCCAGGCTGGTCTTGAACTTCTGGGCTCAAGCAATCTGCCCACCTTGGCCTCCCAAATAAAGTGTTGGGATTACTGGCGTCAGCCACCACAACCAGCCTGTCAGTTCAACCTTGGTATAGGGAGCCCACTGCAGTTCAAATTTTCCATCCAGTGAAGGCTGACGCATTCTGAAGCTTGCCTAAGAGGATTTGCTTGAAGGAGGTCAATGGTCCATGATAAAATACAGATTTCTAGAAAGTAATGAATATAAAAAACAATAGAAACTTTTGCTAATTTTGCAGGAGATATTGAATCATTTGAGTGAATTTGCATGTAAGTAGTCAATAATGTCATATAGACAGTTTTTAAGAAGAGACAAATTTTAAGAAATAATTTATCATTTGTTTTGCGAATGCTGCCAACAGACTTCTAGATCTTGAAAGATCTTGGAGTGAGTCTAGTCAGCTACCTCATATTACTCATGAGAAAACTCAGATCTGATTTGGCCAAGGAGACTAAGCTAATTAGAAGCTAAGCCATGGATGAAAACAGAGGTCCTTTGACTTTTCCTTATAAAATTAGTGTCCTGATTGTAAGTTTGGTCCTATTTATGAATATCTTTTATTTAAATTATAAATGTATATTCTACTTTGTTAAATTAAATGTGTATATTACTTAATACAAAATAAAATATAACTAAAATGTGAATGGTTTCTGAAATAAGACATTCTCATTTAATAGTAATAAAGTCCTGCAATACTTCATGGAGAAACTTATACCTTATGACTATTAAAGACAGAATATAATTTGTATTTTCAACTTTCAGAATCTTAAGAATTGTATCCTCCACCTGAAAATTTGTCTTAGAATGACAGTGTTATGGCTTGGACTGTACCCCCCAGAATTCCCTCTCTAGCATGTTTCTGGATAGGGTGGACCACAAGGATATTCTCTCTTCAGAGTTGGAGGATGGATGGGGGCAGTGGCCATTTTGTGGACTATCCACACCTTATCCCAATTGTTTTGCCAAATGCTAATCTAGGTGCTGCTGAGCAGAGATTGTATAGACATAATTAAAGTCCCAAGTCAGTTTATTTTGAGCTAATAAAAAAGGGGCATCATACTGGTTGGGCCTGATTTAGTCAAGCCAAAGCCCTTTTAAGGAGCAACTAGACTCTTCCTAAAGTTCAGAGACTCCAAGCTTCAGCTCAAGCTCATGGGATTCCAGCTAGCTTATGACCTTCCCTTCCCAGCTGCCTGCTCTATGGACTCTGGGCTTGCTTAGCCAGCCCTCATGCATGTTTAAGTCAAATCCATTCCTATAAACATATGTATCTTATTGATTCTGCCTCTCTGGCTGAACCCTGACTGATACAGGCAGTTTTTGTAATTTATGTCTTAACCAGAATACTCTTTATCTTTTTCTCATTTAAGGTTCTGCTCACTCAAATGCTTTCCTGCCTTCATCTTGGCAATTTCTGCAGCAAATTAACCCCTAGCTGTTTCAAAACCCTCAGTATTCTAGCTGTACAATAGATGCCATGGCATTAAGTCTAAATGTCATGGGAATTTAGCCCATGTTGTTGAACTGTCCTCATCTTGGCATCTTCATAACTAACATTTTCTAGTAAATGGGACTTCTGGTCCTTCTTTAAATAACTCCTTTCTAGGTGACGGTCTCACTTGTAGGGTCTCCTCGCCTTGAGTCTGTCGTCCTTACTGCTGCCAGTTGGATTTTTCTAACATGTACAGTTGACCATGCCATTCATTCTCTGGATTAAAAAAGCATCAATTGTCTTCATCTTAGCAATTTCTGCAGCAATTCCTCCATTAGTTGTTGAGTAAAATCTAAACCTCCTGGTGTGGTTTATTCCCTCTGTTCTACCTGGCCTGCTTTCCCAGTTTCTTCTACTTTGGTGGATGTGCCTCAGTGCCCGCATGGTGCACTCCTTGCAGGTCTCCTACTGTGCCTCCCCAACGCCACTGGAAGAACCCAAACTGCCATCGGTAAGGCAAAGACCAAAATAAATATCCTTCTGAAAACTCTTTTACACCATCCCAATAAAACTTAAAAATAATCTTCAGGCATCTGCAAAATGTTTTATGCACCAGAACTCTCTGCTAATTTTTACCTTTCAAAAAGCTGTTGCATGCCATGTTCTACTCACAGCAATCACTCTTTCTACTGCAGCAATCCCTCTTTCTTCTCATTTGCTTCATTGTTAGAAGTGGCATTATGTTCTTCACATTTTCCTAACTTTTTATCTTGGGTTTCCCCTCAACCAAAAACTTTCTTCTGCCTCAAACCTAGCCCTGGAGCTGCCCTCTCACAATACTTCTTTTTCCTACATACACTTTGAGCCCTTGACTTAACTACTGACCTGACTCAAGGCCCTTTGGACTTCATTGTAGATTCCTCAGCCTTCTCTAGATGCCTTTCTTCCAGATTCCCTTATCGAGACTAAGAAAGAACTTTCTCATATCCCTTTTTTCTTTTCTTTTCTCTTTGTTTGTTTGTTTGTTTGTTTGTTTGTTTGTTTGGAGGCAGGGTCTCGCTCTGTCACCCAGGCTGGAGTACAGTGGCATGATCACAGCTCACTGCAGCCTTGACTTCCCAGGTTCAAGCCATCCTCCCACTTCAGCCTCCCCAGTAGCTGGGGCTACAGGGTGTGTACCACCACACCCTGCTCATTTTTAATCTTTTGTAGAGATGCAGTCTCCCTATGTTGCCCAGGCTGGTCTCAAACTCTTGGCCTCAAGAATCCTCCTGCCTTGGCTACCCAAAATTTGGGGGTTACAGTCATGGGTCAGTGCACCTAGCCCTCATATATTTTTTAATGACATAATTCACCACTCTGAAACATATATCCCCACTCAGAAACTTACCAACGGCTACCACTCAATCATTCAACAAATCCAAGTTACCAGTTTTCCACTACTTTAAATTTAAGTTTCTAATTATGCTTAGTTAAATAAAGCTAGTTACCAATGGCTATTTCCACAGCATCCCTTTGCCCACCTACATAAGTTGGATTTCTCTGTTCCAGCCAGTAAATTCCTCTTATCCCTCCACATCGCTTGACATTATTCTGGTGATTCCAAGCCTTTTACTCCCCTCCAAACGTTTCCCTGGCCTCTCCTTTCCACCAGCCTACCCTTTTCCTTCTTCAACCAATTCTCATAAATCATCTATCCTATAAAGCTTTCCCAGGGTACAGCCGTTTCAGCAATCTCCTGAGTCCTTGTATAAATATGAACCATGTGCAGGCATCAGAAATTGGCCCTGCACAATTTTAGAAAATTATGTATAACTATGCAAATTTAGTGGGGAAAATGAGGTAGAATTTCAGTTCCCAAACACCTTTCATAGAATCAAACATGCAAGCCAGAATGACATTCCAGAACCTTGTTTTTAAGACTCACGTGGCAGTATAACATAAAGCCCACCACTAGATATAGGTCAAATTGGGTATTTATATCAAATAACAAAACTGTCCGTTTTTATGCACTTTGCATCTCCCAACCTAAGATAAGGAATCTAAATCCTTTAGTCAATGTTCAACCCCTTTCTGCTTTGGGTCTGAGGGGAGGCCAGCAGTTGAAAGGTTCACTTGCATTGGGGGATCAAAGCAGTGTAACGTGGACAGAGGAAGATAAGAGAGAAATGATGGGTTTTAGATTTACCAGTACATCAGACCGGGTAGTAAGAGGAAAATCTACCAAATTGCTTCCCCCGGCTCCTGGGTCTCCAGGCTTTAAACTCTGTGGATCACTTCTCTCTTACAAATAAGAACATTACGGAAACCATAAAGGTTAGGGTTAGGTTTTTCCAGAATGTTTATCCCAAGGAATATCTCCATTCTCTTGCATTGTAGGCCTTTGTTGTTATCCAAAGTTGGCTAGAAGTTATGGAGTCATTGTTACCTCTCCGCACAGCTGTTCTTTACTTTTTTATTACCACCATAGATTCAATCAAAAGAAAACAAGGAAGCTTATTATTTCAAATGTACTTTTTAAACCTGAAAAACCAGGAAATAAGCCTACAGTCATAAAAATACATAAATTCAATCACGGCACCTCAGTCAGGAAAAACATCAGGCCTCCTGAGCCAAGCAAGCTTAGCCTCAATCATTGCTCAGGCACACCCCCACAGAAGGACCTGATACAGAAAATTTAAAGCCAAACTGAAATGAGTCACTTACTTAGCTCTTGGAGAGCAGGAGCAAGAGGAATTATTGGTGGACTGTGGAGAGTTTAAATTACAAGAGAAAACCCTCTTGCAGATACGAATCCCAGTGAGATGGCTGCAGAGGATCTTAGTTTTCAAACAAATTTCCTACTTGAAATAAAAGAGCAGAAAAACATTTTGGTTTCTAATAAAATTGATTGATTTTAATAATAAAACTCTGAGTTTAGATTTTTCTACAGTAATATGAGATTCTCGGGGTGACAGACTTCAATTTCCTTAATGCTAACATAAAATTTCCTGGGTCATAGCACCAGGAAGGCAACAACGTGGAGGTGAATGTAATAGTGAGACCTCCCTGTAGATTGCAGTCTCCATCGGTCTTCCCTGGACCTCAGTCCCACTTGTGCCCTTCTCGGCCTTCCTGTCCACTGGCCAGGCCCCAGCATCATGCACCCATTCTCCTCAAGGCCTTCAGGCTCCTGTTGCCACAGCTACACCAGTGTCAATCCCTGAATCCTGCTCTGCTGCCTTACTGCTGGTATTGCTGTGGTCACACTATTACTCTGGACTTATCATTGCGATTTGTCACTGACACACGGATATCATGTCCCAGGGAACTTCTTTTTTTATAAACTCATTATAAACCCATAAATTTACATTTAATTGATGTGCTTTAACTTATTGCAGTTATTATTTCCGATATTCAAATGGGAATCCCTGAAAATTGGCTCTTGACTCTTTGTGACACAACCATGGTAGTCTTCAACAGTATACTTGTTTTCAGGTAGGACCACGTGTTAAAGGTGCATCTTGCACATCTTTCACTAAGACCTGCAGCTCGGTATTTCTCTAAGGAGCCCCGACTCGTAGGGGAGCATTATCTGTGTGTTAGGGATGATCATTGCTAACAGGTTGTTCTTTGTTTCTAGGCCTTTTCAGGGAACAAAGCTAGGAGATTAGGGGTAGGTTAATGAATGGATCTGTAGATAGATAGATAGATAGATAGATAGATAGATAGATAGATAGATAGATAGATAATGTAGATAAAACATCATATTTATAATTGAATGTTTCCAATTCAAAGTCTGATTCAGGACTATAGGGCTTTTATTTGACCCCACTTAAATTTACATCTCTTTTCAACCTAAATTTCTGGTTCCCAACAACACCTACATATTACTCACTTGTTTTATACTGGGAAACATATACAATAGTCTCAGAATAATAATAGGAAAACTTTCCATGACGATGTAATTACTGGAAACATTTGAAGTTTGTGTCTGTGTGTGTGTGTGTGTGTGTGTTTTTGCAGTTCCTTTTGTTCTAAGGGTATATCCCACTTGAGGTCTACAGTCAATTCCCAGGTTTTAATGTCACTTGAAATACTTTCTCCCAAGAGGATGTGCCACCAACTCAATATCTAGTTAGGTTTGACTTTTTTCATTTTGTTTTGAGTTTTAACGATTATATCTTAATATTTATCAACTATATATTTTGGAAATCTTTTCATACTTGCATGTAGAGATATTCTTCTTCTTTTTTTTACAGCTGTGTACTACTGCATTGTGTGAATGTACCATAGTTGAGGGTCCCCTATTGATGGACATTTGAGTTTTTTCTAATACACAAATTGTGCTGTGATAGGTGGCCTTGTGAATACATCTTTCCATTTCTGTCAGTGCATCTTTGGGATAAATTAGAAACTGTAATGCTAAATCAAAAGTAGCCAGTAGAATGTCTTTTTGCTTGAATAATCATAATATTTATCCTGTGCTCTAAGGGTGAAATGATGCCACCTCTTCCCCAAGTGCAGGGAATGAAGAGATGAGCCTTTGGCCCCTGATATGTCAACAATTATCTCTCCTAGAAGACCAACTGAGCTCTCTTACCAGTAGACTTTCTGGAAGAACATCCAAACATGTCCTGATAGAAACAAAGCCAGATCTTGTCTCAGAAGAAAAAAAAAAAAATAGGGGCAAAAATATTCTACACAGATCACAAAAGTTTTCTTAGGAAACCATGCTCCCCCTGGACAGCTCCCCAGGAAGGTAACCCTTGGCGTTGATCTTGCGATTGGAAGGGTGTTCATTTTTTAATTATGCTGACAGACATTCAGTGAGAACTGTACTTCCCGAGGGCTAGTGAGCAGGGGGAGGTTTTCCCTGTTGTGCTCAGGCAGGACGTTCCAGGGATCTGGGGAGGCCCTGACATAACTGCACGTTCACACGGCTGCCCCTCCCTCCTCCTCCCTCTGTCTTCTCCAAAACAAATGACCTCGCTGGGATCCTGTTTGCCTTTTACTGACTTCCTGGACCAAAGCAGTGTGCCTGTGAGTGCAACAGCTGATCCCTTTCGGAGTGGAGTTTCCTAGCTGGTGCCTGTCCTCTCTTGAGCCTTTGTTTCTTGAGTGAGCACTCACTGGGGCTGTGGCTCCATGAACTGGATTTCAGGAAACCAGCCAAGGCATTCTCTCTCTCTCTCCATTCCTAGAAAGGCAGAAAGCCTGGGAATGGGTTCGGCAGGAAGATCTCTGTACCTCAATCTCCATTGCTTTCAGCACCACTGGCTTTCTCCCCAGCTCAAGTGCAAAACCTGCCATCGTTGCTACCTGGGGTGCCTCAGACTCACCCAAGTCCCCCAGGCCAGAGGACATGCTCTCAAGCCTTGTTTCAGAAAGAGGGACCCAAAGGCTGTTAGGGAAGAGAACCAGGGTCCTCAAACCCAGGGTTTTCTCACCCACTGCCTCTGCTCTGGCTGTGGCCTGCCAGACCTCTCCTCTGATTTTCGCTTTCCTTCCTGCCAGTGCCTTTGTTTATCCGAGGCGCCAAGATCCCACTGTGAAGTCTGAAAGGAAGACCAGTGGTTCTCGCTTTTCCTCTAGATGCTGTGTCTCCCAATGTCATCTTCTTTCCTCTCAAAGACAATTGGACGTTGTTACAGATTTTCTTGGAATGAGGTGAGTGGACGTTGTTTTTCCCTAGGAATGTTCTCCTGTGCTTCAGAGACATATTTAGAAGGGCATAAGAACAAGAGGAATTAGTGTGGGTCCCTGCCACTGGCACCCCTCCAAGCTTGGCTTTACCCCTTCATGTCAACACCATTTCCTCCCAGGCTTTTCACAGCTTTACAGCCCATCTCAAGTCTTTAACTGCTAAGTGAGCTTTAAAGAAAAGAAAAATCTTCAAAGGCTCCACCAAAGGAAAGAACGGGGCACCTCACATTCGGCCTAAGACAGGAGTGAAAAGACAGGAGATTTGACATTCGCATGGCTGTTCTCTATCCCACCCACTTACAACTTTATACTTATCCTCCCGAAGTCTCAATCCAGCTTCAATTTTATCTGAAAAGGGTCATTTGGGATACAAAAAGCTGCTCCTCCAATGCCACCAAACAACTGCTGGTGCCCTCTATTAACCATCTGAGAAAGCCTAAACATCTCTCCAGCACAAGTAGACCAGGAATTCCCAGCCCCCATCCCATATAAAATCCAAACGATGACAGTAATTGAATGACACAGTGTATTCAATAACCCCACCGTACCTTCCTTCTCACTTCCAGGGGTGATCACATTGACATCTCACCTCATCCGTGGGCTGCCCACAGCCTGGCTATGTCCAGGACTTCTGGTCTCTCTCTCTCTCTCTCTCTAAAAGATAGGGTCTCGTTATGTTGCCCAGGATAGATGTGAACTCCTGGGCTCAAGCGACCCTCTCCTCTCAGCCTCCCAAGGAGTTGTGACTACAGTCTCACACCACCATGCCCAGCTAAGCTCACTGCACATGTCAATGTCTTATCTCCCGGCCCTTCCCTTCTTCCGTTTGTCCTCCCCTCCCCTGTTCTCACTATTCACCTTTCCTTCAGTTGCCCACCTACTTCCATGTTCGGAGGCCAGTGCTCTTTGGATCTGACATGTTGTGTGTGGGTCCCAATGGTTCATAGAAGGCCAGAGGGTCAGACACTTCTGCTCAGTAAGGGGAAGGATGAGAGGATCCATCTTGATCCTTCCCATCAAGGGCTATGGCAACAATTTGTACAAAGAAACCCAAAATAAAGCAACTCCCAAGAGGAGGGAAAAAAGAAGGTAGCTCCAATTTGCTTCAATGTGGGAGAATGCGATGAACAAAGACCTACTAGTGGGAAGCTGAGAAACTCTGTGAGGGCTCCTGACTTGGAGCAGGATGGGTGGATTGCGGGGAGAGTGACCTTGCCCCTGGCCTAGTAGGGCACTATGAGCTGAGGAAAATGGCCATGAGGCTTTGTCTGGCCTAGGTTTCTCAGAATTATAATGGTTTTCATTCCTTACAAGGGAAGTCTAAAATTGGGAAAAGAGAAGCAAAGAGATGCTGTCTAAATCCTAAACGTTAGCAAGAGTTTTCTGGTCTAGAAACTGTGACTCAGATGTGGTAGAGATGAGATGGATATGTGGCCGTGGTTGCATCCACCGGAAGATGCAGCCACAGGACCAGGGACAGAAGGCCTCACATGGAGGGCCCAAGGACAGCAGGCCTCACGGAGGACCCAGGGACAGCAGGTCTCACGTGGAGGACCCAAGGACAGCAGGCCTCACGTGGAGGACCCAGGGACAGCAGGTCTCACATGGAGGACCCAGGGACAGCAGGCCTCATGTGGAGGGCCCAGGGACAGCAGGCCTCACGTGGAGGGGCTACGGACAGCAGGCCTCATGTGGAGGGCCCCAGCCCCTGTCTAGAAGGAGGCAGGTGGGGAATGACACCTGCATCATAAGAAGCTTCTGTCTTGTTAAAAGCAAAGACAGAAAGAAGGACAGGAAGACAATCACGTAGTCATTGTATATAAGGTTTTTTCAGTCTTCACCTGTTCCAGTTATACTTTGCAGCCTGAAAAGTCATTCCAAAACATAGTAGCTTACACTTTGGGAGGCCGAGGTGAGAGGCTTACTGGAGCCCAGGAGTTTGAGACCAGCTTGGGCAAAATAGCGAGAACCCCTCTCTACAAAAAAATTAAAAACTAAAAAAATTAGCCAACTGTGGTGGTGCATACATGTAGTCCTAGCAACCTGGGAGACTGAGGCCTGAGGATTAATTGAGTCCAGGAGTTTGAGGCTGCAGTGAGCTATGATTGCACCACTGCACTCAAACCTGGGTAACAGAGGGAGAGGAGACCCTGACTTTTAAAAACAAAATACAACAACAAAACCACCCCAAAACATAGCAGCTTAAAACAGCTACAGTCATGCTATCTCTCACAGCCTCTGTGGGTCAGGGTTTTGGGAAAGGGTTGGCTGTGCATCTCTCCATGTAGTCTCAAAACCTCTCCATGTGGTCTTTACATGGACTAATTTGGGCTTCTCACAACATGGCAGCCTCAGAAAAATCAGATTGCTCACATAGTAGCTGAAGGTTTCAAGAACAAATATTCCAGAAAGCATGGTAGAAACTGCATCCCCTGTTTTGACCTTATCTTAGAAGCTGCATAGCATGAATTCTGTTATACTCTACTGGATAAAACGTTCAGAAAAGCCTGCCCAGTTTCAAGGGGAGGAAACATAGCCCCATCTCTCGGTGAGAATAGTGTAAAAAGGTCTGCAGACATGTTAAATAGTAGTGACTGACCACCTTTTTTTCTCTTGAAACTAAGTTTGTATCACCCTGATCTTCTCCCATTCTTCTGATTGGTGTGTCTTCAGCTTATCCCTTCCGTTCCTCAGAGCAGGATGTTTTTCCCATTGAAAATGTTAGCATGCGAGGTAGCCATGCTTCAGAGATGGCCTCCTGAGGAACCACCCTTTCTAGCACCCATGCTCCTGTGCAGTCTCCTCCCACACTGGGTCTGGGCTGCACTTGGAGGAAGTGATGCTGTGGGATTTCCAAGGTTAAGGCATAGGAAACCTTGCCGCTTCTACCCGGGCCTTTTGAAAGGCCCTTATTCTAGGGAATAGGGCTCTTTCCCTCCTTATTCTAGGGAAAGTCAGCCACCATATAAGACATCTAACCTGAGACCACCATGCACTGAGGAAGCCCAAGCTAGCCACATGGAGGGAACATGTGGAGAAAGCAAGATATTTGGCCAAACTGTAGAGATTTTGGCCATCCCAGCCCAGGGGTCCAGACATGTAAGTGAAGAAACCGTGTTGGATGTTGAGCTTGGTTGAGCATTCACAGGACCCCAGTCCAACCACCATCCGACTGCAATCACACTTGAAACTCAAAGTGAGAACCACCTGAGTCTAGTCAACCCTTAGAAGCTTCAGAGATAATAATAAGCTTTCATCTGAAGCTCCTAAATTTTGCGGTGGCTTGTTATGCAGCCAGAACATCCAGTTCTATCAATTCCGCATCAGAATTTCTCCCAAATCTGGATCTCTTAAATTGGCCTTCAACATCATTTCCTTGCTGAAGCAAAGCTTCCTCTCTGGTTTCCAAGCAAGTAGGCATGCTTTAAGGAAGTTGGCCATAGAGGTGATATAAGACATGCTCATAAGCAACTATAAAATAAAGCAGTAAGGAGGTATGCCACAAGGTCTGTACAGAAAATAGCTACCATGAGAACTCAGAAAAGAGAGGGACAGAATTATTCCAGCCTGAAGCCAGTGGGCCTGAAAAGGAGGTAGCATTGAATTGGACCTTGAGGCCGGGCGCGGTGGCTCACGCCTGTAATCCCAGCACTTTGGGAGGCCAAGACGGGTGGATCATGAGGTCAGGAGATCGAGACCATCCTGGCTAACGCAGTGAAACCCTGTCTCTACTAAAAATACAAAAAAAAAAAAAAAAGAAAGAAAAATAATTAGCTGGGTGTAGTGGTGGGCGCCTGTAGTCCCAGCTACTCGGGAGGCTGAGGGAGGAGAATGGCGTGAACCCGGGAGGCAGAGTTTGCAGTGAGCCGACATCGCACCACTGCACTCCAGCCTGGGCGACAGAGCGAGACTCTGTCTCAAAAAATAAAATAAAATAAAATAAAATAAAATAAAATAAAATAAATGAATTGGACCTTAAATGCCAAGTAGAAGTTTGTGGGCTTGTTTTTTTGTTTTGTAGAAGTAGGGAGCTACTAAGAAGTTTTGAGCAGAAAAGAATGTGATCAAAAATATGTTTCATGAAAATATTGTTCTGAAAATAATGGACGTAAAAGGCAATTGCATTTGGGAGACACTAGACGGGGTGGTCAGGAAGGATGGGGAGACCAGTGAAGAAACTATCATGACAGGCCAGGGGAGAAGCAATGAGCCCGTGAATAAGGCTGGCCATGGGACTGAGGTTAAAGGGAGGAGGCATAAGAGACATTCCAGAGGTAGATAAGAGTGTGAAATACACATAAGGACAAAATTATAACCCAAATTCTCCTATTCCCTGAATAAGTGAAAACAAATAATTCCACAGATTTTACTTTTGGGAGAAATGTGGCTTTTCAAAGAAAATACCTTTTCAAAGAAATACTTTAGGGGGAGAAGAGTAAATTAAATCCCTAACTTTAAATAAGTATGATCAGAGATTATTTTTTTGAACATTTAT
The DNA here is from genome assembly GCF_000001405.40 of Homo sapiens. Classification (NCBI taxonomy): domain Eukaryota; kingdom Metazoa; phylum Chordata; class Mammalia; order Primates; family Hominidae; genus Homo; species Homo sapiens. The sequence goes on from NC_000006.12 coordinate 113,909,276, forward strand.
AGCCCGTTCTGAAATAGTCACATTGACTTACAATTTTTGTTATTTACCCATCCCTGTGGTATGTTAGCGTGTAAGAAGCCTCCAAAAACAATTGAGGGCAAATCATGACTGATCTTTAAAACCTGCGGTGGTCCTTGAAACACGATGGATGCTCCAAACAGTTTTTAAAGTATGAGCTCCCTCTAGTGGCCAAAAATCATCTTTACTGCTTTATCAAATCTGCCACACATTTATATTTATTTTAATGAGTAGTTTATCTTCCGCTACAACTGAACTTACACTTTCAATTTTTTTCTTGCTTGTTACCAAATAGGCTCCATAATATTCATGATGAATCTCAACATCTAGGATCTAGTATTATTGTTATAATTAGTAATTATCAGTTTTCAATAATGTTTATTGAGTTTCTGACTGTACCAAAATGCAATTATCACCTGATTAATGTATCAGCTAATTTACTATAAATGTTCAAAGGAAGTAATATTATTATTCATCACTATAAAAAGTACTCATTGGTCCATGATCCTTGGCTCATGCCAATAATCCCAACACTTTGGAAGACCAACACGGGAACATCACTTAAGGCCAGGAGTTCAAGATCAGCCTGGGCAACATACTGAGACCCCCATCTCTACAAAAAAAAGAAAAAGAAAAAAAATAGCTGAGCATGTTAGTGCACCTGTAGCCCTGACTACTTGGAAGGCTGAGGAGAGAGGATCACTTGAGCCAAGTATTTTGAGGTTACAGTCAGCTATGATAATGCCACTGCACTCCAGCCTGGGCAACAGAGTGAGACTCTGTCTCTAAATAAATAAACACTTTAAAAAGTCCTCGTTGATAAATGCATATTCTCTCGAAATTAGTTCAAGTTGAAACAACTCCAAAGATGCACATTTCCCATCCAGATCCCATCATTTCTTAAAGAAAGGGGTCACCCTCATCAGACATTTTTCCTATTGTCTTGGGCATTCACATCCTCTCTTACTCCTCACTACTTATGCAAGTTTCTGCAGCCAGCTTGAATTTCTCCTCAGAAAATGGGTTTTTCTTTTCTATCACATTGTCAGGCTGCAAATTTTCCAAACTTTTATGCTCTGCTTCCCTTGTAAAACTGAATGCCTTCAATAGCATCCAAGTCACCTCTTGAATGCTCTGCTGTTTAGAAATTTCTTCTGCCAGATGCCCTTTGAACCATCTCTCTCAAGTTCAAAGTTTCACAAATCTCTAGGGCAGCAGCAAAATGCTGCCAGTCTCTTTGCTAAAACATAACAAGAGTCACCTTTGCTCCAGTTCCCAACAAGTTCCTGATCTCCATCTGAGATCATCTCAGCCTAGACCCTATTGTCCATATCGCCATCAGGCTTTTGGTCAAAGCCATTCAACAAGTCTCCAGGAAGTTCCAAACTTTCCCACATTTTCCTGTCTTCTTCTAAGCCCTCCAAACTGTTCCAACCTCTGCCTGTTACCCACTTCCAAAGTCGCTTTCACATTTTCGGGTATTTTTTCAGCAACGCCCCACTCTACTGGTACCAATTTACTGTATTAATCTGTTTTCACACTGCTGATAAAGACATACCTGAGACTTGGAAGAAAAACAGGTTTAATTGGACTTACAGTTCCACATGGCTGGGAAGGCCTCAGAATCAAGGCAGGAGGCTAAAGACACTTCTTACATGGCAGCAGCCAGAGAAAATGAAGATGCAAAAGTGGAAACCCTTGATAAAACCATCAAATCTCATGAGACTTATTCACTACCATAAGAACAGCATGCGGGAAACCTCCCCCATGATTCAAATTATCTCCCACTAGGTCCCTCCCACAACACGTGGAAATTATAGGCGTACAATTCAAGATGAGATTTGGTTGGGGACACAGCCAAACCATATCACTAATTTAGGACAGATACACTGTTGCTATTGTAAGAATCAAACAAGAGCTATAACTTGCACAGCTTCTGTCACATGGTAGATGTTCAATAAATACTTACTGTACTTGATTTGAATCTTGTTTCATAAGCCCTTATTCACATTTTTTTAAAGTTGTAGAAAATAATTTGGCCACCTTTCTTTCCATCTTTCTAGTTGGCATTTCATGGGTGGTTCCACTGAATAACAATCAACTTTGATATGGTTTGAATATGTGTCCCCTCCAAATCTCATGTTGAAATGTAATCCCCAGTGTTAGAGGTGGGTCTGGTGAAAGATGATTTTGGGTCATGAGGGCAGATTTCTTATGAAGGATTTAGCATAATCCCTTTGGTGCTGTCCTCATGATAGTGAGTGAGTTTTCATGAGATATGGTCATTTAAAAGTGTATGGCACCGGCCGGGTGCGGTGGCTCACGCCTGTAATCCCAGCACTTTGGGAGGCCGAGGAGGGCGAATCACGAGGTCAGGAGATGGAGACCACCCTGGCTAACACGGTGAAACCCCGTTTCTACTAAAAATACAAAAAATTAGCCGTTCGTGCGGGCGCCTGTAGTCCCAGCTCTTCGGGAGGCTGAGGCAGGAGAATGGTGTGAACCCGGGAGGCAGAGCTTGCAGTGAGCTGAGATCTCGCCACTGCACTCCAGCCTGGGTGACAGAGCAAGCCTCCGTCTCAAAAAAAAAAAAAAAAAAAAAAAAAAAAGTGTATGGCACCTACCCCCTCACTCTCTCTCTAGCCCATGCTCCTGCCATGTAAGACAACGGCTCCCCTTCACCTTCCACCATGATTGGAAGCTTCCTGAGGCCTCCCCAGAAGCAGGTGCTGGTGCTATGCTTCCTGTACAGCCTGCAGAACCATGAGCCAATTAAAACTCTTTTCTTATAAATTACCCAGTCTCAGGTATTTCTTTATAGCAATGCAAGAATGGTCTAATATAACTTCATATCCTATGACATTGATCATTAGTTTTCCATCTTGCTGAGTAGAATTGTTCTTACTTGGGGTTTCTAAAGTGAATCTCAGCTTAAATGAACACATGCTAGACTTTAATTATAGCTTCACTTATTTGAATTTTGAAGACAAGCATTTAATGATATATGTTGATCAATATTGATAAACATACTGGATAATGTAAGGGTAAGAGGAGAGAATCAAATTCTCTAATAAGAGTTTAGTTTAACCTATCCTAAAGGTTACAAAAAAAATCTTAGAACATCAAAATTCTATCCAAAAAAACATTTGTGAGCAACCTTCTATTTCCCAGGCACTCCCAGAAGCACAGGGGACAAAGAAATAAGTAATATACAGTTCTTACTCTAAATGAGAAATTTTTTTTCATTCAAACAGTGACAGTTATTTTTGATAAGATAAACTCACACAATGAAACCACAATCTTCTCTAGTCTCATAAAATTAATTAGCTAAAAAAATACAAAAGCCTTTCTATAACAATTCTTTCAAATTTAATTACCAGATTAAGAATATTCCTTTGGATATTCTAGTTCCATGATTGCTAACATTATTAATAAAAGTTAACATAATTTAATTTATATAATATTCTGACTCATTGGTTCTAATTTAAGACATCTGAAAACTCATTAATAAGAAAACCAATTTGTAACTGTTTTTATACAAACTGCCTCAATCATTTCAATACATTGTTATCCCGTATGAGGGAGATAAATAAAAATCTATTTTTACTGAATAGAAACGTATTTAAAATAATATCGCTGTCACTCTCTCCTTATAAATCATAAAAGAAAAGGTAAGATGTGACCTTTTCATTGTTTAGCCAATAAGATAGGTATTTAACGGTGTGGTTTGTAATTTGTAATTTGGCTACTAAAAGATTTTTATATCTTTTATGTATTTATTAGCCATTTGATTTCTTCTTTTGTACCGTACATATTAGGTCTTCTGGCCATTTTGCTTATTGATTTATACTACTATTTATATATTTTGAAGACCAGGGCTTTTTTGGATATATGTGCTATAAATACTTTCTCTGTTCTGTTTGTTTTTGTTTTTGTTTTTAGTTTTTAAAGAAACAGACATTTTAAATTTACCATCTAAAAAAGTATGTAGCCTTTTGCTTTTGAAAGCTAGTTTTACTGGGTGTAGAATTTTGGCTTGATAGTCTTTTTCTTTCAATATTTTAAAGATGCTGCCTCACTGTCTCTTGGTTTCCATTGCTTCTAATGAGGTATCTGGTGTCATTTTTATATAATATTTCTTTCTCTGTACATGATGTATATTCTTTCTAGCTGCTCTTAAGATTTTTATCTTTCTCACTGGTTTCAAGCAATTTGATCTTTATATTTCTTGTAACATTTTCTTCAGGTTTCTTGTGCTAGAGATTCTTTGAGCTTCCTGAATCTGTAGGCCCACAGTTTTCATCAACTTTTAAATTTTTTCTGTTGTTATTATATTTTGTTCATTATTTTTTCTACACTCACTCTCCTCCTTCAGGAGCTATTATTACAGGTTTATTAGGTGTATTAGTCCATTTTCACACTGCTATAAAGAACTGCCTGAGACTGGATAATTTGTAAAGAAAAGGTTCTTTTCACTGTTCTGCATGGATGCGGAGGCCTCAGGAAACTTACAATTATGGCAGAAGGCGAAGGGGAAGCAAAGACGTTTTTCACATGGTGACAGGAAAAAGGAGCTTGTGAGAGCTCAGGAATAACTACCATTTATAAAACCATCAGATCTCATGAGAATTCACTCAGTATCACAAGAACAGCATGGGGAAAACCACCCCCATGATCCAATCACCTCCCACTAGGTCTCTCCCTTGACACATGGGGATTACAATTCAAGATTAGATTTGGTTGGGGACACAAAGCCAAACCACAGTATTAGGCTACTTAATGCTATCCCACAGTTCAATAATGCTCTCTTTATTTTTTTTCAATCTTTCTCTCTTTGTCACATTTTGAATAGTTTTGATTGCTGTGTCTTCAAGTTCACTAATCTTTTCTTCTGCAGTATTTAATCTGATTTTAGTCCTATCCATTATTATTTTATCTTAGACATTGTATTTTTCATCTGTTGAAGTTTGTTTGGATCTTTTTTATGTCTTTAGTGTCATCATATAACGTGTTCAATCTTTTCTCTACTTTTTTTTCACTTATTGAATTGAAAAATCCATTTTCTATCTTCTTAAACATGTGGAATATAGTTACGATAACTATTTTAATGTGCCTATTTACACATCTAATTTACCACTCGTATAATTTATGAATTCTGTCTCTACTGACTGGATTTTTTTCTCCTTATTTTGGATGCAAAATAAGAATAAAATTGTCTATTTTTTCATTGTTTTATTTGCCAGACATTGTGAATTTTATCTTGTTAGAGGCTAGATTTTTCTATATCTATAAAAAATCTTAAGCTTTTTTCCAAAAGCCAGTTAATTTATAGAAACAGCTTGACCTTCTCTAGACCTCCTTTTAAGTTTTGTTATATGAGATCAAAGCAGCCATTAGTCTAGAGCTGATTTTTTCCAACTATAGGCAATGCCCTGCTGAGAACTCTACCTGTTGCTACATTAATTATGTGGTTTTGTAATCTGACTGATAAAAACACAAACTACTTCCAGCCCTACTTGAGATCCAAGTACTGTTCCCTCTGATACTTTTGGATGGTTCTTTCTCCAACCTCAGCCATTAGGTTACATGTCTATGCTGATCAGTATATAGTCGAAGACTTAGCTACAGATATCTGAAACTCTGTCTGTATAGCTCTATCCTCTCCAGTACTCTGTTCTATGAAGTCAAGCCATTTTGATCTTCTCAGACTCCCAGCTCCATCTCCTCAGCTCAGAAAGACCACTGGGTTCCATCTGGATTCCTCCTTCCACGTACTGTGGCCTGCAAACTCTCTCCAGAAAGTAAGCTGGAGCAATCATAGGTGTATTCATTTTCTGGGGTGGCCATAACATGATACCCACAGATTGGGTACTAAAACCACAGCTTTAATAACAGAAATGTATTTTCTCACAGTTCTGAAGGCTAGATGCCCAAGATTAAGATGTAAGGTTTTGTTTCCACTAAGGTCTCCTTTCTCGGCTTGCAGATGGCCACCTTCTTACTGTGTCCTCACATGATCATTTATCTGTATGTGGGTGTGCACCCCTGGAATCTCCTTATTTGTCCAAATTTCTCTTCTTATAAGGACATTAGTCAGGCTGGACTAGGGCCCAGCCTAGTGGCCTCATTTTAACTTAATCATCTTTTTAAAGGCCCTATCTCCAAATACCATCACATTCTGAGGTACTGGGGGTTAAGGCTTCAACATACTAATTATAGAGGAATACAATTCAGTCCACAATAGTAGTGCTGCCCTCATTCTGTTTTTGCTATCTCCCATGGATCACTCTTCGGCACAGCCCAATGTCTGATAACTATTGTTTCATATGTTTGCCTAGTTTTTAGTTGGTCTGGGGGAGAGGGTAAATCTGGCACTATATTATACCATCTTGGTTGGAAGCAGAAGACTGAAACAATTAATTTTGAACTACTAAAATTAGTTAACCCTTTTCTTGCTTACCCTAAGATATGAAGATATTCTTTTATGCTTTTTTTCAAAGATTTATAGTTTTGCCTTTCTTGCTTAAGTTTTCCATTCATGTGGAATTGATTTTTGAGCATAGAGTAAGATTGAGGTCCAATTACATTTTTTTCCCATAAGGATATATAATTGTTTCAGCAACATTTGATGAAAAGTCCATCTGCCTTTCCCTTTGCTATGAAGTATATTCTTATAATAAGTCAAGTGTTCATAAATGTGACAGTTTATTTTTGAGTCTCCTTTTCTGTTCTCTTGGTCTAATATTTTATTCCTTACCAGTTGTGTATGGTCTTAATTACAGAAAGTAAAAAGGTTGATAATACCAATTATTGAAGAGTTGCAAATGAAAAGAAATATACAATGTTACTGAGAATAGAATTCAGTACAACTACTGTATTAGTGTACTAGGGCTGCTATAACAAATTATCATAAACCAAGTGGCTTAAAACAATAGAAAGTTATTGTCTTACAGTTCTGGAGGCTAAAAGCCTACCATCAAAGTATTGGTAAGACCATACTCCCTCCAAGGTCTCTAAGGACAAATTCTTCCTTGTTTCTTCTAGCTTTTGTGGTTGGTGGCAATGTAGCTAGCTGCATCATTTCAATCTCTGCCTCTGTCTCTACATGGCCATATTCCCCTCTGGGTGTGTCTTCTCTGTTCCAAATCATTTTCTCCTTATGAGGACAGTAGTCAATGGATTTAGGACACTCCCTAATCCAATATGACTTCTTCATAGCTTGATTATATCTGTTATATCATACACTCATATCATCAACACCACAATCAAGATGTAGGACATTTTCATCATCTCAAAAACTTTCCTGATGCCCCTTTGCAATCAACTCCATCTAAATTCTGGCCAAAGACAACCACTGATTTTCTTTTTATTGCTATAGTTTTGTCCTTTCTGGAATTTTATATAGGCAAAATCAATTACAGTAGGGAGTCTTTTTATGTGGTTTCTTTCAATTAGCATAACGTTTCTCAGGATCATCCAAGTTGTTGTCTATATCAGCTGTGTATTCATTTTATAAAAATTTATTACAATATATTGAATTTCCAGTCAATGGACATTTGCATTGCTTCTCTTTTGCTTCTGTGAACAGTGTTGCTATGAACATTTGCATACAAGTCTTTGTATAAACTTATGTTTTCATTTTTCTTCAGTAAATACCTAGCAGTGGGATTGCTGGATCATATGAAAATGCCAGACTATATTTCATCAGCAACATCGGAGAGTTCCAGTTGCTCTACACCCTCACTAGCACTTAATATTGGTCAGTCTTTTTAATTTTAGCCATACTTAGGGGTGTGTAGTGGTGTATTGTTTGGTCTTAATTTGCATTTCTCTACTAATTGTGTTGAGCTTCTTTTCACAGTGTCTATTAACTATTACTGTATCTTCTTTGGTGAAATACCTGTTTAAGTGTTTTGCCTTCTTTTTAATTGTGTTGTTTGTCTTAGTAAGTTATAAGGATTTATTATATATCTGGTTATATATATAAGGTTATATATCTGGTTATATATAAGGATTTATTATTTATATATTTATATTTATTATATATATATTTATTTATTTTATATATTAATATATAATATATTTATTTATATTGACATATATTTATATTAATATTTATATTTATATATAAATATTTATATTGATATGTTTATATTAATATTTATATTGATATATTATATTAATATGAATATATTAATATGTTATATATTGTATATTATATATTTATTATTTATATATTTATATACTTATAAATATATAATATTATATATAAATATATAAATATTTATATATTTATATTATATACCTGGTTATATATATAAGGATTTATTATATATCTGGTTACAAGTCCTTTGTCAGATGTTTTGCAAACATTTTCTACAACTCTATGGCTTACCTTTTTGTTTCTTAACTGTGCTTTTCTAAGAATTTTTTAAAATTTTGAAATGACATCCATCTTCCTTGTTATTTTTGCAAGCTCCTTAAGGTTGGAAATTGTGACTGACATGTTTAAAGTATGTAGCATATAATAGGCACCTGGTAACAATAATTAGTAACTTTCTGAGACCAATTATGTGGTAGTCACTGTGATTAGTGCTTCAAATTTTTGTTTGCATTCTATCCTCACATACCTGTAAGTAGATATTCTTATCCTCATTTTGCTGTTGAGTAAATGAAGCCACAGGCTTCGTAGCTTGATGGCTTATTGCTTATTGCTTATTGATTTATACTAGTATTTATATATTTTGAAGACCAGGGCTTTTTTGGATATATGTGCTATAAATACTTTGTAAGGCACAACTGGTAAGGGATAGGGCCAGACTCCAAACCTGGGTCTACTTGACTTTAAAGTCCATGCTCTTAGCCACATGATGATGCCACTTTTGTTGACTAACAAGTGAATGAATGAATGAATTCTACCTTATTTGTTCTTAAAGATTATGTGCTTATGTGCTTATGTATTTTTATTTACTTTTCTACACATTAAAACTCTCTGCAACAATACAAGCAACTGAAAAACATGGTTAGCCATGGTGGTAAGGAAGAGTTGGGAAAGCAAAATAGGAAGGAAAGTTTATATATTTCTTTTTTTAAAATTTTTAGACAATGTGAATGTATTATGTACTACATTCAAAGTATTCAGTAAAAACAATAAAGTCCTATATTAAAATAATGGCTTGTATTACAAATCAATAGAAAAACAATTTGCATATTTAATTGAGGAAGCAATTGTTAACAGTTCTTAGGCTGGGCACAGCGGCTTATGCCTATAATCCCAACACTTTGAGAAGCCGAGATGGCTAGATCTTTTGAGCTCAGGAGTTCAAGGCTAGCCTGGGCAAGATGGTGAAATCCATCTTGACAAAAAATACAAACATTAGCCGGGTGTGGTGGCACATGCCTGTAGTCCCAGCTACTTGGGAGGCTGAGGTGGGAGGATCACTTGAGTGCAGGAGGTTGAGGCTGCAGTAAGCCAAGATTGCGCCACTGCACTCCAGCCTGGTCAACAGAACTCAAAAAAAAAAGCAAAATAAAAGCAACTCTCAGAATAAGAGAAAGGTTGATTTCTGTAGAGAATTTCCTTTAGGGAATTTTAAGATTCCAAGGCCCAACACGTGGCTTTAGACACGTGCACAGATCCAGGCCAGGAGCAGTGGCTGTGACTTTAGAATTCACATCTTCATTCAGTGAATTGTGTAGTAGCTCTGGTGTCTGGCAGCCAAGCCCATCTTACTGTGCACTCTTGGCCCTTAGCAGGTGAGGCATTGGTTACTGTTGAAAACATGGGATTATTGACATAGTTTCTACTTGTAGTTGATCGCTGCCTGGATTCACAGAAGGACAAATTACAATGCATTTTGAAAGACTCGTCTACAGTCAACTAAAATACCAGTTATCACAGACTTCACTGGCCTTAATGAGGAGGCTGAGAGGGATTTAATTACTGGGACATGCAACGCTTACACCAAACTCTGTTCGATTCACGACTTGGAAAAGCAAATGTGGATACAGATGAGTGTGGACATGGCTTCAGTAGGAAATGTCGAGTTTGTTCATCACTCTGAAGTTTCTTCAGCTGCAACGGAAACTGCACCCTCCCTCCCGACTTGTTGGTTATCTTGCTGTGCTCCCAAGAAGGTATTTTCTGCTGACCTGATAGATCAGGTAAGAGAATAGCAATGTGTCTTTTGTCATCTGCCTCCAGTTCCCTGGCTGCCTGCATTGCTGTGTTTGTTATCTGTGGATTGAAGGTGACACCACTCTCAAGGAGGGTGAAGGCAGAGGTGTATGCACAGCTAGTACCAGTAACACCCCTAGAGTGAGCCAAGAGAAGATGAGGTAAGGAGGAAAGGGAGACTTAGTCATGGGCCTAGGAAAAAGCGTGGGGGGTTACCTATGTAGAAGGTATGGATGGTGAAGCTGGATCTCTTTTTACCTGTGGTGAGCACACCATACCGGACAACCCAGGGCCTACATTATAGAGGGTGCACTCTGCACATGCAATGCATTTTGTCAACAGAAAGCTCTGTGTAAAAGTCTTAAAGCAACTCTTTAGAAATCCTGTTTCATTATTAATTTAGAAGGATTCAAATAGGAAATGTGGCAACAGCTGTAATGGGTATTAAAAGCCCCCACTGGCAGTGCTGGGTCTTAGCTGCCTCCAGTGGTGATCCTCTTCAAATAAGGAATCTTGAGCCAAAAATCCACCCTTCCTGTTAAATAAGTGTTCATACTCATTATTTTATTATAAAAGTCATAATAGCTTGACAGTACGGCAAAGGACAGTGAAAGATAAATGCACATAAGTAGTATAATGCAGTAATTAAGAGCCTGGTAAAAATCTCAACTCTGTCACTTAATAACCTAAATCACTTAATAGCTTTGTGCCTCAATCTAAAATACTGATAATAATAACAGTAATAATGTTTGCCTTCGTGATGTTGTTGTGGAGAAGAAACAAGTTAATATAGATAAAGTACTTAACATAGTATCAGGCCAACATAGGATCATAGCAAGAGGAAGCATTCAATAATTAGTTGTGGTTGGGTTATCATTATTGTTGTTGCTATTGTTGTTATTATGACACTAACATCTACAACTTTCTGTATTTCATCTGTCAACAAATATTTCAATATCAAATCTGATCCTGCTCCTTGACTCAGACCTTTGTCATTTTGATTGAAAAGATGTTTACCTGTTGGTCCCCAGCCTCACTCTTCTGAACCTCAGATCCACTGAGTGTGTATCCAGAGGTAAGTATGTGGTAAGTATGCTTGTCATTTACATTATCTGTCAGCATGAGTATTGGTTTCCTAGAAACCTAATATTGAAAACACTTAGCATTGCTAAAAGCATTAAATGAAATAAAGACTCAATATAGCTGCACTAATCTGTGCTTTCTAAATTTACTGATGGACGTGAAGAAAGTAGGTTGGCATGGAGTTTATACAATTTATGGATCACACTGATCTGAATTCAGACAGTGTGTGCTCAGATAAAAATATTGTTTCCTCCCATGAGGTTTCCAATTTTGCAGAGAAGAATACCTCTGTTTAGCTCATTACTTAACACAATGGGTAGCTGGGTGGCCTTGCATTCTGGAAGTGAAATGACACAAGAATGTCTCCACTGCATTCTCCAGAGGTAAAGATTCTCTGGCACAAAATCACAACCAAGGTGGGGTTCCAAAACTATAGAACAAATGGCAGCAGCCATGCAGCCAGCCTTGGTTCGGGTGGGCTGTAAAAGCAGAGGTTGTCCTCGTGTTATCAGCACTGACTTCCTGTTGTGGCCACACTGACAGAGATGAGATGGCAGAAAGCAGGAAAGAGACCAGAGCTGCAATTGACAGATGGCTGGCCAAAGTTGAAGGGTCAGAGACTACACCAAAGACTTCTCAGAAAATACTTGCCTAGGAGGCTCTCACTTGGAAAGATATTCAGGGTTGTTAAACATATCCTGTTATTAGGAAAACGAGAGTTTTATCTTTCTCTTACTCAGAAAGAAAAAACAAAAAGAAAATTAGTGCTCTTAAGAAAAGCTATTTTAATGTTATCCATTATAAAATTAGAAAACCTTGAAAGGCAAATGTTTCTTCTGACCATTTACACTGAGCTTCTTTCATTATCTCATATGCAACCTTGTGGATTGAAGGTGGAGAGTCCTTAGGATTACCCAGGAACATCCCTGTCTGCTCCCCCTGCTAGGCAGGAGGAGATTTGAAACCACATGTGTCTACTTCATTTCTGTCACGGGTAGGACAGTGTCATATACTTTGTAGGTAACTCAAAGATATTATAGGTAACTCATAGATATTGATTGAATTAATGTTTAATAAAATGAGAACACCAGCTCTGCTGTTATCATCATCCTCATTTCGATTCGCTGAACTCTGCACCAAGGCCAAATACATTATACTTTAGGCTTTGTTAAAGCCATCTATGTAAAGCTGGCTGAAGTCGAACTGTACAGTAAACAAGAGATGGTAATAGTCTCTGCATGTGTTATTTCTTTCAACTCCAAACCTCAAAGCATTTTAGGAAGAAATACTATTTCATCTTTAAAAAAAAATAGAAAAAAGAAACTTCTGAAAAATTAATGCAATCTAAATAATAGTCATTAAAAAGTAAATTATGGTAAAATGGCATACTATGCAGTCATTAAAGAGACGATGTTGCTCTATACTTATTTACATAGAACATTATCCTTGGGAAAAAAACTTATTTAAAAAATAGAAACAGTTTAAAATATGTTTAATATAATGCCTTTCGTAAAAAAAAATGTATGGGTATATGTGTAAAAATGTGTATGGGTGTGTGTGTGTTTGTAAATAGGAAATAATTGGAAGATATTCAACACAAGTTTCCATGGATGAGATGGGAGGCAGATGATAAGTGATATTTGTTTCTATATTGTATGTATTACTACATTTTCTGTTTTTATAGTAATGAAAAAGTATTAGTTTACATTCTGAAATAAATGTAACTAGCTTAAAATAATATGTAGCAGCAATCTTAAAAAATTTTTATTTACTAAAAATCTCATCATCCAATAATTATTTAAATACCTTTTCATACTATCTGTATAAGTTAGCTAATGTTTTATAACAAAGCCTTGAAGTAGTAATTTATTATTATGGCCCATGAATCTGTGGGACACCTGAGGACTAAGTATTGACTGACTTAGGTTGAGCTTCACTGACATTATAGACTGAATTATGGCCTTCAAAATTCATATGTTGAAATCCAAATCCCCAGTACCTCAGAATGTGATTGTATTCAGAGATGGGGTCTTTAAAGAGGTAATTAAGGTAAAGTGAGGTCATAAGGGTGGGTTCTAATCCAATAAGATTGGTATCCTTATAAAAAGAGGAGATTTGGACACAAACCTGAGCATAGAGAAAACACCATGTGAACATAAAGACAGCCATCTACAAGGCACAGAGAGAGGCCTCAGAAGAAATCAGACCTGCTGACACCTTGATCTTAGATCTCCAGCCTGCAGAACTGTTAGGAAATAAATGTCTGTTGTTTTAATTTACATAGTCTCTGATACTTTGTTATGGCAGCCCTAGCAAACTCACAAGCTGCTATCAACTGGGGTCACATTATAGGTTGACTAGGAGACCTGCTCTAAGCTAGATCTGTGTAGGGTACTTTAGCTGGGGGAACTCATCTCCAAATGTCTAAATTTCTTCTTCAAGCACCTGTGAACTTCAAGCTCTGGCATATCCTTCTCATGGATGGCAAGAACACAAGAGAGAAAGTGGAAACATGCAAAATTTCTTGAGACCTAATCTTGGAGCTAGCACACTGTCACTTCTGTCTCATTCTGTTGGTTTAAGCAATTCACATGACTAAGCCTAAGATAGAGAATTATGCTGTGTCTACTATGGGAAAGCATTGCAAAGTGGCATGGTAAAGAGTGTAGATGCCGGGGAGGGAGAGTAGGGCAGAGCAATCAGGGCCAATGATATAATCTACCATGATACCTTAGTGTTCACATATCTGTTTATATTGCAGCATTCTTAGTCCACATACTGTAACTATATATTTCCAATTTCACTCAATATTTAATCTTATATCACATTTTTAACATAATTCATTTTTTATTTTATCGAATGCATAATATATATATTAATTGAGACTTCAGAGGTACATGGTCAATTGCACAGTAGGATAGTGAGGAACTAGAATAAGGAAAATCACATTGAAAATTTGTTCCAAAAAATTAGTCAGTAAAATTAGCACATAAATAAACCAATATAAAAGTTTAATTCAAATGGAAAATTTCATAACAGCACAGTATAGTGTTTTGCACATAGCAAGCACTCAATCATGTTTGTTGACTAGACTCTATGTGAATTTGTTTTGAATGTGGGAACTGTTGCTAAAACAACACATTCAAAATGTGGAAAACCTCATTTTTTGAAATAAAGAACAACAGCAACAATAAAAAATACATACAAAATACTGATGACAGTATAAACTGTAAAATGTCACAATTTAGTATCCATCCTCAGCTTTCTGCTTAGAAACATGTGGAAGCATTTTACAGGCCTGTTAAAACTTTTTGATCTACTTGGATGAAAGATTAGCTAAAATTTAGCCATTCTGTTACCACTTTAAAACTATGATTTTATTTTTGCACTCCAAACACTTTTAAGTTACTGAAAAATGAATAATCAAAGAATTTTGTTTTCTGAAGAGAGATAGCCTCATTTTTCTAAGAGGATCAAAGGATGAGAAAGCTTTGTTGAAGGTTTCCTTCTAAGAGAAAGTAAATCTTGGCTCCAAATTCATTTTCCAAATCAGGAAGTAGAAAATTTTTTCAGGAAAGGATTGAACTAGGGAAGCAGAAAAAAAAAATTTTCCACTGGTTAATTATTTTGATAATTTGGTTCTAAAAACATTACCAGTATATATATTGCTAAAAAAATATTTTAGTGTCTTATATGGTAAGTAATTCCATCATTTAAAAAGCATGTGGAAATTGCAAAGCTAAATAGCAGACATATATTTATTATATTTGGTTCATGCACATACTCTAGGGATAGCTAAATGTGTGTATAGTACTCTTTTGTATCCTCTATGAAACCTCTCCAAAGCTATTATGAATTATATTGTTTAAATATGTCCTCACTCAGCTTCATGAGAGTTATTCCCAACTCAGTTTCAAACTGAACACATGTTGCATCTGTTTTCTGTTTGTGAATATTGAATGTTTGGCACTTTCATTGGGATATTTTTCTTTGGAATGAAATAATTTCAAATATTCACTTAATCAAAACATCAGTTTCCTTTTCCAGTTTCCATTGTGGATTGTTGGTAGGTTTCCCAGACCAGCTCTCTTGTGCTGTGCAGAGGGACCCTCCTCCTCTTGGTGCATAGGAAGGAACAGAGGGGAAAGGAAACAACATCTGGACCATGGGCTTGTCCCTTCTCCACATCTTGTTCCTCTCTAGATTTCACCTGACTTGAGGTCTCATTCAAGTACTCTTGAAGATTTTAACTGTTTTGTCCTCTTCTGATTATTTATAACTTCCTTTTTTTCTTTTTGAAAATGTTACTGGGAGCAGAATAATTGAAGTTCTGTGAAGCCACTGGAAACTCACTGCTCCCTCTCCTGCCAGTTTCAATAAAAAGCTTTTTTTTTTTTTTTGAGGACCTATATCTTTGGGATATACATGTTTAAGCAAAATTAACCTGGCAGGGGAGATACATTGAGAAGGGTTGATTGAAGCAGTAAGAGATTGGAAGGGGGAAAGACAAACTCAGAGGCTCTGGCCACCATGCATGGAGGAAATGAGGAAGATTACTGCTGTAAAATTCAGTGAAAAAAATCCATGTGCTACTAGGAAAAGCATGGACTTCAAAATCAGAAAAATTGGAGTTGAATCCCAGCCCAACAACTCATAAACTCTGTGACTTCAAGCAAGGTACCCAACTTCCTTAAACCTCATTTTCTCAACTTATAAAATGGATGTGAAATCAGCATACATAATTGTTATAAAGACTAAATTATAAAGGTTTTTAAATGCTTAGTGTTTTGATCAGTTTAAATTGCTACAACAGAACACCATAGACTGTGTTAAACAACAAACATTATTTTTCACACTTCTAAAGGCAAGGGAGTCTAAGATAAAGACATCAAGAGATTTGGTGTTAGATGAGGGCCCACTACTTGGTTTATAGATGGCCATCTTCTCACTGTATCTTCACCTAACAGAAAAAGAGCAAGAGAGCAATCTGCAGTCCCTTTCATACAGGCACTAATCTCATTCATGAGGGCTCCACCCTCATTACATAATTATCTCCCAAAGGCTTCTCCTAATACTATCACGTTGGAGGTTAGAATTTCAACTTACGAATTTTATGGGAGGAAAAAAAATGTTCAGTTTATAACACCTAGTATATAATAGATGTTCAATGTTAATATATGATTTTAAATGGACATATTTGAGAGATATTATAAAGGAAGAAACAAATGAATAATGGACTGAATATAGGAAACCAGGGAGAAAGATACTCAAAGACGGGGAGGTAACTAGGTTATTGACACACATGTTGTAGTTGGGAAAGAGAGTCAATTTGGAGTAAAAGCTAATGAATTTAACATTGAACACATTGAGCTTGAAGCAATGGCAGGATATCTGAGTAAATGTGTGCAGAATGTAGTTGGAAATACAGTACTGGAACACATGTGAGAGGTTACAGGGGGGCTATGTATTGGGGTTAGAGATACGAATTTTAAAATCATGGACTGAGAAATAATATTTGAATCTATGAGAACAGACAAACTTGCTAGAGGCAAATAGCAGAACCTTGGAGAACATCCACAATTTAGAGAAAAGCAAAAGAAGTTAGAAGATCAATTTTTAAAAACTTAGGAGGAGATCTAGGTAAGCCTTCATCCATGGAAACCAATGGGAAATTCTCAATGAATGGATAACTGATACTATTACATTGTCAATACATTGGAAAGACCATGGATGCCCATCAAGGGGGATTTGCTCAGCAAATTATAGCACATCCACATAAAGGAAAACTATGCAACATTTAGAGAATGGTAGATCTATATTTATAGACATGGAAAATATTTTAAAACAAATGGATTAAAAAACCATAGGTTAAAGAACACCACGTGTAGAATGTAATCCTATAAAAATGAATACATAAATACATATGGAGTAGGTAGAGAAAGTCCTTAAGATTGTTTTCTGAGTTCTACTAACAATTACCTATGATGGCATCCAAGGCGAGTTTTACTTTTTCTTTGTACATTTCTACATTGCTTTTTTTTTTTTTTTTATGATAATCATGTATCACTTCAAAAACAAAGTATTTTTAGAAAAGAACGAATACTACTGAAGTTGGTATTGTGACTTTATATTCTTATATTATCTGTTGGTCCACACTGAATCCTTTCTGCCACTTGCAGGCCATTTACTCAGCCTCAGGGTGTTTTTCTGGAGGTTGTCTCACTGATTGGACCTACCTAGCTCTTTAGTTAGCATTAGCTGAAGTCACTGGTGTTGTCCTTTGAGGTGCTTTGTGGAGAAAAAGCGTTGTATGGTCAATAGGTTAGAGAACTGTGAATGTGATACCTCACTTTAAGAGATCACCAATCACACTTGCACATTCAAGTATCTGTGAAGGTGCTCCTGAAAATGAACTTGTCAACATTTAATCTAATACTTCTCCAAATTCTTTGAGCATGGAGGGAGCTATTTTCTTGTTTTATCAACTGCTAACATACCATGGAACTAGTATCTGCAAAGCAGATTATGAGAGACATGAGCTTAAATGGTGATCTAGTGCTTTGTTATGGATTTTTCAGCTTTTCTTGAGTGAAATTCAGTTTGACCAGCTAATACGTGCAGTTCCTAGACTCCCTTGGAATCTCTCCAAGAGACAGGTCAGTAACCTAATATTTCCCTTTGTTCTGTGGTAGGTCTCCATCAGGCTTATTTAATGACAGGTCGTACACTGTCAGCAAGTACTTTAGAGTTATAGTTTTGGATCTCTTCAAGATTCTAGTTGGAAAAAAAGGACAAAAATACAGAGAATCCCAAAGTTTGCTTCTTTGTGTAAATTTTTCATCTCCAGCTTTCCTCTTATCTGGAAGTTAGAAAATGTTAACAATATTCCAGTGGTAGAAAGTTAATCACATTTTGCAGCCAATGAGTTGTTTTAAGAAAATATCAAAGTAATGTATGTTTTCATTGAAGATAAATTGAGAAATAAATAGAAGAAATTTAAAAACATATTAATCACATCATACAGAAAAAAATCAGTTAATATTTTGATTTTTAAACCTCTAGACTCTATTTATGTTGATACACATATATAGAGTCTGAATCACCACTTAAGCTCAAATCTTCCATAATCTGCTCTGCAGATAATAGGTCCCAATTTTATTAGCAGTTGCTAAAACAAGAAAGAGTTCTATTCTCAAAGAATTTGGGGAAGTATTATTAATAGATTAAATATTGTCAAGTTTATTTTCAGTGTATGCATTTGTTTTTTTGTTATCATCTGAACAACAATGTAGTCACATTATACGTTTGTTATATAATCTGCTTTCCCTCACTAATTAATATATATATAAATAATATATTTCCTTGTCAAGAATATAGATTTACATTATAACTTTTATGGAATAAGTATTTAATTGAATTAATAAACTATACTTTCTTAAAGAGATTTTTAATGTTTTAAAAATTGATAATACACATATTTTCATGGTACATGTTTTAATTTAATACATTTATATAATTTGTCAAGATCAAATCAGTGTGTTTAGGATACTCATCACTTTAAATATTTGTCTTTTCTTTATGCTAGAAACATTCAAATTATTCTCTTCTAGTTATTTTGAAATATACAATAGGTTATTGTAAACCATAGTCATAGATCAGTTTGACACTGATCTATCAAACACTAGGTCTTATTTATTCTATGCAACTATATATTTGTGCCCGTCAATGAACCTCTCTTTATTCCCTCTTCCCTTCAATTTTTTCCAGCCTCTGGTAACCACCAATCTACTCTCTATCTTCATGAGATACACTTTTTTACTTCCCCCATATGACTGAGAACATGCAATATTTGTCTTTCTATGCTTGACTTATTTCACTTAACATAATAACCTCCAGTTCCATCCACGTTGCTGCAAATGACAGGATTTCATTCTTTTTTATGGCTGAATATTATACCACTGTGTATATATACCACATTCTCTTTATCTAGTCATCTGTTGATGGGCACTTAGGTTGATCATACTTTGGTTATTGTGAATAATGCTGCAATAAACATGGGAGTGCAGATATCCCTTTGATAAATTGATTTCCTTTCTTTTGGATATATACCCAGTAATGGAATTGCTGGATCACATGGTAATTCTATTTTTAGTTTTTTGAGGAACTTCCATACTGTTCACCATAGTGGCTATACTAATTTACATTCCTACCAACAGTGCACAAGGGTTCCCCTTTCTTCACATCCTCTCAGCATGTATTATTGTCTTTTTGATACAAACCATTTTGACTGAGGTGAGATAATATCTTAGTGTGGATTTGGTTTGCATTTCTCTGATGATTAGTGATGCTGAGCATTTTTAATATACATGTTGGCCATTTGTATGTCTTCTTTTGAGAAATATCTGTTCAGATCTTTTGCCCATGTTTCAATCCAATTTTTTTTGTTGCAATTGAGTTGTTTGAGCTCCTTATACATTCTGCTTATTATTCATTTGCCAGATGGATAGTTAGCAAGTATTTTTGCCCATTCTGTGGATAGTCTCCTCATACTATTGAAGACTTTTCCTGTACTCTGCAGAAGCTTTTTAGCTTGCTGTAATCTCATTTGTCTGTTTTTTCTTTTGTTGCTTGTGCTTTTGAGGTCTTACATAAAAATGCTTTACCCACACCAATGTTTTGGGGTGTTATCCCAGTGTTTTCTTTTAGTAGTTTCATAATTTCAGATCTTAGATTGACTGATTGATTTTTTTATTTTTTTGAGATGGAGTTTCACTCTTGTTGCCCAGGCTAGAGTGCAACGGCATGATCTCAACTCTCTGCAAACTCTGCCTCTTGGGTTCAAATGATTCTCCTGCCTCAGCCTCCCTAGTAGCTGGGATGCTTGACTGGCCTAGCCTCCCAGCCTACATCATTCTCCTGTGCGGGATGCTTCCTGCTTCAAGCATCGGACTCCAAGTTCTTCAGTTTTGAGACTCAGACTGGCTCTTCTTGCTCCTCAAGTTTGCAGACAGTCTGTTGTGGGACCTTGTGATCATGTAAGTTAGGTTTTGGGAAGTTTTCTGTTATTATTTCTTTGAATAAGATTTACACCTCTTGTTCTTGCTCAATTCCCTCTTGAACACTAATACATCTTAGATTTGGTCTTTTGAGATAATTTTCTATATCTTGTAGGTGATCTTTTTTCCTTTTTATGTTATTTTTTCTCTGACTGTGGATTTTCAAATAGCCTGTCATTAAGCTTATTGATTCTTTCCTCTGCTTGATCCATTCTGCTCTTGAGAGTCTCTAATAAATTTTTCAGTTCAGCAAATATATTTTTCAGTTCCAAAATTTCTGATTTTTTAAAATCATTTTAATCTCTTTGTTAAATTTCTCTCATAAATTTCTCAAATGCTTGTCTGTGTTATCTTGGAGATCACTGAGTTTCCTTAAAACCACTACTTTAAATTTTTGGTTAGAGAGCTCACATGTCACCATCTCCTTAGGGTCAGTCACTGGTTCCTCGCTTTTTCTGTATGGAAAGGTCATAGTTCCCTGTTTGCTGTTGTTTGTTGTGGATGTACATCTATGTCTTTGCATTGAAGGGTTTATTATTTATTTCAGTCTTCATTGTCTGGCTTTTTTTTTTTTTATTGGATATGTTTACTTAGAGATTCTTTCTAATTTACCTGTTGATTTTCTTTCTTTCTTCCTTTCCTTTCCTTTCTTTCCTTTCCTATTTCATTTCTGTATTAGTCCATTCTCATGCTGCTATGAAGAAATACCTAAGACTGGGTAATTTATAAAGAAAAGAGAACTCACAGGTCTGCATGGCTGGGGAGTCTTCAGAAAACTTACACTCATGGGAGAAGGAACCTCTTCACAGGGTAGCAGGAAAGAAAATGAGTGCCAGCAGGGGAAATGTCAGACACTTATAAAAACTTATAGACCTCTTGAGACTCACTCATTATCACAAGAACAGCATGGAGGAAACCACCCCCCATGATCAAATTACTTCCACCTGGTCCCACCCTTGACACATGGGGATTATTACAATTCAAGATGAGATTTGGGTGGGGACACAGAGCCAAACCATGTCTTTCTTCTTCTCTCTCTCTCTTTCTTTCTTTCATTCTTTTTTCTTTCCTTTCTTTCTTTTTTTTTCTTTCTTTCTCTCTCTCTCTCCTCTCTCTCTCTCTCTCTCTCTCTCTCCCTCTCTCCCTCTCTCTCTCTCTCTCTCTCTCTCTCTCTCTCTCCCCCTCTCTCTCTCTCTCTCTCTTCTAGGTTGCTACCTCCTTTTTGGCACTAGATAGGACCTTAAGCCCAGGTTTGCCTTGGTTTTACTAAACAATCAGAGTGCCACCTGTCCCAAATGGAGGCGGTCCCAAAGGGGATATCCTGATAGTGTGGAAAGGCTGGCTTAGAATTTGTACCTAAGACACCTGTGGAATGAACCTCCTACAGTGTGGTGCTGAGACACCCTGATTTAGCATCTCCTTCGGCTGAGTAACACAGCAGAGTTTTCAGGGCTGGTGATGGTAGTCCTGCCTCTCCTCTTTGTTTCTGGCTGTCCTTGGGGATATTTTTCTTTTCAGGCACTCCTAATGCTTTCTATGGGTTGAGGCAGGGACAGGTCTCCTGCCAAGAAAATCACTATGGGGTTGGGGGAAGCTGGTTGTCCACCTCAATCTCACTTTTTCAAGAGTAGAAATTCTGAGTTTGGAGAAAATTTTCCCTGTGCTTGGTGACAAGCAAAAGGAGGGGAGGGGCATTGTAGATATGGACGTCTAATTGTATCACCATCTGCTCAGAATTTTTCACCTCTCTATGGCCTCAAGAACTGGCTTATCCTCACATATGAGTAGTGGGACATTGCTGGTGATAATCAAAGCACTGTGTATTTGTCCTTGTTTTTCTGTGGGCCAGGGGGAGTAAAGCCAGCTTGCTTCTACCCTACCATTTTGGTTAAAGAAATTTTTGAAGGTAAATATCTAGGCTATTATTGTAAACAACACTAAAATAAATACCTTGGCCTCTGCCTCTGACCCTGCCCCTGCCCCTGCCCCTGCCTCTGCCTCTTTGCACGGTGTCCCTCTGATGCCGAGCCGAGGCTGGACTGTACTGCCGCCATCTCGACTGACTGCAACCTCCCTGCCTGATTCTCCTGCCTCAGCCTGCCGAGTGCCTGGGATTGCAGGCGCACGCCGCCACACCTGACTGCTTTTCATATTTTTTGGTGGAGACGGGGTTTCGCCGTGTTGGCCGGGCTGGTCTCCAGCTCCTGACTGCAAGTGATCTGCCAGCCTCGGCCTCCCGAAGTGCCGGGATTGCAGACGGAGTCTCGCTCACTCAGTGCTCAATGTTGCCCAGGCTGGAGTGCAGTGGCATGATCTTGGCTCACTACAACCTCCACCTCCCAGCCGCCTGCCTTGGCCTCCCAAAGTGCCGAGATTGCAGCCTCTGACCGGCCGCCACCCCGTCTAGGAAGTGAGGGGCGTCTCTGCCTGGCCGCCCATCGTCTGGGATGTAGGGAGAGCCTCTGCCCCGCTGCCCCGTCTGAGATGTGAAGAGCACCTCTGCCTGGCCGCGATCCCGTCTGGGAACTGAGGAGTGTCTCTGCCCCGCCGCCACCCCATCTGGGAGGTGAGGAGCATCTCTAACTGGCCGCCCCGTCTGGGAAGTGAGGAGCGTCTCCGCCGGGCAGCCTCCCTGTCCGGGAGGTGGGGGGCGCCTCTGCCCAGCCGCCACCCCATCTGGGAGGTGTACCCAACAGCTATTGAGAACGGGCCATGATAACGATGGCGGTTTTGTCGAATAGAAAAGGGGGAAATGTGGGGAAAAGAAAGAGAGATCAGATTGTTACTGTCTCTGTAGAAAGAAGTAGACATAGGAGACTCCATTTTGTTCTGTACTAAGAAAAATTCTTCTGCCTTGGGATGCTGTTAGTCTATAACCTTACCCCCAACCCCGTACTCTCTGAAACATGTGCTGTGTCCACTAAGGGTTAAATGGATTAAGGGCGGTGCAAGATGTGCTTTGTTAAACAGATGCTTGAAGGCAGCATACTTGTTAAGAGTCATCACCACTCCCTAATCTCAAGTACCCAGGGACACAAACACGGCGGAAGGCGGCAGGGCCCTCTGCCTAGGAAAACCAGAGACCTTTGTTCACATGTTTATCTGCTGACCTTCCCTCCACTATTGTCCTATGACCCTGCCAAATCCCCGTCTCCAAGAAACACCCAAGAATGATCAAAAAATACTAAAAAAATTTAAAAATAAAATAAATAAATAAATAAATAAATAAATATCTTGAAACTAACTTTGTGTGTGTGTCAACAATTTTTAAAGTTAGGCTTAGGCTTAAATATGCTTATAAAATTTACAGTTCCATACATCCTCCATATTTACAAACACCCTTTCTTTTCTCTGAGGAAGCACGGAGAAGAGAGAAGCAATAGTCTATCTTCACACATGTGATCAGCAAGAAAAGAGATGGGTCTTTTTCCTTTATTTGAGCTTTGTCTTTCCCATGTATATTTACATTATCTCAAAGCCAGTATCCTTGGGGGAAATTATACGTAATTGCTAAAATGTTGACATCAAAACTTTGCAGTTTGCTTTCAAAATGATGCTCATGTTCTCATTCACTAAGTGATTAAAGTTAACATCATCAGTAATGAGAGAAATTGAAATCATGCATTACCTGACTGGGTGCACTGAGAACACAGCATCATTCCTGTGATATTCTTGCCCAAAACATGCAACCTATATCTAACCATGAAGAAACATCAGACATGCCCACTGAGATATTCTACAAGGCCAGAGGGTTAAGTGACTTTCCAAATTTCACAGGACTTGTTGATGGCAGAACTGGAATAGGATTCAGTTATTCTGACTCCTGGACCTGAGATTCGATCCTATCCCATCCCATCTTATCCCATCTCCTTCTGTCCTCTTCAATCCTCTTCTATCCCCTTCCATTCCCCTTCCCACTTCTATTTCCATTCCAGTCCATTCTATTCCCATTCCATTTCACTCAAATTCCATTCCATTCCACAAATAATAATTGAGGCTTTATTTATGTGTTAGGCACTGTTCTAGACACTGGAGATTAATCCCCAGTGGAGTGTAAGACAAACAAAACCCTTGCCCTTATGAAACTCTTAATCCAGTGAAAGTAAGCAGAATGGTGGCTGCTCCTTGTCTGACATTCTTTGTGTGTGTGTATGTATATTATATAATATACATACACACACATATATACACATGTATATATATATATGTGTGTGTATACATATATATAGAAGGAATTCTCTTTCTTTTATCCCTTATTCCAATCCTGTTATTATTAAGGATTATATTTAACTTTACATGTTCAAATTAGTATAGTTCCTGTCTCCTGACTGAACGCTGATGCAGGGAAACTCTGGTCTCTGACTTTGATTTTTTTTTAATAGTAATGTTTGGTACAATCAACTGACTTAAAACTTTAAAAAACTGAATTTCTACGGGTAAATGTTTAAATATGAGAAAAAAGTTGACTTTAGAATGTCTAATAAGCCTATCCTATTCAACAACCAAGAAATAGATTTCATACCTATTACACATAAAGATATAAAGGCATATTTTGGACTTTAAAGAGCTTGCAGGACAGGAAAGGCAAAAACATTTTATCCTGAATGCCAACTATCTGGGTTAATGACTATCTGGGTTGATACGCATCTCAAGGCCAGAAAGGAATGATCAATTTGTGACATCAGACAGGTAAAAGACGGAGTGCTGGAAAAGCATGTCAGCTGTTACCTAGTCAGTTTCATAGATTTAGTAAACTGAAGCACAGAAATTTAAATGACTTGCCCAAAGCAAAGTTGTGTAATGTAAAGGCTGGTGCTAGACCCATATATGTGATTTCCAGTGCATTGTTCTTTACTTGTTGCTGCTCTAGATGATGATGGTGTTTTGAGGTCAGGTCGGAAGTACAAACAATTTAAGATGAGGCTTGTTTACCTTACCTATAGGGGTCCAGATGTGTTTTTCTGGGAAATCAGATTTATTGCCCACCATAGTCACAAACAGACTGGAAATAAGATAGATTTACAGAATTTTCTGCCTAACTCTAGAAATAGGATGGCAGAAGAGTCATTACATTAAGAAAGCCCAATGCTGCCATTTACTTTAAGACATATAAATTTGGATTTCAAACAAAACAGCTTACAAAAGGGTGTTTGGCATCAAAAGGGAATAGCACAGGAATTATACCTAAGTCCATTACATATAACACTGAACTATACAAGTAAATGTGTTTGACAATAACAATGCTTATTTGATTGTTGGGGAAGGTGACAGCTAGTAATACGTTGGACTTGAATTATATTTTTTCCTGGAAAATGGTATCTAGAGTAAATTTTTCGCACCTACTTGCCCAAACTTTCTTATCAGATGCTGAGTTGAAAAGAACATACCTAGATTCTACGGAAATTAGAAATCTAGCCTTTTTAAGAATATAACTTTGGAAATACTGGTGAATGGTAGATCTCCCATCCTCATGCTTGGAGGGCTATTATCTACCACAGGGCCACACAACAGTGCCCTCTTAAGCCCCTTAATTTCACCTAGTCTAGCCAAAGGCAACACAAGTTCAAACTTTCCGGCTAGACTTCAGAATAAGAAAATTTTTGAAGTGCATTTCTCACTTAAGGACATAGCATATTTAAAAAATAAGAGCAAAAGGGGAAATTCTTGTCTTTTTAAATCAAACATTATTTGTTGCCAGAAGTGTAATGACTTTTTGTTGGTATTTGTTAAGTACAGCCAGTTTTGATAATGTGCTCTCTTTTACTTTAGGAATTGCCTGTCCGTACTTTCCTTTAAAAGTTTTACCTGTACATCATCCTAGTAAGTATATGGCAAGGGCAGGGAAGTGACCCTGGATGTTTATTTCTGAAGAAACAAAAAAGATGACTAGTAGAGGATACAAGAGAAGCTGGAAGCTACTGATTTATCAATAGAATAAAAAATCCACAACACAAAAACAGATTAGAGTCTTCTTTGTTCAACTCACTCCTAAATACAAACCACTGGCTGCAAAATGGGTCTGGCCAAAAAAAATCTCCTATTCAGAATCCTGCTACTCATTTTACCTTAGAAATAATTATACATTTCTTTAACATTTAGAGTAAAAACAATCTTAATAAAAAGAGCAAATAACAGAATCTAATCAAGGTGTCTTCTGTCCTTAACTGTTTGTTCTACTAAAAAAGAATTTTTCATTAATAATCCTAATCATAACTCTGCAGTGTTCAAAGACCAAAGGGGTTAGGTACTTAGTTCAGTAAACAAAAGTCGTGGAACAAGCACCCAATGCCCCTGAATATTAACTTCACTATAACTATAATTCCTAGAAATAAATTTCAATTCTTTCCCATTCTGTATACTAACTGATTCTTACCACCAGTCAAAACAGAAAATTATTCTGGCTCTAATATTCAGTTCCATTTTGTCTGACTAGCAAAGTCACAATTAGTCAATGACTACCAGATACACTCTACTGTGTTTTGCAGATGTAAAACTTAGAAATTAGTGTTATAATTCTTATAGGAAAACCTAAATCAGTAAACTTAATTGTAGTTTAATTCAAAGTTTTTAATCCAATATTGCATTCAAAAAGAATCTGTTAATACATGTTGCTCTGCTTGTTACATGGCCACCAAGTGACTATAAGAGAAAACACACAGAAAAAAAAATTTTAAATGCAGTATCTGCCATCTTGTGGTACAGTGAGGAAATGCAGCAATTGAGAAGCTTCTAAATGCTGTAATCCTAAACATTTCTCCGCATTGCTCATGTAAATAGCCAATAATAACAATATGATAGTTCTATTTTTTCTGTAATCTACTTAATGCCATTTTTCTTGAGATTATCCTTGAGTAAATTACAGAGGCATCAAGATCCCCCCAAAGTTGTCAAATATTATTCGTATCCTTGCTAAAATCAGGTCTCCAAAAGATTGCTTCTCTATCCACTATGACCTAGTAGTCTTCACACTAGTAGGCATCAAACTGCAATAAAAGGCTCAGATACAACCCATCTGGCATCTAAAGGAACACTCAAAAATTTAACACTTCCCCTGGCACCACTCTCACCCATCTATCTACCTTTACCTCATAACAATAGCAAGCCAGGCGCGGTGGCTCATGCTTGTAATCCCAGCACTTTGGGAGGCCCAGGCGGGTGGATCATTTGAGGTAAGGAGTTCAAGACCAGCCTGGACAATATGGTGAGAACCCGTCTCTACTAAATATACAAAAATTAGCCAGGTGTGGTGGTGCACACCTGTACTCCCAGCTGCTTGGGAGGCTGAAGCATGAGAATCACCTGAACCTAGGAAGCAGAGGATGCAGTGAGCCAAGATCATGCCACTGCACTCCAACCTGGGCAACAGAGTGAGACTCTTTCAAAAAAAAAAGAAAAAAAAATAGCAGCTAACCCTTACTGAGCATTAACTATGTTATTAACTCAATCCTCACAACAAACCTATTAAGTAGGGACTATTATTTTCCTCATTTTAAATGATGAAGCAACTGAGGCACAGAGGTTAGTAATTTTCCTAAGATTATGGTGGAGATCCTAAGCTATTGAAATGATTACTACTTGTTTTCAAAAGCCCTTATCATTTATATCACAATATGAATAACAAATATTATGAATCGCAGTTATCAAAAAAACTTCAGCAGTATTACTACATCAAAACCATAAAAAACAGAAGATGTAGGTGACTAACTTCAATGTAAGAACTTCAAATAATTGCCCATTGACAGAATGCTAGCAGCTCTGGTAGAAGGGCAAAGCTTAGATATGATGTAACTAGCTTAGAGTACCAATGCTGACTTAGAACAGCATTCACCCATGCCATAGAGAACTGAGACAATGTGGCACCTTCATTAAATGAATTAAAGAGCTTTACTTGAGTTAATATCTTAGTTTACCAAACCTGACCTGAGTTTCCTCAAACACTTGACAATAGTTGCTTTCTAAGTCTGTAACATGATAGGTTTAGGCCGGGTACGGTGGCTCATGCCTGAGTCAGGAGAATCGCTTGAGCCTAGGAGTTTGTGACCAGCCTGGGCAACACAGGGAGACACCATCTCTCCAAAATAAAAATGTAAAAATCAGCTAGGTGTGATGGTGCACACTTGTAGTCCCAGCTACTTGGGAGGCTGAGGTGGGAGAATACCCTAAGCCTAGAAGTTCTAAGATGTAGTGAGATATGATCAGGCTACCACACTCCATCCTGGGTGACCGAGATCCTTTCTCTAAAAAAAAGAGATAAACAGCCAGGTGCGGCAGCTCACACCTGTAATCCCAGCACTTTGGAAGGCCAAGGTGGGTGGATCATGAGGTCAGGAGTTCGAGGCCAGCCTGGCCAACATAGTGAAACCCCGTCTCTACTAAAAATGCGAACAATTAGCTGGGCGTGGTGACAGGCGCCTGTAATCCCAGCTACTCAGGAGGCTGAGGCAGGAGAATGGCTTCAACCTGGGAGGCGGAGGTTGCAGTGAGCCGAGATTGCGCCATTGCACACCAGCCTGGGCAACAGCGAGACTCCGTCTCAAAAAAAGAAAAAATAAATAAACATAATAGGTTTAAAAAACTAAGTTAAAAAATAAGTCTCTCTATAGCTTTTTATTTACTGAGGTTAAAGATCTTTTCATATTTACAAACTATTTATATGTATTTGTTTCCCAGTTCACATCCTTATACATTTTGTTCCTCTACTATCTTTAGATATGAGCCTTTTGACCTGGATGAGTTACAAATCTGCCTCCCACTCTGTCTTTTGTCATTTTTCTTGACTTGTCTTCTAAGTTTTTGTTGGTCCACTGAACTAATTTTTTTTTTGTTATCAAATATATCTTTTATAGTTGAGTTTGGTGTCACACTTAGGCCTTCTTCAATCCATTTGCTTTAAGAGTTTAGGTTTTTGGTAGTTTTATCTTTTCCTATTTAAATCTTCTAGTGGAGGGCAGAAAACTGGGTTTTCCATTTGGTTACCAGTTGTTGTCCCAATTCCACTTACAAAATAATGTCTTTCCTTGCCAATTTCAAATATCATTTTTATCCTATATGAATTTTTTAAAGTATTAGGGTATTCTGACATCTTACTATGTTACATTGACCTTACTAGACACAAGAACCATAGCTTCTTTACATATTATTTCTAAAAATTTTGTTATTACAAATGGGGGTCTTTGTTCTTCCAACAGACTTGGTCACTAAGTGTTACTGATTTCTGTTTATTAATGCTGTACCAAATCACCTTGCTGAAATTGCTTTAGATAGTTCTCTTGAGGTTTTAGTTGTATATAACCAACTACTTAGAAAAACAAAACCTCTTAAATACACCCAAGGAGATCCAGTATAGTATTGAAGTGTACAATTTCAGTATGTTCACACAATGGAACATAATACATAGCAGTCAAAATGAACTATACTTAACATGTGTCAACAGGGGTAGATCAGAATATTAAATGAAAAAAAGCAAAGGGCCTTTGTCTCCTGGCACCCGGATACTGAGCTCAGTTTCCGTCTTCACTGTTCCATCTCCTCCATCCACTACTCCAGGATCTCATAGGTGACTCTACCACAGCCCCTGTTGTCCTGTGAGCTGCAGGCACTGGGAAATCCACAGGGAGGATGCCAGAACATCTGGAGCCTGCGAAATGGTATTTTCTTATTTAAAACAGGATCATCATGGTAGACGGGAGGCATGGTGGGAGGGGGGCGAGGGATAAAAGATTACAAATAGGGTGCAGTGTACACTGCTTGGGTGATGGGTCCACCAAAATCCCACAAATCACCACTAAAGAACTTAATCATGTAACCAAACACCACCTGTTCCCCAATAAGCTATGGAAAAATAAAAATAAAAAAAGCAAAGTTACAGAATTGTCCAAATACATACCATCTATGTTTCACAAACACTAAATACATTTCATTATCCCCCTAACGAAGGGACTAAGTTTCTTAGTTCCTAATGTCATAAAGGTTTACAGATTGATAACAAATATGTAGCAAAAGTACAAAAACATGGGTAAAATATTCACAAAAACATGGATAAAATAATCACAATGGTGATTACTTCTTAAGGCTGGGAGGGAGGGAGGATTACAAACGACAAAGTACACAAAGAGAGCTTCAATTTCGGTGTATTTTAAGAAAAAAACACCGAAGCAAATATAGCAAAAGTAAAATATTTGTTAAGTCGGGGTGGGTGCACAGCTGTTCATTACAAAAGTCTAGGTGCTATTGTGAATGTCTGAAACATTTAAGAGGCTTGTAGAGAAATATTTTTTCTTTTAATATTTTACTGCACTGAAGAGAAATACTTTTGACTGAATTATCTTCTGGCATTCTGTAATTTTTAATCTCAAAAGAATCAATGTGGGCCTGACAAAAAGGGAGATTTCACTGATTTTGGCAAGTTCCTAAAATGTTTTGTCTTCTTTGCACATCTTAGTAGCAGGAGTTACCCCCATTTGTCTGCTTCCTGCTACTAGAATGTAAGCTCTGAGTGTAAGCTCTGAGTGAAAGCATTTTTCCATTATATTCAGTTACACTCCTACAGTCTTAAAATGGGCAGACACACAATAAGTAGTTGCTGAATGATAAATCAGTTGTGTTTATTTCCTTGAGTTAGAAACCTGGATGTCACGTAAATAATAATGGAACCTGGATGCCATGTAAATGCAGTAAAAGAAACAGGTTTTGTCTGCAGGTTCCATTTTAAACCAGCAATATACTATAGGCAAGTCTGGTCAATACAAGTTCTGGTCAGTTTCTTCTTTCAATTCAGAATTTCCATTTCAATTTTGAGAATCTTTGGGTCAACTCAAAGAACTCCTACATCTCAATTGCAGAGTCTGTATTATTTCATAAATTGTAATGGGATGTTAATCTTCACTGATACTAACTGGCTAAGCTATAGAGGGCAAGGTGGTAGAATTTCTATTGCAAAGATAAGTAATAATTACTATAAATACTCTTCCCAAAGAAACAGCAAATAGTTATCTTTCAAGCTGTAATCATTATCTTTCACCTAGAGTGTATTGTAAGTCTACAGAAATGATGTCATTAGCCACTGAAACAAGACTTCATATTGTAGTAATAAACAGACAAAAGATAATCCAAGTACAATTTTTTAATAAAGATAATTACAAAAGATGGAAAAATCAGCTCAGAAAGGCCAATTACTTCTTTAATAGATCAGTTTTTTTGACATAATAACTCACATCAATTTTAAATACTATCACATAAAGCATGGTGGAGAAAAGAAATTTTGCTTCATAATTAGAAAAACTCACAATAAAACTTGCCAAGAAAAACAAAAACGAAAAAGCCATTTGAAAATAAATACAGTCCATGCCAAAGTAGTATAAAATGAAGCCAGAAGTCTTCAAAAAGAAAACATTTTCCTTTCAATATTTTCTTTTTAATGATTTTCTGAAATTGGTGAGACTGTCAAATTCAGGGGTTGCTGAGCTGTTCTGATTTGGTTCTGTTAAAAGAGGCAATGTGAAATATTAAAAATGGCACAATCTTGGTTTAAATGCACTGACCTATTATATTGATCAGGTCCTGTAGGCTCATGCTAAGAAACACATTAATTGATAATGTCTTAAGTGTTTCTGGAGTAATTAATGCCTTAATTTTTCTAGTGATTTAATAAACTATTCCAAGTTATCCTGTAAAGGCTGGCACAAAATTATGTGTGCCCAAACATTTACATGCTTTCTGACACTAAAATCCTCAACTGTTTTTACTTAAAATTGTTTCTTAAATTTACCTATCTCACAACACTAAAAAAATCATGTACACAGAAATAAGAACACCATGAAAACCATTAAGTGCATATATAAAAGATAACAGCAAAAAAGGGTCTCAGATAAACTACGTACAAGAATACAAACTGACTGATATAGTTATACTGATAAACCAATAGGTAAGATGGCATATGTTGTCTTATGTACCAATACAAACTAAAATTCAGAGCACCTCATAATGATGTTCTAAGGTTCAGTCTAGTATTTCTGAAGTGTGTACACAAACACACACCAATAAACATGTTTAGTATTTTTATAGTATGTAAAAAGTACTTGATAAGGAACATCATTTACCCTTTGGTATCTGTTTTTTCACCACTGTTGTCCTTGGATTTATCTTCTTCCTTAACGTCTAAAAATAAAGATTGGGAAAAGATTAAAACCTATTTTGAAATATAAAATGTATATATATTATTTCAAAATATACTTTATTTTTAAAATATAAAAAGTTATGCAATCTTATTATTAATGAATTCGGTCTAAATAAGCTTTGTGTTGGGTGTTTCCTAAACGATGGCAGTACAAGCTATGAATAGTCACTGGATTGGGGTGCAGAGGGAGAAAAGGTGGCCCTAACTCTAGGTTTTGACCTATAGATTTAAAAAAAGCTTTCTGTGGTAGTATTTCATTTTTCAGTAGGCTGAAGAATTTTAACAACTGCAAGGCCCTATCGAAAGAGCCTCATCACCAAATAGAGAGTTTATTTTTTAAGCACAGAAAAGATAAAGCTTTTAAAAATGAGAACACCAAAAACAGACAGACAAGAAAACATAGTGAAAATGAAAGAAAAGAAAAAAAGTTAGGAAAATCCTACAGCTAAAGTTAAGTCGTCCTTAATTCAGTCATGGCTTGAATTTTTGGATGTCAATCAGTTACAAATATAGACTGAAGCCATCATTGTAATACATTGGGAAGTTAAAATTATAAATTTCTGTATGTAGCCTATTGAGGAGTGAATCCACAAGTAAAAGAACAGAACTAAATGTGTCAGATGTTATAGATTACTAACTCTCTAGTTTAAAAAAAAAAAAAAAAGCTGGCTTATTCACATAACTTCAATTTGATAGACATAGGAAAAATTGGATCATTATCTCTAAATCAGTTTTTCACATACTACAGGATCAAAATTAACAGGTTAACTAAAACGTGTGCTCATCACCATTACTTGCATTAGGAAATGCATCAAGTGCTGAGAATACAAATATTTAAGATACTGTGTTCCCTAGCCATGAGCAGCTCAGTCTAGTAGGGAGACAAAATCCTGTGAGGTGCTATAATATGATGTGTTAAATAAAATGGCAGAGGCATGTGTAAGTGTTCTGGGAAGTCAGATGAAAGGTAACAGATTCCGGTAGCAAATTCAATTGCCTAAAGCTAACACAGCGTTTTAAAGTAAGGCAATGTATCAAAGTATTTTTTCCTCCCTAACCCAGGTCCCAAATCCCCTCCTAGCTTTCCTCAGAGTTTTTAATGTTTTCTTCAATTTCTGAACAAAATCCATTATTTGACCTTTTTCAAAATGGCAAAACTGGTCTAAGGATATGTAACTCTTCTTTGTGTTTTCTCCCATTAAATAAGCTTTAGGTAGCTAAAAATTACCTTAGAAGTTCAGTTCTGACCATGCACTACCAATAGATTCATAATTACTTTGTCCTCTTTCTTAACCAATCTATATCACAATGCAATGTTCACTATTTTAAACCTATGTTATCAAGAAAATAAGGTTTCCTGTATTACTAAAGCAAATAGGAACAATAACATTTATATAAAAGCTTTAAGAGCTAAGTACCACTTATATGTAAGAAAAAAGAGTCACCTACCTAGCATACTTCCTCCTGATACCTGTGCAACTGACTTCTCGATAGCATAAACATTATAATGCAGCCCAATTTTTAAAATTTACAATTAAAACACAATTACCAAGAAACAAATCTGACCTGTTTTTTTGTCCTCTGTTTCTTTCTTATCTTCTTCAATTCTAGCTTTCTTTGCTCCTTTCTTATGATCAGCCACATTTCTTCGACCTCCTTCTCCTTCATCCTCAGAATCTGAGAATTCTTCATCACAAGCTATCCGCTTGTCTGATGCTCGAACTGCACAGAATATTTTAATAAATTTTGACAAAAACAGTCACAGGTTTTATAATCATTACAGCATACTCATACAAATGCACTAAGCAGTTAGTTACCACATTTAAACGTAAAGGGTAACATGCCTAATGATTTTAAAATTTGAATGGAATGAATGGTTTATTTAATATTGAAAACTTTGCTTTCATGTATGAAGAAATGGCTCAAAAACACATAATAAAAATTGGGGGAATCTCTTTTTCTTTAAAAATGCTGAAACTCTAAAGGAAAAAAGTGTGTTTTTCTAATAGGGGATGGGAATAATGTCATTACTTAAAAAGTAGCATTTTATTTCAGAGCTGAGAGGTGAAGTAGACCAAAAAAAAAGTACCAATACCAAATATGTTAGACAGTCTATACCATTACACATACTGTTATGCTACAATCTAACCATCACATTAAGTGTAATGAGAAGTTGTAAAATCAAACAGATGTTTAGTTATTTAGTTCACCCTACTTTAGATAAATGAGATGTCTTATTAATTTCCAAATATACTAAAGTTGCTAATTTTTGAAAACTTTCAATCATATATGTATATCCAGCCATACAAACTGAAACTGCTGACACCCAAATCAGGTTCTGAGACATCAGGAAGCTAAATCTCTGAAAGTGGCAAAAATGACAATATTAACAGTGTGCTCGTGAACATGACTTTATAGTGAAGTTCTTAGGCCACTAAAACCTTCCATTTCAATTATCATTTTGACAAATTGGAAAAATAAAGGCATTATCTTACTAGAAATTCTCTTGTCTGGATCTTCTCCATCTTCATCTCCACTGTCTTCATGAACAGCATCTTCTGGAATAGCTTGCATCTGGACACCAGGTGCATGAGGTAACATGCGCAAATTTTCAAACAAACGCTGTCTAAATTACACATGCAAAGTTTATTAGACAAAATTAAATTTCTTTGCAGTTCTTACATGCAAGAGAAAATATTTAGCAAAAAATTTCATCTTTGGTCTAGCTAAACCTATATATTAAAAGGTCTCTCTTTGTTGCCCAGACTAGAGTGCAGTGGCAAGATCATAGCTCACTGCAGCCTCAAACTCCTGGCAATCCTCCTGCCTCAGCCTCTGCGCGTTAGGACTACAAGTGTATGCCACCATGCCCGGCTAATTTTTAAATTTTTTGCAGACAAGGTCTCACTATATGGCCCAGGCTGGTCACAAACTACTGGTCTAAAGCTATCCTCCCACCTCGGACTTCCAAAGCATTAGGATTACAAGCATAAGCCACCTTGACTGGCCAAGGAGGCATTATTTTAGCCTGCCATTTCAATGATGAGAAAACATAAGCACAAAGGCAAGTGAACTTATCAAACATCATACAGCTTGTTTGTGGTACAGAGGTGACTCAAACCCATGCTATGTACTATAATGTCTCTACTTTGCTTGTGGAGACAAAGCCTTAACAAAATGTTCCAGACAATGAAAATAACTTATAGTGCACCTTGCAATTTTAAAATACATTTCAACTAATAAAAAAAATTATTTCCATTAACTGAAGAAATTAAATGGCTGAATACGGTGGCTCATGCCTGTAAGCTCAGCACTTCTGAGAGGCAGAGGTGACAGGATCACTTGAAGCCAGGAGTTCGAGACCAGCCTGGGCAACCAAGCAATATCCCATCCTGACAAAAAAATTAAAAATTAAAAAAAAAAAAAAAGAATAATCAGTAACTTAATGTTTCAAATCCTTTAGAAAAAAACAAAATATCTAATAAAGTTAAAAAGACCCATCATACTTGGCCCTTTAAAGCATACTAAATCTTTGTCAAGATAAAATGTTTATCAAAACAATTCAATGATTTCTTACTTTATCTTTTCCATATATTCTGGAGTGTTCTGGTTTGTCATGTTTGAAGGACTAATATGCAGTTTGAAGTCTGGTCCAAAATACTCAAAGTAATCATTATATGGCAACTCTAATGAAAACAATAAAATAAAGTTACATATTACAAGCTCAGTTTTCACAAAAAACCATGCACAGAATCCAGATTTAGGTGGTGAAATATTTCCTAAGAAAATGTTTAAAAGTGAACACAAAGTGAATGTTCTCCTATTTATAAAGAATGGCACTTACTCTAATCATTCATCCATCTATTTCTATATACAGACAGTCTCTGACTTTCAATGGCTTGACTTACAGTTTTCTGGCTTTTTTGTACCAACTTCAATGTCTTGTATTCAGTACATTACATGAAATATTCAACGTTTTATTTTTATAAAACAGGCTCAGTATTAGATTATTTTGTCCAACTGAAGCCTAACCTAACTGTTCTGAGCACGTTTAAAGTAGGCTGGGCTAAGTCATGTTTGGTAGGTTAAGTGTATTATATCCATTTTCTACTTATCATACTTTCAACTTATGATGGGTTTATCAGGACCTAATTGCAACATAATTAGAGGAGCATCTGTATTGACAGTTCATACAATAAAGATATTGTAATGAGAACACTTACCATTGGGAATCTCACAATCAAGGGCAACTGCAGTCTCATATGTCCAACATCGAGCAACATTACGGATTGTGTAGCCACCTCCTCCAAGCATCAGTAATGGTAAGTTAAAAGTTTTTACAACTTCTACACATTTAGCATGACCTAAGACAAGAAGATTTGGGTAACAACAAAATCTGCATACTGCAACAGTTCGAAAAATAAATTTTAAAAAGATAATAAGTGCAAATGTTACTCAACCAAAATGGGTTTTCTAAATATTTTAAAAACAAATAAAAATGTAAAAAATGTCAAGTCTAAAACTCCTTTCCAAACACGTTATACAATAATACATATTAAAAAATTAAGATATAACTAGCTATTTTAGCAGGTGTCCCTGATGGAAAAGTCAAGTACACAACTATATTAAGATTATAATATGAATATACACCTATTTTATTAACACAGAAAGATGTTCATGTAGGGTTACATGGTGAAATTCATCATGTTACAATAAAACATTATGTATCATCTAAATTAATTTTTATTGACTTTTCTTTCCCTATGGACATGTGTAAAATAATTATGGAAAGCTAAACAACATAGTTTAACCCTGAGTTAACTTTAGGTAGTGGTACTGAGTAGTTTTCCTAACTTAAGAGTTAAAAACATCTATTAATTTTCAAAAACTTCAACTTCTACGTGTAGAAATTTAATATTAATAGTAAACCTAACATAAAAGTAAATATTTTATGTGGATAAATGTCATAATTCAATAAACATTTATAAGTTTCCAGTAAGTTCCCTTCTCGGAATATTACCAGTTAGGCACATAACTCAATCTTTAAAGAAGAAAAGAAAATCCTTCAATTACAAAAGACATTTGTGCATACTGAAGAGTATTTGGGAAAAAATTAAAAAGGGACAATGAAAAAACTAACCACCTAAAAATGACATTATTCAAAAATCGTTTTTCTATATTTCCTTCCATTTCAGAGTTAATTTTACAAAGTTTATCTGTTCTCTTCATGTAACTGTATACTGTGGGAATTTTCATTAAGCATTCTTCAATAGTTGCAACATGTGATTTACATAATTCTAGCACTCAATTTTTATTATTGCTACTAGAAAAGTTTCTTTTAACAGATAAAAACCATTTGGATATTTTTAAAGAAAAAACAAACATACTAAAAGTTAACTTACAGGCTTCCAAGTAAAGATAGCTGGCTAAACAAAGATGTTTACTTTTCCTTCATCCCAAAACTTGACAAAAATGACTCGAAAGGGATTTTTTTAAAGGCCAAAATTTGTAAAAATGAAGAATGGGAGACAATACAAGAGGAAGAACATAGCTGATGGCAGCAAGGAGATGGAAAAGAGATAACTAACTTCAGCAGATCTGAAAAAGCTGAATCAAAGCTGGCAGCAGAGAAACTCAGAATGAAGTTTAAGACTTGGAATTACAAATATCCTTACACGCTTTATGCAACTGAAACTCTATTAGCTGAAATACAAAGTAAATTTTTTTCTAAGAGTGAACTGCTGCAGTTTATGATTATAAAAAATATTAAGTACAAAAACATTAAGGACTTTCAAGTCAAAGAGGAAAACTGATAGTTAATATACACTTTTAAGAGTACATTAGGTAGATCATTTTAGAAAGTTTATAAACATTTTGAGGCAAAAGATGGTTATTAACACATTAAGTTACAATATGAAACTGCGGTTCAACCACTGTTGACCTACAAAGGGACAATTAATTTAATATCATTCCACTTAACATAGAATAACAGATTATACCATAATTCTAATATAGCTGGTATAGTAGCAATCATAACATTAAATAAAGAAGCTTTTAATATCTGTATTTAGTTATCCAATTCCATTAAGACCAGCAATTGTTCTGGAGAAAGTTCTATTTGAGAATTCTCCACATCTTAGAGAATACAAAGCACACTGTCAACTTGCTACCTAAAAGTTCACGTGGAAAAAAACCTCTAAAATCATACACAAACACTCATGATAAAAATCATTTCTAATCTACATATACATTATAATATCTTATTAAATAAAATTTCAGATTTATTCTTACACCCTAGAAGTTCATTCCAGAATGGTGATATTTTGCTTTGGCCTAGCCTTCAATCATATGCTGATTTCAACACATGATCAAAATTTAGTATGTACTGCAGCACTCCTAATCCCCCACACACTTTTTATCAGGAAGCTACTTCAGAAGGCACTCCACCAAAACATGAGAAAAAAATTAAGGACAGAGAACAGAGCCACCAGGGAGAACCAATACAACAGAAAAAAAGCAGAGAACAGCTATGTGTCCTGCCAGGTCTACCAAAGATAGTCATCCAAACATGAACAGATGAGAAGGCTGTTTTTCAAGAAGGTGAAAGTGACAGAATATTCAATGAATCTGAACACATGAAGATACTGAGACACCAGTAGTTCAGCAATAAGTGGAGAGAAAACTAAGCAAATGAGAAACTTAGGAACAATTATGCAGCAAAGAACAACTGGATAAGCTGAAAAGTGTTTAAAGATGCTGCCGTAAACACTAAGTATCACAATCAAATTCTGATTTGTAAAAATAGAGGTATGGGAAGGGTACAAGTATGTTGTGGGCAAAATGGTGAGGAGAGCTAAACCCTCTTCTTCCTTAATGAGAAATAAATAATCCAATTAAGTAAAAAAGTATGCATGTTTTATTTACACTGAGTCAACAACCATTCAAAAATAGCTGCCTTGGGTTCAAACTACAATAAACCTTAAAAAACTAGTCTTGTATAAATGTATATATAAATCTGCCATAATGAAACAAGAATAACTCTAGTCATACATACAACAGACAAAACCCCATGAAAAATGCAGAGTACAGTGTTAAAACAGCAGGCAAGAAACTACAATGAGAACTTTTACGGGGAGTTCTTGGGTGGAAGAAAAACCATTTTTTTCTGGAAATACCACCCTTTGAATTGCTTACCTTTGACTGTTAGATTGAAACAACCCAGTCTATCACCAGATAATGAGTCTGCACCACACTGTAATACCACAGCACTAGGTTGATACATCTCCATCACCTTTGAGATAATCTACACACAAGATAACAAATGTTAGCATCTCCAATAACATTCTGAAATTCCATTCCAATTGTGAAAACAATAATACTTACAGGCTTAAATATCTGCCCATATGACTCATCATCTATACCATCTCTCATTGGAAAATTGACAGCATAGTATTTGCCTTTTCCAGCACCAATATCCTAAAATACATAATTAAACTGATCTTAGAGAATATTCTATAATAAAAAGTTTGGCATTTGTTTACTACATTTTGAAAAGACTGAAAGACTAAGTATTAAGGATCCAATTTTGAATTCATCTTAGAAGTTGAGACCGGAACAATCAAACTGAGAAAGGAAATAATAAACAACAAATAAGTATATGCTCCAATATTTATAGACTGCTTGTAAAGCATACAAGAACCATTTTCAATTAATCTGTAGTGATTATTTTTGACAGAAAAGAAATTTAACACAAGTTAAAGGCAATGAAATTACATTACATTAAACCAGAAAATCCATCATAAATAG
This sequence comes from Homo sapiens, assembly GCF_000001405.40. Taxonomy (NCBI): domain Eukaryota; kingdom Metazoa; phylum Chordata; class Mammalia; order Primates; family Hominidae; genus Homo; species Homo sapiens. The sequence goes on from NC_000006.12 coordinate 113,949,591, forward strand.
AATATTTAAGATGACAAGGCAACTTTATGAGTAAACCTGTGGAAAATAAATTAAGCCAAAAAGCCCTGCCGGACAATCATCTGCAGAATCCTTCTTGTGGTTCACAATCTGTTGGTATGAGTTTACTTATGATGAAAGAACGACCCACACTTTCTCGAAGATTTAACAGCTACCGACTAAAGCACCAGATTTGTTCTTTTTTTTTTTTTGAGACAGAGTTTTGCTCGTTGCCCAGGCTGGAGGCGCAATGGCGTGATCTCAGCTCACTGCAACCTCCGCCTCCCAGGTTCAAGCAATTCTCCTGCCTCAGCCTACCGAGTGGCTGGGATTACAGGCATGTGCCACCATGCCAGGCTAATTTTGTATCTTTAGTAGAGACAGGGTTTCCTCCATGTTCAACAGGCTGGTCTCAAACTCCCAACCTAGGTGATCCACCCACCTCGGCCCCCCAAGGTGCTGGGATTACAGGCGTGAGCTATGGTGCCCAGCCTCAGATTTGTTCTTAATTGGACTTGGACTTCAAACAAATTTTGTTCCTACTTGTTGAATGAGTACCACTCCAGGCATTAATCTCTCTCAAAAGACGCAAAGGTTCCAGCTACATATACTCTTAAATGATATATACATATATTATATATACTTACTTATTTGTATATGTTATGCATTTGTAGGTGTGCATATGCATTTCTGTGTGTGTATACGTATTCCTAGAAGATACTGTATAGTACAGACATTACTACAAAATAGTATTTTAACTGCAATACCAAAGGATTGGGGTGTGCCTCTTTGTTGTTTTTTTTTGTTTTTTGAGATCAAGTCCTGCTCTGTCGCCCAGGATGGAGTGCAGTGGCATGATCTCGGCTCACTGCACTCCAGTGAGCCAAGACAGCCTCCTAGGTTCAAACAATTCTCCTGTCTCGGCCTCCTGAGTTGCTGGGACTACAGGTGCACGCCACCACACCCAGCTAATTTTTTTTGCATTTTAAGTAGAGACGGGGTTTCACCATATTGGTCAGGCTGGTCTCGAACTCTCGACCTCAGGTAATCCACTCGCCTCAGCCTCCCAAAGTGCTGGGATTACAGGCATGAGCCACTGCGCCTGAGTGGGGTGGGGGGGGGGTGCCTAATTCTTATGTGCGTTGAATGATAATGTCTGAAGATCCATGAATTTTCAGGATTACTAGCACTTGTGCAAGTTCTTCTGAACCTCTCATGGAATGATCTTAGCTTCAGTCCAATTTTACAAAAGCAAAATTTACCCTCAATATTAGAGTTATGAGACCCAACATCCAACGAGGAGAAAGCAAGCAAAATTACACACCTCCTCTCCCAATTTTTCTTGAAGTCTAAGTTTTTATTAAGATTAACTAAATACAAACCATACAAATATGGAAAAGCCAAAGTATTGTGAAAACTTTACAGTCCTACTGCACAGTTAAAACACAGATGAAATATATTTTGACCCTAAGATTTCAGAATACAGAAAAGTTGGTCAGCACTTCTCATCCTAACTGCTACTAACTAGCTGGCAACTCAGAGCTGCTGCCCTTGTTAGACATAGCTTTCTCTCTTCCAGGTTTCATTCTGCAACTGCTACTATGCCACCTTTCTTTCTTCCACTAGACTACTTGAATTAAAGCAAACAGTTTCAACAATGAGCTAAACTCAGAGTAGCCTTCTTTTCAGCATGAGAATGAATTAGCAGGCAGAAAAAGGAGTGTTTATTAAATTAACATCCAAAGATACACGTGAATTACACAGAAAGTCCAAAAACAGCTGTACATATAATGTAATGACTGATTTTAATTCTCTTACGAAGTTATGGGGACATGCTTAAAATATTCAAATGTTATCCTGAAAACATCAGCAACTGTAAAATCTTTTTTTTTTTTTTTTTGGCTGAGTCTTGCTGTGTCGCCCAGGCTGGAGTGCAGTGGAGCGATCTCGGCTCACAGCAAGCTCCGCCTCCCGGGTTCACGCCATTCTCCTGCCTCAGCCTCCCCAGTAGCTGGGACTACAAGCGCCCACCACCACGCCCGGCTAATTTTTTGTATTTTTAGTGGAGACGGGGTGTCACTGTGTTAGCCAGGATGGTCTCGATCTCCTGACCTCGTGATCCTCCCACCTCGGCCTCCCAAAGTGCTGGGATTACAGGCGTGAGACACCGCGCCCGGCCCAGCGATTGTAAAATCTTAAGTGAGAAAAAGAGATGTTGAAAGCCATTCTCAAATCCTTCTAAAACAGCATTCTCTAATATTTTCAAAAACTTCAAACTGTAAGAATTTTGAATAATAACTGAGATGAGACCATAGTGACATCCACCTGTCAGAAATTAAATGAAGCTTCCATTTTCCACTTCTGAGATAAACTAGCATCACACTGCAAAGATACTGTCTTATTCTTTAAGCTTAAAACAGAGAAGACTTTTGCTTGACTTCCACTAGGATGTAATGGTTGTTGACAAATGTATTCTATCAGTTTACAGCAGTGGTTCTCAAACTTTAAGGTGAAGAATCACCCAGAGTTTCTGGGCCCTAAGAATGTGTATTTCTAACAAGTTCCCAGGTGATGCTGATCTGCTTTCCTCAGTTTAGGCGCCACTGTTTGAGAAGCACTGGTCTGTAAGATAAGACCAGGTGGGGAAAGGGAGAAATTGAAGGAGTTTACTGGCAAGGAATTGAAATTACAAATCTGCAATTTTAAAAGCTAAATAATTTAAACTCAAACCAAACATTTGACCTCCCACCCATTTGTAAGTATGGAAAAGTTTCAGTAAGGTAACTCTTTTACTCAAAGAGTTTACTGAGAAAGTATCACACTGTGATCTAATAAAGAAAAGCCATACAGCTTAAGAATACTTTATGGCAACTCTTTAAACTTTGGTTGCTAAACTGTAATGATATACCACAGATGTGAAAAATAATCTTAATAAAATAGTTTAAAACTTTGTTCAATGCCATATAAATCTCCCATATAATCCAGGCTGAACTAAAAACAGCTGTTTAAATTATTGAATAAATTTCGACATTTGTATAGTTAGGTTCAAAAAAAGTGTAGTGAGGCAAAAAACCTTCAATGAACTTATAGAAATAGGATTTGACCAGTGGTTTTCAGAGTCATAAAAGACAAGAGCATCAAATGGAAAAAGATAACAAATAAAATAGAAATACACTTAATGTTAACAGGCAGGCAAGGTTACACTATGGTATCCTTTCTCTACCTAAATACATTACCAATTTTAGAAGCTTAAAGAAAAAAAAAGATTAAAATTAGATCTACTAAAAATCAAGACCAATCACAAAAGAGAGGAGCAGAAGAACCTAAAAAGACCTAGTCTATTTTATTCCACCATTCTTTACAATCAATAGCAACGTAGGCTACCATCAGGTAGTTTTGAAGATTCAAACTGAACATCAAGAGAAGGGCTTCATGCTTTGTGGATATTCAAAAACATTTATTCAACCAAAGAAAACAGCTGAGAAAAAAACTGTCCTTAAGTTTTCACTAAATTTTTGCTTATAGTCAGCAACAGTGAATTCTAGCAAATGTTACTGCATACGTAGTAATTCAATTCTGCATACAAGTTTCAAATTATTAACTCAGGAGAAAAATACTACTTCAAGTATAGGATTACTGATCTCCTAGGTTCATCTCACAATATTTTTTCAGACAGAATTTAGTCTTACCCTCAAGTCTCCTGTGCCAGGAAAGTATTCCCCATATTTATGGAATGATACCGTCATTACACGATCTGTTGTATAAAAAGCTTCTTCAACACCATCACCATGATGAATATCTATATCAATATATAAGACTCTCTGATGATACCTGAAAACAAATCCATAAGTTTTGGTTTTTCCTTTAAAGGTTCTAAGATGGGAAGAAGCACCACAAATTCAGGAAACCCATTTTTGAGCTCTTGCATTCCAGAATGTTTAATCACCTTTTACATTCAGCCTAAGAGGTTATTCAAATATCTGAGGTTTGAGCCTCAGGCCTTTAAATACCCACTTGTGGCCCAATGTAGGTTAAAAAATATATATTTACTCTTTGTGAAATCTGTTCTATTCTACATGCTTCAAAAACATAGCACATATTTCTAATATATTAAAAACTGAAGATTATACCATACTCAAGATTGTTAATTAAAACACCTCTGTAGTAAATCTTCAATAGTATAAAATAGGGATTGGCTAACTATGGCCCATGGCCCAAATTTGGCCAATTGCCTCTTTTTTCAGCTTTGAACTAAGAAGTTTTTATTATTTTTTAAATGGTTTAAAAACAAAACCAAAACAAGAGTATTTTCTGACGTGTGATAATTATACAAAATTCAAATTTCAGTGTCCATAAAAAAAGTTTTACTGAAAGACAGCCATGCTCAATTGTTTATTACCTATGGCTTCATTTGAACTGCAGAATCGATTAGCTGTGACAGAGGCTACATGTGGTACTCTCATGACTTCAAACTGGTGCTTGGAGCACCACAGATTAGTGACACAGTTGTAACTCAAACGCAGTTTAGGAGTCACATGAATCACCATGTCATGACATTTTGTTACCAGTGTATACTCATGTCAAAATAAGGGGAAAATGGACTTCTCATGTCATCCTTTTGAAGTATAGTGAAGTGAGATATTATTAGATGGCAAAGCATTGTATTTATTATATAATGGTGCCATAACTGTGCTAAATAAAACAATACAATGTAAATTGATATTTCCAGACTAAGCACTCATAAGAATATTCTCATAACACTATAAACAGCATACCATAGTACAGCAAAATTTCTTCACAAAATTAAAAAAACAGAAATGAGGCTGTGATCAAAATAAAGTTTCTGAGCGGCTCACGTGTTAGATAAGCAAGGAAAGCTGTGCACCAAGTCAATTAATTAAATCATGTTTGATTACACCACCCAAAAAAATGTGTCCAGACAAATTAAAGTTGTTTAAAACTATTAGCTGAGTGGGCAAGAACTTGCTCAAAGAGTTGAAGACACTGGAACCAACATCAACAGTCAATTAAAAAACAAGGCAAATGATTGCAAATGATTTTCCTTTGCTCCTGATGAGCAGGCAAGATGTTACACTGATACTGCTCAATCACTGTTTATTTGAGGAGTCAGTATCAATTTTAAGTTGACTGAAAAGTCAGCCTCTATGGATAGCATGCATGGAATAACTACAAGCAAAAAACACTAGCTCAGTATAATACAAAGTAGAATCTGCTAAGATGTGTCATAACTGATGGCAAAAAATAACTAACATTGCGAACATCCAAATTCCTAAGTACCTCTATAGATCTCTCTCTCAAACTGCAGCCACAGATAAGGAAAAATAACTCCTTCAACAACTCAGAGATAATTTTATATCCATCAGTAGAGAACAAAGCCTCATTCAGATATGGAAGTTAGGCAGTTAGACTAACTCAATAGGTAAAAAAATTTCCTTTAACACTGGCTTCAAATTTTTGTCTTCAGTTTAAAACATCCAAAATACTAGAATATAAACTTCCAAGGTCATTGTCATTTTTTACTAGTTGAAACTAACTAAAATGAAAATTGCCAAACTACTTTTAAAAAAGGGTATTTAATGGGAGTTTTGACATTTATATACACTTCTAATTCTTTTTTTTTTTTGAGATGGAGTCTCACTCTGTAGCCCAGGCTGGACTGCAGTGGTGCCATCTCGGCTCACTGCAACCTCCACCTCCCAGGTTCAAGCAATTCTCCCACCTCAGCCTCCTGAGTAGCTGGGATTACAGGCGCACGCCACCACGCCCGGCTAATTTTTCTATTTTTAGTAGGATGGGGTTTCACCATGTTGGTCAGGCTGGTCTCAAACCCCTGACCTCATAATCCACCCACCTCGTCCTCCCAAAGTGCTGGGATTACAGGCATGAGCCACGGCACTGGCCTTTTATACACTTCTAATTCTTTTTTTAAGGCAGGGTCTCACACTGTTGCCCAGGCTAGAGTGTAGTGGCAGGAACATGGCTTCCTGCAGACTCAACTTCCTGGGCTCAGGTACTCCCACCTCAGCCTCCTGGGTAGTTGGGACTACAGATGCATGCCACCACATCTGGCTAATTTTTTTTCTGTAGAGATGGGGTTTTGCCATGTTGCCTAGCCTGGTCTCAAACTCCTGGGCTCAAGAGATCCGCCCACCTCAGCCTCCCAAAGTGGAGGGATTACAGGCCTGGGCCATAGTGCCTGGCCACACTTCTAAGTCTTAATAATTGAAGAATTGGGCAAATTTCCTGCATTTCTTCATTGTTTTGTAATGAATTCATAGAAAATTCACCATTAACTATTTCAACCTATGGTTTACCTAATATTTTTTAAAGCCATAGACTTTATTTATTGTGTTTTAATGAAAACACTTTATCACTGAAAAGAGTATCAATATAAATTAACATACTTTAGTAATTCAAGGATGGCAAGCACAATATCATTAACGTAACAGAATCCTGATGCTTCTGATTTCTTAGCATGATGTAATCCTCCAGCCCAATTAACAGCCATATCAGTCTGTTGTCGGTTTAACTTCACAGCTCCAGCTAAGAAGTAGAAACAAGATAGACCTTTTAAACATTTATCATAAAAAAGTAGTAGAATGAGACAAAAACACTACAAGTGTATGCCATGCATAAGCAAGAGCTTAAAATCATGAAAGTTAACAGAAATCATCTATAACACAAATAGGAGTTACTCCTTAGAAAAATATTCTCCTAGAGCTGCAACCTGAGATTAAATAATGGTTTATGTGGAAAGTGGTAGTAACAATGATACCTAGAAGACAAAGGGAATGAATGAAGTCTCCAAGTGAAAATAAGTTTAAAAAGCGTTTAAGTCATAATCATAAAACATAGAGGTTTGAAAGTAAATTGTACTTTACTATAAACATACTGATTTCCTTTTGTTATCAAAATTCACAATCATTAAAACTTCTGTTTTACACAAATAACCCGAAAGATAACACACCAAGTTCAGATCAACTTTTAAATCTGATTGCATTAGCACTTACCAACTGAACCGCCAGTTGAGAGCTGACAAAACTCAAAGAGTCCATCAAACACTGGACAATCTTCTCCAACATTAACTGTGGAAGATGGATTTCATTAATTTCAACACATTCTGCAAATTAATGAAAGCCTTTTCTTACAAAAACTATTTCCCACAAATACTTTTTTGCTTGATGCAATCATCAAACATACACTTCACAGTATAATATAAAGTTTCCAACTTTAAAATATATTTATTGTTTTATCCAAGGTAATTAAAGTGTTATCTGTGAAAGATCATCAAATCTTATCAGGATTATCTGTGGAATATTTCTGTCTATTAACAAGAACTCAATAGTTGTCTAAGTACAACAATTCTTATTTAATTAAAACACAGGCTTAAATTTTCTAGGCCTTTCCCCTTAATATTACAATAAGTTAACATTCTAAAAGCAACTTCAATTGCTTTATAATTTACTTTCTTTGAAACTCCTTAAATACCTATAATATCTGTAACTTTGAAATGCATGTCAGTAAGTTACTAAACCAAAAAGATGTAACAGCTGGTTGCCTATTCCCATGGCTAATCTTGATCTTGAAAGTTGCTAAGAATTAACTAGGTTCATGGGAGCCAAAACATAGGATACTAAAGACAACAAGGAAAACATTTACAGATAAACGATCACACATTTAGTTCCTTAGCACTGAGAGAATGAAAGGATATGGCAGATGTATGTAACCCTTTCTTAGTCTTTCCCTATGCCCTTGAATTGTAACCTCTTCAAGAATAAGGGTCCTTGTTTTGTATATTAATATCTTTGTATACCCTTAAGTCACAAGCACTATAAGAAATGAATTTTAGTTTCTTACTGCACAGAGAGATCATAATCTTTTTTTTTTTTTGGAGACAGAGTCTCACTCTGTCGCCCAGGCTGGAGTGCAATGGCGTGAGCTTGGCTCACTGCAACCTCCACCTCTGGGGCTCAAGCAAGCAATTCTCCTGTCTCAGCCTACAGAGTAGTGGGATTACAGGCGCGCACCACCACACCCAGCTAATTTTCTGTACTTTTTTAATAGAGACAGGGTTTTGCCATGTTGGCCAGGCTGGTTTCGAACTCCTGACCTCAGGTAATCCACTCACCTCCGCCTCCCAAAGTGCTGGGATTACAGGCGTGAGCCACCACACCTGGCCAGGATCATAAGCTTAATAGAACTCATTATTATGTGGGTTTTAAATCAATCCTGTTATGTTGTTTGCCCAAGGGCTACTCATGCCTCTTTTGCATCTAAGTTGGAATCTTCATTGAAAAAAAAAAAATTAAATACTACATGTTCTAGTTACATTGTAGCATTATAACAAATCAAACAAGATATGGCAGAAATGTGTATGAGGTTGTAAATATGAGATGTCTAGCACCTACACTAATTTAGTATAATCATCACTGAAGTCAGTCAATACAAACACTAATGAGAATGAACTTTGGTATCAAGCTTTAAAAGATACTGTTCCAATAATTTTAGGTTGACTTTTGCATTCTACCTTCAAGCCAATTTGTTACTAATCTCTAAAAATAAAATACTTTTAACCTGTACAAGAGAACATTACGTAGAATCAAAAGCTTCACTAATATCTTAACAAAGAAAAAGAGATGTGTATTATAGTCCAGGTTAACTGAAGTACACAAAGACAAGACAAGAGATATGTACATGCCAAGCTAAGGCTAATCAAAGTGTAATCTTGTTTTTGTTTTTTTGAAGCGAGGGAGTAAGGGAGTGAGGTCTCCCTACCAATATGTATTAACCCAAAGTTATCAGGGGAGCAAACTAGGAGTAGAAGAATACCCAAACAGCAGTTTTGCAAACCAATAAGCTTCAGATAGGTTTACTTTTTTCTTAAGTAGCTTTAGTAGTGTTAAAATGACTTTTCAAATCAGTAAATAACTGTAACATATTAGACCAACAGGAAAAATATTCAGATTTAGATCATTCTAAGCTCCTAAAAATACTAATTTACATTTATCAAAGCAAAACTACTTTTTACTTAGAAACGTACATCTCTGCATCTGCTTACTATACTCAGACATGTTATCTGGTCTTATTGACCGTAGAAATTTGATATACTCATCACTGTGATATTTTGTCATTTCTTCGGCAGTGGCTTTATGGGGCCTCTGTGAAGAGAAATAAATGTCAGAACTGTGGAATTACAACCGGTTATATCAGTATTATCAAACAAATATACAAATTCCCCTATCGGTCCCCTCAAAAGAACCAAGTCTACCAGAACAAAATATATAAATTCCAAAACTAACCCAAACTTATATGTGTTTTAGAAAACAGTAATCAATCTCAAAACTAATTCAAACTCCTTTAAAAGCATTACACAGGCATATCAACTATGATTTAATCACTCCTTATTTTAGTGGAAACAGTTCGAGTAAAAAGTCAAATCCATATGTTCATAAACTCTACTTTCTCTCCTTTTCCATGATAAAACATCCAGTGATTTCATCAATGAAATCACTCACTACAAGAGTTTTCAATTCTAAATCTTTGTTCACGACCTCTCGTCCTTTTTTCTATCCTAATCTTCCTTGTTCCGAAGAGCTCAATTTCACGTATGACACAATTCTTCCACAAGACTTCCAGACTGAGTCTTATTCTAACTTCCCCTCTTCTCTAAATGTCTACATGTAACTGAAAATAATTCACATATTCACATATATTGCCTAGCATTAATTGTTTTAAATATTTCTTTTCTCCCCAAATAGCTAATTGTCGTGTCTGTATTTGTTTATACATACCCTCATCTTTATCTACAAAAACATTAAGGCAGCTGTTGCACTTGTGTTATCTGTACTATGCTTGGCCACACTAACACAGTATTCCATATGTATTATATGCCCTGCAAATATTTGTGGGATTAATTTTATGTGTTATTATTTTGTAACAGTCCCAGGTCAACTCTTTTCAGCAGCACAGGCAGATTAACAATTATTGTAAAAAAAAAAAAAAAAAAAAAAATACTTAATATGCTACACTGAGTTGTTGCTATACTGAGTTGTTCTCCAGAACCATGAAAGCCTAGGGTAGGGGGAACTTTTTTAAATGGTTAAAGGAAAAGGAAAAAGAGGGTATAGCTCTCATTCTTATTCATCTCCTAAGAATAAACGAAAAAAGAAGTTTGTTTTCTTCCAGATCTTTTCATCTGCTAAATGCCCTCAAAAGGGGAATAATAGACAAAGTTTCACAGTAGCTAAAAAAAAATAAAAAAGATCAGTGCTGAATATGTATTAAAAGGAATACTCACATATATTTCCATTTTTCTGTATAAGCCATAATTTAACAGCAAGTTATGGGTCATGCGGATTCTATGAGGCTTCATGGGATGACCCTGTCCATAATAATAATTTCCAATATCACCTAAAATAGAAAAGACACAAACTAAACAATACAGACAAGAGACCCTCCATGAACTATTTGAATTTATGTATGTCTATCATTAGAAGGCATTTACTACTTAACAAAATTTATTTAAAACCTTAGCAACTTAGATTTATTTTGCAACTTTCAAACTGTATCAGATGACTAAGACGCTACGCACACTTTTACCAGCTGAAGACTCCATTATTACACATTATATTTATTTGTAGATTAAGGAAAGCAAGCTTTTCTGATTTTTAGCTACCCCCAATTTTTAAAATTTCTGTTCCTTGAAATGATGCCTGCTTTCTGTATTCTCTGGCAAATTCACATGCTTTTAAGTTCTCTGAGTTTTATTGGTATGATTTAAAATTTTTTCAGCAAATACTGCTTTTTGGATGATTTGCTGGCATTTCAGAAATCTCATAATTGGCGTTTTGCATGTTAAAACATACCGTGTCCATATTAAAGCCCATCAGGGAAGTTTTGGTAACTGAAATTTAGGTCCTAAATGAGGTTTTGCTCCACTAAGACACAGCATTACATTTTTCAAGGTAATAAAAATACTGTCTCATTCTTCATGACTAAAAAGTTGTAATTCCTAGCCTGTCTTTTTAAACGGCATCTTATATCACAATGTCTTTAAACTTATGCATAAGATTTAAAAAAGAGAAAATAACAAAATCACAGATTTTCATCAACTAAATTTCAATAAAATTAATACTTTTAGGTAAAGCTCCAGTGTTTCCTATAATAGTAAATAACAAGAAGCCTCTCAAATATATAAAGTCAACCCTCTGTATCTGTGGATTCAATCAACTGCAGACTGAAAATATTTTTAAAAAATAGATGGTGGTGTCTGCTGGAAACACGTAGAGACTTTTTTTCCTTGTAATCTTCCCCTAAATCATACAGTGTAACAACTATTTACACTGCATTTGCATTGTATTAGGTATTATGAGTAATCTAGAGATGACTTAAAGTGTAAGGGGAGATATACATAGGTTATATGCAAATACTATACCAGTTTATTGAAGGAACTTAAACACCCATGAATTTTGCTATCTGTGGAAGTCTTGGAACTAATTCCCCACAGGGTCAGGACAGTCAAGCTATTTTAATGGTTTGAAGTCTATCATTTCAACACGGGTTTATATATTACAATAAAAGCTAGAATAAAAAATGCAATTTATCCACTAAATCTTTCAAAGTCCTCCCTAAATACACCTTTTGTTTGTTTAATGGAAACAACCCCAAAAACTTTTTTGTCCTCTCTCCTACATATTTGATAACAGTACGGGATAAACAATCAGCTTTTACAAAATCCATGCTTCTAATAACATAAATACTTGATTTTGTTGGTATCACACCTCTAATTTTAGTTAACTTCATTTTCAGCACAGCTCTCTTCTGAAAACAATTCATATACAAAGTCTTTTAAAGGGAAAGCCACCTTTTTAATGCAGGTGCCAACAAGGCTAAGAAACAATATAGAGTTTAGCAAAGCAGGGCCATGGCCCTTTGCAACATTCCTCTGCAATTATAATTAAGAGGCTATGATTGCAGAAAATAAACTACCTATTAAGAAAGAATCTACCATAAAGCTCTACCTTACATGGTGACAATACAAGGGATATATAGTTCCTTGAAAGCAGCCTGGTCTCATCATTTCTTAGATATGGAAAACCCACTAGTGTTATTACAAAGCATCATGTAATTAAATTAATACAAGGGAAGGCATTTCTTAGTTATCACTACTAAAGAAATCATTAAAGTAAAAATAATGAAAGTCTAGTCTTCACTAGAAATGCAGATTCTATGAGGTTTCGTGGGATGACCCTGCCCATAATAATTTCCAATATCACCTAAAACAGAAAAGACACAAACTAAACAATAACTTCCATCTATCTGCCTCTGTGTAACAATTACCCAAATGAAATGTCTCTAACATCTACCACATCATAACATCAAATACTCTAGTTATTTGATGCACACTGAAAATCCAGTGAAAAGCCCCAGGCCCCAATAATTGGAGACTACAGTAGCAATTTCTGAGCAAGTGTGTTTGAAAAAAAAAAAAAGCAGTAATTAACACTTGTTGAGTGCTTACTAGAAGGCACTATTAAGTACTTCACATATCTTTTAATCTTGTCAATAACCTTATGATGTGGGTATTATTACATTATTCCTATTGTATAATAGTAAAGAAGGATGAGAAACAGACAAGTCAGGTATTATTGCCTAAGTCACATAGCCAGCAAGTGGAGGAGCTAGATTCAAACTCTGGCAGGGCAGCTCACAGCTAATGTTCTTAAGTAATAACAACAGGGAATGTCAAGGACACTTACAGATTCACTAGAAATGGCAGGGTGAAGGCTGAAAAAAAGACATAATATGAAATATAAATATTTTAAATAAAGGCTTAGGGTCTTGGTTAATTTAAAGAAAATGAACACAAGAAACTGTACCTAATATATCAGAGTAATTTACTTTTTACTAATAGGGTCCTCAAATCGTATACGAATACGCATAGCTTTCAACAAGTTTCTCTGTTGAAATTTAGGGACCCCAGTCCCACAAAGAATACACAAAGAACCTAAATGATACATGTATACAGGGCAGCCAAGCTACAGATAATTTTTTGGTTTACCAAGAATTCTTCTAGCTGGGCGTGGAGGCTCACACCCGTAATCCCAGTACTTCGGGAGGCCGAGGCGGGCAGATCACGAAGTCAAGAGATCGAGACCTTCCTGACAAACATTGTGAAACCCCGTCTCTACTAAAAATACAAAAAAAAAAGCCAGGTGTGGTGGCATGCGCCTGTAGTCCCAGCTGCTCAGGAGGCTGAGGCAGGAGAATCACTTGAACCCAGGAGGCGGAGGTTGCAGTGAGCCGAGATCGTGCCACTGCACTCCAGCCTGGGTGACAGAGCGAGACTCTGTATCAAAAAAAAAAAAAAAAAAGAATTCTTCTAAAATATAAAGGCGTTATAAAATAACCATCTCCAACTTTTTCCCACTAATTCTGTATCTCACAATTCTCTAGATGGCTACTTTGTAGGCATCCACTTTGTTTTCTTTTTGAGATGGAGTTTCGCTCTTGTCACCCAGGCTGGAGTGCGGTGATGTGATCTTGGCTCACTGCAACCTCCACCTCTGGGGTTCAAGCAATTCTCCTGCCTCAGCCTCCCAAGTAGCTGGGATTACAAGCGCCCACCACCATACCCGGCTAATTTTTGTATTTTTAGTAGTGACGGGGTATCTCCATATTTGCCAGGCTTGTCTCAAACTCCTGACCTCAGATGATCTGCCCGCCTCAGCCTCCCAAAGTGCTGGGATTACAGATGTGAGCCACTGTGCCCAGCCCACTTTTTCATAAAGTATAAAAAGGCTAAGAAGTTTTAAGACCCTACAATTTTTATTCATCATTTAAATGGTCAGTAATGTATTAATAATTTGGGCATTTTAAATGTTACTGATTTGCATCAAAATACAGATTATCCCTAATCCAAAAATTTGATATCCAAAATGTTCCAAAATCTGAACTGTTTTGAGCACCAACTTAATAGTCAAGGAAATGCTAACTGGAGCATGTCAAATTTTTGATTTTCGAATTAGGGATGCTAACTGGTAAATAATTACAAATATTGCAAAACCTCCCCAAATCTGAAATACTTCTGGTCCCAAGAATTCAGATAAAGGATATTCAACCTGTACATAAAAATACTTTACCAATGAAATAAACATTCAGAAAAATCAGCTCAAGGTGGTTCCTTGAACACAACAAACTTTAATTGTCAATGCAAAGAAATTACTGTAAAGAATTATTTATCTGCAAAATTTTACAAATTGCTCACTCTTCAAGAAACTAACAGAATGGAAGTGTCTACTAAGGTCCACAATCTCTTATCCATATTCCTTCAAATTAGATATGTTTCAAATTTTACACTTTTTCAGATTTTGTAGAGATAATATGGTACACCTGCCATATATTATGTAATAGCCTAGAGTTTGGGTGGCATGATATAATCAAACATTAATATTTCTACAGCAAAAAAGTGTGAATATTCACGGTATTCACAGAGGAATAAAGATCATAAATAGCCTCACATTGATTCAGGTTAAGATTTTGATTCCAAATGAGTTACCAAAATTTTTTTCAATTTTCAGGTCATTTTGGATTTCAGAACTGTGAAATGTACCTTTAGCCACAAAGATAAGTTGACTGCAAAAAGAGACTCAGGAAAAAAAAAACAAGAGAAAAGAAAAAAGTTTATTATTTTCATCTTCCAGACTACTTAGCCCACTATCCATTTTTTATACATATTAACACATCTTTAATACATATTTCAAGGAGGTTATTCCTCCTTGAGACATTCGGAGCCTTGGCTTCCATAATACCATTTTCTTGGGATTTTACTTGTACCCCAAGGCCACTCCTCCACCAACCTTTAAACATCAAGGGTTTTCAGTTCAGCCATTCATTTAATAAATCAAGAGCCTACCATGTGCCAAGCAGGTACTGTTCTAAGGGTTTGGGTTCATCAGTGAACAATAGTTCTGCCCTAAATTCTCTTCTCTCGGGAGTTAAGTCCTGGGACCAGTCGTCTGTCTATGCTGTATCTTTTTCAGTCTCAATACTTCACCTGATATAAGCTGAGAAATCCCAAATTTCTATGTCTAGACTCTCCTCTCTGGATTATAAACTCACAGAGGTTAACTCTCTTCTCAGTCTTTTCACTTGAATTCAATAAGGATCTCAAATATAAGATGTTCAAAACAGAGCTCTTTATTTGTATTCCCAATCTTAGTGAGTAGTACCACATACCACCTAACTGCTCAATCCAGAAACTTAGGAGTCATCCTTCATTCTCTAACACCATTCCTCAGCTCCAACTCCATTTCTAATCCATCAAAAAGTTCTATTGGTTTGAGGCCCAAATCTCTCTTAAATATGTCTATTTCTATCTAAAATGCAACCATTACATTTTATATGGACCAATATGTGTTCAATTCTTGCTTCCAGCCTATATTCCACAACTCCTTACCAATTATTTTGAGAGAATGCATTCTATTTGAGAAACTTTCAATGGCTTTCCACCTCTGGGTAAAGTCAAATTTCTTACTACACAGTTTTGTGCAGTCCCACTTTTTACTGCCTAACATGGGACTCCACATTTTCCTTGTCTTCCTTCCCATTAAGTGCACCAAGTTCTATTAATAACTATCTGGCTTTGCTATTTGTAATATCTTATGTAGTAAACTCTTTTTAAGGCTGGCCCATTCTCTTCCTTCAGGTCTTCCCTTTTCTGATTACACTATCAAAGGTCCCCTCTCTTTTACTTTTTTTGTTTTTTTTTTTGAGACAGAGTCTTGCTCTTGCCACCCACCCAGGCTGGAGTGCAATGGCATGATCTCGGCTCACTGCAACCTCTCTGCCTCCCGGGTTCAAGCGATTCTCCTGCCTCAGCCTCCCAAGTAGCTGGGATTACAGGCACCCGTCACCATGCCCAGCTAACTTTTTTTTGTATTTTTAGTAGAGAGAGGGTTTCGCCATGTTGGCCAGGCTGGTCTCAAACTCCTGACCTTGTGATCTGCCCGCCTCGGCTTCCCAAAGTGCTGGGATTATAGGCGTGAGCCACTGCACCCGGCCCCCTCTCTTACTTTATACCTGCAGTCTTTTATTTCCTTCTTAGGACTTGAGCAATCTTTTGTCTATTTGGCACACAGTAGGAACTTTAAGCCTATTTGATATGTCTGAACCCAAAGCTGGCTTAATGAACAAGTAACAATAAGCAGACTGCTACTGAAATACAGAGGAATAAGGCTTAATAACCAGTACAAAAAAATCCTTAGACTTGATTTGAATTCTTCCAAGTTTGAATTTATTAACATTCCCTAAGAGATGCCTTCTCCAATCCCAAGTGTTTTCCTTTAAGGACTTGTCAACAGAAGCATTTAAAGTTTTTGTTAAGGAGTTTTGTTTGTTTGGTAGCAGAGGAAACACTTTGAAAAGGAAAAAAGAAAAATAAAGATTCCGGATGTTGAACTCTCCTTGAACATTAAAACTACAGTCAGTGTGGAAAAGGAAAAGTGGTAGACTGCACCAAACAAATGTGAATCTGTTTTCATCTAAACAATACCAAAAATGCCAAAATGCCACCCATCCTACCTAAATGTAGTTCAGAGTAGTTTCAAGAATTAGAGGGAACGTTATATGAAAGCGTTCTATCTATAAGAATAAGGAATTGGCCAGGCACAGTGGCTCACGCCTGTAATCCCAGCACTTAGGGAGGCTGAGGTGGGTGGATCACCCCAGGTCAGGAGTTCGAGACCAGCCTGGCCAACATGGTAAAACCCCCATCTCTACTAAAAAATACAAAAATTAGCCAGGGGTGGTGGCACGTGCCTGTAATCTCAACTACTTGGGAGGCTGAGGCAAGAGAATCACTTGAACCCGGGAGGGTAGTGGAGGTTGCAGTGAGCTGGGATCACGCCACTGCACTCCAGCCTGGGCAATAAGAGCAAAATTCCATCTCAAAAAAAAAAAAAAAGTATAAGGAATTAATAATTTATTCATCACTAATTAAAAAAAAAAGCTACGTTTTTAAATGTAGTTGGCGAAGATACAAACACAAGCAAAACAGACAGACTGTCCTAATGAAGCTTATGTTATAGTGAGGAGAGAGACAAAAGTTATATGGTACAACCAAAAGGAAGAAAAATAAGGCAATAACAGGGACTTAGGTAATAGGAGAAAGCATCTCTGATGAGGTAAAATTTGAAAGAAAAGAGAGGCAAAAGATTTCTGGGGAAAGAGAAGTATAGGAAAATTTCAGTCTTATTTAGTCATGTTTTATTGTGCAATTAGTATTACTGGTATTTATGAACTGCTGCTATAATTAATTTAGCACTTATTTGCCTCCAAAGAAATTATTACCTATTTCACGGATAATAAAGATTTATACCACAGCTAAGAACCCATGTAGTTGTATTAAAGGTTATTCAGCAAAAGACTTTGGTACTACTCATAAATACAAGTCTAAGAAAATCTGACAATCGTTGGCTGCCAAGTAGAATTTCTATAATTTGCTGAAGAAGGAGTACGTTGGGAGGTATCATCTTGGTAACTTTTTTTTTTGAGACGGAGTTTCGCTCTTGTTGCCCATGGCACTATCTTGGCTCACTGCAACCTGCACCTCCTGGGTTCAAGCCATTCTCCTGCCTCAGCCTCCCGAGTAACTGGGACTACTGGTGCCTGCCACCACGCCTGGCTAATTTTTGTATTTTTAGTAGAGACGGGGTTTCGCCATGTTGGCCAGGCTCTTCTCAAACTCCCGACCTCAGGTGATTTGCCTGCCTCAGTCTCCCAAAGTGCTGAGATTATAGGCATGAGCCACCACACCTGGCCTAATCTTGATAACTTTTGTATTTATATAGTTTTATCTGTATACAGTCTTTGAGTGTTTTTTTCTGGACCACTTGTCTCCAAAACTGATTATGCATCCCTCTCAGAGGAGGAAAAAATAGAGCACAGAGAAATTTGTGTATAGTTACATAAATTAGGTATATAAACCCTATTATACTGTATACACCATAAAAACAAGCACTAAATATGTTTGGCCTCAAGATTAATTCAAAACAAAGCATAAACATGTCTAGATACAGTATTAAAAATGTGAGTGGTATAACTAGAGCCTAACACAGCTTAGCTGCTAATTATATTTAAGTAGAGAAAAATCACATCGTTTTAAGGCCCAGAAGGGATCTTAGTGACTATCTAATTAGCTGTATCATTTTACAGATTCTTGATGATCTTCTAGTGTATAAAGAAGGAACATGATTCAGAAGTATGTTTTTGGGAATTTGGAGGCATGGATCAATAGCTACAGTCAGAGAAGTAATAACTTCTCTTACTTTTCTTCAAAGGTTTAAGGATACCTAATCCATCAATGTCTGAAGGTTCCCTTGGGACCAACGTTTCAGTGACCTAAAGGGTTACCTGAAGATTACATAACGTGCAGAGAACAATATGTATATATTTAAAAGTTCTTTCATTAAGATGCAAACAGCCTCAGTGGCAGACATTCTGTGTGGCCAAGAGGCTCCGTGTGCCTAACAGCCCCAGGAAGCCTAAAGGTAGGATTCCTATGGTTATAGAATTTGCTACTTCCGTCCTTTTCTTTTTCACTCACTTTCTTCCTTCTACTTCCTTTACCAAGAAGTTAAAACCATCTAACCTAGGCTAGCAGATAATTCAGACCCTATTACTACAGATATAACCCATTCCCAATCCAATCCATGTTATATACCTTAAAGTCACGATTCTTTGATACAGAAGCTCCTTTCCTTGCATTCTCTTCTCACAATAAAAAAAGAATTAGTATTGCTACTTTTGTAAGCTGACAAAACAATGTTCTCTGGTAATAAAAATATAAGTTTTTGGATGAGGTCAGCACACTATCACATATTAATAATTAGCATAATATAAACATTAATAATCTCTGCAAAATATTTTAATTCCCTCCCACAAAAATTAAAAGAGTATGTGAAACATAAGCAACTAGGAACTCCACTTTAACAAACGAGTCACAGACAAAAGACAAAATAACCCACCAGAGATTTCCAAACTATCAGCTATTCACTTGTTGCTGGCCATCACGTAAGCAGGTGAATGGGCTACAATAAAGTATCATATTAAGTCACAATCACAAGACAAATATTTCCACCCTACTTATCAAGCTTGCATCCTTTCCCGGGTACCCGTGCCTGCTCCCATTCCCACAACGAAGGTTATCATAAATGGGCCCAGGACAAGAGCGCTGTTCAGAAACTGCTACTCAAGTGTACCCTCCTGGTTCTAGGGTTCCATTGTGGTGACAACAAATTACAAGCAGCTTACTTCCTCAGAGCCCATCACTACCAACACCAACTGACAGCTTCGAGAAGGACCTCAGTACCACTTTCCCTAACCAAAATTTTCCTCTTTACTCCAAGCCCTGACAAGGATAAATCTCTAAACTTTAGAAACAATGTAATTTTACAAATTAACTTATACGCAGGGTTACTTCCTTTCCAATTTGATCAGGGAATGCAGGGCAAGAATAACCCAAAATATGCAATGTAAATCATGTTGAAATTAAAATGTATTTCCATCTCCACCCCTCCACGATGGCATAATTTCAAATCAACTTATATAATGCATATCTAGTCCTCTGAAAAATCATTTTTAAAAGTAGGGCTGTTATTATTCTGTCCTAGCTATCGCAGATCAATTTAGATTTGTTCTGTAAGATTTCAGATTTTCCCCAAATGACACAGGTGGTTATTTTATATGTATCAGTCATTAAAAGATTAATCCTTTTTAACTAAAAAGAGACAGTACGGTCATTTACAAGTTAAAGTAGATTTATTCTGAGCTGGTGCTCTGGGGTCTTACTTCTCTAAAATTTTGTGATTTACAATACACCACATGTAGGAAACAGCTTCCAAAATTTGTATTGCTTCCTACAAATCAGACAGGACTTTCAGGAGAAGGAGCCTAGGATAGATTCTCTGTTAAATTTTGGAATCCCTTCTCTCAAGAGTAACCTACTATAAACTATTTACCAAGCCTTTGTGAAATCTGTATAACAGGTTACTACTCCATTGAGCAAGAAAACACAGGAAACAGGATTCGAAGATTTAATGTTACTGCTCATACTCCAAATTATAGAATGCTTAAGATAATTAAATTATCTGACTTTTATAATTCACTACACGGTGACCTCAAATTTACCTCATTAGAATATTTAGTACTTCTGCACTTCTCCCACTTCTCAAAGTTTTCCCATACCAGGATTCCCCACCACCTAGGAACAGCCTTTGCAAGATACCAATGCTCTCTAAATCCCCAAAGCAGGGTCTATTTCCTGATCGAACAAAGAGCAACAAAGAAGTGGGTGGTAACCACCTCTCTGAGGCAAGCCAGGACCCATGGAGTCTGATCTACAACACAAGCAGTAGCAGTTCCACATCTCCCTACCACCTCTTATTTCCTACGAAGTCTTTCTGCCTGAAACTGGAAAACCCGAACTATTATTGAGGAAGTGAAGCCCTTCCATTTGAATCCTGAGAAAGACGCGCTCAAAGAACCCAGCGAACAAAGGAGAGGGTTGGAGCCCACGCAAAACATGGGTGTGATAAAGCCACACGCGACCTGAGCCCCCACCCTCAGTAACTACTCTCCAGCGCCCACCGGGAGGAGGGGTCCGGGGAAAGGGTAAGCCGAGGAAGGAGAAGACGCTCCGGCCAGACCGAACGCAGGGTAGGGGAGGCGAGCAGGCGAGGAGGAGGGAAGGGGACGGGAGGGGCGGAGCTCTCGCGGCCGCGGGGCTTTGTGTAGAGTCAAGGCCGGGATAGAAATTTTGCCTCGCGGGGGACGGGTCGAGGGGGTAGGAGGCCGACGCGGGGCACCCCAAACCTGCGTTGCCACGAATGGTGGGCGGGAGAAGGGAGAGAATGGGCCGCCCCCTTCGCCGCCGCCACCACCAAGGCGGGGTAGGCCGGCGCCGTCCCCAGCGGCGGCCACCTTCGAGGCTGCGGACTGCACGGCCGAAGGGGGAGAGGCAGGAGACAAGACGGGCGGGCCCCCTGATTCCCGCCCGCAGGAACCGCGGGGGCTGCGCCAGGAAGAGGGTCTCGTTCTAACTGTGCCGGGCCGGGAACGGGTTAAGATGCGGCCAAATGTCGGTCCCTCCTCCTTCCCACCCCTCAGCCCCGGCGCCCACTCGCGACGGCAGCCGCGGAACCCAGCGCCCGGCCCCGCGCGCCCACCCCGACACCGGCCCGGCCGCTCACCGTCGTAGTAGTAGCAGACTTTTTTTTTGCCGCCTCCTTGACTGTACGCCATGGGCTC
Source organism: Homo sapiens (assembly GCF_000001405.40). Taxonomy (NCBI): domain Eukaryota; kingdom Metazoa; phylum Chordata; class Mammalia; order Primates; family Hominidae; genus Homo; species Homo sapiens. The sequence continues at coordinate 113,970,915 of NC_000006.12, forward strand.
CCCGGCCACCGCCGCCACCGGGCTCCTCCTCCTGCTGCTGCTGCTGCTGCTGCTGCCGCCGCGGCTCGGCCGGGAGAGAAAAGGGCTGAGGGAAACGTGGGGGCGATAGTCCCGCGGGGAAGGGCAGGCCGGTGGGAGGAGAGGAGGGGGCGCCGGGAAGGCTCGGTACCACCCGGCAGAGGTGCCGAAAGCTCGGAATCGGAGGTGGCAGCGGCACCAACTCGCGAGGAGGGGGCCACCAAACCACCTCAGGAGGCCGCAGGGAGGTGAGCGCATCCACTGCGGCCTCCACGGGGGAGGAAGGGGCACGGCTGGAGAAGGAGGCCGTTTCGGGCTCGAGGTTAGAGGCCCTGTTAGGGTGAACAACCTGCGCAAGGCGGCGCCATACACAGTGTTAAAATGAGGAAGAAGACAAGCTTTCGCTGCGCAAGTAGATCCAGGGAGCGTGCAGCCGGGTGGACGTTCTCCCCCTCAGGTCTGCGCGCAGTGGTTGCGCCTGTCCCCGAGCCTGCGCAGTCGGCGCCTCGTAGCCTTGGCGGTCTGGACCCCTCCTCGGCGTCCCACGCTGCTCCCCTCCCCCACTGTCGCGAAGCTCCCGCCCAAGCCGACCACGTGCCGCGAGCCCGGCGGGGAGAGCCCACTCCCGCGCCCCTTCCGGGCCCACTACCCCGCCGGGCTGTGGCCCATCGCCCCAGTGCCTGGTAGCCTAGTTTTCTCGTTTGTCGTTTGTTCACTTATTTATTATTATTATTATTATTTTGACTCGTAATGGGTATGAGGTGTAAGGGGGCCTATTACGGATGTTAAGGGGAGAGGGCACCGCTCGGGTTTTAATAAGCATCTGTGGAGCTCATTTATAAGGTACAGTTCTAAGCACTTGCATTTATAATATATTCCATTGATAATCTATTTATAATATTTAATCTCATTTAAGACTCTCAACAACTCTAGGAGGTAAGTGGCAATTGTACTCCTTCTTTATAGGTGGAGGCAGATTAAGGAACTTGTTCTTACTGCTAACTGATAAGTCTGGAGGTTTGAACTCATTCTGCAAACTCCACGCACCCTAGCTGTTCCACTCTGCAGCAATGCTGCTGGCTAGACACTGGAAGATTGGAGCAGAAAGACTTTCGAAACTCTTGGAGGTTATGAATACAAGTGTTCCTCTGTTAAATAAATCCACATTTATCAAGTACCTACCTTAAGCCAGCCACCTTGCAGGTGAGGGCTGGAGGCTAACAGCCTGTTTTATAGCACCCAATCCCAGTTATATAAAATTGCTATCCCTACCCCCCAAATACACCCCTATTAAAAAAAAAAAAAGGCTGTATTGATGCTGGAATTTAAGAGCCACTACCAAAAATACCCCTTTTAATTTGCTGTTTGACTTCAAAATCCCGAAAGTGTTCATGCTTAAAGCAGCAATTTTCCCCAACCTCACCCCCAAGAGATTTAGAAAAAGTTAAGTCCAGGGTGGCCCCTGCCCTCCCTCCGCCCCCTCCTCTGTATTTTTAACAAGACCCCAGGTGACTGATGAAGTTGCTAGAGAAATTACGGTGAGTGAAACACTGGCCTAGAGGTAAAGTTAATTGACCTTCTAAGTTGTGCTCTATCAAGTACAAAATCAACTTGGAAGATTCTGAGAACAGAATAAGTGAATTTAGTAGAAGTGAATGTTCTTCCCCAGGGCCAACACAATGAAGTCTGAAATGACACTTTGTTTCTTTTGGGAAGACTTCCCTGACCCCTCTCCCGCCAAGACTGTTCTCCATGCCATGTACGTTGTATGCTGTAGCTCAACACTTAACCATGTTGCAGTTGCCCACAACTCGTCTGAATGTCCCACTATGAATGGAGTGTCATAAATGAAGGGACCAGGTTTATCTTGCATGTAATAGTTTCTCTAGTGCCTGTGACTTAGGGCAAGTCACTTAAACGTTTTTTGAATTGCCTTATCTGTAAAATGGGGCAGTATTACTTGGAGAGTAATATTCAGAATCTCAAATAAGAAAATTAATATGGAATACTTTTAAAAAATGAAGAATTATGTGAATAAGGGATTATTAGGATTACTATAATAACAGTGACAATTACTAAATTACTGTTTGCACCCACAGCACCTAACATTGAACTTGTGAGAAGAGCCTGGACATATCTTTTGACTAGCTGAGAAACGTATTTATTATTTAATAATTTTAAACCAATAGAAGCAAGTTACATTACCTTTAGAAACTGGTGTGGGAGGAGTTTTATCCCATGATAGGAGTTGGCCAAGAGAATTCTGTCTATAATCTCTACTATGTTAGCAGAGCTAAAAGTGGCATCAGTTATTGAAACCCATTGACAAGCTCCAGATTTCATTGACCACATTCTAACTCTGCTGTATCAAACCCTTTTAAATATGGAGTTTTAGACAGTGCAGTAAAAGGAAACCAGCTGAAAGCATGGATAATTCATAGGATGCGTGCATAGTTAAGGACTGTCTTTTTCCTTAAATTGTTCTTCTTTAGTTTCTGCTCCATCTATAGGTGCTTATTTTTTCAATCTCGAAGATATTTAGTGCTTTGAAATTGTTCAGTAAAATGATCTCTTAAACAGAAATGATTATTTAAGAATAGGACTGCTAAGAAACTGATGGCCTCAGCTTATGCTAAAAATTAAACCCTGCTGACAACTGCAGCAGATAGTTTAATTTCTATAAGAGAATTATTCATATAAGCTTATTTCTACTGTAAGGAAATTTAGGTTTCTTAGTGCTAATTTTGTGTAGTAATTCCATACGGCGATACAGAAGGTAGAGAAGTACAGTGGCACACTACAGTGTTGTCGTAAACTCACACAGCCTCAAGCTGAATTCTGATCTTGTAAGCATGGTGCCTATCTTTACACAGTACTACAAGCTATAACTTATAAACCTGAATAGCAACATCTAACAATGAGAGATTATAGTACTTTTGAACTGTGCATTTGTGTAACAAAATTTCAAATTACCCATTTACATTAAAAATATATTTTTGAACTATAGCTTATCTACTCAATTACTGTTACACTAAACCTTTCAAATCATTCCTGTTACATTATTAACTGATTAATGCTTTGCTGATGACCTTCAAAACACAGTATCACTTTGATCTAATCCACCTACTTGCTCAAATTTTCTAATTTTTATACTCACACTGCATCTGAGAAAATTAACTTGTTAGTGTCTCCTGATCACCTTACATGTATATCTTAATTCTTCCTCTTTCCTATCTTAGTGTTTTGGGTTTTTTTTTTTTTTTAAGACAGAGTTTCGACCTTGTTGCCCAGGCTGGAGTGCAATGGTGCGATCTCGGCTCACTGCAACCTCCCCCTCCCGGGTTCAAGCGATTCTCCTGCCTCCGCAGGAGGCCTCCGGAGTAGCTAGGCCTCTGGAGTAGTAGGCTGAGGCCTCCGGAGTAGCTAGGATTACAGGCGCCCGCCACCACGCCAGGCTAATTTTTGTATTTTTAGTAGAGATGGGGTTTCACCATGTTGACCAGACTAGTCTCTAACTCCTGACGTGGTGATCGCCTGCCTTGGCCTCCCAAAGTGCTGGAATTACAGGCGTGAGCCACTGCACCCGGCCTCCTATCCTAGTGTTTTTAACCTTCCTTAAAATCTAGTCACCATTCTTCTCCACCTACCACCAGAACTGTACAGATGGAGGTGGCGTATGCATGTTGTGACCATGGGGTGGAAAGCCACATGACAAGAATAGTGGAGCAGACGGATAGGGACCCGGGTCCCTGATGACCTTGTATGTAGCCGTTCCAGACCTGGACTGTGCACTTCTGGACTCTGGTGACATGCAGGGAAAAAAAAATGAAACAAACAAAAAAACACGTTTAGGTAAACCACTGTAGTTGTGATTTTGTTATATGTAGCTGAATATAATCCTAACTCATGCAAAATCTGAATTAGAAGTTAGTGGTTTCTCATAATTTCTCCCAACTACAGGCTTCCCTTGGGAGACAATTTTCTGGGTTTCTGAATATCTTGAGAACAGAGGTGCTGGCTTTGTCTGAAACTATCTTTTCAGTGATGTTTTTGTAGTGAACAGCGTTCCAAGATAGAGAAAATGACTCCTTCTGGAGCAAAGAACAAGCATGATTACTACCCATTATAAAAAAATCAGGTTCTCTAAGTACTATACTGTACTTTACTGTACTATACTATACTACACTACACTACACTACACTACACTACACTACACTACACTACACTATGCTGCAGTCCATTGCCAGTACAAGTATTATGTGGCATCTTCATGTTGGCATATGGGAATTGGGGTTCAGAACAGCAGCACAAAAATTAATACTGTTGCTCTGGTCACTGCTATTGCCATGAGTAATAAATTATCCCTTAACACAGGAGTCTTGAGTCTAATACTAGCATGATGAAACTGTGGCTGACTAGCTTGTTAGCTTGCAAATAGGGTAAAATTTCAGATTGTTTACGGAACCCAGAATAGACTACATAGCCCTCAGATGACTGTGGGGAGCCCTCTGAAATAAGGCCACCCTTAGTTATTTGGTGGAACTTTCCAGAGGGCAGACTCATTTGTGTGCACTTTGTGGTTGGTTGTCCCAACGATGGGAGTCAGATAATTAGAAAAGGTGGTAAGAAATTTGTCCCTGAGGCTGGGCGCAGTGGCTCACGCCTGTAATCCCAGCACTTTGGGAGGCCAAGGCGGATGGATCATGAGGTCAGGAGATCGAGACCATCCTGGTCAACATGTTGAAACCTCGTCTCTCCTAAAATACAAAAAATCAGCCAGGCGTGGTGATGCAGGCCTGTAGTTGCGGCTACTCAGGAGGCTGAGGCAGGGGAATTGCTTGAACCTGGGAGGTGGAGGTTGCAGTGAGCCGTGATCACAGCACTGCACTCCAGCCTGGCGACAGAGCGAGACTCCATCTCAAAAAAAAAAAAAAAAGAAAAGAAAAGAAAAGAAAAAAGAAAAGAAATTTGTCCCTGAGTTCAGCTGAAGTGATTAATGATACCACCTGGGCCTTAGAAGGTAGTCAGCTCCAACTCAACTCACTGACCAGAATTGTTATAGATGATAGAATTGCAACAGATGTCAGATTCTAAATCGTCCCTAAAACATCCAGCTATACCTGGATTAATGCCGCAAACCAAGTAGAAAGGTCAAATGAGAGCCTTAAGGAGAAAGCCACTGACTTTCCAAGGTAGACCCTGTTGGTTTGTGGTATTCAGAACTCTGGGTGTCATGATTAAGGTCAATACTTTGTCCTGCTGCTTGTATTGTTGATAGTCCCTTAATTAAGTGCTATACAAGACAAATGGAATTAAGCCTCTATACATCAGATTAATCACAGTGGTCAATGGAGTCACATATTCATGTGAAATTTTGAGTTCTGCCAAGAACGTTTAAGGGTGGATGGTTAGAAGAGGAAGATCTGTCTTGGTCCTGAGTGTCCCTGCATAATTTTGCTAAGTATGCCAGATTGCAAGTCTTATCTGTCTCCTGAGACTGAGCATTTTTGCAGCTAGACACATAGACAATTAAGTGGGTCAGGGTAACTGTACAATGACTCTCGTGTAACTGCTCACCATCAGGGTAAGGGAGATTGGCTTGTTTGCTGCTTGTTCAAGAAATTTGGACCCTTGGATCTGGGTTTCTCTTTTGCAGTGCAACCCACTAAGTGTGCAGGTGGCATTTGGGTCCATTACATATTCCCTGTGGGAGTTGGGGGCAAGAGGAACTGACAAATATGCTGATGCTCATGCTGCTTTCTGTGCTATAAGCAATAAAGTACTTTGTCTCCTAACTAGGATTTTTGTGACTTCTGCCAGCATCCATGAAACCAGCAGATTAATTTATTAGCTTACAAGAAGGGTAAAAGTTTAAATGCTTTACAGTTCATGACAAAAGGTAGTCATCCCTCCCTCAGTAAACATGAAGGCTTGGTTCTAGAACCTGCTGCATATATCAAAATCCATGCATACTCAAGTCCCACTGTTGATCCTGTGGAACCCGAGTGTAAAAAAAGCTGGCCCTCCATATACATGGGTTTTACATCCGGGGAATGCTGCATTTGGTTGAAATGGAATCCCACATGGTTCAAACCTGTTTTGTTCAAGGGTCAACTGTAATGCCAAAGCATTGTAAGCAATGAGAATTTTTTTATACTATAAACCCACAGAATCTAGGAGTCATCCTAATTTGGATGAATGAAATATTCAAATTAGGATGACTCCTAGATTCTTTCTGATCATAGGTGGAAAACAGAAAATTCCTAGGAAATTTTACATATGTTTTGGATAGTTTAATTGGAAAACTCCATCAGATTGATAGTGGTCCTGTTTCTCTGGAGAACCCTGACTAATGCAACCATAGTAAAAGGATCAGTACTATGTCACTTAAGAATAAGCTGAGGGCTGCATAACTGCAATCTGGTACACTGCAGCTCTCCCATCTTAAAAAGTTTCTTTCAACTATTACACTATAGAAACTAAAGAAGGAAATAACTGAAAAGGTCACTTAATTTTTGTATTTTGCTGAGTTTTCCTTTACAATATATTTCCAAGTACTTCAAAAGTACTTATAGCAGGCAATAAAGATTTTTGCTCTTCCCAATAGAAAATTATTCAGTATGTTTATAATAAACCAGAATTTAGCTTAACTCATTTTACTCTATTAAACAAAAATTTTCCATTTAATTGTTTCCTTTATTACTACTCACGGCTTTCCATTACAATATACTTGCAAATGCACATTGGCTAGGTAGAGGGTTGAAGCAAGGTTAATTGGATAATTTTACTTTTATTTCTTCATTTTATTATCTTAAAATTTTAGGATAATAGGTATTCCCTAAAATTGTAGATTCCCCATAAGTTAATTTGTAAATTAAAATTTGGTATATTAAAATTATATTTTAAATCATTTAGAGACTACCCTTGATGGAATTTTATGACTTTAGAAGTATTTTCCCTAAGTTCTTTTTCGGTGCCCAGCAAAATTCTGATGAGTTTTTCTTTCTTTCCTCCCTCCTTACATGCCTTTTCTTTTTTTTTTTTTTCCAAGAACTATCTATACTTTCAAGATTATTTTGTTAACAACATAGATGAGATCCTAGGATGGTTTCTGTAGTAAGAATTTTGTGAATTTTATGAATTTTAATCGCTAAAAATTTTACTGGGAAAAAAAATGTTGAGCCCTACATGTAATAAAATTACTCTGTTTTTTGAATGTTTAATGACAACTTTATACTTTTCTGATTAATGTTCATAGTCAAAATGTTATACAAAAGAACTGTGCTATTAATAATGATTGTAACATAAATGATGTAGGGAAGTCTCTCTTGGCAGACTGATCACTTCCCTTTTATACTGTTTCTACCTTATCATTTCTGAAACAGGAGTTTTCATGCTTCATTGTATATAAAAATCCCCTGGGAATTGATTGAAAATGCCAGTTCCTTGGCCTACCTTCTATTATTTCTGAATTGGAAGTTCTGGACTGAGACGCGGGGAGTCTGCATTTTAACAAGCTTCTCAAAGTGATTCTGATATAGATGAGCCAAGATCCACTTACTGACTAATGCATAGTATCTAAACTTGACTAATGCTTGGTATCCAAACATTTTCTGCACGTCAGTGTAGCACACTTAGATTTTTACCTAAAGTTTTCTTATAAATTGAATCATTTAGCTCATGTTAACTGGGTAAGTTAGTGGGGCCTGACTTCTGCCTTTTGCCACTAGGCACCATGATAGTTTGGAATGGATTAGTATTTGTTTATTTTTATTTTTTATTTATTTATTTATTATTTTTTGAGATGGAGTTTTGCTCTGTCACCCAGGTTGGAGTGCAGTGGCATGGTCTCAGCTCACTGCAACATCTGCCTCCTGGGTTCAAACAATTCTCTTGCCTCAGCCTCTGGGTAGCTGGGACTACAGGCATGCACCACCACACCCAGCTAATTTTTGTATTTTTAGTAGAGACAGGGTTTTACCATGTTGCCCAGGCTGGTCCCAAGCTCCTGACCTCAGGTGATCTGCCCGCCTCGGCCTCCCAGAGTGCTGGGATTACAGGCGTGAGCCAACGCACTTGGCCAGGAATGGATTAGTATTTGTAACTAGGGTTGAATGCATAAAACTTTGAGTTGTATAGAATTTGATTTTTGTTTTATATGTCATTTAATAGAAAATAAGAAAATACAGACAAAAAGGAAAAAAATTTATCATGCATCTCTCTTCCCAGCCCTTAATATCATTTTGTCGCACATGCTTCCTTACTTTTGAAATACACATAAATTGGCCGGGCACAGTGTCTCATGCCCGTAATCCCAGCACTTTGAGAGGCTAAGGCGGGCGGATCACATGAGGTCAGGAGTTCGAGACCAGCCTCATCAACATAGTGAAACCCCATCTGTACTAAAAATAAAAAAATTAGCCGGGCATGGTGGCACCTGCCTGTAATCCCAGTTACTTGGGAGACTGAGGCAGGAGAATCACTTGAACCCGGAAAACGGAGGTTGCAGTGAGCCGAGATCACACCATTGCACTCCAGCCTGGGTAACAAGAGTGAAACTCCATCTCAAAACAAACAAACAAACAAAAAAGAAATACACGTAAGTCTATGTAAGCAGGTGAGGATATATGTTGTAAAACAAAAATTGGGATTTACTGTTTAAATGCTGTCTTATAAACACATAATGTATTAAATTTGCCTTTCCCCTCTCAATAATACATTTCTGTATAAATACATGCAAAAACATTTCATGAATAAATTAAGATTTAACTAAACCCTATTAGATTAAAAAAATTTTTGGCTCTTACAAATAGTGCTTTCTTTAAATCTGTTAAAATACGTCTTCATGCATTGGTCCAATATTTAGCTTAAAAAGCTTTTGATACATAGTTGTCTATATGTCCATTAGAATTATAAAAGTGTACATTAATGAAGCATAGGGGACAGTGGTAATTATAGTTTTTGTCTGTTTACTACCTTTTTTTTTTTTTTTTCATCTTCTGGTTCTTTGGGTGAACTATAACTCCTAACATCCTGCTCTGCCACCCATCCAGGGCCAGGATCCTGGTAGGGTTGTAAAGCACATAGCCTCCATCCTCCCATTCCAGGATGTGCTTGTGATCCAGATTGGGCCAGAATATTTTCCCCAGACATTGCTGATAGAGCAAACTGGAGAAACTTATTTTATTTGCTTTTGGCTGTCTTCCCTGACCTTAAGGAGAAGCCCGTTTGTACAAAGAGGAACTGAGAAAAATACAGAGGGAAGTAAAGAGATATAGATGATAGCAGAGGGAGAGCTAGCTAGTTAGCTAGCTAGAAAGAAAACACTGGAGCCCCTGGATTGAGCCATGCCTGAAAGCTAGCACTGCCTCTAAACTCCCCAGTTATATGGGTCAATAAATTCCCATTTTTTGCTTGAACTAGTTTATATGAATCTCTCTTATTTATAAGCCAAACAGCTTTTATTAATACATAATGCAAATTCAAAATAAAATACAAAAATTCACCCTTCTTATCAGTAAATAATTTTAATAGTTATACAAACTAATTGCCTATTATGTGGTCCACAATTTTAAACATGTAAGCTCTTAAGTACATGATTTATCACTCGCTTCTAACTATGTAAATATCTAACTTTGTAGGAATACTGCACTTTAGCAAAACATGATTTTTTTCAGAGACTGAATATTTAGATAAGTAAAAAGTTTCTATGGCTTCACATTTCAAAATTTCATCCTATAATATTATTTCAAATTCTCAAGGTGCAGTGAAAATATGGTTGCAGTTATAAAAGTTCAGTTTACTCAGCTTTTCAAGAACACATTAATGTGCAAAGACACTATTACATAACTTTGCTTTGCAGTTGCACTTTTCCCATTTGAGAGAACTGTTCAGTCATACTTTTGTCATTATCTCTTAGTACTTGTATAGTTTTTGACACAATTGTTGTACCGTAGCATATAAAGCTACAGAAATATGATTGGCATTACTTTATAAACTAAAGACACAAACACTGTTACATCTCTTATTTTTCCCATTTCTAGTTTGAAGTTTCACATGCCATATTAACTGAAAGCATTGTGTCTCTTCCTAAACATCTTTACTCTCAAATTGTCAAAGAACTCTAGGAGATGATGGAATTAAAAGCAGGTCAGTCCTGGTGAACAGATGGCACTGAGGTCCGCAATAGCTCTTCATTGCCACAAGGTGTCACAGAAGGAAGAGCTTGCACAGACTGGCCACCCTCTGCTGTAGGGAGACCCTTGCTGGTCCAAACCCCTGTCTAAATAGCAATGACATCCCTCTGTAGTTCATTCCCATTCCCTGAGGATCATCTGTTATTTTCTAAAACACAGCCAGCCTATGAGCGTTGCTGGATCCAGGGAAACAAGTATTGCCCATGTCCAAACCAGCCCTATTCCATGAACGCTTAAGTCCTTACCTTCTTTTAGAGGGTTAGGGAGAGCTTTCAATTTTTATATAATTTTAAACTTTCAGAATAATTGCAAAAATAGTATGAGAAACTTCTGTATACCATTTCCCCAGATTCGCCAATTGTTCACACACACTTTTTTTTTTTTTTTCTAAACCACTTAAAAGTAGGTTGGAAACATTTCAGTGTGTATTTCCTAAGAACTAAGACATTCCCTTACATAATCAGATAAAGTCATCAAAATTAGGAAATCTATATAAAACTTATCTAATTCAGGGTTTGTATTAAAATTCCTGCAAACTATCCCAATAGTTTTTTACAGCTAATTTTTCTGCTAATTTCAGATCCAATCCAGAATCATATATTACACTTAGCTGTGATGTCTGCAGAAATACCATAGGAGTGATGTTGTGTCCTTAGTGACCATGACAGGAGATGCATTAATCTATTTTCCTTATCTATTGGTCTTGTTAACTTTGATAACTAGGTCAAGGTGGTGTCTACCAGGTTTCTCCACTGTGTAGTTTTCATTTTCCCCTTTGTAAATAAGTGATTTGTGGGAATACACTTCAAGACTCCCCATGTGGTTCCTTAGTGTTTCTCACAGAATGGTTAGATGGGTTCTAAGAATGGATGTACCAATAGAGTTGAAGAAGATGGCATTTTTATGATCTTGCCTCAGAAGTCGCATAACTTTACGGCCCTTCTTGGATGAAGCATTCACAAAGGTGCACCCAATTTTAAGATGGGGGGACATAGAGCCCACTACTCCAATGTCAAGGTGACATTTCAGAAAAGCATCGTGGATTGAAAGGATTATTGCAGCCAACTTTGAAATACTCTGTTAGCCACACTGGGCAGTACCATGCCTACTGAATCATAGCCACTTACTCCCAGCAGTACCACCCTCCCACTCTGTGTCCAGTCTGTTTAATTTTAGGCCTCTGTGAACCCTCTTAAGATTGGCATTCTCAAGAGAGGCCTGGGATTAACATCCAGTGAATTTGTTGGGGCCCAGTTGTCTCATGTGCCTGTTGCTGCCACTGTGCAGTGCAGCAGATGATGGGGGTGGCATCTGCCTGTGAGTCATGTTAGCAAAGAGGAGAACAAAGGCAAGTAAAAAAGACCCTAATATTGCCCTTTATCCCAGAGCCACTTAAAAACAACAGTTGACTTTTTTTTTTTTTTTTGAGATGGAGTCTTGCACTGTTGCCCCAGCTGGAGTGCAGTGTTGCGATCTCGGCTCATTGCAAGCTACGCCTCCTGGGTTAAAGCGATTCTCTAGCCTCAGCCTCCCAAGTAACTGGGATTACAGGCGTCCACCACCATGCTCAGCTAATTTTTTGTATTTTTAGTAGAGATGAGGTTTCACCATGTTGGCCAGACTGGTCTCGAACTCCTGACCTCGTGATTCACCCACCTTGGCCTCCCAAAGTGCTGAGATTACAGGCGTGAGCCACTGCACCCGGCCCAGCAGTTGACCTTCTAACCTCCTTTATTTTCAGTTATCTTTGGATGCCACTTGTACACACTGGTCCTAGGATCTATGCTCAACTCACAGTTGACTTTTCCCACCCTCTGCCCCAAGGCCATCTAAATTCCACACTGTGTATATGCTTCCTGAGACAGTGGAAACTTTTGGAACTCTGTGTTCCAAACATAGAATAGAACTCTATGTTCTACTCCATGAATGGGCTGAGACTTTACAAATTTTCTACTTGTAAAGTGTATTTAGCAGCTGTGGGAATAAGAAGTTGGTGACTTCTTAGGTAGTAATCTGCCTCATCATATTGATCTAGTATGAGGTAGCCAAAAATATATGTTTTTATGAAAGAATATTGTATATATATGTACACTACAAATTGGCAAAAGATTTGAAAAGACACTTCACCAAAGAAGATTTGCAGATGTCAGGTTCTTTAAAAAGTACTCAACCTCAATCACTAGGGAAATGCACATCAAAACCACAATGAGATGCCACTATACACCTGTTAAAATGGCCACAGTTAGAAAGACTGATCACCTCAAGTGTTAACAAAGATGTGGGGCAATTTGAGCTCTTATACACCACTGTTGAGAATGTAAAATGGCACAACCACTATGGAAAACAATTTGACAGTTTCTTTTAAAAGTTAAACATTTGGCAGGGCGCAGTGGCTCAAGCCTGTAATCCCAGCACTTTGGGAGGCCAGGGTGGGCGTATCACTTGAGGTCAGGAGTTGGCCAGCCTGGCCAACATGGTGAAACCCCATCTTTACTAAAAATACAAAAAAATTAGCTGGGCGTGGTGGTGGGCGCCTGTAATCCCAGTGACTCGGGAGGCTGAGGCAGGAGAATCGCTTGAACCTGGGAGATGGAGGTTGTAGTGAGACAAGATGGCGCCACTGCACTTGAGCCTGGATGACAAGAGTGAGACTATGTCTCAAAAAAAAAAAAAAAAAATTCGTCAACCAGGCACAGTGGCATGTACCTATAGTCTTAGCTTTTTGGGAGCCTTAGATGGGAGGATCGCTTGAGCCCAGGAGTTTGAGGCCAGCCAGGGCAATCTAGCAAGACCCTGTCTCTAATTTTTTTTAAAGTTAAACATACATCTATCTTGTGATCCAGCCATTCCACACCTAAGTATTTATTTAAGAGAAATAAGAGGATACAAACATATAAAGATTTGTACATGAATGTACATAGGGGCTTAATTTATAATAGCAAAATACTTGAAAAATCCAACAACCTGTCCATTAACAGGTGAATGGCTAAACAAATTGTGATATAGCCATGCAATGTGATACCATTCTGCATTAAAAAATGAACTATTGATATATGAAGCAACATAGATGATTTTCTATTGTGCTTAGTAAAAGAAGCTAGACAAAAATAAATACATACTGTATAATTTCATTTATATTAAATTCTAGAAAATGCAAACTATAGTGATAGCACATCAGTGGTTGCTTGGAGATGGGAGGAGCAGTGGGAGGAGCAGAAAGGGAAGGATTACAAAGAGGCAAGGGGAAATTTTTGGAATTTACGGATATATTCATTATCATGACTGTGTGGATGATTTCATAAGTGTATATGCAGGTCAAAACATCAAATTGTTTATTTTTAATATGTGCAATGCAGCATGTTGTACATAAATTATACATCAATTAAACAAGTATATATCCATTACACTTGCTTATAATATGAATATTTCAATTCACAGGCTAGAGGATGAAGTAAAGTCATATTTCTTTTTTTTTTTTTTTTTTTTTGAGACAGAGTCTCACTCTGTCGCCCAGGCTGGAGTGCAGTGGCACGATCTCAGCTTGCTGCAACCTCTGCCTCCCAGGTTCAAGCGATTCTCCTGCTTCAGCCTCCCGAGTAGCTGGGATTACAGGCGCTCGCCACCACACCCAGCTAATTTTTCTATTTTTAGTAGAGATGGGGTTTCACCATGTTGGCCAGGCTGGTCTTGAACTCCTGACCTCGTGATCCACCTGCCTTGGCCTCCCAAAGTGCTGGGATTACAGGTGTGAGCCACCGTGCCCAGCCAAGTCATATTTCTTTTTAAGAGACTCCCATTCCATCTATTCTTTGATCTCTTCAGGATCTCCACTGTGATACATTTAAGAATTCTGAGGTGCTTTGTCTAAAAGGACCATAGTTACATTATGAGGAAATCTGATGGTCTGCTGAAGCAGCCCATTTGCTGCTGCTGTTGCTGTTCCCATCAAGGAGTCTTCAAGGTGCCAGATAAGGAGAGGCCCTGGCATCAGCCACATGCTCTGCCCAGAACAAGTGCTGTCTTCTCAATTTACATCCAAGAATATATATAGTCTACTTCTTTTAACTGCACACAGATTATTTGCTCCATATAGATAACCAAGGACATTATGGCCTAGAAAAGCAGTGCTGTAAATGATAGTATAATTCTCAAAATCTAGATCTTCAATAATAAATAATTTCATAACAGGGCCACCACCTAAGTTTTCTTCTATTGAAAATCTTTTCTTCTGATTTTTTTTTTAGGGAAGGATCTAAATCTCCATTTAATCAATGTTTATTTTTCTCCATAGTCCTTAAAATCCTAGGCTTTAGCATCTGTCGTAGATTTAAGTGAACTCAGACTAATCTCTGAGAACAATGGATGGTTACTTGCTTTATTTTTATAAATAATTTCGTAACATTTTTTCCAAATGAAGGGCATCAAGTCCAAATGCTGTCTTCCTCTCTAGGGAGTGAAACTGCCATTAACTGCAAAAGGGCATTCCCTGGTTGAAACAAATATGTATGTTAAGTTTTCCTCAAAGAAGCATCACACGCCCTGGAGACAAGAACTTGGAACTGGCCTTGGGATAGGTAGAGGATTGGCCTCCATGTATCTTCAAGTGATGAAAATGCAGAGGTTCTCATGAAGGGGACCCCAGAACCTGTGCCATCTCAGTCATCCTTCCCCAGGGGAAGGTGCTCTGTGGATGCTAAATTCAAACAGCTGAGATAGGAGTGGAGGCTCTTAATGCATAAGGGAAGTCCAGGGGTCAGAGCAGCCAAGGCCCTTCAGCTCCTTAATATTTCTAATATTAGACACACAAACAAAAAGCAGTCTGGGAGTTTGTAAGAATAGGCTAGCCAATCCAGTGACCCCTACTCATAGCTAGATGTGCTTCTTCTAGATGAATTCCAGTGGCAGAGAAGAAGGAGGGAGTTCCTGTACAGTGATTGCAAGGCCGAAGATGTGAGTTTGCTACCATTTGTCATCCAAAGCTGCCTAAAAATGTAGGGGCAGCTGTGTGGTTGGGCTCTTCAGAACTGCTTTGTTACTGTCCCAACCACTGTTTAGGGCTGTGTAAACTAGGTCCACTCCTCTCCTTTGGCATACACTCACCTGCTGAGACACAAGCAGGAGCTGGAATCCATTGTTCATCCTCTGTCAGTTAGGAGGGGCTTTGAAGTGCTGGCCACGTAGGGGGTTTTTGTGAGTTTCCAGGCCGTCTGCTCCATGGGTGCCAATACATTTGGAGGATGATGCCAGGTAGCAGCCTGAAGAAGAGCTGGGAGACCAATGGCCAACATACAAAAAAGCTCCCATGGTGCTTGCCCTGGCCTTTTCCTAGTTGTGGCAGTTGTAGAGATTTGACACATTCAAGATGACCATACCATGAAAGCCAGCACAATTAATTATGGGCCATTTTGAGGGTACTGGGGCTCACATGTTGATATGGTTAGGCTTTGTGTCCCCACCCAAACCTCATCTTGAATTATAATCCCCATAATCCCCACCTGTCAAGGGAGAGACCAGGTGGAGGTAATTGAATCATGGGGGTGGTTCCCCCATGCCATTCTCGTGATACAGTGAATTCTCATGAGATATGATGGTTTTATAAGGGGCTGTTCTCCATTTTGCTCAGCACTTCTCCTTCCTGCTGCCTTGTGAAGAAGGTGCCTTGCTTCCCCTTTGTCTTCTACCATGATTGTAAGTTTCCTGAGGCCTCCCCAGTCATGCTGAACTGTGGGGTTAACTAAACCTCTTTCATTTATACATTACCCAGTCTTGAGCAGTTCTTTATAGCAGTATGAAAATGGACTAATACACATGTCCACAGTTACTGGTTTTATGAACTTAAATCTTTTTATAGTAAATATAAAATTCCGGTGCCAGAGTTCCCTATGAACTACCAAAAAAAGCAGTTACACAGGTAGGTGTCATTGTGGCTTCCAGCAGCTTACATGTTGAAATTACCCAGATTTAGGGAAGTGCTTTTTGATTCCACCAAAAAGCTGAAGAATCTAAATGAGGTATAGATGGGGCAAAAAACCTCTAGTTAGCAGTAACCTTTGCCAAGGAAGGGTTAATGGGGGTCTGAGAAGAAACTAAAACCCCAAATTTAAACACTTGTGATTATCTGTGCTCTGTGGTCCATAACACCAATTATCAAAGTTGCGTGTAATACTTTATATTTCATAGTACAGTATAATTCTGTGAATTGCAGTGTTGAAAAATCTATAAAGTAGAACAAGCCATTGAATTAGCTAAGATGCTTTGGGCTAAATGTAACTGAAATGATAATTCAAAATGGCTTAAGCAATGAAGACATTTATTATCTCCTTAACAGGGAATCTAGAATAGGGTAGGCTTCAGGGTTGGCTGATGCAGCAGCTCTGCAGTTTTGTCAGAGCCAGGTTCCTTAGATGACATTTTCTACCATCCACAGAGTTAGTGTCATCCTAAGGTTGGTGTCAATTAGGGCAATGGTCGTCCTTCTTCTCATCTAGTAAGACAGACGAAGATACGATGGGGTCTAAGTTCTTCTTGTCAGTTTCCTTGGCCAGGCTTGATCATAGGCCCACGCTGAACTGGTAATTGTGGCAGTGGGAAAGACATGCACTTCTTGGTTTAGAGTCCAGAGGTTTCCATCTTACGCTGAGAATGGGTTACACATGTAGAGATATTGATCCCTTCAGGCCTTAGGGCTGCCATTTTTTCTTGCCCCAAAGCCACTGTCGCATCTCGCCAGTCATCTCCAAGCAGAGTGGCCTCTTCCTTTTATCCTACAGGCTATACAAGCACTGTTTTTTTTTTTTAATTCGTCACATCACAAAAAAATCTAGAAGCATTGGCTTAGGTGATGGATACAGTCCCTTTCCAGAAGCATGGAGATGTGTAGAACAGAAGTATATCTCTTACTAATATCAGGGTAAGAAGGAAGAAGGGGTCATGGATGATGCATACAAAACTTCCATGCCCACAGGATATAAATAAAATCCAAATCTGATAATCATTTATTAGACCTATAAAAATCAAGTCAAAATTTCCTCAAAAGATTGAAAAATCCTTAAAATGGTGAAGAAGATTGCCAAGCCAAGAAAGGGCACTGAATGAATGTAAAGTCTTTCAAAGTGTGATTGTTTTAGGTAAAGCAATCTGATGAATTCTTCTGTTTTCATATTACATACAATATGTTTATGTTTCAGTATCTCTCATGTGCTTTCGTGATTTTGATATCTTTAATAGAGTATTTAGATATTTTATTGTTTAAGAGTAGATGATACTTAGAAAGCATTCATCCATGTCAGGCAAGAACTGTATTAATTCATTTAATCTTCACTATAGGCCCATGATGATATACAATTTTTAAATCCATTTTGCAGATGAGAAAATTGAGAAATAGAGAGGTTAATTAATTTGCCCAATAAAACACAGCTAGTAAGCACCAGAACCTGTGACTGAACCCAGAAAATTTAGTTTCCAAATTGTTTTTATTATAAGTTGATTCAGGATGCTCTGGAAGACACAGTGGTCTAATCCAGTGGGTACTAAATGTTTGTCTATGAGCTGCAATAAAAAAATAAAATGTTTATTATAACTTAATGCACACACACTAAAAAATCTTAAAACAATACTTACTATGGAGGCAAGCATTCTGCTATTTCTGTTCCATTCCATTCTCTTCTTTGTTCTATTCTTTTTTTTTTTTTTTTTGAGACAGAGTCTTGCTCTGTCACCCAGGCTGGCATGCAGTGTCCTGATCTCAGCTCACTGCAAGCTCCACCTCCCAGGTTCACACCATTCTCCTGCCTCAGCCTCCCAAGCAGCTGGGACTACAGGCGCCCGTCACCACACCCGGCTTTTTTGTATTTTTAGTAGAGATGGGGTTTCACTGTGTTAGCCAGGATGGTCTCGATCTCCTGACCTCGTGATCCACCTGCCTTGGCCTCCCAAAGTGCTGGGATTACAGGCGTGAGCCACCACGTCTGGCCTGTTCTATTCTTTAAAAAATCAGCTGTGACCCACAAAATTAATTCTAGGACTAGTAATGGGTCACGATAAACAATTTTTAAAGCCCTGGTAATATAATAGGATTGAATACAGCAATTACGGGGATGACTTAGATGCTCAATGGTTGTTTTAGTCTGTTTGCGCTACTGTAACAAAATGCCATAAACTGAATAGCTTATAAAGAACAGAAATTTTTTCTCACAGTTTTGAAGGCTAGGCAGTCCAAAATGAAGGCACCAGCAGATTCAGTGTCTGGTGAGGACCTGTTCCTGGTTCATAGACAGCCCTCTTCTCTCTGTGTCCTCACATGGTCAAAACGGAGAGGAGGCTCTCTGGAATACCCTTTATAAGAGCACTGATCCCATTAATGGGGGCTTCACTCTCATAACCTAATCACCTCCCAATGGCCCCACCTCCTGATACCATCACCTTAGGGGTTAAGATTTCAACATATGAATTAGGAGGGTTAGGGGAGAAACTTCAAACCATAGCAGTGGTCATTTTTGAGCCAGAGGTCTAGTTCAGGAAGAACACGGAGGTGGCAGGCTGAAGATTAAAGGCATAACTGGGTTCCAAAGGAAACTGATCTCAAGGTTCCAAGAGAACTTTGAAGGGTTTTGAGTTGTGAGTAATTAACTGGATATAAGAGCTGGGAGTCAGTAGCAAATAGTGGAAAACCAATCAAAGGTATGTGGATGAGACCACTGGGGAAGAATGTGTGAAGTGGGAAGACAAGAGGCCCAGAACAGAACTGCAAGGAATAGCAGTGTTTATAAGAGGAGGTGAAGAAGTGCCTGCTGGAGAGGAAACTGTGGAACTGGAGTAGGAGGAGGCCACAGGGAAGCATGGTGTCAACAGAAGCCAAGAAGGTTTGGAGATGTAGCTGGTGTCAGCTACAGCAAAGTGATCACATATCAGAGGTGCTGAAAATAGTTTGTTGGATCAGTATTTATGATTCAATAGCATATTAATTTATTCTCATGCTGCTAATAAATACATACCCAAGACTTGGTAATTTATAAAGAAAAAGATTTTTAATGGACTCAGTTCCACATGGCTGGAAAGGACTCACAATCATGGTGGAAGGCGAAGGAGGAGCAAAGGCATGTCTTAACATGGTGGCAGGCAAGACAGTATGTGCAGGGGAACTGCCCTTTATAAAACCATCAGATCTCATGAGACTTTTTCCCTATTACAAGAACAGTACAAACAGACAAAAATTCCATGCTCACAGATAGGAAGAATCACTATTGTGAAAATGACCATACTGCCCAAAGTAATTTATAGATTCAATGCTATTCCCATCAAGCTACCATTGACTTTCTTCACAGAATTAGAAAAAACTACTTTAAATTTCATATGAAACCAAAAAAGAGCCATATAGCCAAGACAATCCTAAGTAAAAAGAATAAAGCTGGAGACATCATACTACCTGACTTCAAACTATACTGCAAGGCTACAGTAACCAAAACAGCATGGTACTGGTACCCAAAGAGATATATAGACCAATGGAACAGAACAGAGGCCTCAGAAATAACACCACACACCTACAACTGTCTGATCTTTGACAAACCTGACAAAAACAAGAAATGGGGAAAGGATTCCCTATTTAATAAATGGTGCTGGGAAAACTGGCTAGCCATATGCAGAAAACAAACTGGACCCCTTCCTTAAACTGTATACAAAAATTAACTCAAGATGGATTAAAGACTTAAACATAAAACCTAAAATCATAAAAACCCTAGAAGAAAACCTAGACAATACCATTCAGGACATAGGCATGGGCAAATACTTCATGACTAAAACACGAAAAGCAATGGTGACAAAAGCCAAAATTGACAAATGGGATCTAATTAAACTAAAAAGCTTCTGCACAGCAAAAGAAACTATCATCAGAGTGAACAGGCAGCCTACAGAATGGGAGGAAATTTTTGCAATCTATCCATCTAACAAAGATCTAATATCCAGAATCTACAAGGAACTTAAACAAATTTATAAGAAAAAAAATAACCCCATAAAAAAGTGGGCAAAGGATGTGAACAGACACTTCCCAAGAGAAGACATTTATATGATCAACAAACATATGAAAAAAAGCTCATCATCAGTGGTCATTAGAGAAATGCAAATCAAAACCACAATGAGATACCATCTCATGCCAGTGAGATGACATTGAGGGTCTTAATTGACCACAAAACTCAATATGGATGAAAATATGAAGTAGCTACCAGAAAATTGAATGCCATTTTAGACTGCATTAATAAAAAATTGTGTCTGGAGAAGGTTTTGGAGTATTGCACCTACAAACCATCTATAAACAATTATAAAACAATGAAGGCCATGTGCTCAAACTAGTCAAAAACTAAAATAGAAAGAAAAATAGGATAGAGAAGGAGATGGCCTTTGAAATGGGCCTTGAAATATTCGTAGAATTTTGATAGGTAGAGATGGCAGTCAGACATTCCAAACTGACTTAATGTGTTTTTGTTTTTGTTTTAATTTTAGAGACAGGGTCTCACTCTGTCACCCACACTGGAGAGCAGTGGTACAATTATGGCTTATTGCAGCCTCAAACTCCTGGGCTCAACAGATCCTCCTGCTTTAGCCTCCCAAGTAGCTAGGGCTACAGGCACAAGCCATCATGCCCTGAGGGTCAGCTGCAGCCCTGTTTTAGAAATAGTTTGGAATCAGGGGCTAGAACAGCAGCCAGGATTCTGGCTTTCTCTCTCACCTCACTGTTGTCTTCATGCCTGCTTCATTCATCTCTTTTTGCAGATTGGCATCCTCTGCTTCTGCAGAAAACATGGCTACCAACAGCTTCTGTATCCACCTGCGGAGGAGACTGACTGCTCTGTTATTCCCCCAGCATCTGTGAAGAGGCTCTGACTGGCTAAAGTGTTGGTATAGTGATCACCCCAGGGTTAGGCAACCATGGCTGGTGAAAAGGAAAAACGTTATGAACCTGGCTGTGCGGAGCTACCTGAGGAAGCTTGTAGGAGAAGGGTCAGTTTGCAGAGAAAGGGGGGCCTGGGCAGATGACGCAAGAGGTGCCCATTACATCCCTCTAGAGGTGAGCTGTCTAAAATGGTAGGCACTGGCCACCTGTACTTATTTAATTGTAAATGTAAATTTCTTAAAATTTCCTTAGACACATTAGCCTCATCTCGAGTGCTCAATAGCCACATGTTGCCAGTGGCTACTGTATTGAGCAGTAAAGATATAGGACATTTCCCTCATTGCAGACATAGTGGACACCTCTCCTCTAGAGTTATCTGTGGTTCTACCAGCAAAAGCCCAGGTGTTCCAGCTAGAGAAACAGCAAATTTCTCTGGGACATGAACAACTAGAAAACATCTCACCTTGTCCTCCAATAACTTGGAAAGAATTTTTTTTGGTTGGAGACCCCAGAACTGGTTCTTGCTTTTGTTTGTTTGTTTGTTTGTTTTGTTTTGTTTTTGAGACAGTGTCTTGCTCTGTCACCCAGGCTGGAGTGCAGTGGCGTGATCTAGGCTCACTGCAACCTCCGCCTCCTGGATTCAAGGGATTCTCGTACCTCAGCCTCCTGAGTAGCTAGGACTACAGGTACACACCGCCACGCCCAGCTAATTTTTGTGTTTTTAGTAGGGATGGGGTTTTGCCATGTTGGCCAGGCTGGTCTCGAACTCCTGCCCTCAGGTGATCCACCCACCTCAGGCTCCCAAAGTGCTGGGATTACAGGCGTGAGTCACCATGCTTGGCCTGGTTCTTGATTATATCCGATTTGAGCACTGAGCAAAGCCTCCTAATCTCATCATGCCTGAATTCTTAGACTACCTTACCCCCAAATTTCAAAGATAATTAATTCAGTCATCCATCTCATCTTTGTTACGCCAGGATACCAGACAAATGCAATTCCTTTTAGTTAACTGTCTTGTCCAGTTCCCGTAATGTTCCGTTTCTTCTGCTGGTTTCCTTCTTAGTCTTGTCCATTATGCCTTATCAAAACTTTACATGGCAGAGATGGCTAGCTGTCCCCTAAAATTCAGCATCCCCTTTCACAGTGTAGAGATGTCAGTTGAATTTGGCTGCCCAGCCAGGAACCGCATCTTCCAGCCCTTCCTGCATCCAGATTATGCCATGTGACTAGTTTTCATCAATGAAATGAGAAAGAGATTTATGTCACCTCCCAGATGGGGTTTTTTAAAAGCATGATTGTTTTCTCTACTCTCTTCCCCTATCTGAATAGGAAGGAGTCTGTAGCTTTAGGGGAAGACAGAGCCACAAGATGGAAGGAGCTTGGATGTCTGAACTATTCCATGGAGAAAAGCTGCAGCCAACGAAGAACACCTGCAATGGACTCTTAACCTGGGGGTGACGACAACCACTGAAATGTGAGGGCTTATTCGTTAGCATTTGTCTAGCATTACCCTAACTGATATCTAATTAATTTCCTTACATCCTCAAACTTCTTGCCTTAAATTTAATCTCCTGCCTGTCCCCCAGGAGTTCAGTTCCCCTCAAGCTTCTGGAAGAGAGGCTGCTCATTCTTCCACAACAGCCTAGACACCATGGAGGCTGAGAGATGGTACTGGCATTTTCTTTTTTTTTTTTGAGATGGTGTCTTGCTCTGTCGCCCATGCTGGAGTGCAGTGGCACGATCTTGGCTCACTGCAACTTCAGCCTCCCAGGCTCAAGCGATTCTCTTGCCTCAGCCTCCCAAGTAGCTGGGATTACAGGTGTGTGCCACAGCTGGCTAATTTTTGTATTTGTAGTAGAGATGGGGTTTCACCATGTTGGCCAGGCTGGTCTCTAACTGCTGACGTCAGGCAATCCATCCATCTTGGCCTCCCAAACTACTGGGTGTGAGCCACTGCGCCTGGCTGTTATTGGCATTTTCTTAACTCCTAGTTGCATTGTTCAGACCACTTCACATGTGAAATTAATGCCATCCAACTTTTTTTCCTAGTTGGTGTTCCACACACAGATTGGCATTGACATTGTTATAGAGCCTGCCTATGCTCAGGGAGAGAATTTGAGGATGAAAGGGAATATTGGCATCAGTGTCTATGGCAACCTAAAGAAATGTATATGAATTTGCGTATACATCAAGCTCTCTAATTACCATGAGGAAAAACATGAATTCTTTCCCAGTCTGGTCCCTCTTATTAGTCTCACTTTTCTTTCCCCCATCCACCAACTGCATCATCTGTCCCATTTCCATGGGGTGTGTGGGCAGCTGAGGGAGATCCAGCATAAGACATCAGTGCTGAAAACCCTAGCCTGGAAACACCAAAGGCCAAATGAGACTCCATCACAGAATTTCTAACACATATATCCAAGGTGCAATGACCCAGTTTGTCAAACCTTTAGATTATGTGATAATTTACTGATGATTCACTTTAGAGATTTGAAAATAAAAGTACTTTTATATTTTTGTTTTTCTGAAAATGGTCCCAAAGTTCAATGATTTTCTTGCATATCTCAAATATTACAATGGGGTGATTTAAGGCCAGCACATTTTTGCAGGCTATCTGAAAAGAACTTACTTTTCCATAAAGCCCTCTAAGTTTCTTTGCCCTTATTAGATTTATAGCTGATTCTTTCAAAGCTGACTGTGACCTTGACCTGCAGACAAAAATAGCAAAATATAAATTTTGTGGAAGGCAGTAGCACTGTCTTTCTTGGATAAAGTCTGCATCTCCTACCAAGAAAAAATCTAAGAGGTATTGCCAAGCTAATGCACATGGTTAAAGTAACTGCCCCATTGCCCCTTTTCTTTCTTTCTTTTAATTTTTTTGTTCTAGGTTTACTGCACTTGCCTCTAGCAGTTATGGAATTCTATGCCACTCAAATCCTCTATCTGTTGCAAAAATGTGCATCCCAAGATGGTGCTCTTGAGCTGTGGTGCAGTATCTTCAGACAGACACTGTGGGTCCCACAATGAAGCAATGGAGAAAAAAGACACCACTAAAGAACCACCAGGGTGCAGCATTCCTGAGTGGCAGAAGCCATGCAGGAAATGGCAGTATGTACAGCTGGCACTTTGAAGAACAATGAATTCCTTCAAGGCTCTGTGCAGACATTTCAAACAGTGGATACCAGACAGGCTTGGCATAGCTTAGACTCAATTATAGCTAGAATTATTTTATTTCTGGGTAGGTAACTGAGAGAAGCAGGAATTGTGCATGTATCTCCATATGGTTTTATTTTTAAAGAATGAAATAGCAACAAATATAAACAACTGCTGTAACAGCAAAGAGCATAATTTCTTCTAAAATGAGGATTATATTTAGAACACTCCAAATGGGGACACACTGTCTGACAAGAAGTCAGAATATCGGAAAATGGAAGTGTCTTACTTAATTAAATAACCCTGAAGTAATTTAATATCATGAGTAGGTGAGACTTTTAAAAAGGGTTAAACAAAGGCATATCCCTAAGTAGAAATATGTAGCCCTATCACCTGCAAAATTGTCATAAATCTTTGTGTTTTATTTTCACAGATGCTGCATCTTAGTCCAGGGATTTTTAAAGTGTGGTTCCTGGAAGAGCTGGATCAGAGTCATCTGTGTTGATGGTTTAACATAAAGATTTTCGAGCCCCAAGACTCAAGTAGGACAAGGAATTTGAATTTTTAAGCAGCTCACCTGACTTGTCTGTCCTCTAATGTCTGAAGACATCTGACCTCTGCTCTTTCAGTAAAAGCAACAATGGTTTTATGAGCATTGTCGTCACATCTCTCCACTCAAGGGATCCTTCTCATTTCTCCCAGCTGAGGTCACCCACAGCTGCTGCTTCTAACTGCTGGCTTCCAGCCTGCTGTCTGCCAGCTGGCTCTACCCTCTCCTATAACACGGCAGAGAGTAGCTGTGGTCTCCTGCGTGCTCACCCTCTGCTCCCTTGGTCCTGCTCCATGCTTTGGTCCTGCACTTAAATTTTACAAGCATACTCTCTTTCTCTTAAGGTAAGCAACCATTTTAAATCTCAGCGGTAAACAAAACAAAAAATCACCAGGAAACTATATGAAATCAGGTTTTTTTGTTTGTTTTTGGTTTTTGGTTTTGGTTTTGTTTTTTTGGTGGTATTTTTTTTGTTTTTTTGTTTTTTGTTTTTTTGAGATGGAGTCTTGCTGTGTCACCCAGGATGGAGTGCAGTGGAGCCATCTTGGCTCACTGCAACTTCCGCCTCCCAGGTTCAAGCAATTCTCCTCTCTCAGCCTCCTGAGTAGCTGGGATTACAGGCACCCACCACCATGCCTGGCTAATTTTTGTATGTTTAGTAGAGATGGGGTTTCACCATGTTGGCCAAGCTGGCCTCAAACTCCTGACCTCAAGTGATCTGCCTGCCTCAGCCTCCCAAGTGCTGGGATTATAGGTGTAAGTCACCACGCCTGGCATCAAAGCAGGTTTTAACCAGCCTTTTTGTCCACTGATAACATAAAGGAGGTCAGCAGCAGCTAAGTCCTGTGCCAGAAGAGCTTTCTTGTCCTTTCACACTGCAAGAGAAATAATCACTTAGCTAAGAGGCCAATTTTACCTTTTTTAAAAAAAAATTTAAAAATGAGGGCGGGTGCAGTGGCTCACTCCTGTAATCCCAGCACTTTGGGAGGCCAAGACGGGCAGATCACTTGAGGTCAGGAGTTCGAGACTAGCCTGGCCAACATGGTGAAACCCCGTGTCTACTAAAAATACAAAAAAATTAGCCAGGTGTGGTGGCGGGCGCCTGTAATCCCAGCTACTTGGGAGACTGAGGCAGGAGATTCCCTTGAACCCAGGAGATGGAGGCTGCAGTGAGCCAAGAGCACACCACTGTACTCCAGCCTGGGCAACAGAGCTGGACTCCGTCTCAAAAAAAAAAAAAAATTTTTTTAAATGAGAGCTATATCTTATCAACAAAATTAACTATGTTCGTTTTTGGAGTTTTATTTTTGTAGCATTTACAGAAATCTGTTAAGAGCTTCTTAATTATAAAAATGAGTTAATAACATATTTCTCAAATTGACTTATCAATTCGTTGTCATTGTGGACGAAATTACTTTATAATCAATTACCATAAAGAAACCTGATTTGATTTCAGCTCACCCTCAATATTCAAGGCACTTGGATTGTTGGTCTCCACCCATTTATTATGTGGTCTACTAAAAATAGACCACATCCTAGGAGTTAGCATTCCAAGAACAGTTTCCACTTATTACTCACTTCTTGATATTTATGGAACTGCTCATTTCGCAAATATTTCAGCTCTACTCTCCAATCTTTAGAAGAAAAAAGAAAATAACAATAACAACAATAGAATTTCATTCTCTCCAGAGAGTTAGCAAGGAAATGAGAGCGGAAAGAAAGCAAATGGGAAGTTAGAATTGGGGAAAATGTAAAGCAAAGCCAAATGTGAATAGGAATAGCAGTTGACAAGAGGGGAAAAGAGGGTGCAGAGGACAAATATACCAATAGAAAACATGTAAACTCAATAGCATGCAACCTTTTAAAAAATAAATGATTTAAGTTCATTTTGATAGTGGATAGGACAAGAATATTGGCACATTATGAAAAGAAACATGACAAGGTCTTGAATAAATTTTAATGAAAATATATAAATGGATTACCCTCTATTACAACACCAGAGGCCACAAAACTACAGGAAGCAAATTCTTCACTATAAGATATTCTTCACAGCCTCTTTTAATCATGTATACATCCTCATTCTACATTAACTTTCATACACAAAAACAAATTAGAATGAAATTCATTTTTGTACTTACAACCTGACATCCTTAGAAATGTGAATCTTATGCCAACTTAGAGCAAAAATCAAAATTGGAAGACTATAGTATAAGAAAAGACCATGGCCTGTAATCCCAGCACTTTGGGAGGTAAGGCAGGCAAATCATGAGGTCAGGAGTTTGTGACCAGCCTGGGCAACATGGTGAAACCCCATCTCTAGTAAAATACAAAAAAAAAAATAAGCCAAGTGTGGCGGTGTGCGCCTGTAGTCCCAGCTACTCGGGAGGCTGAGGCAGGAGAATTGCTTGAACCCAGGAGGCGGAGGTTGCAGTGAGCCAAGATCGCGCCACTGCAGTCCAGCCTGGGCAACAGAGTGAGACTCCATCTCAAAAAAGAAAAGAAAAGAGAAGACCATGAGGGGGAAGATCAAATAGAGTTGTAGAGACTTCTGGTGTGGATATGCAGACATGATTTAATCCATAGTCTATGGTAATCACCATCTGTAAGTGGAGACCCCAGCCTACTTGACTTGGTGGTAGAAATTCTTTTCACTGGCAGCGGCTTTCATTTCTTTTTCCTGGAAATTTTATCTTTCTTTTCTGTTATAGAGTAAAATGGAAGCCTGCTAGCAGAACACATCTATCCACATGACTCTGACATAGTAGCCTGCATTTCCCACCTTATACCACCTTCCTTTATGGGAGTTATTTTTCATTGCATTCTGAAGACAAAAGACCTTTGGTGATAATCAGTAAAGATCCTAACTTGGTGGTAGACAGTTTTCTACGGAACATGCAGTTCTGACTCCAATAAGCCACAAGGCAGTTCAAACAAAACACTTGGCTGCCCTTTGGGAGGGACCTGGTGGGCACATCTTTCTCTTTTCCTTCACATCTCATTGCCTGTTGTCACTCATGGAATATGTGCATGGCAGGATCAAGACACCACCGTCTGGTGTTCCTGCCGGCAGGGAAAATGTTGGATTTTGAGCCTAGATTCCCAATTTATGTTATTTTATACCCCTCTACCATTATCTTTGTTTTATTGCCTGGGGGAAAGCAGTGTTCACTAAGGAGGAGGTGGTTATTGCAACTATTTGAATGTAATCTGGGGCCATTAGGAATTCATCCATCTGTCAAGCCTGTGGAAGGAAGGAATATGAATGGAGTACTAGTTCTGATAGTGAAGTGTGCCTTAGAACAGATGTTTGAATTGACAAGTCTTCTCAGTGGTGTAACATATACCAGGGTAGCACTGGTACCAAGTGAGAATGGGGCTTTGTCTTTGTAGCCTTTTTTCCCTTGTGGTTTGTTGCAGTGGTTTGAATGGCATGGTTTTTTATTTATTTATTTATTTATTTTAAAGAGAATTTAGCAATTTATGCAATTTTTCTAGAATTGAATATTTTGTACTTTGATAATAGCTCATTTATGGAGGGAAAGTTCTATTGTGAGTTTTTGCTTTGTTTTTTTTTTGTTTTTTTTTTTTTTGCTTTGTTTTTTGTTTTTTGTTTTTTTTTTGTTTTTTTTTAAGAAAGCACAGCCCCATCAGTTTATTATTGTGCTCTATTTTAGGGCTACTCCCACTTTAGACATTCTTTGTGAGGTGTCACGCTCTCTCTCTCTTCCTCTCTCTCAGGTGTGAGGGAGGCTTTGCAATATGTTCCTGTAAGAGTTCTCAAAAGTGAGAAATGATATTTTCAATCTTCTCCTTCAAACAGTAACTGCCTGAAAAGCCAAGAAGTAGAGTGACGGGGTGGTGTTGAAGGTGGCAGACTGATGAAGATAAGGAGAAATGAATTTGGAAAAGGAGGGAGGAGCAAACCAATGAAGAGTTGTAAAAACCAGAAAAGCAATTCTGGATTAGATTTAGAAGTGGCAGAATGACAAGGTGAAGTTTTCTATAGGGAGAAAGTTGCTAGGTTGCCTCATTTGAGACAGCCTGGAATTTTTGAAAAGCGGAAATTAAAAAAAAAAACTAGAGCAGTGTGATCATTCACAAGAGGCAGGAGTTGATGGTAGGGGTACCTGCAGAGGCAAGCCTTGGGCAACTTCTCTGGGGGCAGTTACTTAATTCTTTGCTGTGGTTTGGTCAAAACAGTGTATTAGTTCATTTTCACACTGCTGATAAAGACATCCCTGAGACTGGGTAATTTATAAAGACAAAGAGATTTAATGGACTTACCGTTCCACTTGGCTGGAGAGGCCTCACAATCATGGCCGAAGGTGAAAGGCACATCTTACATGGTGGCAGACAAGAGAGAACTTGTGCAGGAAAACTCCCCTTTATAAAACCGTTAGATCTTGTGAGACTTATTCACTATCATGAAAACAGTACAGGAAAGACCTGCTCCCATGATTCAGTTACCTCCCACCGGGTCCCTCCCATGACACCTGGGAATTGTGGGAGCTTCAATTCAAGATGAAATCAGAGTGGGGACACAGCCAAAGCATATCAAACAGCTTGTTTGTTTATAGAGAATTAACTGCATATCAAATATGTGAGTCAGACTTAAAGTCATAGAGAACTGACCACAGCAACCCCTGCATGAGGCTCAGATTTGGAAAGATCTCTTGTTCCTGGCCTCCTCATATCATATATAGTTACTTTATCATTACTTTTAGCTCTGTGGCTTGCACTAAGTCTCTTGGTCTCTGTTGCTTCCTGAAAATTGACAAGAAATGAATAATCCAAGTGATCTAACCCCTTCAACTCTGTCTGTCTCACAATGCATCCTTCTCCTCACCTTAACATAGGTATTGGCAAGGTTAAAGGAAAAACAGTTGGAAATCTACATTAAGACATGATAGAGAACAATGTCTGGGTTCACTAGCTTTCTGGGCTTCCACAGAGTCTTTCCCTTTGTGTCCTGCATGAAACGGTGGACACATCTGCTCTCCCATCCCCAGCCCTGTTCTCTGGAAAATCTGCCTTTGAATTTTATAGTGCCCAGGGCAAAAGAGCTAGACAATCCTCATCTTCCCACCTAACTCCAAGGTTTCTAGTGAGAATCAAATGAAATAACATGTACAGAAGTGCTTTGTAAGGCAATATAAACACAATCCATATATAGGTATGAATATAATGTTTTTCTTAAAATTCTCACTTCACATCTCCTTTTCTTATTTTTGTCTCTCTTTCTAATATGTGTGCATAGAACTGCCTGAGCATATGAGTGCATGCATGTGAGTCTGGGAAACATTTTCAAAGTTTCACTTGAGAAATTTCTTTCTATGCCATCCTAAAATTTTTATAGAGTTCAAATTTCAATTATTAGGTTAGTGCAAAAGTAATGGCAAAAGCACCATTTTTTGCCGTGGCAGTTTTTGCCTTTACTTTATTGTGCATTTACAAGAGATAGTCAACTCTCCCATATACACAAAAGTTAAGAACAACACAACACATATAGAACAGAACAGGGAATGGAGAAAGCGCTTTTATAATAAGCATCTTTTTTTTCACCAGCCATAGCATTCTTAGGACAAATTGAATTCAGTAATCCCCATAATGTCTAAAGATGAACTTATTTTTTAAGACAAAGATGAACTCAGTGTCAAGATGGTGCAAGAATATTATTGCTATTCCTTTTATTATCATATATAGTACCTTTCCATTGAAAAGCCAAAGGCATTTTACAAAATCTGACAGTGATCCTCATAATGTCCCTCTGGGCTGAGTAGGTTTCATTACAAACAATAAATAATAACTGCCCTTTATTTTGAAATGTCTCTGACAGAAGCTATTAAAAATGGATTGGACAGTCATGATTCATGGATTCTAAAGGGAGCTTATTTTATGGGAGGGAAGATGGTGAGTTCCTAGGTGTTTCTATCTGTTGGAGTTGTTTTGTCTCAAGAAGCTAATTGCATCAGAACTCCAGTGTACCTGAAAAGTGTCTCTCATAATTACTAACATTTACTTACAAATTAAAAGAAATATAGGCTATAATCATATTATATAAAGTAAATATGAAACAATTATAAATTTACTGACTCACTGAAGATCTCCAAACCAGATAATGAAGCTATCTACTGCATGTCTTCTGACTGAGTTCCCCTGATTTAGTTGTTTAACTAGAGATGTCAATCACACTGCCTGGCTGACCTGCAGATGCTCCAAAGGAAAGTGGCCCCTTCTCCATTCCCTACTGAAGGAAGAGCCCTGGGTAGTCACATTTAGTACCATGTGTCCCCATCTCTCCGGACACAACTGGTTGGAAAAGAATGGGCACCTGACCCAGGGCAGTCAATGTATGAGCTAGTCGGTGACCCATGCATGAAAGATGATCTAAGCCAATCAGACTATCTGTCTTAGACAATCTAAGTGGGATATTCCAGAATGGAGTTATCAGTGGGAAAAGAAAGTGAAAGGGAGCGAGATGGAGATAGGCTGGACCAAGTTATGAGTGAGGTAAACTGTGCATGAGCTATAGTTATAAATGAGCATATACTTCAAGATGGAGAAAAGACTCACAGATTAGAGGGTGAATAAGACAGTTCCTAGGAAGAGAAACCAGAGAGGCATGTGTGGAAGAGTAAGTGCCCTGTCAATTGTGGAGCACTGCAGCAAAGACATACTGCTGAGCTCTCCAGAGAAGTCTTGGAGTAAGACCCAGCTTTCAGTTTATTCTCCTGGATGTGTGAGTGTTGACCCTACTCTGGCTTTTGTATCTGTGACATTTCTTTTGTCCTCTTGTATGTTCCCAATATCCTGACTTAATTGAGTTAGTTTGGGTCTTCGTTCCTGGAAACCAAAAAGCTCCTTAAGACAGGGACCCTCCAGCATGACAAGGAGTATCGGTTATACTTGTTGCTTAGTGTCCACTTCACCAGTGTATGAATGCAAGCCATAACTTAATAACAAATAAAGCAACAACAGCAAAAACATGTCTTCCCAGAACATCTTCCACCAACCTTTGAGATCATTCTCTAACTCTGTAGACGTTTTACTCGTTAGCACACTAATTATATCTTTCAGCTGCCAAGCAGGATTAGATGTTATTCTAATAAAAAAGTCATGCAAATAGGGGTATTCATGGAATCTCAATGCATTCTCTTTCTAGCCAGTTTATATTATTGTCTCCATTAGTATCACAATACATATGCAAAACACCTGACAGTTTATGCTACACTTTATGCTACAATTTGTTCTATTCTCTTCCCTAAACACTACTTCTAGAAATTAGCTGTTTTCCTTTAGCCATCTAATATTCAAGAGCCATGCAATCATCTCTCCTTACTATTTTCTGGCTTTGATTAATGATCTTTTAAAAATTGCTAAATATAGTTGTCACTATTGACAAATAAAACCAGAAGGTCTCATATTAAAATGTTCTATATTTTCGGCCGGGCATGGTGGCTCACGCCTGTAATCTCGGCATTTTGGGAGGCTGAGGCGGGTGGATCATGAGATCAGGAGTTTGAGACCACCCTGGCTGACATGGTGAAACCCCATCTCTACTAAAAATACAAAAATTAGCCGGGCACAGTGGCAGGCGCCTGTAATCCCAGCTACTCGGGAGGCTGAGGCAGGAGAATCGCTTGAACCCAGGAGGTGGAAGTTGCAGTGAGCCGAGATCACGCCACTGCACTCTAACCTGGGCAACAGAGCAAGACTCTGTCTCAAAAATAAATAAATAAATAAATAAATAAATAAAATAAAATGTTCTACATTTTCATTAATATTTACTCTCCTTGATATTATTCATTAAACAATTAAATTACTATTAGCAGATAGTAATTGCAGGATATAAATGCAAATGTCTGTGATATCATATAAGTATATTTTGCTGATAGAATTTAATTTAAGTGCTCATTGTTGATTTGTCCTTTTCTAGTAGAAATAAAAGATAACAGGAGTGCATATTACATTCACTTATATTAATTAATGCATTTATTCAAGAAATCCTCGTGGTGTCTTAAGTTAATGATATGAAAAGATCATGACTTTTTAGCATATGGTCAGTGTGAAAGATGTCTGCCTAAGCACAGAATAGACTGAGGTTGAATGTTTAATGTCTGTGGGTGTTTACTGCTTGTCTCTGTAGACAGGATAGCACTCCTGAGTCCCAAGGAGCTGAAATTCTTTACATTTCCTTGAAGAAGGAAATAGTTTGAACATCAATGATTTCTCACATTTTTCTCTACCAATAACCCGTTAAAGAGTATTTTCAGGCTGGGAATGGTGGCTCATGCCTGTAATCTCAGCACTTTGGGAGGCCGAGGCAGGTGGATCACCTGAGGTCAGGAGTTTGAGACCAACCTGACCAACATGGAGAAACTCCATCTCTACTAAAAATACAAAATTAGCTGGGCATGGTGGCACATGCCTGTAATCCCAGCTACTCAGGAGGCTGAGACAGGAGAATCTCTTGAACCCAGGAGGCGGAGGTTGCAGTGAGCCAAGATTGCACCATTGCACTCCAGCCTCAGCAATAAGAGTGAAACTCCGTCTCAAAAAACAAAAAAAAATTTTTTTCTCCCATGGAATTCTTGTTTTAAAAGAGTCTTTCATATTTGAAATATACCTTTCAAATATATTTATTTAGTTATTGATTTATTGAAAACATTCCATTGATTCAATATATATTTAAAACTAATATAAGCTTCTGATTAGGATGAGAGAATAATCCTTAGCATACTGACTTTATAGAATTTCAGTCAAAATCAAAGAAATTTAACATTTTAGTTAGTTTGTATAGATCTTTTCTCCTAGGGCTTTTGAGATATTGAAAATAGCTCAGAAATTCCATCAATACCTTCTGATATTTCTAAGGAACACTAGTGTAGGAACCACTGTCGTCACCATCTTTGTGGTTTTTCAGATTTCCCAAGGTAATCTTGTTATCAAATGCTCATTTTCACTGCTTGCTCTGATTTGGGGTTTTGATAACATGGTTATATCTGTGGCCAACAGATCTTCCTATCCTTCATTGCTAACAGAACCTGGATTTGGTCAATTCTTACATATTCCATGTCAAGGGAAACTGACTCCTCACCAACCCCTAGGAAGGACTTATAATTCACTTGTGCCTTTTCCTGCTTTGCCTTTCATTGATTTGGTGTGTACAATATGTTACTTAGTTCTATCAATGAGAAATGAAGGGATGTCTGCTGATTTAAACCAATCATAGTACATAGGTGACAAAAATCTGACCAATGAGAAGCCCGACGGGGAGTTTTATGAAATGCTTTCTTTATTCTTAAAAAAAATGGAAAGAAGCAAAGATGTTTCACTTTTCCTTTGTATTGCCTGTGGAGACTTTGTAAGGATGTGATACCTGGAGCTAATGCAGCCATTTTGTGACCATGGGGAAACTGCTGGCACATTGATGACTGGCAGGTTAGAAAGATGGAAAGAACCTTGGCTCTGATGATTTGTTAAGCAACTTTATTAACTAACCTGGAACTTCTTTACTCCTGGAATGCTTTTTACATAATGCAGCTTAAGTCACTTTTTGATGCATTTATCTAGATATTTCTGAAGCTCGCACCTAAAAGTAATTCAACTGATATCATATAAACAATCATAATTTTTAAAATATTAGCGGTTAACAAATATACTCATGGAGTCTCAGAGTTGGGAGGGACCTTAAAGGTCATCGAGTCTAATCCCCTGCTTATGTTATCCAAATTAAAAATTTGATGCACAATCTATAGTCACTGTTGTGCATTAGATGTTGTGATAGTAGGCTTACACTGACCTTCTGAAATTATTGTCACAATGACTAAATAAATGGTATATTATTAATAAGAGGCAAGCTGTTATGGGCTGAATTGTGTCTCCCTCAAATTCATGTTGAAATTCTAATGCTTAATGTGATAGGGCCTTTAAGGAGGCAGGAGATATTTGGACATTTGAGGAATTTGGAGATACAGTTTTTAAGAGGTAACTGAAGTTTTTTTTTTGAGATGGAGTCTCACTCTGTCACCCAGGCTGGAGTGCAGTGGCGCAATCTCAGCTCACTGCAACCTCTGCCTCCCTGGTCCAAGCAATTCTCTGCCTCAGCCTCCCAAGTAGCTGGGATTATAGGGGTCTGCCACCACACCTGGCTAATTTTTTTGTATTTTCAGTAGAGACGGAGTTTTACCATCTTGGCCAGGCTGGTCTTGAACTCCTGACCTAGTGATCCACCTGCCTCAGCCTCCTAAAGGGTTGGGATTACAGGCGTGAGCCACCATGTTCAGCCTTTGACCCAATTTATTAGCTGGATATGTCTTCTGATATGTAAAATTGCCAGGGCAAAGAAGACAAGATTGCAAGTAACATCCCTTAAGACTATCCAGCTTTCTTTGACCTTATTCCATGCTTATTAAGCAGTTTCCTTTTGATTAATTAGGCTACCTAACTACTTTGATAACTGGTAGAAAGTGCCCTGGATAGCCACCTGACATAATTAATACATTAGAGAGGTGTATCACATGTTATAAATTAATAACTTCATGTTCTGACCTCACACAACAGTCTCGTGAGTGTAATTAGAGTAAATAATTTGTTCATCATTCACTCAGCACTTTCTTTGTGCTGGGAACTACCAGAGGTGCTGAAAATATCAGTGAAGAGGATGGATTCCTGCTCTGGTGGCTTCTGTCTCTCTTAGGAGCTCACAGTCGCACAGGCAGCTATTACAGGTACCATTTAGGGAGCAAGTCTCAGGCACTGGGATAAGGGCTTTCTGTGTTTCACGGTTGTGCTTCTTGTTCCTTTTTGACCTCATTTCTTAGAATTATTTCCCTTATTCATTCTACTCTGGCCATGCTGGTCCATAAGCCGGGTTTTGTTTTTTGTTTTTTTTTTTTGAGACAGAGTCTTGCTTTGTTGCCCAGGCTAGAGTGCAGTGGCCCAATCTCAGCTCACTGCAACCTCCACCTCCTGGGTTCAAGCGATTCTCCTGCCTCAGCCTCCTGAGTAGCTTGGATTGCAGGCACCCGCCATCATGCCCGGCTAATTTTTGCATTTTTAGTAGGGATGGGGTTTCACCATATTGGTCAGGCTGGTCCTGAACTCCAGAGCTCGTGATCCGCCTGCCTTGGCCTCCCAAAGTGCTGGGATTACAGGCGTGAGCCACCACGCCCAGCCTATAAACTCTTTTAAGTTTTTTCTTGCCAGTCTGCTCAGGACTTTCATGGAACCAGATGGCGTGGCAGATGATTCAGCTGGAGAAAGCAAAATTTGGCTTCTTTTGTCTACCTCTATTTTTTTTTCCAAAATGAATTCCTTCTCAGTCTTATCATATATTTGAAGAAAGGATCATGGAGCCATTATCCCTGCTGTTCACGCACACTGACCTTCAGTTTGATTTTCTAGGCCCTTCAGTTTGAATTCATGGATGGTCCCATGATATCCATGCATCTCTTGTTGGGAAGTGGAGACTTCTTCCCTGTGTGTATGGATGGGCAGTGATATGTGCTGTCTTCCTGAATAACACAATGAATAACATCTAAAACTCCTCCCATCATGATTTGAATAAATGTCAATTTATTAACATTTTTCTTTCCCTACTTCACATCTTTTGCCTGAAAATATAAGCAGACATTCTTCTCCAGTGTCTGCTCTTTCATCCTGCTAAGGGTGAGGATTCAGGATCTCTTTTGGATGCCTGCTCCTTTTAAGGCAGGCCATTTATAGTTTTGCTGCATGGACATAATTTTAACCTTTTCAAAAGAAGCAGGGCATGTTTCAGAGGAGAGGTGAAGTACATTAAAGACAATAGCCTCTCACAGTCTGATCTGAACTATGGTTTGGGTCAGACAGTATTTTAATTAGTTTGGATTTTCAGTCCATTAAAGGAAAGCTCTGATTACATTTTACAACAGGTCACTAGGCAAAAATCTGCTTCATCTGCACAACAATTGTGGTTCCTTTTCATTTGACTATGTCACTAGAAGACACTTACTCTGTGCTGGGGAGCAGAAGCAGCCCATGGGGTGTCTCATTCTCCCAACCACATCAAAGCACTTTCTATACCACAGAGCCCTGAGGGAGGATACTTAGGTACACAGGCTGATATTTATTCATTTCATAGTATCCAACATCAGCGCCACATCCTGAAAACAATGGCGTGGTTGCTGCATTAAAAATGCATCAGTTACTGACTCCAGAACCCAATGTGAGGTTCCAGGATATCCCTGCCCCATGTAAGGGAAGCCCCTATCTTTCAACTTTAACAGTGAGCTGAGGAATAAGGAGGGAAACTGTAGTTCAGGAACATTGCAGAGCCTATTAGAAGGAAAGCATGCTTGCTGTGCCTGTGCTTAATGGTTGGTCTTAGAATGGCCAAAAAATGTGGGCAAGGGGGAAGTAAAAAACTTGAATTTTTAAAGCCATAAAGTCTGGGGTTTTAGAGTGGCACTCTGAAATGTTGCAGTATGCGTCAGTATCACTAAAAAATCATTATATTAAAAAAATCCCTTCCAGCCATGGAAAAGCATCATCCAAAGATAAAGTAGACTTTCCTTGCCTTTTAGTCCTTTGTAAAAGGCATTTATTTAATAAAAGACGGGTACAAGTAGGCATTTTTAAAAATTCATCATTGTCTTTATTTTATAGTAGGAAAACTAAGTCATTTCATGAAAAATTGTTACCAGTGGAGGGTGTTCAGGTTCTTGGCATCTTGAACAAAGAATTGGACAAAATGCACAAACAAAGCAAGGAAGGAAGGAAGGAATTTATTGAAAATGAAAGTACATTCCAGTGTGGGAGCAGGTCGAGCATAGGGGCTCAAGGGCACCATTACAGAATTTACAGGGGTTTAAATACCCTCTAGAGGATTCCACTGGTTACTTGGGGTATGCCCTATGTAATTGAAGAGGATGAAGTGAAGTTACAAAGTCATTTACTCGACGTATACCCTATGGAGAGGATATTCCCTGTCATAGCTGGAGCGTAAATTGGCATTTCTTTACAATAGTTCTTATTTTACTTTAATCAAGACTAAGAGCTTTATGAAAATGTTAGCCAAATATCTCCAATTCTCCATCAGGTTTTAAATAATATTTTATTATTTAAACTTTTTCCAGATCTTTCCTCTCTACTTAATGATTCCTTACTACATTGTTTCACAAATAACCTTTTCAAATCTGTAATTTGAACTAACTTTTAGGTAACTTCTGAATTAGACAGAATTATTCTTTTTTTCACTAACAGCATAACCCTTTCTGGCACATTTTGTATACAGAATTATGGGTTAACTAGAATTTTTATCCTTAGAAACCTAAAACTTTAGTGAAACCCTAAAAAGCAAGAAATCTTGAACTATCAGATATGGGAATTTTTAGATAAGAACAATTCCACAATTTTAGAAACATATTTCCCTATATAACAACCCTTTCTTAATTGAAAATGACCCAGATATTAAATGAGCATCAAAAATAACTTTAAGATTTTAATTTACACAAAAAGTTTACCTAAAACATTTATTCCATTCACTGTACTCAGTTCTTTCACTTTTAACCTGGGAGACAGGAGACATCAATCAACATATGTAAAATGAACATTGGTTTGCTCCAGAAAGGTGGGAAAACTCAAAGCAGGGAGGGGGTTTGGGGGCTTCCAGGTTACAGGTAGGTGAGAAACAAACGGTTGCATTCTTTTGAGTTTCTGATTAGCCTTCCAAAGGAAACAATTAGATATGCATATATGCATTCATCTCGGTGAGACTTTGAATAGAATGGGAGATAGGTTTGCCCTAAGGAGTTCTTAGCTTGAATTTTCCCTTCAGCTTGGTGATTTTGAGGGCCCAAGATATTTTCCTTTCATAAATTACTCTGATTTATTTAAAAAAAAAAAAAAGCATGCAAACCAAGGTCATTTTGTTTCAGCTAGGTTTATAGTTTTATAACTTTCTATGCCAAACACTAACATCTCAAACTCTCTAGCAAAGACAAATATAAAATCCAGACAAAAATGTATGCTGAAAATTCTGAAGGCACTTCTATCCTTATTTTACCAATAATTTTAAAGCCAGCTTGTTTAGTAACTTAAGTCACATGAACTTGAAAATTGTTTAGACTATTTACTTAATTTATGAGCGCTCTTTTACTTATAAGCCAGTTTGGTAGACACAAGATATAACAGTAAGTATACATAGAAATAAACACATCTAGACACGTATACACAGGCATAAATGATGCAGTAGCTTACAACCGTAGCCATGAAATAGCAATAAGAGCTCACCAGTTTTACTTTGGTTGCCCCAGTAGATAATCCAATGAAGGCTGTCAACCAAAATTTCAGGTAAAGCAGTTTTGACGGCAGTTTGATTTTTAAAGGCCAAACCTCCCGACTCCAAAGAACACTGGGGCTAAACAGCACCAAATGAGAGCATCATACGTTAGTTAACCAGGCCCCCTGCTTAGTGCAAAAGCCTGCATACATGCAATGGCCATCCCACTCTCCCATTAGATAGTAAACTCCAGATTCTAAACAATTTTGGGGCCAAGCAAAATTGCAACTCAGAGAAAATTCTAAGGAGGGCTTATGACTAGATCTCAGAACCTTTGCCGAGAGCGTCCCCTTTGGGGAGGTTGAGGTCCACAGGATCCCCCAGAGTGTCCTTCTGTGGGGTGCAATCTTAGAGTGTCAGACGTTGTTGACCTTAGGTGGGCACCAGTGCCACTTTTCATGCTTTCCCTCCAGAGCCTACTATGAGCTTTCCTTTGGTACCTGGGTGTAATCCCTGACTTTTAGCATCCTTATAATTTGATAAGGCCACGCTTTCCCATGCTTCCCTTTCCACAAACTTTAATGATAGGAACTGGAGGCTGGGTGGGTTTCTTTTGCCCTTAGCCAGTTGAATAGGGGAAGGGCAGAATATAGCATAAGAAAAGAAGGTTTAAGTCACCTGAAACTTGTGCGGGTTTGCTCTGAGCTGTCTACACACAGGGATCAGGGACCACACCCAGAAAAGATTTAAAAAAAAAAAAAAGAATCATTTCCCCTTCTGGGCAGGGCAGTTATTCCCATGCATTCCTGGGCCTTCAGGCAATACTAGGGAGTGACCCCAGCCAGTTGCCCTCAATTTCCAAGCAGGTACTAGGAAACAGCCACTGAAAGACTGAAAAAGAAAGAAAGGGGGGAAAAAATGAAAAAGACCCTGGTCCCTTAAGCAAACTGGGCGGTGGCAGTTAGGCACCTTCACATGGAAACCCCTTAGTTTCACTGGCCACGGCCAGAAACCTGCAGTTGCTTCCTTGTTTTGGTGCTGCCCACCAAAGTGTCCTGAGTTGGAAAGAAAAGACAGAGAGAGAGATTCCCCTGTAAAGAGCAGAAAGGAAAGGGGAAAGAAGAAAAATAAATCCCAAACTTTGGACCTACCTTCTCCTGGAATTTCTCCTGACTGGCTCATCAAAATACGTTACCAGTGGAGGGTGTCCAGGTTCTTGGCATCTTGAACAAAGAATTGGACGAAATGCACAAAGCAAGGAGGGAATGAAGAGATTTATTGAAAATGAAGGTACACTCCACAGTGTGGGAGCGGGCCTGAGCATAGGGTGCCGTTACAGAATTGATGGGGATTTAAATACCCTCTAGAAGATTCCACTGGTTACTTGGGGGCACGCCCTATGTAAATGAAGAGGATGAAGTAAAGTTACAAAATCATTTACTCAATGTATGCCCTATTGTTGGGAAAAGGGTTTGTGGGGTGCCTGCATAAGCTGGCCATAAAAATATGGGACAATAAGTTGTGGAAAGCCACAAGAGGCCTCTGAGGAGGAAAGCCCCGTAAATGCCATCATGTTCCCATGCTCAGAGCGAGACCTGCTCTCTTATCCATAAACACTGTGTTCAAGGAGAAAGACACTCCTTTGAAGCACTGGAATGTGGCCAGACATGCAGGCTCCTAGTTAAGCCTGCTCTGCTAGCTACTCTCTGATAAGTTAAAGATATGCTGTTTGAGTACAAAGGAGATTCATTTAAACCACCACTGCTATAGATTATGCGTAAGATGCACTGCTTCCTGTCACGCACGTCCGTGTGAAGACACCACCAAACAGGCTTTGTGTGAGAAACAAGGCTGTTTATTTCACCTGGGTGCAGGCAGGCTGAGTCCGAAAAGAGTCAGCAAAGGGTGGTGGGATTATCATTAGTTCTTATAGGTTTTGGGATAGGCGATGGAGTTAGGAGCAATGTTTTGTGGGCAGGGGGTGGATCTCACAAAGTACATTCTCAAGGGTGGGGAGAATTACAAAGAACCTTCTTAATGGTGGGGGAGATTACAAAGAACCTTCTTAAGGGTGGGGGAGATTACGAAGTACATTGATCAGTTAGGGTGGGGCAGAAACAAATCACAATGGTGGAATGTCATCAGTTAAGTCTATTTTCACTTCTTTTGTGGATCTTCAGTTGCTTCAGGCCATCTGGATGTATACGTGCAGGTATACATATACATATACATATACATATACATATACATATACATATACATATACAGGGGATATGATGGCTTAGCTTGGGCTCAGAGGCCTGACATTCCTGTCTTCTTATATTATTAAGAAAAACAAAACAAAATGGTGAAGTGTTGGAGTGGCAAAAAACTTTGGGGATGGTATGGAGAGATAATGGGTGACATTTCTCAAAGCTGCTTTGGGTGGGATTAGGGGCAGCGTGGGAACCTACAGTGGGAGAGATTCAACTGAAGAAATATTTTGGGGTAAGGGGTGATATTGTGGGGTTGTTAGAAGGAGCATTTGTCGTATAGAATGATTGGTGATGGCCTGGATACGGTTTTGTATGAATTGAGAAACTAAATGGAAGACACAAGGTCCAAATAAGAGAAGGAGAAAAACAGGTGTTAAAGGGCTAAGAATTGGGAGGACCCAGGACATCCAATTAGAGAGTGCCTAAGGGGGTTCAGCATAATTACTTGCTTGGTTGGTGAGTTTTTGGGCTCTATCCTTGACAGAGTCCTCCTTTTTAAGTTGGAGGCTGAGCTTGGTGAGGTGTGTTTTTAAAAGACCATTAGTCTGTTCTACCTTTCCTGAAGATTGAGGACGGTAAGGGGTATGAAGATTCCACTGAATACCAAGAGCCTGAGAAACTGCTTGGGTGATTTGACTAATAAAGGCTGGTCCGTTATCAGACTGTATAGAGGTATGAAGGCCAAACTGAGGAATTATTTCTGACAGAAGGGAATAAATGACCGTGGTGGCCTTCTCAGACCCTGTGTGAAAGGCCTCTACCCATCCAGCGAAAGTGTCTACTCAGACCAAGAGGTATTTTAGTTTCCTGACTGGAGGCATGTGAGTAAAGTCAATTTGCCAGTCCTGGGCGGGGGCAAATCCCTGAGCTTGATGTGTAGGGAAGGGAGGGGGCCTGAACAATCCCTGAGGAGTAGTAGAATAGCAGATGGAACACTGAGAAGTGATCTCCTTGAGGATAGATTTCCACGATGGAAAGGAAATGAGAGGTTCTAAGAGGCAGGCTAGCAGCTTGAAACCTATGTGGAAGAGATTATGAAATGATGATAGAATAGAATGGGACTGTGAAGCTGGAAGGAGATATTTTCCTTGGTCCTAGAACCATTTGCCTTGTGTGGGAAGAGATTGATAGGTGGAAGTTTCAGTGGGAGAGTAGGTGGGAGTGACTGATGAGAAGGAGAAAAACTGGCTGTGAGGAACAGAAATTGGAATTCTAGCTGCTTCTTAAGCTACCTTATCAGCATAAGCGTTACCCTGAGCGATGGGACCTGATGCCTTTTGGTGGCCCTTGCAGTGTATGACTCCAGCTTCCTTTGGAAGTAAAGCGGCCTTGAGAAGAGTTTTTATTAAAGAGGCATTAATGATGGAAGACCCTTGCATAGTAAGGAAACCTCTTTCAGCCCATCTAACAGCATGGTGGTGCAGGATATGGAAGGCATATTTAGAGTCAGTATAAATATTGACATGTAATCCCTTTGCAAGAGGGAGGGCCCATGTGAAGGCCATGAGTTCAGCTTGCTGAGAGGTAGTGGAGAGGGGCAGTGTGGTGGCCTCGATGTTAGATGTGGAAGATACTATAGCATAGCCTGCCTTTGCTGGTTAGTGGCGATTAGGCCTGGTGGAACTGCTATCAATAAACCAAGTGTGATCAGGGTGAGGAACAGGAAAGAAGGAAATATGGGGAAATGGAGTGAATGTTAGGTGGATCAGAGAGATACAGTCATGGGGGTCAGGTGTGGTGTCTGGAATAATGTGGGAGGTTGGATTGAAGTCCGGACCAGGAACAATGGTAATTGTGGGAGACTCAACAAAGAGTGAGTATTGCTGAAGGAGCTGGGGAGCAGAAAGTATATGTGTCAGGTGTGAGGAGGAAAATAGATTTTGGAAGTTATGAGAACTGTAGAGAGTGAGTTGAGCATAGTTTGTGATTTTGAGGGCCTCTAAAAGTATTAAAGCAGTGGCAGTCACTGCACACAGACATGAGGGCTAGGCTAAAACAGTAAGGTCAAGTTGTTTGGACAGAAAGGCTATAGGGTGTGGTCCTGGCTCTTGTGTAAGAACTCCGACCGCACAGCCCTGCAGTTTGGCTGTGTGTAATGAAAAGGGAGTGATGAGTTAGGGAGAGTTAGTGTGGGAGCTGCTTTTAGGGCTGTTTTTTAAGGAGTGGAAAGGGGAGTGGGGAAAGGATTTAGGATTTATGGGGTCAGCTAGGTTTCCTTTTGTGAGTTTATATAATGGTTTTGTCAGGATGGTAAAACTAGGTATCCAAAGACAGAAGTACCTAACCATGCCTAGGAAGGAAAGGAGTTGTTGTTTTGTAGAAGGGGTTGGGGTTTGGGAGATTAGCTGGACACAATCAGCAGGGAGAGCACGTGTGTTTTCACGAAGAATTATGCCAAGATAGGTAATGAATGAGGAAGAAATTTGGGCTTGACTGAAGTAATTGACACTGTCTGTGAAGCCTTGTGGCAGTACAGCCCAGGTTATTTGCTGAGCCTAATGGGTGTCAGGGTCATTCCAAGTGAAAGCAAAGAGAGGCTGTGATGAAGGGTGCAAAGGAATAGTAAAGAAAGCATGTTTGAAATCCAGAACAGAATAATGGGTTATGGAGGGGTTGTGGAGGGAGCTATTGAGGATAGGAGAGTATATGGTTTTGGCACCACAGGTTGGATAGGCAAGACAATTTGGTTGATAAGGCACAGATCCTGAACTAACCTGTAAGGCTTGTCTGGTTTTTGGACAGGTAAAATGGGGGAATTGTAAGGAGAGTTTATAGTCTTTAAAAGGCCATGCTGTAACAGGCGAGTGATAACGGGCTTTAATCCTTTTAAAGCATGGCGGGGTAATGGTGATTAGGTTTTAATGAGATGGTAAGGGGTGCATGATTGGTCTCCAAGGAGGGAGTAGAGGTGTCCTATACTTGTGGATTAAGGTGGGGAGATACAAGGGGAGGACGTGAAGGAGGCTTTGAACTGGGGGAAAAGGCAGCAATGAGGTGTGGCTGTAGCCCAGGAATAGTC
Organism: Homo sapiens; assembly: GCF_000001405.40. Classification (NCBI taxonomy): domain Eukaryota; kingdom Metazoa; phylum Chordata; class Mammalia; order Primates; family Hominidae; genus Homo; species Homo sapiens. Next base: position 114,015,254 of record NC_000006.12, read on the forward strand.
AGGGAAGCAGATAATTTAGTTAAAATGTTTCAACCTAATAAGGGAGCTGGGCAGGTGGGGATAACTAAAAAGGAGTGTATAAAAGGATATTGTCTTAATTGGCACCAGAGTTGGGGAGTTTTAAGAGGTTTAGCAGCCTGGCCGTCAATACCCACAATGGTTATGGACGCAAGGGAAACAGGCCCTTGAAAAGAAGGTAATGTGGAGTGGGTAGCCTCCGTATTAATTAAGAAGGGGACCGACTTACCCTCTACTGTAAGAGTTATCCAAAGCGTCTGTGATGGTCCAGGAGGCTTCTGAGGTGATCGGGCAGTGTCAGTCTTCAGCCACTAAGCCGAAAAGATCTGAGAAGGAGTCGGTCAGAGAGCCCTGGGCCAGAGTTCCAGGGGCTCTGAGAGGGGCTGCCGGGCGAGTTGGACAGTCCAATTTCCAGTGGGGTCCCACACAGATGGGATGTGGCTTAGGAGGAATCCCAGGCTGCAGGCATTCCTTGGCCCACTGGCCAGATTTCCAGCACTTGAAGCAAGAACCTGGGGGAGGCGGTCCTGGAGGAATGTCTGGCCACTGCGGTTCAGACATTTTGAAGTTCTTGTGTGCCAGAGATGTGGCTAGGGTTTCTCTCACAGTGGAGGCAAGTAATTGCAACTCAGAAATACGTTGCTACTTGGCTGCCTCTACTCTATTATTGTACACCTTGAAGGTGAGGTTAATTAGGTCCTGTTGTGGGGTTTGAGGGCTGGAATCTAATTCTTGGAGCTTTTTCTAATGTTGGGAGCGGATTGGGTAATAAAATGCATATTGAGAATAAGGCGGCCTTCTGGCCCCTCTGGGTCTAGGGTGGTAAAGCGTCTAAGTGTTGCTGCTAAGCGGGCCATGAACTGGGCTGGGTTTTCATCTTTACCTCGGGTAGTTTCTTTAAGTTTGTCATAATTAACAGCTTTGTAAGCTGCCTTTTTAAGCCCTTCAACTAGGCAGGAAACCATGTAATCTCGCCTAGCTATATCTAGGGAATCTGCCTGATAGTTCCACTGAGGATCTTCTCGGGGGACTGCTCTAATGCCTTCCTGGAGGTCTGGCTCATGAAGCCGGTGGTTATCAGCGTGAGATTGGGCTAGATAAAAAACACTTTCCCATTCATCTGGGGAGAGGGTAGAAGTTAGGATAACATTAAAGTCAGTCCAGGTTAAATTGTAGGACAGAGTGAGATATCAGAATTCCTGTATATATTTAGTGGGGTCTGAAGAGAAAGAGCCTAAATGCTGGCTGATTTGTGAAAGGTCTGATAGAGAAAAAGGCACATGTACCCTGACTATGACTTCAGCTCCAGCCACCTCTCTAAGAGGAAATTGTTGGGCAGGTGGGGGAGAGCTAGTTGCAGAATGAAACTGTAAACCAGACCAAGTGTGGGGAGGGGAGGTAATAGAAGGGTTATAGGGTGGGGGAGCAGAGGCTGAAGAAGAGTTGGAGCCTGATTCAGCCTGGCGGGGAGTGACCTGAGGAGGAGCAGCCTGGGGAGGAGGTGAGAGGTCAGATGGTCAGTAGAAAAGGAAGATTCACAAGACTCAGCGACGCTTGGGGTTGGGACTGAAGGGACAGGCGGGAGGGAAAGAAGGAGGATTTGGGACGAGTCACATTGGGAACAGAGACTAGGGAGGGAACGAAGTGTGAAAAATGCCAGGACGTAAGCCACCTCAGACCATTTGCCCATTTTTCGACAGAAATTATCTAGGTATCGTAGGATGGAGAAATCAAAAGTGCCGTTTTCTGGCCATTTAGAACCATTGTCGAGTTTGTATTGGGGTCAAGCAGTATTGCAGAAGAAAATAAGATGCTCAGATTTTAGTTCAGGTGAGAGTTGAATATGTTTTAAGTTGTTGAGAACACAGGCTAAGGGAGAAGTAGGAATGGAGGGTGGAAGGCTGCCCACAGTGAAGGAGGCAAGTTTAAAAGAAGGGTAGAGACATGGAGAAGAGGGGTGGGGAGCAGCCCTGGGCTGCAATATGGGTGAGCAGCCAAAACAGGCATCTCCACAATTGACTTGCCACCAAGGGAATGTGGGTGAATGACCAAGGCAGGTGTCCCTGCGGTGATCAGACACCAATGGAATGTGGGTGAATAATCAGGCAGGCATCCCCGCAGTGATTAAATGCCAAGGGAAGACTGTCTTCCTGAGTCCGTGACCGGCGCCAGAGTTTTGGGTCCACAGATAAAATGTGTCTCCTTTGTCTCTACTAGAGGAAAAAACTGGAATTGGAAGGACAGGGAGATTGAAGGGTAGCGAGAGAGGCTGGAGAAGAGAGTGAAAAGACCACTTACCTGATTTGAAATTGGTGAGATGTTCCTTGGGCTGGTTGGTCTGAGGACCCGAAGTCATAGGTGGATCTCTTTACAGAGTGAGGGTGAGGACTGGGGACTGGTCTCCCGAAGGAGTCCCTCTGTCATGGGTCTTTGGCACCAAATGTCATGCGTGTCCATGTGAAGAGACCACCAAACAGGCTTTGTGTGAGAAACAAGGCTGTTTATTTCACCTGGGTGCAGGCGGGCTGAGTCCAAAAAGAGAGTCAGCAAAGGGTGGTGGGATTATCGTTAGTTCTTACAGGTTTTGGGATAGGCGGTGGAGTTAGGAGCAATGTTTTGCAGGCAGTGGGTGGATCTCACAAAGTACATTCTCAAGGGTGGAGAGAATTACAAAGAACCTTCTTAAGGGTGGGGGAGGTTACAAAGTACATTGATCAGTTAGGGTGGGGCAGAAACAAATCACAATGGTGGAATGTCATCAGTTAAGGCTATTTTCACGTCTTTTGTGGATCTTCAGTTGCTTCAGGCCCTCTGGATGTATACGTGCAGGTCATAGAGGATATGATGGCTTAGCTTGGGCTCAGAGGCCTGACACCTCCCTTTCACTGTTTCGCCCTGAACATCTGCTTCTTAGATCTAAGTGACTGTACTCAATAAATAGTGTGGAGACCAGAACTCTGGGCCTTTGCAGCCTCTGATTTGCTCTGGCACCCTGGCTCCCACTTTTATGAACTCTTAACCTGTCTCTTCTCATTCCTTTGTTGCCACCGGACTTCGGGTACCCTACGAGTGGTGTTGAGGCTGGTCCCCAACACCCTATGGAGAGGATATTTCCTGTCATAGCTTAAGTGTGAATCAGCCTTATGTTCCCTTGCCTCCAGACCCTATTTTCCTGCCTCAAAATGAAATCATTTGTCCAATGCATAATATAGTCAAAGATCTTGACACAATGGGTGTCTTAACTATCATTTCTCACCCATTTTTTTTTTTTTTTTGAGATGGAATTTTGCTCTTGTTGCCCAGGCTGGAGTGCAGTGGCACGATCTTGGCTCACTGCAACCTCCGCCTCCCAGGTTCAAGCCTCGTCCTCCCAAAGGTGTGAGCCACTGCACTCGGCTTCTCACCTTTAATCAATAAATATTATTTGTCTTTAAAGACAATGAAAAATTACTCACTAAATATAGTAAAAATAAACATCACTAATTAAACACCACACCTCTGTAACCTCTTTACATTCATTAACACTCTGGCGTAAAAACAATGATGGTTTTGGTTATGGCTTCACGTTCCTTTAAAATATCAACTAAAATAGATTTCTAATTTGGGAAACATAATAACTAATGTCATTTCGTTTTAAAAGGAATTGTATCTTAATCATCAAGCTAAAGACATAGCAAGAAAACAATGACATGGTCACTTTTAGTTTGTCTCAGTCTCCTGTTCACCATCTAATCAGACACCCTTGAAGTAATTCCAGCAAAGTGTCTAAGAAATTCATGGATCATCCTCCAAAGCACATCAGGAAAAGTGCCAATATAGTGGATGGGTTCAAGCGATTCTCCTGCCTCAGCCTCCCGAGTAGGTGGAGTAGGGACTACAGGCGCACTCCACCACGCCCAGCTAATTTTTGTATTTTTAGTAGAGATGGGGTTTCACCGTGTTGGCCAGGATAATCTCGATCTCTTGACCTCGTGATCTGCCGCCTCAGCCTCCCAAATAGCTGGGATTACAGGCATGAGCCACCGTGCCCGGCCTTATTTAAACTTTTGAGATAATAAAACAATACAAGAGTGGGAACCCTTGTGAAATTTTTTTCTTATTTTGGTTAACAAGATCATTAATACTTTATAAACTTTATACATGTGGCACACTGAAGGTTTAAAGAATAAAATAAGCAAGATAGCTCCCTAAAACACTTGAAATAAGAAATAGTGCATTATAATAACTTTTATTGACACAAAGTTCCTTACGTTTCAAGCAAGTTGAAATTCAACCCTCATTATTCACAAGGACTCCAAGTAAGCCAGTTTATAAACAAGCACGGGCACCCTACAGATGGCTCTTTCTTACTAAGGAGTTCTTGGGATAAACGTGTTTACACTTTGAACACTCACGTAGATATCATAAAGATTGTGATTGGATATCACTATTCTGTGAAACTGCTTGCCTTCCTTCATGATTTCTTCAGCCTTTTGTTTGTTTGTTTGTTTGAGACGGAGTCTTGCTCTGTCGCCCAGGCTAGAGTGCCATGGTGCCATCTCGGCTCACTGAAAGCTCCACCTCCCAGGTTTGAGCAATTCTCCTGTCTCAGCCTCCCGAGTAGCTGGGACTACAGGCTCCTGCCACCACGCCCGGCTAATTTTTGTATTTTTAGTAGAGACAGGGTTTCACCACGTTGGCCAGGCTGGTCTCGAACTTCTGACCTCAGGTGATTAACCTGCTTCGGCCTCCCAAAGTGCAGGGATTACAGGCGTGAGCCAGCACGCCCGACCCAGTCTTTCTTTGCAGTAGAAAAAAGTTTTTCTAAAAAGTCTGAATCTTCCAAGTGTAGCTCATCAACTGCAAAAAGCTGGAGCTTCCCATCAGCGGTTAACAAGGTGATGGGCAGCCATCTTTTCTATCTTTCTAATGTACCATCCAAACACAATTTGTGCAAGTCAGGGAGAGAGGCCAAGTTTTCAAGCCTTCTTATTTCGTAGAACTGTGGGGGTGCCAACCACATTTCTTTTGATAAGAAACTCTCAGCTGCAACTGACAGAGATGAGCACTGGCAGCCCACCACCTTGGCCAAGTCAGGGTAAACCGACAGCGGCTCCAGGAGGCAACGCAGTAAGGAGGCCGTGTGGGAGTGATGAGTGGCAGCGTGCATGAAAGGTGTGAGCCAGGCACTCCCCTCCTGCAGCGCCCAGATGTCGGGCGTGCAGTCAAGGTGCAGGCACAGCCGCAGGAAGGGGCGCGGGTCCCGGTGCAGGCAGGCTGGGGGTGCCAGGCTGCGACACCCCTAGGCAGCTTGAGGGCGAGGTCAGGCCCTGGTGTAGGCCAGTTGGGGAGGCCCTGGGCCAAAGCAGCAGCATGACCACCTCCTCCAAGCGGCATTTGCTTTTAAGATGTCAATCTGTCAGTACTTTAAGATTTCAAAGTGAAAATATTCATAGCTTTCTGGTCAAAATAAAAATTCCAAATGTTCCCTGGGCCAAAAAAATGTACAAATGCAAATTAAAAGCACAATGAGATATCATCTCACATTTGTTAGAATGGCTATTATAAAAAAGACAAAAGATAAGTGTTCATTGAAAACGTGGAAAAAAGGGAACCCTTGCACACTGTTGGTAGGAATGTAAATTAGTGCAGTCATTACAGAAAACAATATGGATGTTCCTTAAGAAAATTAAAATAGAACTACCATATGGTCCTCAATTCCACTACTAGATATGTATCCAAAGGAGACGAAACTCATGTGTTGAAGAGATATCCGCACCCCCATGTTTGTTGCAGCATTACTCACAGTAGCAAGCTATGAAATTGACCTGAGTGGCCATCAACAGATGAATGGATAAAGAAAATGTACGTATACACAATGGAATACTATTCGGCCATGAAAAAAACAAAGAAATTCTGTTATATGTTACAACGTGGATTAACCTGGAGGATGTTATGTTAGGTAAAATAAGGCACGGAAAGACAATACTGTATAATCTCACTCGTGTGTGGAATCTAAGCAAGTTGAACTCATAGAAGAAAAGAGTAGAATGGTATTTATCTGAGGCTGGAGCTATTGGACGTGGCAAGGAGGTGATGTTGGACAAAACCGAAATTTCAGTTACACGGGAGGAATACGTTCAAGGGATCTATCGTACAACATCATGACTATAGTTAATGATACATTACATTTTTGAAAAATGCTAAGACAGTGGATATTATATGTTCTCACCACAAAAATGATAACTGTAAGGTAACGTGTATGTCAATTAAATAGATTTAGTTATTCCACAGTGTATATATACTTTAAAACTCATGCTGTACGTGATAAATACGTACCATTTTGTCAATTAAAAAAATGTATAAAAGGCATATATTTCTCTGACTAAATCTTAAGTTTCTTACTCAGCTCTGAGCTCCTTGAGGGTAGGAATGTGTCCTAGTTATGCTGACATCCCTGATACCTCGCAGGTACTGACTGCAGAAGAAAGGAAGAGGAAGGAAAGGAAACTTCTGTCATTTATGAAGAATTAATGTAATAGAAAGGAAACACTTCAAACAACAGTGAGAGATGATGGCAGAGAGTGATCCTTTAAATGCTGGAGCCACTTTTCTCTTTTTTCCTTCAATATGTTCCTTTTTTTTTTTTTTTTTTTTTTTTGAGACGGAGTCTCACTCTGTCACTCAGGCTGGAGTGCAGTGGCACAATCTCAGCTCACTGCAACCTCTGCTTCCCAGGCTCAAGTGATTCTCCTGCCTCAGCCTCCTGAGTAGCTGGAATTACAGGCACCCACCACCATGCCCGGCTAGTTTTTGTATTTTTAATAGAAACAGGGTTTCACCATGTTGACCAGGCTGGTCTTGAACTCCTGACCTCAGGTGATCCACCCACCTTGGCCTCCAAAGTGCTGGGATTACAGGTGTGAGCCACCATGCCCGGCCCCTGTCTTCTTAGGGATATTTTTTTTCTGGCCTCCAACGCATGTTAGGGCCTCCCATCTGAATTTCATAACTTTGTGGAATCATTTTACTGTAGTAAAGAGAGCAACATGGAATGCCAAGGAGTCTCGCCTGGGGGTGTCCCTTATTCCTATGCCTCTTGTGACTTGGGGGAAAGTCAGGCATCTTTTTGTGGTTTAATGTCCCAGAGAATTATCCTCATGAGGCACAGGGACACTGGATAAATATATGTAAAGAAATTAAAGCTTTTTAGATTAAAAAAAAAAAAAGCCAAGCCAGGACGAAGTCTTATTATGGATGATACACTTGATGCACATTACTGAAAATGGGGTCATTTGTGGGCAGTGCAAATGATTTTTGTCCTAATAACAATTTCATGATGCTAATTTAAAAAATATTCTTAGAGCCTCAATTAAAAATAAATGCATTTATTTGACTTTTATGTTTTAAAAAAAGCCTAATTTTAAGAATATAGTTGATGATTAATTACACTGCCCTTTTTCATAGACCTGATAATAAAACACTGTACTTTCCCCCATACTTATGAAAATAATTACAGCACTCGATTTTAGAATAATTTTTCCTAGACCTTCTTTCAAAAGCAAATGTACTTTCATTGCTAGTTATACCTTACACTTACAGTGTAATCATAAGTATACAACATTAATTAGTTAAGATTTCCTCTTAGGAGTGACACTTCTTTGTGTGGCTTTAGAAAATAATGAATTAATCATTTTTAAGGGCTGACTATATAACAAGGGGTTATTGTTGTGGATTTCAATAAAGAGGTGTGGTTTCCATATTCTAAATGTCTGTATATTCCTCATACCCATTATCTTCCTGGGTTTCCTCTCTTGGTGAAGGGCATTACCAGCCTTCATGGAAACCTGGAGCCACCAGAGATTCTTTCCTTTTACTCGTCCCAAACATCAGTTATCAGGTCCTGCAGATTCTTTCTTCTTGTCATCTCTTCTCTCCATCCCCTCTTCTCATTCCCAGTACTATTGACATAGTTCAGACTCTTATCAGCTCTTGTTTGGACGGGTAGGCTCTTTTTTGTTTTGTTTTGTTTTAGACAGAGTCTCGCTCTGTCGCCCAGGCTGGAGTGCAAATGGCGTGATCTCGGCTCACTGCAAGCTCCGCCTCCCGGGTTCACGCCATTCTCCTGCCTCAGCCTCCCGAGTAGCTGGGACTATAGGCACCCGCCACCACGCCCGGCTAATTTTTTGTATTTTTAGTAGATAAGGGGTTTCACCGTGTTAGCCAGGATGGTCTCGATCTCCTGACCTCGTGATCTGCCCGTCTCGGCCTCCCAAAGTGCCTGGACAGGTAGGCTTTTTATGGCACGTCCCCTTCAGCAAACTGATGTGTTCAAACGCTCCAATAAATTATATTTGATGAAATTATGAGATTAAGTACATGTGCTATTTGTCTAATATTTTATACATTTCAAATATAAATTTTAGAAGATGAGATAATGAAACAATAGTGTTTTAGAAACTGTATTTATTAACAGCACAAAAACAGTTTCCCATGAATTACAGAAATTTGTCAATGCTCTTGATAATTATTAAACATCTTAATTTTTTAAAAAGAGAAAACAAATTTTAATTTTTAAATTTATTTTTTAGCCTTATTAAGATATAATTGATATACAAAAAACTAAGCATATTAAGTATGTACAGTTTGAAATGTGGACATGTGCATCCACCTGTGAAACCATCACCATAATCAAGGTAACAGACATATCCATCACCTCCAAAAGTTTCTTTGCATCTTTTGTGTGTGTGTGTGTGTGTGTGGTGATAAGCACATTTAATATGAGATCTATCCTCTTAATGGATTTTTAAGTGCATAACACAGTATTGTTGACTGTATTGACTTATAGGTATTATGCCGTATGGTAGATCTCTACAACTAATTCAGCTTGTATAACTGTGACTTTATACCTATTGAACAACAGCTCTTTCTTTCCCCTCTCCCCAGGTTCTGGTAAACAACCATTCTTTTCTCTGCTTCTATGAGTTTGACTATTTTAGATGGCCTCATATCAGTGGAATCAATAGGTGAATTAACAAAGTGTGGTATTTATACACACACACATATGCAAAATGCAAAGTGGAATTTTATTCAGTCTTTAAAAAGAAAGAAATCCTGTTATTTTTGACAACATGGATTAACCTGGAGGACATTATGCTAAGTGAATAAGCTAGTAAGAAAAGGACAAATATTGTGTAATTCTTTTTATATGTGCTACCTAAAATAGTTAAGCATCTTACTTTTTAAAATCTATTTCAGGCTGGGCACAGTGGCTCACACCCGTAATCTCAGCACTTTGGGAGGCCGAGGTGGGTGGATCATGAGGTCAGGAGTTCAAGACCAGGCTGGCCAACATGGTGAAACCCTGTCTCTACTAAAGATAAAAAAAAAAAAAAAAAATTAGCTGGGTGTGGTGGCGCACGCCTGTAATCCCAGCTACTTGGGAGGCTGAGACAGGAGAATCTCTTGAACCTAGGAGGCAGAGGTTGCAGTGAGCTGAGTTCGCACCACTGCACTCCAACCTGGGAGACAGGGTGAGACTCCGTCTCAAAAAAAAAAAATCGATTTCAAATAACCTTTTATTCAATGGCAGCATATATGTAGAAAAGATGATACACTGTGAGTGTGCAGCTGGATGAATTTTCATAAAGTGGACACAGCACGTGAGCATGTAGTTTAAATTAGGACCAGGATATGGAACATTGCCAGTACCTACAAGCTCCCCTCATGACCTCTCCCAGTGAATCATTCTCCTCCCCCATCATCAAGGATAATCACTGGCCTGACCTCTGACGCCACAGCTATGTTTTAATTGTTTTGAACTTTATACACAAATTTCATCAATAGCAAATCCTCCTTTGTGTCTGGCCTCTTTCGCTCAATGTGAAGTTTCTGAGATTCATTCATTTTGCTGTAAGTAGCAGTATATATTTTCATCCTCGCTGTTTAAACATCTTCCTAATTCTGGTGACTTTGTACTACCAATAACTAATAGCTGACATCTCAAAGCACAATACACAATTTGGGTAAGGTTTATCTTTAAGGATGTAAAACAATATTTTAAATAGACTTATGGATAATTTAGACTGTTTTGGCCAATTTCTTGTTAGATCTATGTGGCCATTGCTTTTAACAATGTGGTTGAGAAAGAGGCTCAGCTAGCAGAAGAGGCTTCAGCTCTGCCATTTCCTTGTGCTTGAATTATTCATATTATCTACAATCTAATGTCTCTTTGCAGGAATCTTTTAAAGATCATGTGCTCATTTTTTTGAGGGCTAGTTTAGCTTAAATTAGATAATATAAGCCATAAATCCACTTCACTGGGAACATCTTAGCTGAAATAGACACTCTAAAATATGTGAGATGAAGAGTGTCACTATCAATGGTTCTACATCATAGAACTCTCCTCACTCTACCATCAGGATAAATAGCACATGGACCAAGGAAAGGTCTCAGTATTAATTCATGTACTACTAGTAAAGCTTAATGTTTTAGATAACAATAAATATAACAAATAACATATCAAAAGAAGTTCTGAATTTAAAAATTAGCCAGGCATGATGGTGTATGGAGCCCGTAGTCCCAGCTACTAGGGAGGCTGAGGTGGGAGGACCGCTTGAGCCCAGGAGTTTGAGGCTGCAGTGAATTATGATCATACCACTGCACTCCAGCCTGGGTGACAGAGCAAGACTGTCTCAAAAGAAAAGAAGAAAAAAGAAGTTCTGATTTCCACTAAAATGGATAGGCTCACCCCTCTCCTAGGGTACACTCTTCCCACCTTGGACACCACTGATGACATGCATACAATAACATCCTCCTAACATTTTTCTAGCCTCATATCCTACTTGAGTCTACCCTACAGATAGCTGCCCAAGTCAACTTTTTCAATGTATATCTAATTCTGGTATTTTCATGTTTGAAACTCTTTTGCATCCCGACCTGTTTTGATAGCTCTGTGATCCACCTCCTGCCTACACTGCCAATTCATTGATTTCTGCCCTCCAAACTGACCCCTCCCCTGCCAGCATTTCCCTGGCTGTTCTCTAGTCACCCTAAGCTGCTTGTTGTTACCCTAACATGGTCCACACTGATACACGTCCCCGTACCTTTGCTCATTTCGCTTTCTTGCCTAGAAGGCCCTCTTGTAGCTCTTCTGCGGGGCAAATGCTTTCTCCTCTTTGCAACTAGTCTTATGAATAATCGTTTTGATGAAGTTTTTCTTTTCAGTGGTGGGATTTTAGTAACCATGTTGTGTAAGAAGCCTTTTTCCTCAGCCAGGCGCGGTGGCTCATGCCTGTCATCCCACTACTTTGGGAGGCTGAGGCCAGTGGATCACCTGAGGTCAGGGGTTCGAGACCAGCCTGGCCAACATGGCGAAACCCCATCTCTACTAAAAATACAAAAATTAGCTGGGCATGGTGGCGGGGGCCTGTAATCCCAGCTACTTGGGAGGCTGAGGCCGGAGAATTGCTTGAACTCGGGAGGTGGAGGTTGCAGTGAGCCGAGATCATGCTGTTGCACTCCAGCCTGGGTGACAAGAGCAAGACTCTGTCTCAAACAAAAGAAAAAGCCTTTGTTCTCAACTCCTGCCCTACTTCCTACTTTCTGGTTCCTGTCCTTGAAGTCCAGCAGCATCACTGGATTTGGGATTCATCAGACACCCCTAAATCCTTAACTTTTTCTTAAGCTAACTTCACTGGATTTTTATTTGTTTCATTTTAGAGTACCAACAATCCCCTTTCTCATACCTAGTTGTACCCTTAGTGCCCCAGTGAACTCCATCTAGATCTTCAAACAACTATACACTCTTGTTTTTATGTTTGTTTTCAATCTAACTGACTGTGGGTTGTTTGAGAGCAAGGTCCATAAAGTATTGGTCTTTATATTGCCAGATCTTAGCACAGTACCTAGAACCAGGCAAACATGCAATTCCTTAAGAATGAATAGCGATGATACTGAAATAACCAAATTATTTTGCATAATTCTGTATGGGCTAAAAGTTGACCCAATGAATGCATAGAAAGAATTTTTTCCCTTATCTATAAATTCTCCTATCCTAATAAATTTATTTAGGAATTTCCTTGATTGATTTACTTCTGACCCATATGTCAGAGAATCAGGCTGAGAGAATGAGTATGTTCTAGGCCTTGTGAAGGTAAAGGTAAATATCAGCTTGCCCAAAACACAAAGCAGGACTTTTTAAAGTTTGATTAATTTCACTCATCAAACATTTATTAAATAATGACTACATGGTATTTTGTGCTTAGTACCAAGGGAAATCTGTAAATGTGTAAGACATGTTTCCTATTTGAGCAATCAGGCTACAGTACTATATGAGGAAACATAAGGGATATTATTATTATTATGTAAACGCAAGGCAGGATTCTATCCACTAGAGCCTAACTAGATAAAATTATGTTTCCTTATTAACATTCATTCCTTTGCCCCCAGCATTTTCTTTTTTCTTCTTCTTCCTCCTCCTCCTCCTTCTCTTCCTCCTCCTCCTTCTCCTCCTCCTCCTCCTTCTTCTTCTTCCTGTTCTTCTTCCTCTTCCTCTTCTTCCTTTCCTTCTTCTTCGAGATGGGGGTCTTGTAATGTTGCCCAGGCTGGTCTCAAACTCCTGGCCTCAAGCCATCCTCCTGTCTCAGCCTCCCAAAGTGCTGAGATTAAAGGCGTGAGCCACCATGCCTAGCTGAAGCATTTACTTCTTTCCCCAGCACCTTCTCAAAAAGTACATACTCCATAAGCCATGATGGCTTTCAAATTGCCAAATTCTTCAGACTTAGTTTTTTAAAGTTTACTCGTTATCAAACTTTGGAATATGCCAGAATCACCTTGAAGCCTTTTAAAAACACAGACTGCTGGGCCCCACTTCCAGATTTTCTTATTCAGTTTTGTGTGCTACCCAAAAATACATATTCCAGAGCTGGGCATGGTGGCGTGCACCAATAATACTAGCTAATCAGGAGGCTGAGGTGGGAGGATCACATGAGCCCAGGAGCTCAGGTCTAGCTGGGGCAACATAGTGAGATCCTGTCTCTTAAAAAAAATTATAAACTTCTATCAAGGCTCCCTTAGCCTAATGTTGGCCTTAGTGCAGGAACCTGGTTGCATCTTAGATAGAGTGGTCTTATGGAAAGACTAAACATCACATTTGAAAGACTATGTGCTAGATCAGTAACATTGATATTTTGGGTTAGATAATTCTTTGTTTAATTCCTTTGTCCTGGGCAATGTAGGATATTTAACAGCATCTCTGGCCTCTATCCACTAGTTGCTAATAGCAATTCTCTCCCCCTCCAATCTCCTCTCTCCTTTCCTCCCTTCCACTCCCAGTTCTAACAACCATAAATACCTCCAGATGTTGCCAAATGTCTTGTGTGAAGCAAAATCACCTGTAGTTGAGACACACTGTTAGATTTATCACTTCTTAGCTGTGTGCCATCAGATTACTCAGGGAATCTCTCTGTATTTTGGTATTTTTATCTGTCAAATGGGTGTAATGACACATCTTGAAGGGTCGTTGTATGGATTAAATAAGCGGATGTATATGGGAGTGCAAGCTGATTTGGACTCAGAGTTTGACTCATCTTAAAACTCATTATTCTCCTGGCTTCCAACCCCTAGAATATATTGTTTCTTTTGCTTTTACCTCTTTTTCATTGACTCCTCTACTTCCTCCAGTCTGCTAATCTTCATATTCTCCAAGGCTTATTTTGAATAACTTCAATTGTTCCTTTTTTTTTTTTTTTTTTTGAGACAAAATTATGCACTTGTTGACTAGGCTGGAACGCAGTGGTGCGATCTCAGCTCACTACAACCTCCGCTTCCCGGATTCAAACGATTCTCCGGCCTCAGCCTCCTGAGTAGCTGGGATTACAGGTGCCTGCCACCATGCCCGGCTAATTTTTTGTATTTTTAGTAGAAATGGAGTTTCACCATGTTGGTCAAGCTGGTCTCAAACTCTTGATCTCAGGGGATCAACCTGCCACAGCCTCCCAAAGCTGTAGGATTACAGGCGTGAGCCACCGTGCCTGGCCCAATCATTACTTTTGTGTAAATGATTGTAAAATTTAAATCTCCAGACCTAATCTCTTTCAAATTCCAATTGTGTATCCACAGTGCCCTGTTGAATATTTTAACATAGATGTTTCTGCTAACACCTGAAATTCAACATGTCTAAAATTATTTATTCTATTCTCTTTTTCTTTCTGATTTTTCTACTTAAGTGAAATGCATCATTTTTTTTTCTACGTGAAATAAGTTCAGGGTCCATGTGGTCTGGTCTAGGGATTGTGCAACATTTGAAGAAATAGAGTTGAGCTGTTAAAACTAATTATAACTACTGAACTCTATTTTCCTAATAAGTGTTTTGAGTAAACTACAAAAGGAGGTAGAGTGAGGTTTTCTGCGAGACCTAAAATATCAACTGATTAAGTGAAAGTCAAGATCTATACCATTACATATAAATCACATTTAGTCTGGTATTTGCATTCACTTTGAGATGTTTGATTGAAACATGGGGTTTCCCTGGGGTTGGGCCTCCAAACTCAGTGTCTCGGCCTTGGAAGACTTTGAGGGTCTTGAAACAAGCCTTTCTGGAGAAGTTGCAAATGCAGGTTATAATGTGCAATATTATATATTAAATATTGGAAACTTATTTTGATTTTTTCAAAAAAGTATGTCGGCCAAATAAAATCAGCTGTGGGCCAGACTGGGCCCATGGGCAAATTGTGTATGAATCTGGTTTCATTGGTTTGAATTATCGAAATAGTTTTCATGCTGGTTTTCCCATCTTCATGCTTTTAACCTATCTTGTTCACAGGTATTGCCTTAATCTTCCTAAATCACAGTCCATTTATCTGCAGAATAAAGTACAAATTGCTAAGCCTGACATTCAAGACACTACATCATTTTGCTCTTAATTACCTTTTCACTTTTATTTTCCATTACGTCTGCTACAGGAATACTGACTGTATTCAAATTAGACAAGCCAGATGAATTCCAATCTCTAGCCCTTTGCTGACATGCTTTCCTTACCCTCGATGCCCATGTTCCTCTTCTTCATTTGTCCAGTGCTTCCAGTACTTTCAAACTCACTTTGTGTCTGCAATCTCTGTGAATTCTTCATTGACACCTCTCTAGAGCAAGATGTTACCTCTTTCTGTAGCATTTGTTTTCCTTAGCATTCCTTTGGTTGGTAGTTTGTACACGTAGCTATTTTCAGTACATATTCTTTTTCTTTTCTTTTCTTTTTCTTTCTTCCTTTTTTTTTTTTTTTTTTGAGACAGAGTTTTGTCTCCAGGCTGTCGCCCATGCTGGAGTGCAATGGTGTGATCTTGGCTCACTGCAACCTCTGCCTCTAGGGTTCAAGCAATTCTCCTGCCTCAGCCTCCCGAGTAGCTGGGATTACAGGCGTGCACCACCATGCCTGGCTAATTTTTGTATTTTTAGTAGTGATGGGGTTTCACCACATCGGCCAGACTGGTCTCGAACTCCTGACTTCAGGTGATCCGCCCACCTCGGCCTCCTAGAGTGCTGGGATTACAGGCGTGAGCCACTGCTCCCGGTCTTTTCAATACATATTCTTATGTATGTTGGTTTTTGTCTCAGTAAATGTTTGGTGATGGTGAAAAATCTAGAGTTATATATGCTGTTTCAAAGTCCAGGAGATAAAAGAGTTAACATGCCCATCAAAGGACCAACTTTCTTAAGAAGTCACTTATGTCCTTGAATAATCTCAGGACACCAAAGTGGAGAGTCAATACATGAAAAAGGTCATTAATCCAGCTGCCTGGGAGCACTCTGATGATTGATGGAACTTTGGACTGAATCGGCCAGCTGTTCTGTTCAAAGCCAATTTGTATTTTTAGAGCGAAAGTCTGCGACAAGAAATGTAGGACATTTATTTTTGCTCAGAAGTTTCTAGATATGTTTCCGTCTGCTTACACCTTCTTCAGAAAGCAGTGCAGATGAGAAATAGCCCTGATTTACCAAGTTTTGTGTTGGATTGACTTTTCCTTATTAAGTTATGATTCTTCATATCATATTGTCTATCATATTAGAACTTTTTTTAGGCAAGTTGTAATCTACTATTTATATTTAATAAAAATTGATCCTCAGTACATAACAATTTCACCTACAGGGTACTGCCATGCAGACTTTCTAAGATTCCAAGGTTACAGCATCTTTCTTTCTTGCATCTGAGCTTTAACGTTGAGTGCTTGGTGTGTCATTAGTAGCATTTCCCTGACTCTGGCCTTTATATGTTTTACTCCGAGTGTGAAATGCTGTCATACTCTTCATGGCAATCTAATTATGATGTTGGCTTTTGTGTGTGTGTGTGTGCCGCTGCTCTAATATCTTTAAATGGCATCTCTTATTACCCCTGTTAGTGAAAGTGACCGTAGTTTCCTGCAACCAGGATAGTTCTGTTTAATGAAGGGAATCTTTGTCCATTAGTATTCCCAATTGGTTTCTAAAAATAAAGCCTAATAATTTCTTTAGGATAGAAGTTAAACTAGCCAGTCCACAACTTTCTGAATCTAGAGCATTCTTGATCCGTTGTTATTGTTATCTAATTTCAATTCCTCAAGAATTTTTCCTGAATTCTTGGCTAATGTTATTCCAATTAAATCACCTTGGTGTTTAAGTGTTGTGCTAAGAATTTTTCTAATCAGGACTTTTTATTTTTTATCTGAGACAGGCTTTCACTCTCTCACCCAGGCTGGAGTGCAATGCTGCAATCTTGGCTCACTGCAACCTTTGCCTCCTGGGCTCAAGCAGTTCTCCCACCTCAGCCTCCAGAGAGGCTGAGATCATAGGTGTGCAACACCAGGCCCAACTGATTTTTGTATCTTTTTTGGTAGAGATGGGATTTCAATAGGTTGCCCAGGCTGGTCTCAATGAACTCCTGGGATCAAGTGGTCTGCCCACCTTGGCCTCCCAAAGTGTTGGGATTACAGGCATGAGCTACCGCGCCTGGCTTAATCAGGACTTTTAAAAATGACTGGCCGGGCACAGTGGCTCACACCTGTAATCCCAGCACTTTGCGAGGCGGAGGCGAGTGGATTATGAGGCCAGGCATTTGAGACGAGCCTGGCCAACATAGTGAAACCCCGTTTCTACTAAAAATGCAAAAAATTAGCCGGGCATGGTGGCAGGTGCCTGTAATCTCAGTTACTTGGAAGATTGAGGCAGGAGAATCACTTGAACCGGGGAGGCGGAGGTTGCAGTGAGCCGAGATCGTGCCATTGCACTCCAGCCCAGGCAACAGTGTGAAACTCCGTCTCAAAAATAAATAAATAAATAAATAAATAATAAAATGACAACACTAATTTCGATAAGGTGACAGTAAATGTTGACACTGCAGTCTTGTTCATTCTCTTGTTTTATGAGCAAATCAGCCTGTGAGGGACATGGAGATGGTTTTCACTGCCTTTTCGAAAAAACTGATGTACTGATTCCTAAAGAGAGGTTTGAAATAAAGTCAGGCAGAGTGCATTGAAAGCAGCTAGGTTGTTTCTTTCATTTGGAGTTAAATGTTTGTTTGTTTTTTCTTCTCATCTTTAGCCTAACAGTCCGTCCCCAAACGAGTTAAGTAGCATGTGATATGTTCCTTGGCATAATCCTTCCATCTGTTCCTTGTCTGCCTTGGGCAAGTTTTCCAAAACAATTCAATTTTGTCAGTTTCCACCTCATTTAAGTACGTTCAGAAAGCTGTGAACTACTGTCCTGAAAGTTTTCCAAACTTCCTAATTCACTAACCATTAAAATATATATATATATATTTATTTAAATTTAGATGTTTGTAACCTCTCCTTTTCCAGGGATCTTTAAGGTTATTAAAAATGAGTGCAGTAAGCTGGGAGTGGTGGCTCATGCCTGTAATCCCAGCACTTTGGGAGGCTGAGGTGGGCAGATCACTTGAGGTCAGGAGTTCGAGACCAGCCTGGGCAACATGGTGAAACCCCATCTATACTAAAAATACAAAAATTAGTTAGGCATGGTAGTGGGTTCCTGTAGTCCCAGCTGCTCGCTCAGGAGGCTGACGCAGGAGAATCACTTGAACCAGGGAGGCAGAGGTTGCAGTGAGCCAAGATTATGCCATTGCAATCCAGCCTGGGCAACAGATCGAGACTCCTTCTCAAAAACAAAAACAACCACAAAAATATGAGTCCAATAGAGTAGGACATTCTACCTGTCTTACAATTGCCTGACCTTTGGTTTTGTACATTATTAAAAGAAAATCAATTTAATTTCTTATTTCTTGTCTAAGTTGCAAGTTTTCTCAGTATTATTTCTCAAATAACCAGTTTGTTTAAAGTGGGATTTTTTTTTAGTATTCTGTTTTTTATAGAATATGAAAATACAATAAAATATGGGTTGGAGTAGTAAATATTCTGATTAATAGATAAATTGTATCAATTCTTCTTACCAGAATGGATGTAATCTTTGGGCATATGAACATTTTTCATGCTGAAGGTATGTGAAGTGTGGCTCCAAGAAGAATAGAATACATTCTAATGACATGAATAATCTCTGTATATGCTACACAATACATTACTTTAACAAAAAAGTCATTGATGATAACTATGCATACTGAGAACTTAGCTAGGCACTGTGGATACATTATGGAGACATGATTTATACCAAGTTAACATGCTAGTTGGAGAAACAAAAATCCAATTATGGTCATTTAAATGATAATATAAGACAATAAGTCAAGAGAAGTTAAAAGATAGTATTTGTAAGAGTGAGTTGTGAATTCAGAGGAGGGCAAGGTCATTGGGTGAGATTGGTCAGAGATGTCTCCATAAAAGAGTTGACACTACAGCTGAGTTTTGAATGATGGGAAAGATTCAAATAGGCAAAGGATAGGCAGAAGGCATTTTGGATGGAAACAGTGGTTGGAGTGAAGCTTACAGTCAAGAAAGCAAGAAGACATGCTAGGAACCTTATAGTGCTATTTTTGTCAGTTAGGAGTAGGACCTAATTTTGAAAGGTATTTAGAACCAGATTGTGGAGGGCCCTGATTGAAATCCTAAGGGACCTGGAGTTTATCTTTAGAATAATACAAAACTATTACACGAATTAGTAATCTCTTTGTTCTTCAGTTAACTATAAAGTTAGGGTAATAAAATAGTTCCTGTTTCATAGGCTTGTTGGGAGAAACAATGCATATAAAGTCTTTAGAACAGGGTTTGTCACATAATAAGCCCTCAATGTCAGTGACTATTATTTTAAATTATTATTTGTATTATTTGTATTACTTAGTAGGAAGGAACATTATGAAGATGCTGAAACCAATCTCTTCAGCAGTATACAGGAAAGGTTTCTTGGGTAATCATTCCTAAACTTCATCTTCAAATTGCTAAATTCTTCTTTATAGATCTTTTAAATAAAACAAATATATGAAATAAAGTGGAAGATTCTCTTCCATCATTCATCATCAGCCCCTTTTGTCCTGAGTTATGATGGCATCAATTCATAATGTTATTTTTCCCTTTTTGTTTGCTTCAGGGACCACACAGGAAGCTCTACAGAATGTGTGCAGCCTAGAAGCCTAACCTAATATTGAATGTGTTTCCTCTTATCTTCACTGTTCCTGCTTCTCTGTCCCCTACCTTCAGTTATACCCTTCTTTTATTCTCTCTCTGATTCTCTCATTTCCTCCTTGCTCTTCTCCATTTCTCTTCTGGCATTCAGTAAGGGAGTACATGGAAAACAGAAAAGGAGCGTGGATATGTGTCTTTGATCTCAATGTGCCCAGAGCCTGGCACAGTGCCTACCACTTCAGGGGAGGCCAAGAAATGAGTGACTGAAGGGATAGAGAGCGCATTGAGCAAGGGCTAGAGAACTGTTATTCTGTTCTGTATCTTTCATGATGCACTTTTATATATATAGGAGGTTTTTTTTTTTGCATTGAAATAGAGGACATAATGGAGGGATGGAGTGAGGAAAGATATAAAATAGGGTAAAATAGTTGATGTTATTGGGGCTATTGAGAAAAGAGTAAAATACTATGCAGCCATAAAAAAGGATGAGTTCATGTCCTTTGTAGGGACATGGCTGAAGCTTCAAACCATCATTCTCAGCAAACTATCACAAGGACAGAAAACCAAACACTACATGTTCTCACTCATAGGTGGGAATTGAACAATGAGAATGCTTGGACACAAGGCGGGGAACATCCCACCCCAGGGCCTGTCGTGGGGTGGGGGCAGGGGGAGGAATAGCATTAGGAGAAATACCTAATGTAAATGACAAGTTAATGAGTGTAGCAAACCAACATGGCACATGTATACCTATGTAACAAACCAGCACGTTGTGCACAAGTGCCCTAGAACTTAAAGTATAATAATTTAAAAAAAGATTAATTAGAGAAAAGTGTCTGATACGTAGGAAGGCAAACTGGCAGCTTTCAGATCCTGAAGAGTCACATATGTACACTTTAGCTTATTATTGAATGGCTTGGATGCAGTTATGAAAGCTAAAGTCTATTTTTCTGGGGTGGTACTGCTTTTAAAAAAACTTTGAATTATCTTTGATTCTCTTATTCCTGGCTGAGAAGTTTGAATGTGCTTCTTAATAAAATCAAAATACACATATTAAAATGTTAAGATCAAAAATAAATAAATAAAAAAAACAGACACATAGACCAATGAAACAGAATAGAGAACTCAGAAATAAAAACACACACCTACAACTATCTGAACTTCAACAAACCTCACAAAAACAAGCAATGGGCAAAGGATTCCCTATTCAATAAATGGTGCTGGGATAACTGGCCAGCCATACATCGAAGATTGAAACTAGACCCCTTCCTTACACCATAAACAAAAATTAACTCAAGATCAATTAAAGGCATAAACACAAAACCCAAAACTATAAAAACCGTGGAAGACAACCTAGGCAATACCATTCAGGACACAGGCATGGGCAAAGATTTCATGATGAAGGCACCAAAAGCAATTGTAAGAAAAATAAAAAGTTGACAAATGGAATCTAATTAAACTAAAAAGCTTCTGCACAGCAAAAGAAACTATCAACAGAGTAAACAGACAACTTACAGAGTGGGAGTAAATTTTTGCGAACTATGCCTCCAACAAAAGTCTAGTATCCCCCATCGATACGGAACTTAAACAAATTTACAAGAAAAAATCAACCCCATAAAAAAGTGGGCAAAGGACATGAACAGACAGTTTCAAAAGAAGACATACATGCAGTCAACAATCATATGAAAAAAAGTTCAATATCTCTGATCTTAGAAAAATGCAAATCAAAACCACAATGAGATGCCATCTCACACCAGTCAGAATAACTAATATTAAAAAGTCCAAAAAACAACAGATGCTGACAAGGTTGTCGAGAAAAAGGAATACTTATACACCCTTGGTGGGAGTATAAATTAGTTCAGCCATTGTGGAAGATAGTTTGGCAATTCCTCAAATACCTAAAGACAGAAATACCATTTGACCTAGCAATCCCATTACTGGGTATATACCCAAAAGAATATAAATTATTCTTTTATAAAGACACGTGCATGCCTATGTTCATTGCAGCACTATTCACAATAAATAAATAGATGGAATCCACCTAAATTTCCATTAATGATAGACTGGATAAAGAAAATGTGGCCTGTTTTTTTAAAAAACAGTTCTTAGTTGATGTTCATGAGGAACAGTGAGTACCTAGAACTGTGCTGCTAATGAAAGGAAATCCTAAGAAGGAGCATTTCTTTACAGAGCTGTGTCATACCATCCTTTGGGCCCTCTCCTAGGAAAGTAGAATCAAGTCTGAAATAATGCCTTTTTAATTGTATCTTCTAGTAATATAGATGTAGGACAGTACTGTATCATACCTCTGTGAATGCAGAATATCTTGTACCAGCTTTATGGTACATAGTAGTGACCATGCTTTATCAAAGTTGTTTTAAATAATGTTATTCTAGAATGTTTTCCTTCCAGATAATGATTCTGAAGCTAATTTAAAAAAATGGTGCCAGGTACCACAATAGTAACAGAACTTTGCAATTTTCTGGGATTTTGGTTTTTACTTTTTTTTCCCCTTTTCTTTAAATGGAGTGTGCTGGGTGTCTCTATATTTTGTTCAGATGACTGCAGAACCTGGACAAGTTGTTGCTGCTATTGATGCATAACATGCTGCTATTATTGGTCTTTTTATATAAATATATATAATTATAATTATATATAATTATGTTTGTACAATTATACATATAATTATATATATACATATAATTTGAATTTTTGGAAACTTTAGCTGTACTGTAAACTTTGGAAAAAGTATCCCAGTTTACCATGTTGAGTTGACATTGTACATAAATTAACAACCATATTTGTGTAGTAACATTAAACTTAATTTATTTCCATTTGTACAGGAGTAACCCTTGTATTAAATATGTAAGGTCTTATCTATGTGGGTTTGATTACAGTGACTAATATTCTCTTAATAATGAAAAAAATACCATCCTGTTATGTTGTAAGAAGAAACAAAACTTACAAAACATTAACAAATTGTTTTGGCACAAAAATTACAACAGTAACAATTATTATGAGTTAGTTGAAAATAGTGGTTGAAATGTTATTGGATATTCTACCTTTAGGTTCATTGTGCAAAAAAAGAAACTTGCTTAAAAAGGAATTAGTTTTGTTGAGTTGAAATTAACTTAAGGAAAATGAGATAAGAGGTTGAAGTGATTCTAGTGCCTCTGGGTGGAAGACTTAATATGGCGTAATCAGCTCCCCATGATCATCCTCCATATGGTTTAAGTCCTGCCTAACATTGGGTTTCTTATCCAGCTTAATGGTATTTTCTGTAACTAGACTACTCAGTGTCAATGAACTCAAGCACATACATCGATGTTCAGACTCACTGAATTTAAAGGACCCCAGCTTATGTGGAACACAATCTATTATCTTGGATAAAGGATAAAACAGTTTAAAAGCAAATTTCTGTTATATGAATGGCTGTGCAGTATAATTGAATATGGAGATTTAGGGGGTGGAGGTCATACAACCAGACTTTAGCTATGTGAATCCAGGCAATTTATTTAATCTTTCTGAGATATTTTATTCATCTGTAAAATAATAGCTATTCCAGAAGGGTACAGTGAGGGTTAATGAAAGAATGTATCTAAAATGCCAATCATGGTGACTGGCAGACAATAGGTAACAGTCAGTGGTATGTTATAGGTGATGTATACAAGCTCTCAAAAACCGATTGATAAATTGGAAATTTTGAGAGCCAGTTGTTAAACACGGGCATTATGCAAAATTAAATTATATATATTTGTAGTTAAATAAATTATATTAAAAATAAATGTAATGAATACTTAAAGCTTATCACTTACTAATAATTTTATTGCATTTTACTAATATCTATACCTTAAGGATTTTTTTTTTTTTGAGATGGAGTCTCGCACTGTCACCTGGGCTGGAGTGCAATGGTGTGATCTCGGCTCACTGCAACCTCTGCCTCCTGGTTTACGTGATTCTCCTGCCTCAGCCTCCTGAGCAGCTGGGGTTACAGGCGCACACCACCACACCCTGCTAATTTTTTGTATTTTTAGTGGAGACGGGGTTTCACTATGTTGGCCAGACTGGTCTCAAACTCCTGACCTCATGATCCACCTGCCTTGGCATCCCAAAGTGCTGGGATTACAGGAGTGAACCACCGCGCCCAGCCGCTCTAAGGTTTTTTACATGGATTGTTTCTGTGTGATAGAAATGGCATATTATGGTGTTCCATGGCATATTTCTTCCCAGCCCTGCATTCAGTAACTACATGGTGGTAGCTTGAAACTATGATGGGAGTATTTATACCACAGACATTAGCAAATGCTACAAATCAGGGCCCTCTCCACCCACAAGAGAGCTGGTTTGCATTTGGCTAACCAAAAATGTTGGTTAAACATTTACCAACATGCCACTGGTAACATAAAACACTAGTTTCCCTCCCTTTAATGTATGTAAAATGACTGGCAGAGTGCATGGCACACGGAATGCGCTGGTGAAATACAAGTTCCTTTTGCTCTCAAATGGTTTAATTAATTAGCCTTTTAGAAGTAAACAGAACTTTAGACATAATTTCATTCAATTCCGTTGGTGGCCCAGAGAGGTAAAGTGGTCTGCCCAAGGTCATTTGGCTAATCGAGGACAACCCCCAAAACTCAGTCCACTGTCTGACCTTGATTATTTCCAAGATTGCTCTCCTTCCTTACTTCAAAGCCAGAGTAATCGGCTCTACTTGGACACTCTGGGACTAATTGGGACATTAGTCAGGAGGGACTTAGGAGCTCTAGCCTGATATTTGAGTTCACCCTAAACCCCATTTGGTGCATGTCCAGCTGTGCCCTGAGCTCCAGTTCTGGTAACTCATCTTAGGGCTTATTTTGGCATCTCAGTCTCTTCCCCAGATGCCTGGCAGCTCTACCAAACAGATCTGCCTTGATCCTTCTACTGGGTCGCTGTCTTGGGACCCTGAGCCTCTGCAGTGAGGGCTTTGCCTTGTCCTTACCAGGCTAACCTTCCTCTGTAGGGACCGTTGTTAACCAGTTGCTACCCAGCATGTGTCGGTCTCAAGATTTCTCTTGCACCTGGATTCACTGCTGCTGGAGCCTTATGTCACTAGTGTTAAACTCTCAGCCTCCCTGACCACATGCCAGGACCCACAGACATGAGCACATGCTGGAACCCATGGTCACAATATTGCCATGCTCAAGCTACTAGCTTCCACATTTGGCCTGATAAGCTGCGCTTCCTCCTTGCACCCACTGTCCCTGTGGCAAGTCTGACTTTGGGTCACACACCCTTTTAGTCTTCTCTGTTCTTCTGTGGTTGGCTCAGCCAAGAAAGATTCTGTCACAAAATAGGAAAACAGTAAAACCACAAGGGGAACTACTTCTACTAGATATCAAAAATACACTATAAACACTCTGTAACTAAAACAGTATGCCACTGCCTCCTTGGAGACATGGTTTATTCCAGAACTAAGGTAACGAAAATACAAGATGAACCTGCAACATTTCGTGATCTTTTTTAATGGGAAAACACTAGAGGCTTTTCCATTAAGATCAGGCATTCCTCTAGTGTCTTAGTCCATTCAGGCTGCTATAACAGAATACCACACTGGGTGGCTTATGAAAAACACAGATTTATTTCTCATAGATTTGGTGGCTGGGAAGTCCAAGATCAAGGTCCTAGAACATTTGTGTCAGGTGAGGGCCTACATCCTGGTTCATAAATGGCACCTTCTTCTTGGGCCCTTACATGCAAATGGAGCACAGCAGCTCTCTGGAGTCTCTTTTACAAAGGCACTAATTCCATTCATGAGGGTTCTGCCCCCACGAACTAATCATGTCCCAAAGGCCCCACCTTGTAACAGAATCACATTGGGGATTAGGCTTTAACATATGAATTTTACATGGACATAAACATTTAGTCTATAGCATTTTTCAACCCTTTGAAGACCACATGGTTCAAGTGGTGTATAAATTATTCCAGAGTAGATATCAGCCACTGACCAAATTCAGCCCCAGCAACCTGTTTTATTTTTTATAAAGTTTAATTGGAACACAGCCACCCTACTTGTTTCCTCATTGTACATGGCTGCTTTGGGGCAAAGTTGAAACTTTCAACAGAGACTATATGGACCACAAAGCCTAAAATATTTACTGTCTGACCTATTATACAGAAAAATGTGCTGATTCCTGATCTAGAGCACTGAAAAGGAAAGAAACCTCTCCAACTCCTTCTGTGAAGCAAGTATAACACTGCTGTATAAGCCAGATAAAGACAGACCAATATCACTCATGAATATTGATGTAAAAATACTACGTAGATGTTAGCAGATAAGCTGTTCCTTTAAAACCTCATTGACCTTTCTTGAGCAGAAATTGAGTAATTTGGCTCAGTGCTACACACATCTGTGTTGAAATTGGTGGCGGTTGTTTTGTTTTTTTGCAGTCACTGTGTGTGGTGCCAGGGATACAAGCATAAACAAGTTATAATTAATGCCCTCAATGTGCTTATAGTCATTGGGGGAAATAGGCACTGAAAATATTTCATTCAAAAATGTTGGTGTTTATCAGGGTATAAATGGGGGTTCTGAAAGCAATGATTAGGCCAGGGTTCAAGGAAAGCAGCCCCTGGAGGTGTGGCCTCTTGCATCGTGTACCATAATTTTGCCCATATTGAGCCTGGCACACATTTCTTTATGAGCAGCAATCTTGTATTGTGCACATTGTCACATTTCTCTCTTTTTTTAAGAGACAGGGTCTTGCTCTGTCACCCAGGCTGGAGTACAGTGGTGTGATCCTAGCTCACTGCAGCCTTGGACTCTTGGGCTCGAGGAATCCCCCTGCCTCAGCCTCCCGAGGAGCTGGAACTACAGGCATGAAGCACCATACCCAGCTAATTTGTTTATTTATTTATTTATTTTTGAGATGGAGTTTTGCTCTGTCACCAGGCTGGAGTGCTGTGGCACAATCTCGGCTCACTGCAACCTCCGACTCCCTGGTTCAAGTGATTCTTCTGCCTCAGCCTCCCAAGTAGCTGGGATTACAGGCATGCACCACCAAGCCCAGATAATTTTGGTGTTTTTAGTAGAGATGGGGTTTCACCATGTTGGCCAGGATGGTCTCGAACTCCTGACCTCGTGATCCGCCTGCCTCGGCCTCC
The DNA here is from genome assembly GCF_000001405.40 of Homo sapiens. NCBI lineage: Eukaryota > Metazoa > Chordata > Mammalia > Primates > Hominidae > Homo > Homo sapiens. The sequence continues at coordinate 114,041,950 of NC_000006.12, forward strand.
CAAAGTGCTGGGATTACAGGCCTGAGCCATCACGCCCGGCCAGCTAATTTATTTTTTATTTTTTGTAGAGATGGGGTCTCCCTGTGTCACATTTCTTATGCCTAGCAGTCAACCCATTCTCAGCTTATTGGGGCTCATCTTGCATACCGTCATGTCCCATGCACCCAGCACTGAGTCTGGCAAAAGCTCCTTGAAGGTAGGTACCTTGCACTGTGCATATCATTATCATGTTCCTTGTGCTCAGCTCTTGGCCTGGCACCCAGTAGTAATTGGAATGATTCTCAGTTGAGCTGTGAAGGATCAGCAGAGTTACCCAGGTAAATGCAGAACAACAGGGGATTACTGATAATGGAATTAGCCTTTAAAAGGCACAGATGTAATTACTGAGTCTTAAGTACACATTTTACTCTTACCTTCTAGTTTTTCCCGACTGTTTTGTTGCTGTTTTGTTTTTCGTTTTTTGGCCAGTCCTGAAAAATGAGTCATGGAAACACATGGCTGGCAACCAGCCTCTGCTTCCTTTCGGGGACCGCTCGTTTGGGGCCTCAGTTCCACTACATAGTAGAATTTGCATCTTGCTAATTTGCAGTGAGATAAGGCTCAAGTAATTTTCTTGGAGATGACTTGTTAGGCTCAAGAAGAAGCGGAACAAGAAGCAACTTACTTTAACTTACTTTCACATTTTTCTCCCTATTCTACCTGGAGAGAGATTTTTGTTATTTCATGCTTTTCTGATGAAAGATGTCATGGGTGGGAACATCTCCAGCAACCCTGAAAGTGTCAGAAACTTTCAAAGAGGAAGGAGAACATGCTTTGAAAGCTGAGTTAAAACTCTTCTTTCTTCTGAATGCCCTTCACTGCCTCAGGTCTGGTCTTTTCAACTTGGCTTTTGAAGTTCTGTTATCTTTCAAGCTTAATTCCTCTTGGAGTGTGACCAACTTACTAGAGAAGCTACATTTTTTCAAAAGGAATATTGAAACCTGAGCATTTCTATGGGAATGTGGATTAGTGTTCCTGTACCTTTTCTCCCGTTTGCACTTGCTCTATTCAAAAGCACATTCTCCTGCAGACCTGTGGATCCCATGCTTTTGTTTCTCTATCGAATTGACAAGGAAGAGCAAAATGAATACCTAAAGGGCAACTTCTCTATTAACAATCCTGTTATGAATGAGTTTAGTCCCATATGTATGAGGATTGTTGATGCTCAGAGGCCCAGGGCCACCAATATTTTCTGAGATTCCAGGCACATTTTTAAAAAAAGTCAAAATACGTGGTATGTGTCAGAGCTTTTCAAAGAGAACAGTATAATCTCATTTGGAGGTATAATGTCACGGCTGTAAAGTTGGGACTCTGTCAATGTGAGGCTTGGAACAAATGGGCCTTCTTGCATTCTCATGATGGGCTCTGAACTAAATGCCTATATGTAAGACCATCCATGGTGTTCTCTGGGAGTTATTTTGCATCAGAAGCTATTTTTCAGCAAATAATGAACTTCAGAGATTCTTGATAATTTTTTGTAAACCAGGTACAGCCTTATATTTTTAGCTTCTGTAAACTTTTTTTTTTTTTACTTGATATGATCTTTAGTGAAGAATAATGGAAGCCAAGAAGCCACAGTAATTTCAGTTGTTACATTTAATTCTAATAATTAAAAGAATAATTACGATCTGGTAGGGTTTCCTATTTATGGTCCAAGGTATCTGGGTGAGTTGTGAATGGGTTAGAAATGTGCCAAGATAAATTGTTGTCCTCAGAGGATAAATTGATGCCCTCTGAGCATCTGGACAGGGTCTGGATAGCTAAAGAGTCTCCAGGGTCAGGAATAATAGCTTTGTATGTACTTTAGGTTGCAAACAAATATTATCACATATAAGTATGTGTGCTGTGGCATGAAAAGGTTTGAGAAGCCCCGTTCCCTGCCTGTGTGCTGTAATCCCAGATTTTGAAGGGTTCTACCTGGTACTTTCAGGATGTGGACATAGCTCTCCTTCCTACTCTCTACCTTGTTTTTTAAACTCATGAATTGCCACAAACAGCCACTCTTCCCAAGTGTAATAATAACAATGGACTAAATATGATAAGAACAGCTGGGTTCCTAGACTGGTGGGAATCTGAATCCCTGGGATCTGCTCCCAGCTTTGTAATTACCTGTTGTATGAGCTTAGGCAGGTCATTGAACCTTTCTGCATCCCAGTTTTCTCCTCTGCCATATGAGGGTGGGAAGTGACATAAACATTTATTTTGAGTCTCTGCCAGAATTACCTGTGAGATGCTGAAATAATCAGTTTGGAGGGTAGATGTTAACCTTATTATCCATCGTACCTAGACAGAACTATCGCTATTGACTTAAGTGGATATCCAGGCCAAGAATTTTTCATCTATTCACAGCTGCTGCCTCTTCATTTGGTGAATTTTCCAAAGTTATTCATGCATTAAAGTATGTTCCTAAAAGATTTGCCTGTGTCTATATGATGTAACCAATCAACTGAGGTGCAATAATAACTAGACTCAGAGAATGACAATTTCAGTTTGCAGCTATTTCCGCCATTAGAGAGTAGAAATAAGTGGATCATCCATGGTCTGATTATTTCATTTGTACACACAGAGCCTTGTGCAAATAATTAGTCTCAATCATTCTTTAATTAATGTCTAATAGTGATTTCCTAAATATGTCAAAGTAAATAAAAGTGAGTGTTTCTCCTAATCTATGACTGGGAAGTTGTGTATATGTAGACCCCTATTACTCTCCAGAGGCATTGTGTCCTATGAACTGCCTGCTTCTCTTTGAGTCCACTGGACTGTGTCTGGCACTTTGCCAGGCTAAGATTCATTAACATGCAAAAAAAGATAGAATTCAAGTGTAATTAAAAACAACAATGGCTGGGCACAGTGGCTCACGCCTGCAGTCCCAGCACTTTGGGAGGCTGAGGCGGGCGGATCACGAGGTCAAGAGATCGAGACCATCCTGGCCAACATGATGAAACACTGTCTCTACTAAAAATACAAATATTAGCTGGACGTGGTGGCATATGCCTGTAGTCCTAGCTACCTGGGAGGTTGAGGCAGGAGCATCACTTGGACCCAGGAGGCGGAGGTTGCAGTGAGCTGAGATCGCGCCACTGAACTCCAGCCTAGCAACAGAGCGAGACTCCGTGTCAAAACAACAACAAAAACTAGCTCTAGCTTCCATACCACTAGTGAACTAAGATGTTCACTTTTAATATCATAAAACCCTGAACAATGAATATTCAGAACATTGGTTTAATATGATGAAGGTGGCACTTCATTTATTATTTGAGTTATGGTTTTGGAAACTTACAATTTTAACTCATGCTTAATTAAATGTAAAATTTAACAGCTTAATAGAGAAAATTTAGGGATCCATGTTATTAAGGGAAAAGGACTCTTACATAAATAGGAGTCGACATCTACCACCTCACTGTAGTATATTACAAGGCATAAAGGAACAAAGTGACTTGAAATGTCATGCTGGTACCTGGCACGAGAAGTCTTTTGAAGAGCAGAGTTTCAAGTTAGCCCTTGGTTCTTTGTGTTTGTGTCTTACAATGCATGAAAAGTGTAATGGGCATTCAGGAGCTCAGCAAAATCCTGCACTGTGTTCACTGCTAGGGGATATGTCTGACTCTTTGGTGGACTGGTCACCAGAAATCTATTTGCATAAAGAATTTTAGGTTCTCTTGGCAGAGAACCCAATCGAAGGGAAGAAAGAGCAGATAAGTTTATCCCTCTAGTAATGCCTTTGTCATTATAATGAAAGAGTGATTCATTCACCCACTCCATTAATGTCTATTAAACATCTATCATAAGCTTCCGAGTTTAACATGGTGTCTGTTACACAGATTTGTCTTCCACTCCAGCCTGACCCTATTAAGGTCAGGGGTAGATTCTGAACATAGGAACTGAAAGAGTGGCTTTATTGATATATCACTATAGTGTAGCTTTGGTACTTTTTCAAAGGGAATATTACATAGGAGAGAAAGAATTACCTGCCCCCATAAACACACACATGCACACACATATGCGCGTGCACACACACACACACACACACACACACCCATTGTCATTGGTCTTTGGTCTTTGGTTATTTGGAGACTGTGGCAATGCCTGACTAGGGAAGCCGCAATGCCTGACTAGGGAAGCCACACTGCCTGAACAGAATTGGCTGTAGTACTGAACAAACATTGAGGCACACAGCAGGAGGGCAGCCATGTTTGACAGGTGATGTGTAGTGCTGACTGGCTTGTATGTCAGCAGAGCTTAGAAGTTCCCAAGGACTCCTGGAAATGCTCTGGGAGTACATTTACAGTGGCTGGGGGCATGAGGCAGCCAAAGAGATTGACAAAGAATTAATTTCACACGATGAATTCTTAAGTTCTTTCTCCAGATATTTCAAAGACATTATTTGAGACAGATATTGGAAAGGTTGGAGTAACTTTTTGAGGATGATCATGTAGTAACCAATAATTTGACCAACTTAACAAACTTCATCCAAAATAATGGTTTGCGTGGCTGGATTTGGCTGGTTCGTCTGTGAGTATAAACATAGTTGATAATGGGTGTCAGTGAGTGTCTGTGTTGGGGTTCTTTTGTCCCTATGATTCTGACCCCTCACCGCGAACACCTTTTGTTTTCAGTAATTGCTTGGATCTTTAGCTCAGAGTTCCTAAGGACGTTTCAGGATCTCAGAGAAAGTTATCAAGACTCTGTTCTCAGAGGTTCAGGCTTGGGTTTGTATGCTTATTAATTTATCACTTTATATTAATGAAGGAGACCTCAAACACAATAGATGCAGGCAATAATACTAAGTAAACACTTTATTCTTAAATTTATCTTTAAATTTAATTGTGCTTTCAGAGAAACCTGATACAATTTCAAGGTGGAATACTTGCAGTGATGGTCAAGATGAAAGGTAACGTGATCATCACAATGGGATGAACCAGTTAAAGAATTGCTGAAAATCACATGCACACACACACAATAGTTGGATGTATAATACTTCCTAATAGCACTTTCAGTATCCTCGGATTAGAAGACATCTGCCTTTTACCGTTGAAACTTCTTATACTATATAGTGACACTTTAGACAAGCTATCCTCTTTTGTCAAAGTATTTGTTTCCAGATTGGTTGATGTGCTTTTGAAATATCAATTTATTGAGTTTTTCTTTTTTTCTCTTATATATTCTTACTTTGTTTGGCTAGACTGTGACACCTTTGGAATATAATTTTTTAAAGGCAGCTGTAAATTTGATGGGTAATTGTTAGCAAAAGAATGTTTGAATTGGTCCAAGGATGAACCATTATTATTAGCTTCTTTCAACAGGCTTACAAATAAAAATATATGTGTTCATATATATTACATGTATATTAAATGGATGTACATCTTAATTTTAATGCTAATTTATACACATATATATATTTTTTAGATGAGGTCTCGCTATGTTGCTCAGGCTTATCTTGAACTCTAGGGTTCAAGCAGTTCCCCCACCTTAGCCTCCCAAGTAGCTGGGATTATAGGCATGTGCCACTGCACTCAGCTAATTCATATTTTTATACAGATTCAGTACATGCTTCTATTCAAGGTTAAGTACAAGGGATTAAAATGTACCCAATAAAACGAGATTAGGAAGGGATTAGAAACACATTTTAATTAGAAAATTGCCACCTCAAATCCATTTAGGAAGTCTGCAGGTATAAATAATAAATAGAACTACTTACGTACTTTTCTTGACAAGTGGCCCTGGGCTGGAATTCTGGAGAGCTGTATTCTGGTCACACGCCTAACTGGTTTTCCTAGTGACTTTTAGTAATTGATGAATTCTTCAGGAGCTAGGAATGTATTAGATGATTAGATGATCAATAAATACCTCTGAATTTCATTAAGTCCAAGAAAAAGCATTTCAGGTCTTTATTTTCCTATAGAATGATTTTCAATGCCATTTAGAGGAAATCTTGGGATCAACTTGGGAAAAGACGGAGGCTCCTGGCTCTGATCTTTGGGGACTTCAGATTTTCTGGATCAAGGTGAGATACTACAAATTTGTAAGAAGAAAAGAAATGTTTTCTCTTTTCAGCATAAAAGCCATAATGTTAAGGATATTAAAAAATATCATGTAATGTGCACTTTGCATAAACTTATCTGAAATTTAGCATGAAAATTGTTTTTTACTCTGAGCTACAGGGAAGGTGTCCCAGAAGAAATGAGGCTTGCTCACTCCATGTTTCCATCACCAGGGGATTGTGTCCTGCAGGGTCACTCTGCCTGCATTCACTAGGCCTGTTCAGTCTTAGGGATTTGCAAAGGTTCTCCTATCCTTCAGGACTTCTGTTTGGATTGTTCGGAAATGTCCTTTGTGATTGATGGCTCTTGCCTCATCACCCATTCATGATGAAGGGGAATAAGCTGATTAAACACGACATTTTGTGAGCCCTCCATTTCCTCTTGCTTCTTGTATTAGTTTTCTATGGCTACTGTAATAAATCAACACAAATTTAGTGGCTTAGAACAACATGAACTTGTTATCTTGCATTTCTGTAGGTTTAGAAATCCAACACAGGTCTCACCAGGCTGAAATCAAGTTGTTAGCAGGGCTACGTTCCCTTCTGGAGGCCCTGGGGGAAAGCTGTCCCCTTGCCTTTTCCAGCTTCTAAAGGCTGCACACATTCCTTGGCTTCTAGCCCCTTCTTTACATCATCAAAGCCAGCATTGTTGCATCTCCCTGAAGGTCCTTGAAGTGTAAACCCATTCTTCAGTTCTTATCATTCCACTAACTGCCCCTTACTGCCTCACTTTTCTACCTTTAAGGACCCTTATGATTACATCAGGACCACCCAGATAATCCTTGATACTCTCCTCATCTCAAGGCCCTTAACTTCATCATATCTGCAAAGTCCCTCTTGCAATGTAAGCTAACATAGTCACATGTTCCCGAGATTAGGATGTAGGTATCTTTGAGGGAGGGCATTATTCTACCTACCACTCTTCTTATTAAGATTATGTATTTCTTTAAAAATTAAGAAACATAAAGTTTATTGCTATATTATAATTTTCATCATGATAAAGTCAAGGTTGAAGTGCAATAGATTATTTGTAAAAATGGTCACAATAATTTCCTGTCTTATTGGGCATGGCAGCTCATGCTGAGGTTGGGGGAAGGATTGCTTGAAGTAAGGAATTCAAGACCAGCCTAGGCAACTAAGAGAGATTCCATCTCTTCAATTTTTTTTTTTTTTTTTTTTCTGAGACAGGATCTTAATCTGTTGCCCAGGCTGGAGTGCAGAGGCATGAGCTTGGCCTTCTGCAACCTCTGCCTCCTAGTCTCAGGTGATCCTCCCACCTCAGCCTCCTGAGTAGCTACAGGTACATGCCACCACACCTGGCTAATTTTTTAAAAATTCTTTTGCCCAGGCTGGTCTTGAACTCCTGAGCTCCTGTGATCTGCCTGCCTCAGCCTCCCACAGTGCTGGGATTACAGGCATGAGCCACCATGCCTGGCCAAAACATTTTTAAAAAAATGATTTCCTTTCCTTTCCTGTATCCACACCCTTATGAAATCCCCTCTCATGTGGACTTTGAGCTTGGCCATATGACATACTTTGGCCAGTGAGACTACTGCAAACATGATGGAAGCGGATACTTAAAAAGTACTTGCACACTGGGACTTGCCTTCTCTTGCTACTCTTAAGCCCTTTCTGACTACCATGTGAAGAGGCCTGGTGCATATACTAAGTGAGAAGATACATGTGACCTAGGCACCTTTGTCATCAAGCCAACAGCTAACACTGGGAGGTAGCACCAATCACTAAGCAGCACAAGCCACCAGACATTTAGATGAGGCCACCTGAGATCATCCAGGCAGCAGCTGACCCGGCAGAAACCACAGGTATGTGAAAGAGGCCAGCAGAGGGAAGACAAGCTGGGCCAGAACAGAAGAATTGTCCAGCTGAACAACAGAATTGTGAACTAAATTAAATTTTGGGGGGATGGTTGGCTGTGTGGCAAAGGTTAATTAATGTGGGAAGGGATAGGTAAACTAGAAACCAAAGTTGAGAATAAGGTTGAATAAACGAAAGTTTAGTTGCAAGGGAGTGGTGACAAAGAAGAGCCCTTAAAGGCAAAATCATAGACAACGTTTTTTGGAGAGATCATTTGCACAAGTACAGTAGAGGCCCCTCCTTCCTCCTCCACCTTCATGCCCTGACTCTGTGGACGTTCAGTGTCACAAGAAATGCTCCAATAATCCCTTTCATGGAATGATATAATGTCATAAGAAGGAGCATAAAAATTCCCTGTTCTGATTTTCCTATTTAATGGGAAGCTCAAAAAGACAAAATGGCTTGCCCATTTCATCCTGAAAGTTTAGCTTATACAGTGATATGCCACATAATGATATTTTTGGGTCTACAATGGACCTCATATATGACAGGTGGTCCCATAAGATTGTAATGGAGCTGAAAAATTCCTATTGCCTTGTGACCTCGTAGCCATCATAATGTTGTAGCACAATGCATTACATTTGTGGTGATGCTGATAGAAACAAACCAACTGTGCTGCCAGGTGTATCAAAGTATAGAACATGCAATTATGTACAGTATATAATACTTGACAATGATAATAAATGACTATGTTGCTGGTTTGTGTATTTACTTTTTATCATTATTTTAGAGTGTTCTCCTTCTACTTATTAAAAAAAAATAACTGGAAAACAGCCTTAGGCAGGTCCTTCAGGAGTATTCCAGAAGAAAGCATTGTTATCATAAGAGATGACAGCTCCATGCCTGTTATTGCCCCTGAAGACCTTCCCGTGGAACAAGATCTGGAGGTGGAAGACAGTGATATTGATGATCCTTATTCTGTGTAGGCCTAGGCTAATGTATATATTTATGTCTTAGTTTTTAACAAAAAAAGCTTAAAAAGTGAAAGAATGAGAAAATTTAGAAGTAGAAAAAAGCTTATAGAATAAGGATATAAAGAAAGAAAATATTTTTGTACAGCTGTACAATGTGTTGTTTGTGTTTTAAGGTGGGTGTTATTACAAAAGAGTCAAAAAGAAAAAATTAAAAATTTTATAAAAAATTACAGTAAGCTAATGTTAATTTATTATTGAAGAAAGAAAAATATTCTTTTATAAGTTTAGTGTAGCCTAAGTGTACAGTGTTTATATATAAAATCTACAGTAGTGTAGAGCAATGTCCTAGGCCTTCACATTTACTCGCCACTTACTCACTGATGCCTACAGCAATTTCCAGTTCTGCAAGTTCTATTCATGATAAGTGCCCTAACTGTACAGGTGTAGCATTTAACAATTTTTTATATATTTGCACTGTTCCTTTTCTATGTTTAGATGTGTTTAGATAGACAGATCTTTATCATTGTGTTACAATTGCCTGCAGAATTCAATATAGTAACATGCTGTACAGGCTTGTAGCCTAGGAGTGATAGGCTATACCATATAGCCTAGGTGTCTAGCAGGCTATACCATCCAGGTTTGTGTAAGTACACTCTTATATTGTTCACACAATTACAAAATTACCTAATGATGCATTTCTTAGAACATATGCCTGTCATTAAGTGATGCATGACTTTATTTGCTTTATTTGTAATGAAATGAATATGTTTCCTGGCTTTTTTTTTTTTTTTTTTTTTGAGAACACTCAACACCTATCTTGCAGGAGAATATTGTGTTTGTTTTTCTTTTCATTCCTATGTCTCCTGTTATAGTCTCAGGATGGGTGAAGTTTTAGTGAGAAGCTCAGTGGCAAGGAGACAATATGACTCTTCCATGGTCAGTATACCCACAGAAACACTTTTTCCTCAATCTCAGGAGAAAAATGAGCCAAATATGGAGGATCCCATCAGCTGCAGCAAAGCTACTGGCCATGAAGGGAAGTGAGAGAAGCAAAGAGAAGAGTGAAGCAGAATGGGAAGGAAAATGATGATTCTATGGGCACCAATCATGTGATTTTTTTTTTTTCTCTTTGAAAGATAACCTTCGGCTTATTAATTTTATCATCTCTTTTCCAATATTGAACCCTCAGCCTCTAAGGATCAGCCGGGTGTAGACTCAGCATGATGGCCTGGCCTGCTATCTAGCAGGGTCCCCTCAAGGCTATGGTGGAAGGACTCGCTCAGGGCCTAGGAAGCTCTGTTGCAGTTTCCATTCTTACATTCCACCTTCTCTTATGACCTACTCTCCAGCTATACTGGATATGCTAGTCTTTTTCACACTTTGTGCTTTTGCTGTATTGTTTCCCTCATCCTAGAGTATGCTTTTCCTGTTTGTCTGCCTGGTGAGATATTATGATCTTCAAATGTGCCTCATGGAAGCCTTCTCTGATTCTTCCAGGCTGAGTTATTTATTTATTTCTCCTACAGTTTCTGAACTGTGACTCACTAGTTCTACTTGGTATGGCAACATGATCATCTGGCGTTGCTAGAGAGTCTCACCTTTAAAGAGTCATATTAAGTTTATTTACAGGACCTAGTGTTGGATTACCTGATCACGTAGCAATTACAACTTCTTTTATAATTTACGCCCAAACCTTTAGGTGAGTCTTCTTGAGGCTTTACCAAGGAAACAGGCAGTTTTAGAGTTGGCCTTAAGGATGTTCTCTGGTGTCATCAAAGAAATGGAAATGCAAAGCAGAGACATGTGCATTTAGATATGTGTAAGGTAAGCTACCTTTTTGAAATGGTGCTACCCATCTATTAGGAGACACTCACCTTCTTGACAGACTGTTTTTGAGAGGGGGTGACACATATCTTTAGAAACAATAAAGCCTTTTACCAACACCTCCCGCAAACCTGGTAGACTGATGTGGTTCATAAATTCATCAATAGATCTAGCCTGATCAAGTACCAGCCATGGTACTTGATATGACTGAAAGGGTACTGCTTTTCAACTGAACTATCTTTAAATAACAGACACTTGTTTTTGAAATACCAGTCAGGCACTTTCTATGGGAGCTGCGTATTGCTATCAGTTCAGTTCTGCCTTTCAACTCCTCAATCTGTTTCTAATCATTATGAAATAGCACTCTTATTCCTAAAAGGTGCAATAAAATGTAACTGAAAAGAATTTTTTGAAAGCTCAAATGTAAAGAAATTGTTTTTATAAGATGTATAGTAAGGCATCGTTAATTAGAACCTTACCAAATGATCATATTTTGGACTAAATTTCACTCTTACACGAGCTATAAAAGAAAGGTGTGCTGTAAAAATTGACAGATGCTAGGGGGCTTGAATAACCTACTTAAGAGAACAGACTATTTTGAAATACTTGAATAATACCAGTTTGGAAAAAAAATCCAATATGCCAATTAAGAGGCTTTGATTTGGCAAAGCAGGCACAATTGGATATTTTTCTTTTCTTTCTTTTTTTTTTTTTGAGATGGAGTCTCGCTCTGTCACCCAGGCTGGAGTGCAGTGGCGCAATCTCGGCTCACTGCAACCTCCACCTCCCGAGTTCAAGCGATTCTCCTGCCTCAGCCTGCTGAGTAGCTGGGATTACAGGCACGTGCCACCACACCCAGCTAATTTCTGTATTTTTAGTAGAGACAGGATTTCCCCATGTTAGTCAAGCTGGTCTCGAACTCCTGAACTCGTGATCTGCCTACTCGGCCTCCCGGTTTGGTGCTTTGTCTACTTGGCAATAATTGCAATGAATTTGTTTGAAAATATTTTATATTTTCACCTCGTTATCCCAAATTGCTAGGATTTTTCTGTATTTAGTAATTTTGAGGGGGAATGTTTTTCTTTCTTTCCTAGACTGTAGACTATTTTTAGTGGAAAATGGCTGCTGAGTGTGTGGAAAGAGTATAAAAGATTTCAGTGGGAAGATTCTACAATCATTTGAGATTCTCCATTGCTGGAAAATTCTCAAATTAGGCTTATGAAGGCAATTTGATTTAGCAAACAGCTCTCTGGACCAAGCAAATCTTCTCAGCAGGGATGGAATTTGAACTGCACTTGTCCCTGGTTCTCACCTTCCCTGAGAAGCAGTGCATCTGCAGTGTCCCAGGTGATGCCCCCCACAGGCCTTGAAGCTTGTCTTCCAGAAGAGCCTTCATTTCAGGGGCAGCATTCCAGGAAGCACGCCCATGAAACACTCATGAGGAGGAACTGGGCTGCCAATTATGACTTGTCACTGCTCCATCAACATAAAAGGTACCACATCTAAGATCAGATGGGATTATAAACCTCATAAGAGTTTACAAGCCTTTGCTTGATCATATATTAACTCAGAACCAAAATGTCTTGGGCTTCTGTTATTCTACATTGCAATTATTAAGAAAAGTTTAGTGCCTTAATTAATTAAGGGTTTATATGCAGTGGTTTCAGGTGGGTAGGAGATAGACTTGGAATTTCAGGATGTGTATCTATGGGTTTATTTTACTATTCTAAAATCTAAAATCTCTCTGATCCTTAGTCTCTCTCCATCCCTTGGGCTATTTGTTTAATTGTAACTGGAATTCCTTGGCTTCCAGAAATGGTGTAATTTTAGCTTTATGGTCCAGCAGAAACCCCGCCATTGCTTAAACAATTTTTCTCTTTGCAGCTAGAACTGTTCCACAAAGCTGTATGGTTCCACTGTGCCTCTTGAAAACATGCAAGGTGTTTATGACATAAAAGAAGTAACTTATTAAAGAGAGCCCTCGTGGAGCTATTGTAATGAGGTGAAGATTTCTCTAGAGTTCTGTTGTCTGTCTGATAACAGGAAACATTTTTCTAAACAAGTAGGTTTAAAATCTCCACGAGTGTTATGCTATTAAATCATAGCATTTTTATTTCTCCCTACCTAGCTCAATCAGCAGTGGCTGTGACTGTTTTTTTCAGTGAAATAGAACCTGCCACCCAAAAAATTCTCCCAACATAGGCCCTTGCTTTAGATCTCCGTGGGGAGGCTTAAAGATTTAAAACAATTCTCAAATTTACTTAGGAAGTAGAACAACTGAAATCACAGTGCTTCCCCCCTCCTGCCCCTGAATTTGAAGAAATACTGGCTTATTGAGATAAAAGTTGGCATAAGTCAAATAGAATCTTAGAATAAAGTCTGATATACACTATTGGTAGCAGTAGCAAAGTCTAAGAAAAATTGGTAACATAAAAGATGATTACGGAGAAATTTCAATTTATTAACTTTTTTTTATTCCTCTGTGAATCTGGGAAAAGATTACCATTTTTTTATTTTACTGATTGAATACCTGGTCTGAGTTTTTGAAACATCCGTGTTCCAATGGAGCATAATTTGACAGTTACTGGCACAAAATCATATTGGCTGTATAGCGCTCTAGGAATACTTCTATGAAATTAATGATAATACAGTGATTGTGTCCTTGAACATTGTATTCAAATAGTTTATACTGATGGTTAGCAGAGAGTTGAGGCCCAGAGAAATCTGACTGCAGGATCCTTATATTGACTTCATTCATGGCTTAGGGGAGAAGTGGCTGACATTTAGACCTGAGGCTCTCATTCTAGTGTCATCCCACAGTAAGGGAGGAGCTGGCCTGCCAGCATGTATTGGTGTCATGCCTGTTTCAAGCTGAGAGTACAGCATCACTGCTCATTCAGACAATAGAGATGATTACCAAGGCGCTGGCTTGAGAAGCAATATATACCGACACCGGAGGGGAAAGGGCTATTTATTTAGAAAAGTTCACCATCAAATCACTAGACAGGATAAACAACTCATGGAGAAAATCAACACTTATTACAATCAAAGGGGAATCCATTGTAATTTTCTGATTTCCCTAGGCACTCTCACTGTGATGTTGAACAAAACTCTCTCAAACATCTCCCACTGGATTAGCAACTGTGATTGTGAGAAAAAAAAAATCCATCTTTTTGTTGTCGTTGTTAATACCCCTTTCCACATTTTACTGAATATATTTAAGCATAATACAGTGTATCTGATGTTAGCGAGGCACCAATTTAGCATTAATTTCTCTGGATGGAAATATGAGCCATATGTTTATGTTAGTAATGGCAACACTAGGCAGCTGAATCCTTTCAGAGCAAATTGATATATTTTCAACTAACAGGGAGAGTTGTGAGATCTTGTTTTCATTTTTGAAGCATCAGCAGCTTTCAGTACAGAGTTTTCTAATCTTATTTAATTTCTCTACTGGTCTGACTCTGATTAGAGGTTCAAATAAAATGGTGATTCTTCTATGCCTTGATTCTGTTAAAATATTCCTTGTCTCTCTTCCTGAGCAGCAGCAACTGCGAGTAAATTAATTGTTACAAAGTTGTAGCAGAGCAGCACTAGGGTTCTTTGAGGTGGCTATTATACTTGATTTCCAGATGGTTGAGGTTTTTCTTTTTTAATATACTCAACCTCACTTCATAAATACATTTTCACTGGGGTACAGAAATCCAGCAGGGAAGCACATCTTTCCAAGTGCTCTCATATGCACGTAAACAGCTTCCATTTTGGAAGCCAGCAGGGGGCACGTAAAACAAAATGAGTAAAAAAAAAAAAAATTGCACATAGAGTAATTTTAATCCATTCCATTTTTAAATACCACAATAAATTTAATTTTCACAATAAATTAAATAGCCATATTCAGTTTACAAAATAGAATTACTTAGTGTGAAACCAGTATTTACAACAATATACATTATGTACATGACATTTCTCTCTGTTGACATACAACATGGAAGTAAAAGGACTTGACTTTCCAATGTGTGATTGACATGCTACAAGTGACACCATGGTCCATACGAGAAAACAATAGTGCAAAATCACCACAAGAACTTTGGAACAATGTCAATTTTATGAGATAAGACGTTCTTTTAAATAATAAGAAAATAGCATTTTCTGTTTTCATGGCACCAATTCAGCATCTGAATTAAAGAGCCAGCTTTCCCTTAGGAAAAAAAAAATGCATCACTGGATCCTCTACTTCCTGAAGCTTCGCAGCCATTGGTACATTTTCACACATTTATCTTTTGGCTTAAATCTATGAAAATGGCGGGTGACAAATTCTGAATCAAAGGAAGACTAACTCTTTGAGAATAGCTGAAGTCACTTTCCCCCAATACCACCACCTCTTCTCTTTTGTAAATAGCTTAAAAGATGCGACTATGCAGACAGCAATTTTTTTTTTTTCGTAAATTTTCAGTAGAAAAAGAACTGATCTTATATTTGGTCACACACTGCGTATGTACAAATATACATGGAAAAATGACTTGGATAGCTCTGCCTAGGAAAAGTGCATATTTTAATCTACAGGAGACATTGTGTGTCTCCAGGCACAACACATAGTGTTGTATGACATATTATTTTAGGGCCAGTTCAATGTCCTCCCAGTGATCTGGTAAAATTTTTGATTAAAAGGATGAAAGAATTTGCGCAATTTAGTAATGACAGAGGGGTCCACCTCTGGATGAATGCGCCCCTTGCTGCCCGCCAGGCACTTATTAAAGATAATATTAAACCGCAAGCAGTAAAACCCTCTGGTAGCATTGAAGTATAAATTGTATTGACTTATCCTTGGAGGCAGATTTAGGAACTTCTCCACGAGCTGAAGTTCTGGCAGAGGTTCCGTGATGAGGCGATCTCCATCGACGACATGAAATTGCTCAATTGGAAAGTATTTCAACCACCTTTCCAGATGTTTGGTGTAGATGCTGGTTCTTACTGCTTTGTATTTTGTGTTCACTTCGCATGTATTAGGGTCTATGGCCAGCTTCTCAAACTTGTAATAAGTTTTGTTCTTCCTCTCCTTCCCCTCTAGCACCTGAGTATAATCAGAAATAGCTCTTGTGGTTGGCTCCCTGACAATGATCAACAACTTGATGGATGAGTTCATTTTGTAAATCCTTTCTGGAACCTCCTCTGTGATAAAATATGCTGGGCTCTTTTCAATTGTGATTTGCTGAGGGTAGGAAAAAGGCATCTTTTTCCTATACCACTCAATGCCCTTACCATAATTCTCATCATTATCAAAAAAGTGGATTTCTTGAGAGGCTTTGACTACTGCCGGATGTAGGTTCAGCATTTCAAGCAGGGCCCTTGTGCCTCCTTTCCTCACCCCAATGATAATGGCCTTGGGGAGCTGCTGGACCAGGTCATGGAGGCGAACCTGCTCCTTGGAAGCGTTGCCCTTCCGGAACTCGTGCAGCAGGCCACGCTTAAACTGCAGGGCGCGAAGTGGGAATTCAGCCTGAGTGCGGGCTCCACCCAGTCGACCTTCAATGGGGCAAATGGGTTGTAGCCTGCAAGCAAGACAGAGACACTTTAAGCTCATTGCAACTAACTTTTCATTTTTCTGGTTCCCCAGTCAGACCAAGACTTTAAATGCATAAATAAAGCCACTGGTTCCCAGCCTGCTGCAATCCATAATGAACATATGTTTGGGAAATTTTATTTTAAGCAACCATGTATTAAATGGAGCACACATAATTGATGAATTTTTTTATTAGTGCTCCTTAAAATTTTTTATTCTCCAAGCACTTAATTGACTACGGCGTGTACTTCTGTTTGCAGTACAGGATAGACAAGTGGCACCAGCCATACTAATAGCTTTTTAACAGCTCACCAGTTAAAATCATTAAGAAAAAGTGAAAGGCAGGAGATTATAATCTTCAGCTGGGAGGTGGAAGGGTAGCAGGGAGGCCATGTGTTTCACATTTTGTGTGGTATTATTTTCTTGCAGCTCGGCAGCACTCAGATGGCTCTTGAAAATCTTTGAGATATAATCTGAAAGGAGGTCCCAGTTTCTGCCCCGGGCTGTTTGCATCATCAACCTGCAAAATTCCAATCTTGGAACTTGCTGAGATTTTCATTCTGAGACTCTCTGCCCTGGGCCTTGAGGATAGCCAGAAGAATACTATATTTCTTCTGCCTCTCTTTCTCTTTCTATCTAAAGAGGTCAGGATTATATATCCACTTTGCTGAATATAGAATCAAACCCAATTGCCATCAGCAAGTGCTGTATATCACCTACCACACCTGGGACCAGGCATCAACAAGACCTTGACAGGGCCAGAAGCCTCAAGCCCTCATTGCCAAGCCCATTAAAATCAGGAACTCAATCTCATTAAGGAAGGAGTGCAATGGATATAGCCAGACAGGAGGATTTCCACTTCAGTATTATCCTGAATAGTGAACAACCATCTCTGCTTTTCTCAGGGAGAAAGATGTGGTAACAGTCACAATGATAGTAGACGATGGTGACTGTTTAATTTGTCATGGCTAACATATATGGTTAGCAAATTGAGTTTCCTTTTAGGTATAGTCTGAATTGAACTGAAGTTCATTATAATTCCCCTAAGTTGATCTGTGAGGGCATTTTAGCCTTCTTGGTAAAATTAAATAATATCAGTCAAAAAGGCTGTTAAACCAATTCTTACACTTGAAAGCTTCCAGTTATTCTAATAATTTGGAATCTGTGTCTCCCCCTCTGTGGCAATGAGGCTGTTGCTTGCTTTTCCCAAGAGACTGTATTGCATCTTTCTTGTTTTCTGAGATGAGAAACAACCTCAAGGTCATGCCCAGTGATATGGTTTGGCTCTGTGCCCCCACCCAAATCTCATCCCGAATTGTAATCCCCACATGTCGGAGGAGGGGCTTGGTGGGAGGTGACTGGATTATGGGGGTGTATTTACCCCTTGTTTTCATGATAGTGAGTTCTCATGAGATTTGATGGTTTAAAACTGTGTGGCACCGCCCCCTGCAAGCTCCCTCTCTCTCCTGCCACCAAGTAAGACGTGCCTTGCTTCTTCTTTGCCTTCTGCCATGATTGTAAGTTTTCTGAGGCTTCCCCAGCCATGCAGAACTGTGTGTCAATTAAACCTTTTTTCTTTATAAATTACTCAGTCTCAGGTATGTCTTTATAGCACTGTGAAAACGGACTAATACACTCAGCCTGTTCTGCAGAATTGAGGAGCATGGTCTTGGTCTTTGTTCTGTTTAAACAGCTATCTATCATAATGCTTAAGGAAAAATATCAATGTATACTACTTTTCACGATGTTTCTTTTTTATGATTTTTAAAACAACTCATGCTCATTGTGGAAAGTGTGAAAATATAGACAACTTTTTTTTCTTTTTTTTTTGAGACGGAGTCTTGGTCTGTTGCCTAGGCTGCAGTGCAGTGGCACGATCTTGGCTCACTGCAATCTCTGTCTCCTGGGTTCAAGAGATTCTCCTGCCTCAGCCTCCCGAGTAGCTGGGATTACAGGCGTGCGCCACCATACCCAGCTAATTTTTGTATTTTTAGTAGAGACAAGGTTTCACCATGTTGGCCTGGCTGGTCTTGAACTCCTGATCTCGTGATTCGCCTGCCTCAGCCTCCCAAAGTGCTGGGATTACAGGCGTGAGCTACTGTGCCTGGCCTAGACAGCTTTTAAAAAACAGGATTTAACCCGGTTAATAGTTTAGAGAAACATGAATTTTGTTTTTATAAATTTGTTAATGAGATTAATGTACTAGGGCTTTAAATGGAGGATGTAAAATTATCAATAGATACATAGGCAAAGATGCTTTTAATTGTGACACTGATTGGAATAATACAAGTTCATCTTTCAGTTCTTCTTGGGTTCTGGTTGAGAATTAAGCTCTAATTCCATAAGGCATCCATTGATGGATTTCTGTCCTAAGCACCTAGAATGATGCTAGTACCATCCTTGGAAGAATTGAGGAAACAGTCACTCAAATTCTTTTTTGTAGGATTTAATTCTTTCATAGTACCCTGGCTGAGAGTGGCTGATATAGACAGTCTCTGCTTTGTTTGAGGTCAAATGGAATTTCCCCACTTGTAGAAAGGGTCATTTTCCTTCTTTACTTCCTTCCTCTTTCTATCTTCTACCCTGGGAGATCACATCCTGCAGAATAGTCGCTTTTTGGACTCCCTAACTCAAGATAGAATGTGAAAATATGAGAAAATATCATATTCTTTCCCACTTCTGAAAGCATGGATTCTGAGTATGGGTCCCAGACTGAAAAATCATACAGGTTTAGGATTGGAAGGGATGGTAGAAGTAACCTCTGTCTCCCTCCCAGAAAGCAGGGTCTTCAGTTACTGGAGAG
Organism: Homo sapiens; assembly: GCF_000001405.40. Classification (NCBI taxonomy): domain Eukaryota; kingdom Metazoa; phylum Chordata; class Mammalia; order Primates; family Hominidae; genus Homo; species Homo sapiens. The sequence continues at coordinate 114,061,005 of NC_000006.12, forward strand.
TGGGCCTAAATAAGCCTGTTACCTTCAGACATAATCTCAAAGTCTGAAGTGAGAGGCTTTTAGAAAGCCCACCAAACAATTCAATTCCAAATAAAAGCTATCCCCTTAGAGACTAGAGACAGAGTTAAAAAAATGAAAAGAATCATCAACTAAATAATAATGCATTAGTGATCATTAGATCAATTACTAAGTAAAAGGTAAATGATTGGAAGCTAATTAAAGGTCAGTTGGGGAGGGCTGGATATAAGAGTTCCATTACAGAGGTAGGCCAATGGCACCACCTCAAGGCTTCTCAATAACCATCAAGTGCTACTTTAGGAAACTACTGGAAGTCGGTGAGAAGCTCTGATTACACTTTCAGGGTAGGTAACAACTAGTGAGTGAGACAATTACTCAGGAATTTTGAATTGAGAAGCATCAAAGGAGTTCACTTTACCAGTCAAAATGACACCAACTGAAGGAAAACAAGGACCACTGCTATGTTATTTCTAAATAATCTAAGTGATAAGGTCTACAGATTAGCTTAAATTTTGGAAGGAAAAGAAAACTGAAAGGAAAAGATTTTCATTTTTAATTTTGTATGTGTTTTCACTGACTGTGAGAACTGAACTCATGGAGAACACACTTCAGTCTTTCCAGTGCAAGAATTAATTTTAAAGGGCCAGCCAGGCACAGTGGTTCACACCTGTAATCCCAGCACTTTGGGAGGCCAAGGCAGGTGGATCTCCTAAGGTCAGGAGTTCGAAACCAGCCTGGCCAACACAGTGAAACCCTGTCTCTACTAACAATACAAAATTAGCTGGGTGTGTGGCACATGCCTGCAATCACAGCTACTTGGGAGGCTGAGGCAGGAGAATAGTTTGAACATGGGAGGAGGAGGTTGCAGTGAGCCGAGATTACGCCATTGCACTCTAGCTTGGGCAATGAGCGAAACTCCATCTCAAAAAAAAAATTTTTTTTTAAGGGCAAAAAGGGAAGCTTCACATTTCAGAAATTAACTTCTCTGTCTTTGCCCATTAGACTAGACATAGAACACACCAGAAACATTTACTGTGAAGCCAGCTGATGTTGCTGGGACTTCTGCAAGTCCAATACCTCTCAACTGTACACCTATTTAGAGCTAAACCCTAGCACTGTAATTTTCTCTCCATGGATTTCCCATTGCTTTCTGGGCAATTATTCTGAGCAACAGCCTCCTTGTCTGGTGCGTTCAGCCCCTGAAAACCAGAGCTAATTAACATAGTTAAAACTCCCCACGCCTGCAGCCATCTTTCCAGAGCAATGGATTGCAAACTCGATGAGCTCCTTTAGAGGCTCATACATAATTTTAATGCTCCTGATAGCACATTAAGTGTCCACTCATAAATTTCAAAAGAAAGATACATAGATACATCATCACTGTTTTGCTACAGCTAGAGGTCAACACCAGATGCACACGGACCAACTGAGCTCTATTAAATGACATTTTTACTGTACACAGCTTTATCCCTTTCCTGAAAACAAGTGTCAATGCACACGGAATACAAATGGATCTTGACAAAACATCTTGGTTTGAGGAACTTGGATCTCTCTCTTTTAAAGGCTCAGTAAATCAAAATCAATACTGCAGAAAAGCATGTTTCCTGGGAATTTCGAAGGAGAAAAACAAGTGGATAGACTTAAAATTATGTCCTAAGGAAGTTTAAATCAAGCCTTAATGTCACAGGGGTATAAGCATGTGTTTTAAGCACCCACCTATCCAAGCTCCCAACTCTGGCGACTAGATACAGGAGACTCCCAACGGCAAGGCTTCCCAGCACCAGGAGCTTCTGTCTCAGCCACGCCTGCTGTTTGAATAGCATGGCCCTCCATCAACCTTCAGGACTGCTGCAGCCTGCGATAGAAGGACTCATCAGCAGCCATCTCTTAGAGGCTCTGTTGGTTGTCACAGAGCTAAGCAGAGGTGGAAGACAGGTGATAAGTGACACTGCACAAAGAGCAGATCCCATACCAACTCTCACAAGTGTCATGATGTAACAGGTACTTAGCAAAACTTACCTTTCTTTTCCTGGACCATGTTATAAGATCAAATACTAACTCAATGGGGAAGGATACTAACTAGTACTAACTAGACAGAACCTGTGAGATAATTGTCAAAGTAAATTAAAATGCATGTAACATATAGTGTGTTTGTGTGTGTGTGTGTATATATAAAATGATTCAAAGAATATGGATAGAATGAGCAACTTGGCCGGGTACGGTGGCTCAAGCCTGTAATCCCATTACTTTGGGAGGCCAAGGCGGGTGGATCACCTGAGGTCAGGAGTTCAAGACCACCCTGGCCAAGATGGTGAAACCTCGTCTCTACTAAAAATGCAAAAATTAGCTGGGCACAGTGGTGGGCCCCTGTAATCCCAGCTGCTAGGGAGGCTGAGTCAGGAGAATCACTTGAACCCAAGAGGTGGAGGTTGCAGTGAGCTGCGATCATGCCACTCCACTCTGGCCTGGGTGACAGAGAAGACCTGTCTCAGAAAAAAAAAAAAAAAAAGAGCAACTTGAGGCTTAACAGCAGGGCAACCATAAACTGAAGGCTCTGCTTCAGAATAACAAGGTGAATTTGAAATCCCAGTTCATAAGTTATCATTTTGAGCATAGCAATGACATATTTTAATTACATATGTTTTTGTTTTGTTTTAGTTGTGAGTAGAAGAAGGGGGTGAAATCGAAGTGATACTTACTGAAGTTATCAGTGGTGACTATCAGGATGTCACATGTTTGAGGACAATGGCCTTGGGGAACCTGATGTTTCCCTCCATGTCCTCTGCTCAGTCCTGGGTTCTGAAACATGTTCGGACTAGATGCTTTTGCTATGTGACCTCCCCTGGCTGTCAATGAATTTAGACAGGTTTGGTGATATTGGTCTCACTCTTAGATCATGAAAGAAGCTTACCTGGAAGCTCTGTTCTCATATACCTGAAATAAGGCCAGCTGAGGAGCGTAGGGCTTTACTAGTGCTGTTATTAAATTTTGGGGAAAAATGCAAGTTCCCAATTCAGCCTTTCTTATTAAAAATAAATCCAATCCCTCTTTCAAGATAAGATTGTTTGCCTCTTATTGAAACTCAAAATAGTAACCCAAGAAGGAAGCTATATAGATAGCAATGAGTCATGGTTAGAAATTGTTTTGCTGCAATGATATCTCTGTATTGCTATGTGAAGTTTTTCTTTGTGCAAAAGGGATATACTAGGATTGAGTGATTGATCTATTCATTCATTATTCAAGAAATCACTGAATTCCCAAAGCATTTTCAACTATTATACTAGGTTTATCAGAGATTTCAAAACAGATCCCCAAAGAGTTTTATTCCTTAGAAAACTGATAATGTGATTAGGGAATCATGAAATAACCAGAGAACATTACCCAATTATGATAATGTATGAATAAGTGTTGGGAAAAGAAAATTAAGGAAAAGGTCAGAGAATGTGGGCATGGTAAAATTTTTTTGTGTGTGTGGAATGTACTATGTGAATTGCTGAGGAGACGGTAGGAGGGCATCCTAAGAGGGAGAGATAAGACCAGCAGTCATCCAACACACAGTTGACAAATACTTATGGAACATGTCTTATGTGCTAGATTCTGTATTGGGTACTATGGAGAATAGTGGCCAATTAAATAGACATGTTCTTGCCCTGTGGGAGTCCACAGTCTAGTGGAGAAGACAGGCATTAAGCCTACATACAGGATTAATGCATACTTACAAATTGTATTCAATATGACAAAGGAAAGTTACAGGATCTAGTGAGAAAGAGTAATAGGAGGAACCTACTTCAGTCCTTCCTGAAGAAGTAACACTTGGGGTGACACCTGGAGGAGGAGGAGCAAGGAGGCATGAGCGAGCAGAGGAACCAGCTCACATGAGGGACTGAGGAGGGAAAAGGCTCGGCTTGTTTAAGAAGTGAAGGCAGGCAGGTGTGGTTGGACAAAGGTAGAGGGAAAGAGAGAAAGGATTAAGAGCATAAGCAAAGAGAGAGCAAAAACAGGTAGGCTGGATGAGCCTGTGGTTTTAACATAGCAGGGCTTGCCTTGTGTGTAAATAAAATGGGGAAGAGAAAGAGAGTGAGGTTTCTTGAGGCTTACTGTGTAGCAAGGACATTGTCCAGGTGGTATTTCAGGAAATTCTCAAAAACCCTATAAAGTAGATGGAGTTATTTCCATTTCATAGGTCAAGTGAAGCTCACAATTTTCTCCAACTTGCCTGTGATCACACAACTGACAGATAATGTGAAGACAAAGACAGTTACCTATGTAATGTGATTCAGAGCTTCACTGAAAGAACCAATCTCCTGTCTACAGGTTGATGTCTGAAGTCCTCAGTTAGACCTGCGTGCTTTGGGCTCTGATCCTTGTTGAAATGCAAATACTGCAGCAAGTTGCAGAACAGGGTGGCAGAAAGAAAACTGTGTTCAAGTCCCCCAATTAAATACTCCCCTTAGTAGCTCTATGGTTTTGAGGTTGGATTCTCTGGGGTTTCCTTTTCTTATCTACAATATGAGGACCACTTCTGGCTTCCCCATTCCATAGTGCTGTAGTAAGAATGAAATGAGTTTTCTACAGGTGATATTACTATATAAAGGTTTATTAGCTTGCCAGACTAATGCAAAGGATTATGTGTCATTTGTTTCTTAGCATGACTGAATTTAGTGTGCATTCACAGATGAGTAGTGTGAGGGAATAAAGCTTGTCTGTGGCTGAGCTGCAAAGGGAATGGATGGGAAAAATAAAGGAAAAATGTTCTTGCCCCATGGCCTTTGCAAGGGTCTCCAGCCTCATACAGGGGACCAATTCAGAGGAAGGCTAGGGAAGTTATCGACCTCCTCTGCTATTTAAACATAGTGCCCACACCCTCCTGCTTAAAACTGTACTGCACAATGCTTCGTCCACTTTCACCAGCTCCTTGGTCCACCTGTCTGTTTTTAGCTCCAGTCCACCCATTCTTTAAGGTCTGGGCTATATCACAGTTCCTCTGGGAAGGCTTCTCCAGCTTCCAGTCCAGGATCCAATCACCCACCTCCACTAACTCTTGTTCTTTCAGTCAAAACCACAGTTAGACATTTCATTGTGCATAAGCATTTGATTTGTGTTAGCTGCTTCTTTGGTGTGTATTATCATCATCTCCTAGCAATGGGGCAATGGGCTAAACCGACTGACTGACTCAGAAGCACTAGAAAGCTTACAGAAAGGTACTAAGCCCAGAATCTGCTTTGCTGCACAGGCCAGTGATTCTCTATGGCAAGTTTGCAGAGCCTTTAAAACACACACACTTGCTACCACCCTCAGATATTCTGATTCAATGGGTATGCATTAATCTTGTATTTATAAAACTAGAACAGGCTGGGCATGGTGGCTCACGCCTGTAATCTCAGCAGTTTGGGAGTCCAAGGCAGATGGATCACCAGCTTGGACAACATGGTGAAACCCCATCTCTACAAAAATACAAAAATTAGCCGGGCATGATGGCAGGTGCCTGTAATCCCAGCTACTCTGGAGGCTGAGGTGGGAGAATCACTTGAACCCGGGAGGCGGAGGTTGTAGTGAACCAAGATTGTGCCACTGCACTCCAGCCTGGGTGACAGAGCAAGGCTCCGTCTCAAAAACAAAAACAAAAATAAAAAAAACAACAAAAAAATTAGAATAAAGTTATAAAGCTTATCGTTTTCTACCACCTTTTGTATCTTCAGTCACCAAGGTCAGTACAAATGATTTCTCCTTAATTTCTTCTTGCTTTGTGCTGTGCAGGCATTTTGTGCCTCCCTTGTTCCTTAACATTTGGGTATGCTCCCCTTGTTCATTTTCTATGGCCCTGTATAGTACTATTAATCTTCCTAATATAAGTTATTTTGTCCCTCATCTATTTTTGGTTGTTCACTGGATCAAGTTCAATCACTTCCTCTTGAAAGTCTATGCCCTTCCTTCTGAGGTCCCAGTGTGGACAGTCAGCTTCTCACCCTCTTAAGTCACTCACTCCAGCCTCTGAGCCTGTCAGGTCAGCCCCTGCACTGTTCTCCATATGCCTTTTCTCTTATCTCTGTGCAATCATCAGCTTCCTTGCTGGCCTGGGATATCTTTCCTATGTCTCCTCCTTCGAGACTTCCAGATCCTACTGGTGTCTTCCTAGGAAGTGATCTTGATCTCGGTGGATGTGGAGTTTAGGGGAAAAATCCCAATATGCATTCCACTGGTGGGTAGGAATGGGTCATGTCCATTGTATAAATAATTACAGGACCAAAGGATAATAGCTGGGCTTGGGAATAAAACTTGCAAGGCTTTTGCATGTAGGGGTGAGTGAAGTTATAAAATGACCTCATGGTTAAACTGTTTAAGTTTAGCAGACAGGAAAAAGAAGAAAAACATGACAGAATGTGAAGCCTGCTGAAGAAGTAGTGCAAGATTTAGGAAACTATGACGAAAAAACTGTCAGCATCCAATTGCAATGCACAGGTCATCTGGTATATACTAGGCTATTAAACCTAACTCTCGCTTTATGATAAACCCAGTTATTACTATAGAGGTTTTGCTCCCTGGGATTAGATACTACTGCCAGCCTAGCTTCTCTGTGCCTGAGATGCCTTAAATGTGCCTACTGAGGTTTTTCTCTCTTCAGGAGACCTGATTTCTCCAGCATTTTGTTTGCAAGGCTGGCCTGGCTCCTTACACTGCCCCGTCTGGTTATGGCAGGCCCGGTACGCATTCCAAGGTACCTTCCTATCTACTGTGACACTGAGAAAAACTAATATTTTTATTGAAGATCTCAACTAACATGAGTGAACCACTCATGGTGAAGTGGAAAGACAACTGGATTGGGAGTCAAAAGACCTTGGGTCACATTTTGGTTTGGTTTTGTAATGGAAATTTTCTGAGTTTTGTTTTTCTCATCCATAAAATTATGATAATAATGTCTATCTCACAGGGTTCTTATGATGTGAGCACTGAGTAAAACAGTAGGATAGAACTTTGGGAACATTTGTGCATTGTGCAAAAATGAAACATAATTAATAGCTTCGGGAGGTAGATTAATTATTTTACAGAGAAAAAGAATTAAAAAATGCAGTTTTCATAAACAGTATACGGAATTATGAAAAATAGTATTTTAAAGTATAAATAACTTTTAATGGAAATTCTTATTAAGAATTAGAATGCTAATGCTATTTTTTTGTTCAAAGCAAGATGGCGCATGCATACACACACAGTCAATATTTCTCTTCTTGAGCTGAAATCTCTTGGAATTTTTGAGAAATGAGGATGCCAAGCCAGAAGTTTCTAATGAGGCTCTCTAGCAGACAGAAAGTGAAATCTCATTCTGTTTTGTAACCAGTCTCAGACTATGTGCTAAGATACAATATCATAGCAGCTCTGAATAAAACTTCCCCAGGGAAAACCAAAGATATCCGGTTAATTTAACTTTGAAAATGCCTCTTTGGTTTTCTATAACATTATAAAGCATTTGAATCTGCCAGGATGGTGTCTTAAAAGCTGGAGATTGTTGCTTTTGGTCTAGGAATATAAGACAAAGAGAAGGCACACCATTTGATCCTTACGGACAATGCTGTTAAATCGGGTAGAGTGTTAACTGCTTCTCCAACCCCCAAATCCCATCCCTTTAGCTATGCCAGCTTTAACAGATATTTTAATAATCTTTCATCAGAGCAGTTATACTGGTAATGGGAAATTTATATAAAACTAAAGTTTTTTTTTAGAAAGTTTATTATTTCTTTTTATATAAAAAATGCTTGAAGACCTACAGTGACATTTAAGCTCCCCCCATCCACAGTTTTAATCTCTCAGTGTCTTTCATTTTGCCTGCCAATAACAGCACAATTAGTTTCTTCAGACTCTTAAAGCTTTAACAGACACGGTATCTTGGCTGAACAAAGCAGAGTATCTAAATAACAGAGTATGTGGCCAGAAACGACAAATTGTAGAGACATCTGGCTGTTTCTCTATAGCAGCACTAAGCAAAGAAAGAAATGAGTCCCCAGATGAAACAAAGAAATAAGGAGATTCAAAAATAATAATAATAAAGATGTGTTCAAGTGCTGCTCAAAGGCTTGTAGACATGGTTACCACAAGCCCTTGGTACCAGTAAAAACAATAAGAGGAACAATAGCAGCAAAATTCATTAAAAACGACTGAACTTATATAGCAGAATTATTCCAAGGAAATCATAACCCTCTTTTGAGTATTAGCTCATTTATCCTGGGCAACAGCCTTATGAGGTGGACAGGAACTACATTTATTGAACACTAGGCTCTGTGTTCATATGTTCATATGTTCATATGATACAACAAACCTCTGTAATATTATCTTTTTTTTTTTAATGGAAACTGAGCAGACATAAGTAGATTTTTTACCCAAGGGCTGTGGTTGGTAAATAAATGCAGAAGGAGGATTTAAATTCAGAATTATCTGACCCCAAAGAACATGACCCCATGATTGCAGCACCAGTCATAGAGCTTTGGATACTTACATGGGAGAATTTTTTTTTTTTTTTTTTTTTGAGACGGAGTCTCGCTCTGTCGCCAGGCTGGATTGCAGTGGCACGATCTTGGCTCGCTGCAACCTCTGCCTTCCGGGTTCAAGCAATTCTCCTGCCTCAGCCTCTCGAGTAGCTGGACTACAGGCACACACCGCCATGCCCAGTTAATTTTTTTTTTGTATTTTAGTAGAGATGGTGTTTCACCATGTTGCCCAGGCTGGTCTCAAACTCCTGAGTTCAGGCAATCCACCAGCCTTGGCCTCCCAAAGTTCTAGGATTACAGGCGTGAGTCACCACACCCGGCCCATGGGAGACTTTTTAAAAAATAATTTCAATTGTTTTGGGGATACAGATGGTTATATGTTATCTTGTTATATGGATAAGTCCTCTAGTGGTGGTTTACACTTACATGGGAGAGTTTTTAAAAAATAATTTCAATAGTTTTGGGGGTACAGGTGGTTATATGTTATCTTGTTATATGGATAAATCCTCTAGTGGAGATTTCTGAGATTTTAGTGCACTTGGTACGCAAGCAGTGTACACTGTACCCAATATGCAGTCTTTTATCCCTCATCCCCTCCCAACCTTACCCCGACCCAGTCCCCAAAGTCCATTCTATCACTCTCATGCCTTTGTGCCCTCACAGCTTAGCTTCTGGGAGATTCTTAATAAATATTCGTTCATTGATTGAGAGCAGACAAAAACCACTTAACTCCACCCAAATTACCTGCCACTGAACCTTGAGTTAGAGGATGGGGAGATGAAAAAAAAAAAAAAAGAGGAGAAATGTTTCCATAAAAGGGCAGGTAAAAGGGACCATTTAGGTGGTTTGAACCTGATGAAAGCAGGGAGAAAATACTAATAAGTAATGATAGTAGCAATTATAATGAAAGGTCATGTTTCCATAATTTACCAAGGGTTTTTTTCATATTCACCAAGCCACTTATAATTAAAACTGACCAGAATCATGGATACCCCACTTTTTCTCTCCATAACTCAAGAACTATCTCTTAGAAAGATTTATAGTAGATGATCAAAATACCATTGGGATTAGCTGCCACTTGTCACAGACTCAGATTCTTATGTGCTGGTCTTTGTAAGATCTTGATTAAATCTGTCTTTGCCCTCTCATTATCACCCAATCCCTACCCACCCCTTCCCACAACACTGCCTCTCAATATCTCAGTGACTGGCTCCCCATCTGCCCCTCACCCTTGCCAAAAACCTTGGAAGTTGTCATTCTTGGCTCCACCCTGTCCCCATGTCCAATCAGCCAGTAAGATGCTACCTCCAGTCCTGTCAGAATCCACCCAGTTTCTGCCATCACTTGTGACTGCCTTAGTTCAGGCCACTGTGTGTTTTAGACTAACTTATGAGCTCCCAGGTGGTATCCCCACTATTAGTTTTGTTCCTTCCTCAATTTATTCTCCCTACTGATGCCAGAGTAATCTTTCCCAGTGGAAACTGGATCACATCATCTCCAGGCTTAATACCCTTTAATAGATGCCTATTATCCACAAGACCCTGTACTCCTTTCCACTGTAACTCCACATACCCTACCCAAGGCCTACATATGCAAACTGCAATACACAGAACAACTTGCAGTTCTTTTGAATAAGCCATGATCAGTTTTGCTTCAGGGCCTTTCTTCTTAAGATTTCCCTTGCTTGAAAATACCAAGTCTGTAATCAGATCTGTCAAATGGGATACCAATAACCTGCCCCACAGCACTGCTGTGAGGAGTAAATGGGCATGTGTTGCTTGGCTTATAGTATAAATGCTAGACACGTAGATGGATGCTTGCTCTCCCTCCCAGGCCTTGGTTTAATTCCTATGTTTTAGATCTTAGGTTCTCACTGCTCTCAGATTCCTTGGGAAAGTCTTTCTTGATCATTTAGGGCTGGTTTAGATGTTCTTCCTATATGGCACCACAGCAGTCTCTACTTAATTCTATTTAAGCCATATTGTAATTCTCTGTTTATTTGTGTGTAACTCTAACTACATTAAATTCTGTGAGATTAAGAAGTATGTGTTGTGCATTATTGAGTTATCTCCAGCATTTAGGGTCATTGATACTCAGTAAATGATTGCTGAATAATTCAATCAGTTAGATGAAATGAACTTTGACTATCCTAAGATTATGGCATCTGGATACCACATCTCTTTAGATGTGGTACTTTGTCTTTGTATACTACTTAGCAGGTTTGCCAAATGCTGTCTGTGTATAAATGACTTTAGTGTTTCTATCTTTTTATTTTGAAAAAAATCGAATACTCATATATCCTTTGCCTAGATTCGCTGATTGTTAATGTTTTTCCATATTTGTTTTATTTGTCTCTATAGAAGCACATATTACTTTTATGGAACCATTAAAAATAAGTGGCAGATCTCAACATTGCAGCATGTGAGAAGCCCCCACCTGACATGCACATGTTGCCCTGTGATAGAAGTGGGGCAGTGGGCATTCTTGTCTCAAAGCCTAGGGAGGTGAAATGTCCTGCTCAAAGCTGCAGACTGCTTAGTCTGGGGTTGTAAATAATTATATTAGGGCTTTCTACATTGCACCACTCTGCCTCCCTATGAAGTTCATGCAAAGCTGAAAATATTGCAGATTTTATTGGTAGAAAAAGATGTATCTCTCATCTTTGTCTAAACTTTCAATCTGCAAATTCTGAGTTGAGTGTTTAAAAAGAAAAAAACCTTTGGCAAAGTGGTGACAAAAAATACTCTTAAGAGATTCTTGTCTCCTCATACACTTTTCTGAATTCCTTTTAAGAAAGAAAAAAAAAATTGAAAAAGCTCTTTTTATATTTTAACACAGATGGTAGAGTCATGTGGTGATGCCCATCCACTGGCATGCTACAGCTGGCTCCTACTTTGGAAGCCAGTTGTTAAAGTCATTATTAAAAATTAAAATTGTATTATATAAATTTATAATTAAGTAGAGTAAAGCAAAGGTAATAAATTTGAAAAACTCCTTATTTCCTAATTATCTTACTCCATTTTACTATTACCTATGGTCTTGAGGTTAAGTCTGTTGCATCTGTACAATGGAATACTACACATCTCTTCCCAATTTCACATTTAGTGAATTCATCTTGGTAGCTTAAGATTTCATATTCAGTCAATTCATGGTGGTAGCTTAAAATTGGCCATGAAGAGGATAGGAAGAATCAATATCGTGAAAATGGCCATACTGCCCAAGGTGATTTATAGATTCAGTGCTATCCCCATCAAGCTACCAATAACTTTCTTCACAGAATTGGAAAAAAACTACTGTAAATTTCATATGGAATCAAAAAAGAGCCCACATAGCCAAGACAATCCTAAGCAAAAAGAACAAAGCTGGAGGCATCACGCTGCCTGACTTCAAACTATACTACAAGGCTACAGTAACCAAAACAGCATGGTACTGGTACCAAAACAGATATATAGACCAATGGGACAGAACAGAGGCCTCAGAAATAATGCCACACATCTACAACCATCTGATCTTTGACAAACCTGACAAAAACAAGAAATGGGGAAAGGATTCCTTATTTAATAAATGGTGCTGGGAAAACTGGCTAGCCATATGTAGAAAGCTGAAACTGGATCCCTTCCTTACACCTTATACAAAAATTAACTCAAGATGGAAAAGACTTATTGTAAGACCTAAAACCATAAAAACCCTAGAAGAAAACCTAGGCGATACCATTCAGGACATAGGCATGGGCAAAGACTTCATGACTAAAACACCAAAAGCAATGGCCACCAAAGCCAAAATAGACAAATGGGATCTAATTAAACTAAAGAGCTTCTGCACAGCAAAAGAAACTATCATCAGAGTGAACAGGCAACCTACAGAATGGGAGAAAATTTTTGCAATGTATCCACCTGACAAACGGCTAATATCCAGAATCTACAAAGAGCTTAAACACATTCACAAGAAAAAAACAAACCCCATCAAAAAGTGGGCAAAGGATAAGAACAGACACTTCTCAAAAGAAGACATTTATGCAGCCAACAGACATATGAAAAAATGCTCGTCATCACTGGTTATCAGAGAAATGCAGATCAAAACTACAATGAGATACCATCTCACACCAGTTAGAATGGCGATCATTAAAAAGGCAGGAAACAACAGATGCTGGAGAGGATGTGGAGAAATAGGAACACTTTTACACTGTTGATGGGAGTGTAAACTACCTACTAGTTCAATCATTGTGGAAGACAGTGTGGCAATTCCTCAAGGATCTAGAACCAGAAATACCACTTGACCCAGCAATCCCATTACTGGGTATATACCCAAAGGATTATAAATCATGCTACTATAAAGAGCCATGCACACATATGTTTATTGTGGCACTATTCACAATAGCAAAGACTTGGAACCAACCCAAATGTCCATCAATGGTAGACTGGATAAAGAAAAAGTGGCACATATACACCATGGAATATCATGCAGCCATAAAAAGGATGAGTTCATGTCCTTTGCAGAGAGATGGATGAGGGTGGAATCCATCATTCTCAGCAAAATAGCACAAGGTCAGAGAACCAACACCGCATGTTCTCACTCATAAGTGGGAGCTGAACAATGAGAACACATGGACACAGGGAGGGGAACATCACACACCATGGCCTGTTTGGGGGTAGGAGGCTGGGGGAGGGATAGCATTAGGAGAAATACCTAGTGTAAATGATGATTTGATGGGTACAGCAAACCAACATGGCACATGTATACCTATGTAACAAACCTGCACGTTATGCACATGTGACCTAGAACTTAAAGTATAATAATTAAAAAAAGAGCAAAAAAAAAAAGGCCATGAAGAATTTATGCAATAGAAATTGACAAATACTACAAACCACACCCCACTCCCCAAGAGCTAGTTGTTAAGTATTTACCAGGACATCACTAATTATGCCCCATTTATTTTTCTTTTGCACATTCAATAATCAGGCCTTTCCCAAGTTCCCATCAAGTGTGCAGTATGTTGCCAATAACTCTTCTAAAAAAGAAGGGGGCCTACCCCTCATCTTCTGTTTTTAGCCTCCCTCTCTATTCTGCCTTTTTACAGAGGCCTGTTTTCAATTCTGAGACCCCTGTGATCCTTTTCTTTCTCTTTTTGACTTTTCTAAGTCTTTCTTCCCAGCTTTTTTGCTTCTCCCTATACCCTGCCACTGACTATGTTCTCTAAATAAAATAACCTAAAACGAAAAGAGTACTGAGATATTATTCTTAAGTAACATTGATAGCAAAAGTACAGCTAAAAATCTTAGGAAACTTTATAAATATTTAATAAACCTATAAAATAATATATAATAAGCTTATATGCAAAATGATACTAAAAGTCTCCCCTTCTTAGGCATGCTAACATTTTCTTAAATTGCAGTATTAAAATTAGCATTCTTAACATGCTTCAAAACTTTTTTTCTTTTTATTGCCAGAGGCACCTTTCTTCTCTAAATCTCTGATCTTCCTTTTAGGGCCAGAAGGACTCCACCAAATTTCAACACTAAGATAACCACCTGTTACCAGTCATCAACAAATAGTTACTGAGGACCTGCCATGCATCAGGAACTGCAGATGCAGGAAATAATATGGACAACAGACACAGATTCTGCCTCATTACTTTTGTAGTTTTCTAGTGTTCAACTCTTGATATACATATAAGATCCGCATCATCTGTTAAACATAGAGCTTAGATCCTCTCATGAGAGTTCAGGCGCATTCAGGGTGATGTGGCTGTAGCCTCTGATTCTCTTAGATTGGCAGTGAAGGAAGAATCGCTACAAAGGCAGGATCCGCTGCACTTCAGAATCTCACCTCCTGGCCCTAAAATCCACCTTGAAGAGTCCTTGCCTCCTGCCCAAGTAGCCACAAACTACTCTCCAAAAAGCACAACTCTTCCTTCAACAAGACTCTTTTCTTCAAAAACCACATGCAAAGTGAAGTCTTCACTGGGTATGTTTAGACCAGACATTACTAAAGTAACTACTTGTGGTGAGACATGAGCTGGTAGCTGTGCGTTTACGTGGGGCTGTGTGCTCAGAAAGGCCCTGTGCTTGGTTTAATGCTCTATTGTCGCTGTCTTAGAATTCTCTGCATTTTTATTTTGCCCTGGGCCCCATAAATTATGTGCCTGATTCTGCAGCCAGACTTTTTGGTCTTTGAGGATAGATTACTTGTGTGGGGACTATGGCTCTTCACAGTGGTACCTCCTTTCTTCTTCAGATACTGAACTTTAAGAGACAGACACTGTCTTAACTCCATCACACAGGAACACAACCCTTCACATCTTCTTACAGAGCTGGGATTTTCACTCCCTTTTATTTCTCCCTCTCAGTTCTGTGGTCGTCCTTGAGGCTCGTCTTTTCCTTGGGTAACCAACACTGAAAATGGTGTCTGCCTTCAAGAACGTGGTAGCTCTCCACAAAGCCTTAGAGTCCTAAGAACAATAACCATAGCAGAGTATGTGCCACACAAGGTAGTGCTGTGAGATACACACACACACATGCCCCCAGAAGAAAGGGTTTCATCACAATAGATTACTGAGGGAAATCCTGTGAGGTGAAGAGGACAGTATCTCTATCAAACAGGTAAGAAAAGGCAGAGACTTGAGGACATCTGCTCCTTCTGTGGGGCAGGAAATTATTTCTCCATTTCATGTTCCCTTCAAGGGAAAAACAAAACAGGAAGCTCAAACTAGGTTACCCTGCTGCTATGTGACTTTGTGTAAACCACTTAACCCCCTGATCTTCTGTTTTTTCCTAGAAACAAAGGCCTGAGAAGGGATGAGTTCAGCAATCCCTCTGGGCCCCAAATTCTCTTATTCTAGGAAAAAATGAATGTTCTTATAATGAGAGATTAATGCAGAAGGAAGTAAAGACAACTGCATTGTGGTGGGAAATTTATGCCTGAGGTACATTTTAATTTTTAATGTCTTAATAGCCCCCAGTTTTAAATAGTCCTGACCTCTTTAAAGATGGCTGCACCACATCATACTGCCTATTACTGGGAGAAACAATCCTCTTGTCCTAAGACATAACATTTCTTAGAAAAGATACCGATCTTAAGAAAGATTCTACTGATGAGCTTTCAATTTGCTCTGTTGTCAGGGAGCCCATAGAGATCACATTTTGAAAAAATTAACCAAGGGCAGCTGAGGAAAATTGTCATAAAGAACTCGTTTTCCTTCTGTAATAATAATTACGTAAGAGCACTGTAATGAGAAAGAAACAAATGAAGAGGGGCACAGGAACAGGGCACAAAAAGCAGTGTTGTGCACGTGTCAAGTCGAATGGGAGATGGGGTAGAGATTAAGAGGAAAATGGACACCATTTGTTAGTAGATTAAGCAGAAAGTGTATCAGTCAGGATGCTCATAATTGCTCTATCAAATGGCTAAGGAAGCTATTTAGCTCTTTGTTTCTTCAGTTAACCATGAAGGGTGAATGTTAGAAATGAAAAGGAAAAAGGTTGATAAATTATACAGAACTGCAGGGTGGAATACTGCTTATCTTCCCTGGAGTTATGGTGAGAATAGCTTTGAGCAAATTCCAAATTTTCATATGGGTTCTTCATTTCTGTCCTCCATTCAGCTTTCCATAACAGGCATAGATTATTTATCACAGCTCCCGTTATTGCATCAGCTTGAGTAGTCCTCTGGCTCTGTCTGCAGGAGGATACTCATTTTGCATTTGTAATTACCAAACTTAAAAGGAGCCAGTTAATTCTGCTTCTGCTCAGGGGTCTCATTTAGTAGAATGATGTCTTAAGAAAAAATATGGGAACTGAATTTTGTTTGGGCCTGGAATCCCAATTACTCTTAATCCCAGTATCTCACTGGTATAGGTAACTAATGTTTATAGAAGGGATAAACTAATGTTTATCCACTCTTCCCCCAAATTTCTTTTCACTGCATTAAACAATTGTTAGTTTAGTAAATTTGACCTGCTAGGGAGCTCAGAAGCAGAATCCTTCCTTCTTTAATCTTGCATTTATATAGAAAAGTGTGAGTTGGAGAGGTAACAATTATAGTTAATTAAGTTAATATACATGGTCCAAACATCATTCTAGTGATATAGGCTCCTGCAGTTAAAGAGTTCCAGTTAACTGGATTAAGCTCCTCCCTCTGTTCCATGTAGCAAATATCAGTTTTATAGTAATATTAGTTCTATTTGTCATATCTGTTAACAGTTGAAGGTATCTATTTTAAAATCAAAGGTAGTATTCACTACCAGACAGAAAGCCAACTTTTAAATTTTATTTACCTCAAGTTTTGTTTTTGTTTTTAATGAAGACCAAAGAAATGTGTATATAAATGGCTTTTAATGCCATAGATACATTAAAAGTATAATGGTATTTTTATCATCAAGCTTCATTTCATTGTAGTTTTCATTATCCTCTCTCTGCAGTGACTTTTTTCTCCTTTTTAATTTCCATAACACTATGCCATGTATTTCTTTCATAATGACTGATGATGAATGCTGATTTTTAACATTAAATATTTTATGTGAAGAATTAAACCATTAGCAGACTGTGCAGAAATATGAATGTATCATATTCAAATTACCAAGTTAGATCCAAAAATTTAACATGTTTGATATAAAATTTTAGCAAATTCGTGTAAGTATAACCTCCTGAAAACTTTAGAGACAGATAACCCACTGTTCACTTAAGAAACATAAACATACAGTTTTCTTTTTCTTTTTCTTTTTTTTTCTGAGACGGGGTCTTGCTCTGTCATCCAGGCTGGAGTACATTGGTGCGATATCTGCTCACTGCAACCTCTGCCTCCCAGGTTCAAGCAATTCTCCTGCCTCAGCCTCATGAGTAGCTGGAACTACAGGCATGCACCACCAAGCCCAGCTAATTTTGGTATTTTTTTTAGTAGAGACGGGTTTTCACCATGTTGGCCAGGCTGGTCTCGAACTCCTGACCTCCCCTTGGCCTCCCAAAGTGCTGGGATTACAGGCGTGAGCCACCATGCCCGGCAAACACACAGTTTTCAAAATACTATCCATTTGTATAGTGCTTTTTCAGTTTTTAAAGCACAAGTTTAAACATTTTATTGGACTTTCACAACAAAAATATAAGAGACACAAGATATTTTATTCTCCATTCTATAGATGAGGAAGCCAAGACCTCATTAAAGTGTGGTGCCCCAGTCTACCTAGCACCTATAACTAGCAGAGTTCAAAATACAGTCTAGCTGTATTGACCTTCAGTGTTTGTGCTGGGTAAATTCATCCCCTTTCTATGAAGATTTGTCATTATTTGGTTCTAGGACTGGATATGCATTCATTAGTGCAAATCTAATCCTTGAGTAGTATAGGCACACCTTGGAGATGTCGTGGATTTGGTTTCAGAGCACTTCAATAAAGCGAAAATTGCAGTAAAGTGAGTCACACAGATCATTTGGTTTCCCAAGCATATAAAAGTTATGTTTACACTATATTGTAGTCTATTAAGTGTGTAATAGCATTATGTTTTAAAAAACAATGTACGTGCCTTAATTTTAAAATATTGTATTGCTAAAAAAATGCTAATGATCAGCTGGGCCTTCGGTGAGTTGTAATCTTTTTGTTGATGGAGGGTCTTGCTTCGATGTTGATGGCTGCTAACCAGGGTGGTGGTTGATCAAAATTGGGGTAGCTGTGGCAATTTCTTAAATTAAGACAACAGTGATTTGCCACATTGATTGACTCTTCTTTTTATGAAAGAGTTTTCAGTGGGATGCAATATTGTTTGACAGCATTTTAACCACAGTAGAATTTATTTCAAAATTGGAGTGTGTCCTCTCAAAATGTGTCTCTACTTTATCAATGAAGTTTATGTAATATTCTAAACCCACTGTTGTCATCTCAACAATGTTCACAGCATCCTCACCAGGAGTAAATTCCATTTCAAGAAACCATTTTCTTTGCTCAGCCATAAGAAGCAACTCCTCATCCTTTCAAGTTTGATCATGAGATTGCAGCAATTCAGTCACATCTTCAGATTCCACTAATTCTCTTGCTATTTCTACCATGTCTGCAGTTACTTCCTCCACTGAAGTCTTGAAGTTCCCAAAGTCATTCATGAGGGTTGATATCCATATCTGCCAAACATCTGTTAAGGTCAATAATTTGAACACCTTTCATGAATCACAGAAGTTCTTAATAGCAGCTAGAATGGTGAATCTTTTCCAGAAGGTGTTCAATTTGCTTTGCTCAGATCTATGAGAGGAATCACAATGGGAGCTATAGCCTTATGAAATATATTTCTTTTCTTTTCTTTTCTTTTTTGAGACGGAGTTTTGGCTCTTGTTGCCCAGGCTGGAGTGCAATGGTGCGATCTCAGCTCACCGCAACCTCCACCTACCTCCTGGGTTCAAGCGATTCTCCTGCCTTAGCCTCCCAAATTCCTGGGATTACAGGCATGTGCCACCATGCCTGGCTAATTTTGTTTTTTTTTAGTAGAGATAGGGTTTCTCCATGTTGGTCAGGCTGGTCTTGAACTTCCGACCTTAGGTGATCCGCCCGCCCCAGCCTTCCAAAGTGCTGGGATTATAGGCGTGAGCCACCACGCTCGGCCTGCAATGTACTTCTTAAATAATAAGACTTGAAAGTTGAAATTACTCCTTGATCCATGTACTGTAGAATGGATATTGTAATAGAAGGCATGAAAGCAACATTAATCTCCTTGTACATCTCCATCAGGACTCTTGGGTGATTAGGTCACCCAAGATTACTGTCAGTGAACAGTAATCTTTTGAAAGGAGCCTTTTTAAATAAACAGTAGGTCTCAACAGTAAGCTTAAACACATTCAATAAACGATGCTGTGAACAGATGTGATATTTACACATATGTTTAAAACGCTTTTTATTTAAAGTGAGAGACATCACAGAACATAAAACAGAACTACCATTTGACCCAGCAATCCCATTACTGAGTACATATCCAAAAGAAATTAAATTGTTCTACCAAAAGAAATGTGTACTCACATGTTTATTGCAGCACTATTCACAATAGCAAAGACATGGAATCAACCTAGGTGCCCATCAGTGGTGGACTGGATAAAGAAAATGTGGTGCATATACACTATGGAATAGTATGCAGCCATAAAAAATGAAACCATGTTCTTTGCAGCAATTTGGGTGCAGCTGGAGGCCATTATCCTAACTGACTTAATGCAGGAATAGAAAACCAAATACCGCATGTCTCACTTATAAGTGGGAGCTAAACATTGAGCACCCATGGACAAAAACATAGGAACAATAGACACTGCAGACTACTAGAGGTAGGAGGGAGAGAAGGGGCAAGGATTGAAAAACTAACTATTGGGTATTATGGTCAGTACCTGGGTGATGGTACCATTTGTACCCTAGACCTCAGGGTACAATGTACCCAGGTAACAAACTTGCACATGTACCCCCTGAATCTAAAATAAAAGTTGAAATTACAACAAAAGTAATAAAAAATAAAATGAGAGATGTGTGACTCTATCTTGAACACTTAGAGGCCATTGTAGGACTATTAACTGGTCTGCTTGCAATATTGTTGTGTCTCAGGGAATAGGGAGGCCTGAGGAGAGGAAGAAAGACAAGAACAGCTGGTTGGTGGAGCAGACAGCACACACACTTATTGATCAAGTCTGCTGTCTTATGTGGGTGTAGTTTATGGTGCCCGAAATAATTACAGTAGTAACATCAAAGATCACTGATCACAGATCACCACAACAGATATAATAATGAAAAAGTTTAAAATACTGAGGGAATTACCCAAATGTGGCACAGAGACACGAAATGAGCACATGCCTTTGGAGAAATGCTGCTGGCAGACTTGCTCAATGCAGGGTTGCAACACATCTTTAATTAAAAAAAAAAAGCAGTATCTGTGAAGCAGAATAAAGTGAGGCACAGTAAAACAAGGTACGCACAAATTTTAAAAGAGAGCTGAAGTAATTTTTGTAAAAGTACAGAACTTAGAAGAAATGAAAGAGGTGTCAAATAATTTGAAACTTACAGTTGTTAATAGTCTTACTCTCTCTGGATGGAGCAACGGTTCCTCTCATAAAATATCATGCTGGGATGAGAAGGATTATAGTAGATTCATCAAGGCTAGCAAAAGAGGAGATAAACTAGTTGCTTGAATAATTTCTGAGAATGACAACAGTAGAATTAGTACACCAGTTCCAATATCTCCTCCACACTAATAGGTACATTTTTTAGTCAGAAATTTCATTATAGACTGATTCTCCAAATCTCCCTATATGGGACATTATTTTTATTGCTGTTTTAGATAATATTTGTTTTAGATTTATCCACATTTATCAATACCATCGCTCACTATTCCTTTTTTATTGGTCTCAGCTTTATTGAGATATAATTCACATGCAACTCACCTATTTAAAAGTGTACCTACATTTTAATATATTCACAGTATTGTGCAATCATCACCATAATTAACTTTACATTTACGTTTTCATCATCCCCCAAAAAAACACTGTACCCTTTAGCAGTCTACCCCATTTCTCCATTTTTCCCTCCCAGCCCTTGGCAACCACTAATCTAATTTCTGTCGCACTATTCCTTCTTGCATCTCAGCTCTTTCATTTTCCTTCTGCCAGAAGTAGAATTTCCTTCCATTCAGCAAACAAAAATTGTGACGTTTCAAACCAAATGCAGAAATATTTTCCTTAATTTCTTCTCATTCCCAAAGGCAAAAATATGTAGGACTTCTTTCTTTGAGCTGTTTTCTTCATTAGGATGAACTAATTCTTGAAATATCATCCTAATGATCAGCTGTTGAGACTAGCGGTGAGTTGAAGCTGGTTTTAAAAGAGTTAAGTTACTAAAATTTTCTCCTCAAAAAATTAATCTGACTTTCTTTTTCTTAACTGGATTTTAAGTCATTTAGTGTTCAGTAAAGACCTCTTAGGTTAGTAATTGCCTCCAAAATATATAAGACACAAACTTGTAAAGAAGAGTCAGCATCCAGGAGGCAAAACACCTTCACGGGGACCAGGGAAATGTATTGAGATATCAGAATAAAGTTCGCATTTATTGAGCGGTGTTAAAGAAAAACAAAGCTAGACACTAGTTAAAGGTGATAAAGACAGCTTCTATTCAGTAATACTACTGCAGTAGTAGAGAGAGACTTCAGTATGTTAGCTATGAGTTCTAAATTTCTCTTCAAATAATCAATATGTCAGTATGTTCAATTCTTTGCCTTCTACTTTTAAACTTAACTTCCTCGGAAAGCAACCTTTTTCGATTACCTGCTCCACCCTGACTCATTCCAATTACCTGCTCTGTCATAACCATTTTTCCTGCCAAACCTTACTCACCCCGTCATTCTCTTTAAATTAGCCAACTGGAATTAGTTTAGCCTGTGTGGTCTAACCCTAGCCAACAGGGGAACAACACAGCAGCAGGGGCCACATGTGTCAGGGATAAGAACCCCTTCCCCTCCCTTGTCCAAGGGTGCACTCACCATTGCTCCATCTGTAAGGGCACACCCTTCTATAGAAGTACATTGCCTTGCTGAGAATTAAAAAGAAAATTTTACATTCAAGTGCTATTTCTTTTGCAGCACGGAAACTTTATTTATAACAAGTATAAAACTGAGCTCGACTCCAACTGTGTAGAGGTGATGGTGGTTTAAAGAGAGACTGATGAAACAGGGAAGGAGAAACCAGTGGCAGGTCCAACAGAGTGAGGGAAATGGAAAATTACAAAAACAAGAAGGGGCTTGGTCAATGTAATCAGGCCATCTGGTTTATTAATTGGCACTTATATGGAGAAGAAACAAACTTCGTACCTCCAGGACAGGAGGCAGTTTTACAAATTAGGTAAGGCACCTAACAAAATTCTTCCCTTACCCTCCCAAGGAGCCTGGGAGGCAAAAGAACAAGAGGGAGGTAAGAAGACAGGAGACGGGATGGGAGTGGGGGAGTGGGGGTTGGGGATCGGTGGAACTCACACTACCTCCTTTGAGGTCAAAGAGACAGCTCCAGGTCATTAAGGAGACAGTTCTGGGTGGTAGAAGATTTACATCTCAAACAGGCAGTTTATAATCAGGCTAACTATTCATACTTTGAAAGCAATCTCTCTTTTCACTTTTTCCACTTTTAAGATCTTCTCTTTTACTTTGGTGTTCTATAGCTTTTCTTTAATATGTCTTCGTGTAGAAATCTTTTCATTTATCTTGTTTGGGATCCACTAGGTTTCCCATTTCTAAGACTGGATCTTTTAAAAATTTGGGGAAATTCTTGTCACCCCATTGAGTATTCCTCTTCTCCATTATCTCTATTATCTCCGCCTGAAACTCTGATTAGATGTATGCTAAACCTTCTTACACTAGCCTCTGTAATAACCTATGTTTCATGTTTTCTATATTTTCATCTCTCTGGACTGCATTCTAGTTTGTTTCTTAGGATTGATCTGCCAGTTCACTATCTTCATTACATCTAATATGTTGAATGGTATTATCCATTTCATTTTAATTTTTAATTATTATATATTACTTTGCAGAATCTTATATTGTACAAACACTTGGTCTTTTTTTATGGTCTCAGGTTCCCTGATCATATTTTCTTTTCTTTTTTTTTTTTTTTTAGAAACTGATGTTTATTTCCCATCAACCTTATTGCCATGTTGCTTAAGAACACAT
The DNA here is from genome assembly GCF_000001405.40 of Homo sapiens. NCBI lineage: Eukaryota > Metazoa > Chordata > Mammalia > Primates > Hominidae > Homo > Homo sapiens. The sequence continues at coordinate 114,084,157 of NC_000006.12, forward strand.
GCAAGAACAGCTTAAGACCATTAAGTGGTTGCTCCTATCCATTCAGTGGCCTGAGCAATGGGAGCTGCAGACCAGTCTTCCGTGGCAGGCTGAGCACTCCAATATTCAGTAGGGAACTGCTGAATAGTCACAGAGGGCACCTGCACACCTTCAGACCAGTCTGCAATCTCAGGCTGAGTAGCAGTGAACTCAGGAGCTGAATCAGTCCATTCACCCTGAAATTCCTCCTCGGTCACAGCATTTTCAGCAGCAGCCTGCTCTTCTTTTTCAGTCTCTTCAGGATCTCTGTAGAAGTAGAGATCAGGCATGACCTCCCGCGGGTATTCACGGGAAATGGTGCCACGCATGCGCAGAACTTCCCGAGCCGGCGTCCACCGCATCACACCCGCTGAGTGAGCTCCCTCGTTGTTGCACGGGATGGCAAAGTCCACATAGTGCAGAGGAGAATTGTTACAGAGCAATGCTAGGTAGGTTAACATAAGATGCCTTAATGAGAGGCTGATGGTCAGCCCTGGGGTCAGTAACCACAAGAAGCCGTGGCTCCTGGAAGGCTGCCTGGATTTGGTTAGTGAAGGTTCCAGGCGTGAAGAGGCCAGCAATTGGAGTGGCTCCAGTGGCAGCAGCAAACTTAAGCATATTTTCAAACTCTTAGAAAATTTCTTTTTTCTTTTCTTTTCTTTTTTTTTTTTTTTTTGAGACGGAGTCTCCCTCTGCTGCCAGGCTGGAGTTCAGTGGTGTGATCTCGGCTCACTGCAACCTCTGCCTCCCGGGTTCAAGCGATTCCCCTGCCTCAACCTCCTAAGTAGCTGGGACTACAGGTGCGCACCACCACCCCTGGCTAATTTTTTGTATTTTAGTAGAGACAGGGTTTCACCATGTTGGCCAGGATGGCCTCAATCTCCTGACCTCGTGATTTGCCTGCCTCCGCCTCCCAAAGTGAGAAAATTTCTTTAAACATAACTGTTTTATATTCCATGTCAAAAATTCTATTATATGAGGATTTTGTGGTCTGTCATTTTACTCACAGTGCCTTACTTCTTTTACTGTTTTGTGATACTTCACTCTTGACTGTTCATTTTATAAGAAACTTTATTTGTGGTATCTTGAATCCTGGGCTGAAGTTGAGTTCTTTCGAAGAAGTTATACATTTTTTTCTACTAGTCACCTAAGGACATGGTCGTCTGGGATCATGCTTGAGGTTTTATGGACCACACATGCAGGATGAATCAGAACCCAAACTCAAGCAAAGACCAATTTGGGATTATGAATCCTCAGAGAATTCCATTCTCTCACACTATGCCAAAATCAATTTGCTTGTGAAATATCAGAGTTCATTGCAAATTCATTCTTACATTGGCAGTATAGCTCTCTAGAATACTGTTTTTATGAATGCCTCCTGTTAGATTCCCTGCACTGACCAAGACCTAGGCTGTATCTCACAGCTGGTCCCACAAAACCATCAGAATGGAAGCCAAAGAATTCTAGGGTTTAGCAAAAATTCTCACAGCAATAGCCACTTGATAACTTGCTTACCAATTGGGTGTTCTGATTTTATTTTATGTTAGGGATCTGTTCACTCCTTACTTTCCAGCAGCCTCATAGATATAGTTTTATATTTATAGATTTAGACATATATTTTAAATATTTCATCATATATTTTAGTTATTTCAACAGTGAGGGTGATATAAATGATATAGGGTACCTATTCTACCATACTATCAGAAATAAAAATTGCTTTTATTTTATTCATTTTCTCTTAAATTCATATAAATTCATTGCCCCCCCCCCCATTTAATCAGCCACTTAGAGGAAAAACTTCTATATCTGTTCTTTTATGGACATTCAAAGATTTTATTTTGTTTTTGTTTCATTTTTAGCAACAAATGCTTCTTTCAGTTTACAGGAAAAAAAACGGTTCTATTTGAAAGTTACTCTGACATGCTATTAAAGGCAGTGTGGAATTGTACATGGCTCCCATAACCTTTGTCTTGGTGTTACTACTATTATTGCAGTACATTTACAAGGCAAAAGATTTTGCAGATTGTAATTAATGTTACTAATCAGCTGAACTTAAGATAGGGAGATCACTCAGGTGGGTCTAATTTAATCAGATAAGCCCTTTAACAGCAGAGTATTTTCTCTAGCAAGTAGCAGAAGGAGTGATTAGATTCCAAGCAAGAGAAGGATTAACATAGTGTTGCTAGTTTGAAGATGCAAGGATTTGGAAAGCAGCCTCTAGGAGCTGTGACCCCTAGTCAATAGCCAGCAAGAAAACCGGGACCTCATTCCTACAACCACAAGGAATTGGATTCTGCCAACCACAAGAATGAACTTGGAAGCAGATTCTTCCCGAGAGTCATCTCCAGACGAGAGCACAATCCACCTGACAGCTTGATTTCAGCCTTGTGAGATGCTCAGCAGAGAATCCAGTTGAGCCTACCTGGATTTCTGACCTAAAGAACTATCTGCTAATAAATGGATGTTAAGTTTCCATGGTGGTGGGCATTTGTTATGCAGCAATAGAAAACTAATGCAGGCATATTTCCCTATCACCTGTAGCTTTAAGAAAAAACAAAACTAGTGATTTTTTCTTGAAGCTTTTTGTTCGGGGAACACAGAATGCCAAACAACAAAAGCTCACCTTCAAGAGATACATTGTGCCTATGACTATACTATTAAACTTTGAACAGAGAAGATAATGCAATTGAGTTTGCTATTGGCAAGCAAAGGTCAATTTAGTGAAATGTCAAATACTTTTCGGTGAAAAGGCAGATCATTATATCTGACACCAAGTCAGTGTTCTGGGTTGTAATCTGTAAACTATTGTCTTCACATAACTCTCACAGAAGCTGACTCCTCTCTGTCTTTTCTCAGGTTAAAGCCATGTTCTTCAGTGCTCACCTGTGGGCTCTGGAAGTGCCCTCTTTCCTTGATGAGGCTCTAGGTCTCTGCGGCAAAGTGGAGCCACTTTGCATTTAGCTACATGTTGACCTCCCTCTTCCTCCAATTCACCCTTAATTGCCTTTCTGGCTTCATTTCTGATAAATGTCCACACAGACCCTAAATTTGGAAGATATTTATTGTTGCCCAGACATGCCAGGTACTTTCCAAATTTCCAGCATTGTTCTTCCTTCCCTGCATGATGCCCGTTCTTCCATTTCCACCTGTAGAAATTGTAGTTATCATTCAATATTCAGCTCAGGTGTCACTTGCCCCATTTCTTGATTTTTCCAGGCAGAATTGGATAGTTCCTATTTTGTGTTTCCAAAGGCTTCAAAATAGCTTTTGCCCTCTGTTGTGTAATTGCCATGACATTAAGTTACTGACATTAAGAACAATGGCCTGTACGTCTATGAATCCCCAAAGCCTGGTGCAGTTCATTATTAGATGTTTGATCCTTGTTTGTGGAATTGAGTGAACCTAATGTGGCTCAGGCCCAGTGAGATAAACAAAATAATCAGGTGCAAAAAAGAGTTCTATGCAAAAGAATAGTTCTATTTTTTTAAATGTATGAGTCAGCATATTGCTCACTACTTTCTCTTTAATTGGATTGTGTAGCCTCAATGTTTCTCCCAAGTTTTCATAACCTGTGAGTCGACCACCATGCTTCAAAACCAGATGATTTCAACAGGTTCATCTCTCTGTCCTGTGCTATAACATCCTTACAATCTGATACACATCTACATACAAAAGCCTCATTCAGCTGCCTAAAAGTTGCTTTTACTAAACAACTCTCCCTCTAAAACCCCGTAATAACTTTCCATAGCCTAGAACTGCATGGTCTAATATGGTAGTCACTAGCCCCTAGCCATGAGCACAGCTTGAGATGTACCAAAAGTGTTAAATGTCCACTGGATTTCAAAGACATAGTATGAAAAAAAGAATGTCAAATATATTGATTTTATGTTGTGATGCCTATATTGGGTAAAGAAAATTTATCACTGAAATTAATTTCCCGTTTCTTTTTACTTTTTCTAATGAGGCCTCTAAAATTGTAAATTACCTACGTGGTTTGCATTTGTGGCTTGTATTATACTCTACTGGGATGTGCTAGCCTACAGCATAAAATCCCAGCACCTGAATTTTGTGCTGTAATTCACATCTGGCTGTAATCTCCTCTACTTGTCTCAACTCTCACATCCCACATATGAAATGTCCACCATGGCCAGTATTTTTTCAGAGATTCTGTGCTTTCTTATTCTTTTCTTCTGCCTATACTATTTCCTGGATGATCTTCTCTTTTTTTTTTTTTTTAATTTTTCTTATCAATATCTTATCCTCTCCTCCAAGCTCACTTTAGCTTCACTGACTGGAAGAAACCTCCTCTGATCCCACTAATGGAAAGGGATTTCTTCTAAAGGAAGGATTCTGATGTGTATTTATTGTATATTTATCTTGTCTCATCTATTACGTTATAAGTACTTAGAAGATAGGGACTATTTGATACACCTATCTGCATATGCCTTCACAAATAGCACAGTGACTTCCCTCAATAACTCTCAAAAATGTGCAATACATAAATTGAAGGGAAGAATTCTATTTAGAAAATAGGTTATAGGCTATATACAGATATGTGTGTATATATATACATATTCATGTATGTAAATATATATACAGACTCAACATTTCATAATTTAATGAATAGGGAAAGACTCAGCAAGATTTTGTAGGTCCTTAGAGAAGGATAAAGAACAAAAATCTTCAGAGAGAATCAACACTAAGAACATTAGGGCTGGAAGATACTGCAGAGAGCACTGCGCTCATTTCCCTCTTCTTACAGATGAAGGAGCTGAGGCTGGAGAAGTTAAGAGACCCCTGCTAGATAGGAAGGCACGTGAGAAGTATACTGCTCTGTCTCCTGTGGTAAGTACAGGACCTGATACTTAAGAGGTCAGTAAACATTGGCTGAATGAATGAATGAATAAATGATCAGTGCAAAGTAAACACATCTGGTGAACTCAAACTAGGCTACATAGCCCCTGATTCTCAGAATAGTAGTATTTTCATTCTACCATGTAGAGAGGGGAAGGACAGTTGGGAAGCAATGGGGAGCTATATTTAAAACAGAATTTCAGCCAACCATTAAATTAGCCATTTAACAGTTTTTCTGGCAATGGCATCTAGGCATATGTGGATTCACAATAGTTAATTACACCTTTCCTTCCTTTTTGAATGACCCTCTCCAAGTTGGTCAGTGCTGATCTTGCTGGCATTTTTCTGTGCAGAAAAGAGTATATATGTGTTTTCAATAATTTTCCTAATTATCAGTGATGGATTTTCATTGATCCCCTATCCTTTCGTGTCCTGGTCCCTTTCATACATTTATTTGTTGCTTGATATTTTACAGAGCACCTGTCTTATGTATTCTATATCATCAAATTTTCAAAGCAAACTTATTAGTTTTTATTAGCGCTTCCACTTTGAAATGTGGAGCCAAAGACTCAAAGAAGTTAACTTAAACTGATCAAACGTCACATAGCTAAGAAATGTTGGAGCTGTATGTGTCTTCTATATTATTTTCAAATATTATGATTGCTTCTCTGATTGCTTCTCATTATTAATTGTATTGGATAAGAGCACAGATTCATTATGCTGAGGCAAGGGGTATAATTTGTGGCCACTGAACGGAGAAGCCGTTGGGCAATCTCATGATCTCAGTCTCCCCAGATAATTTCTTATTCTTTATTCTCTTCAAACACAATTTTGATGGTTTAGTACACATGGAAAGAAAACGTTTCTTTTAATAGCTTTATCTAATATAACAATAATCGGAATAATTGTTAAACTGGCTTCCCAAAACTTTAGTTGGGGGTACTCTTGCATTTCTGAAGCTCTGGCGTTGGGGAGGTAGTCACTGACATTTCTTTGAGAACCCTGTACATGTGGCCATGAACCCTCTGCCAAAGATAAGGAAACTTTATTTAAAGCTTGAAGATTTTGAAATGTGGGGCTTAGGCTTTAATGGAAGGCGAAAATAATGCAGTCCGTGCTTTTAAACAGAATAAACAAGTAGGATAACATTAATCAATAAGTCTTAGTTGAGGTTGCCTCACAGGAAATCTATGCACCTTACACATTCTCCGTCTGTGTAAGGCAATTTGCTTGTTGTTATTTAGATGTGACTGACATAATTTGGCAATCTGGTTTATTAGTATACTTTGTAACAAATTGTGTCTCGAATGCCAGTGATATTTTTTTCTGGCTGTAACTTAACAAGGTGACTTATTCTGAAGTAGTAAATGAATGTCACAAAGATTCTCTCCCACTTTCCCTACCCCCTCCTCCCTCCTCCCTCTTCTCTGTCCTTCTTTCTTCTTTTCTGCACTTATCTTTAATCCACTGATGAAAACAAATTTTAGAACACCAAATGTTATGGAAAACTTGTTGGTCATGAGTGTTACTATGGGTATGCTATGTTCCAGCTTTTCAGTTTTAGGAAGCTTGGGTAAATGTCTGCTATTCCCTTGTGCTGCAGCCCTCCCTTCTCCCATTTCCTTTTTGGGTACTATGGATAGTTTGCAAAAAAATGCCAACGAAATAAAGTGAAGCAATTCCTTTTCAACTTGCATCACGAAATCCTTAGTGTTAAAAATGAGTGTATCTTAATGGAAGAGCCTATTAAATGAACAAGAAGTAAATAATAATGAAGTTATCTTGCTAATTAACCTGGACGGTGACGTGAATTTTGCTGCAGCTGAAACTCAGCAGTACAATTGCCCTCTTAGCAGAGTTCTGGTGCATCAGACTCTCACTGTTCTCTGGTGTTCACATGTCTAGCTATTTCAAGAATGTTTGTATCAAACTTTTATTACAAATGCTAATACTGGGTAATTTAGGGAAAAAAGTGACAAATACTTTCTGTGGGGAGAAAAAAACTATTTCTTTCATTTCAGGGGGCCTAATTATAACACTCCTTTCTATTTTAGTCCCTATTTATTTTCCAATTCTTTGGGGATTGGGTAGTATTTAACAATGAAACAAGCAGTGCCCCAGTGCCTAATTAAGATTTTCTTGTAGGATTAATAAGTCATGTCTCATTAGCCCCACTGAACTGGAGGTGTTAATCTTCACCTTGACATTCTAATTTTGAAATAAGTTTGTGGATCAAGTATTGAAGGATGTTGAGCAAACAGTTTGATTAAAGCCACTGAGTCTTCAGATGCCAGTCTCATATTATTGATTCAAATGCATCCCTACATACAAATGCTTAGATGTGTCATTTTAAATGTACTAAGCAGTGGCTGGGTGCAGTGGCTCATGCCTGTAATCCCAGCACTTTGGGAAGCCGAGGCGGGCAGATCACCAGGTCAGGAGAGCGAGACCATCCTGGCTAACATGGTGAAACCCCATCTCTACTAAAAAAAAAAAATACAGAAAATTAGCTGGGCATCGTGGTGGGCACCTGTAGTCCCAGCTACTCCGGAGGCTGAGGCAGGAGAATGGCATGAACCCGGGAGGCAGAGCTTGCTGTGAGCCGAGATTGCGCCACTGCACCCAGCCTGGGTGACAGAGCGAGACTCCATCTCAAAAAAAAAAATGTACTAAGCAGTGGTCTGGAATGATTGCTGGAAGAAGCCACCATGTTTTGGCCTTTCCCAACAAAGAAAGCGAAAGTATCTTTGCATGTTTCCTGAATTACCTGTGTTTCTTCCTATGATGATTTTTTTATTTTTCTCACACTGGGGAACAAGCAAAGAGGTCAGAGCATAGCAGCCACAGAGAACTCTTATGTTTTCTGGTAGAGACTTGCAGGAGGCTATGCCATGGACATTTGCTGGCAATGCTGTCTGAGATAAGTGGCCTCTTTTACAGTGACATGGCAGAAGGCAAAACCACTCTCAAACTCTCACTCAGTTAAAACATCCTAGACTTTTATCTCTTCGTTTTTCCAAATGACAGTGATTCAACAGGCCAAAAAGAGGTCAGTGGAGAAGAAATTATATGCCACTGTCATTTCTGTGATTCTCAGTTGCATCTTTGTAAAAGTAAAGAGCTGGGCTAGATAATCTCTTAGGGTCCTTCCATTTTTAAGATGACAGTGCCCTTACTTTAGTGACATAACCCATGCCTACCTCTAGGAAGCTGAGCTTGTCTTCTTTGTTGTCTCATCCCCAGTACATCACACATGGTGTTGAATACATAGCTGCTGAATGGGTGAATGAAGCGGGGCCTTGAAATGCATTGTAATCTCAAGTGTAGGCTGAATATGATGAGCTCAGCACTGGGAAATCTCTCCCCAAGGAGCTTTTAATATCATTGAAGAAATTAGCTTGAATAACCTGAAACTTAGCACACCTAAAGAACACTCTGTGGTAAGTGGCACAATGTATGAGGCAGGTTTTATGGATCACAAGAGGTTAGAGAAAGTCATGCAGACCTTATAAAAGGATAGCTACAAGTTGGCAGCCATTTTGGTTTTGGCAGACAGAAAAATAGAAATAAAAATAAAATGATAAAAATCAACATATATGTTGTATACTTGCCAGATGTCAGGCTTATTTATTTATTTATTTATTTATTTTGTTTTTTTTTTTTTGAGAAGGAGTTTCACTCTTTTTGCCCAGGCTGGAGTGCAATGGTGCGATCTCGGCTTACTGCAACCTCTGCCTCCTGGGGTTCAAGCGATTCAACTGCCTCAGCCTCCCAAGTAGTAGGATTACAGGCACATACCACTATACCCTGCTAATTTTGTATTTTCAGTAGAGATGGGGTTTCACCATGTTGGCCAGGCTGGTCTCGAACTCCTGACCTCAGGTGATCCACCCACCTTGGCCTCTCAAAGTGCTGGGATTATAGGTGTGAGTCACTGCACCTGGCCGATGTCAGGCATTTCATATAGTATATGTAATCACATTTAATTCTTATAACTCCATGAGACTGGTAGAATGATCCACATGTTACAGATTAGTGAAGTCAGGATTGTGGAAGTTCAATAACAAGTCCAAGGCCACACAGTTAACAAATGGTGGAAGAGGAATTTGAACCCATGTCTGACTGGCTTCAAAGACCGTAATCCTCCACATGCACCAGTCTGCCTGAACAGGAAGTACACTGGGTTGTTAAAGAACCTGGCTTTCAGGATGAATGTGGCCTCTCTAATCAAGCTGCTCCTGATGAATATGCACCTGCCTGTTCTCTTTGCTCATTCATCCCTATAAGGCCTGAGAATGACCTTGTATCTTTTTTGTTTGTTTGTTTGTGTGTGTGTGTGTGTGTGTGTGTGTGTGTGTGTGTGTGTGTGTCTGGATGTTTTCTGTCTGCCCCTCTTTGCTTGTCTCCACCCTTGATATTTACATTTGTCCTGGCTTACCTACCAGGCTTGGATTGGTTTTGACTTCTAGAATCTGATGATATTACTGTTCATTTCGCCTACCTTCTTCCAACCTTCTGGCTCTGCCATGGGCTTTGCCTTCTGAGTTCTGTTATGGGTTCATCTCATCTTTCTCCTTTTCTTTTCTATACATCTGGTTTCCTCTTACTCTTTACCTGGGCTCCCCATTGTGCAGTATCTATTCATCATGACTTAGGGCAGACATGATGACAGATGCATGGACAACCCAAGCTGGAACTAAAATCTGAGCAGACAAAAAAAACGAAAACAAGCCTGCTTTGTATAGAGGCCAAGAGGAAATTATTTGGAAGAGAAAATATGATTTGTGTTAAGAATGGGAATATAATTGAATAGGCAGGTACATTAGATAATAGACCTTCTAAAAAAGCAGACATGGGCATGTAGATGGTAGTATAGCAAATAGAGCACCAGCATGCAGGACTGAAAAAAGAAACTGCATGTTCAAAGCTGTTTATATATAATAAAAATTCAATCTTGAATAGCTCTGACAGAAGAGGGAAGGGAAAAGTAGAGTAAGGATACCAAATAGGATGGTGATGCTGATTTATCCAGACATAAGACAGTAACAGCTTGCACCAGTGTTGAGAAGTTGTGTAAATAGAAAAAAGGGGATGAGGTAGAGCCAGTATTAATATTTTAAAGAAAAAGTTGTTAGGACTTAGAAGACGACTGGATATAATATATGCCATTTTAGGACTGCCCTAGTTTTTAAAAAATCTTGACTTATTTGGGGGAGTTCAAGAAGAGGTGCACAAGGAAATAATTTAAAGTTAGTTTTGATACTTCCCTAAATATTTACAACAAGTCAAACTTCACAGTGGATAGGAAAGCAACCAGCAACAATCCAATGTTATAGTGTTATTTAGTTTTAGGTATTCTTGGAGTTTGCTCTTTGATAGTTTCCAAACCATAAACTGAGATTTCTCAGAGGTATGTGAGACACTGAAGAACAAATTCCTGTTAGAAATGTAGGAACCCTTCTGAATGGGGGGTAAAGATCAGAAAGAATGGAGTTATTCCTTTTTTTCCTCCTATATGGTAGCTATTCTTGGGACATTTATTCTAATAATCCTAAGCCTATATAATAACGATCCAAGTTATGGTATAATATAATTTCCTTACAGCAATAGTTGGAGGTAAAAACACTCAGTAATTTCACATTTTGTAAACATTATAAAAGTACTCCTATGATAGACAGGGTGGCTGTCATGATCCCTGGTCCCTGATATTCATGCTTTTGTATAATCTCCTCCCCGTGAGTATGGGCAGAACCTGTGACTTGTGTCTAGCCCACATAGCAAAGGTGATGCAATGTCACCGTTGTGATTTTTATACATGACATAAGATGGTCCTTCTAGTAGGCTTACTGTGGACTCTCTATCTCTGTTGCTGGCTTTGAAGGAGGAAGCTGTCATGAACCTTCAGCTGCTAGAAACTGAATGCTGTCAACAACCACATGCAGGGAAGCACATCTCCTTCCCTTAGTTTAGTCTCCAGATGAGAACCAAGCCGTAGGTGACACCTTGATGGCAGTCTTGTGAGACTCTGAAGCAGGGAACTCAGCTAAGCCATGCCCAAACTCATGCCCCATAGGATTGATGAGGTAATAAATGCATGTTGTTTTAAGCTGCTAACTTCGTGAGAATTTGTAACACAGCATAGAAAGCAAATACACTTCACTTTTGGCCCTCCTCTTTCATTGGCTGTATAAACAGTGATTAGTGCTTCCATCTTCCCAGTTGCAATGACAGAGACCCTGGAGCCATTCTGGCCTTCTTCCTGTCCCTTATGCCCAACATCTAGCATCTAACCACTCTGCATGTTCCAAAATCCTACCTTTCAACCAGTTATTCTTTTCTTTGCTTCATACCCGTCAAACTAGTGAAGTTCAAACTACACAACCCATGCCTTTCTTCAGGGCTGATGGCTACAAGATGCTCACATGAATATGGGAGAGGGAGGGAGGCAGCAGAATTACCAAGGATAAGGGGCAAATAACCAAAGAAGACAACACTGATAGGCGATTTAACTGAAGCAGGGTGGTGCTAAGGCCTTTGCTGAGACTCCAGTTAATTCTACTGTTGTCCAGGGCATCAGTAGCCCAAAAATGACCTCACTTTACTGTAGAGGCACTTTTGACAACTTTCTCTACCAGCTCTCATCATTTCCTGCTTGGACCAAATGTTCACTCTGACTTGGAATCTTATTCCCCCTCTAATTTATCCTCACGTCTATTCCCAGACTGATTTCCTAAAGCAGAAACCTGGTTTATCTTACAATATTTTCTACTAGTATTTAGGATAAATTAAAACCCTTACTGTAGTCCCCAAAGCCTTCCATAGTGTAGTTGGTCCCTGTTACATCTCTGGATACGTCTCCTGTCCTATGCTCCTACCTCTCACTCTGTATTTCAATGATACTAATCATTTACAGTATAGTTCCTGGGGCATATTCATGCTAGTTTCATCTCCATATTCCTGTTGAAGTTATTTTCACTGTGCAGAACATTCTTTTCCAGCATTTGTAAGACTACCTTCACCTTACCTTTTAAGATTCCATGGATGTATTTTAAACCTTCAGGAAGCGTTCACTCACCTATTAAGAAGGATAATTTTAGGCAAGGGCAGAGGCTTTGTGGGTATCCAGTGGAAAAAGCATCAAAAATACTGCAAATTGTTCACTAGTCCAAGGGAACATCACCCTTGAGCCCGTCATCAAATCTTGACCATAAACTAGTGTAATGTTAAAAAGTTCCAAACATGTTAGATGGCTGCCTCAGTGATAATGCATCTTAGGTATCATTTTGTATATCTTTTCATCCGGCTACATGAAAGTATAATGAAGACATGCCTCTTTACTGCAATAACATTAAAATAACATCTATTTGGGTAAGTGTACGCTTTTACCAGTTAACGTAGGACTTTTTTTCCCCATAAAAATGTTTTTCACAGTGAATCTCCAAATGATTTCTGAGATGACTGGAAAGGTTACCAGGTGAGAAAAAATGAAGAGAGATGTTTAGCAACTGAGCATTTGAATAACCAGAGATGATGTTATTATTACATTTTTGATGCCATAAACGTGCACAATTTGTGTGGTACATAAAGGGAAGTCAACTTGGGTTTAAAAATTGGGGAAAAAAGTCAACCAAATATGTTTAGGTATCAAAACTGGTCCTAGCAGTTAGTAAGGAAAGTAACTAACTTTATTCTTCGTTTGGAAATTTAATAGGCATATAAGTGCCACTAGGGGGCTCTCTAATATTCCATAGGTGGGAGGCCTGACTATCACAGCAGGGGTAATAGAATAATGAATAAAAATGCTCTGTAATTTAAAGTATATTCCTTAGTCATATTAACATTTGCATGTTTGTACAAAGCCTGAAAAATGGAACTTTATTATTTTAAGGTTTTCTAGTGTTAAAAATGTATTTATGGTAAATAATTTAGAAATGCAAATGTAAATATGCACCTGATAAAGAAAGGAATAATGTGCTTCATTGCACTCAATTTCTTTGGTGTAATAAAAAGGGGAAAAAAAGAGCTTCCTCTAGTTTCCTGATTACTTTTCTTCCTGAGTAATACAAAACAAAATGTTTAAAATTTTTGCCACCTGAATTATTCCATCAATTAATAGATAATTATTTATAGATATGAAATATGTATCTCTATACATATATATAATTGGATATTAGGTTGTTTAACCTTATTCAACAGAATATACAGAATAAAGCTTTTAAATTGTAAATACTAATATATTACCAGTTAAAGGAATTCATTAAAAGGCTTGGTCCTATGTGGATATACTTATGAAAAAAGGTAACTTATTAGGGTATATTTCATTTACTGTTCTAAGATATGCAAAATGCAAAACTTGTTTAACAACTTTTCCTAGGAACATTAAAACATATTAAAACAAAAGCATTATTACCAGGGAAGGAAATATTGGGTATTTAGCATCCTTTATATTGTATATTGTAATTTATGTTTGTTTCCATGCTTTCAAATATGTTCCAATTATAAGAATTCCGTGTTGCATATTTCTTATATTTTTCTATGATTGTCAAATGTTGTGGCATAAATATATAAAATTCTGTATAGAACTATATTTGGAGTCTATTTTGTGCTCTGGAAAATATGAGCACTTTGAATTGAAGTAATCAAAATTATTTTGGGGATAGAAGATTTAGGGAATGAGAAAAGAAGGTAATTTTCCTGAGCTCTACTTCCTTATTCTTTCCTTTTTTAAAAAAAATCAAAGTATAGTATATATTCTCATTATTTTCTGGTTTCCCATCTCAGCCTATTAATTCCAAACCAAAATTTAAAAAACAGATTTTTAACTAACTCTACCCCTAAAGGACAAAAATGGAGTAGTGAAAAATTTTGTGGGCTGGCAAATAATTCATTCTTATTTTTAGGTTTATATGTGTAGATATGTATTTTCTTTTTCTTCTCTACAATCAAAAGACAAATGCATGACTCATGTACAGACATTTACTTCTCTACTTCTTTCACTAGTATAGTACTTGGAAAAGTGAGGGTGGCCCCAGAAAGGAAAGGCTGGGAATTAAATGGTAATATAAGCTTTCTAATTCAGACGTTTTACTAAGCGAGTGAAGAACATACTTTAGAACATTCAAGGTAGTTGGTAAGATAAAGTTATTATGATCTTTTGCTTAACCTGGAAGTTTTTGGCTGTGACAATTCTCTTCCTAAAATCATTTGCTTTCTTTTATTTAAAACAAAAAAAGCAAGTAAAGAAAAACCTTCAACCTGGTAACTGAAGTTAAAATCAGAAGATCAGTTAATTTGTTAAATGTATATACCTTTACAATATATTTGCAAACACTGAGTGGTCACCAAACCTGGAAACAAAACATATAACAAATAATGTATTAATATTATATTAAATATAGATGATAAATTAATATTGTCTATATTTTCAGACTTTATGGCCACTCTCAAATTATTTTTCCTCAAGTACATATATATGTATGATATGTATATATTTATCACTATCAAATATATATTTTAATATATAATATTAAATTATATATTTGAAAATGATTATATATTTGAAATTATATATTTATATGCTTGAGCGTGAAAGACAACTAGGAAATACTTGATGAATGGGCATATTAAGCAGCTATATAAACCGTAAGAAGAAAGAATAAACATTTATTGTTATTCTGGATAATATCTTCTGAGGTAATTTGCATTCATCTTAGAATAAATAACTGTGTAAAGCCATTGGTGTGTATTTTTTTGATTTCAGTGTAAAAAGTGATTAAATAATTTAATGTCATAGGAAGGCTAGCTCATCTTGCATTAAAAATATGTACATACACACATATATGTGTACATGTATGTACATATATTTGTGTATTTTTTCCTTGAGCAGTTATGAATTTATGCACTGGTGCCAACACAATGAACTATAATGCATGTTTTTATTGAGTTTAATGTCCTGTTGGAGATAATAAATATATACCCGAAGTTAAATAACAATACAAGAAATGATGTGAGGTGGAGCAGTCAAGAGCTGGTCTAGAACTCCTGATAGATAGGCAAAGATCTCTGAGTCAGCGCTAGTCTTCCATGTTGCAGAAAGGGCTGCTCTTCCATGCTGCAGAAAATAGCCACCTTAGGAATACACTAGAGGGTCAGCCATAAGCCTTAGCTTGTTAGTCAAATTACAGGGCCAGCAAGCTACACCTGTTTTAAGAAGTACAAGTTAATTTTAAGGATTTTAAGGCAGCAGCCCTAATTGAAAAGTTCCATCTACTTAGATCATTTGTAAGACCTCATTTGTCTTCCCAGTTACTAGTAACAAACTGTCTTCTGAAAGTTTTTGTTACAGATTCCTAAATTTTAATGCAGAACTTTCAGTATAAAATTGTCTCATCATAGTAATTCCTATTCCCTAAGGTCTATTTCAGATCATTGTTTTTCCTTTAATCTGGAGCACAAGGCACACAGATCATAAAATTTAGAGTACTGCAAAAGTCATTGAGTAATCAACAAAAAGTTAATCAATTTGCAAAGTGAAGTTTTCATCATGTGTCTGTACCTAAGGCCAATAAATCAAACTAAGTGGATTCAGCTCTCTAAGCTAGCATGGAGGGAAAGACCATATCCCTTATTAGTTTATTAGGATTTTCTCTAATCCCAGTAGTTGATTCCAAATAATCCACATATATTGCTAGGTGATGACCCCTCTCCTCTTCCACACTAATTTTCCATTCTAATAGCCTAATATTAGCGTCCATGCTTTATCCCAGCTGAATCAGGAGTGCAGCCTTACCTAGGCAGCTGAAATCCCCACAGATATGACCCAAAGCTGCATGATTATTATGACTCTTGGCCTTTTCATATATAGTTAGTCAATATTTACAAGCACTGCAGTCTATGAATAAGGTACAGCTCAGGGAATAACTCCTAAGAAATGGAAAAAAATGTGGCTAGTTTTCCTACAGTCTGAAGGAAAAGAAAGACCCCAACTTCATGGTTCATATTCTAATATGTTTTACCTTTTATCCTATATTGTGGTTCTCTCTGGATAGAATTTTCTAAAAATAAATTTATTCTTCTACAATGATTTATTCTAGGAGACATAGGATGACAATTCCTAGCTGAAGCCTACATGTGTGTTACGAACCATACACAAACAGACCAATGTGTAGATAGGTGGCATGAGCTCACACCCTTCCCCACATACATGTCTTTCATCAAGACAATCTTTATAGTCTCTGGGTCACGTTCTCCACGCAGAGATTGCAGACGATAGAGAGGCATCCTACCACACCTCGGTTAAAGAGAAAAATTTGATGTCTGGACATGTGTAGTCTTGTGGAAAGGAACCTTATTTCACTCATAGACGAGCAGTAGTATGGCTAGCAGTATTTCCCCAGAGATGGTCTGATTTAAAAAAAAAATCGATATCAACTCTTGACACATTTTCATTTACATCAGCACATGGCTTTCAGTCGGGGCACAAATCAATAGGCAGCTTTTAACACTGCCCAACTATTTCTTCCTATTGGGCTTGAGGCAGGCCATTTGCCGTTAACATACCATGTTTCTTGGGGGAGGAAGTTTAACTGTTTTTCCTGTGACTAATCACAACAGCCTAAACTGTAGCATTAATCACACGACATTTTCTTCATCACCACTTACAGCCAATTGACTTTTTACTTAGTGAAAGCATTTGAAGAAGGTGACAGTTGTTCTAAGGGGGTCAAGAGTCAATGGAAAGAAGAAATATTTAGTTCCAAAACATACACAGTATATGGCTTCAAAAGCTGACACTATGCCAGGCATCATTAGAAGGCTTATCACTCTATAGGTACGATCTCACAGTCAAGATGGAGGAGAAGATTTGTGTAAAATTAAAGTGCTAGCTAAGAGTCATAGCTTTTGGTTTGAAAACAATTAATCTGGGCCTTTCTATAAATTAAAAGTCACATCAAGGGTCACTAGTAATTGGCAAAGTGTTTTCTCTAACTTTTGGAAGTGAATTATTTTTCTGTCTTTTTTTCTAAAACTAGCAGGAAAGTTCAGTTAGGTCTGATGTCCTGTGAGGCTGGCAATCTGTGCAGTATTGGCAGTCTCGATTAAATGTAATATCTGGTTCATTGCTGCAGCAACTCAGATTTCTAAATAATGAATCAAATTCTTACATTATTCAAAAGCCACAAAAGGGTTATTAAGCCGAATAAGCAGATACTCACAAAGGTTTACAACATATTTATTTAGGGCAACTCCAAAGCACAAAAGTAACATGTTTTAAAAATATACAAAAAGACAACTTCCTATATGATATTGCATTATATCTATATTGTCCCAAACAGCAGTATCTTTTTAGAGTAGGACTCTCCTGGGATGTTATTCTCCTCACATGCTCCTAAAAAAGCACCACGTGGTTAAAAAATTTTGAAGAATGATGTAATTGAGGACAGAGTGCCCCTTTTGTTGATTTACAGTGCCTGTGGGTATATCAAAAGCTCCAAAAATATTTTCAATAAAGAAAACTGTGTATGATGCTAGTGAGGCTGCAGAGAAAAGGGAGTGCTTATATACTGCTGATGGGAATGTAAATCAGTTCTGCCATTGTGGAAAGTAGTTTGGCAATTTCTCAAACAACTTAAAACAGAATTATCATTTGACCCAGCAATCCCATTATTGGGTACATATCCAAAGGAATAGAAATTATTCTGCCATAAAGACACATGCACACGTGTGTTCATCACAGCAGTATTCACAATAGTAAAGGCATGGAATCAACCTAAATTCCCATCAACGGTAGACTGGGTAAAGAAAATGTGGTACATGTACACCATGGAATGCTATGCAGCTATAAAAAATAATGAGATCATGTCCTTTGTGGCAACATGGATGGACATGGAGGTCATTATCCTAAGCAAACCAACTCAGGAACAGAAAACCAAATACCACATGTTCTCACTTATAAGTAGTAGCTAAACATTGAGTGCACTTGGACACAAAGATGAGAACAAGAGACACTGGGGCCTACTTGAGGGTGAAGGATGGGAGAAGGGTGAGGATCTAAAAACTACCTATCAGGTACTATACTTAGTTATCTGGGTGGTGAAATCTGTATACCAAACCTCTGTGACACACAATTTACCTATATTACAAACCTGTACATGTACTCATGAACCTAAAATAAAAGTTTAAAGAATGTGTATTAACTGCAGAGTTGCCTCTACTGCCTAACCATTCAATATGTTACTGCACTCCTGGCTTGGAAATGGTTGCACATAGTTCTTTCTACCTGAGGTCTTTGCCATTCCCAGAACGTAAGCTGGTTCCGGAATCTCTGTCATTCGGCACTGAAATGGGAGCTGATTTGTGGATCTGGAGGAGCTCACTGTTGTTTGTCTACTTTCCCCCATCTGGAGCAGGAGGACTGGTGTTCTAGACCTTTTGAACATTACCATGATGGGTCCCCAATGCCTTAGATGCCCAGGGAGAATTGTGCCATGATTGAGGAGGGTACAGACAGGGATAACTTAAAGGTAATAAACTTGGACCACAGTAGCTCTACCCAAGGAAGCAAGAGGTAGACATTCTGGCTTGAAGAGATTTACATGGTCTTTGTTTTCCTTTTTTGAACGCTCAGTTTATTGGATTGTTTGCCTATGCCAAAAATCACACACTATAATCTTAGTTCAAACTCCATCCTTAAAATACATCATAATGCTAACATGCTGAGCCACAGGTAGGGCTGTGTAAAAAGTTTAAAATCTGGCTTTTTAAGCACGCATTACAGAAAAATTCTGAACTCCAGAATGTGCCAATATCACCCCTTCCTTTGACAAAACAGAAGTTTCCAGACCAAGATAAAATTTTAAACCTCAAATAAAAATTTTTCTTCAGATTCTACACTTCCAGATGACTTTAGTGACTGTAAAGAATTTTTTTTTGAAAAAGAGAATTTTCAAAATAAATTTCTAACTCACCTTAAGTTAAAAATCAATACTGTACTTTTAAAGAGGAGAGTGATGCTATCTGAAAAAGGATCAAATAACAATTGTTCAACCCTTTTATGGCTTCTGTTTCTTACCCTGTTCAGTCTCAGCTACTTGCCTGCATTTTAAGGCCTTCTTCTTCCCTAGCAGTGTTTATTGAGGCATGATATACAGAACTTTTAAAAACTTTTAATAAGTATGAATTCATTTTAGTACGTATTAAATTATTGGGAGGCTGAGGCAGGAAGATCGTTTGAGCTCAGGAATTAGAGATTATTATCGCACCACTGCACTCCAGCCTGGGCAACAGAGCAAGACCTTGACTCTTAAAAGCTTAAAAAAAATGATAAACACATCAACCTCTGATTTTATGAATATTATGTTTTATGATAAGAGTAATGTGGGTGCAAAAGGGGAAAAATGAGTTGATTTAAGAAAAAATATTAACTAAATAATTGTATAGATGATTACAAGACATGATGGAAAAGCTCATGAACATCAGCTAGTTGACTTCAGAGAACATAGTCAGCAATACATTTCTTGTTGATTGACTATATTCCTTTCTTTCTCTTTCTTTTTTTAAATTAATTTTTTTTTTATAGAGACAGGGTCTGACTCTGTTGCCTGTCTGAAACTCCTGGCCTCAAGCCTAACTGTATTCTTTATTGTTCTAATTTTCTTTCTTTCTTTTTCTTCTTCTTTTTTTTTTTTTTTTTGAGACGGAGTGTCTGTCTCCCAGGCTGGAGTGCAGTGGCGGCTCACTGCAAGCTCCACCTCCCAGGTTCACGCCATCCTCCTGCTTCGGCCTCCCGAGTAGCTGGGACTACAAGCACCTGCCACCACACCTGGCTAATTTTTTTTTTTTTTTTTGTATTTTTAGTAGAGACAGGGTTTCACCTTGTTAGCCAGGATGGTCTCGATCTCCTGACCTCGTGATCCGCCCATCTCGGCCTCCCAAAGTGCTGGAATTACAGGCGTGAGCCACTGTGCCCGGCCTATTGTTCTAATTTTCAAAGCACTCTTAAGTATTTCATTCCTTTTGGTATTTAAAACAATTCTGTTATCCAGGGAGGGGGAGTGCTAGACTTTTAAAAAAAATGTTTAAACTGTAGAGATCTTTATAAGCTACAAAAATCATGACAGATAAGTGACAGGTCTTGGAATTAAACCCAGATCCTCTGACCCCTAGTCTGAGTGGTATATTTGTAAAAAATACTAATGACTAGAGAACTGTGTAAATTCAGATATCCAGCAAGTAGACATACCTTGCCTCTTATCTCTGGTGAATAATTATAAATTAAATTAGGTCTCAAGGGACACAAATACACACTCATCATTTCTTTTTCTGAGCATCAGTGTTTATATCAGTGGTGCTTGGTATCTCAAATCCAGGCCTCCCGGCAGCCCATAGCCATTTTACTCTGCATTTTCTTCAAATATGCTCAGCTTTGAGGTTTCCCACAATTGGTCCCAGTTCCCTGGACTGTCTTAGATCCTGTGGAATCCTATACTTACCTTCATTTCAGCAGCATTCCTGGTACCACGTGGACAGAGCTGATTTTATTCTGGCACTTTACTCGGTTGTGTTCAGCAACATGTCGGGCATGAAATATGCAGGTGCAAGCCTTGAGAAGCAAATGTAGCTTCCCTAGGCAGCCCTGACTTTCTTTTCACCCTACTTACTTAGAAAGTTATGAGGAATTGGGGGTTGAGAACAAATATACAGAAGAAGGAGAATACTTTTGGTTCAAGTTACCCATGGATTAAGGGTTATGTCACGAGACTCATTTTTTGTAGCGTTGTGTATCATTTTCCTCAGTTCAGGCTCAGTGAACACCCAAACCTCAATTTTTACCACCTTTGTCCATCCACTTAAAACTTTGACAGATTTTGAAGCAGGTACCTGTGCTCTGGGATACCAGTCATCTTTGCGGTTTACAAGAGCACTTTCAAACATCCACAGAAAAAGGAAAAAAAAAAGTTTGTGCTAATGACCTGGTGATTTTTTTTTTCCTATGATCTCCCAGTAAAGTGTAAACTACTCTCATAGCTGTCAATAGAACCACTGAGTAACCAGTGCCTACCTTATTTGAGGCGGTTTTAAGGTCAAAGGAATAATTATGAATGAACACTTTTGCTTGCTAGAGGAAAAATACATTAGGAAAAAGAAGGCAGCAGCTCAAATGTCTATGGACAGCTTCAGGAGCGCTGAAAAGTGATATATAATCCCTCCAAATCCTCCTAAATTCTAAGCCAAAGAAATGTCAGTAAAATTTTAGCCAAAGCATGTTTCAGCTAGTATGCTACTTTAGGTAACCACACAGTAGAGTAGCACTGTTAGGAATTATGTGTACAGGGAGTGGGATTTTTGACCTCTTAAGGAGCAAGTAATTAGTTAATCGGTGCTGTTTTATATGATTGGCAGGATAATTTTACCATTTTATCTCAAGGAAGAAGTTTATATTTGTTGTATCTTTGCTACTGTGATATAATATTGATTATATTTTTTATTTATTTGATACCAAATATTTATTTGATCGGGAAATGTAACCACAGTAACATTTTCTGCCTGTGGAGAAATATTGTTGTCACCTTAGAAACAATTTTCAAGAATTAAATTTGGTAAAAAGTGGGGACTTCTTATTCTTGTGGTCACTAATGAGTAGATTTTCCTTAGGATAAGTGCACTATAAATTTGCTATAATAACTAACTGATCAAATTTATAAACTGCTGTTTTCTGTGTCAATAAACGTTTCTACATAGCTCTGTGCACATCTCCTGCCATAACTGGGCATAACTCTTGTTATACAATGATTAAATAGAGCATTTTGGGGTAATATTCTTTTTGTCTCACAGAACTACCTTAGATCAAATTAACATTGCATATGATACAAGTTTATGAAATAGATTGCACACATGTTCTTTTACAAATGGATTTGACTCCTTGTGGCATTAGTGAAATTTACATTGATTAACCAGTAAGCTGTAATGTTGTTTTCGATTTGGGCTCAACAAATCAGTTTTACTTAATGCTCCAAGTGTTCTTTACTTTGGGGTATTTAGGGTAAGTAGATATTATATTGCCTGTGGGAAAACACTACACTTGTAATTAAGCTAAGGAGGTAATTTCATGAAAAGAAGAAGATAATAGGGCAAAGTTTTCAAGATAATGAGATTCCCAGAAATGCACGAACTATCCCTACTTGAATGAAATAAATTACATTATCATCCATCATATGACTAATCTAAGAGTAGCCATCTCTCTGTTAAAATAGACCTATCGAATAAAATGATAAAATACTGTCACTTAGGAAAAGGATAACAAATTAAGAAATACTATTAACAAAAGAACGCTGTGTAGAGTTAGCATTCCATAAATGTTCCTTGATTTGAATTGAACAAAAAAGACCTACAAAAAAGAAATTCTGCCTTTCCCACTTACAATATATTCTATTTGTACTTTTCTGTAAATAACAGTACAGAGTAAAAACTACATATAATGGGCACATATCCATACTTTAAAAAATACATCTATAACAACTTTTATGCAGTACATGAAAATAAGGTATTGATTTGTGGCAACTATAGTAAAATGACTGTCTAGAAGTTGGGAGAATATTTAACATGAAGTTAAAACTTTCCTTTTGAAAAAACTTCCTTGCTGGTTTAGAGCTGAAGCTTATACCATTACTGAAATCACTTATTCAAGGTAATTATGAAATGCAAGGTACAATGTATAAAAGTTGAAAATCAAGACAAGGTTCTGAGAACACATACAATCATCTATTCCTAGAAAATAATTAACAAGGAAAAACTACCTGAATATTAGTTCTATTGGAGAAAAGTTACCAGGTAAGATATAAGTTCTATAAGATTGTTATGTATTTTATCACATCTCAGACTTTGTTTCTGATGCTAAAATTAGAAGACCAACAAATGGTATATTTAAAAAAATTCATTAAGCCCATCTCAGAAACTGAACAAAAAGACTTGGGTTGGAAATGATACTGAGAAGTAATGGGAAGCAAACATAGATTCTATTCTTCCCCAAAGCTCAAATTACTTACTAAAATTGAGTAAGAGATTAAGAAGGCATCAGCATATTTTCCTCGCTGTTTTTTCCCCTTCCCAAAAGTTTTATATTCTAACTTTTTGAGAAGAAAAATAGAAAAACATTTAAAAAATAATTCATCATGAACAAGTGGAGTTTATCCCAAGGATGGTTTTACATTTGAAAATCAAATAGTGTAACTTATCAGAGTAACAGACTAAAAAAGAAAAACCATATGATCACCTTAGTAGATGCTAAAAAAGCATCTGAGAAAATCCAACGTCCATTTCTGATGAAAACTCTCAGCAAATGAGAAATTGAAGGGAATTTCCTTGATCTGATAGAGATCATCACCAAAAAACCTGCAGCTAACATCATACTTAATAAGACTTAATGCTTTCCTCCTAAAATCAGGAAGAAGACAACGTCTGTTCTTACCACTTCTACTCAACATTGTTTTGAAAGTTCCAGCCAGTGCGATGGGCAAGAAAAAGAAAAGACAGATTGGATAGGGAGTGGTAAAACTGTCTTTGTTTGCAGATGACATGATTACATAGAAAGACTGATGGAATTTATAAAAATGCTACTAGAATAAGTTAGTGAGGTTGCAGAATACAAGTTGAGCATATAAACTCAGCTGTATTTCTATATACTAGCAGTGATCAATATGAATTTCAATGTCATTGCAGTAACATAAATGTGTGAAGTATTTAGGAAATAAATTTGACAAAGAATATGCAAAACCTGTACACTGATAATTAAAAAGCATTATCGAGAGAAATTAAAGATGCATGTATAAATGGAGCAGTATAACTTGTTTATGGGTTAGAAAACACAATATTGCCAAGCTGTCATTTCTCCTTATATTAATTTATAGATTCAGTGTAATTCTACTCAATATTCCAGTAGGCTTTTTTGGGTAGAAATTGATAGGAGTTCTAAAATTCATAGGGAAATTCACATGGGAAGGCAGATATAGGTATACAGATATAAACAGATGTGTGTGCGTGTGTGCATGTAAATATAGATATATGAGAAGGTAGATACAGTCTGGGTCCAGTCAAGAGAGGGAATCTGTACAGTAATTAAAACAGAGAAAATATAAAGAATTACTAACTATAACAAGGGATTGGAGCAACCAGGGGTAAAGAGAACTCTACAGGAATAGCAGCTATAAGGAGCAGCTACGCTTTTGAATGCTGAGGCAGAGCACCCGAGAAAAAGTCCCACTCCTCGCCCCTCTGCCACCGCCTCAATAAGGTTGAAATACAGAACTAGACAGCAAAGGAACTGGCTGCAGCACTGGTGTAAGTTGCTTGAAATCCACTTTCTAGGGTGCCAGAGGAGCTGTTCATAGAACGTGTCTCATCAGAGGCACTCACCTATGAAAATGCCCGAGGACGTATTGCAGGGAGCTTGTGGCCACCTGGTGATGCCGGCCCCTAGAAGAGCCTGTCCAGTGCACACACTGGAACCCAGAAGGGAAACCCTTTCCTCTGGTAATATCTCTCCGGCGCCCTCTACCGACAAAGCTCAACATGCTGACAGCTCCAAAGGGAAAATATTTAAAGGACCTAGGTCCATTTTCATGGAGCAGGCAAAAAATGCATTTGGAGCTGAGAAGTAATAAAACATTAACTGGCACAAATAGATAACAAAGAGGCATAAGGACATTTTAGGGGGAAAGGGTGATGGATATGTTCATTATCTTGACTGTAGTGACAGGTATATACATATGTCAAAACTTATCAAATTGTACAATTAAAATATGTGCCATTTATTATATGTCAAGTCTACCTTAATAAAGCTGTTAAAAATGTAACTGGTCAAGCACAGTGGCTCACTCCTGTAATCTCAGCACTTTGGGAGACTGAGGCTGGTGGATGGCTTGAGCTCAGGAGTTGGAGACCAGCCTGGGCAACATGGCAAAACCCCATCTCTACCAAAAATACAAAAGTTAGCCAGATGTGGTGGCAGGCGCTTGTAGTCCAAGCTACTCAGGAGGCTGAGCCAGGAGGACTGCTTAAGCCTGGGAGGTCAAGGCTGCAGTGACCTGTGTTTGTGCCACTGCACTCCAGCCTGGGTGACAAAGTGAAACCCTGTCTCAAGAAAAAAAAAAATGTATCTGAAAGTCTTCCACTACTCTCCTAACAGAAGCAACCCTTGCACTGATTAAAGGTTTAAGCGGAAGGTGTTTGTATCTATATGTGTGTGTGTATATATATATATATGCATTTATGTATTATTTTTTCATACCAAGAGCAAAATTGCTGACCATTGAGGACTCTTCCTCAGGGTGAAATCCCCTAGGGGCTCTACCTTCAGATCCACAGCTCAGGAGCCCAGTTTGGCTGGGGAAGCTCACCTCCATCTGCCTGTTCAGTGGGACCAAGAATTTAAAAACCTTCCTTGCCAAAATCCAGTAGCTCTGGAGCCAAGGCTGGACTTCCCCGGGGCCAGTCTTAACAGATACTTGGTGTTCATGAGCTCCAGCTGTCTGGCTGCAGCACAGCACTCCTTCCCTTCCTCTCTGGCCATGTCTTGCTTCCTGGGTAATGGATATCCCTGGACCCTCATCGCTCTCCTTTCTGGGAGGACCTGGTCCATGGCTGCTGTTCATGAGAGGTGTAGATAATACACCATGTTACCACAGTGTGTGCTACCTTTGCAGTCTTAGAGCGTACTGACTGCCTTCCCTTTCTCACTCCCCAGTCTTCTTTATGTCAAATAGCAATTCTGCCTTAATTTAATATTTATTTATTGCCTACTATATGCAAGCATTGTGTTAGCTATGAAGGCTACAACAAGGGACAGTGCAGACATAGTCTTTGCCTTCATGGTGCTTACCTTTTAGGAGAAACTGCAGAAAACATAAACAAAAATCCCAACTTAGCTGGACTTATATAATGGTCAAATGGACATAATATAATGATTTCTCTCTCAACATGCCATGTCATTCTTCAAACCAGAATTACTGTAAGCTCCTCAAGGGCAGGGACCCAGAAACGATGGACTACAGTGATGCCATTTACATATACACACATTTACATACAAAATATTCACCTCTTGGGATGACTTTTTGATAGATGAGGGCTTATTAGAGAATTGGTTTGATTTTCCCTTAGCCTACTTCAAATTAATCTGTCAAAAAGTAATTAAAATTGTTGTTGTTGATGAAATATGTAACTGTGGCCTAGAGTCTATACATTATTTTATTTCCCTGCCACTGTCACCACTGCCATCACAAAATGAATTTCATACTAGATGTTTATTAAAAGGCAGCTAGAGTGTGCTGGAGGTTGGGTGGTGAGTTGAGACATGCATTAATTATCCATTAAATCAATCAATGAAACATGCTTTTGAGCATGACTCTGTGCCCAGGACCAGGCTGGTTCTGTAGGGATGAGAAGAGCCATGTAAGAATTCAGTTTTGTCCTTACAAACCTCAAATTGTTAAATGTGAAAACTAGCCAGTAGAGGCCATTTGCTTTGGAATGGTGGTACTAAACCCAAGGCCAAAAGAAATCAGAAATGAATAGTGTTTGGGTCTTACAGTCAAAGGACTTTCTGTGGAAGAGCTAGGCTTTATAGGATATTTAGAAAATTGAAAAGTTGAAAGAAGGGTTTGGGGAGAGTGGATATAAGAGAGTAAATGAAGGGCATGATGTGGGATGAGACAGGTGAGGCTATTAAAAGTGTCATGGAATTAATCACATGAATTTTTAAAAACTGCAACTTGTTTTTGCATATTCTATAATGTAGTGGCTTCAATTAGTTTGACAAAATATTTAAAATATGTATAGTGTACTATTTTCTAACAATTAAACAACCAAATTTCATTCTCTTCAAAAAGCATAGGGCAATTTCCTATTTTCTAAGAATATCACTGTGAAAATTACATTTAATTAATTCTTGACCTTGGAATACATCATGCACCATTTAATCTATCCTCTAGTTTTATTTGGATTTCATATCCAACTCATATTCACCCCCAAAGTATAGAGAATATGCAAACCTGACCTCTTATTTTTAGTAAACTATCGTTTTTTACTGCTTTGGAAAAAAGTATATGCATGGGCCTGGAAGAAAATGTTATTTTAATAATCTGACATAGAAACTATAAACTTCTCAGTCCATTTTGTACTGGTTTCAATGGAGCATAACTAATTCAATGCTTTCTGGGCATAGTACACTAGAGAGAAATCTTTCAATGAACAGTGCAATGAGATGGCACATATTTGTATTGCAAAATACATCTTGAAACAGTTTTAAGTTCAAAATAGGAACATCCTTAGCAAATTAAATGCTAAATGTTCCCTAGGTGCCATAAAGACATCACAGATAACTCTACCACACTTTAGTGGAAACATTTGCATATCATTTTCTAAGCCATTTAGTAGTCCCCAAACAGAATGTCCTATCTTCCTCACACAGAGCATGGGTCTCCTGCCTAGGTCTTTTGGCCTCTGCCTCCCTGGGTGACAGAACTCCCTCTCTATGCACTGCACTCCCTACTTCTCACATAACTAGTGCTGGGGAATAACTTCCTCTCCATAGAGGTCTAGGGGCCAGAAACAGAATGTGAAGCTGGGTTTACTTTTCAGGAATCAATAAACTGTGCATATTCTATTAAAAAATAAGCACCCTAGAACCTTACCATAACCTTGGGGCCAATGCTAGGTATTTGACTTATTTTAGAGGAAAATGACTTGTTACTCATTTTCTTGGGTTTTTCAGTTTCAAAACTCATAAAACCTTGCCATCTCCAACAACTTTACATCTCTGAAATCCTATTTTGAAACCTCCTGCCTCAACCGTCACGTCCTATTCATCCAGTTCACTGATTCCAGTACTCCACTCCAGAAATTTTCTGACCTCCTTGAGACCCATCACTCCTTTACATGACTAGTGTGTTTCCTCCTTGCCGTCCTTCTCATAACCTCACTTTCTCCTTGGCTTGGAGTCCATGGTTCCGCTGTATAATTATCCCTCATAAACACTGTCACTCTTTTCCATTCTCTTCATTTGGCAAAACCTCAACCATGGTGAGCTGGGCAGAATAATGGCTACCTAAAGATGCCACGAGCTAATCCCTGGATGTGTGAATATGTCAGATTATATGGCGAAGGGGAATTAAAGTTGCAGATGGAATGAAGGTTGGTAATAGCTGGCATTGAGATGGAGAGATTGTCCTGCATTATCCAGGTGGGCCCAGTGTAATCTCATGGGAGGCAGAGGAGGGAGAAGCAGAGGTATGGCAGCCATTGCTGGCATTGAAGATGCAAGGGATCAACAAAGCCAAGAGATGAGCTCCAGAAGCTGGAAAAGGCAAAGAAATGGATTCTTCCTTAGTGCCTCCAGAAGGAATGCAGCCCTGCTGACTTCTTGAATTTAGCCCAGTAATATCCAGTTTGGACTTCTGACCTGTAGCAAGGTAATCAATTTGTGTTCCCTAAGCCACTAAGTCTGAGTATGTTATAAAAGCAATAGAAAACTAATGCCCACGGTTAAATTCAACTATCTACTTACTCTCTGCCAGCATCTACAGAGTTGATTATTGCAAAAAGCATACCACCATGCTAGTTGACCTCACTTTAAATATGGCTACATGTCAAAATTGGCCTCTTGACTTTTCCAGACTATCTTACCACACTTCTCCTTCTCCTCCAAGATAATTATTTTACAACTTTTCTTTCCTCAAATCTCCATCACTGCCTTTCCTCAATTAACTCTTAGCTTATGCTTCTTACTTTACCGAAAAAACAATGATAAATAATTGGAAAATACCACATGTTCCTGCCATTTTCCTAATGTTTCTATTGGTGCACAGGTGTTCTGTCTTCCACATGTTATAGTAGTAGATGAACTGTCCATGAGCCAATTGAAAGCCCATCTCTTCCATTGAGTCCTGGATCCCACCCCTCTTGACATCTCAGGGGCCTCCCTAATGGCAGTAACACTTAGTAGCTCAGGCAAAATATGCTGAAGTCTTAATTCCACTTTCCCCCTCAAATGCCATATCCAAAGGCACTGGTAATTCCTGTTGTCTCTACACCATAGATGCCCTGAGTCCAGTTACTTCTGTCATCTAGAGATGAGACTGCTACAGCTTGGTCCAGTTCTTCTTCATCTCTCACCTGGATGGATGCAATAACCTTTCTATCTTCACTCTCCACTGTTCTATGGCCTTAGTAATTTTTTCTAAAGTGTAGATTAAACTATTTCTTCACCCATAATCTTCAAAATTATCTCCAC
Source organism: Homo sapiens (assembly GCF_000001405.40). Lineage (NCBI taxonomy): Eukaryota > Metazoa > Chordata > Mammalia > Primates > Hominidae > Homo > Homo sapiens. The sequence goes on from NC_000006.12 coordinate 114,113,312, forward strand.
TGCAACCAGTAAAAAATCTAAACTCTAGCATGCGCTACGAAAATATATGTAACTGGACACCTGTTTACTCCAGCCTTATTACAACTTTTCCCTTCATTTACTCCAGTCACACTGGCCCCCTTTCTCTCCCTCACATTAAACAGGCTTGTTTCCACCCAGGAGAGTTGTATTTGCTATTCCTTCTGCTTGGAATGATCTTCCTCTCCTTCAATGGATGGCTGCCTTCTTTCCATTGATGTTTCAATTCGAGTGTCACCTCTTCTAAGAAGACTTCATTAATGCTAGCCAAGCAAGCCTAAAGTTGATCTATTAAATTACTCATAGCGTATATCAGTATCCAAACTCTCACTGATCCATTAGCTAAAACACCATCCATTTATTATCTGCCTGCCCCCACCAGAATGCCTGGCATATAGTGTTTCAATAATTTTTTTAATGACTACTCTTACGCTAGTCTATAAGTTAACACTCCAGAGTTAACTTGGTTGAAGAAAGATTTGGGCAAGATAACTGTCAAAGTCTTTTTTTTTTATGTGATCATTTACTTGTCCTTGGAAGTAGTATGAAAGTAGGATGCCTGTGTATCATTACATTGTTATCATTAGAAATCAGGCTGGCCAGCTGCAGTACCTACCCATCTTTCTTTGTTTCTACTTTGATTCTGTGACAGGATTAGTGACAGTGATAATTACCTCAAATGAATAGTTTATACCTAACTGAGAGTGCTTATATTTTAATTTTTGTTCTGCCATTACAATGACAAGTTGTGGGCTTTCTCTGCATTTGTTACACATGCATTGCTTTGGTTTCTGAGACTAAAATGGAATAACCTGGGTGGTGGAAACAATTTATAGTTCTTTAAACCACTATAGTGCCAAACATGTAGCAGGTTCTCTATGACTAGTTTGACTCACTGATGTATTTTCTATGGAGTCACAAATATTTCTTGCCTCACTGAGGCCTTCCTTTCCTCCATGCCTAGCAATGCACTCACCTTCTACTTTATCCATTGTGCTGTTACTTTTAAGTGTTAGCAGTAAGTGGAGGAATAATCCCTCCCATTTCTGATTTACAGAATAGGATGTTACTAAAGTTTTCTTGATGGTAATGACATAAGAACTCTCAGAACTTTTCAACAGAGTCTTAGCTACTGAAGATCCAATAGGATCATATAATTATGTGATCTCTTACAGCATGATTTGCAAAAACAGGAATGCTGGGAGGCCTCAGTCATTGGCAATATAGAGTCACACATTTTTCCTACTTACAAAACTGCTCTTTAAAATCTGATTATGTGCAGATATTAGGTCTATTTTGTTATTATTACACATATGTTTTTATGATTGGCACAATATTTATGTTTTGATTTTTCCTTTCTTGACTAAATTAATCATAGTATAATATCTAAATGAAGCAATATATATTACTTAGAGGACAAAAATATTTAAAGAAAATGCTGCAGTTGAAACTGCAAGTTACTTTTTAAAAAAATCGTATTGATCAGTTGCTTTGCTGTAATTTAGACTCAGTCATAGGAAAATGCACTCTTTTTGTGTTAAAAGGTTATGTGAACACAAAGGTTATGTGATTTCATTAATTCACTCAGCAAATCACCTTTGATATTATCTTCATAAGCTTTATAAATGCAAGGACAGTGTTCATATGGTTCAGTATTTTTTCTGCAGCGACCAGAGTCCTGGTCCCGAAATCAAGTGCATAAATGCTATGTACAATGTGGAATCTCAGTAATTCCCAGTTGGCAAATTATGAGGATAATAATAAAACCTATATGAGGATATATTTTATTTTTTATGCCATCCCATATATTTCTGTCTCACATGAAAAAGGCATGAAAGTAACACATGAATTTTAGAGTGGTTGATGGTGGTTGAAGGGTATGTTCATTTTCCTGAAGATAATTTTTTTTAATTCTGATTTTCTAAGAAAACTATAAAAGTCTCTCATAGACACATTTACAAACAAGAAACAATGGCATTTAGTTGAATTTTGGGGAATAAGTTTTTGCAGCAAGTATGTCTAGCATGAAGTTAGCAGTCTCAGAACCTTTTGGCTAAATTACATGAGTCTCTTTCTCTTAAAAAGCTAACCAAGTCTCTGTTAGCTTGGTCTAGTCCTGCTATAAAGAAAAGAATAATGTCACATATCTGTCCTATCATTATAACAATGACATAGTGTTAACCTCTTATGGAAGGGGAAAGAAGCATAGATGCCAGATTGAATCCCACTGGCCCGAAAATCTTGCTCTTTCCCTTATACACAATCCCTCCACAAATGCAAAAAACATGGCTAACTTGCTGTGATCCTTCCCCACATTATTTCAAATGTCCAGAAAGACACTAAATAAAATCAGAAGTTGAACTATTTGAAGGAAGTTCTCTTTCTTTTTATTTTTTGTTTGAAATCCTGTTTAGCATCCAAGCAGGCTTCTATGATTGACGGTGGTAAATGACAGATAGAGTTCAATACAGTTCTGTGGTGAAGGGTAAGTATTTTAGTGTCTCTGTGGCCTGATCCAAAGGCTATTCCTAGCAGTTTGTCATTTAGTACAGAGAAGGTTAGTGAGGTCATGTTGATATATGATCTTTTATGCCCTGAACTTATCACTGCAGTTGAACTGGCCCTATAATTCTCATTAACAATGAGCAGTTATTTTTTGATACTAAAGCATAAAATAAAACAATTTTTTTTGCTCTATTCTCCAAACTACAATATAAAGAAAAGGCACTGCTTGAAGTTTAAAGTATTCCACCAGAGAAATTTAGGGTATCTTTATTTTTACCCACAGGAGTAAAAAGACTTTGGCGTTCTCAGAAGAAAACCAAATGAGATCACACGAATGAGACTGCTGGTAAGAACTGTCTAAATGTTAACATCACCATGATAAATATCTGTTTTTAATGGAGAATGAGATTACCTTTAAAGATATTCTAGCATCTCAGCATATATTCCAAAAGGAATACAATTCTCTAAAGGAAAAAAATGCCAAAGAGATGGGAAGGCAATGTGGGATGGGAGAAAGAAATGCCAGCCTAAGAATTAGGAGACCCCAGTTCTAGTTTGCCTAGGTTATGGGCTAAATGATGTGCAGCAAAGACCATAACCTCTCTTTACCTGGTCTTTTCTTGCTTGGATTTTACTAACAGCCTGAAGTGTTTTTGAGTCAGCTGACAAACTTACTAGGTCTCCAAATCCATTTACCCCACAGACCTTTCTATTTTTATAAGTTTCAGCAGTATCTCCAAGAGCATTAAGAATAAAGTTAAATTTCTTAGCAGGCCATAGATATCTTTCAAGGTTTAACCCTTGCTTACCTTTTACTTTGCCCTTCGCCTTCCACTTCCCACCTCCTTCCCCATCCTCTTGCCATCCAGAACTAATGGAACTTCTGCCCTAACAGCTAGATCTCCATTTTCCCCCACCACTGACCTAACTCTTACTTAATGAGTTTAAGTAATGGCTTACTTCACCTTAATTGCTGCCCTTCCTTTTGGGTTTGGTGCCATCCTTTGTTACATTTTAGCACTTACTGTATTATAATAATCTGTTTACTTATTTGTTCTCCCCCTCCCTTCATCCATTAGACTAACGCTTCTTGGCAAAGGGTAGTAACTGAATAATGAATGCATGAAAATCAACTCTCCTTATTCCTATTATTATAGGGGAAGGGGAGATGGAAGTTGAGTCATTGGCTAATATCATCATCAAGAAATCAAGTCATCATTTTTACCAGGAATTCAAAATTCCTCCCCCTCCCCATTCCGGCTGAATCCTCTGGTGGAAAATAACTAATTAATTAACTGAATTAATTTTAATTCATTAGAATACTAAAATTAATGTTGAAGAAATAGCTCATTCCTTTTACTTTCTAGGCAAAATATCTTGAATTTGACTGCAAATAATAAGTTCCTTTGGGCTAATTTTTCATTCAACCCTGTCTTGGCTCCATGTGATCATGGTTTATATCTGGGCATCACTTATCTCTGCTAGAAAACACAGAGGTAGCCTGGAATAATGGAACAAAATATTTCTCCACGCAAAATCAGAAAATATGGGTTTGAATTTGTCATTTCTTAGTGTGGTGACATTGGGCAACATATGGAATCTTTTGAACCTCAGTCTTCTCTTCTGTAAATTAGGGTAATACCCAGCTTACAAAGTTATGGCAAGTCTCAGGTAAAATGATCCATGATGTGAAAGCACTTCAAAAGAGTTAAATGCTAAACAAGTATGCTATTACTCTAACCCTAAACCCAAACTGTCAGTATTGTTTATAAATTGGCCATCCAATCTAACTTCTTCCTAGAGATACTATACCAGGCAAAAAAGACCAATTTGAATTTTATCTCCTCTGCCAAGTAAAAAGAAACCAGAAAAATGCCTAAAGGAGGAAGATCAGTGCATCAAGCAGGCCAGATATAATCCACAACGTAGATTACTGACTTAGGCTAATTGGGAATTCAGAAATAGACATCTCTGCCCTGTATAACTACCCCTTCCCTCAAATATTCACTCCCTATCCAGACATCTACCTCTAGGAGTGGCACTGTGGGCAACGTAGGGAATTCAGAGTGCAACAAATGTCTCTATAGTGTCTCATATTCTGAAAATGCCTTTGCAATCAATTCTATATATTATGCTTCACAAGGACCTAGAGAGGTATGTTAATATTATCCTTGGATCAGAAAAAGAAGACACCTAGCAATTAAGTGATTTGCCTCACATCATAAAGGGAATTAATGCCGACACCAACATTCAAAGAGGCCTTCTTTGCATAGCAAGGAGAACTCCTTTATTTCTCCAGTTGTAAATTATCCACATTATGACCAGATTTACCAGTCCTCAAGGCAGATGACCTTGAGGTACCATTGAGATTCTGAGGGGGCATGTATGGACATCTATACAATTATTGCCAGCTTAGCCACTTCCACATAAGTCACAGCTAGGTATAATTTTCAGCGGAAAAAAAATGGCATATAGAAAGGAGCCACTGATCTATATATAGTCAGGCAGGTAATACAAAGAAGAGACACAAGGGCAAATCTGTGTTTTGTCTTTAAGAGTCTGATGTTCTTTCTTGGAGACCAGTGATTCTCAAACACTTTATGTATTTCTTAAGGATGGGAGTTAACTGCATTATAAACAATCTATATATAAGAAAGCAATTATATGGGGTTATTACCATTATTTACCATTATCTTGACTACCTATTCTCATTTCTCTACTCAAGAATATATAGTGAACAAATAAAGTAAATTTGAAAGTTTAAAACATGGAAGTAAATATGAGCTCCCACAGGTGGGACAGGCCTCATGACCAAAATGAATTGATAGAAAGGTATATGTCTCAGTCATTAATCTCTTCACAAGATGTTTACAGTTCTTCTTTCTGACAGGTGGTAGGAGAGTATTTCTCCATCCCCTTTAGAAGACAGGAGTAGAATAGGACTATTCTGACCAATAAAACATGAGCAGAAATGGCACATGTTACCTCTAGGTGAGAGCTTTAACAGTTGGTGTGAAATGTGGGTCTCTTTCTCTCTGCCACCATGTCTGGTGTCTGGGAATGCTCCAGATAGTGGCTGTTCTGTTTGTCTGGTCCTGGACTAAGACCAAGAGGAACACAGGAGTACCCAAGCCATGATGGATATGTAGCATGAGAAAGAGAAAAACATATATTATAAACCACTTAGATTGCAGGGTTGTTTGTAATCAAAGCATAACATGTACTGTCCCTATGAGACAATTCACCTGATTCAAAAAGAACGAAGGCACTAAAGGAGTAAGAATAGCAAAGCATAAGAAGAGGCACACAGTGAATGGATGCCCACAAACCTAAAGGGAAAAGTAGAATGCAAAGTGCCTGAGGGACGATAAACAAGACAGTAGAGAAGTTATTTCATAGGGGTGAGTCAGCCAAAGTCTTTCCTTACACAGATGGCAACACTGGCATGGTGGTTGGACCACCATTGGGAGACTCATCCATTTGATAGATGACAGAACTTTTGTTCTGATAAAATGGCAGAATCTGATAAATTCTTGACTTCCAGAAAATAATGTGACCTTTCTTTTAAAACCAACAATGTGGTCTTTCAAAAGTTGGGGAGGCAGTGAGGGGAACTGCAAATTGAAATTAAACTGCCTCAATAAGGAAGAACTGTGTAATGTTAAGGACAACATGAAAAACCTAGGAGATTAAGTAGCAACCAACATAGGGAGAGCACTGCACACAGAATTGCACTCTAGCTTTTAGAGAAGCGAATATGAAAGATTTAGAGAAGAGATATTTGTGATATCCTAATTATAAATTTTAAAAGGGTTTGGAACTCTGGCAGGATGGGAAGATTTAGCATATTCAATTACAATAATGTCACAAATAATCCTGATTAGGAGCCCTCAATCTTTGCTGGATACTACATGCTTCACCAATTCATTCAACAAATGTTTATCGAGTAACTACTGGGAGTTAGAAATTATGTCAAAATGTTGGGGTTCAAAGAGGACATCGGTCCTGCCCTCAGGAAATTTACAGTAAAGCAAGAGAGATAAACAATAAAGAAGTAATCCCAGCACTTTGGGAGGCCAAGGTGGGTGGATCTCAAGGTCAGGAGTTCGAGACCGGCCTGGCCAACGTGATGAAACCCCGTCTCTACCAAAAATACAAAAATTACCCAGGTGTGGTGACATGTGCCTGTAATCCCAGCTACTCAGGAGGCTGAGGCAGGAGAATCACTTGAACCTGGGAGGCAGAGGTTGTAGTGAGCCGAGATCGTGCCATTGCACTCTAGCCTGGGTGATAGAGCGAGATGCTGTCTCAAACAAAACAAAACAAAACAAAACAAAAAACAACAAAAAAAACCCCAAATAAACAATGAACAGACAAGCCCCCAGTAGCATTTATTAAATATTTAGTATTCATTAGTGATTATGACTGTACCTTTACCTGATTTTTTTCCCCTAACTATAAGCCTCTAGATAGGAGTAAACAGGAGAAACTGAGGTACAGAGAAATGAAGTAATTTAGCCCTACATTTATACAGTAATTGTCCAAACTATGACAGAAAGTCAATCTTCTATGATTTCAATGTCTGTATTCTTTCAACCATACTTTGATGCCTTTCATATCTAACTTTGAGATTACATATACTGTTTTTACATTTTAAAAATGTTTGTGTGTGTGTGTGTAAAATGAACAACAGATTTATCTCACACACAAAAAATACTTCTTTATGTGATTATTTTGGTCATTTTTTTCAGTTCAATTGGAAAATAGTTATAGAAAATCAGGGGACATTAATGATTTATAGGCTATGATTTGAGAACCTTTCTAGTAAGTCACATGGAAGATATAAAGTTGCTTTTCAGCAGAGTCTAAAAATACTTAACAGAGAAAAAAAGGATACTCTTAGAGAAAAATAACAAAATCCTCTCTAAAAATACAAGCAGCGATCAAATTGGTTTTACAAATGTATAGGTGAGGGTAGAAATTTCTTATTTTTAAGAGGATTTTGTTCTTTTTCTTTAGGGCTTGAATTCCACGAATTAAAAAGGGAGGTCTTACATATTTCTTTTTTCAGAAGTCCCAGTAATGTACACCTATAATTGGAGGAATTTTGGCATCTGAGAATATAACTCAGCATTTATTATAAGCCAAACAGCTAAATTGATTTTAGCATTCTGGAAGAATAATTGCACCTTTGGTGCTGAATTGCTTCCCTATGAGCATTGAGCCAAATATTAATGTACATTTGAAAGGAAACAAAAAACTTTCAAACTCTAATGTACCTCAGGCTTATAAATCGGAATCCAGTCACTTTAAATTAAGTTGGATTTCTTGAAGCAAAAGTACTCTTATTATTTTTGTATCACTGTTCTGACCCACAGTTTATACATCACATAACAGTGTTCTAAGCTTTTCAAATACAATAGAAATCTCCACGTGGGAGGTTTCTGTGATATTGCTCACTCCACCTAACACAAGCAACCACCACAGTGTCAACTCAACTCCTAGGACGTCCAAAAGACAGGTGATATTTATTCCACTCAGAGTTCTTTCTGTAATGCAGTGCATCAAGGACAAATTTACTGCCTGTTAATTCTTTTACATATTTTTTGCATTAAAGAAAAATTTAAATTTCTTAATAAGCAAAAAAAGGAAAAATGTATAATCTAATTACCTAACAAAAAAATTGGTAATATCTTGGTTTGTGACTTTCCAAACCCTTTTCTTTGTAGATAAATAAAATTTTCTTTTTATAAAAAATACAATACTAGTATTTATTACCTTATTTTTTCACTTAATCACATGTTAAAAGAATATTTACAAATAATTTAACATAGTTGTATAGTATTAGTGCATGGCTTCCCATATTTTTAAAAAAACAACCACTGTATTTGAATATTTAAGTTGTCTCCAATATTTTGTTATTATCACATCATTCCTTAGCATATCTGCCATAAAACAAATTGAATGTTTATTTTTATTTATTTATCTGTATATTTGTTTATTTTTAGCAAAAGTTAAAAATAACATTTTGGAGGTGGGAATACAATTTTGGGTGATAAGGAGTTAATGAATATTAGATCTTAGTTCTGACAGCGTGTCCTACCTTCTTCCTGCTGGAAGTCCTGTCCCAGGCCCCACCTGGGTGCTAGATGCCAGGCGCTGCTACCTTCTATGCCCTTGCTTCGCTCCTTGTCGAGACTGGGGCTCTTCCCTGACCCAGTCCAGACATCACCCCCTGTCCCTGGGGATGAACCTGTCTTGCATAATACTTGAAGGGAAGGTCCAGCTGGGATTGTCTGTCACTCTGCTTAGCCAGCCTTGCTAAGCTGACAGTTTCCAGAATGTGTGATGAGCCCTTAGAGTCATGCTTTGGTACCTGGAGCCCTCAGGAGCCACTCTGCAGGATACCCATATCATCCTTTGAGGCTGACCTTTGGGGGCTGTGCGTAAACATTTCATCATTCACATAAGCATTCATTAATTCACCTATCACACAATTTAGTGAGATCCTACTTTTCAGTAGATTTTGTCTGGGTCTGGAGACACAAGTGTGAATAACATAAACTCTACCCTCATGGGGTGGGGCTAAGTTTCAGAACTCCCAGGGAATTCTGAGCCAAGAGAGAAGGTATTTATGGCATCCAGTTAGAAAATCTCTGGAATTCTAAATTTTCAACAGGGTGGTAGATTACATTTAGTTTGGAACAATTGTGGCATTAGGTATTTTTATTTCAATGATTTTCCCTCTTACATTCATAGCAATCCTTGTTAATTCAAGATTGGAAGAGAATAATTCACCTAGGATGTGAAACCTACCCTTCTGTTAACATATGTTACAAATACACTGCAGTGTGAAGAACCAACTATGCCTCCACCACGTCCACCTTCCCTACCTTGGAGGAGTGTGTGTGTTATAGGTAAAGTGTGAGGACAGAAGCAAGGAACACAGGGATGACTTGTAGGTCATAACATTATTGTTTTAAACAAGATTGTAACATTTGATACTCTGAACTTCCAATCTGCAGTGATATTTATTGTTGGATACTGAATCATTAAGCCAGTGAAAACTTTTCTCTTATTTCAATGTCAAGTGTATATACAGATAGTTTTTGTTTGTTTGTTTGTTTGTTTGTTTGAGACGGAGTTTCACTCTTGTTGCCTAGGCTGGAGTGCAATGGTGCAATCTCAGCTCACCGCAAACTCCACCTCCTGGGTTCAAGCGATTCTCCTGCCTCAGCCTTTCCGAGTAGCTGGGATTACAGGCATGCGCCACCGCACCGGGCTAATTTTGTATTTTTAGTAGAGACGGGGTTTCTCCATGTTGGTCAGGCTGGTCTAAAACTCCCAACCTCAGGTGATCTGCCCACCTTGACCTCCCAAAGTGCTGGGATTACAGGCGTGAGCCATCGCGCCCAGCCATACAGATTGTTTTTACACTGCCCAGGCTCAACACTCAAAGTTGGAAGAGACCTCAAATATCTTCTAGCCCAAGACATTCATTGTAGAAATGAGAAAACTAAGCCAACACTAAATCGCTTGAGGTTTTCCCACTTCAGAATTTGAATGTCCAAAAGCAATTAAGAGATGTCTGACTAAAAACTGAACAAAGTATATACCCAAGAGGATAATTCTTTAAAAAGTATCAAGAAAATGAAAATAAAAATGAATAATTGTCCAATTAAATAAAATCCCAACTTTTAAGCCACACATTCAAGGTCCATTTTTTGTCTTTCCTAACATAAGGTCTCCTTTCCAATCAAGTCACTTTTTGAATGCAAGCATATAGATCCACAATCCCATTCAGCATGCTAATCCATGACTTGACCTGCTTCATGCCTAGTTCAGAAATTCAGCCTGCCTTCCAGACAAGTGGGTCCTATAGCTATGAATCTTTGGCTAACATGTACTCTGTATGGAACACATACTCACTTGCAAGTATAAATGTTACTTTGGAAATTTAATAATTCTTTGCATATGTTGGGGTATTTGGTAACTCCAAGATAATTTTTTTTTCTTCCAAGATTTTACAACCCTGTGAACTTCTCAGGATGTACTACGGAGGAGAATTCACTGTTGCTCCATGTATTTCTTTTTTCAAGAATTATATAAGGATACCAGCTCTTTCACTGATCTTTACCATGATCATTATCACATCCACTTTCTAAGGCTGAGGTCAAAGCTGGCAGTGCCCTTAACATCTCCCTTCCACCAAGAGGTATCTTGCCATAAAGATCTTCCTCCCGTGGTTTCAAGTTGCCTCTGGAATGCTTCTGAACTCCCTAGCTTTGATTTTTCCCATTGCAGTCCCTGCCTTTCTGTCCAGCTCTTGCTGTGACTGACAACCACCATGGACCTGATACCTTAGACCCCTGTTCTTCCTGATGTTGCACTAAATGACTGGGCTGACAACCCCATACAATCCCAGCTCCTGAGTCCCAACCCAGGTCAGACCTGCCCTGGACCTCAGAGGGAATATGGAACCCTGGAATGCAGGGTGTGCCAAGGATGCATTTTGGCCAGACTGAAACTCCCAAGGCAGCTTATCAATTTCTTTCATTTCTCTCAGTCTATAGCTTCTTATTCTACAGGGGCTTCAACTAACCACACCCATTCCCTGGCGCCCAACCACATATGTGACTAAAATAATACGTGAGGTTTTTGTGTTTTGTTTTTATTTTTGCCTATATCAAACAGACATTTAGGTGAATACATTTTGGAAATATCCTAGTTTATATTAATACTTTTCCATTACTATGGTTCAGTTTTTTGGTAAGCAGCTCTGTCCAGGATTAGCTCTTTTTTTTTTTTTTTAATCAAATGGGACCAGCTAATGAAAATAAACCTTGATAACCAGAGGAAAAAAAATACACAAAGGATTTAACATTATTATCCTGCTTTCTTGGTCCATGAGACAAAGTAACTGAAATCTCTCTTTTAGATCGTATTATTAACAATCAGCTATCGATTTTCAGGTTTACATTGTTTTGGGTCATTTGTTATATTTCTCTCCAGAAAACTGCTTGATGGTAATAAAGAAAATATTCTATAAAATGAGCAGTAAGATGCAATGTTTCAAAGCTTGATCCATGGGGTGAGTCTAGTTGTGTGGCATAAGCAATTTGCCTAGGTGGCTACTTTTGCTGGAAATCTCTTAAGAAAAGCAGCCAGGATATAAGTTTATATATCTTGGGTTGTCATTAAACTCAGTCTGGGGAAAGCAAATAAAATATCATTGATTTTTTCTCTGGAAGATGTGATTTTCCACTGAAATATGTAAAATAAAATATGTTCAATAAATTAAATGATTTTTTTTAAATACAAAACACTTCTGAAGTAGAAATATTTTTAGAAAGAATTACAATTTGAGCTTTCTAGCATCACATATCAAGAGCAATCTAACATATGCCTTTCAATTAGGAAAAGCATATACAACTTAAAAACTTTTATGTTTTTCAGTAGAAATTTCCTTACCAAGGCTTAAAATTCAAAAGGTACATAGTAAAGGTCACTTAAAAATGTTTGAATATTCTGAGAAAATTATTTGCAAAATGTAGGGCAATATATCAAAAATAGTTGTAAATATATAAAACTATTTTGGTTCAGCAAAAGAGTCATTGAATTCTAGTAAACTAGTTTTCTAAATTTTTATCTTTTTTATGAAGGTTCTTAAATATTCAGAAGGATCAAAAGGCACTCTATTTCCGGCATCATCTACATCAAAAGCAATTCTTAAGAAATTGGTAGTTAGGTAGAGTTTTACTCCTATAATGGAGCCTTATATCACATATTCCTATTTAAGGCACTAAGACAACAAACAGCATAACTGGGACCCTGAGTTGAACTCCACCTGATTAATAGATACCCACTGTGCAGGGAGAGTACTTAGTTGATGCAAAGCTGAAATCATCGCACAGTGTCTCAAATATATCAACTTGATGATTACCTGACTAGCCTTTCCTGCTGACTTCTTGTCAACACGTGATAGCCCATTTGGCATTGTTTGACTCTGCTCTAAAATGCAGAAATAGGCAAATTATCCAGGCTCTCTTTTGAAGTGAAATACATGCAGCATGGAAGCTGACAGGCAGTATTACAGGGAACTAGGAAACAAAACCCTCAGAGACCGCTCAGAAAAATACCTATAGGAGGCCATTGAGACAACAAAGCTCTTGAGGTAAAATTCTATCTAAGAAGCTTTAATCAAAGAGCAGCGTGAATCTTATATTCTTGTTCTTTCTTCACCACGATTAATATCATCAGTTCCTTAGGGCGCTCAGTAAGAAACAACATTTCAAAAATACTCCCTGGATAGACCAAGAAAAAAGTGCCAAATACACATTCTACGCAAGCAAAGAATTCATTGTAGAGGGAGATGTTTTTAAAAAGAGTGAAAATAAAAAAACAGAGAGGACTTTATAACTTTTTTTTATAGCTAGTCATTCATAAATAGTAATTCAAGCCAGCTCCAGACACACTTATACACGAAGTCCAACTTGACTCCTTTTCCCAGCCATTTGCCTCAAGGTGTCCCAACCTTTCATCTCCCCTGTTCAGCATCTTATTGGAAAAAAGTCTGGTAAGAGGTGGTATGAAAAGCACTATCTATACACATATGCAGATTTGAGATTAAGAAACAGGATCCTCCAGCTATGTGCAGTGTAATTTTGAAGAAATTACTTAAGCATTCTTGGGACTGTTTATTCATTTGTTACATGGGGATAATAATGCTGACCTCAAAAGATTATTTTGAGAATGAAGTGAGGTATCTAATGTATGTAAGAGCAGGTTCAATAAGTGGCTGTTGTTTTTATTGCTATAAACTGATTCCCCCTGGGTGAATTTGCTGTCACTGCAACTCATCTGTAGAGTATTTCCATTTTAAAGGGGTTTCTAGAGGATTGGAGAACTCTCAGGACCAAAAGATGTCAATTTACTTCAGGCATTTCAGGCACCCTGCTGGGCTGGTGGGTGAGTTAATTTCTGTCATGGGAGCCATCCTTGTACCTTTCAAACAGATGCACAGGAAGCCATGAGCAGTGAAACTGGATCAGAAGAATTAGGTTCAAATGATGGTTTTACCACTTGCCAACTGTGCGACCCTTAAGCACATTACTACTTAATCCTTCATGGTCTAGGCTTTCTCATAGGTAAGGTGGGGATAATGATATATAAGAGGTCATTATAAGATGTTGATAAGAGGGTTATATGACACAAAGCATAAAATGACATCTTTTAGTCCTGCGAGTTCTCCAATCCTCTAGAAACCTCTTTAAAATAGAAATACCCTCATGCCTGTAACCCCAGCATTTTGGGAAGCCGAGGTGGGCTGATCATTTGAGGTCAGGAGTTCGAGACTAGCCTGGCCAACATGGTGAAACCCCATCTCTATTAAAAACAAAAACAAAAAACAAATTCCTCCGTTATTGGAAGAAAATTCTACTTAATTACCAATTTCTTAGGAATTGCCTTTGATGTAGATGATGCTGGAAATAGGCATGAAAATGAGTACTTGAGTACTGTCAATGGTCAGTGCTATACAACTGTAAGTTATTACCATGATCCATTCCTTGCCCTTGTCATGGAACATGCCTCAAGAGTGATACAAATTTCTTACCACTGAGAAACAAATAGTAACCTAACTGGTCAAGAATCAACCAGAGAAGGAAAGAATACACACATATTTAACCCAAAACAATTTTGATTCCAAGTTTGGGCATTTCAGCATTCATATGGCTAGCAGAGTTTGAGAACTATCAAAATTACCTGGGCAAATAACCACAGATACAAGCCATAAAAGGGGTGAATCTTAAAGCACTATGCCTACTGAAAGAAGCCAGGCATACAAGTGTCCATCAAGAGATGAATTAATCAACAAAATGTAATCTATACATACAAATGAAATATTCACTCAGCCTTAAAAAAGAAGGAAATTCTGACACATGCTACAACATGGATGAATCTTGAATACATTATGCTAAGTGAAATCATTCAGTCAAAAAGGACAAATATATATATATATATAGAGAGAGAGAGAGAGAGACTTATATATAGAGAGAGAGAGACATATGTATAGAGAAACTTATTCATATATATGGAGAAATTTATATATATATAAAATAAATATATATGTGTGCATATTTATAGCCTGCTTCCTCTAATACAACCATACAGCTGCCTGAAAAAGGAAAAAGTAAAAGACAATCACTTGAGATTCTCTATGAAAACGTGGATTTTCAGACTATACCCTGAACTCACTAAATCAGCATCTCTTGAACAAAGACCTGAGCCTCTATAGTTTTAAAGAACTCCTCCAGATAATTCTGATATACACCTCTGGTTAACCACTGAAAAGTTTCTGTGATCACATCTGAATCTACTTAAATAACTGACATTTTAAGAATTTTTAACTTTCAATTTTGTATGCTGCGTTTTTGTTCCATGTTCTGATTATTTTATGTAAATACAATTACTTTGTGTAAATAATAACCTTTTTTAAAGGTGGCAAAATTGCACCAAAAAAAAGTGAGGCAGAGGAACATAGTGCAGCCATGTAAATATTTAGAACTTCGGTCATTATTTATGTAACTAATGTTGATTGCCTGTCTACATGTCAGGCACTTTTCCAAGGCCTGGGGATATACGCAGGGATGAGCAAGCCAAAGTTCCTGCCTTCACGAATCTTACACACTAGTAGAAACGATCTCAGAGAAAAATTAATGATGTGTAAGCAGGTTTTCATTAAAAAATAAACACTACTCAATAGGCACACATTAGTCTAAGAGATTTAAAAAAGTAAAACAAATCAAAACAAAATAAACCTGTAGATTTTACAACTTGTATTTTCATCTTGTAATTTAATTGAGAGTACTGAACCAGCTTAGGAGCATGCCAAGTGATTAAGACAACTGCTGAGAGTAAAAGGTACAGAAAAAGAGAGTAAGCAATGAGCTCCAGTCCAGTGTGAATGTCAATGAATAAATCTGGTTCCTTATAGCTCTCAGTGTTGCTCTTTGAACCCTTAGTTGTTAAAAATATTAGGTAGACACACATATTTTGCAGTGAAGAAAAACTGCTGCTAAGGCTTGTCATTGTAGAAAAAGCTGCTGATAAATTCTCTTCATCTTTCTGTAATGCACAAGTCAAACTCCAGGAAAAGAAAAAGCCAAGTTTCTGGATTGTTTATTTGTCCATTTATCATACATTTATTAAACAGAGACTGTAATAGTATCTACCTCATAGATGTTGTGAGTGAGAAGTGAGAATATAAATCCTTTAGCACAATGCTTGGTACATAATGAGCTCTTAGTAAATGTTAATTAACATCATTGGTATATTGGTCTCATCACTGGCCAGGCATCTTCCTTCCCAGGAGCTGGAGATGCAAAGACAATTGAGACACACACCTGCAACAAGAACCTTTTTTTTTTTTTTTTTTTTTTGAGACGGAGTCTTGCTCTGTTGCCCAGGCTGCAGTGCAGTGGCACAATCTTGGCTCACTGCAAGCTCCGCCTCCTGGGTTCACACCATTCTCCTGCCTGGGCCTCCAGAGTAGCTGGGACTACAGGTGCCCACCACCACACCCAGCTAATTTTTTGTATTTTTAGTAGAGACAGGGTTTCATCGTGTTAGCCAGGATGGTCTCGATCTCCTGACCTCGTGATCCGCCTGCCTTGGCCTCCCAAAGTGCTGGGATTACAGGTGTGAGCCACCGCGCCCAGCCAAGAATCTTAATATAACATCTAGCAGAGGGTGGGATGCCAAACAAATGAAGCATTATGCTTGCTATTGTTAGGAGAGCTCAGTAACATCACCGAAAATTCTCTGGGGTGGAGAGAAGAGAGAAAGGAAGGTTAGGTGAGCTATTAAGTAGAAGGTTTTGCTAGTATTTTTTATGTAATTGCAATCGTGCAAAGATACCTTCAGAGAAAATGTTTTCTGCCACCTTTGTGAAAAGTAGTATGATAATGTTGACTTCAAAGATTTTGTATAAAACTCAAACATATAGGATAATTCTTACAGATATTAAAGGTTCATATTATTAGATTTGATGTTTAGATCTGTGATAAAGCTGGTTTTAAAGAATGTGATATTTTGGGATAAAGAGGAGAGTCAGACAAGTTTCAGCTGTAAACAATATTAGAAATCACGTAGTCTACACCTTCATCTAGGTAAGAAAATTGAGGCGCACATGGGGTAAATGAAAATACAAACAAAGGTTCCATCTCAATGAAACGAAGTATATAGATAACAAGCCACATCTATTGGTTCTGTGTTGTCCAGTATGGTAGCCACTAGCCATATTTGGCTATTTAAATTTAAAGTAATCACAATTAAATAAGAATTTTAAAATTAATTCCGTGGTTAAACTAACAACCTTCAACTGTTCAATGTGACCAGCACCTCCCTTATCAAGCACCACATATATAGCACATTTTCATCATCCTAAAACATTCTATTGAGTTGCACTGTGTTAGTTTTACACAATGAGAGAGAAAAGTAACTTTCAGTCACTACTGAAAGCATTTCACAATGAATAAAAAGCTTGTTTAATGTTGTTATCGAATTTTTCAAATGTACTTCTAAAGTTACCTATGCAATTGCTAGTTTATAGAAAAATCTGGGGTGGGAGATGGTGGCTCATGCCTGTAATCCCAGTGCTTTGGGAGGCCAAGGCAGGAGTATTGCTTGAGGCCAGGAGTTTGAGATCAGCCTGGGAAATACAGACCCTGTTGTTACAATTTTTTTTTCTTTTTGAGACGGAGTCTTGCTCTGTTGCCCAGGCTGGAGTACAGTGGCGCAATCTCGGCTCACTGCAAGCTCCGCCTCCTGGGTTCACACCATTCTCCTGCCTCAGCCTCCTGAGTAGCTGGGACTACAGGCGCCTGCCACCACACCTGGCTAATTTTTTGTATTCTTAGTAGAGACGGGGTTTCACCGTGTTAGCCAGGATAGTCTCGATCTCCTGACCATGTGATCCGCCCACCTTGGCCTCCCAAAGTGCTGGGATTACAGGTGTGAGCCACCGTGCCCAGCCATATTACAAAAAAAATTTTAAAATTAGCTGAGCATGGTGGTGCACCCTTGTAGTCCTAGCTACTCAGGAGGTTGAGGCAGGGAGGTTTGCTTAAATCCAGGAACTCAAGGCTGCAGTGAACTATGATCATGCCACTGCACTCCAGCCTGGGCAACAAAGCAAGATCCTGTCTCTAAAAAATAAATAAATAGAAAAATCTAACTTTGCACTCAAATGTTTCACATTAAAAGTCAGGCAAGCATCATCACTGAATGCCTAACTTTGCAGATGCATCAAAGTTGCATGAGTAATTTTTGGAAATGGAGGTGGAACCATTTTAATGTTCCAATTGTCATACATTTCAGGAGCAATCTAATGCAAATATCTACTACAGATTATCAAAAGGAAAAAAAAAGGAGGTAAGTGAAATTTAAGTAGATCATATTTCAGGAGAGAATTCATAAAGTAGAATACAAGGGAGGAAATGTGGGTTTTATTGCTTTCTTAAAATGTTATAAAAGTAAACTTTTAAAAAGTGACTTTTCCTATAAATTTAGGAAGTAAAAAACTGCAAAGTATTTCCTCCTTTTGACAATAGTTTTTCACAGTGTAAAAATACATAGAATATTAGATCTTAAAAGATGTCTTGTAAAAGAATATGCCATATAGAGAAAAAAGTGTCCTTAAACTTCTTAGGGAACATGGTGTTATATCATGATTAAAAAGTTGGAGAAGGGGGACAATTTGAAATTTAAAAAAATTTCTTAAAATACTTCTTTCAGGAAACTGAATTTTGAAACTATCTATTGTAGACTTTGCTCTTGGGCCTAAGAAGTCAGAGACCTACTTGGTATCTTTATCTGATTACGTTTCTTTTTATGTAAAAATAAAAAATCCACAAATTTTACTTCTGTGAAATCATTATTTACTATTGTTTCTGTACCTCTCTGTCTGATTAGTAACATTCATTATCAGTGGTCACAATAAGCCTTGCTTGTAACCATGTGGGCGTTTAATATTCCAATGTGCCCTTTCACTGGTGCCAAGGGAGTGATTGTGGTATATGCTTCCATTTGGAAATTCCTCTCTCATTATCATTTAATATGTTTTTCCTTCAATTTAATTTTTCAATATTTTACCTTATAAATCTTTTGAATTGTTATCTTATTTGCACCCTAAATTTTAATTTGTTTTTTGCATATTAATGATTCCCTTTTTCAATATTCTCATAGCTTATATCATAGTTGAGAGGTTCTCAAACACAAACTGGTGCCAAAAGTGACAAAATGAGAAAGATAAGTATTGTGCAATGATCATATCTGTGCATGGTATGGTATAGACAGCTGATTTGTAATCAGTACACTTGCATGATTTTATGAATTTCCAGTAAAACTTTGCCAAAGGAAACCTTCATTTTATTGCTTGTTCCCACAATAAATTAGAGCTTATCAGCAAATGCGATTTTGTTTTCAGACAACCAATGCATCAATTTTTGATATAAATTTATGCATAATTTCCTATAAAGTTTGTCATGTCTTATCACGCCATATAAATGTTGGGAATGAGTAAAGCTCACCCTCTTGTTTGCATACCATTTGGCTGGCCAAGGTAGTCAGAAAGAGAGCTATTCAAAATTCAGCCAAATACCAGCAGGGCAGGCATTTTCCAGAAATGTGCTCCTGGTCACAAATAGCATTTTCCGTACTGTTTACCTATAATCTAAGAGCAACAGCAAACAGAACAGCGTTATGGCCTGAAGTGATGGAGATTGCCTGGTCCAAGTGAAACAAAGGTTTTGGCCAGATATAAGGGGGGAAAGGGCAGGCTTATAAATAGTTACCATCTCTGTGAGTATTGAATAAGGTCTTCACCAAACAACGTGCATGTACCTACTGTGAACGAAGGCTGGGTTTTAGTAGGTCTGAAGGGGAGGCTAACGGCTGGACCTTGAGGCTCCTGTCCCATTCACCACCAGAAGCCCAGGCTCTTTCAAGCCGGTCTGAATTCAGAGGACTTGAGTTTTGACTTTCTTCCGGGAGATTTTCAGGGCTAATGTTAATGTGTCTTACACAACATTTTCATTGTTCTGTCCTCCTTGTTCTCTTATCCGCATTCTATTTTTGTCAACTTGATCCCCAACCAACCCTCTGATTTCATCTTTCCCCCACTCCAAACCCTTCCATGGTGCTTGCTGTGAGAAGATCTCATCCTCCTCTTACCCCCTATTTGTCACCTCCCTCTCCATTTCCTCTAGATCCTGCATCTAGATCTGCCCTTCCTGAATGATGTTCTTGCACAGATCTCATCATTCCCATCTTGTCTTCTGCCCATCAAGGGATGACAATGGGCCTGGTTCCTCACTGCCCTGTCCAGTTCTCCGTTTTCCTCCCTCAGAGTCAGCTTCTTTGAACTTCCCAAAGACCTGAGCCTGCCTCCACGAAGTTCCAGGATTGGAGAGAACCTGAGAGTTTCTCTAGCCCATGACCCCACTGTTCCTCAGAGGACACCAATGGATAGGGAGGTGATGAGAATGGCTGCAGTAGATAGTCCTTGCTCCTCTGTAGTATCATGTGTTTGTGTGTGCACGTATATACACAGTTGCACTTTAGCTAGATTTGCATAGAGAATCTATACAGTGGTGGTGTTTTCCTTGTTTAACCCATGGAAATGATGCCAATGGTATAAATTTTAGGCTAAGAGGAGGGGACTAGATGTCTTAATATGCCACTGGGAAAGATATTTTAGAGCATTTATTCAGTCAGTCAGCATTTATTGAGTGCTTATTGTGTACCAGACATTGTTTTAAGCACCAAAAATATAAGAAAAATAATGCATTTTAAGATGCTCATTTGTAGTGGGGGCAAGAGCTACATGCACAGATAGAATATAATGTGGTAAATGCAGAGTTAGAAATATGTGCAGGACATTTCAGTAGCACAGAGGAGAGGATTCTGGTTGAGATAGGGTGCAGGGGCTTGTTCAGGACAGTTTCCAGGGAGGTGATTATAAGATGAATCTTGAGCATGCATAGGGGTCCATGCCTGGAAGGACAGAGAGAGGCCAGGCCAGGCAGAGGGAGCAAGACTGGGATGTGATAGACACCACAGAGTGTATGTGGGAGCATGAGAGAGAGAGAGAGACAGAAAGAGAGGGCGGCGGGGAGCGGTAGTGGGAGGCGGTGGCTGGAGAGAAAAAGGAGGAGGAGGAGGAGAGAGAAATTTAAAACAATTCAAGTTTGAGAGTACATTGAGTCAAGAAACTGGCAAGCCTTGTGTCTGGAGGGCAGGGTAAGGACTTGCATAAGCCAGGTTAAGACACACAACACTGACAGCAAATAGCAGCCTCCTACTGTGTGCCAGGCACTATGTGAGGGGCTCTGCACTTATGATATCATGGAGTCATCACAACCCCATGAGGAGCGTATGATTATTGCCATCTGGTTACAGGTGAAGAAAATGAGGTCAGGGGAGGTTAAATAATTTGCCCAAGGTTGCACTGCTGGCTTGGATCCAAGGTCTGACCCAAGGTTCTAACACTTAGCCATCTATTTTCCTCTCCTCTAAAGAACTGTCTGGTTGAAACCCCATTTTGGAGATACAGGAGTGGCAGAGAGGCTAAAGGGGGAGTCCTTCCCAGGTAGGCAGAATTTTTTGCATAGAGCTGCACAGGAAGCAGGACCTGCAGTGAGAAGAAGGCAGCTTTGATTCTAGCTCAGTTGTTCTCAGCCTAAGCCGCACGTGGAATTGTCAAGGAAATACCTGCTCGGGCCTTACCCCAGAGATTCCCATTTAATTAGGGATGGAGAATCAGTTTTTTAAAAGCTCCTCAGGTGATTCTAGTGTGCAACAAGGGCTGCTGGAAAGCATCATTCCTATCTAGCTCCTTCTATGCTGGGACTGCCAGGGCTGAGGGGAGATGCCTTAGCCCCTACCCTGTATGCATTCCTCTTTGACCCCAGCCTCTGTGAATTTCTCTCTTTTCCTCCAGTGTCCTGAAATTTTGTGTGCATTTCAGTGTGGAATCCTCTAAAGTGATCTTAAGCCCACGTTACTGCCACAGCTTCCAAGTCTGCCATCCATGCTTACCATGCGGGTGCCACGGCACAAGGGTTGCACAGGGTAAGGAGGCTCAGAAACACCAGGGGAGCAGGTGGAGAGAGACATGGGTGAACTTGGTGACGCTGGTTTTCTCTATAAATGACTTCTAGATTGGTGAACCAGGGTGGAAGGGGCATGAGACATACAGAGGCCTAAACTGGCAAATAGATAATGTGGAGAGGACACCATGAGCTCTTTCTTCAGAGCCACTGCAGATACCTGCAGGCTGCAGAGGTCCCACTGTTGACAGTTGCTCTTCCTATAGGTGGTTGCAAATGTTTCCTACACCCTGATCATTCCTTCCATAATTCACAGCACTATTGATTAGATTGTGACTGAGATACTGACCTGGGGGTAACTGATATATACGTTAAGTCAGGTGAGAAAACAGGGTTTTCTGGGGGCAGGGACTATGCCCAGAGACAGGAGGAAGAAGGGGTGATGACCTTAGCACTCCCCAGGCAGGGAAAAAACCAAGAGGTAGATGAGGATGTGAATGGCAAAAAGAAACAGCAGGGAGCTGTTGATGAAGTAATGAACACCAGTAACCCACAGAACCGGAGCTGGAACAGACAGGCGGGTGCCAGCACAGCTGACCTGTGTCTTGTTCTCACTCTGCTCCTGGCTCATCTGCTCACTCTGCATGTCACCATCCTCCCTCTCCACCCAGGGCACGGTTTCAAGATTTAGGTCAGATGTCATCTTTTTCTGTGATGTTTTCTCCTATTCCACAGTCAAGATTAATTTCTTCTTCCCGTGACGTTTATTTATTGCTGTTTCTTGCACATGCCAGGCATAGTGTTTATTCTGTCCTTGCTCTTTCAACTCTGCCTGGAAGGCTCTTCCCCAGCCACCCTAATGACTCACTCACCTCCTTCAGGTCTTTATTCAAATGCCACCTTCTCAGTGAGGACTCCTACTCCCCTGGGCTTTATCACTGGAGCCCAGGTTGCATCCCCCTTGTCTGCTTTGTTTTCCTCCATATCACTCATGGTCATTTCAACAATCCACATGTTAGAATCCCATACCAGGAAGGCAGAGATCCTTGTGTTCTGCTTTATGTCTAGCACTCAGAACACAGACGGACACACAGTGGGTGCTCAGTGCATACTGGTTGAATGAATGAATAAATCCTGCCTTGTGTTGTAATTGCAAGGGTAGCTGTCTAACTCATTAGATTACAAACCTCACAAAACAGGAATCAGGCTACATCCCCCTTTGATATGGTTTGGCTGTGTCCCCACCTAAATCTCATCTTGAATTGTAGCTTCAGTAAGTCCCACGTGTCATGGGACGGACCCAGTGGGAGTAATTAAATCATGGGGGCAGGTCTTTCCCATGCTGTTCTTGTGATAGTGAATAAGTCTCATGAGATCTAATGGTTTTATAAAGAGCAGTTCCCCTGCACACACTCTGTTGGCTGCTGCCATGTAGGATGTGACTTTGCTCTTCATTTGTCTTCAGCCATGATTGTGAGGCCTCCCCAGCCATGTGGAGCTGTGAGTCAATTAAACCTCTTTCCTTTATAAATTACCCAGTCTCGGATATATCTTTATTAGCAGCATGAGAACAGACTAATACACCCTGTATCTCTCATAGCACCTTAGAAGTTAACATGTTTTTGTTGTATTGAAGTGAATTGGGCATTAACTTGAAATCCTTCAGTCTCCCCCGAAGGGCCAGTTTGTCTGTTTGACTGTTGGCTACTTTAATGTGCTGCTCTTATTTTATATTTTTGGCATAGACTCACTTCAGAATACTATTCAAGGAACTTATGCCAATTCAAAAGCCTTGTTTTGTTCAAGTGGAGGCTGTTGTGGAATATTCATTCATTTGCATATTCCCAATACTTTAAATCATTCTAGACATTTTCATGGAGTAAGGCATTGGGACATTTTTCACTGGGCTCTACATTTTTCTGACCTCCTTTTGGCTCTTTTAATTATAATTGTTACAAAAACAATATTTACAGAGTGCCAAAAGTCCTGGTGTTTTTATGAAAAATTACTTTTGGAGAGAATATCATTTTTTGATATTTTGCCCTCCCAATCTGATTCATTCAGAGAATATAATGAATTCTGCTGAAGAACTATTGCCAATGTGTTTTTTTCCTAAATGGATATGTGGATATGACAATATAATGTATCATAGCAATCTTGTTTCGATGACTTTCTGGATAATGGCAGTATCCAAAGTGGAAACCTGAGAATTATCTCTTCTTGAATAGGTTATCAGGAAAAGATTTTTCTCCCTTAATGAGACCAATTCCAATTTCTTCTCCCCCCCGCAAACCATATCCCATTTATAGTTTCAAAGTACAAAAGTAACAGTATGCTGGCTTTAACACTTGGATACTAGAAAGCATAATTCTCCTTGCATATGAGAAAGCCACTTAATTTTGTCAAGGTGGTAAGAGAAATACACACCTATAGACATCACAGGGATGTAAGATCTTCTGTAGTCTCAGGTGAAAAATATTTAGTATATCATTGCTTGGGTGCCAAGAACTGGGTTTTGAACTTGGTGTTGCTCCTGAAATATCTGCTAAATTGAAATAGTTAATATTAAGTTGGCCAAACAAAAGAATGAAACACAAAACAGTGGCAGAAAATAAGAGGACCTTTTTCAGGTGTCCATTCAAAAGTTGTCAAGTTGTGTCTCTCCTGAAGTCTCAGTGGACTCTTGAGGAAAGGAAATGCGATTTCTTATGTGGATAGGTCCCACTGTGCCAAGTGCTAACAAGGCAGGGATTCATGGCAAGTCACTGCTCCTCCACTGAGCTCCCCTTCTTTGCCTGCCTTTCCTATCCATTCATTTATTCCTACTTCATCTCTTCCACTCTTCCCATTTCCTGCTTCTGATGTCTCCTCTGGCATCCAACGCTGTGCCTTGTTGGTGGCACTGATGACTAATTGGTGGCACTGATTGTTAGGTCTTTGAAATTAAAGGAGTTTTCAGACTTCTTCAATATCCCCAAATAGATCCACTTATAAGTATAATAAAAAGAGCTACCACTTATTAAATCCCTGTTATGAGCTAGGTACTCTAAATACTTAATCCTAATCTTAAAAATAGCACTAGCATTTTATAGATTAAAAAAAAAAGGAGGCTCTGAGAGTTGGGTACCTTGTCTGAAGTCACATTGGTCAGATGGAGAAGTAGTAGTAATTAAATTAGCACCCATTTCTGATTCCTTAGTCCATTATATGTCCAAATTTACATTCATTCATTGAACAAGTACTTATTGAACATCTATATGCCATGATAGTTCTAGGTGCTGGGAAAAGGACAGTCACTGATCTCATAAAGTGATGGATATTGCCTTCATCTGTTGACTTGAAAAAATCATTATCTTCACAAAACGGCTTTTGGATTAATTTTGTTCTCTAAAAAAGATGTCTACTATGGTACTAGCATAATTAAAAGCAAAATATATTTGGGTTAGTAAGATTTTTCCTGTTATTACTGTTAGAGCAGTTGCTACTTAAATGATGGAATGGTGGAAATGTGGGCAAAAGGTCTTGATGTCTGAAGAGGCCACATAAAAACAGAACCCAGCGTTAGGAGAAGCTGAGTTGGAATGAGCAGGTAACCATGCAGGAATATCTTATATATACACTTTAGTTTCCTTCCTAGCATCTCTCGGAATGGCTGAAAATATGACACTTGACAGTCCTTTGTACCGGACCCATCTACGTGGCTCCCCTGGTAAAAAATCCTGAGTTGTAATTTATGGCAAACATTTCTTCAAGCTCCTGCTCTTGGAATGGAATACATGAATGTGAATTCCACCAAAGATAGTAATGGTGAGTTGTCTTAGTCCCTGCAAGCTGCTATAACAAAATAATGTGGACTGGGTAGCTTATAAACAACAGAAATGTATTTCTTAGTTTTGGAGGCTTGGTAGATTCAGTGTCTGGTGAGCGCTTGCTTCCTAGTTCACAGAAGGCATCTTCTTGCTTCATCCTCACTTGGAAGGGGCAAGGGAGCTCTCCCAGATCTCTTTTTGTAAAGCTACAGATCCCATTCATTAGGGCTTCAGAATGCCCCACCCCCTAATGTCCTCACCTTGGAGTTAGGATTTCAACATAAAAATGCTGAAGGGACAAAAATATTCAATCTATAGCAGGAGTGCACTTTGCCAACAGCAGCACCATTCAGTCCCACAGGAATATCTTTGCCCTGTTGCCTTGATCTTCTCCCCACTCTCCTTTCAGATGTGCTTATATTGTTCTCACTGCAGTGACTGAAGGAGTGTTTGGTTTCCAGCTAACCCTGATCTTTGGTGTTGAACAGTCAGGCCATCTGGGATGATTAACATCATAGCCTAATGGTGGCCACTCTTGGGCTACTGTGGTTGAAGAGATTGAAGTAGGTGGGAAGAGCGGTTGGAAAAGTCTGAAGAACTCAGAATTTTACACTCTCGCAAATGACATTAGGGACAAAAGTTCAAAAAAAAAAAAGATGAGGGAGGAGGCAGAGTGTGCGTTTGTTGATCACTTCATCCGGGTAATTCAGCATGAGTAGACCCATTTATCTGATTCTACTCTATATGAATAGCGCTGGAAACATAGGTATTCTCAGTAAACAGAAGTTGAACTTAATTGCTAAATTCAGAAGGAAGGAGACAACAAGATTCCTGTCTATCTATTTAAAGATTTATCCCCTATTACTTATTTAATACATGCTAGATTCCCAACTCTGTGCTAGGTTTTGCCTTGTAGAACTTGGACCTGTCATAGAATCTGCATCTAGCTCTCAACTACCATTTATGCATCATCTTCAACTTGTGGAGCAGTATGTGGCATGAACAAGAACATTGTTGGGAGTCAAGAGACCACCTGGGTTCTGGTCATACTGGCAGGAAATGGCAGTTACAAAATTAGAAGCCATATTTGATTTTAAAGTGCAAATATTTCCAAATACCTCATTTATTCACTCATTTAAGATGTTAATGCATCTACTAAATGCTAGATGTCGGGTATCAGACATGTAAACATTTCACCTTTCTGGCCCTTAGTCTTTGTTCTTTTCAATGAGGGAAATAGCTATTCCCTAGACTTTCCTGAGTGATGGATACAAACCACTGGCTACACTAGAGATGACTATCAGTAATGCACAGACATGGCATTAAATAACACTGAACTACCTGAGGAAAGAGTGATTTTCTTCTACTTCTTTTTCAATCCTTCTATTTATTCAAGGGGAAAAGTCTCAGTTTGATGCTACAGTATCTTTCACACCTCTTAAATAATGTCTAATCTATACTGGCTATCAATTTCAAAGAGTTTGGCAATATTAGACTAGAATTTCATAATGTTATTTTTGTACATTTTTATGGTTATCTTTAATTTATGAAAAGTGATACTGGCTTGCCATTTATAATAGTGATATAAATTTTTTTTAACATAAATGCATTTAAAAAGTGTTAAAAAGTTTATTTAAACGGTGTATTAAATAATTGTAAAAGTGGTTGGTAGATCTGGCCAAAATCACGAAGATGTTGTGTGACTGGCTGAAATTTGAGATGCATTACATGTTTGAGATGAATCAGAAGTTCTCTAAGGTCCACCCCTTCCTTGCTTGTTATAGTGTTCTAAGATCATTTGTATAATAAATAAAGGCTTAGAAAGCACTGGACCTTGCTGACTCTTTTCTACCCTCACCTTGGCTGTGAATCCAACACAGGGCATTAGTGTCATGTTCAGATCTGCTCCAACGGTACACAGAAGAGCACGCTGGGCAGAGGAGCACGAGGAATGCAGAGAGGGCTGCTCTGAGATTGAGCCACAAGGGAGAAACGTGACTGTTCTGTCAAAAATGGCTAGTTTGTTATTTTTCAAGTTGGAAGCAGTACAGGGCAGAGGCAAAGGCAAGATCTTGGAGCCTGGCAGTTCTTTGCATTTACTAGTTATGTAATTTTTTTTTAGCAAGTTATTTTATTTCTTTCTGCTTCAGTTTCCTCATCTGTAAATTGAAGAAATATACCCACAAGGTTGTTATAAGGATTAAATAAGATAGAGTGAGAAACAATGCCTGTAACAAATCAAGTACTCAATAAGTAGTAACTATTATTTTTATTCAGAGGGAAATAAAATGGCATTTTCCAAATGAGTGCATTATACATACTTTAAATATCAAGAGGACACCTCTGGCTACAGTGCCTCATTAAAATATACTTAACTTTACCACTGGAGACCTGTGTCTCTTCCTGCCCCTACAAATTCAGCAAATCTCCACTTACCCAGAAACCTGGGTTCATTCTAAATTGGATCCTTTTCTCTCCTTCACTCAACGATTGAAATGTAATCACAGCATTGCCATGGATGGCTAAAAACAGTCCAGTGTATTAACTGAAAACTTTTATCATGTAAATATGGATACTAAATTTGTTCTTCAGCATATCAGTATATCAGCAATGAAGAAGTCATTTTTCAGATCTCAAAATTCCATGTAATATTTATAGCTTCTGAATATATTTAAAGCTAAGCATACGAGGGGTAAGAAAAAGTTCCATAAGGGGAGAAAGAAATATGCTAAATGTGTGCAGTATATCTGTCTTATGAGGCTCAAGCATGCTTTATGTAGTGCTGAGAGTTTGTGAGTGAGAGCTAAGCTGCATTTCCCTGGTTGTTCTTTTTAACTATAAAGAAAGGTGATAAATTATAAATGTGCCTGAGTCACCCAAGTATGACAGTTTTAATTTTCATTTTAACAATATGTACAATACCAAATGCATGAAACTCAGTTGGAATGTGACAAGGCAGTAGGGGCTGTTTGGAAGGCGAGGCTGAGAAGGTGAGCGTGCCCTTCCTGCCCATTGGCTCCTGTCCTACAGACATGGGCTTGGGACTGCCAGTGTTCTCAGCATCTTGCCACTTTGTCAGCTTTCTGCTCTATCTAAGATGATAGTTTGTGTGTGTGTGTGTGTGTGTGTGTGTGTGTGTGTGTGTGTGTGTGTATTTTGCATACAAGCCTGCCATGCGAATGGCTCTCAGATCCTTATCTATTTGAATAAAACAAATGCTTCCCTGCTTCATGTTCCATCTCATTTTTTTTTCCTCATTTCCTACAGCTGGTTGTTTGTAATATTCATGATATTTCTTGGTTTCCAGTTTGTCTCTCTTCTCTCTCTCACAAAATAATGCCCTGCCTTTAAATTTTTCCATTTGTGTACTGTCTCCTTTATCATCCCTATTTCTTAAGCTTTCCTGCTTGGAGCATCACTGTCTGATTATTTCAAGGAT
Organism: Homo sapiens; assembly: GCF_000001405.40. Taxonomy (NCBI): domain Eukaryota; kingdom Metazoa; phylum Chordata; class Mammalia; order Primates; family Hominidae; genus Homo; species Homo sapiens. The sequence continues at coordinate 114,142,192 of NC_000006.12, forward strand.
AACAACTTCCCATCTCTGTATAGAATTCTTTAGACAGGGATATGAGGAGCATGCATTTATAGGAGCTGTGCAATTGTAATGAACGTTTAAAACATGGAAAAAGTCCTGGGTCAAATAAGGTTTACAGTTTGGGATTGGTAAACCAATGAAAGGAACGAGTAAAATAAAGTAACATCAGAAAGTGATGTCAACAATCTTCCTTTTCATTTTAACCTGTTCCATGTGGAAGCTCTGAATACGGTCACGTGGCAGGCTCACGAGTGAGTCATGGGAGGTAAGCGTGGCTGGGAGAAAGGAGGGAGCAGTTACTGCGAGGGTGGGTGAGGATAACACAAGCCTTGTGAGCCAGACAGAATTTAAATGTGATAATCTTTGCAAAATGTTTGTAAAGATGAATAATTATATAATCAATAGATATAATCATCTTTTTCCTCTTACAGGTAAATGCCATTTACAGAAAGCATTCTGCATAATAAAACGATTTCAAAGTCTCATAAGAGAAGCTAACATAACTTCCCTTAATCAATCTAGTCTTCATGAGCTCTACACAAATAGTCCCATACCAAGGTTTTCCTGTATGTCTATCCATTTATAGGGGATAGGGAAGCTTAAGGGAGGAGTGCTGTGAAGAATGTTGTCATTTCTTCTGGACTGCTACTAAGTAAAAGTTATCTTCTCACCTCACTCACCAATTCCTGCCTTAGTACCACAGCAATTATCTTTGCCTAAACACATTAACGGGGAAAAATGTTCAGGCTTTTGGAGAAGAGCTACAAGTGGTGGACGGTGGCCACAGTGAAGAGTGGGGTAACTTAGACTAAACACTATAGGTAAGTTTATCACGCTCTCTCTTTTCCCTTTACTGACTCCAAAGTACTTGTCACTCATTAAATCTGCCTTATCGTCAGTTCTTTCAAACAGGAAGCATAATTTCAGTGGTTGCTTTTCACTGGACATGTGGCCTTGGGCAAATTACTTAACTGTTCTATGCCTTGGTTTTCTCATCTTGGAAGATGTAATATTGGAAGAATAATAATATCTACTTCATGAGACTGTTGTAAAGGTTAAATGAGTTAATATCCATAAAGTATGAGAATAATGCCTGGCACATAATAAGTACTGCAAAATGTCTAGCATAATAATGATTATCATTGTTAATAACACATATGTCGTGTTCAGTGGGAGATCACTATATATAACCATTGTCTAATTCCTCTTCTGGATTTGTGTTCTTTTTAGGAAGTTGTGCATGTCCATTGCAGAATAGGAGGTGATTAGATATGTAGTATCATTACTATTCCAATACTAGCATTTGGGGTGTGAAAGTTGTAAGATTCAAAATAGAGTCACTTGTGTCAAACCCGGGCAAATGGCGCCAAGGAGGATCATGAACGGAGGGATCTCACACATGATTTTCTTGATAACAGGAGCCATCAGAAGAAATTTTTCCAAACTGCAGCTTATTACATGGGTCACACAAGGACAGTTTGCAGCATAAGGACAGCTAGCTGCTTATACAAGAACATGTGCCTGACACAGTCTCACAAGCCCAGTCCAAAACTACAAGGGCCTAACTGTAACTCCAGGATTACAAGTCCTACCTAATAACTATTGACACTCGCCAGTCAGAACTCACCAGCTCTTTTGTTGCTGCCAGCACCAATAAGCTTTCTTCCAAAACCAACGCATAGCCTCCGCCTTTCCCAATAAACTCTAACCTTTTCCTTTATTCTGTGGACACTCCAGAGGCCAATCTGGTCTGTATATATGTCCCAGATTGCAGTCCTACTTCTTGTATATTATTCTCAAATAAAACAATTTTTACTTAAGAGACTCATCTCTATTTTTTATGTTGAGGTTTTAAGTGAGTGGGAAACCAGCAGGCAGTGTAAATGCAGTCCCAGAGTTCCCAGTGGCAACTGTGTTCACCACTCTACTCTGTAGCCTGAGCAGACTGTCACAGAACTGCCCCTGACCAGATTGATGAATATAGGAGAGCTGCTTTCCTGTGTTTTTAGGCTGAAAAACTTCACTCTGTTTTGGACTGTACAGAGACAAGCATGCAGCATTCCCAAACATTGGCAGACTTCTCATCACCTTTGGATGACCTATGACCGATACATTTAGCGAAGAGTTCACATTATTAACTGGATTTCCCACCAGTCATTGTTCAAAGATTGAAATTTCACAAATAAAATCAGAGCCCGATAAAGACATTTTTAGTTACATCACAAAGAAAGAAAACTCTTTCAGCTTTGGGACGGTCTTTGATAAGTTGCATAATGGTCCCACACAGCCTAAAATTAAACTCTCCAAAAGTTCCTACCATATGACCAAACATGAGCATTTAATCTTGAAACTTCTATCCAGAAGTTAGTTCTCAAATAAATGCATCTACAGGACATAAGCAGAAACATGGAAACTGGAGGTAGCAGGTCCCAAAAATCCATAGATTGTTTTAAACATATTTTAACCCCTGCTGGACAGGAAAGGCAAAGCCATTGGCATTAGGTAGAACTGGGCACTAATCTTAGCTCTGACACTTACTAGCTAGGTCATCTGAACCATGTTACAGTTTCCTCATCTGTAAAAGGCTGAGTTGATACCTACTTCAAAGTACAGTTGTTAGAATTAAATGAGTAACGTTTGTATAGCTCCTGTGGCAGTGCCTGATATATAACAGCTATTCAGTAAACGTTTATGTCTGCCTAACTTGTTGCTCTGCTGTTAGTTGGGACCTGAACAGTGGGAGCCTTGGCCGGGTAGTGACATACCTGTGTCTGCAGAGCCTGGGCCATTCAAACATCTCAGCTGATGCTCACGGAAATTACTCTCACTTGTGCTCCAACTTCACTCCAGTTCCTCCACTCTCTGTTGATTTTTGCTGCTGACCTGACCCTTACTTCTTGGCATTTGAACCTGACTTCATACCCTGTATACCAACTAGGTTCTGGTATTCTGTCCACATTCCTACAAGCCCCGGAGGCAGGGCTTAGCTTTGTACTTCTAGGTTGGTCCTGATAGCACATTCCAGTCCTATCTCACACAGCTCAAAGACTGCCTTGCTAAAACAAAACAAAAAACAAAACACCTCACACTGAAATTTCATCATCTCTCCAGGAATAGAGTTTCTTTATTGTGAAAGATTCTTTCTCAAAATGGTTTAGTGTGCTTCGAGTTTCATCTCAGGTATTATTTGCAGTGGTCCCAGCAGTAAGCCTGGCTTATCTGAGCCCTGGTTTATGGCAAGCCTGAAATGAAATGAGAATGTCGGGTTTGGGAGAGACAGGTCCCCAAACCAGAGGAATGACAGGAATGTTCACATGGGGACACAAAGCCTGCCTGATTAGAAGGAGGGAGTCTGGAGAGAGTGGCCAGGGTAGTTTACATGGGCAGAAAATGACAGATGTCAAAACCATAAAGGTTCAATGAGAGTGGCCAGGTACGTGGAGCAGGCAGGGTCAAGGACACCAAAGCAAACAAAGACAGCAGATGCAGAAGTGAGAGTTGAGTCTTGAGCTGCTGCGAACTGCAGTGGGAGGCAGGGCTCGTGTGGGGGTGCTGTGGGAAGCAGGGGCCTTCCTCACTCATCAGGAACACAGCTGTCTGCCCCTAAGCCACAGCCCTCAGCTTTGGGAGGATAATTTCTCACAGCAGTGCTGTATCTATCATAGCTGAATTTAAAGAATTTGTGGTAAGTGATCTTAATTGAACTGATACCCTTGAGATGTCGCATCACCTTTAAACCAATGGACATCTGAAAGGAAAGTACATTTTCCTAATGTTGTGATGGAATGGATTGCTACTGGAGACTGGCTAACTAAATGGGTCCAAACTCTCATAATTTTCAATAGAAAAAAATAGTCTGATTTAGAAATAAAATCACCTTTAGCATTTCTACTAAAATTAAAAAAAATTACAGAGTCCAGTTGCTTCTAGATATGTCTCTTCTCTGTAAACCACAGTTCTACAAGAAGCAATCTTTGAGAGTAGAGAGCTTTATCCTAACGGCCAACCATAAAGACAGCTAAATAGAATATTTGAAATAGAAATCTGCGAGCACTGTGAAAGAGTACTTTTTGTTTTTTAAAGGTAGTCAACTTTGTTCCTCCCTTACAGAAGATACAGTTGGCTGACCTAAATTGACTAAGTTCTGAGAGAATCATATCGTTAAAGAAAGTAGAAGTCTGGCCCATAAAGTCCTGTGATTGTTCAATCCCTAAACGAGGTCCCCAAAGGAGTGTTTCTCTCTGTCTCACCTCACATGTGGCTAAGGAGAATATGGGCAAGGAAGAACCTCCAGAGAGGAAAGTTAGAAGCCATGGAGGCCAATGGCCAAGAATGTCCACCAGGGTCTAAGCAGAGGGCATCAACCCCTAGAAGGGCAGGGAGGCTGTTCCTAAGTGATACGGTTTGTATATTCACTCCTGCCCAAATCTCATGTTGAACTGAAATTCCCAACAGTGGAAGTGGGGACTGGTGGGATATGTTTGCATCATGGGGGTGGATCCCTCATGGCTTGGTGCGTCTTTGCAATATTTGATGAGGTCTCATGTGATTTGGTCATTTAAAAGTGTATGGCACCTTCCCCCATTCCCTCACTCCTGCTTCTGCCATGTGATATTCCTGCTCCCGCTTTACCCTCTGCCATGAGTAACAGCTCCGAGGCCTCCTGGGAAGCTGCCATGCTTGTGCCTGCAGAACTATGAGCCATTAAACCTCTTTTCTTTATAAATTACCCAGTTGCAGGTATTTCTTTATGGCATGCAAGAACAGCTGAATACACTGAGCAGCAGGCTTTCATCACTGGTATGGATCAGGGACTACTATGTGTTTCCCTTTCTTTCTTTTCTGAATGGGAGATTATACTGCATTATCCTATTACTACACTAACACTATATAGGGGGACTCTGTGGGCAAAGTCAAGAATCTTAACTGTTTACACATTACCAGCACAAAAGAGCTATCTCAGCTCTTGTTGGAAAAGCCAGCACATGACTTTGTGCTGGATGCAAAGACTGAGTGGGATTTTGAAAACACATAGTTATTTGGCTATTTGGGGTACGAACTCAGATGAGGATGCCACAGACTATTTTCCAGCCTCCCTTGCAGCTAAATGTGGCCATGTGACTGAATTCTCACTGATAGAACGTGAGCTGAAGTGATGTGTGCAACTTCCACATCACTTAAGAGGGTTGTTTGCCCTTCATTTCTGCTCCTCCATGCATAGGGACACTGGCATGGCAGTGACCTCACTTCAACCATGAAGATGAAGTTGATTGAAACACAGAAGAATAGGGTCTTGGAATAACCTAGTGCAGCAGAACCAACCTACCAATCTGGACTACTCATTCTGAATTGTTAGGTCATGAGAAATAAACTTCCTTTTTTGAGGGGTGGCGGAGATGTTTTGGAGTCTCGCTCTGTCACCCAGGCTGGAGTACAGTGGCACAATCTCAGCTCACTGCAACCTCTGCCTCCTAGGCTCAAGTGATCCTCCTGCCTCAGCCTCCCGAGTAGCTGGGACTACAAGCAGGCACCACCACACTTCGCTAATTTTTGTATTTTTAGTAGAGACAGGGTTTTACCATGTTGGCCAGGCTGGTCTTGAACTCCTGACCTCAAGTGATTCTCCCACCTTGGCCTCCCAAAGTGCTGGGATTACAGCCATGAGCCACCGCACCTGGCAGAGAAATAAACTTCTCTTAGAGGTAAGCTTCTGTCACTTTTGATCTCTGTTGCAGCATATATATCCTCCTTCATCCGAATGCATAAAATTATAATTTCAGAATGATTTGATATAAGAAAATCATTACTTCTAGAATAATTTGAATTGGAAATTTCATTTCTAGGTACCATAAGATCATTTTTCTAGACATTATAAATTCTTAGGTCTGCAGCCAATGGAACAGAACAGAGACCTCAGAAATAACACCACACATCTACAACCATCTGATCTTTGACAAACCTGACAAAAACAAGCAATGGGAAAAGAATTCCCTATTTAATAAATGGTACTGGGAAAACTGGCTAGCCATATGCAGAAAAGTGAAACTGGACCCCTTCCTTACACCTTATACAAAAATTAACTCAACATGGATTAAAGACTTAATGTAAAACCCCAAACCATAAAAACCCTAGAAGAGGCCAGGCACAGTGGCTTATGCCTGTAATCCCAGCACTTTGGGAAGCCAAGGCGGGTGGATCACCTGAGGTCAGGAGTTCGAGACCAGCCTGGCCAACATGGTGAAACCCTGTCTCTATTAAAAATACAAAAAAATTAACTGGGTGTGGTGGCGGACACCTGTAATCCCAGCTACTCAGGAGGCTGGGGCAGGAGAATCGCTTGAACCCAGGAGGTGGAGGTTGCAGAGAGCCAAGATCGCGCCACTGTACTCCATCCTGGGCAATGAGAGTGAAACTCTGTCTCAAAAAATAAATAATAAAACCCTAGAAGAAAACGTAGGCAATACCATTCAGGACATAGGGATGCCGACTTCATGACTAAAACACCAAAAGCAATTGAAACAAAAGCCATAATTGACAAATAAGATCTAATTAAACTAAAGAGCTTCTGCATGGCAAAAGAAACTAGCATTAGAGTGAAAAGGCAACCTATAGAATGGGAGAAAATTTTTGCAATCTACCCATCTGACAGTCGTAATATCCAGAATCTACAAGGAACTTAAAAAATTTACAAGAAAAACAACCCCATCAAAAAGTGGGCAAAGGATATGAACAGACATTTCTCAAAAGAAGACATTTATGTGGCAAACAAACATGAAAGAAAGCTCATCATCACTGATCATTAGAGAAATGCAAATCAAAACCACAGTGAGATACCATCTCACACCAGTTAAAATGGTGATTATTAAAAAGTCAGGAAACAACAGATGCTGGTGAGGCTGTGGAGAAATAGAAACATTTTTACACTGTTGGTGGGAGTGTAAATTAGTTCAACCATTGTGGAAGACAGTGTGGCGATTCCTCAAGGATCTAGAACCAGAAATACCATTTGACTCAGCAATCCCATTACTGGGTATATACCCAAAGGGTTACAAATCATTCTACTATAAAGACACATGCACACACATGTTTATTGAAGCACTATTTACAATAGCAAAGACTTGAAACCAACCCAAATGCCCATCAATGATAGACTGGATAAAGAAAATGTGGCAAATGTACACCATGGAATACTATGCAGCCATAAAAAAGGATGAGTTCATGTCCTTTGCAGGGACATGGATGAAGCTGGAAGCCATCATTTTCAGCAAACTAACACAGGAACAGAAAACCAAACACCACATGTTCTCACTCATAAGTGGGAGTTGAACAATGAGAACACATAGACACAGGGAGGGGAACATCACACACTGGGGCCTGTTGGCAGGTGGGGGGCAGGGGAGGGAGAGCATTAGGACAAATACCTAATGCATGTGGGGCTTAAAACTTAGATGGTGGGTTGATAGGTGCAGCAAACCACCATGGCACATGTAACAAGCCTGCACATTCTGCACATGTGTCCTGGAACTTCAAGTAAAATTTTAAAAATTAAAAAAAAATTTCTTAGGTCAGCACAAATTTTAAATCTGAGGTATATCACCACTTTGATATTACATGGAAAAAAGTGTAATACACATATACAAAAGTTTAGTTTTTATCAACTATTCAAAAGTAGTCCTGAATGATTTAAAATACTGTCCAAAATTGTGGTAATTCTGCATCCTGTCATATCAAGAAGAGACAGGCTTAAAAGAGTTTCCCTTTGTTGGTTAGATTAACATTTAGCCAAAAGATAAGTGAGGCTATTCATGTTAGGAGGATGCTCTGGTACTTTTGGCTAGTGTTAATTTTAAATACAAGAATTTGTATTCTATAGGGAGTAGGAAATGACTATGTTTTTCTTGATGACCATTAAATATTCTTACTGAAAACTAGTCTTCTGCTCAATATTGTCACATAAATGGTTTTAATTTAAGAATACTTTCAATACAATTAATGGCTTTGGATGTCCTGTTAAGTTTGTTTTTAATCTGTACTGTTATTTGTGCACACTGTGGTATTCACACAGATCTAGATGTCACATAGCCTACGTTCACACAACCGCTAATATAAAAAACACCATTGAGCTCTATTAAGTTCCAGTGGCACACAGTGCCAAAGGATTGTTGTTCAATGTTTGACTTATTAAAGTTTCCTAAGACAGGCAATCTCATAAGCAAACGTATAGAGGCCCAGCTGCCCTTTTGACTAAATACATCAAAATAAGTATTTACTTCATATATGAGAAATAGTACAAGTGCCCTTTACAGAGAAGAGAATCTGGGGAAAGCTGCTTCAATTAGACCTTTATATGAAGGACTGGAGGTGAAAGCCCTATGTCATTTTCATTCAAGAGAGGTTTTATGAAGAATATGGGGTTTCACAAGCTGTCTGGGTGTGATGGGAGAAGGAAAGGAGGATTTGCATTCTATAGCATACATGCAATATTTTTTAAAAAAGATTCAGAGAAGGAGTTAATGCCTGAGTGTAGGAGATGTATTCAGCAATTATAATAAAATCCTGAAAGAAAGCCTTATCATTTGTACTCATATTTATTTATTCACTGCAAGCATGAAAAGAAACCCCAGAAGGAATCGTCAAATTGTCTTATGTGAATTACATTGGAAAACGTGTGTTTTGGACATTTTCAAAGCTCAAACTATTTTGCTTGTTCTTGAAAGTGGGAATTCTAGTGCAACTAGAAAGATAAACATCCTTAATATCCTTTCACCTTGCATTTTTACTGCTTTTTTTAAAGCATGAATAAAAAACCAGAAAGCACATATTCGCTTGCCCCTGTACATTTTAAATGACTGTTTTACAAGTCATTCAAAAGATGGCTGACTCTGATAGAATGAAGCACTCAAAAATGTTGATGCTGAGGCAAAGGAATGACCCATGCCTTACAAATTAATCATGTTGAGTTAGGATTTTTTGGTATTGTTTATTTGTCCCAGCATTATCTGACCCACAAAATAGCTATCCGACACCACGTAATAAAAATCCTTTTTTATAATGGGGTTCTACTTAGAGATCAAATGTCAGTGTTCTTTGATCTTTGTTGCTAAGATGTTCTCATTATATGGAACAGAATTCAGCAGGTGTTTGATTATTTATCCAGCAAAGGGGAAGGTGAGCTGGGATTAAATTGTTATGGCATAGCTTTGTTTTAGGCCCGCTGACTCTTGCTGAATTTGGAATAATTGTGTTGCTGCATAGCAATCTTGCTAAGTACAATAGGACACTGAAAAGCTTGGCTCAGAAACTAATGGTCTGCAGCTACCATCTGTGGGATTGAAACTAAATGCCTCTAAAAGAAATACTCATAAATGTAACTAGCCATCTTGTTGATTAGCTTTCTGGTAAATGGGATTCCAGTTGCCTAAATGAACCAGTGCAACCTCTCTCTGGAAGCCAATAGATGGACAACCACTTGCTTCTGAGTTAGCAGTTGCCCAATAAATTCCAATATATTTAAAGCTCCTTTGAAAGAAGACACTCCCAAATTATGTAAAATGTAGAAAATTATATCAACACTTCACAAGCTATAAATTAAAATAGAAAAATATAAATTCCTGTGCCAGTGTTTTCAAGGTCATTATTTTTCAATTCAATACATTCAGCTATGCTCTTATTGCCTATTCTTTGTGGCTAGGTTAATTATATGGTGACAATTTCAAAATTATGTTTATTTTATTTTATTTTTTTTAATTTTTGAGACGGAGGGTCTGTCGCCTAGGCTGGAGTACGGTGGCGTGATCTCGGTTCACTGCAAACTCTGCCTCCCGGCTTCAAGCGATTCTTTTGCCTCAGCCTCCTGGGTAGCTGGGACTACAGGCGCGTGCCACCATGCCCGGCGAATTTTTTAGTAGAGACGGGGTTTCATCTTGTTAGCCAGGATGGTCTCGAACTCCTGACCTCGTGATCGACGCACTTCGGCCTCCCAAAGTGCTGGGATTAAAGCCATGAGCCACCGTGCCAGGCCATAAATTTATGTTTCTTATGCAAAATAAATTTCAGTTTCTATTCTCAATATTAGCATGCATTTTCTATTTTTAAAGAAAAAGAATTATTCCTTGCAAATTCACACTTCTTTGTTTCAGTGTACACATCTATGCTGCACATACCACTCTGATAATCCATTAACTGTTAACACTCCTACCTTCTTAACTTTTTACATTTTTCACTCCAGAAATTTAAGCTTTTGAGGATATCATTTCCTGCTGAAATCCAGTTAGAGGAGAAATTTTAGGTAATTAGAAATAATTCTGTTACTACCTGAGCTAAGCAGAAACTGGTTTTTATAAAGAAGGAGGAGTGTGAAAGCTCCCGGCAACTCTACAGATTTGCTTTTCTCATCTTTCTTCTCAGAATTTCATCTTACAGCTCAGGAAAGTCGAGGCTAAAGTGGATTTTGCTGAGAGTTTGTCAAGTTAGAGGGGCCAGCGCTGGCTCAGTTCTCCGCCTGGACACATTTTCTCTTCCTGTGGTCCAACCTCCCAGTGTAAGTGCGATCCCAAGTGGCCTGCCCCTTGAGCAGTCAGGCCCTGTCTCTACTGCGAGGGATGTAAAAGTTCAGCACCCATGAAGCCTTTGCTGCTAGAGGCTTTGGCCTGTGCTTTGAGCTGTGATTCCAAATCTTCCTTATCTTGAATGATTGGCTCCCAGTTTTGTTAACTGAATCTGCCTGGGGATCTGCCTAATAATTTTCATGCTCTTTATTTTGCTTTGGGCTAGTCCTAGTCTTTCTCTCAGCCCTCACACCCCTCTTGACTCTACAAGGAGTTGAAGTCTTGCCACTGATCCCCACCCAATGGTTGAGACTTTACCTATCAGCTTGAATATTCCCAGTTGCAGTATTTAACTTGTTCACTGAAACACCCTTTTACTGCCTGATGCCCACGGTACTGTTAATGGGGGCAGAGCTGCCGTTTGGATCCTGGGCTCTGTCTCCTGGTTTAGACTTCCTCACAGTACCAACAGCTGGGATATCTCCTTTTGTATGTTCCATGCTGGTGCGGGAGTGCCAGGTCCTAAACCCAGGTCAGCCCTGCTCCAGGATAGCTAATTGAATAATGTCCAGTAATCCCCATTAAATAACAATAGGTATAGGTGGAAATATTTACATGTTCTATTGGGATTTCGTTATATTTCCTAATTTTATAAGTGGCCTGTTTCTATATTTGCACTGATCCACTCCTTTTTCCCACCTACCTGCTGAAAAATCATATCCTCTCTCCATGGCAATATTTGCTTCATGCTCATCTTCGTATTCATTTTCTCAATGGGGCAGACTCCCGTTGCACCATATTGGTGGAGAGATGAAATTTCTGTCCTGGATTATCATATTCTGTCTTATCTCATTCATTTGCTCTTCTGTGCTCAGTGAGGTATGATAGAAGTGGCAGTGTGGTGAAACTAGGAGGCCAGTAAAAAACGTAAGTAATTTTCACCTTGGTTTTTTCTGTTTCAAGTTCCTGGGGCCCTCTTTTCTCCTCTCTTTTCCTCTGATGAGATCAAGGACTCAGTGGTGTCAGCTATAGTCACCTTATTAATAACTACTATCTTAGTACTCACAACAATCCTGCAGGCTGGGCATGGTGAGGCCCATTTTGCAGATGAGGAAACTAAGATGCAGAAAGGTCAAGATTATTTTGCTTTTAGCTCTTCGCTGTTCACGTCCCTTCAACTGCACAGTGGTGAGCAGGGAAGGGTTATCAAGGGGGCTCAGGGGGACTGAATGTGCACAGGAGCAGGAGAGGGTTTCGTGGGGAGCAGAGAGGATCACAGGAAGTTTTAGTTCCTGGGTCTCAGACAAGTGGGCAGAAGCAAAGGCAAATCCAGATGCTGAAGGTTTGGCTCTTGGGACTGCAGTCTATTAACGAAGGAGAGGTAAGAAGGGAAAGGAGATGTCTGAGTATTCAAGGTTATGTCTGGAATGGTTCATTTCTTGGCCAGCTCTGACTTTTTGCAGTGTGACTAGAGAAGTCTGTGATCAATTATTGCTGCCTGCCTCAGTGGGAAGGCGAGGTGAGTGAAAGCATGCTTATTTTCTGATCCTGCTCAATATTCCAGCTGGCACTATTTAGAGCTGAAAAGGGAACCCAAAAGAGAAGCAAGGTGGTAAAATTTGGATTGAGACTGAGTGTGGTGGCTCACACCTGTAATCCCAGCACTTTGGAAGGCTGAGGCAGGCAAGTTGCTTTAGCCCAGGGGTTTGAAACCAACCTGGGCAACATAGCAAGACTCCATGTCTGTTGTTTTTGAAATCAGTTTAAAAAAAAGACTTAGATTAGATGTATCAAAACAATATTCATTGTAACTGTGACATATTTGAATAAATCCTTGAGGGGCTTGTACCAGCCTGTACAAGTCAGACTACTGCACCCCATCACATCTTATTTAGTCTCTTGCCATTCTCCCTTCCCCTCACCCACTTCATCTGCTTACTTTGCTTGGGGGAAGGCAGGAGGAGGGGCACATAAACATGTAGCAAGTTCCTGCCTCTGGCATTTTCTGGTCATGTTGCTCCTTCCTGGGATGTGCTTCACGCAGATGTGGGCAGGGTTTGCTTCCTGTGGCCTTTGTCAAATGTCATCTCACTGATAAGTCTTCCCTGACTGCCATACATAAGAAGGCAGCCTCTCTCCTCCCATCATCTGGGCATCTTCTATCCATTTGACTTTGCCTTATCTTTCCCGATTGCTCTGGTTACATATGCATTTACTGCCTGTCTCCCCTCCACCACCCCACCCCCAGCTGGAATGTCCGCTCTGGGAGGGCAGGCCATGCATTCTGTGCACTGCCATTGACCCAGCACGGAGAGGCACCCTTAGAGTAGGAGGTGCTTGAGACGTATTTGTTGAACAAATTTATGCTAATTATCTTGTAGAACAATATCTCTCAGGCTTAATGCTAATGTGTTTAACTCTACTTCTTACATATTGTATTTTATTATGATACAAATTTTGTTAATGACAATATTATCTTGTGACTTAATAAAGTGTCCTCTTATTCATCCCCATGCCAGTTTTAAGTGGCCTGTAGAGATATAAATAATAGGACACGAATAAATATAAAGAAGAAAGAAGAAAAAGAATAGAGAGTAAAGTGAAGTCCGTGGTAGAATTAGAAAACAAAATATTAGTCTTCTGTTAATCAAGCCAATGGATTCTATTCAAAACTTGGAAAAAAGAGAAAAAAAGAAAAAAAGACAAGCATGCTACTCTAGTTCCACCAGGCTGCTGTGAAAAAAATCTGGTTTTGAATCCAGGTCTTGTTACTTACCAGATGCCTACTTAGGCAAATGACTTAATTTCTCAGATTCTGACTTTACCTTTCTATAAAACAGATATAATTAGAGTGTCGACCTCATCTACCCTTTAAGCAACAAAACCACTCTGTGAAGATGCAGAGTTCAAGAAGGAACCCATTATATCATACACCTAAGTGACATAATGTATATTTTTTAATGGAAAATTACCCAAACACTATCCCTTCGAATCTCTTCTAAACACAAACGTCACGTACTGACCTGGCTTGGGCTTGGTGTGAAATGTGGTAATAAACACACCCTGTATTTATAGATTGAAATGGAAGCAGTGCTTTCACATAGAGTTCCTACAACCCCCTAAACTAATTTGCTAGGCTTCTACCTTAGTGCACCAACAGGAACTGCCTGTAGAAATGAATAAGCTAGTCTGGGTGGACCATACTGTAAGTAACAGCCACCAGGAAAAAAACAAATCCTGAGGAAAATTAATTTTCAACAGTGAAACAGGGCAGAGAAACCAGAACCGGTGTTTCTCCTGCTTGTGATTTATAGCATGTCTTCTCTTAACTCACAATAATGAATCACCGACTTTTCTTCCAAGGAGTCTATTCTCTGAGTTTGACTCTGTACACGCAAGGACAGGACCTTTCCTTCCATGTGGAATCCCTCTACACTAAGCTTCCACATCCTATTCTTTCCCAAATTAACAAAAAATCTCCAAAAGGAATTTCTCCAAAGAGGATTTTCTCCCTCATCCCATTCCTGGTTCTTCAGACTCCTCAGCTGAGGTTCACCATGAGGCAAATTTCTAACAATTGGATTAGGGCATAAAATTCATATTCTTCTAAAGAACGTTTGCATGATTCAAAGGTAAATGTCAAAACAGTGATGGAAAACCTGTTGTGATCAAAACTGGTATGTATTTTGTAGTTGTGCTTAAGTTTAAAAATATGTATTTAACAGACAACGGATAGTGTAACTCTCTTAAATATACAGTTATGTAGTGTGCTATTGAAGAATCACATTTACCTGGAATTTCATCAACTTTTAGTTGTGGTTCCACTTATTATTTGTACCCTGGTTTGCTCAAAGCCAGCCTCTTCTAAGCAGAGTTGCCACAGATCTCCTTTTTGACAAATCTGGTGTTAACACTTCTCGATATCCAGTTTATTTCACATCTTGGCAGCCTCTGGCACTATTGACCTTTCATTCCCTTCTTCTAGAAACATTTCATCTCAGTGGTCATCATGATAACCCCCTCTTCACATTTCCCTACCATCTCTGTAGCTATTCCTTCTCGGTGTTCTTTGAGGTTTCTCTTCTTCCACTTATTATCTTAAATATGGCTTTTCCTCAGGGCTCTGTTCTAGGCCTTTCTCCTCTCACTCCAAGCTCTGCTTAAGCAACCTGTCCTGTGTCCAAGGATGCTGTAATTACCATGTTATTTACATCTTCATAAAAGGTTTCTCACCTGAACTCAACGCTATTTATTCAACACTTACATGTCTTCTGCAGTTAGATAATAACAGGCACTTCAACCTTAACATGCCCAGTGAAATGCACTGTCTTCCACCCCTCACCTTCTCTTCCTTCTGCATCTTTTCCTTCCATGACTATCCACCCCATTGTCCAGGATGGAATTACAGGTACCATCCTAGATTTCCGAGTGTGATACTTTCTACTTTCTACCCATCCTCTTCTCCCTGTTCCCACTGCTGAGACCTGAATTCAGACCAGTGTAACCTTCTACTCTGTTTACTGCCCCAGCCTCTTAACTGGTCTTCCTGCCTCCTGTCTCATTCCCATCCAATTCATTCTTTACTTTGTTCCTAATATACAAATCTGATCAAGACATTCACATTTAAATCCATTTAATGGCTTATTCTGAGAGTATAATCATTGTTGCCAGGGGCTGGGAGTTGCAGGGGGATGGAAAGATGTTGGTCAAATGGTACAAAGTTTCAGTTAGATAGGAGAAATAAGTTTGGGAGATTTATTACACAGTGTGGTGACTATGGTTAATAATAGTGTACTGTACACTCAAAAATTGCTAAGAAAGTAGACCTTAAATGTTCTTATAACAATAAATGATAAGTATGTGAGGTGATAAGTTAATTAGCTTGATTTAATCATTTCACAATGTATACATATATCAAAATATTACACAGACCACAAATATATAAAATTTTTATTTGCCAATCATACTTTAATTTATAAATTAAAAAGTAATGAAACCATCAGTGGCTTCTAATTACCCTCAGGATAAAGTCCAAAGTCCAAGAGTCCAGTCTATACAACCTTAATGCTTGCTTTTTTAGCATTACCCCTTCCTTTCTGACACTTTTCCTTCTCCCCTCACCTCCCATACTTAGGCTTCTAAGCTTCAGGCTTTCTTGAAATCTTTCTGTTCTCTAATGCTGCCTCCTCTGCCTATTGCATTCTTGTTCCTGTACAACCCCACTCCTCCCTAACCTGATTAACTCCTTTGCATCCATCAGCTGTCAATGGAGCTGTCACTTCTTTCAGGAAACCTTCCTGAAGTGAAGCAGCGCCTCCACTGTGCAAACTCATTGTGTCTGGATCCTCCCTTCATGCCTGGTCCCATGGCACTGTAACTGTCTGTGGACTTGCAAGCCTCGACAGCTTTGTATGCCTGTGGACAGTGTCTGAACTATTTCTGGTGGAATCCCTGTGTCTTACATAGTGCATAGCATGTAGAAGGTACTCAATAAATATTTGTGGAAATATTAATAAAAGAAAGAATAAAATCTAATTGTCAGATTCTAGTTGATTATATAACATGTCTGTCTATGCATAAATTATGAGCAGCAGAATCTTTAGTATCTTAGGCAGAGGTTGGAAGAATACTCATCTTAAAATTGAAAAAACATCTATAACACCACCCAATAGTTACTGAGTATTTATCACGGGTAGACTTTATTTATTATTATTAACATGTGTGAAGTGCTTCATGTGTGTTATGTCATTTTGTTCTCACAGTGATCTGGGAGGCAGGGACTATTATTTTTTCCACATAGCAGACAAAGAAAATGAGGCTGAGGGAGATGAAGCATTTGGCAAAAGTCAGTTGGCAGAGCTAGGATTCTATGCAATCCCCAAAGCTCATAAAAAACCATTTGACAAAATGGATAAATATGTTCAACCAAAATGTATTGAGGACTTGTTCTTTGCAAAATACCATGCATACACACAATTCCTGCTCTGCTCCAGTGAGAATAACCAGGAACCCTGAAGAGAAGGCATTGCATTAAGCTAGTTATTACCATCAGCCTGGCAAAAAATGTTCTGTATTACAGGGAAGCATATAATTGGGCAAACCAAAAATCTTTTCAGCTTTTCTGCATTCAATGCTGTAATTTCATTTATTTATCATAAAATGTGACTTCACAGGTTTATTAACAGTCAAATCCAGATGCAAATGCAAATAGAGAAATATAGTAGAAAACCAAATAGCAGATTCTCATTATCTGCCTTTTGTTGAAATCTATGCCAATGCTCTCCATTGTAAAGAAGGGCTGAATTACAGAATTTTAGGCCTGAGAGAAACCTAGAAATTATTTACCCAATTCTTCCCAGTTATGTCTAATCCTGAAGTCCAAAGAACATAACTAGTAACTGTGAGACTACCAGTAACTCATGAAAACTTGTTGGCCATATCTATGAAAGCTGAACTTCTATTTATTCTGTGGCCCAGCCATTCCACTCCTTGGAATAGACCCAACAGAGGTGCTTTCATATTTTGCCAAAGGCCATGTATAATAATGCTCATAGTAGCATTTTTTTCAATAACCCCAAACTAGAATCAAAGCAGTGATCATCAATAGTAGGCTGGGTAAGTAAAATATATTTAAACAATGGAATGTACTGTGCGACAATGAGAACAAAGTATAACTACAAACAGCCAAGAAAATAAATGTCAAAAACATTATGCCAAGTTATGACTATGTTTATACTGTGTTCATAAAAACAGGAAAATCTAATCTACAGTGTCATGAGTCAGGAGAATGGTTATTAAGGGCTGGGAGGTGACAACTGGAAGGGGACACAGAAGTGTTTGTTGGATGCTGGTGATTTCTGTTTCTTGATCCAAGTGCTAGTTACACAGGCGGGCTCACCTTGTGAAAATCCAGTGAGCTATACACTTACAATGTATACATTTTTCTGTGTGTATGTTAGATTTCAATATAAATTTGAAAAGAAACCTTGGAACTCATTTAAGCCTAAGACATTATCAAAAAATTTTCTGGCACAATGGGAAAAATTTGTGAAATGCCTTGAATCTTAATTCTGCTAAAACTAACATTTGTTCCAGTCATAGATCAATAAAAACAAATACTTCAGTATTGCAAACATTTGCTAAAGAAACAAATATGTTTGATGAGAAAACAAAAATCAGTATTTCCTTTGGCAAGTACTTGCTGTATTGGAGGTAGCAAATGTAAAACTTGTAAAGTGTGACTGCATTTGTTTACATGCTCAATTTACACAAGATTCAGAATTTTGTAAAGCTGCATTGCATTTTTAAAAACTGTAGGAATAAAAATAATTGTGACAGGAATAAAAAGATTGCATTTCTAGAATGTTGTTATGGATGTGTCTCAACTCCACATAGTTGTATGATGCCTGGCAGCAATAGGCGTGCATTTGCTGTATGAATGAAGATAGTATACAGGGTACTCTTTAGAATACTTCTTATCAATCTTTGTTGACACCATGATTATTTTTAATACCTGGTTAAATAGGAAATTACTAATACTTTCTCAGTATCCTAGTAGACATTGAATGGAGAACGACTAAAAAAAAATCTCTATCAAAGTGCTAATTCATATTATTTTACAAAATACTTCCAAATGACATATGAAGCCAGTCATTTAAGATAAGGAAGTTTCATTAAAGAAAAACTTGAGATCTCAGAAAAATGAATTAGAAATTCCCCCTCCCCCAACTACATTTAGAGAAAATATTGAGACAGAAGTATGATTCTCCCTGGAAGTAACTATATATTAAATCAGTGTCAAGAAAACCTTAGAAAGTATTAGCTTTCAGGGAAAAACACTTACAATTTATATTTTCTATTTTTCAGTAATATATCCTTACTATGACTCTAAAATCTGTCTAATGCACCATTAACATTTTAAAAGAAAGTTCTCTAGTTCTTACCAAAAAGAAATAAATAATATCTGACAACAGCATTAGGGAACATAAACATAAAATTACCTGTTATTAAAAACTGAACACATTTTTCTCAAAGAAATATGTTACTCAGCTATAAAATAGTATGTTTGCCATTCACACTAATGTTTCAACATTATGGTTCAATCTTCTAAAAAGCTGACATGGAAAATAATGGTGTAATAAACTAATTCATCATAATGTGCAAAAGAAACCACTGGAATAAATTGTAATAACCTTTCAAAAACTAGCAGCTTTTAAAAGTATTAATTTCTACTCCAGATAATTGGAAAGGACACCTGGGTGGGTAGGCAATATTTTTTATGGGATTGCTCTGTCAGGAGCTCAGATTGTCTCTGGACTCAGCAATGATCATTTAGAACTAAATGACAGTGAATCTTGCAAATGGGTCTTCCTAGATGGTGTTTGCCATAAATTACCAAACCCAACTCCCCTCAAGGTCAGCGATATGAGAGGGCAGATATCAAACGGCCTTCGTGGAGACCTAGATTGGTCCTCGGGTTTCTCATAAATGGACAATAGTTGTGTTGGCTGCCATAAAATCAACTTAATGGACTGACAACATAAATTACCATCAAACTTTGACAACATTCCTCCTTAGGAAACAACTGAAGAATGCTTTTATATCAAAGCTGGGGAAAATGGATAACAATATGTTTTGCTCTATACTAGATCATAAATATTTTTAACAATGCTAAGTGGAGAATGAATTAATATTAGAAGCCATGATATGTTTTACCTGATGCATTAAAAACAGCATCTAAGTAATTCTAAAACGACAGTTGCTTCCTGAAGTTTTATATATATATATATATATATATATATATATATATATATATATATATATATATAAAATGCAATGGCGTGTATGTGTGTATGTGTTAGGGAAGAAGGTTGCATTTGCCTGGCACTCAATATTTTCACTAAGTATAAGCAATCAAAAATGATATTACTTGTTTTCTAATCTTTTTTATCTATTAATATACAGTCCACTGGACCCATAGGAAGAGATTCTTGACCTCTCACCCTACTTTGGATAAATCATAAAATCACTTTCTCTATGGCTGCATTTTTCCACTTGGAAAGTAACGTAATTATTATACAAATATATTTTGAAGACAATGGAATTATTCCTAAAATGAAGACACAAAAACCCCCAAGTTACTGGAAAATCATATTAACATATTTGTGAAAATAATCAAATCTAGACTTAATCAATTCACATTTTAAAAAGCCAATTTGGTAGAAAATTAATTTAGAAATCTAAATTAATAAAATAGAATTTTGGAGGTAAATGAAACATCATTTTTTAGTTGAATTTTCATCTAATTGTGCTGCCATTCTGTATCTGCAGTTATTATTATTGTGACATAAAGATAAAATTATTCTCTCAGTAATTTTTATAATAGAATTTATTATCTCTTAAAATGCAGCAGTGTCCTTTAGATTTTGCTAAAAGAAGTGCTACGTCGAGTAAAAGCAACATCTTCCTTGGATCCAGTGGCATCTCAGGCCAGGAATATTATATATAATGTCTCGTGAACTCCATACATTTTATAAACTATAAAAGTTTCCAAATAGGATTTAAAATTAGTGTATTTTGTCTGTTCTCCTCCCACATCTAGTCATCACCTTCTGTCACGTCTTCCTTTGAACTATCTCTTACATTAATTTCTTTCCTTCTGTTCCTGTTATCACTTCTGCCCAGAACCTCATCACCTTATACCTGAATTATTGCAGTAGTTTCTTTGCTCCTGTTCTTTTTCCACCAATCCATCCTGCCTAGTCCTGCCAGATTAATCTTTTTTAAAGGACTACTTTAATGATGTCACTCCCCTGCTCAAAAGTGTACAATGACTCCCTATCACTTGGAGGCCACAGGCCAGAGTCTTTAGCTAAAATCAAAGCCTTTGGCTGTCTGGCCTCACCTCCTTTTCCAGTCTTTTCCAGTTCCCTTGCACAAACCTTCAGAACAATAAATGAATCTGCTTCCTGGCCACTTGCACCACATGCACCTGCCTGACCAGTGCTGTCCATCCTCTCTGCTGACCCAGTTACCTTCCTTTCTGGAGTCCTTCTGACCACTTCAACCCATAGTCAGCACCTCCAGCCATGAAGTTGGAGCACTCTTTTTTTTAAGCATGATTTATTTCACAGTTGCAATATTACGTAACTTTGGCTTTTGTTACTTAATGGTTACCCTGCCTTTTCTCCTTAATTAATTTGTAAAGTTCTTTGAGGGCGGGGGGTTTTGAATTATTATCTGCCAATGTCCCCAGCACAACGCTATAAAAATAGTTGGCCATCAATGGACACTTGTTTAATGAATGAATGCAAAATGCTGTTCTAGGCTTCTTATATGATTAGGATGAAAGCTATTCAGTTGTATTTGTGACTTGTGGTATTTCAGAGCAGCAATTTACATATGTGAGGCAGTTTTCCTGAGTTTAATAAATTCTCTTTCGTTTTTAAAGTTCTTAGTGAAATTGTAGACTATGAAATACAAATTGAGCACATGAGATTTATAATGTAAAAATCTGACTCAGAAATCATGGGCAGCATTAGAATAAACACAAACTAGTCCATATTCGTCGGGCTAATACTAACTATCTGAAAGTTCCTGAATATCATAAAGCTCGGTAAGTTTTAAATAAAACTGAAATCGTCCCAAGAATAAGTTAAAAGAAAAAAAGGTAAGTACGCAGTAGTCCAGAGTCTTTATTGTATAAATAAGACATATGTTTTAGCATATAATATTATTTAGTGGAAAGAATATGGATTTTTAGAACTTGACAAGACCTGAATTGGTAACTTAGATCTGCTCTTCTCTAGGTGTGCCATTTTGTGTCAGTTACTCAATGTCTTTGAACGTTAAACCTCTCATAAGGCAAATGAGAATATTAATTTCTAATTTATTTGAAAAATCTGAGATGAATGAACTCTTTTGAGCTGTTTACTAGGATAATGAACTTAAGGTCTCTAAGGCAGCTAACCCAGTACCTGGCCTGTTAATAAATGGTAGCTACTATTACTTAACTAATTAATTAATGTATCTGTCGATCATTGTTTCTATTTGAGAGTTTTTCTTTTTCACTCCTAGCCTCTCTTATAGTTAAAGAGCATGGGCAGAGGGGTCTAAAAGATCTGGGTTTGAATTGTGGTTCTACCATTTATTAGTTTACTAATCTACTTATGAACCTATCTTAGCTGCAGTTTTCTCAGCTGTATAAGAAGACAACAAAATCTCCTTGAACTAATGTTCTGAAGACTAAGAATGATCCATTTTAAAGTGTCTGGCATACAGCTGGTACTTTATTAAGAGCAGATATTATTATAATTCTCATGAGTCTTCTCACAGACATCCTGTTATATGTCAAAGAACACATGCTGATGAATACTTTTAAAGTAAAATATGTAGGATTTTTTTTGCTATTTCACTATCTTGCATAAAAACATAATTTGGTATTATAAAAATTATTCCTATAAATAATATTTGTATAGTTTAGAAAATACCTTTACAAAATACCTTACAGTTTACAAAATACCTTTGAAACTGAGGACTATACCCCCAAATTAGCCATTTGTTGCTGTGTGACTGTGATCATTATTCTTGCAACCCATTCTGCCATCAAAATGCTTAATAATTAACAATAATGATAAACTGCAAATACTAAGGAGGCTATGAACAAAGTCCAATGTGTTATTGTCACAGGCCTATATTTTTAGAAATACTTGACAGTTGAAATTGGCCAGATGAAATTCAGCAATTGATCATAGATTCTCCATCTCAGCAGTATATCTTGGAAGCAGAGGCCTCCTCTAGGCAGGCTTTGACAAAGGACATCTAAAACTGGTTTCTTAACTTCTTTTTGACTTCTAAAATACCGTCTAAAGTATTGGTTAAGTTGCCTGTTCTCATTTGGGTTAAAATACAATTCTTAAAACATCTGGAGTAAGTAATTCTGAAATAAACGTATATAAGTCTAAACAAAAGAATAGAAAGAAATTTGGGTAATTTTCTTAAATTTAAATAAATATACTATGTCACATGCTGAGATTAATGACATTATCTAAACTCGGTAGGAATGCAATTAAGTGCTAAGAAACAGAAAGCACCTCACAGTTTTATAAGACTGAGCCATTTTTACTATCATAATAACTGAAGCATGTGCTTAATAACTCATCAAATACATTTACTTCCCTTCAACATCTACAAGGTCAAAACCAGTCATCAGCCATAACTTAAAGTACCATTAATTCCTCTGAAAAACTGTTAAAGAGATTGTTCCAAGAAGCACTGGGCTGTATCCCATTGAGGTTCCTGGGGTGTTTCAGGGATGCTGGGATGTACTTTTAAAATGATGTATGGATGGATAGTATTATTCTTAATGCTCCAGATGAAGAGCTTGCCATACAACTGTTCCTTATACAAGGTACAGGGCTCCATATGCAACAGTTCTGATATTTAATGTTTTGTCCTATGTCCAATCCTTGGTTTAGTGATTATGGCCATTATACCTACATTTTAAAACATGATCTAACATGTAAGGGTAACTGCCACTTAGTAACTGAGAACTGCACAGCATCGGGTCAGCATCAGCGCTAGGTCACTAGGGGCAATCTTGTCTAGATTTGCTCCCAGAATCCCTGCATGAGCATGGGCTTTCTACATCTTTGGTCTTTGTTTCATTTTATTACTTCCACTTCTTCCCCATCGCCTGCCAGGGTTTTCAAATCCTTTGGGGATGTTTGGTTTCAATGTTTATATTTACCAAACTCACAACTATAATTAATATTTATAGCACCTCTAATCATTTCAAAGCTATTTCACAAATAAAATATCTTGATCTTCATAGTAATGTCATGTGAGATGAGAAAATTGAAGCATGAAGAAATTCTATAATATGCCTGAGGCAACTTGACGTCAGTGTCAGAGTACCTACCTCAGGACACTGAACCTCGCGCTCACTTCACCCCCATGACTGCTACATCATTGGTTTGGTCTTTGGATTAGACTTGCGCCGGAAATTCTTTCTCACCAGCTCTGTGATTTTTAAACATATTAGTTAAACTCTCTGGATTTTAGCTTCCTTGTTGGTAAATGGGGACAACAATGCCTACTTCATAGAGTTATTTGAGGATTACATGAAATGATGTATGTAAAGTTAAAAACCTAAGCCAGGCACGCTGGCTCCTGCCTATAATCCAGCTACTTGGGAGGCTGACGCGGGAGGATCCCTTGAGGACAGGAGTTCAAGACCATCCTGGGTAACACAGCAAGACCCCATCTCTAAAAAACTTTAAAAAATAAATAAATAAAAATAATAAAGTAAAAATACCTAGAATAAGGTTAAGTGTTCAAAACTGCTCATCCTTCTAATCCCTACTCTTGGTCATCTTTCATCCTTCTAATCCCTACTCTTGGTCATCTTCACCTAAAGGTAGTTTCCTTAGGTCTACTGAGAGTCTATGAAGCTACTCTGGACTTCGGTGTTGGGCTGGGAGGCACAGTAAACTTAATGTATCATCAGTAGGGTGGTAAAATATTTACCAATAATCTAAGGATTTATCAGTCATCTGCCACATCCCAGCACAGTGCTCAGTACTTCACATGCACAAAGAAATAGCAGCAGCCAAGGAACTTTGCAAGTGACAAGAACAAGACTTAATGATTTTCTAGACAATAAAGAGATTCCAAGAGTGGCTGGCATGCTCCATTTAGCCAAGGTCTTTGTAAATTCTCCAAAACAATTTCAAATAGAATAAAATAATTTTAAAACTACTTCATATAAATTGTATAGCTTACTTTTAAATGGCATATTCCACCAAATCCTAAAATGTTATTTTTTTATAGATAATGATACTGTATCCAACCTGCACTATTACACAGGGTGAGGGAGGGACCGTAAAAGGACCAATCTCACAGTGAACCTAGGAATGAGAGGTTAAATTGTGTTCGATGTTTCTGCTGTGTTTCCATTACTGAGTCACCTAGATTTAAAATACCCTAGGGTAGGAATAACCATTTTGTTTTTCTCCCTCCTTTTCCTTCAGTGCCCCAGAACATAAAATACTTGTTGAGTTGCATTTTAGCCTCTGAGTCAGACTGAAAAAAAGTAGTTTGACTCCATCCAATTTGAATTAGCTCACTAAAAAAAGGTATTTACAGTTAAGTGGAAACATTTCATCTTCTGATTATTTTTTAATATAAAACAGTGAAATCTCAGCATACTTTAGTTTAAAACTATAAGAACAGAAAAGAATAATTTGTTTTCTTCTTGAGACAGGGTCTCACTTTGTCACCCACACTGAAGTGCAGTGGTGCGATCATAGCTCATTGCGGCCTTAAATTCCTGGGCTCAAGCCATTCTCCTGCCTCAGTCTCCTGAGCAGCTGGGACTACAGGCACATGCCACTGTGTGTGGCTGGAGAGGAATAAATGTTATTGTTATCAATAGCAACTGGTCACTGCGCACATGTGTGTGAGACAATATTCAGAATGATACAGCCTAGGGTTTAAGACCAGAAACTTTAGTTCTGATTCTGCTTCCTTTAGTATTTTTATCCAGGGACACAGTGTTCCTGTTTTGAGGATGGGAACAATGCATATGTTTTATAGCATTATGGAGAAAATTAAGATGGGATATTACTGTAGACACAGTAGTAAGTAGGCAATAATTTTGAGTGTTTAATGTGTGTCAGATACTGTTCTAATCAACTCATTTAATCACAACAACTCAATGAGATGCATAGTATTATTATCCCTATTTTAAAGATATTAAGGCATAACAGTTTTAACAAAAAACCTTGCCAAGATCACCCAGCTAGTAATTGGCTGAGCAGGATCTCAAACGCAGGCAGTCTAGCTCCAGAGTCCCTGCTCTGAGCCACTTCCCTGTGCTACCTGACTCCATCACAGCAGCTGGTGACATGCTGGTTTCCCCTCTTCTTGGGTTCTGGTATACAAAAACACAACAGATCCTGTCTTTTCCAGAAAGAAACAGTTGTTATAGCAAGGACACAGGATATATGCACATATGGATAAAAAGCACGATAGAACTTGTCAAACAAATGTCAGAGGAGGTATACAACAAGTTCTACAGAAGTCTGGAAGAAAGGAAATAATGGGGATGAGGAAATCGGCAAGATTGTTGTGATGTGGGTGACCTTTGAGTTTGTTTGGCGTTCGAGAGTAAACAGACCTAAAACTATCAAAGAGTAGTTGGGAAAGATATTTCAGATAATAGGAACAGCAAAGACAAAGGATCTCTGTGTTTAGGAAATAAGAATCAGTTTCATGATAACTTCAGCTTGACAAAAACAAACACACACACAAACAAAAAACAACACACGCAAAAGAAAATCAATAAAAAAAATTTTTAAAAAAGAATCCATTTCATTGACGGGGAAGGTTTCTATGTGGGCAATACTGAGGCAGGAAGCAGTTTAAAGTGATTTTGTACAGTGTTTTAGAAGCTCAAGAGAGGAGAAAGACCTCCTGCTGGAGGGCCACCAGGGGATTCCGAGTGGCTGTGAGTGATGAGATGGCAGGTATATAACACGGATGAAAGTAGGGAATGCCAGATAATGGACTGCGAGAGCACGTAGAAGTCTTCGGCACACATACCTACATTCAGACAGGTCCCTATTATTCCAGCGATGATTATCTTGTTGGCGGGTATTCCATGGCCTCTCCTCACCTACTGGCTGTCCTTTTGGTTTATCCCTTGCTTTAGCACCTGGGGGTGGACAAGGAGGCAAAGTGATTTTCCAATTAAGTCTTTTTGTTTGTTTGTTTTTGCTGCTTTTTCCCAGCTGTGGTTAGATTTGCTGTTGGAAGGAGAAGTATATTGTGGATGATAAGAACATTTCTTTCTCTCTTTCTTTTTTCACAGTACTTCCAGTCCTTTATTGAACAATTTGCAGGGGAAGAGCAGAAATCACATTTGAGCTTAACCCTGGAATATGTAATTGTTAATTTCCCTTGATCAGAGATGGGCTAGGAAATGGGGAGCTACCCACATAGACTTTTAAATAACATTTGTATAGCAGAACCTTGTTTCTGATCTGGCTGCTGAGAATTTTAGGTGAGAATGGTTAAAGTTATTCTCCTTTAAAATGTTATGTATTGTGTATCTCCAGACCTGTTGATAGCTATATGATTATTTATATCAATCATTCTTACCTTTGCTACTATTTGGATGTATTATGCAGTTGCTGCTTCTTCCTAAATTGAATGTAAGCTACCAGTAATTCTAATTCTCTAGCTGCAGAGTACATGTTTGGCTCTAAAACTAAAGTGTTGTATTAGTGGGATGAAAAAAAAGAAAGAGATGAGAAAAATGAAACAGACTGCAATGCCAAGCTCTTTTTTAAAAGTAATATTTAATTACTCTTTCAGGCTGCTGTTAAGAGTGTATATGACATCTAAACAGATTGTAGGACCCTAATACATCATTTCACTAATATATATTCAATTGCAGTTGACAAAAAGATTATTTTGGTCCATAATGGCCTAGAAACCCATCTTTTACTTGGATCTATTATATGCAAATATATTTAGGGTACAACACACACACACACACAGACAATCTCTTTCAAGTAAAGAAAAAGGTGTTAAAAATGTATACACTTGGCTAATAGCCAGCTACTGAGTCTACTGTGTCTCCTCTCTGATTAACATACTTTCATAAATTATTTCCAATTTCTTCCAGTTGAGTTCTTGTCAACTCTTCACCTCACAACCCCAATATTGCCCACATCGTTCTAGAGAAATCAGAGAGAGAGTAGAAAAAAACACATCCAGCTATTTTAGAACATGGCACATATCAGTCATGCCCAGAAAACTGGCTCCTTTGCTTGTGAGAACTTCTTGGCATATCCATAAGCCTGCTGACCTCAGTATGAAACATAACAAAATAAAGCCTCAACTACTCTGTTTCTCAATTTGTTTGATAAACTAGAATTATTTCCAAAGTTCTCAAATAAACAGAAATCATTATAATTATAAATAATTAAAATGCTAAACTCAAGAGGGCACTCAACATTCATTATACTGTAGAGCTTGTCCCCTAAGGGTAATACCTTCAATTAGTTCAGTTTTTACAACAGAAGAAAAATGTGACAATCAGTAATTGCAGGTATTTAGTTCAAGGAACAAAACATGCAAACTTGCCTTTAAATTGCCCTTTCAGTCACCAGAGGTTATGCTCTCTTTTAGATTCTTAACATTTGTACTAATTCTAGAATACAGGAAAGCAACAGATAAGGGAAAAACACACAATCTTCAAAGCTGTGAGTAGATACACTTCAGCTTTATCAGCTCTTTCAATGGAGAAGGTTAAAGTAGAAGGTAAGAGCTAACAAAAAATGATTTTAAGAGAGAGCCCTTTAAAAGACATTTTATAAAATTTATCAGTTATTTATTCACTTACTTTACAAACATTTATTAAGTGTCAGAGTTTATGCTAAATGATAATTACATTGCACTAGAAAAACTAGCTGATGATTTTTTTTAAAAAATACAAATTTATATATGTATGTACATATGTATATTGTTACAAATGTAAATATAGAGTATATATATCCATAATTTATAAAATGATTTTTTGAGTGTTATTCCTCAATCTTGAAGTTGTAATGTAATTTTTTAAAAATTTAATCACAAAATTATTTAGATTTTATTCCTTGGAGTCTCCTCTATAAAAAGGATCAATTTCCTTTACAAAATGTAACTATTTTCTGTTGCAGTAGTAAATGCTGTTTCAGTTACTAGGGCTTTTCTTAGGTGTCTGTAGAACTACAGTACTGTCAGTTGGAAATGGATTAGCAAATAGTAAATACTGTTTCGGATCAAAGCGAGTATACCAAAACAGATTTCTTTACTCTGATTCAACATCAAACTGACAACCATGACCTGAGAAAGAGTTATCTTTTACTAGCTGCCACGTTGGGGAAATAAATTTAGTCCTTCATTTAAGTAGAGGAAAGAACTCATTAGAAATGTGGTACAAGTGGTTTCAGGATGATAAATCTCAAGTTACCAATTCCACTTTTAATGATTAGCTGCCTGCACCTTGTATTTAATTAAAATGGTTATTTTAAATGCTTATATTTAATTTAAACATAATTAGCTAAAGTTCAATGTTACTGCCTCATCCATTTTGAAATTAATTAATTTATAAAATAGTTCAAAAAGTGCTGTAAAATTTTAATATTAAAATATAGCAGGATCGATTTGCATCTTTTGTTGGTTTCTATTGTGGACTCCTAGTGAGCTGTTTACATTAGGTAGGACTGCAGGGTCTCTGGCATAGCTAATGTGTAATGAAATCAAATATTGATATGTCCTTGACATTTCCTTTGCACATAGGATATATACTTTAACCTTCCAGGAAATAATAGTTCATAGCTAAGGATATGATTGTTTAAACTTTAAAGCGATGTAAGTTTAAGAAATTAATTTTGGCCTTAATACATTTAGGAGAAACCACTGCTTTTAGCAAATGATTTATAAGTGTGTAACAATCAGTGTGATAAAATTTCTTATGAGTCAGTCCAATAAATGTGGCCAGAAGGTGTTTTCAAGCAAAAGTTCTGCTTTTAACTTGTATTTAAACAAACAGTTTAAATAGTGGGTAGTGATGTACAACAATGTTTCCTGGTCTATAGATTCTGAGGATATTCTGAAACACTCCTGCATCCATTTGGATGGGGTTTCCTGGTGCAGTAAAAAACTATATCCATGAATGTCCTACAATCCTTAGTGTGCTTGGTGGGAAAAACTTCTAAGCTGTGCACATTTGTCTATTGATGATGATTGCTATAATTTATTAGGTACTGAATATGTGTTCGGCACTGAACTAAATGCTTAATAAAGTTGTATTCAGCCCATTTTACAGATG
The DNA here is from genome assembly GCF_000001405.40 of Homo sapiens. NCBI lineage: Eukaryota > Metazoa > Chordata > Mammalia > Primates > Hominidae > Homo > Homo sapiens. The sequence continues at coordinate 114,171,628 of NC_000006.12, forward strand.
AATGAAGTGAGGCTTGGAAAGACTAAGGAATACGTAATTCATACTTATAATTCGTAAGTTACGGAGGCAAGACTCAAAGCCTAAATCCACAGTGCTGCCCCTTACTGTCTTCAGCTCCCATCTCAGAGGGCTAGGAAGGCATTCTCAACTGTGAGATGCTTGTAACCCCCACTTCCACCACCACCACAAACAACAACAAAATAGTTCTCCCTTGCAGTAATAGTGTAAATTAAAGAAAAGGTAAAGGTAACACATTTGGCTTGACTATTAGTAATTAAAACCTGTTGCCCCCAATCTTAGTGTCCTTTTATACAAATATTAATATATGCAGAATTCTCTAATATTTTATTAAAACCAGGGCTTTCTATTCTCCAACAAACCTCTATGGTTGGGGAGATTTGTTCCCATCATTCTCTAACATTAGCTCAAAACTTTGCACAATCTCTACCCCCAACACCACCAATAACCCTTGGGGCATTTTAATTGTGAGCAGGCTATAAAGCTGTAAAATCAGACTCAGCTTACACATCAAGTAAGTTGTGCAGAATATTTCTTTCCTTTTCACACTACCATTATTAGGTGGCATTCCAGGATGCCTTTAAGCTACACTGTATCTCAATTACCACAACTGCCATCTGTTTCTGTTTCTTCCAATGAACGATATCCCCGCTCAAGAGCTAGGCTTCAGTGTGTTTTCTGCAAAGAATATGAGTAACACATACAAATATTCCTCCTATTTAGATTAGACAGTATTAGGTAGTAATCAAAGCCAATTATCTATTGATTTTCAGTTTAACATTTCAACTATCAAACATTATCGTAACTCTGGACATCCTCAGAAGGTTCAAAGGATTGGAACCATTGCAAAGCAATTATAGCAGAGAAGACCCGTTTGAGGAGCTAGAATAGGTAAAAATACAGGCACATCTGCTTTGTAAATCTTGCTAAGGCCTTTAAATGCCATCTGGTTTCCCATTCTTTTCCAGCTACCATCTTCCCCTAGGCTAAAAGATTTTTAAATGACTGGGGGGAAAAGAAAACTTTGAGAAACTAGTTTGAGATTTTAATTCTGCATTTCATCTGTCAGACAGTGAAATGCAGTTAACTGCAGCAAGTGTTCCTAATAGATAAGGGAATTGTTGCTTCACATATAATTACATTGAGTCTAACAGTAGACATAGCCACCTATATCATCATCATACTATTAGAAGTGCTAGTAAGTCTGAAAAGAATCCATTTTGAGGAGGGTCAGAGCTACTTTTATTTTACTTCAAGCCAGGGTTATCATGAAATAAAACTGATAATTCTTTTGGGGAACAATTTTTGGAATATAAAAAAAAGTATTAAAGGGTAAATGAAACTAACTGTTGTGACTGGCAGTGAGTTCAGGTATTTTGTGTTCTTTTGTGTTTGCTTTGGAATGTTAAACAGGTCGGGTTCTTTTTAAAAGAAAACATTTTATTCAGAACATTCTTCCATGAAAGCCTTCTTTGACAAAGTGTCATTTTTTGATATATTAGTACATGTCTGCCCACATTTTACATTCAAAAAGGGCTAGCAATGTTTTAACAACTTTTGACAAGCATGGGGAATTAAACTTCCACAGAATCCACTCTTTTAATGTAATGCTACAATCTATTTTATATTCTCGATTTTGCACTTCTTATGGCAGGCCACAACATTTTAAATTATGTCAACTTATAGTTGAAAAAAGTACAAAGAAATTAAAAATGAGTAATTACTTAACTCATCAATAAAATATTTTTAAGCACATAATTCTGAAATTTGTTGAGAAAGGGAGCTACAGATATAGAACTAAGTGAATTATAAATTAGTAATAAGAGATAAGTCAAAGAAATTTCTAATGAACTCGCCAAGGAATCTCAAGAAATTGAGCTACTTCTTAATTAAATTTAGCTACTAAATTGTAAATTTCAAAATCAAGTGCTGGCTGGGCACGGTGGCTCATGCCTGTAATCCCAGCACTTTGGGAGGCTGAGGCAGGTGGATCATCTGAGGTCAGGAGTTCAAGACCAGCCTGGCCAACATGGTGAAACCCTGTCTCTACTAAAAATATAAAAATTACTTGGACGTAGTCGCGGGTACCTGTAGTCCCAGCTCTTTAGGAGGCTGAGGCAGGAGAATCACTTGAACCCGGGAGGCAGAGGTGGCAGTGAGCCAAGATCACACCACTGCATTCCAGCCTGGGCAACAGAGCAAGACTCCATCTCAAACAAAACAAAACAAAAACAAAAACAAGCAAACCAACAAAAAACCCAAAAACAAAATCAAATGCTTTGTTTATTGGCAATGCAGACTCTGCCTATTGGAAATCTTGCTTGGATACCTATAGGCACCTCAAGTCAACACTTCAAAGACCTCTCTGGCTCCCCCAAACTGCCCCTCCCCCTGATTGTGACCTTGCGTGACTGGGGTCCTAATTGCTCCCCAGCTTCATCTGTTCCCACTCTACCCTGCCTGGCCCATTCATTCATCCAGAGCTGCTTTCAATGCCTTGAATACTCTGGGCTTTGCTCCTCTGCCTAGATCACTATCCTAATCAGCCTGGCTAATTTCTCCTCTTCAGTCTCAGCTTGGATGTCACTTTCCTCAGGAAGATTTTTCTGGCAGTTCTTTTTCCAGGTGCCCTTTCTCTAGATCCTTACAACCCTGTTCTCTCCAATCAAAGTCCCTATCACAGAGTGATGCAATTATCTCTTTACTGGCCTGTACCCCCACCAGAGTGTAAGCAGCATAAGGGCTAAGACAATGTCTATTTTTTTTACTGTTAATCTCCACAGCTTAGACCACTGCTTGGAATATTCTAGATGCTCTCAAAAAAACTCCTTTAAAAAGATTAATGAATCATTTAAGTGAGAAGTTCATACATGATGAATGTGTTTCTTTTTTCTTTTTGGCAATAATACAAACTGTCAAATATAACCACATTTTAAAAAATTACTTACCAAAGTCGATATGGGTTAACACTAATGTTCCCATTTGGTTATTTCATTTAGCTGGAACAAGTTTCTCGTTTTGGTTTAAGACTTTTCTCATACCACCTATCTCTATAAAGCAAAATGCAGGCCGGGCACGGTGGCTCACTCCTGTAATCCCAGCACTTTGGGAGGCCGAGGCAGGCAGATCACGAGGTCAAGAGATGGAGACCATCCTGCCTAACATGGTGAAACCCCATCTCTACTAAAAATACAAAAATTAGCTGGGCATGGTGGCTTGCATCTGTAGTCCCAGCTACTCAAGAGGCAGAGGCAGGAGGATTGCTTGAACCCGGGAGGTGGAGGTTGCAGTGATCCAAGATCATGCCACTGCACTCCAGCCTGGTGACAGAGCGAGACTGTCAAAAAAAGAAAAAAGAAAAGTGCAAGGTAGATAATAGGAGCATTGAAGGATGTTAAGCTCTGGAATGCCATGCTAAGATTTGAGTTTAAGATACAGACTTCTAATGGTAACAGCAAAGGTGTATTGATGTATTGAAAGGGGCAGAATTTATAAAATCCAATGTATAACACCTGAAGTAGCTAAAGGTGTTACTTGATATGGCTGTGTCACTATAATCACCGAACTTTAAAGGGGATGTTGTGACTGGAAAAGAAAATTTGAAACCAGTACCCATTAGTGGGTCAAGCAAATGAAGATGGAGAACAGGGCATCTTATGAATATTGTTATTATATAATAAAGAACTGGAATAATCAATATCCTCTTGAAAGAGACTTAAATCTAATGAAGCAGCTGTAGATAACTAAATTATGATTATGACAGATTCAGGGAATTGGTTCAGGGTTCTTTGCATCCAAAATTCAAATAAGTAATCAAAGTGAAATTGCATTAGCTGACCTCCTCAGACCACCTCTGAAATACAGTAAGCATTTATTAAGAATACCCAAAATAACAGCATGACATAACTGCTTCTATATTTCACAAATGCCTTTGGCTAAGGGGGAGGAGGAATGGAGTCAGGTAGGGGAGGGCACGTGAGGGAGGAGGACACAGGAGGAAGAGAAGAAGCTACTTGCACAAAGATAAATGGAACTCTTATTTTAATAATTGCCACAGCAGTATTTTTCTTAAGTCAAGATTAAAAATATGACGAGCTTACAGAATGTTATCGTCCACAGCAAAAGTAATATAAAAACAATTGTTATTCCCACATAAATTACTTAATACAACTGCTACTGGTTTTACAGATTAGTGCTAGCACTGATGGGCCATTGTATAAAAAAGACATTCTTTCTCTGTATTTTTTAGTCTTCAGCTTTTGGTATTCCTTTGTCTCTTTAGTATATTCTTATGTCTTATCTTGAAGTATAATGAAATATTTCACTAGTAACACCCACAGAATTGTTTTCATTGGCTCTCTTCTGGGCCTCCTGAGGCCATTATATGAATGGTAACAAAAAACAATTTCAAGGCAATAATAATGATGAATAAATTAAAGCACAGTGTATAGTCTCCATCAATAAATAAATTTGTTTTACTGAACTGTATTTTCATCTCAAGAACTGTTCTCCCCACCCCCACCCCTTTCCAAAATGCTTCTTTAAAGCAGTTCTTATTTCAAAAGACTGTTTCAAATTGATTCTGAGGAATTTGAGTTCTCCACACTCTTTTCTGGCAATGTGCTTTTTCTCAGATCATCAGAAACAATGTGAAAACACCTGTCACGGTAATTTCCAATGTCTATCATCTACTAAGTTATACATAAATGATCCACGGTTGCAATGTGGTCCTTGAATGAAGGACTTTCTCAAGAAAGACAAATGCTGTCGAAAATAAAAATGGGTACCTTGTAGGAAAAAGCCACTTGTATCATTGGCAGAAACCTATAGTTTTTATTTTTATCTCTAATCAGAGCCAAGCTAACATTTTTGAAAGAACTAATTTTGCTTTTCATTCACAACAAGGGTTATGTATACATGCATGCTTACCTACAGGTTTAGATGTCATTCAACTCAACTCCATGGGGTTGCGGCTGGAAGTGGAGTCAGATTGGCAACAAAGCATTTACTGAATGCCTACTCAGGGTAAATGATTCTAAAAAAAACTACCTCTTCACCCCACGCTATCCCCCAAAAACAAGGCAAGGTATAATTGTTGAACACATACAGTATAGGTGTTCTAAAAAGCATAGAGAAAGGCTCTGGGGTATAAATCTATTTTTATGTCCTATATACCCGTTCTTTTATGTGGCCTTAGCTTAGATGAGAGTCACTCCCAAGACTGGTCTGTTCCCCAGGTGATTCTGCAGCCAGAGTTGGGAATCCTGCTCTTAAGCCCTAAGAGCTCTTAAGCAGAGCATTTTAGCAACAAACTCCCTACCCATTTCCTGTTTTCAGTCATCTGTGCAACCTGCATTTCCTTCACATTCTTAGTCCTTTCACCAGGGCTTGAAAATTAGTTTGTATTTCCCTATCCCATTTCCCTCTCCTGTCCTCAGAATTGCAATGCAGTTCTACCGTAGTTTGAATGGGTAGTATCATACATTTTGACATCCAGATTCAAGAAGGCAAGTATGTATCAAAATAATCTTGCATTTTTTTTATCCACAAGAATAACCCTTGAAATAGTTAGGCCTTTTGAGATGGGTTGCAATTTGTTAGGAAATAAATGATATGAAGAACAATGGAAACATACATTACGATAGCCATACCTTTTCCTCCTTTAAATTCAGTATATTTCAGACTTAAACCTATGGGAACATAATGCCACAGAATGATAATCACTCTAGTGTTCCTAAAGTCTTGACATTTTTTAAGTGTGTATGTAATCAAGTGGCGCTCAAATGGATCAACCACCCTGCTTTTGCTAATGCAAAGCAAAGCATCTTCTGTGGTAGTGTGGCTAAGGTTAGCAATATCCAACTCTCAGAAGGCAATAAAGAACCTTCTTAAATGTGCCTTATTTCTAAAGTATGATGGCATATTATAGCACTCTTTGTCAGCACTTTATTGGTTTCACAAGAATAAAAACAAACACTGAGGTCTTTATTCTGAAATCCATTTCTGGAATTTATCTTACTAACAAAAGACTTAGTCCTGTGAGAGGTGTTCTAGTTATGAAGGAAGAATTTCCTTTTGTAAGAGTTTGTTTGTTATTTGAAAGGCTATATTTATTTGGTACTATAAACTTATAAATGTACATGAAAAGCAACAAACTCTGTAAAATTATACCTTTTCCATGATCCATATAGTAAACCTAAGAGAAGGAAATTTACTGAAATAAGAATGTTTTTTCATAGCTGAGAAAAAGTAGTATGTTTATGCATTTATATGAGAAGAGGAAAAGGAATTCAAAACTGTGTTTAAACATGAAAATTTTTTGGAATAAGTGCAGTTTGCTTTCAGCATTCAGCATTGTTTCTACTGATTATTTATTTATCAAAATTGCTTATTCATTGATATTTTGCTAAAAGACTTGCTCTTAACAGTTTTTGGCTTTCTTTTCTTTAAGCATACAAGGATAGGCAACTGATACCAATGCTTCCCTTAGCTGCTCTGATTGGATTCTATATATATGAACAAAGGTTACCCCAAAATAATACAGGAAAATCAGGCATATTTCTAAAGCAACAAAAGAACAACCTGTTTTGCCACACTCTCACCACAGAGACATCTCTTGGTGAATGGGTTTTAGATGTGAAAACTGGTTTATTATTCACAACCAAATCCATTTACCTATCAGCCCTGCACATGGGTTAGAAAAGAATGACAAACATCACAAAGTACATAGTAAATGGCCACAAAACAAAGCAAAATCTAGTCTCTAATTATTTATGCAGCAAAAGTTCACTACTTTAACTTGCCTTCTTAATCCAAAGGAAAGATGAATGGTGACAAGGGAGAATACACACATAGGAACACTAAAAGGTTCCCAGAGCTGCCCTAGACAGGCTTCCATGAAAGTTAAGAAAACGAGTGTGCAACTGGGCAGGGGCCCTCTCAGAAATGTGTCATTGTGAAGTTTTAATTCCCCAAAGTGTTTTAACACCTGTTTTCTTTTGTGTTAGGCTGAAATCTTTCAGAGACAAGGTTCAAGAGAGCAAGCAAAACATTGCACGACAATGAACAGATCAAGGTATACTTCTGTTTAGGCTAAGGAAGCTGGCTTTATATAAAGCTTTCTTTTCAAAGGGGAGAGATGAGGGAGAAGGAAGCCTTTAGAAAATAAGGGTGATAGCTTCTCTTCCTGGTTCTTCCTGGAGTTGGGAAAAGTTGGCTTGAGGGGGTTAAAAAAAAAAAGAAGGGTGACAAGTAGCTTTTAACAAAATGCCATGTCAAGAGTCCTTCATGCATTTTTGAAAAAAAAGGAAAACAGTAATACCATATATGTGACAAGCTATTTGACAGCATACATTTTCTTTGTCTCTTTTTCCATATAGGTAGCCACTCCCAGTCAAGGACTGTATGAGTTGCCCAGAGCAAGACCTTTTAGGATATGGTACATAGCTGGGAGCCTGCCAACTCCTGATTTTGTCATTACCCTCAGAACTCCAGAATGTAAGCTCCATGAAGGTAGGTTTTTAAACAGTTTTGTTTTTCTGTTTTGCTCACTGCTGTATCTTTAGCACCTAAAATCTTGCCTGGCAGATAGTAAGCAAGCAATAATTATTTGGGGTATGAATAAACAAATGCAATTCAGACCTCACATTCTCTAACTTTGGCAGCTGTATGTAGTTACCAATTCACTGAGATGTGAGCATATGCCAGACACTGTGCTAAATACTAATCATTTAATATTTAATCATTTAATCCTCACAACAACTATGTGACAAAGGCATTATTATCTCTGTGGTAGGATTCATAAAGTACCCAAGTTACAATGAGGGAGTTAAGCAGCTTAATTAAAATCTTGCAACTTGTAGAAGGAAGTTAACCTAGTTTAATTCCAAATTTACTTACTATGCTAAATACTGGTTCAATACTGCTTAGTCAATGACTCTGTTCCACAGCCTCAAAATTTCCTTGGATTTTGAACCTTGGTCTCTTGTAAACCCTTGTATTAGTCAGGGTTTTTTTTTTTTTTTTTTTTTTAGAGGAATGGAACTAATAGGAAAGGGAGTTTATTAAGGAGAATTGACTCACACAAACACAAGTTCAAGTCCCACGATAGACCATCTGCAGGCTGAGAAGCCAGGAAGCCAGTAGTGGCTCAGTCCAAGTCCCAAAACCTCAAAAGCAGGGAAACTGACAGTGCAGCCTTCAGTCTGTGGCTGAAGGCCGGAGAGCCCCTAGCATACCACTGGTGTAAGTCCAAGAGTCCAAAAGCTGAAGAACGTGGAGTCTGATGTTTGAGGGCAGGAAGCATCCAGCAGAAGAGAAAGATGAAGGCCAGAAGACTCAGCAAGTCATCTTCTTCCACCTTCTTCTGCCTGCTTTTTCTAGTTGTGCTGGCAGCCGATCGGATGGTGCCCACCCACATTGAGGATGGGGCTTCCTGAAGGTGGGTCTTCCTCTCTCAGTCCACTGACTCAAATATTAATCTCCTCTGGCAACACCCAGAAACACCCAGATATATCCAGAAACAATACTTTGCATCCTTCAATCCAATCAAGTTGACACTTAATATTAACCATCACAATACTGCTCTCTAACTCTGGACATGGGGATCCTATACTGCACATAAGGCAAATATTGCTTCAACACTCCTATCTCCCAATGTATGTCACGCTGGTGAGGTCTTTCTCTGCTTGGGCTGCCATAACAAAATGCCATAGATTGGGTGGCTTAAACAATAGGCATTTATTTTCTCATCATTCTGGAGGCTTGAAAGTCCAAGATCAAGGTGCCAGCATGGTTTGGTTCTGATGAGGGCCCTCTTCCTAATACCCACAAGTTCTTGGGCTTACACCAGTGGTAGCTAGGGGCTCTCAGGCCTTCAGCCACAGACTGAAGGCTGCACTGTCAGCTTCCCTGCTTTTGAGGTTTTGGGACTTGGACTGAGCCACTGCTGGCTTCCCGGCTTCTCAGCCTGCAGACGGCCTATCGTGGGACTTGAACTTGTGTGCTTTTTCACTGTGTGCTTCCATGGCCTTACCTTGGTGTATGATTGTGGAGACATTTCTATCTTTATTCCAATACAGCTGCCAATCTATCAGATTAGGACCACATCCTCATGACTTCATTGAACCTTAATTACTTCCTAAAAGCTCTATCTCCAAATACATTGCTGAGGTATGGTTTTAACATATGAATTTTGGGGTACACAATTCAGTTCATAGCAGGTATCCCTCAGAGCTAACCTATCAAGGACAATAACAACCAAACACGTTCAGTTTCTGTGCTTTAATTGCATGATTCACTGTCACACTTGCTGCAGTAACTTTTGCCACCTTAGCAGGGTTCTTGCAATATTTTGACCTCAGTAATTTAGAGATTCAATGTGCATATCTAGGTTAAATGTGTATTGGATTTGAAGAACTGTTAAAACTCTCCCTGTAGTCAAGTTATTCTTCTGATGCACTTTTCCAAAAGTAGTTCCTCAGGGATTTCTTGATCTTTCCAGATCTTCATCCTGGCCATCACATTATCAGAGTTAGCATTGCAGAGGAGAACACAGACTCAAGGTGACAAACTTGAATCCGATCCCTCTTTCTATCTGTGTGACCCGGGGAACATTGTGACAATCACAAAATATATATTTTTAAGTTATTGTTTTCCTGAATCACCCAAACCATGGATATCTGATGTTGCCCATAATGAAATTTCATAGATACAATGTGGCTTAATATATTTTCCAATGGTCATTACATCTATATGTTATTTTCTTACATATAACTGAGAATTCCTGTTCTGAAGAGACAATGAACCACTAAGTTTACACAACTCTAAATTATTCTTTGGGATATTATAAGTATTTCTTGGAATTTTCCAAATTGAATCTCAAAATCAGAAATATAGTCTGACCTAGTTATTATAAAGCTTCCTTATCACAAAGAAAAAAATAACGCCTGTTACATGCTCTTGTTAGTAACAACAGCCTTGTTCTCTAACCTTGTATTAAGCTGCTATTGGTGTGGTAGGAAATCCTGAAGAACACCAGAGTACATGGTATCATGACCTATGCCAAGATTTCAAAATGTTGTAGATTTGGCCATTTTAGACATTACTAAAATGTCAAGGAGTTCTGCTGCAGCAGTATGAACCTTTTAAAAGAGTGCTTTGTTTTCTGGCAAAAATAGACTTCCTGACTCATGAATATTCTTTTTTCAGGGAACTTAGGGAAGTGTGTGTATGTGAGTATGTGTGTGTGTGTGTGTGTGTACGCACGCACACACACGTAGACTATCTTGAATTGCAAAGTTTTCTGAAGGAGAGATATTTCCTTATATGTTTCCTTAGCTTTATATTTTAAGATATGATAATGTGTTTTTTAACATAAGATTAAAACTATTAAAATATAAGCATTCATAGTAAATGCAAAGCCACTATTTAAAACAGATTGAGAATGTATGCAAGTCATATATATTGCCATATTTATAGGAATTCTTGGAAATATTGTAACAAGTTATTACTGTTAGTGTTTCACATAATTATTTATGAATATAAAATATAAACTACTTATTTTGTAAAGAAGAGATTGATCATCCCTAAGCTGCTATCAGGTTCCACATTTAGACAATAACGGAATACTCAAGTAGAAAAAGTAATCATTTTTTGCAATGTTTTCTTTCATCATTGAAAAAAGAAATTTAAAGTTTTCTGTTGTTGGGCAATGCTGAGATAATTACTTTCTTTAAAAGGTCAGGTTAAGAGGAAAAAATTCTAGAGAATAGTCATAGAAAATAAACCTGAAGATTCGAGTTCTTGCTTTGGCCCTAGAATTAAATAGCTCTGATACGTTAAGCAGATTACTAAACCTCCTGGAGGCTAAGTTTTCCTGTCTGCAAAAGGAGCGTATAGGAAGATTAGAGCACTGAAGACCTTTAGGTTCTCCCAGTCTGTAATTCTAGGTGGTTATTCCTGCAGTAGAATCAGTGGAATTAGTCTCCATGAACAAAGACAGTAAAGGTTATCCCAGGTGAATATTATCCTACATGTGGTTACAGGGGCTAAGCTTGTCATTATTATTAAACAGCACATTCCAGGTGGCATCCTCCAGTTATACCAGCCTGTGATTTACTGTCACCTTGACTAAGCCAAATGATACCCAGGTGAAATATAATTTCTAGGTATGTGTGTGAGGGTCTTCCCAGATGAGACTCACATTTGAATTGGTGAACTCAGTAAAACGGATGGCCCTACTCAGTGTGGGTTAACATTATCCAATTAGTTAAGGGTCTGAATAGAACAAAAATTGAGTAGGAGAGGATTTGTCCCCTTCTTGCCTGCCTGCTTGAGCTAGGATATTGTTCATCTTCTACCCTTGGACTGAGATTTACACCATTGGCTCCTCTAGTTCTCAGGCCTTTGGACTCAAACTGGGATTACATCACTGGCTTTCCTGGGTCTGTGGTTGCAAATGGCAGATCATGGGACTTCTCAACCTCCATAATCTCATAAGCCAATGATATGCTTTAGCTGTGTTCCCACCTAAATCTCATCTTGAATTGTAGCTCCCATAATTCTCTCGAGTTGTGAAAGGGACACAGTGGGAGCTAATTGAACCACAGGGGCAGTCTCCATCACACTATTCTTATGGTAGTGAATAAGTCTCATGAGATCTAATAGTTGTATAAAGGGAAACCCCTTTTGCCTGGCTCTCATTTTCTTCTCTTGTCTGCTGCCATGTGAGATGTGCCTTTGCCTTCTACCATGATTGTGAGGCCTCTCCAGCCATGTGGAACTAGGAATCTATTAAACCTCTTTCTTTTGTAAATTGCCCAGTCTCAGGTATGTCTTTATTAGCAGCATGAAAATGGACTAATACAGCCAATTCCTCATTTTATATACATATATAATCTCCTATTGGTTCTGTGTCTCTGGAGAGTCCTGACTAACACAGAAACTGGTACCAAGAAGTGAAGTGCTATTGTAACAAACACCTACAAATGTGGAAGTGAAGTGGGCATTGGGTAATAAGTAGAGGTAGGAAGAATTCTGAAGTGCTTGCTCTAAGAAACTGAGATGATCATAAAGGGATTTTTAAAGGAGATTCTGATGAGTGCTCAGGAAGGAAAAAGGAGAGATGTAGAGGAAGTTTCCATCTTATTAGAGAATACACAGATAATCATGTACAGAGTGTTAGTAGAAACACAGATAGTAAAAATGGCCATTCTGATGAGGTCTCAACTGAAAATGAGGAATATCTTATTAAACAATGGAAAATAAGTGAGCTTTGTTGTAAAGCAGCAAAGAACTTGCCTAAATTGTGTTCATGTTCTAGTGCCTTGTGGAAGGTAGAATTTGCAAGTAATGAAATAGGATATTTATAGGATATTTAGCTGAGAAGATTTCTTTTCTTTTTCCTTTCTTTTTTTTTTTTTTTTTTTTTTTTTTGAGACGGAGTCTCGCTCTGTCGCCCAGGCTAGAGTGCAGTGGGGCACAGTCTCGGCTCACTGCAAGCTCCGCCTCCTGGGTTCATGCCATTCTCCCGCCTCTATCTAGCTGAGAAGATTTCTAAGCAAAGTGTTTAAGCAGTGGTTTGGTTGCTCCTGACTGCTTATAGTAAAATGTAATAGAGAAAAATGACTTGAAGACAGAATTATTAAGCAAAAAGGAACTAGAACTAAGTGATTTGGAAAATTCTCAGCTCATCCATATGGCAAAAAATGAGAAACCATGTTCAGAAGACAGTACTGTAGATATGGCCAAGAGACTGTTCAGTAAGGAGATTAGTATGGGTATGAACCATGGACTTAATTAACTACCCCAGCAAAGCAACTGCCAATCTGAACTAAAAGAGAAAGAGATGGAAAAAAATGAAGGAAGGCATCAGACTTCTGGGATTTCACAGGATGTGACCATAGAGATTTTTCACTATGAACAGGGTCTATTTTTCAAGGGAAGAATGAGGCCAAAAGCGATTTAGAAATTATCAGGGCTGCTTCCCTGGTTTCAAAATGAGGGGCCATTGCCTTGTTTTCAATAGGCAATAAGATCTCTGTCCGAAGCTGTGGAGGCTCACTCCCTGCCAGGTAGAACCATGGGGACAGGATTGCTACCCCGGTGGGGCCGAAAGGTGGGACTGCTGACCCAGTGGGTCTGGAGGGCAGAGTATAGAGCTAAAGATGATTATTCTCCAGCCTTAAAGTCTTATGGAGTTTGCCTTAATAGGTTTTGGACTTGCTTGGGACTCATCATCCCTTTCTTCCCCATTTCTGTCTTTTGAAATGGGAATGTGTATCCTGTGCCTGTCCCATTATTGTATTTTGGAAGCACATAACATATTTGGTTTTACGGGTTCATAGCTGGAGAAGAATTTTGCCTCAAGATGAATCATTCCTTGAGACTCACCCAAATCAGACTTAGATGATATTTAGATGATGTCCTGGACTTTAGACTTAGGAGTTGAAGCTGGAAAAAGTTAAGAGTTCTGGGGCTGCTGGGATGAAATGAATGTATTTTGTATATGAAATAGGCATGAGTTTTGAGGGGAAAAGGGTAGAATGTCATGGACTGAATGTGCCCCTCCCCCAAACTCATATGTTGAAATCCTAGCCCCTGATAAAATGCGTTGAGCTTTGGGGAAAATAATTAGGTCACGAGAGTGGAGCCCTCATGAATAGAATTAGTACCCTCATAAAAATTCCCCCAGAGAGCTTTCTCTCCCTCCTTCTGCCATGTGAAGACACAGCAAGAAGTCCAAAAACCAGGATGACGGACCTCACTAAGAACCTGACCCTGCTGGCACCCTGATCTTGGACTTTCAGCTTCCAGAAATGTGAGAAATAAATGTTTGTTGTCTAAGCCACCCAGTTTATGGTACAGTCATACCTTGCTTTATTCTGCTTCACTTTATTGCACTCCACAGATAGTGCATTTTTTACAAATTGAAGGTTCATGGCAACCCTCCATCAAGCAAGTTTACTGTGCCATTTTTCTAACAGCAGGTGCTCACTTCATGTCTCTGTGTCATAATTTGGTAATTCTCATAATATTTCAAGCTTTTTCATTATTAATATATCTGTTATAATAATCAGTGTCTTTTTCTTTCTTTCTTTTTTTTTTTTTTTTGAGAAAGGGTCTTGATCTGTCACTGAGGCTGGAATGCAGTAGTGCAATCCCAGCTCACGCAGCCTCAAACTCCAAGGCTCAAGAGATTCTTCTGCTTCAGCCTCCTGAGCAGCTGGGGCTAAAGGCACACATTACTTTGCCAAACTAATTTTTATTAGTAGAGACAGGGTCTCCCTATTTTGCCCCAAGCTGTGATCTGTGATCTTTGATGTTACTACTGTAATTATTTTGGGGAACCATGAACCATACTGATATAAGGCAGAGAACTTAATCAATAAATGTTGGGTATTCTGACTGCTCCAATCACTGGCCATTCCCCCTATCTCGCTTCCTCTCCTTGGGCCTCCCTATTCTGCGAGACACATTAGTATTAAAATTAGACCACTTAATAACCCTACAGTGGCCTCTAAGTATTCAAGTGAAAGAGTCATATCTTTCACTTTAAATCAAAAGCTAAAAATGATTAAACTTAACGAGAAAGACATGTCAAAAGCCAAGAGAGGTCAACAACTAGGCCTCTTCCACCAAACAATTAGCCAAGTTGTGCAAGCAAAGCAAAAAGTTCTTCAAGGAAATTAAAAATTGCTACTCTGGTGAACTCATGAATAATAAGAAAGTGAAACAGCCTTATTGCCAATATGGAGAAAGTTTGATTTAGTCAGGAGAGAAGATCAAACCAGCCACAACCTTCCCCTAAGTTAAAGACTAATCTAGAGAAAGGTCCTAACTGTTTAATTCTATGAAGGCTGAGAGACGTGAAGAAGCTGCAGGAGAGGAGTTTAAAGCTAGCAGAGGTTGGTTCATTAGGTTTAAAAACAGAAGGTCTCTCCATAACATAAAATTCAAGGTGAAGCAGCAAATGTTGATATAGAGGCGGCAGCAAATTATCCAGAAGACCTAGCTAAGATAATTAACGAAGGTAGCTATGCTAAACAATAAATTTTAAATGTAGACAAGACAACCTTCTATTGGAAAAAGATGCCATCTAGGATTTTCATAGTTAGAGAGAAAACAATGCCTGGCTTCAAAACTTCAAAGACTAGACTGCCTCTCGTATTAGGGGCTAATGACTTTATTTTGAAGCCATAGTAGCTGATGACTTTATACTGAAGCCAATGTCCATTTACTATTCTGAACATATTAGAGCCCTTGAGAATTATGCCAAATCTACTCTGCCTGAGCTCTATAAATGGAACAACAAAGCCTGGATGACAGCACATCTGTTTATAGCATTGTTCACTAAGTGTTTTAAGACCACTGTTGAGATTTACTGCTCAGAAAAAAAGATTCCTTCCAAAAGATCACTGCTCATTGATAATACACCTAGTCACCCAAGAGTTCTGATGGTGATATACAAGGAGGTTAATCTTGTTTTCATGCCTGCTAACACAACATTCATTCTGCAGTCCATAGATCAAGGTGTTATTTTGACTTTCCAGTCTTATTAACTAAGAAATACATTTCATAAGGCTATAGCTGCCATAGACAGTGATTCCTCTGATGAATCTGGGCAAAATAAATTAGAAATCTTCTGGAAAGTAGTCACCATTACAAATGCCATTGAGAACATTCATGATACATGGGAGGAGTTCAAAATATCAACATTAATGAGAGTTTGCAAGAAGTTGATTCCAACCCTCATGGATGACTTTGAGGGGTTCAAGACTTCAGCAGAGGAAGTAACTGCAGTTATGGTGGAAATTAGCAGAAGCACTAGAAACAGAAGTGGAGCCTGAAGATGTGACTTAATTGATGCAATTTCATGATCAAACTTGAACGGATGAGGAGTTGCTTCTTATGAATGAGCAAAGAAAGTGGATTTTTGAGATGAAATTTGCTCTTGCTGAAGATGCTGTGAACATTGTTGAGATGACAATAAAGGTTTTAGAACATTACATAAACCTAGTTGACAAAGCAGCAGCAGGGGTTGAGAAGACTGACTTGAGTTTTGAAAGAAGTTCTACCCTGGTTAAAAGGTGTATCAAATAGCATCACATGCTACAGATAAATCTTTCATGAAAGGAAGAGTCGATCGATGTGGCCAAGTTTACTGTTGTCTTATTTTAAGAAATTGCCACAGCCACCCAACCTTCAGCGACCACAGACCTGACCAGTCAGCCATCATCAACCTCAAGGCAAGACCCTCCACCAGCAAAAAGATTAGGACTCACTGAAGGTGCAGATGATCGTTAGCAATAGATTACCTTTAATTAAAGTATGTACATTTTTTAGACATACTGCTATTACACATTCAATAGACCATGGCATTGTGTAAACTTAACTTTTATATGTACTGGAAAGCCAAAAAAATTCATGTGACTCACTTTATCATGGTGGTCTGCAACAGAACCTGCAATATCTCCGAGGTACGCCTGTACTTTGTTATGGCAGCCCGAGCTAACTAACACAGCATAGCAGATGCCATAGAAGCTGAAGGCTCAGATGGGGTAAGTCGACACTTATCCCATAAGGTACCAGGATGTCACTCTCTCAGGGAAAATTTTTTTGGCCTCCCTCTACACTAAGCCACATCTCTTTTTATAGGGGATCATACAATTTTGAACAAAAAATTTCTGCCATAGCATTTAGCACAATTGATAGTTACATGTTTATATAACTGTATCATATCTGTCTCACTGTTGGGGTGTAAACTCCCAGACAACTAAGTCTAAGCAAGGTTTTAAAAACATTTGGTCTCTATTTTTTCAAGGTAACAAATGAACGTATCTTAAAGAGACAGAGCTACAGGGCTTATTATGGAAAACAGGAGCTCCCTGTCTCCTCCAACACCATTTTCAGCTCCCCAGAAGCAACTACTTAAATTCTTCTAGCTGAATATTGTGGCATTTTTTTATTATCTTTATTAATATCATGCTTTTATTACTTTCAAGTAGGTCTTGAAATTTTGGCTTTAGGCATTGATTATTGGTGTCACTCTTGGAGGAAAAGGCTTTCGTTCTTTTTCACACTCTCCCTACACTTACCACGGAAGCACTTTCTGTCATCCTATTCTCTCAGTATAATTGGGTCAGTAGTGATTATTATAACTATTATTATTACAGTATTATTGCCATGTAGTACCATTCTCATCTGAGTCACATAGCATTAGGTTTTCTGTTAATTTCCCTCTTTTGGAGAAATCTCTTAGAGCCTTCTGCCTGTTTCCATTCAAAACTAGCTGGTGCACAGACATCATCCTAGGATTCTCCATGCTTTCTCTTGGATTAAATCTCATGTTTCTTGATTCCTTAAATCATATATATTCTATTTGTTTTGTTGCTGTTTCTCTCCTGCTTGGTGAAGTACATCCTGTAAGGGCTTCTTGAGAAAGGGTGTATATAAGGCAAAATTTTCTGAATCTTATGTATATAAAAACATGATATTGTGAGATATGTCTACCTTCTGAAATGATCAATAATACCATTTAGTATAGATTTAGGTTAGAAATATTTTTTCTTCTGAATTTACCTTGTATTGCTATTGAGAAGTCTGACATGATTTGATACTTTATCCACTTTATGAAATCTGAATTTTTGCTCTAGAATTCGTTAAGATTTTTCTTTGTCCTCAGTGTTGTAAAATTTCCTAATAAATGTGGTCTATTTTTATTCAGTGTGCTGGGCACTTCATGGTCCTCTCAGTTGGGAAGCTCTTGTTCTCTAATTCTGAGAATATTCCTTTGATGATTTTTCTCCTCCATTAAAAAAAATCTCATACTGGAGAATTCTTATTATTCAGAAATAGGATCCTTGGACTAATTTTTAAAAATCTCTGCTATTTTCCATCTCTTTATTATTTTGCTATATTTGCTGGAAAAATGCCTCAACTATATCTTTACTTTTATCTTATATTTAGTTTTCCATTTCCTCTATTATAATTTTAATTTCCATGCATATTTTTCTTTTGTTTTCTGAATGTGCCTCTTTTATACCATACTCTTTTTCCACTGAGGCAGTATCTTATCTCTTCACATAGTCTCTGTTTCCTGCAAGGTGTTTCGGTCTGGTTTTGTTTGTCAAATTAGATGCCTTCCTGAAGCATGTGTTGATCCACTGTTATCTCCTCATTTTTGAATAAAGAACTTGTGAGTGTGCAAGAAATGGGTCAATTGTGCTCTCATTCCAGGGTGATCTGGCTGGGCTGTTTCCTTAGGGAATCCCTGATCTTAGTATCCTTAGGTTTTTCATTTTGAACTGACCAAATTCCCCAAAGAAAACTGATTGAGTATCCTTCCTCAAGAAATGTGATTGCCAGGATTCTCTAAGTCCAGTGAGGAAGAAAGCTGTGAGTCTCAACATTCTGTAGCTAAACTCTTAGTTAAATGCACTATTTTCAGTTTGGTACTTTGTTTACTCTTCTGCCTAATTATTCCAAGTTCATTGACTCTGTTTTTCTCTAGTCATGGAACAAAACTTCAGTTTCCCAGCTACATGGAGGAGTGGGAGATGGGGGGTGTCTAGTTGCTCTTAATCAATCTTCCTGTTACTAAGCTTACCCTTGCTTCACAGTTCCAGAGACACACAGTGAGGCCATTTCCTGAGCTTTCTGGAAGTCCTTTGGTGGAAACTGGATTGCACCTGGACTTTCTCCACTTCTGGTTTTAGAATTCAACATTCTGGGGTTTCCAAAAATTCATTTCCATGATTACATCTGCTTTCCAGCTTAAATGATTTGTTGTTATTGTCTCCTAGTGCATGCATTTTGGCTTTACATGTGTGTGCCTTTTAAAAAAATAAACCCTTTAAAAGTCATTTCACTGGGGGTTGGAAGGTAGTTAAGGCACCATGACTACCTTGCTTATGATGACATCCTCAGAACAGAGTGCAGTGCCAAGGATTTAGAAGGTCCCTGATACGTATTTGTCAACTGAGTGAAAGAATCATCACCATATATAATTCTTTTCATTCTCCTTATGTGAATAAGTTTCAACAATTAAGCAAAGTCTCTGTATGGGTCCTATGTATATTTCTCCCAATATTAAGATATTACATATTCTTTGCTATCTTAACATAAAGCTCTGCATGGAGTTCTTGGTCTTTTAGAACTTCGCTATTGTGAAGATAACTTTTTGGCATGAATGCACCATGTAGACTGAAACAGAATACCAGACTCCAACAATGACAAGAGCTTCTCTGGCTGATATTGCCATCTGTCCTGGTTTCCACTTAACATGTATATTAGTTATTTGAATAGATTATTGGGGGGTGAAGGTCACTTTATTGCAGCCCTTTGAATACAGGGTCATCATGAATAACCTGAAACTGCAGCTGTGGCCAAAGAGAAAATGACTTCAACTGTTGACATGTGTCCTTGGTACAGACTTAATGGTGGTCTAATAATATTAAGCATAGAAAATATGGGACAAAGAAAAACATAGACTCACAAAAGGATCCCACTGCATATATCCTGACAGTTTTTCCTCTTATGGGAAGTTCTTCACAATGTGTATTCCACGTATGTGTGTGCTCTCTCTCTCTCTTTTGATCTCTCTCCTTATTTTCAATTACAGAGTAATTACTATAAAATGAAAATATACTTAAATGTATAATTATTGTCACTCAATTCTGCCTTATTGGCTATTAACACAATATATACAAGTAGACTTTTAACTCAGCTTGAAGAAAAAACACATGAAAATAGGCCGCTTGCTTTATTAGAGAAATAGTTGAACAGGTAACTACAAACTATACTTATTTGTTCTGAAATAAATGTCACGTTAGGGCCAGGGAAAGATGACATGAGAATCAAATTCTATGAGAAGCAGTGGTGAGGCAGGTAATTCCTAGGCTTTGAAAACGAAACAATGGATGCTGGCTAAGTGGCAGAGACTTTATCTTCATTTCTGTTTCAGCATTAAGTTGAGTGAGGATAATCCTCAGGCAAAGTCAAATATCCATATCATCGGTGCCTTGCAGTGTCCGAAGCTGGGGCTTGACAGTTACTCTGGGCTGTGTGTGGAGGGAACTATTTTCTGAGGAAATGTTTGGCC
This sequence comes from Homo sapiens, assembly GCF_000001405.40. Lineage (NCBI taxonomy): Eukaryota > Metazoa > Chordata > Mammalia > Primates > Hominidae > Homo > Homo sapiens. Next base: position 114,191,747 of record NC_000006.12, read on the forward strand.
CTGTCCACCGTGGTCCTCCTGGCCCACCTCCACTCTAGATTCTATTGACCATCTTTGAGGCAGACCGCTTGATTAGATTCCTTAGTTTCTGCAATCAAAATTTAACCCTATTTTCATTTAATTGATCATGAAGACATATGTATCTCCCCAACACGGCATTTAAATTTCAGTTTCCTCCAAAGGTTGTTACCTTGAATTCTGTTGGCAAATTATTCCCCAAAGCCAAAGGTAACATATAAATTTTAATATTTTATAGAAACAGTTATCTGTTCTTCAAGAGAGAAAATATTTTTCTGTTACTAACTTTAAAATTGAATGTGTCATGCAATCCTTATATAAGAAACAACATAATGAAATTAAGCAACAAAATGGATGTTATTTTGAACCAGGGTTTTAAAACATGGAGAAATGTTTTTCACAGGGTTTTCTATCACTTTCATTAAGTGGAGGGCATGGAATTATAATAATTTTTGAAAGCATTTTTGTTGAGATTTAATGTATGCATATAGATTTCTAAGTAACTTGATGATGGTTGAGTGTTCTAAGCACTTTGCAAACAGAACTCATTTAATCTTCTTAATAACTATAAGATATAGATACCTATCATCCCATTTCACAGATTAGAGAACTCTCTCACAGAGAGGTATCTTTCTCAACATTACAAAGCTGTTAAGAGGCAAGAGTACAAGGCCAAACCTGTCTATTTAAGGTGCATTCAACTTTGTTTTGCCTAGCTTTTTTAAATTTTATTTTAATCACCTCTTCCACCCAGGTTTTTTTGAAGGAATTTGAATAATGATACATTCAAACTTTACAAAACAAGGCTTTGTCTTGTCAAAATTACAAGACAAGAGCCAACTGTCCTGTAATTCTAAAGTGTCAATTAAAAAGGCAAGACCCAGGAAAAAGGGTGGCACTCCATTTTGGAAAATTTAGAAGACTCAGAGGGAGAGCCACAGATTATTCAGCTAGAGACCTCAGAACTATACAATTTGGGGAAAATTGGTCCCAGAGTCATAGCTTCTACCCTAGGGGTATAAAGTAAAAAGAAATAAGATACTGTAACGTCAGTCAAAATATATATAGACTACCACAGTTTCTCTGAAAGATGTCATATTACGAGCTTCTATGCAACAGAAAGTGATTTTACTATTTTCTCCAACTGCTATATCCATGCATTTCATAGAAGGTTATTATAATCTAAGTGTTTTTTTCATTTCTCCCACCTGCCCCCACCTTTTTAAAAGTTTAACTTAATCAGAGCATGGGTGTATATCTGTGGGATTTTTTTCTTCTTCTTCAGGTTCTGTCATGCTATCATCACAGCAGTCTTTATCAAACCAGGACTAAGTGGTTAATATCTTGTTAACTCATTCATGGAGCACTTTCAATTAGCAAACTTCTATTAATCACTAATGGGTGGAACCCTGGAGATGAAAGCTACCTGCTTCATAAGCAGCACTGGTGGAAGACAAACATATGAACAAACACACAGACAGACAGACACACACACAGTGTTATGGGAGCTGAAGAAAAGAAGAGCTATAATTCTGCTTAGAAAAGTCAGGGAAGTCCTCATACATGAGGTGATATAGGAACCATATTTTGAAGGATATGTAGCAAGCCAAAAGATGGACCTGGTGAGTAAAGTTTATTATTGATAAAGAGAAAACCTCGCAGAACACAGAGTTTGGTGTGTTTGGGGACTACAATGGCTGTGGTAGAAGCATGTATATGCAGCAGTGTCACATGAAGGTTAAGACACTAAACTTTGGCATCATTCTCCCTGGTATGAACCCTGGCACTGACCTTGAACAAATTCGTTATTAATTTCTTTGTGCCTTAATTTCCTTATCTATATAATAGGAAAAGAAACAGTACCTAAACTGTAGGGTTTTTAAGGGTTAAATGAAATAGTACTGTAATGCCTGGCACATAATAAACACTTAAAAATGTTAACTATCAGTATTATTATCCCCCAAAGACAACTACTTCTTGAGTAATCAATATTACTATTATGAGTGAAATTTCCTCCACATGTGTCTTCACACTAACAATAAGCAATATTAGATTATGGTTATACATTCCTTTGGACAGGTACTCTCTTCTACAAATCAGAAATCTATTCCTGGGGGCAGCTTCCAAGTCATATATTCTGAATGATGTCTGAATAGCTGTTTCACAGCCCATCTAAGCATTCAGGTCTCCTAAATTATGAAGTAAGTTGATAAATGGGCCTATAAAAATAAGTGCAAGGAACATACTGTCACTAGGTACCTTATGTACATACTTTAGGAGGAGACATGTATTCATCAAGATACATGAAGTTTATCTTTTGAAGAGAAGAGAATCATATTGAAAGAAACAAGTTATCATTCGTGCTGGAAAACTCAGAAATCAATCCTCTAATTTCAACTGATTTGAACACAGATATCTTTTGCATTGACTAAATCTGGGCATTTGGATGCAAGAAAGACCTGAAGAAATTAATTTCCTAAAAGCTAGCTCCCTTTAGCTGAATAATATTAAATAATTATGATCACTTCGTAAATAAAAATAAAATTCTAAGCCCCCCTCCAACTGGATGAACGAACTGTTGGCCAAAGGGACATCAGAGAAACTCTGGAAACTGAGTTCCTGGCCATGACAGGATGGGAGGTCGGACACACTTTGTCACGTTGTAGTCTCTTTGTTAACTGCCTTTAGGCTTTCTTATGTAAGGGCTAAACAGAAACCAGCCCTTTCAAAAGACTCCACTGCTATTTCAACCAACTGCCTGATTGCTGGCCCTCCCTTTTGTGGTTTTGGCACAACAGCCAACCAGCATTTCTTCTTGATAAAGGAGCACTCACCATGGAGTGGTTCAGGCTAGTCTGTGGAGGATACACAGTGAGGGTTTTCGTGTCCCCTGCTTTACCCTTTGACATCAGAGTGTGGAAAATTCTACCCCTGGATCATGCTAATGCTGCCAATTTTAGAACATGGGTCCCATGGAGAGGCATGAAGCTCAGTTGCACATGGGCAGGTCTCTCCTTTCATGAATATTTATGACTCCTCCTATAGTTTATTGAATATGTATATTTGGCCATCTCATTCAGCATAAAACCCTGTCCTATTTGTCCCACCCTCAAAGCAGTCTGTTTCTGGCATCTGGCCAGAGGCCGTGCCTCCCAGCCTATCAGAATAGCCACCTTGCAGGCTGCAACTCTTTATGAGAAATAAAGCTCTCCTTTCCACTTGTATGAACCTTGTCATTCTTCAGCTGACCTGCTTCAATAGATACCACTGAAAGATACAAAGAAAGTGGGCAGGACACATAACCTTGATATTTAGATTACACATTCCACCACTTTACCCGAGAGTTTCAAGTCATTATTAAATCCAGAGAGCCACTAAGGAACTGCTGTTTGGATGATGTCAGCAGATTTAGAGGGAGCTAGTTCCCCAGAGATGACCAAGTTCCACAGTCAAGAGATCTTTTCTAGTTTTCTAGGTCAGGCCATCTGAGAAAGGGAAAAATGATCATTTTGGTGAAGGGAAGTTGCAGCTAGAGGCAAATAAATCCTGTATGCTGGAGAAAATGAGATATATGAATATGAGTCAAACTGAGGAGCTATAGAGAGACCAGACCCACTGCCCATGTCACTAAGCAGGTAAATGTGTGCATTCAGCTGTTGTAAGCCAATAAAGAGTGGTGAGGTCAGGCTTGGAGTGTGCCTTCCACAGTAAAGGAATGCAAATTAAAAAAAAAAATTGTTAAAGCATTGCACAAGCCACACTAAATACACCTGTGTCCAGGACCAGGATTCTATCTGTTTTATAATCCTGTGGGCTCATGGCCTCTGGCCTATGCTGAGAGGGGAGAAATCACACTGTGGGGCAGAACTGATAATATCATTTGTTAATAAATATGCAATTAGGTAGATAAATGGAAGAAATAGAATTTATAGGTGTATGTCCTCAGGAAGGATAAGAGTGAACTTCAGTTGGAGAGAGGAGAAAGAGGGAAAGTGGTCAAGCAGGCAGTTAGGGTGGGTCCTTGGTTGAATTCTTTCAAACAAAAGAATAGCCTGAAAAATCAGCCTGCAGGCACAGATAAGGGAACTTGTACAGAAGGCCTTGTCTAAGACATGCCCTCAATGGAAAATTCCATCCTCTAATACATGCACAGTAAGGGGAGCAAAGCAATATGGAGTAACTCAAGCTAAGGGCCTGTATGCACACTAGGAGAACAGGAGTGGAGCTACCAGAAATTCGTGGCTTATGCAAATGAGACGCCCAGCCCTCTTCAGTTTCTTATAAAAGCCTTTGCGTTCAACTGTAAAAACAGCAACCCTCTTCTGGGCCCCCTCTCCATGACAGAGAGCTTTCTTCTTTCACTTATTAAACTTTCGCTCCAACCTCACCCTTTGTGTCCACACTTCTTAATTCTCTTGGTTGTGAGATGAAGAACTCCGGGTGGTACTTCACAATGAGACACTGCTACATTGTGATGCATTGGCGAGACTGTAACAGTAAGATCTACATTAAATCAGGGAAATTAGTATGGGGGTCTATATTCTGTAGCTTTGCCAGTTTGTTCTTAGGATTTTCTGTTTTGCCTATGAATTGGGGTGCAGGGAGACGGAGTTGAGCAAAAAAGCAAAAAGATCTTTCCATACCCGTCCTTCCGCTGAGTGGGGCTTTTGTAAAAGAATGAGATATTACAACCTTATAGTAGGTTCTTTTAGCTTACTTAATTTCTTTGTGTTTACTCTTTGAAAGGGCAAACAGATAATGTACTGCCCAAATTCTAATGACAAAACCAAATAAACAGGGAGCGGCCCTCGTGAAGTCTCCTTCATTACTTGCCTAAAACTCAATTATTAGCATCATTGTAAGCACCTCTTAGCCAGGCTGGAGCTCCACAAAAAAAAAAAAAAGACCTAAAATTCCATAGAAGTAGAGTCTTAGCCTAGGAAGTAAGAGTCACTTGATATGGAATTTACAATGTGTGATGATAATAAGCTATATGATTATTTTTTGAAGTTACTGTTTCGTTTAATGTAGTTTTGAAAGATTTTGTTTTTAAAGGAGGGGATTTGGTGTTATTAGGAAGGAGAAACTAAAGTCCAGGCAAGTTTGTAAATGGAAAAAAAAATAAACATTGGGTGAAAAGAGCAATGATTGAGGAAAGAATGCTATTGAAGGGTAAAGAAGTAAAGATGCAGTGCTGTCTTTTTGGTAGCTGTTGCCTTGAAAAGACAAGATAGGTTTAGCTTCAGGATGGAGACAGCCCAAGGCCCCAGGGCTCCAACCAGTTGGTCAAGAACCAGCCATTTTTGTTAAAATGAGAAGAGACCTCTCTATTCCATGGAACAGTGTTTTTTCTTTCTTTCTTTCTTTTTTTTTTTTTGTTGTTTTTAATGAGTACTTTATTTTTTGAATAGACAAATAAATGAATGAACTGCCACAAAATCACTTACCAAGTTCTTGCACATATTTGGTCCTGTTCAAGACTATATATTCTGTATTATTGATATTTGTTTGTTTTGTTGTCAGTCCCATACAAATTTAATAACTGCACCTTAAAAACATTTTAATATCTCTTAGGTTTTGATGACTTCCCATATACTCTACAATAATTCATTGTAGTCTAAAACGTTTTCCAACTATTCTTACATATTTATCCTCCAGTTGAATTTTATAATCATTTGTCAAATTTAAAAAATCTCATTGTATATATATTTATTTTAATTTCCATTTTTATTTAGATTCTGGGGTAGATATGCAGGTTTGTTACAAGGGTATATTGTATAATGCTGAGGTTTGGGCTTCTATTGATCCCAACACTTAGACAGTGAATATAGTACCCAACAGGAAGTTTTTCAGCCTTTGCCCACTCCCTCCCTCCCTCCTTTTGGAGTCCTCAGCATCTACTGTTCCCATCTTTGTTTGTGTGTACTCAAGATTTAGCTTCCACTTATAAATGAGAATATGTCATATTTGGTTTTATGTTTCTGTGCTAATTTGCTTGGGATAATGGCCTCCAGCTGTATCTATGTTGCTGCAAAGGACATTATTTCAAAAAGGTAGAAATGCCAGCTCCCTTAGATGAGAAAAAATCAGCACAAGAACTCCAGCAATTCAAAAAGTCAGAGTGTTTTGTTACCTCCAAAGGATCACACTAGCTCCCTAGCAATGGATCCTAACCAGATTGAAATGTCTGAGTTGATGGACATGGAATTCAGAATCTGGATGGCAAGGAAGCTCAAGGAGATCCAAGAGAAAGTTGAAATCCAATCCAAGGAAGCCAGAAAAGTGATCCAAGATTTGAAAGATAACATAGCCATATTAAGAAAGAAGCAAATTGAACTTTTGGAATTGAAAAGTTCACTAGAGGAATTTCAAAATACAGTTGGAAGCCTTACCAACAGACTAGGCCAAGCAGAAGAAAAAATTTCAGAGCTCAAAGACTGATCCTTCAAATCAACCCAGTCAGACAAAAATAAAGAAAAAGGAATCTTTAAAAAATGAACGAAGCCTTTGAGATATATGGGATTATACAAAGTAACCAAATCTATGACTCTGGCATTCTGGAGAGAGAAGACAGAGTAAGCAACTTGGAAAACATATTTGAGAATATAATCAATGAAAATGTTCCCAATTTTGCTAGAGAGGTCAACATAGAAATACAAGAAACAGAGAACCCCTGCAAGATATTATACAATTCGATCATTCCCCAGGCACATAGTCATCAGAATTTCCAAGATCAACCCAAAGGAACAATCAGAGTTAATGCAGAAAAATAGGGAATAGGTTTAAGGTGCAATTAGCACCTTCTGTTCTACACATCGGCAGAGCTGACACAGAAAGTGATTCACCAGGTTGTATGAAGAAATTCTGAGAAAACTCTGTAAATTCACAAAATTCAATGTACAATTAAATAAACTAAAGAAATAATTGTGCATAGTTGGAAGCATTCTATACTGATTGTGGACTTTACTTTGTAAATCATGTGGTTATAAGTAGAAATGAGAGATTAATGGAAATATCTGCTACTTAGTACAAGTTTTTTTTTTAATAAATGCATTAGATAATCACAGGTTGTATGCCTAATTCTCATGATGACCAAACATCTGTTTATGACATATACACACACACACCTCTATTCCCAGGTGTAGCTACCTAGAGACTCAGTGCCCTCGAGCAGTGAATTGGCCTATAAAAGGTTACTTTTAGAATCACAAACATTTTACAAACTTAAAATATCACATATGATTTTCAAATAGATACCAAGGCACTTCCAAGACATAGGGCAACTGTCTAGAAGTAGAACTGAGGGAATAGTGGTAGGGGTAAAAATATGAAAGTCATAAAATATTGATGCCATTATTATGAAAGTGATAAAATAGAAATATATAATGTTTATGTTTTAACCAAATATAAAACTAGAGACATTAAAATAGCATACCATGTACCAAAATAAACAGGGAAAACAATAAGAAACTACAAATTTGACTGCAAAAATGACTTAAGTTTTTATGGCCGTAAAGGATGCCAGCACAGGATAATGTACTGGAACAAAATAAATACTCTGCTCTTTCTGGAATTAGGTCCCTGTTTGGTCAATGTGGCTTTTTCCAGTGTGTGAATTTGTGGAATATTGTTCCTATGAAATGCTCCATTAAAAAAAATATTCTATGCCCAAATAAGTTTGAGAAATGTTGCAAAACATATTTCTCCTTTGGTATTTGATAATGCACACAAGCACATTAAGAGCTCTGAGAAGTCCTACAGTAAAAAAATGTTTATCTTATTTTACAACCAGAGTTAACTATTGTAAGGACAAATAAAAATTAAAAATAAGAGAATCCTCCTGTTGAAAATAAGGGAACAGATACTTTTCTCCCCTCTTTTATTTTTTAAAGAACATCTACTTTAGAAAATTTACCATTGTATTAATAAATAATAAATACTTCTTTTTAAAAAATGTCTATAAACCTTTTGAGAGCTAGATAGGCCTTTTGTCAGCTTTATGTCTCAAAAATGTTTTTCTTAAGGACATGAGAGTCATCTTTTTGAAATGCAAACACCAAAAAAGATAGCACCTCTATCTTCCAGTTTTGTGGCAAGTAGCTTAACTTCAATGGGCACCTTGCTCCAATTTGCAAAGCTACCTCCTGTTGTAAAGATATGAGGTTTGGGCAGGGCACGGTGGCTCACGCCTGTGTTCCCAGCACTTTGGGAGGCTAAGGGGGTGGAGGGGCAGATCACCTGAGGTCAGGAGTTCGAAACCAGCCTGACCAACATAGTGAAACCCCATCTCTACTAAAACAAAATTAGCTGGGCGTGGTAGCACGTGCCTGTAATCCCAGCTACTTGGGAGGCTGAGGCAGGAGAATCCCTTGAACCCTGGAGGTGGAGGTTGCAGTGAGCTAAGATTGCACCATTGAACTCCAGCTTGGAAAACAAGAGTGAAACTTCAACTAAAAACAAAAACAAAAACAAAAACAAAATGAGGTTTGTTTTTCCTCTGGTTAAAGACAATAAGCAAACACAGATGATCACCCCATAGTGTCACACTATGTGTGACAAAAGGTGTTAGCAAGTCCTCTCATTTGAGAACTAGTTATTGTTTATTTTGAAAACATGTATATAATGGGTTTGTAAATGCTCGGTTATACAAGGTGGTGAGATTCCTTTTTGTCTTTGAAAAATCTTAGTGGATATCACAGTGAATTGCCTGTAACGAGCATCACATTTTGGTTTAATGCATATTCAATAATAAAAGTACTTTCTTGTTCTATACCTTTGTGGAGGGGATTTCTGGGTTGGGAAAAGATTTAATTTTAATTTTTCTTTCAAAATACTATACATGTTTGAGCTCCCCCAGCCCCCAACCCCCAAACACATGCCTTTTTGCAAACACCAATTAAAACTGTGCACATTTTGAGAAACAATGATTTATAGTATTCTATTTAAGGTTTTATAAGATGGTTTCAAATATTTTTAAGATTCTAATTATCTTAAGAATGAGAATTAAGAAAATTTGACTGAAAAAGAGACAAAATAACAAGTTTCTTTAGGCATGCAAGCAACATTTCTCATTTGCACTTCCTCATCAGCACCTCAGAGAACGCACAAAAAATGATTCATCAATTCTCTCAAGGATGCTCCATAACCAGTACTATTTTGTACATATAAGATATAACTTAATTTATTAGATACAAGAGATGTTTTAAGGCAAGCAGGCTTAACTCTATTGTGAAACTCCAGTTGAGAAGACTGGCTGATCATCAGCTCCTCTACGAACAGAGCAGTCTATAAGCTGATAACAATTCTTCTGAACTTTGGACTCATACGTGCAATTGCTGACTTGACATTTCTACTTGGATGTCTAATAAAAATCCCAGCTTGATATGTCCAGTACTAAATTTGATCTTTCTCCATAAACCTGCTCCTCAAACTATCTCCTCTATTTCACTTGACGGCAACTCAATTCTTCTAGTTGTCAGGTACAAAAACCTTGGAGTCATCCTTGACCTCTCTTTTTTACCTATAGTAAAGAAATCTTGCTGGGTCTATCTTCTAAACATGTCTAGAACTGGCCACTCCTCATCTCGTCTGCTATCACTCAGGAGTGGGAAATCATAATCTCCTACTTGTTATTCCAATAGTCGTTTACTAGTCTCCCTGCTTTTACCATTGGTCCCTCTCTTGTCCTGCCATCTTTAGAAGGGCAGTCAAACTGTTCTTTTAATAGTTCTCTCTCTGACCTCATCCAGGCACACTCTCTTCCTTGCTGTTCATATATGCTAGGCACCTTTCACCTTAGGGTCACTGCTCCCTCTGTGATATTCCCCCACATGGCTGCATTCCTCACGTTCTTCAAGACTTTGCCTAAACGTCAGCTTCTCAATGAGGCTGTATTGGTCCGTTCTCAGGCTGCTAATAAAGACATACCTGAGACTGGATAATTTATAAAGGAAAGAGGTTTATTTATAAAGGTAATTTATAAAGGAAAGAGGTAATTTATAAAGGAAAGACTCACAGTTCAGCATGGCTGGGGAGACCTCAGGAAACTTACAATCAGGCAGAAGGGGAAGCAAACATGTCCTTCTTTACATGGTGGCAGCAAGAGGTGCTGAGCAAAAGGGAGAAAAGCCCCTTATAAAACCATCAGATCTGTGAGAAATCACTCACTATCACAAGAATAGCAGCATGGGGGCAGCTGCCCCCATGATTCAATTACCTCCCACCGGGTCTCTCCCATGACACATGGGGAGTATGAGAACTACAATTCAAGATGAGATTTGGGTGGGGACACAGCCAAATCACATCAGAGGCTATCTTGACCACCCTATTTAAAACTGCAACCTCTACAAAAAAGTTTAAAAAAAAATTTCAAAAGGCCGGGGAAAATGAGTCACACCTGTAATCCTAGCACTTTGAGAGGTTGAGGAGCAGGGTTGCTTGAGACCAGGCGTTTGACACTAGCCTGGGCAACACAGCCAAGACCTCGTCTCTATAAAAAATTTTTAAAAATCCTGCAACCCCATTCTCCAATCCTTGGTCCTCCTGACCCCACTTATCCTGCTGCCTTCCTCCCATTGTACTGTTTTCTAATATACTCATTAATTTTCCTGTTGTATTTATTGCTATTTTCTGATTATCTTCTCCCCTCCCCTCTAAAATATAAGTACCATGAAGGCAGGAATCTTTGTATCTCAAGTGCCCAGAGAGTTCCTGTTACATAGAAATAGTCAATGAATATTTGAACAAATTAAACAAGTGGAGTTTGAAACTAGCAGCAGGTGAGACTAGGGTTTGATGCATGGAAAATTAAAATCTCAATAGGTTGGCTGTCAGGTTCATTTACAGGTAAATGAGCAAAGTCACAAAATCCTCTCTTAGGAAATCATGAGCCTAGAGCACATTCCTACATAGTCTAGAATAGTTAGGGGAAGCCAGCCTGGAGGAAGAGTAATGAAGCAGACATTTGGTAGATTCAGAGAGCTCTATTGTTCTATAAATAATTTAGAAGAAAAGAGAAAAATTTGAGGGCTATGCTTTTTATTTCAAAATAAATATGAGAGTAATATACTCACTAAAATTTGATTAACTCTCCTCAAATGAAAACTGAAGTCATAATTCCCTTCTGACAAAATGGTGTTGCAAATAATTTAAATTTTGAACATTATCTTCTAGGCTTTCAGGCGATAACTTCAAAAATTTTAACCAAAAACAGAATAGTTGAGGCATGGCCAACTCTCTTGTTTTGTAATCAGAACTGGTGGTTAGTTAACTGCGAAAGTGGCTAAAGTGGGAAATTGACAATTAATACTTTGTACATTTGTACATTTCACGTTAACTTAAAACATGTACATTTCACGTTAACTTAAAAGATGTAGGGGCCAAGGGAAACCTCCCCTTTTCCCTCTGAAGGCTTGCTGAACTCACAAAAGACAGATTAACTGTGAAACTGCCTTTGTAGTTTTAAAAATTATAACAGTGACAGAAATCTAACCTAAGGGACTCCATCTGGCTTCTAACCTCACAAGCTATCTGCCTTGGTTAGCTTTAACACAAAGATGGTAACAGTTCCTTCCTGAAATTAACTCCCTCCTTGCTTGGAGACTGAACCGCCTTTGTAAGACTGATGAAAGGCCACAAGGTTAGGATTATGTGGGAACCCTGAATTCTACTAAGATGTAGGCATAATTAGATGATGATGGCCATCTTCGGGAGGTCACAAGATTTGTAACTTCCCCAGTCGCTCCTATAGATAACATCATTATTGTCAAATAGTGTCTAAGATTGGTCTTTGAGATATTTTTCAGACTTTTGCATTCTGATGACAGCCCAAATGCACAGCAAGGAACTAAGTCATACCAAGGAATGAAGTCAACTGGTCCTGTGACTACTCCCCCTCCCCTGAAACTGACTCAGCACACAAAGACAGTTTAAACACTCTTCTGATTTCATCCCCAACCATCAACTGCACCCATTCCCTAGCCTCTCTCTGCCAAATTATCCTTACAAATCCTAGGCTCCGAGCTTTTGGGAGGCAGATTTGAGAAATGTCTCCTGTCCTGCATGGCTGGCTTAGCAATAATTAAATGTTTTCTCTACCACAACACCACTGTCTTAGTGTGATTGGATTTTCTGTGCAGCAGGCAAGAGGAACCCATTGGGCAGTTACAATTAAAGAAAAGGCATACAAATTTATTAATGTATACATAGGGAGAACCACAGAGTGATTCCCTACCCTCCAACAGGGTTCGGAAGCGTGTATACCATCCTGGCAAAATAGGTTATGGCCATGGAGAGAAGAGGAATTCTGTGGAAGGAATTACTAGGGAGAATGAATGCATCAGGGAACAGAGATTAGCTTGTACATTTTCCTGTGAAAAGCTTTGTTCAGGTGTGGTTACATTCTTGGTCTTACAGGGAAGGGAAAAATAACAATTGTTCCTTTTCATAGGTCTGGATCTGAGGCAGATAAGGGCTTTGGGAGAGACAGTGGTGGGATAGAAGGTCAGAATGACCTTGAGGCTTCTTCAGTTCAGCATGTCAAAATGCCACACTTTGAGGTATCAGTTTCTAGGTCCCAACATGCATTATGAAATCATCTTTTAAAGGAAAATCAAGGCCTTTTCTTTGAATGTAGGACTGGTGATTGGTACTCTTTTATTTTCTTCCTTACTAAGTCACAACCTATATTTTACCATCTACAAATTCCAGTTTCATATCTTCAAAATAATACTATAGACATCTCTGACGAATTTTTAGGGTTGATGCATTTTTTAAATCTAAAACTTCTGTACTGGTAATTCATATTTACATATATTTTTAAAAAGCTCTAAGTATGTTTTAAAGTATTTTTTTGGGTAATTTTACACTATAAGATTTACTTTTATAGTATAAAACACACACTTTATTTTTAAACTTTCCAGAATTATTTTTTCTTTAATATTTGAGTTGTCTTGTCCACTTTGATAGAATTTTTTTGTAACTTGCCTTTATTGAGTCTTTCCAAAGAATTTACTTGATTTTCATAGAAACTACCCTTTCATTTTGTACTTATATTTCTAAAACCTGTTAAACATTTAACTAAAATATACAGCTATCCCGAGAATACTATTGGCACAAATAGTTTGGGACCAAATTCTACCAGCTCTTGATAAGTACACAACATGCCTGGTAGAAACATGAATACATGGTAATCAAAAGGGTATCATACTGGCCATGCACACTCCATATGCCTTGAACCATGCTCACGGCCTTTTCTTGAGGGCATAGTGAACACTGCCGTTTGTTTTTTCCAAACAACACCCAATTCTACAGTTTTCTAACACAAACTAGGTTTCCAACAATTTAATTCAATTTTGATACTAACTACGTAGAATTCGTGCAGATCCCACACGTTAAGGGCTCAGTTCCACAAGGATGTCCCACTTCAGATGCAGTTTCAAGTCCTGGGTCCTCTGGCTACCTAGATTTCTGTCTGACTTGGTTACAAATTTAGAGGTTCCAATAACCAGCCTATTAGGTATAATTATTTGCTAGAATGACTCATGGAACTCAGGAAAACACTACACTGTACTTACAATAACCAGCCTATTATTAAGGATGCAACTCAGGAGACACCAAATGGAAGAGAGGCATAGGGGAAGATATAGGGAGTTAGGGAGCACAGAGCTTCCATTCCCTCTCCAGTTACTCTGCCCTCCCAATGTATCAACATGTCCACCATTCTGGAAGGACTCTTAGTCTTGAAGTCTCAAAGTTTTTAATTGAAGTTACATTTCATAGGCATGATTGATGAGATCATTGGTCATTGATGATTTAACTCAATCACCAGCCCTTCCCCGCTCCCTGGACATCAACTGGTGGGGCTGAAAGGGTTAACTCTCTAGTTTGGTAGTCCTCAACCTTTTTGGCAGCAGGGACCTCTTTTGTGAAAAGGACCAATTTTTTTATGGACTCGGGGTAGTGGTTGGGGATGGTTTTGGGATGAAACTGTTCTACTTCAGATCATCAGGCATTAGATTCTCATACAGAACAGGCAACTTAGATCCCTCACACGTGCAGTTCACAATAGTGTTCATGCTTCTATAAGAATCTAATGCTGCCACTGATCTGACAGGAGGTGGAGCTCAGGAGGTAATGTTCACTTTCCCACCCCAAACCCCCAACCCTACGATTCACCTCCTGCTGTGTGGCCTGGTTTGTAACAGGCTATGGACCAGTACCAGGGGGTTGGGGACCCCTGCTCTAATTCCTGCATTTATTTCTGGGTTCTCTATTTCTATTCCATTTTTCTAGACCTTCCTGCTCCCTCTTCACTCTTGAGTCATCTAATTAACAGACGAAAAGACACCCTTATCACTCAGGAAATTCGAACAGTTTTTAGGAGCTTTATTGGGGGTGGAGGAAGGACAAAGACCAAATGTATTTTTTATTGTACTACACAAATTGTTATGGTATTGCAGTGAACACATTTATTTATTTGCTTCCCCTCTAGACTGTAAACTCCTTGAGGGCAGTTTTTGTATCTCTTTTTCTTTTTTCCTCCTGATGCACAAAACAGATAGATACTCACATTTTTAAAATAAGTGAGAAACTGTCTGAATGAAGCTAGCAAATTGCATCTTATTCATCTATAACATTGCTCAGTAATAAAAATATGGTATAACTAGACATTTCAGCAGAAATAAAACTATCATAAATTATAATCATTCACATGAAAAAATTCTTATTAACTCAGTTTTGGGATGCAGAAACCAGATATCTGGCCCCAGATTGGCCACTTACTTGCTACATATGATTGAGCAAGTCACATAACACTCTAAGCCTGAATGTTCTCAACTGTAAACATGCAAGAAAAATAATACTCTCTTTTAGCTCACAGCAATACTGTGAGGGTTGAATAAGAAAATGTTCTAAAGTGGTCATACCTTTAAAACATTAGTCGAATAAGAGAAATTAAAATGTTACTAAACATACAGTATTTATAAACATAGAATGGCTTCTGAACAACAAAATGAAAGGAACAGAGAAAAACATTTTCTATAAGTTTTATTTAATCCTGAAAGAGGCCAAAAAGCCTGGAGTTGCATACATAGATTAACCTGACCTTCTAACTCATCAAGTTTGAGAAGGTTGTGGCAGGGAACAGAAGGGACATTGTGGAGTACATTAAAAATTGCCCCATCTTCAGTCTACTTGAGTCTGATGCTGCAATCAATGAGAAATTTTCATGTATTAAGGCTAGAGGATACAGTATATCACATTCAACTGTTTCCAATAAGGTTATTTATTGCTATTCAATTCACATTTCCCTTAGGTTTTGGCAAGATTATAGAATTTATTCCTCCTACATGGTAGCCAGCCAAGTAAATCACATTGCATACTTCCATTGTCACACATTTTTCTTACCCAGCATCAGTGGCTTTATTTCTTTGTCCCTCAGAGTATCTTAAAATTTAGCTGTATAAGCTGCCCTTTTGTAATTCTGCAATTTAGTATTATTGCTTCCTTCCAAATATTTTCTTAATAAAAAATGTTGAAAAGAAAAGGAGCGCAAGTCAGGTGGTTTTCAACAATAAAACCAGAGACGAGGTGATATATATTATGGACAAAACATTTTTCATTGTAGAGAAAAAGTACCAGTTGATATTGAAACAAAAAACAATACTATCTCTGCTACAGGGTCTCACAGCACTTCATTATAAATAGAGAAGCATAAAGAGCAGCATTAAAGCAGCCTAGTGGATTCCCCTAAAGACAGTCATGGTGAAGAAGGCTCATCCCTACTGTTTCATGCCAAGCATTCTCAGCGAGAAGTCCAAACTCAGATTATCCTGCTCTATAACTCAGGCTCTCTCTCTCACTCTCTCTCCTTTAACTGACTTTGGTTGGACAAAAGACTCCCCTGCCTCCACCACCCATTTGTCTTTTACACCTTTCCAATGAAAAAAAATCTTGGTGATACATAATACCTTACTAACTATATTATACTGTTGCTGTATTATATTGTACTATCTATAGTACTATTATACTATTAACATACCTTACTACTATGTAATACAATTATACCATTCTATACCATATGTCTTATACTGTGCTGTACTATACTACTCTATATCATACTATGCTGTGTAATTCTGAGGGAAGTTTGTGCATATATCTACTCTAGTGATGGAAGTATGAGGGATCCCTCTTTGAACCACAATACATCCCATGTCTTACTACAGTATAGTTACTCTAAGTTAGGCCAAAAATATCACTCACAAAAGTAGGGATCACTAAATACTTCACGGTTAACCAAATAATTCATAATAACCTAAGTAGATAATGATGAATTAAAACTAGAAATAGTAGCAATTAAAAACCCTAGCCAACTGAAAACTTAATCATTGAGACACTGATAATGCTTCTTCTAAAAACTGGGGACACCCCAATGTTTTGTGTGGATGTGCGGGAGCTTCTGAGTGTTGGTGGCCCATTCTTAGGCACATTCTCAATAAATTCTGATAATCATCAATTTTAGTTTATGAGGGCCTAATTTTTAAAAACACATCATAATTCACTATTTGTAATTCACCTCTAACATGCTTTCAACATAGGCACTGTCCACATTTGGGGTTGAAGAACTCTTCATTGTGGGCACTGGTCATTCACCCAGACAATTATTGTCCCTTGACCCTGAGTACTAAATGCCAATGGTATCATTTAATCTTCATGACCACCAATAAGATCAAGGCCAAATGCTTCCTAGCTGGGGGAGAATAGTACAAAGAATCATATTGCTTATGAGAACTGAAGAGAGGATCATTGCAGGGGCGAGTGTGCAACCCACCAGGAGACCCCATCCTTTCAAATTGCCGTGTTGACTCTGAATCTGACTGGTCCATAGACTAATAAAAGCTATAGATACGTTTGTTGGTATTGCATTGTAGGAAAGAAACATTCTTGTCTCCTTTACTTACTCAGTGACCCTGGATGAGTCTTTTGATGTCTCTAAGCTTTAGCTCTCTCAATTTTGAGAAGGCGATGATAATGCCTGCTTTAACTAGTCTTTATACAATTTTATGCAAGGTGTTTTGTTCATTGTAAATCATGATGCAGCTATTTTAAAGTTTAGGGTTTGTCTTGGGTTATGTGTTTATTCCCAAATATAGTGCTTATAGGGCTATACTATAAGCTCACTAAATACTCCTGGACAATGAATACAATGAATGTAGCCAAAGCCAAACAAGAAGGATAGGAATTAAATCCACAAGGGATCATAACAATTGCTGGCATGTAAAGAACAGATTTTAGTTTAGTTAAATTGGAATTATGAGGTGTGGGGGCTGTGGAATCTGGGCTGTACAGGTTTTCAGAATCACTTCATCATTGCCAAACTAAAATGGGTATAATGTTCTTTTTTACATTCTGCATTGCCAGTGAGACTGTACATTCTCTACAGTCAATTCAATTCAATTAAGCAAAGTTTCATTAAGTATATGCTAAATTTTGGCACTGTTTTTGTTTTGGAAATTACTAATTATATATTTTAAATTTTTAAAAAATGTGCATTTTGAATTCCTTTTTTATTACTGAAAAAAAAACTTGTGTATTTTTTATACCTTCTTTTTTTAACAATGTTCCTGTGCATAATTTTCAAGATTATTTTCCTCTGACCCAATTTTCTCTTTTTTTTAAAGTTTCTTCTTCCTACATTTTTGCTTCCTGTATTCTTTCAGCTTTTCTATTGAGTATTGCTTATCTTCTCACCAACTCATTAAGCAGTGTTAGAATAAATGATTTGGTATTCAAATTCTGGATGCTTATTTTAATAAAAAGAAAGCCATTAAGCAGAAGATGAAAATTACTTGTAACTGTTCCAATTTTTATTTTGCTATCCCTTATAGTAGAAACTGGCATGCAATTATTAATTTAAGTTGGTTAGAAATAAATAGCCCATATCAGTTAAAGAATACAACCTCAAATATCTTGGGTGAATGACTGGAAGTCAGAAGGGGGAAAAAAGAAATGGGAGAAGGAGGAGAGGGAAGAAAGGGAGTGAAAATACAAACACACACATATGAATGCTTGTGTATGTTGCTGCACAGTAGCATAAACTTCAAGTTTGTTCTCCTTTCAGGGTAATATAGAAAGAGAAAATTCTCAGGCAATAGCATAAGGTGAACTTTCAATGTATCTTGGGCTTTTTAAAAAAATCTATTAAAATTATTACTCAAATAGAATTTTGACACCATACCAGGTTGTTCATAGCCTTTGATTTTTCTGTCAAAGGCCAAAGTAACAAAATTGATATGTCATCCAAGGCAAAAAATGTAAATACTCTATTGTAAATCAACCAGATGAAATAAAATGGAAATGTTGCAAAAACACTTAGACAAAATATTCATTATTAGTAGTAATTACAAACTGAAATTAGGAAATAAAAATTCCATATGAGCAGTAGTGATTTTGTAGCTCCATTCATCTGTGTGCCCCTCTAGGTATATTCTACATTTTCATTACATAATTTGAAAGCAAAAGCCTCTTGTAGACTTGCACCTCAATTATATGAACAAAAAATGCATTAAAAAATCTGTGATCACAATTCATGTCTTAAGGGATTTTAGCTTATTTTAGCTATTGTAGCAGCTGCTCTGGTTTCTGAAAAAAATGGACAAGAAAACTGTTAGCAATTCTCCAGCTTAAGCAGCGGCAATGTGAACATCAACTAATATGAACTGGATTAACAGGGGCTGCATTAAATGGCTTACTATGAACGCAAAACTGATATTTTGTTACAATTCCAAGAGACAAATGGACCATAACAGCATTATAGTCCATAAGAGCATGTACTATACCCAGTTAAGGTCTGGGACACTTCTGTGTCATTCACATCTAGGTTTAGAAGGTACCAAGGACAAGGCGCTCTGTTCCCTCAGACCAACTGCATTTAGATATAGCTCGCTCAGCATTTGCAATGAGCAGTGATTGGCCTTTGCCCAATTCAGGGACAACTGCTACTTGCCAGACATCTTGGTCATAGTTATAAAATTTCTACGTAAATTGAGACAAGATTTACATACCATTCCACACTTTCCTCCCTCTTTTATCCTATGTCTAAATTCCATATTCTCCAAGTCAGCCTTCAAATATTGAAGACAGTTTTCAGTCCCGCACTATATCTTACCTCCTCCAGGCCAAAGGTTCCCATTCCTTCAGGTTACTCCTCAACCCTTTTATAATCCTAGGTGTCGTACTCTGAACACATTTTGTCTCTGCTTTAGTAAAGTGCAGCTTTCAAAACATAATGTACTATTTTAGGCATGGCTGCAGATGTGACCAACCTAGAGTAAGACAGGTTGTCATGCTGGACACATTCTTATTACAAATATAATCTAATATCATATGAGCTTTTAGGCAATTACATCACATCTCTAACTCATACTGAGTTAATTATTAAATGAATGCCCAGAATCTTTCATATATGTTTTTCTTTCTAAGTTCCTCCCAATTTACTTTTTAAATTTTTAATTGGAGAATGGGACTTTACATTTATTTCCACTTCATCTTATTTCCTCGGATTTAGCCCAGTTTTGTAGACAATACAGATCTTTCTCAGTCTTGATCCTAACTTCCATTGTGTGAGTTATTCCTCAGTTTCATGACATCTGTAAGTTTTATTTCCAGAGAGCCACTGGTTCCTATGACTCATTCTAAAAGCCATTTCAAAATAATAAAATTAAAGATGAAATTATACAAACATTTTATATGATGGCTATATAAATGATTTTTCTTTTTAGTAACTTTAGGAATTTTTTATGAGACTCATGAATATATTTCCTAAAATTATGCCATATTCTATTAATATAAAGACTCCATTTACTAAGACAAGCATTTAACTTTATAAATATCAGGGAAAAATGTATTAAAACCAGCTTTCATTAATATATTCCTGAATTACACAGAAGGACCAGAAAATTGTTTCCACTTATGATACTATAGTGGAACAGAAAATACTTGGCATAACAGACTAAGCAAGAAGAATCAAATAGAATTCAAAATAGACTCTGAATACTCAGAAGCTTTGGAATTATTGAAAGATCATGTAAGGTAATTGCTAATGCCTAAAACATAATGAATGGGAAAAATATCCTCAAGTAACATAACATGTGCACATGTTATGTGCCCCACATTGTTCTGCAACAGCGTGGGAAATATGATAGAAAGACATATTGTCACACTTTGGAATGATTTTGTGAGAACTGGCAACCAGAGTCCAATATTTCAAGCATGGCTGTGGGTGTGGTCTATAACGGCCTCTCCTGGATCCCCGATTAAAGGGGTTTGTGTTAATGGAGTCCCTGCTTGCTAACAGATAATGCTGTTCACTTATAACCAGGCTCCTTAGTAGACACTGACTGGGAGTTAATAGGATCATTATCACCACAGGGAGTCTCCTCTCTAGGATACACAGAGCTTTCTTCAACAAGGGCAGGCTGGCCTTCTGCAAAGTTGTAGTCATAGTGATGATGGATATTCCAAATTCCTAATATATTTTCTCTACAGAGAGCTTCTACCATTCAGTTGGGAGATGTATGGATACATGGTGATGTTGATGTTTCATTGCTCTTTTCTCACTTGCTGCCCCAGAGTAATGAGCACTCCTCCAATTTATCATTCCTCCTTTTGAACCCTAACACCATGATGCCAACATTCATATTCTATAGATCCTGGTGGAGAAAACAAAACATCAGTTGCAGTTTACTATTCCCTACTAAAAAAAGCATTAATTAGACCATAAATGCTTTTATATATTTAGATAATTCCCAGTATTATTTAGCATTTTAATAGTCCTCTTTTTAACTTAGACATATTTACTTTTGCAATTCTATCAAAGAAAGCTCTCTCCATTTTATCTCTTGAAAACATTTAAAGCAGTTAACTCTAAATATATTGCCTGTGTTTACAACACTCTTAACTTGCCTGTTTCAGTAGGTTAGTAAGAGCCTTCACTCTAGTTAGTAAGTTCTTTTGAAATGGGATAGCTCCCTTGACCCCTTCAAGGGACTCGAGAAAGGGGTGGTTTGTGTACTCAGCCTGCAACCCTCAACCCCTCATGGGAGGGGGAGAATGCAGGTGAGTGGATGCAGGGGCTAGGTCGAGTGCTTCTGGGTGCTGACAGGACTTTTAGCTTTGCTGTCTGCAAATGGCTTAAGTGTTTAACAGCTCAATGTGACAGCCTTCTGTATCCTGAGCTCTCGTTCAGCATACAGGAAGAATCAGGTCACACGAATGAATTGAAGATGGTAAATGCAGAGGATTTTATTGCCGATGAAAGTGGCTCTCAGCGGGATGGAGAGCTAGAAAGGGGATGGATTGGGAATGTGGCCTTCCCCTGGAGTTCGGCCATCCCTGGTTGAACTCTTCTTCGAAGTCCTGCCGTCAAGCCATCCTTCTGAAGTCAAGCTGTTTCTTCTTTCTGACATCCGGCTGCTTCTCTTCTCCTCTCCTCTCCTTTCCTCTCCTCTCCTCTTCTCTCCTTCTTTGCTGCTCTGCTGCCAGTAGAGCCTGGGGTTTTTATGGGTACAGGATGGCGGCGGGGGTGGGGGGGTGGGCAGGGCAGGCAAAGCTAGTTTTGGAAAGGGCAACATTGGGCAGGAAAACAGGAAGGCATGTTCTCACTCTGGGCTGTGGGTCCAGACTTGAGGGTGGGCTTCACCAGGGACTCTGCCTTTCTCGGTCTAGTATTTCCCTTCCTCCTGTCTGTTATCACTTTTAACCTTTCTCCCAGGTACAGTATTGTCTTCTGGCTTTCAGATTAAAGCATTCTCTGCAGCTTCCTCCCTTTTCTTTGTAACATTCCAATTTAAGATATTTCCTCCTGTATACCTGTCCCCAGGTATCTCAAGATAAGGTACAATCCCAGTTTTATCATACTCATCCATAGTCTCCTAGAGGACAAGGTAAAACACGTGCAGGGATATCTTGCTGCATAGGAGAGGCATGAAAAACTCCTAACTTGGTATTCAAAATCTTTCACTATTTTATCTCTACGATCCCCAGTCCATCTTTGATCCCCACTCAGTCTCAGTTCACATATGGTGAACTCTAGCAAATCAAATTGCTTACTAATCTTTCTACATGTTCTCGCCTCTCTCTATACCTATAAATTGTATCTTAAGTTCTTCCTCAAGGCCTACAATGCTCTTCATTTTACTTATTCTGTTTTTCTTTCCTAGAGAAGTTCTCCCTTTTCCTGATTTTAAGCCTTCATTCACTCTGTTTTCTGTCCCAGGAAATGTCTCTTATCTTACCTTTGGATATCTAACTGCCTCTTTATGAAGCTTTATTTCGCCAACTGAAGTAAAGCTTTCTTTCTCAAACATCCAAAGATAGTCATCTGCATCTTCCCTATAGCATTTATCACTTTTCAAACTTTTAATCTGAAATAAATGTAGACTTACAGACAAGTTGCAGAGTTCCTGTTATACCCTTTAACTAGCTTCTCCCAATGTTAGTATCTTGCATAACTTTTAACTAAACATTCCAGTTTATTTGAATTTCCCCAGTTTTTCCAGCAACGTACTTTTTCTCGTCCAGGAGCCAATTCAGGATCCCACATTGCATTTAATTGTCACATCTCCTTAGTCTCCTTCAAACTGTATCAGTTCCCCAGCCTTTTTTACTCTTTCATGACCTTGACAACTTTTTAACTTATAATAGCCTTACATTTGGACATGTATATTTCCTCACTCTGTTGTAAGTTTCCCGTAAGATTTGTAACTGAGACACGTTTTTAATTCCCAATGTGTCCAGCACATGATAGGAGCTCATAATTACTCCTTAACTGCACGTCAGAAACAATTAGAAAGGACAGTAACAAAATCTGCATAATTAAATACTGAGTTGTATGCCACACAGAATTTTAGCTGTTACAAAAGGTAGAGAGCAAGACTGAGAAATTATAAAATAGACAGCTCTCTTTTCAGACACTATTTCTGAGCCCAATTTCTCTAGGCCCCAGAACAAGAATCACTGATGCTTCCAACTCTTAAGCTAATCATGGCACACGGAAACCTGGTGGCCAATAGAAAGGGCAGATACAGCCTCAGTCCCAGCATCTAGCATGACTTGCTGTTGGACCTCACTACCAATAGACCTCATGTATCCTGTGACAGGGATAGGTCCTGGACACTTGCACAGACTGCTGAGATAGAGTAATTACTCCCTATTATTTCTAAACCTTAGTTTCTGTCCTGTAGTTTCCTGATAAAAACTCAGGGCCAGGCGCGGTGGCTCATGCCTGTAATCCCAGCAGTTTGGGAGGCCGAGGCGGGCAGATCACGAGGTCAGGAGATCGAGACCATCCTGGCTAACATGGTGAAACCCCGTCTCTACTAAAAAATACAAAAAATTAGCCAGGCGTCGTGGCGGGCCCCTGTAGTCTCAGCTTCTCGGGAGGCTGAGGCAGGAGAATGGCATGAATCCGGGAGGCGGAGCTTCCAGTGAGCCGAGGTCACGCCACTGCACTCCAGCCTGGGTGACAGAGCGAGACTCTGTCTCAAAAACAAACAAACAAACAAGAAACAACAGCAACAAAAAACTCAGGACAGAGAAATCGAGTCTTCTTGCATGGGACCCCGAACCCTGGCTGGTTCCATTTCTGGTTCTCCCTACAAGTGATTGATGAGTGTGTCATGATGCCTTAAACCAGGGTGTCAACACTCACCTACCCTTTTATATCCCCCTGCTGCCTGGATTTCCCCATGGATATGACCCTTCTGCCCTTATTGAGTCCCACCCCTCCCCCAGGAAGCCAGGAGAATCCTCAGCTGACAGTTCCATGCCTTTTGCCTTTTGTATGTTGTCATACCCACTGGTTGTCCTCCTGGCCATCAAGGCTTCCTCTCCTTTCCCACAGGCCCCTGCTGCTATATGCCAGCAGACTCGGTGGTATATTCAGAATAGAGTCTATTGCCCCTATGCCACAGCTGTGTTTAGTTATTTCACATTGTTATTAATCTCAAATCACTATGATATCTGCATAAGCCTATACCTCCTCATTACTGTTGTACAGACTGCATCTGTACTTTTCACCTCCTGTTGAATTTGTTAGCTGTGACCGCTGATGAGTCCACTCATCTTCTGGGGCCACAGAAGCTTTGTTTCATTTTGGTGGGATCTAATTACTGACATCTAAAGGAGCGGACTCTTTAATTTCAGTTCCATACTGCATCATATTCTGATCTTTCACAAAGATTCAGAAATACCATCTGACAGGATCAAGGACAATTGAACTGGTATCTATTGGGTTTTAACTGCGGCTCTGCTGCATAATTTTTCATTTTCTTTGGAAGACCTTACCACAAAGAGGAAACATGCCTAGTAGGGTCCCAGAGAGGTGTTTTGACATTAGGTTTAATAAAGCATGAAGAACTCATTAATAAATAATGTTCTGCTAGGTTAACAAATAAAGCTGAATGCACTGGCTAGACCCTGGAGTAAATCAAATCATTCAGGCAGCCCTGTGACTTGTTAACTTGCAGCAGTCTCTTCTCAGCAATCTGGCAAAGCCCATTGCAACAATGCACAAATAAAACCAGCATATCATAAATGCATGCAACTTCAGTTATGATACAGGCTGTTAATTTTTTTATACTCTGTGGTCCCAAAATAGTAAACAAAGCTTCATTGCTGGCAATCAGGAGGCATTCTAGTGATACTTTTAATCTTTGCTAAAAGAACAATTCCACTCATCAACATGTTTACACTACAGTAGACATACATATAGACACACATATCCTCTCATTGCATATTCATTGCTTTACTATCTACAGGAAGTTGAAAAAAGTGAACTAGAGAATGAGCTAATGTGTGAAGGCATGCTAGTTTATTCCATCAAAATGGTTTCTGATGAACTTCTTATTCTGACTCAGAAAACCTTCAGGAAAAAAACCCAGAGATAGAGAACAGAATCGTCCTCCTTAAAAAAAAAAAAAAAAAAAAAAGGAAAAGAAAACTGAAAGTGCAGGACACCTAAAGAATACCTTCCTTGATGGAAGGTTGCATGGTTTTAGTTGGGGAAGGACTTCATGGCTGCCCACAGTAGGTTAAAGCTCTCTCAGGGTAGGCAAGGATGGGAGGAAAGTTTGGGTTATTTCAGGCAGTTGCATTTCTCTGATGATGCTGCAGTGCTGAAGCCAGCTGCTTTTTCATAAAGCTCTTCTCATGATTATGAGCTGACGGACAGCTGTCCAGTGTCAGTTGAACATGACTCACTTGCTCCAGCTGCTCAACAATTTGGATGAACCGAATCTCCTGCTTCATACTATTCTAACTGGCCACATTCTCCATTTACTAACGGATTTAGCTAGAAAGCCAACCACCATGTAGTAAGATAAAAACATTTCCAGGCAATGTTTTGATGAAACAACTTGTTGGGTGAGTTCAATTTCAACTCAAAGGTCTTGCCAACCATGCCCATATGGCCAAATTTACACATCTTGCCAGATCTTTTATGTGGTTATGATGACAAAGTCATTAGGTTGCCATTTAAATCCTTTTCCAAAGCTGCAGGTTTAAAGCAACCACTATCCTGAGAATAAAAGTATTCTATTAAACAATCTCACTTGAATATTTTCACAACTCAATATATGCATATGCATATGTATATACTATTCATATATAGTTATATAATTATATAAAGTTGTATATTAACAGTTTCTTCATTTTCAAGTCAATGAAAACAATGAAAATGAAGCAGCAATCGGAGTTCAAAGTGTTCATGGCAAGATTTCCGTTTTGGAACAACAAGAGAGACCATTTGGAATAGCACAAATGAGAACAGTCTATATCTACTGAGCCTTACAATGTAGTTTACAATGTAAAGTACATCTCTTTTAATTCCAATAGTCCTAAGATGTTGGCAATGTTATCATCTGCATTTTACAGATGAGGAAATTGAGACTTAGCAAACTGAAGGTGTCCAAGGTCACGCAGCTAGTAAGTAGCAGAAGTGGGGACTTGAATTTAGGCCATCCAATTCCAGAGCTCACATTCATAATCACTATTCTATACTGCCTTGTATGTTATCAGAAAACTCAGCCACAGATGGCTCTACCACTAACCTGGAAAAAGTAGGACTCACTTCCCTCACTCTCCTTGCATTAAAATGAGTTTAGTGTTAGCCTAAATATTTAAGTTACCATCTTGTATGATTCTAACAAACACTAAACTACATACGTATTTCTTCTTTTCTTTTCTTCTTTTTTTTGAGACAGAGTGTCGCTCTGTCACCCAGGCTGGAGGGCAGTGGCATGATCTCGGCTCACCGCAACCTCCGCCTCCCAGGTTCAAGTGATTTTCCTGCCTCAGCCTCCTGAGTAGCTGGGATTACAGGTGCCTGCTACCATGCCCAGTTAAGTTTTGTATTTTTAGAAGAGACAGCGTTTCGTCATGTCGGCCAGGCTGGTCTCAAACCCCTGACCTCAGATGATCTGTCCACCTTGGCCTCCCAAAGTGCTGGGATTACAGGAGTGAGCCGCCGTGCCCGGTCTACATACAAATTTAAATATATTGTTTCCTGTAAGTGATGACTCTCAGTGCTAAGGTGCAAAACAAAATGGAAAAGAATGTTTTCATTTTGTTACCTGAACAACTAAGCAGTTCCGGTTTCAATGACAAAGGTCTTTGATATTTACACAAACATATATTGGTATGAATAATTCTCTTCAGAAACTAAACAACACTCAAAACCTCAATGTTAAAAATTTTGCTTCTTTTGGAAAACTGAAAAACTTAGTTGAAAGGTTACTAAGCTCATCAGTAGGTGCGAGGTTTCGAAGGAATGATGTGGTTTTATGATGAGCTGGGAGTGAACTGGTATTTAAACAGCTGGTATTTAAACAGCATAGCCTAAAGAAATGAAAAATGCCATTCCCTGAGTAGGCCTAGAATCAGAGTTGTATTACTTGGTCCCTGTTCAGAATCAAACACGTAACTTTTTTATGTCCAAAGTCTAAATCATTAGGAAATATACTCTTGCTGTTAAATCATGAATAAAACTTTTTAAATCTATTTTTTTTTGCTTAAACTTCTGCACACACTGAATTTATTTAGATATGAAATATAGAAGGATAATTTATAACGGTCATGTCAATCCATACAGAAATTTCTATTTATTATTAACTCTTGTGTAATGTGACTTCTTGTGCCTCTGTACTTTACTTCCCAAATTAGATTGAAACTGGATTTGGCATTTCTTTGTTACCCGTAAAGTGGTTAAGCAGAATGTTTTAAAAACAGTTCTACTTTCCCACAGCAATTTAGTATGCAATCTAAACCATAGAGAAAAATGTGTAAATGCAAATCCTCATTCACAATAAATGTGGTGCCCCAAGGCACTATTGCTACCTCATAAGTATTTGGATATTATATTACACTATATTGTCTGTCAAGCTGTACTTCCAATCACATTATTTTTATTCTTACCAATTTACATAATGTGTGAAAAAACAACGAAAGGCAAAGGTAGGTTCGATTTTACTCAGCCCAAGAGGCAAAATACAACACTCTTGGACCATATAGGTTTACGTAGAGGGGACGTGTGGCCCACTAATCCCCTTGTTGATCAGAGGACAATTCAACTATGAAGTGATTAAAAATGAAAAATAAAGTTCCTTTGGGAAAAGCATATGCAAAAAAAATGTTGCCTTCTAAATCACATACATATTCATGGGGGAAGGGGTAGAGGGAAAGGAGAGGGATAAACATTTCCAAGGACATCACTAAGGGCTTCAGACAAAATGAATTCAGGCCATCAAAAATAAGCGTAAATTAGTTATTTTCACAGTTTTTCTTTCATTGGTAAGGTGAAATATATTAGCTTTGTATTTTTTAAGCATTTTTTGTTATTATTGAAAATAATAAACAATTAGTCTAAAATGCCTAATGCGAGAATGCTAATAATTGGGCATCACATTAATAAGAATCAGATGTAGTTTTAAACTGTGATTTTCAATGAGCTTTACTTATCAATAGAAGACTTTAATTGAATGGTACCATGTGTACTGGAACAGGTAGAAGATCCAGTTTTTAGCTTCTTAATTTTATATGATTCAAAAATGTACAACAATCAAAGTAAAAGCTGGTTGAATTATTTATTTTTCTATTTCATTCACTACCAGAAAAACCATGAAAACCTTGAAAAGTTCATAAAGTACTTATTAAGTCTTCAGGACTTTAGTTGTTTACAGCTTCTTCCATAATCATTCTTTATCAAACCATTTAGAGCCCTGTCTCTAAAGTTATACATATTTTTAAATTTTCTTACAATTTAAATTATATTGGTTTAATAAATGGTATGCCTGGAAATACATACGAAAATTCTATTCTGTGCAATGAGAAAGCCTCATTTTGCCATTATATAAAGCCATGGTTTTATCTTTCATTTCAAGGAAATTTAGAATCCATTTATAAGCACCAAATGCATAATTTTTTATGATGTATTATAATGCTTAAACTCAGAACTGTCTTTGAAAATAACTGATGTTGCTTTAATTATTTAATTTTTTGCATATGAAACTCCCTAGGCTTAGCAGACAGTCTTTTATACTTTTCTTTGTGTTTTGAATATATTAACTTTCTGCTCTATTAAATCTACTGAAATTTTCCAGTGAGTTATGTAATTTTCCCATATGAGGTTTCAAAGAGTTTTCAAATGACTCTGTATCACTTCCTAAGGACTCGGAGGAACCCAGGGCACAGACGTTACTTAAGTTATTTTCCAAGCTCAGCACTTTACTACTTAGTATTTTCTTCTTTCATAATTCATTGAAAAATAATACAGTTGTATTTTATTTGTGCCATATATTGATAAATATATGGTAAGTCATTTCATGGCTTCATAAATAATTTCATTTATTTTTCAAAGAAAAAAAAATCTCCAGAGATCATTCTTCTGTCCAAATACTAAACAGCTCCGACCCTGCTTAGCTTCTGAGATCTGATGAGATTGGACACGTTCAGGGTGGTGTGGCTGTAGATAAGATCATTCTCATTTTTTTAAAAGTCTAATTCCAGTTGTGCTGAAGAGGTTTTTAAACAACTGAGGCTATTTCAGGGAGCTTAGGCACACTCAATAATTAGATAACTTTAAGAAATGCAAAGATATGGTCAATTCTCCTTAATTTTAAGGGAAACATTATTTTGATAATAGGCAATGAAAAATCTCAAGTAGAGTCAATTACAAAAAAACATACTAGGTTGGGATTTAAAAGAATAGGTTTCCTTTCCAACTCAGTTCTATTATTAACTGGCACAGGGACTTGCACACACCATCTAACCTGGACAAATTACTTTCCCTCTCTGGAACTCAGTTTTCACACACCTGTCAAACAAAGGCAGTTGGACTAGAAATTCTGAAATTACTTCCAGCTCAATCAGTCTGTGATGCTACAGGACTGGTAGGTAAGAATTTACATGGTAATTAACATAAAAATAAGTCTAAAAGTGGCATCATTTTACTATAATTACCTACATTTTTAATAAAATTACCTATAAAAATTACTATAGGTGATTAAAAAATACATATAGTACATAAAAATATGTATTCGAATTTAAAGTTCAGTCCTCATTTTTCTGATAATCAAGTAACAATTTTATCTAATGGTTCCATAATGACATACCTTCAAAATCAAGGTAAATTCTAAAAGTTAACATACTCTTACCTGACATTTGAATCTTTTTGAACTAATTAGGCTTTGCTTAACATCACTGACCAGGATTACAGTTATAGTGATACTATAATAGTTTAAAATTATTCCATGGGTTCTAAATTTACTAAATTTTACTGAAAAGTACTTATAAAATGGATAATTTTAAAAAGATACATAAAATATTTAAAAATATATATTCAAATGTAAAGTTCAGTCCTCATTTTTCTGATAATCAAGTAAGAATTTTATCTAATGGTTCCATAATGACATACCTTTAAAATCCGGGTAGATTCTAAAAGTTAACATACTCTTAGCTGATGTTTGCATCTTTTTAAACTAATTAGGCTTTGCTTAACATCACTGACAAGAATTACAGTTATAGTGATACTATAATAATTTAAAATTACTCCATGGGTTGTAAACTATCGGGAAAAAGAAAATAAATTTAAATTTAATATTCTTCATTGTTTGACCCTTTTGGAAATCCCACAGTATTGCTTGGGGAGAGCTTGTAAGTATCTCAAGTATGAATATCAAATGTAGAGAAGCTGATTATTAAACAAAGAAAATTTGCGCAACACTCATTTAATAAAGACTCCACTCTCCAAATCTAATTCACATATTCTGATTTTAAGACAACAAGAATGAACATTGAAAAACATCAGCCAGAAGAACTGGAACAAAGTATAGGATCCGATCTCACGTCTCATATCTTGTCATATTGTTTCTTATCCATTTTATGTTTTATTTAGGTTTTCTTTCTTTTATACCTTATTGTAGTCCATAATGCCACATAATTCATTTACTTGTTATAATTGTTTTTTATTGCCTGCCATGCCTCAACAAGGCCATGAAAATAGAGCTTGTCGTCTGCTTCATTCAATGATGTATCTCAAGTCTTAGAACAGCCTACCACAAAGTAGTTATTAACCAAATGCTTGTTGAATGAATGAAGAAATGAAGAATGCATTGAATTACAATGTATATAGGAATGGGTCTTGATTCTCAGCTGAAATCACTGTACAATGCACAACTCTCCTGCATCAGAACACTCACATCAAGCCACTATCATTTATAAAGTTCATATTGAGCTTGGCTGGAAACTTACTTTTTCTATTATTAAAATCAGTCATTAAATTTGGCTATGTTGATGACGCATGATAGAAATGTGGTTGCTATGGCACAGTGTATATATACCCTGCTCGTGAAGGAAGAGCAAGGAATGGAAGAACAAAGTGAGTTACCTGAGCAAGGAATGAAGATAGAATGGTTTGTGGCTGTAAAATGTTAGCTAAGACACTCATCTTATCAAATATGATTTTAGCTAACCTGAGGAAACTACCATCTAGAATTTACTCATTTGAAGGATAAGTCCAATGTCTTAGTGACCTACTCTGTAGTAATGTGTGGTTTAGATAGTTTAAGTTGCATTTATACAGAAAAGATTATTCTTGTATCAGCAGACAAAAGATGTATTTGAGCAATCTTTACTTTCCTAAACAAGGAAATTTTGGGCCACGTGGTTGAGATCTAGTAGAAGGAAAGAAATTAAACTAGAGAAACTTCATTTAAATTAGAAAGAATGTGCAAGGTAGGAAAAATGTTACTGTGAAATATAATAGTTCGATTTAATTTTTTTTTTGCTGAGGTATATATAATAAAGGCCAAGTGTTAAATTTTCATTTTTGAATATTTTTTTCATTTTAATAGGAGTATCCCATGCCAACATATATGACATTTCTTCATAATTTTAGGTTAGAAAATATAAGCTTCTTTTCTCATAAGTTTTCATGCTCTACAAAATTTGCCATCATAAACCACTTTGCATTTATCACAAATGGGTATTACATTAGAAAGGCAATTCAACTGTATTCCATTTCACTAGTGAAGCTAAGCGGCTTTGCATGATAACTAAGTTGGGTTAATGGGACTATGTTTGAAGAATGTGTTACCTGGAACTGAAATTCCCTATTTGTTTTTAACTGAGCTTAGGAGTCTGCAAAATGAAGGCAGGAAACCTGCTGCGAGAAGGATAGGAAAATTATTATCATCTGCATTCCTAAATTGAAGAAGAATTTCTGCTCAGCAGAAACCTCTTGACTGCAGAAACTCTGGAATTATATCCTGCTGTTTAGAATAGCTGTTTAGGGTAGGGGGAGTCCAAACATTCCATTTTTCTTCAAATCAAAAAAGTTTTATGCATACGTTTACAGCCTTATTGGAAGCTTGCTTGCTTTCTTTTCAAAAAGAGAAGCTACGTGGAACCTCTTTTTGTTGATAATGAAAAAAATTTAGTGACTGGTTAAGTACCTAATTTTTGGTTAATGAGTAGTTTTAATTATCTTTGATATAGAAATATTTTGTCTTGAAAATAAATTTCAATATAAATATTTGGCTTCATAATACAGGAGCTGAATTTTTAAACTTAGTCTACCACCTAAAAAATGGGTTATTTCTATTTCTTGGGATGTTTTCAGAAGTTTATTTGCTGAACAAACTTCTATGGTAGCTCTTAAAGCTATTACTTATTCAAGATCATATACCTTCATTATGTATTATACCCATCAGCATTTATTATAGAGTCCCTCTTTTGTGTTAGTAAATGCTTTTGGGCCCTGAAATTTTATGTTTTCTGATACTAAGATTTTTAATTCCTAATTTCTTTAGATAGCATTTTCCCAGTACACCTTTGCCTATCCTTTCATTTTCAAAGTTTTGAATTAGCTTCTATTGGTTGTATACTTGTATAACTTAGAATTGGGTTTTATGCTACGATACAATTTGAAAATATTTTAAAGAAATAAGTGTATTTTTTATATTTATTGATGTGAAAGATATGACAGAAACATACTGTCACAAAGGATTTGAGAAAATCTTTCATGATATGGTCTATTTTGGGTAACTTCAAAATATAAATTTTCTTCTAATTCATAATGTTTATAGGCTCACATAATAAATTATATCATTTCTATAATCTCATAACCTTGATAATTTATCTCTTTAGAATGTTTACTATTTTCCTATTATGTGTGAGAGGAAAAGTTCTCTCTCTGTTTCCATTTTTTACCAGCTATTTCTGGGCAATAACAATAGCTCCTTTATATCTTTTTTTGTACTCTTAAATCTGCTTATACTTCTATAGTTTGATTGTGAGTTTGAAAAATATTCATTGATTCCTTGATATTGAGAATAAAGTAATCAAATAACTTATTTTATACATATATATATACATATATATATATACACACACACACACACACACACCGACTTCTTTCTGTTGTGTCTTTCCTAATTTTTGTTAGTTGTTTTAGTTTTACATTGTCAGGACATTATACTTTTATGTTCTATTACATCACCCTAATCTCTATATTTATCTTAGATTTAGTGCTAGAGTTAAATATTCAATGCTTGCAATCAGTTTTTTTGCAGTAATTTCTATAGTCACTTATTGGCTGGATAGATAATAGTTGCTTCAAGAAGGGCTCTAATAGTTGCTAATGGTTGTTTCAAGATGGACTCTTGATAACAATATTTCCTAAGTTCCAGTATGTTCAGAAAATTTGCCTCTAGCCTTTACACCTTGAAGGGCAGTTGGGCAGGTCATAAAACCTTTGGTACCATAAGGGATGGTGAATTCATTATCTACCATGGCATCCTATTCATTGTTGGGTATCTCAACTGTTACTAGTTTTGTAAGTTTTTTCAAATTTTGCCAAAATTCATCTCCTTGAAACTTCCAATAGCATGACTTATAGTCTCTTCTACATAAAACCCTTCAAATATTTCTCTACTCTAGGATAAAAGTAACAAGGCATTGAAGGAAAGTTTGTAAGGCCAAAATATCCCCATGTACCTTCTAGTAGTAGACTTGCTGTTTTGTTTGTTCAGTCAGCTCAAGTCATTGCATCTTCCCTACCATCCTTTTATAGTGCTCTTTTAAAGCAAGTTAGACTTATCATTTTAGGGCCAGTAAGACCCTCTGGGATCATCTGGTGTAAAAGTCTTATTTTAGGATGAAGAAACAGGTTCAGGCAAAGGTGAAAATATTTTCTTAGGGTCATGCCGCTACTAGGAAGCTGAGTCAGACTTTGAACCCTAGTGACTCCCAGGCAAGGATTCTTTCCACTTCACTAAATCCTTCAAAAATACAATGATCAAAACTGTTGCACTGCACTTTAAAAACTCAGTGTGTGTCCTGTCACATAAAAGAATGTATCTAAAGCCTGTTTGATAATTGTCATTGTGTTCCATATTCTAGCTATAGAATAACACATGCAGGATAGCTGTATCAGGGAACTTTCAGTGGGTTTGCTGTTCATCTACATAAACTGTCACTTTTATTTTCTGCTTCTTGAAAATGAGAAACTTCAGACAAATGCACATTTAGTTTTCCTACCCCAAACTCTGTAAACCATCATCTTGAAGTAAAATTACACAGCTTATGCTTACAACATAAGGGCCAGGTTTTATCTTCAAATATACCACCCACTCTCGAACAGCAGAATTTGGCCCTAAAAACCCATTAACAAATATTGTCATTAAACTAAAGAGCTAATTACTTTGGATTCAGACAGAATGAACAAAATCGTAGGCCAACCGCAGCTGGTTGTAATAATGGTGAAACTAAACGTATGTTACACCAGAGAATTAAGACATATTAACACTAATGGAACCAAACATATAACATTATCCTCCAAATGGAACTATTATAGTTAGAGAATTCTTGAAAGTACATTGTCTTATTTGATACAAGAAATAAAGAATCTTTCCAAGGAATTAATTGTCATAATTTGAAATTATCAGTGTTTAATGAAGAAGAAAACATGGAGAATTTCATACCACTACAATATTCCACAAATGAAGAATTATACCTAAAAATTATTTCGATCTAATTGGACACAAATTATTTTAAATTCAATTTTAAGTACTTAGGTATCTATAAATCTTCAATGTTCATCTTGGAGGAAAAATTTCCCCTTAGTTTTCTTATTGAAGAAATCATTATTGAAAAACACCCACTTAACTTCCCCTTGTTGATGTCATCCCTAACCAGATTGTTGTTTACTACTCATTGTGTTAGACTTTTATATGAGAAACTTTTATATGAAGAGACTTTTATATGAAGAGAAAATGTGATTATACATGAGGGGACAGACTAGAAGATCAAAATGGTCCATTTCTGCTCTAAAACTTTATGTTTCTATGATTCTATAAAGTTTCTGTAATTTATTCTTCTGTTGCATGTTTTGCTTCCTGCGTATTGAGACTGTCTTGCTCAGGTTCCCTGAAACTACATTGTAAGTTTTCTTTAAGAAACTGCAACTTAAAAACATAGTCTGATAAATACACCAATGATAATGAACATGATTCACTTCAAGACACAATTCATTCTTTCTCTACCTGTTCCTTTTTCCAGAAAAAATAAGTAATAAGAAAAAAAGAAAGAAAGAGAGAGATGAGTAAAGGTATGCTTCTCTGAAATTGAAATATTGCAGATGATTTACACTAAAAGCTTTATGAAATTTTATTTGGAGATTTTATCCAATGATAAACTTGTGAACTACAAATTTTAGGCTATGTTCAGGTATGACAATCTTACTAGTGAGCACAATTCTAATAACAAGTGCATGTGAAACTTCATTATTATAGTTAATCCAATACTGCAAATTTTTAATTTTGATTACTTGAAAAAAGTACTCTATTATTTTATGCAAATGACTATATTCAATTCTCTACATGTAAAACTAATAGCTAATATGTGCTAATTGGCACTATTAAGATATACTTCTTTTTGATGAAAGGTTTATTGTTGCCTTTTGATACGTTATGGATAAAAAATTCTACATAATGTGAACAAGTGTACACAAAGACTAATAGAGACAAAAAATGTCTATAAGCCTGAAATCCAATAAAAGGATTTTGATTAAAAACTTCAGCCTTCACTATAAAAATAATATCTTATTGAACCTTTAACATCACAATTTAAGATCTGAATATGCCCCTACTAAACACTTTCACTGAAATAAAAAAAACCTTTTGTAAACTTAAAATTACAAATTATAAAAATGAAGTTGCTAAATGACATATAGGAAACAGAAATACAATAAAGTGATATTCACCAAATGTACATGTAAACTTCCGTAAATGTATCACATGATTTATAAGTTCTTATTTGCTAAGAAAAAAAGTAATGGAAAGAGGTATTAAGCAGATTTGTTCTTTTAAAATCTAAGTCTGAGCTTTCAAAATGAAGAGAAAAAGACACAATCCTCAAAATTTAGAAATACTTCACCAAACCTAGTAACAACTCATTATTTTCATCTTTTAGAAATTTCTTATAATTAGATACAATAACCCTAAATATCTAAATAATTGAAACATTACACGAAACAGAGCAATAGCTACAGAGAACAATGACAGGGCTATCACTCTGAAAGAGAGATAGTGACACCTGGGAATTAGCCCATCATACTGAACTTTAAAAAGGAATAACTCAAATTAGGGGAGTCAAAAAGGGAGCATCAATTTAGCACTTCTGTAACAAAATTACCCCTTCCTTATTTATTCTTATGACTATAGGAAACAACCAACATAAAAGCTCAGGTTTAGCATAAGGTTTGAAAATGGGAACTAGATTGTATTGAATGTCACTTTCAGTGTTTCTCAAAGGCCTCAGACTCACAGGCATCAGGATAACTTGTGAGTGGGTAAATGTAAAAATACACATTCTTACGACACATCCCATTCCTAGTGGATCTACGTTTCTGTGAAATATCCCCAGGGATTAGCATTTTAAGGATCCCTCCTCCCAATTTCATGTGACTCCTATGCACATTAAACTTTGAGAACCACAGTATGTTAATGCTTTGTAATGTGATACTGATTATCAAATATCAAGGTTTCTACTCTGCCCTTCTTGTATTTACATTTACATGACAGATAACAATTTTTAAACATTATGTTTTATTTATTTCCCCTTTTTGCTGTGGAACTACACATACATGGATAGTTTTCTTACATTTAATAGTTTCTTTTCCTTTCTTATATTTTATTAAAATATATAATTACTTTTGATGCCATTAAGAGTTATGCAAATATGTGTGGTGGTACCCCCTAAATTTGCTTACCTTCAAATCCTTGTGCTCATTCAGCAATTTTTGAACAT
This sequence comes from Homo sapiens, assembly GCF_000001405.40. Classification (NCBI taxonomy): domain Eukaryota; kingdom Metazoa; phylum Chordata; class Mammalia; order Primates; family Hominidae; genus Homo; species Homo sapiens. Next base: position 114,228,623 of record NC_000006.12, read on the forward strand.
ATATGGTGGAAACTTTCAAAGGAATATATGTAGTGGATTCTCTCCTTAATTTCCAAGGGTTTTAAAACAGGTCAGGGAGACTCCTGGGGTGGCCACCAGAAATGCCGTTGAGAATAGAAGACACCAATGCTGAAGACAGTGAGTATCTGATTATCTCTAAACAGAACAGAAAAAGAAGTGGTCGGTCACCTGTAATTCATAGAGAATCTGCTATGGAGAAAGTTATTTTCAGTGTTACTAAATTTAAACTTGGCCAGGGTTTGCTGCTCCCTGATTTAGCAGAGTTGTCATTTAAAATTTCATGTCATTGTGAAGTCAGAATTACATGATGCTGCCTGCAGGGCATTCTGGTTGAATTCCTATTGCTTTAATTGACTATTTTTTTCTACACATTGCATCAGGTGATATCATTACTAATTTTATTTTTGATATGCAGGTGCTACATTTTGCAGCTGAATTTCTAAGTCAGGTTGATGAGGTCTCTTGGAAATATTTCTTTACATGAGGCTCTATCACCCCCGTAAAAGATAAAATGGGATACTTTAAATCCCCATGGAATCATCTGGTAATTTTGCTATATTTCCTTTCACATGGGTAGTACTTGCCAAGATAATTAGGTATAAACAAGAAAATATTCTTTTTAGTCAAAATGTGTTGCCTATTCGGGAAAACCAAAATTCTAGAATCTTTGTTGGATGAGTTAAGCAGAAGTTGGTAGTGGCTGATAGAAAAAGAGAAGAAAACATCTATTTTTAAAATTGGTAATCAACCATGCAAGTACTCTCCTAAAGAACAGAGGAAATGAAATGTACAGATAAATACATGGTCAAAACTAAGATGACAAGAGCATACACACATGCAAACCCAGAGTACACTGCATAACAATAGTTCTCAGAGAAGGTTCTATTGCTTGGCCAACCACCGCGCCCAGCTCTCTTCTTTCTTGCTACACCTCTCACAAATAGAGAACAGAAAATCAAGTGTTCACTTTCTGATTCTTCCTTACTGCTAAGAGTGGTCATGTGACCCCACTTTGGCTCCCCATTTGGGCTCATAAGCTATAAGAAGTATGCTGGGTAAGAAATCCTGCCAGAATATTGCTTTATTGATAAACAGATTCCTGCTTCTCTTCTCTCTTTCACACATTTGCTTGCCTTGAATGACGACATGATGCTTTCGGGATAGAGCAGCTGTCTTGTCCCCATGATGTAAAAGACAATGGAAGTCCAGAGAAACACAAAGATATAGGGCCTGTGAAGGATGAGCAACTTAACAAATAGCACTAATGGCTTTCCCTGAAATTCTACCTGTGTAAACCATTCAGTTGTCGTTTCTTGCTGATAGAGGCATTTCTGGTTGACAAAATGTACAAAAAATGTGTTAAAAAGTAAGTGCCACTGAAACGGTTGCAATGATAGCTACTGTTTAACTCCAATAAGGAGAAGGTTTCATGATGCAGAGTCAAAAACAGCCTTCATTCTGACAGAGGTTGGAACTTGCCTTTTTTTTTTTTTTTTTTTTTTTTGACTCCTAGGAGATTTGGGCATGTGGAGAATAATGGGACAGGAGATGACGGTAATGAATTAAAACAGAATGGAATGGAATGGAAAGCCTAGCGCAGGGCTTGGTTTGGAAGGAGACGGTCCAGTATTATAGCAGGAAAAAGGAAGACTCTCATCTTTGCCTCGGTGACAAAGCTATGTATGACATTACTCAAAATCTCAGTAAGAGACTTAAGTTTCACCTCAAAGTTCATTATTCTTATCTCACAAAGTCTTGTGGATTCTTTTTTACTGAACTATTTTTCACATTTAGCACTTCACTACTATCTTCCCTTCATAAATATTTCTTCCTTAACTACAGTTCAGGCTTTCACCATCTTTTTCCTAAAGTATTGGCAGAGACTCTTTAATAGATTTCTCTATTTCTTTTTTCTTAGATGCTATAGTATGTTCTGTAATTGCCTTAAGACTCTTTTTTTTTTTTTTTGAGACAGAGTCCCACCCCAGGCTGGAGTGCAATGGCATGATCTCGGCTCACTGCAACCCCCCATCTTCTGGGTTCAAGTGTTCTCCTGCCTCATCCTCCCAAGTAGCTGGGATTACAGGCATACACCACCACACCCTGCTATTTTTTTTTGTATTTTTAATAGAGACAGGGTTTCACCATGTTGGCCAGGCTGGTTTCAAACTCCTGACCTCATGATCCGCCCGCCTCAGCCTCCCAAAGTGCTGGGATTACAGGCTCGAGCCACCGCGCCCGGCCCCTAAGACGTACTTCTTAAAGCACTGATCTCATTGGATCCCTATTCTTTTCAAAACAAAGAGCTCTCTTTGTCTATTGAATTAAGTTTGATGTAGTTTGTATATTTGTTCCTGCCCAAATCCTATGGTGAACTGTAATCCCCAATGTTGGAGGTGGGGCCTGGTGGGAGGTGACTGGATCATGGGGGTGGGTTTCTCATAAATGGTTTTAGCACCATCCCCTTGGTACTGTTCTTGTGATAGTTCTCATGAGGTATGGTCATTTAAAAGTGTGTGGCATCTTTTATGGGTTCATAACTAAACCCATAAAAACCTTCCTCTTAAACACAGCCTTCTTCCAGTGCTCTCATTTTGTAAATAGCACTATCAGTCATCAGCTGAATAAGCCAAAAACCAAGATCTTCGAGCTTTGAAAAAGGTTGCTCCTGCTTTCACCATGTGATGTGCCTGCTCCCCTTTGCCTTCTGCCATGACTGTAAGCTTCCTGAGGCCTCCCTAGAAGCCCAGCAGATGCCAGCACCATGCTTATGGAAAAGCCTGAAGAACTATGAACCAGTTAAGCCTCTCTTCTTTATAAGTTACCCAGTCTCAGGCATTTCTTTATAGCAATGCAAGAATGGTCTAATACAAAGTCCAAGGTCCTTAACCTGGCATTTAATTCTCCCCATAATATGAAAGCTTCCAGATTTCCTATCCCTTTCTGAACGCTCTAGGTGGTTTGCTGGGTGGATTTATCCCCACTCCAAAGTTGCACTCTAATTTTCTTAAGATAATCAGTGTATCTCAACCTCTTCCTGCAATGATAGGAATGAGCACATAACCTTATTAGGTCAATTGGTCTCCACTCTGAGGCTTTGGTTGCCCTATTCTATTTAAAAAAAAAAAAAAAAAAGCTCTGTTTTTCTTACTGGACATAAGCATGTAAAATGCAGCCTCTGGAACTACTGGCAGCCATCTTGGGATCATGAGAGGAAAACCTGCATGAAATTAGGTGAACAACAAGGAAACAGAGCTGAGAAACAGAAAAAGAAGAACTGGGTTCTGTTATTGTTTCACTCCTGGAGAGAGATTTGCTTGCAGTAGGAATACCCTAAACATTTCAGTTATATGTGAATCTAGGGATTCCTTTTTTGATTAAGCCACTTTGGCTTAGTATTTACATTACTTTCAATTAAAAATATCTTTTCTATTTATTTCTATTTTTATCGTGTGCCTACCAATTTCATTCATTTTACTCATCTCTCGTATTATCCATATTCTATAGTTTTTCATGATTCAGCTCACCTCCCCCATTAAACCTTTCCAGATTCTTCTAATTCATAATGAGAGAATCCTAAATCGAAACCACTTTATTATCCACTGTATATACTAATAAGAAAGCTCATGAAGGTCTATGACCAATCATTTGGTGATGATTCTCAAATTTTATCTTTAGCTTAACACTTTTTCCCTTATTTCCATATTTATTTATTTATTGCAGTTTTAGCAGAGATGAGGTTTCTCTATGTTGCCCAGGCTGGTCTCAAACTCCTGGACAAAAGCAATCCACCCACCTCAGCCTCTCACAGTGCCAGGATTACAGACATAAGCCACCATGCTTGACCCATATTTTATTTCTAATTGAATAGTTGACATGTGAACTTCAACGTTTTGAAGACTCTCCAAACTGAATGTGTTTATAACTAAATCCATAAAAACCTTCCTCTTAAATCAGCCTTCATCCAGTGTTCTCTTTTTGTAAACAGCCCCATCAGTCATCAGTTGAATGAGCCAAAATCCCAAGTCTTCAACCCTTTAAAAAGGAATCAGAGCAGATTTGTTCCTTCTTTTCTTCTTTAGGTTCATTATCTAATCATCAGATCCTTTTGATTTTACTTCCTAAATAATTTTCAAACCTACTTCACTACTTTTCTCTGTGTATCCTCCTCTTCTTTTTCTCCTCCTCTACCACCATCATAACCTTGTCTGTTTCCCTCCAGTATATTTTCCACATGGCATCTATCTAGAGTGATCTTTTAAAAAAACACAATTAATTGTGCCAATCCCTTGTGTAAAAACTTTTAATACCTTTCCACAGTTCTCAGGCTAAAGAAAGATAACACTTTACTGTGACCTCATATCATCTGATCCCTGTCTAACTCTCTAGCCTCATCTCCCTAGATGACAGACACTCTTTTTTTTTTTTTTCATTTTTAGATACCCAACATTCAGCAGAGTCTTTAATACATAGTAGGCACTCAACAAATATTTGTTGAATGAATGAACAATTACTTTGCAGTAACTCTTAAATCATGAAGCACCTTGTGTTAAAAATGTTTCCTTTATATATTATTGTCTGAATTACTTATAAGTATATTGAAGATAAGGATATGTCTTACATTACTTCATACCCTATAATAGAATGCCATGCAAATAGTATGGGTTCAGAAGGTATTTGATTTTATCAATACTAATAATTCAACTCTGAATATTTTTCAAAAGCTTGAAGTTGATTCTCTCTCTCTCACAATGGCTAGTTTACCACTTTTCTATAAGATTAGAAATGACCCAGAAGAAATATATTATTACTCTGCCAAAAAAAGGTAGTAAAAAATAGAACATTTGTGTCTGATCAGAATTCTACAGAATTTACACAGATTAACTATAAAGAAGCTGCTTTTCTACATGACAAGAAAAACCCTCAGCTAAACCTTGAGTTCTGTGGACAAACACTCAAGCATGTTTGCTATTTTCATGGTCATATTTTCAAATATTTTATATTTCTCTTTAGACATCATTTATCCTTGAAAAATAGAAAAAAATACATTTAATAACTAAGAGCTGAAGTCTTTTGAGTTAGAGACTGATTATTTTGGAAAACAGTTACCCCAAGTTCAAATTAATTCCTAGTTAGTGGACATTTACCTGAAAAGAACAAAAGGATCTTCAGAGATTCAAAAGTAGGTATGAAATTCTAGCCTATTTTATATACTAATATCATTCCAAATAAGAGAAATATTTCCCAGAGTAGCCTAAATTGAAAACATGCATAGGGAACATAAAAGCAATGAAAACAGTTGGGCTGGGAATGTATTTTGTTAAACAGGAAGACACAGGGATACCTGCTTCTCCAGGGCTTCTAACAGTGTTAGCTGTAGCCAGATAATGTTTTCCAAGTTGGAGAACGGTAGGCAGAATTGGGATTGAAGAGATACAAAAGGAAGAGAGGCAGGAAATGTAAGGGTAGACGATGCAAATTTTGTGCCTGAATAAAATTCCTGAGTAGGCTTAATCTTCGGGCTCTAAAAAACAACTTGAAGCTTGCCTAAGGCATAGTTATACAAGAAGTAATTGCCTTTGGGTTTCTATATACCTGTTATTCAGTTATAAATACTTTCTAGTTTTCACAGGGTATTAAATCTGTTAGGATATTAGTAAAATTAATATATATAATATATATATATATGAAAAAGAAAAGAAAAAGAGCCCTCTTGCATGAAATGCATTTTGAGAATGACTACACATAGTTCTCTTAAAAATCTGAGAGTGAGCTATTTTACACTTTTCCCCTAGAGTACTAAAAGATATTTTAGGAAACTAGTGAATCATGATTTAATATTCAATTGCTTTTCAAGCAAAATAAGAAATTCCACCAAAGTGTCAGTCATGATTTCATTTTTCCTGAAACATAAACTCCAACGGGTAGGTTGAAGCTGCACTGTTTATTTTGCTCTTCTGTATATAAATAAAAAATAAGATTAACGGAATGATGGAAGAATAACTTCTTATGCTGTGCCTTTTCTGACATGCTTCTTTTCTGTACTTGGGGGAAAAAGCAAATTTTCATGTGTAGGATATTTTATTTGCTAAACTTTTTTTGTTTTATTTAATAATTTCTGGATCTTTTGACAAAATTGTGTTTATTCCATGCATGAAAATTGATATATGTTCTAAAATTATAGCACAAACCTTTTATATTTCTTTTAAAATTCTTTTTCTGGGGCCAGGTGGGGTGGCTAAACTGAGGTGGGCAGATCACCTGAGGTCAGGAATTCAAGACTAGCCTGGTCAACATGGTGAAACCCTGTCTCTACTAAAAATATAAAAATTAGCCGGGTGTGGTGGCACGCACCTGTAGTCCCAGCTACTCCAGAGGCTGAGGCAGGAGAATCGCTTGAACCTGGGAGACGGAGGTTGCAGTGAGCTGAGACTGTGCCACTGCACTCCAGCCTGGGCGACAGAGCAAAGCTCTGTCTCAACAAAACAAAACAAACAACAAAAGCCCCCAAAAGAAACAAAAATTCTTCTAAGAGTATGAGATTGCTCATTTATATATACTTTACACAGGTATTCCTCCAATACTGCATAAAATGGTAAAAAGCTTTTTAAATTAATCTCTAGTTCAAAGATTTAGAATACGCTATGATAGCTCCTATTAATACAAAGTAAAATTATTCCTCATAATTTAAAAAATTTCCCAAGGAAACAAAAGAAATAATATTGTATGATAAGAACTAAACAAGTAAAAAAAAAAAATACACGTACATTGTAACCCCTAGATGATCAGCTTTCTGTGATTTTCTCAACAAATGAGTGACAGAAGAGTCTGAGAACTCCCAATACTCCATTAAAGAGATCTAAAAAGAATGTCATTACAAGGATACAGAACTAGAATATGATTAGAGAAGCTAAAATTGTTAATACAGGAAGGGGAGGGCTAGATGAGAGTAGCACTTAAAATTTTGGATTTTTTTTCTTCTTAAGAGGATGCACCTCCAACAAAACAATTCTTACATGGAATCCTAGAGTCTTTGGAACGTGGTTTGAACACCACCAGCTTTGAGAAGGAAGAGAAAATCCAGAAGTCAGAAGTGGACCATGTTGATCAGGATCCTACACCTTCCAGGTAATGGCAGAAGTCACTTATTCAGATGATTCCACAAATTTCCCTTTGTCTGGATGGTGTATCCCTTGCAATCATCCATGTTTACTGATCAGTTCACAGGACAGAAAAGGTGGTCCAGGTAGGGGACACAAAGAATATCAATGTTTTGGCAACAGTAGTGGTCAGGAGTGGTCCCCATTCATGAATCAACCTTGCAGTTCAGAAACTTCAGCTCCTAATGAGTCTGACCAGAATGAGAGTGCCTCCTTGAGCCAGACTCTCAGGTTGGTAATTCAGACATCTGTACCCTAAACTGTGGTACCTTCCACAAGGGCAGATTTATTATGGGGTTCATTATAGAGAGCCACCTGGTCTACTTTGTTCAACACCCTGATCTTCCTCACTCTGTGGTCCTACTATGGGCATTTTTTTCAGGTCTTCTAAAAAAGTGCTCATTAAGACATCTGCCATTTATGAATTTCTCTATGTTTTGTACTATAGTGATAATTAGTACAAATCATATGCAACTCACATAAGATAACATCAACTTATACATAGGTACACTCAGGTCAACTATCCAATTAGGTAAATATATCGTTATTGAATAATTGTAATAGGCTGAAAAATTGAGTGAATGGATATAGCTTTACTCATAATTCACAGAATATCCTCATACTTATATGTTTTTTCTCATTTAAATGTTTCTTCTTTACTCCCAACTCCTTTAAAGTACACTTGTTTATTTTGTTTTTGATTAATAACAGGTGAATTTTTCTGTGCTGTTTTTGGTGGGGAGGAGTCTGTTGCAGGTACATTTCTCTGCTGATAATAGAATGTTTGGCTTATAGTGGATGCTTAAAGCATGATGATGATCACTATACACAATATTTTGTGTGTGCGCAAAAGAGAAAAATACTTCTAGTCTTTATCTACTATCGTTTTCATTTATTTCTGGTACCAGCATGACAGAAGATTTGCATTACTTCTGAGCATAGGCATGATGCATTTAGATACACTTTTCCATCTCTCCACAAGATAAAACCTATGCCATGTAACAATCGGTACTGCAATTGTATACTCTATTGAAATATTTTAGACTTTGATAGGCTCAATAGATATAAACATACAGAAAAGATAGATGTCAAAGAACTGGAAAATGTTGAACTATCTACATCTTCAGTACTGCCGACGCCGGGCCCATGTTATCAGTTCCACTTTCTCAGAATGTTACACTGAAAGTGAGCTACCCATACTTTTTATGATGACTTTAAAAATGAGTCTACATATGCTAAAATGATTTGCGACATCTTCTTGACTTACATAAAATGAAAGTTAAAAATATGTTTTGAAACTCTTTACAACAATCAAAGACTAATGTATTTTTGATGAAAGGCAAGGAGGTAAACAATACTGGGAAATGTAGAACATCCATGTGTTAATTTATGCTATTGTACAGCATCATTTCTCTAGTTGACAAAAATATCCATTTCACAGAAAAGTTAAGAAACAGAATTCTTCTGTTAATGTTAATACCAAGGGAAAGTTCAAATAAGTCAAAAATAAAACAAGATACGAGTACTTTTTTTTTTTTTAATGAAAATAGCTCTTAACTGGGGCTAGGTGATGTGGCTTCTAATCTAGGCTCTACTATGGCCTGAGATAAGTTATTTCTTCCTCCTCAATTTTTATTTTGTCTATTCATATAAAAAGCGGTTGGATTAAACCAGAGGTTTTTAAAGTTTGGCTGCACTTTAGACTATACCTGGGTGTAAAGAAATACCAATGCCCAGTCCCCATCCTCACAGATTCTGGTTCCACTGGTCTGGGGTGGAGAAACTGAGCCTCCGAAGTTCCCCATGTGATTTTAATATGGAACCTGAGCTGAGAGTCACTGAATACATGTCCTCCAAGCACCTTCAGTGCCTAAGAGTGTATGATTCTGGAATTTCTGGGAAAAGTTCCTTAACAGACACACACAGAAACAGGCAAAGTTTGTTCATTAATCTGGATTCTCATTTAGAATCTAATAGTAGTTTTCTACGTAAGTCAGGTCTATATTTTTAATGAAAACCACGATACCTTTTGTGCAAATTAGATAAAGTATTAATAAAGAAGATTGGTAGAGGAAAGAGAAGCAGAGAAATAAAATATAAGCACTGTCAGAATATACACTTTCTAAAAGCAATTTTGTATCTTCTCATCAATATTTAATTACAATGTTATTAGGTGCTTATTTACACATAGCAATTTAGAATCCTAAGCTTTTAAAAATTCATCTACTTTAAACATACAAAATACAAAAAGATAATCATGATAGTGGGAACACAAAGTTCACTGCTACAGAAATGTTGAGACTTAGTCTGCTTAAAGGAGACAAAGATTTATTTTACTGAAGACGCTGCTTGATGATTATTTATTAGATGACTAAAACTCTCCCATGAGTAAATGTAGACCTATGTCTATCGAATTATTGGAAAAGAGCTTTCCTAGGAAACAGTTGGTGGCTCTTGCTTTTCTACAGAAAGGTCCAGAAATTGCTCAATAGTGTCTCTATGGACCACACAAACTCAGCCCAGCAGAACTTCTGGTGGTTTGGCCAAAGGAAAGAGCATCAGTGTAGAAGATTGGCTGTGGCATAGTTTGCTTACTTGGCTAGAGGATCACTTTACCAGTATGTGATAAGTTAAAAAGAAGAATAGGAAAAAAATATTTTTTGTGTGTCTTTAAAAAGATTTTTTTTTGTTATAGTTTCAGGATGTACACGTACAGATTTGCTACATGGATATATTGCATAATGGTAGGGTGTGGGCTTCTAGTATACCCATCACCTGAATAGTAAACATTGTACCCAATATGTAATAGAAGAAAGAAGGTTTAAGAAAGTGTAAAGGAATCATTGGGAGAGGGCTGGTCTAATACTTTGCATTTTCTGACTAAATATCCTGAGATGTCACCAACTACTCATTTTGCGAGATGGATAATAGACAAGGTTGAATATTATAGACCTGTACCCTGAAGAAAAGAGAGAGGACCAAGTTTGTTCCCCACAGCCCCCGCCACCATATTAATAGGTTATTCTACATAATGTTGTTTTTCAACTCCATGCTCTGCCAGTGCTCCTCTGTACCACTGTTTGGCTGAATAATATATAAAATCTAGGTTTGTTGTCAGTTTCAAATTAGTAATTATCCCTTGTGCATTTCTGTTTCTAAATATTTTTTACTTTCTCCACTGTTAGGCTTGAGAGCTCTCCAAAGACAGATCATACTTTTCTAAGCACTCCGTATATTGGACATAAAGAAATGCTGAAGGTAATCAGAGATTAAATTAAGATTATTTTTAAAACTCACAGGCAAGCTTTCAACTATAAACTTCAAATTTGTGAGCTTTTACACTTTCTTGAGTGACTTCAATTTGCAAAGTTGTTTAATCTCATTATACACATAAAAATATCCTCCTTGATTTGGATTCTGTTATCATTAATTTTCAGTTAGCAAAAGGCATAGAAACAGGCCTGCTCATGTACCAGGGTACCTAGTGGAGAGGATGATTTTTCAGCAGCTCGAATCAAACATGCGTTTTGCTTGCCATCCATCACCCTGATATGAGCTGCATCCACCAGGAGGGAGAGATACATTTTAACAATTTGCATAAAAGCGCCAAATGGGGCTAAAAGTGGCCCTGCCCCTAATCTTGAAATTGTGATGGGGTTTCCTTGGGGAGGGAAAGATGTATGAGGTAAACAATAAGCATACAAGGGTTAGACCTCTGTCTCCTCTCTTTTGCACTTTTCTGTTCAGCCACAGTTAGGAGACAGGAGTTGCGTTTGAAACTAGGAGATGAGAACTACAGACCTGTTTTGCCATCTATACTTAACTCTAGCCTCGTTTTCTGCAGTTGGATGCAGTTGGCCTCCATCTGGTCTATGAGACACTGCAGCAGGCACAGGTGAAATCCCCACAGACAGGATGCTGAGAGCTGTATCTGAAAGACTGCCTAACTCTGAGATCCCCCTTTCTGTTTGGAGGGGCTTAATATCCAGAAATAGGTGAACCATATTCTCTGGGTCAGCATCAATTAAAATTTGTTTAATTAGGAACATTCATGCATTTGTTCATCCAACAAAAACGTATAGCATAACTTCCTTGTTCTAAGCCATGGGGGATATAAAGATTCTTAGATACTTTGCCAGCACAAAGCTCATCACTGAATTCAGCTTAAATTGTTTTACATCAATTCTTGAGCTTCAGCACACACATACACACACACACACACACACACACACCGCTTACTCTCTATTACACTGGCAATCTTTTTAGTCTTTACTAAATGACTTTAACTACTATTTAACGAAGGCTCTCCCTTTTCACAGGACCATTCTCTGTCTCTGAGTTAATGATGATGTCTCTGTTGCCAAACTTCCCATTCTATAACTTTAATCAAAGTCCCCTGCACGCTTCCTGACCTGGGGCAAAGGGTGGTGGTAGTAGTGGTGGTAGTTTTCAGCCTTCATCATGGCCTCCCTATTACAGCTGCTTTTCATTCATAAAGCACCAATTCATAAAGCACTGGTTTGGCATTAGCTGTACTACTGCTTGACTCTTTTCAATTTGTTTTTAATCCCATCTAAAAATATCTCAATGAAATGAAATGACCCAAAACATCTCAATGTTAAAATCCAGAATGTCAGATGTAGTATGTGAAAGGAGAGGAGAGGAGCTATCTGGTATTTATCCACTGGTGGAAAAAAAATATTATTTGGAAAAGTTAACTCGAAGGGGTCCTTTGTTGCTAAACACGAAGCTGGTGTTGCTGTTCTGATGTAAATCCTTCATGAAAAACTGCAGTAGATGCACAAATATATTTTTGTAATTTAAAGTGTAAAAAAGCTCGCCATGTAATCTGGACTCTCTTCTCTATGTAATTAAAGTCATTTTCTAAAGTGTCTAGTATGAAAACACAGAGCCGTAACTGTAGTTTTCAGCAATATCTTGTGAAAACAGCATCTCGGAGCTTAAAATTCAGTATGCTGCTTTTTGTACCATATCACCCCAAAACTATTTAAACTGTTTGCTATTTAGATGTGAGTACTGATCACACCAGAAATAAAAGTCAAAGGGGCTCTGGGTTCGCTGACAGTGTTATTCCAAGTGCCATCCCTGGGACCTGCCATTTTGCCCAAGGAACAATGAAGCATGAGGACACCGAGCAAGGTAGTTTTGATATCAATGGGTTACACAACGAAAGCAATGACTCACTAATGAAAAGGCATGTAATAAACTGAACAGGATTAAAAAATGAAATCACAAGGTGATTCATACCTTTTAAAAGAAAGCTCTTTCAGTTCTTTAAGCTATGTTTATATATTTAAAGAAAAATCAGTTTTTTTTTTTTTTTTTTTTTTACTATAATACAAAGAAATACCTTATCTCCCTATTCTTGCCAGGACGCTTTCAAATTCAATAGACAATAATTGCTTTAGTAAAATTACCCTCTTTGATAAAACTTGCTTGGATAGTTTAGCATGGAAAAGTCAAAACTTTCTCTTGGGCAGTTCCAAGTTTAATCAGGTTAAGAACAGATTAATACGGTTAATGTTTCCTTTTTTTCTCACACCTTTTCCATTCTCTGCTTCTGTTAGTCCTTGTATTACTTCTGAAGCAATGTTCTCCCTTTTATCTACATTCATTATGTATTTTCTCTATTACCACTCACGTTTTTTATAAAGGAGATAAACACAGAGAAAAACAACTTTTCCATTCAACTTTTTTATCATAAAATGTTGGGCTCTTATCAGGCAAAGTCATAATGAGGAAATTTATCCACTTGGTAATAAGATCTCAGGTAATATCCCTTTGCTATATTGGTTTTGCAACAAACTGCATCTTCGTTTCCAGACTTAGGAGCATAGTGATGACTTTTTATAAGAGATTTTGAAAAGGTATGTTGAAATGTCTCCAACTAAACCCGGCTAGGAGATTGGAAAATTTGATGAGTTTTGTGGTGGGGGTGTATAATAGAGAACTGTTAGAATAAGGAGAAGTGATGCTGTACAGTGGCATGACAAGATCTAAGAGATGTAAACACAAAAATCTTCCCAAAGATCTTCATTAAGATGTGAACTTCTCAGAAAGATATATAATGACTATGCAATTTAAATTAATTCTCCTTCTGTCATTCTCCATAGTACCATCCTGTTTGGTTCCATCATAACATCAGCAACAATTGTTTACAGCTTTGGGTCATTTTTTTCTGTCTTTATGTCTAGACTGTACTATCCATAGGGCAAGTGTCGGGTATCTTCAGCACCAAATTCAATTCGTAGTCTATAATTTCACTAATACAATAGTTACTAGCTGTTTTTGGTTCAGCACTTGAAATGTGACTAGTCCAAACTGAGAGGTGTTGGATCTGATTGAATTTTTAGGACAGTAGGGAAAAATAATGTAAAGTCTGATTAATGACTTTTATATTGATTACATATTGAAATAATAATATTTTGGATTTATTTAATTAAGCATATTATTAAATTTAATTTTATCAGTTTCTTTTTACCTTTTCTAAATGTGGCTATTAGAAATATTAAAATTTCATGTGACTCATGATGTATTTCCATTAAACAGCACTTGTGTAAAAAATTATTATTATATGTTAAATGAATAATGAGTAAATGAATGGATGGTACCTGCATCTAGAGCTGACACTACCTAAATGTATACTATATAACTTTTAGAGGAGGATACTCAAGAAAAATAAGTCAATGCTGGTAGATTTTATTGATGTCTTCAATTCTTTACCTCTTCCATTATCCATGCCCACTGCTATGTGCCTTTTAGTTTGACCCAATAAGAAGGTGGGATGTCTAGGCCGAGGCGGGTGGATCATGAGGTCAGGAGATCGAGACCATCCTGGCTAACAAGGTGAAACCCCATCTCTACTAAAAATACAAAAAATTAGCCGGGCGCGGTGGCGGGCGCCTGTAGTCCCAGCTACTCGGGAGGCTGAGGCAGGAGAATGGCGTGAACCCGGGAAGCGGAGCTTGCAGTGAGCCGAGATTGCGCCACTGCAGTCCGCAGTCCGGCCTGGGCGACAGAGCGAGACTCCGTCTCAAAAAAAAAAAAAAAAAGAAGAAGGTGGGATGTCTTTCTTTACCCCTTTTCTTTGGATTTGACCATGTGACTTGTGTTGCTCACATTAGTGAGCATGATGTAACCAAAGGCTTGGGCAACGCTTGCACTATTGAATTTGCCCTCTAGCACTTTCACTATTGTGAGAACCTCTCTGGGTTAACTGGCTTATCCAAGGAGGAGGATGAGAGATATGTAGAGCAAAACTAAACTGCCCCAGTGGAGTCCAGCCTAATCCCCAGCTGACCTCATCCACAGAAGCAAACCAGCTAAGATCATCATAACTCCTCAGCCTATCCCAGCCTAGATTAGCCCACTCCAAGTGGCCCACAGACCCATGAGCTAGATAAATGCATATTATTGTATGTTGCGGAGATTTTGTGTTTATTATCCTGGCTTTATTCAAAATACCTAAATGATGCAGAAGTGAAATCATCAGAACTGAACTGAGTGGACAGTATAGGAGATCTCAGCATCATACTTAAAATTCTCCCTTTCTCTGACTTCTTAAATAAAATATTTTTGGCCACCATGACACATATGAGAACTAGGGAAGATACTCTAGCAAGAGCTGGACAAATTCAACCTACAAGTATAACTCATTGGTTATCATGGGGGTTTTTAAAGTAAGCAGCAGCAGGGATTCTAGGACTTAAGTGGAATTGAATAGCACAGCACAGTTCTTAATTTTCCAAGCAAGTGCTGGATTTGTTAAATCCAGATGTAGGTGTTCCTAGATTTTGTTTTTGTTGTTGTTGTTGTTGAGGGAAAGCTGTTGACATATGTCCCCAATTCTTTACCTCTTCCAGTATCCATGTCCACTGCTATGTGCCTTTTAGTTTGACCCAATAAGAAGGTGGGATGTCTTTCTCTACCCCTTTTCTTTGTATTTGACCATGTGACTTGTGTTGTTCAACTCCCAGGTTTGTCTTATTACACTGACTACTGAAGAGGGTACTGGCTTTGCCCACTTGGGTCATCCCCCTATGCTGTCCCCAATACACTCCTAGGAGGGTCCTTCTACTGCCTGATTCTTTGGGCTTTTGTGATGCCAAATTAGAATAGTGAGAATGCGATAGAAGTGGAATTATAGGTAGAATAGTAGAGGGTAAGATGAGGAGAATACTATCCTTTTGTAGAAGACAGAAAAGCTCCAACAGGGACAGAGGAGTCTGTGAAAGAGTTTTAAGTGAGAGGACTCAGATAAAGTGAGGTTATAGAGAGCAGGGATAGAGAAGGAAAGAAGGTTTTAACAAACGTTTCTGCAGGTTTTGCTATCTGAATTCCCTTTACAAGACTGGAAACTGTAGGTAGAAAACTTGAGTTAATTTAATTCACTATTATTTTTTAGCAATACCATCTCTCTTAGATTGGTGTTTGTGGATCGCAGCTTTATGGTAATGATTTTGTACAAATAAATTTAATATGGAATGAAGTGATGGCATGGTGGCTAGAGTGGACAGAATGTTCAGGACCTATAAGGTTATTCACTGCCCATATCACTTACTAGCTGTGTAATTGGACAGTTAACTAAACCATTCTGAGGCTCATTTTCTTCATTTATACCATGGAGAAAATAATGTATTTCATAGGTTCTTCTCAGGATTAAATAATACGGTGGATGTTAAAATATCTAGCTCATTTTTAGACATAAATGTTAGGTGAAATATTTGAGCACGATGTTTTCTTTATGAAAATTCAAGGTTTGGCCTAAAGTCACTGTCCCTGTATCTGTACCTTCAAGCTGTGCTCCAAAGTTAGTAGCTGCAGCTGACTACTTAAGCAGTTGCTAATTGACAAAGACATCTCTGTTTCCCTTATAGTTATTTTTGTGGAAGACCAAAAAAAGAAAAAAATCTGTTCCTTACCATCTATAACTGATAAGGAGCTTCCCCAGGTAGAGAGAACTCAAATGCTGGGAAACTCGGCCAATAAAGAAGTGACCACTTATGAGGGCTTTTAAATTAAAAGGCTGAAAGATCACCTTACATTTGCTTCCATTATTATCTTAAGTTTACTTCAAGGAGGAGACAGCAGATGTATACCCACAATCAAAACAGTATTTGATCTCATGATAACATATTACCTTCAGTAGTAAAATTTGAAAACATACATTGTTACTGTATGGAAATTGACTAGGAACTTACAGAATTCCAGTTTTAATTAGCAATACAACCAGTGAATCACAAGGTGGCATCTAGGTTTTAGATACTATTCAGTGTAGAAGATCTATATTGAAAAAGCATCAGTAATTACATATCTACAGTTTGCAATTACAACATGAAATGAATAGCTGATGCTATGTAGGCAGCATCTTGCCTAAGACTGCACAGAACAAATACAAGAAGAAAGTAGATTAAAAAGATAAATATGCTTTTCTGGAAATTGGAAAGTCCCCATACAGCATCATGCTTCTGACATAAAATGAAGGTTTAGAGAGATAGGACGGTAATGCACATCCTAACCCACAGTTATGAGACAGAAACAGGTTAGAAAAACATCTGGTTTTCCTATGTACTTGTGATGTTAATGCTTAGCATTAAATGGAAAGTCAGGATCATCATCAAGAATAATGTCTTGGTATGTGGCCAGCCTACTTGCATGGATTGTCACACTGGAACACCAGAGGTGAGAAGAATAGACAACAACAGGACAACCAAGCAGAAGTGGTTTGGGGAGCTGGTGTGGGGACAGCCACAAGCTGTGAGGACAGATACAGTCCTACAAGGACATTGAAGCATAATTTCAACGGACACTGTGGAGAGCAGTAGACTGCTGAGAAGCTAGAAAGCCTGATAGATTGCTCTGACACATAGAAATCAGGGACAGTGACTTGTTTTCAAGGCAAAATATCAAGCAAACCTCATACAAACAGCAGACTCCCAGAGTCCTAGGCTTTGCCCACACCAGCAGAAGCCACCAACAAACTAGACAGGCGTTATGCATACAGGTGGGAAAGAAAAGCTGCATACATGTGGGACCCAAACCCGGTTAGTAAAACTAGTGCCAAATCTTCTGGAAAAACACTATGCTTTATACTGACATAAAGGTAAAAATTTTCGTGGAAAGGGTTCAGGCAAGATGTTTCAATCAAATCTCATGACGCCACTGAAACTGAAGCTTAAATGGTGGAGCAGGATACATCTTCAGGCTTTGAATGCAGGCAAACTGAATAAGATTTTTCATACACTGGACCTAGCCTGGAAATTCTCAGCAGCTATAACCCAGGATACAGCACTCTACACACATAATGCTTGTATATGAGCTATATTATATTCTCTGTGAATAAAACATCTTAATATAACATTGTAGGAACAGTGCTTGTCCAGCATTCAACTATTTCCATGATTACTAACAAAGGGAAATGTGACACAGAGCAATGTTCCATGAACCAAATTACCCAGGGAAATTACTGGAAACTTGCAGGCATTGCTGAGGCACATGAGTTTTGTAATTTGTCAGATAGCATCCTTGCTTAAGTCACAGTGTTTTTTTGAGGATCGAAAGTGATAATAGATATAGATGTGGTTTTGTAATCCATCAAGCACTATACATACATTTTGCAAGCTTTAACGTATAATCAAGAGGGCTTCAACAACAATGTTCAAAGCAGACCTATTACAACTGGCTCTTGTACTCGGTTCAGCTTTAAAAGACAATAAGCTTGTCTGCCAGTCGTTTAAGCTAAGGCAAATAAAAAGTGGCTTTAATGATACCTTAGGCAACGCTTATACAGCAGTGTTCCTATTAAGAGAAGAAAAGAACAAAATCTCCTCCTCTTCTTAATAGTTATAGGAAATCCGTCTTCTACTCAAAATCAAGTTTTATATTGGCGCGTTTGTTTAGACCTTACACAACTTCTGAATGTAAGGGTGAGCACTGTTTACCAACTTGTAGTCACCGAAAAGAATATGGGTTTCGTTCTGCTTTACCAACATAATAAGGAGAATCTTCAAAGAGAAAAGATTTCTCCTTTAGCCAAACTGTTACTTTATCTACACAGACAAAACAAAGAAACAAACAGAAAAAACCAACTTTGAGTGAGAAAGTAAACTCTATTCTTCCACCACTCCTGGTTTCATTTATTACGGTAACAGGAAAAAGAATGAAAAGAAGAGATTAAACAAAACTTACTTCTTTTCTAATATTCTTTTCTTTTCAATGAAAGTTCCCAACCCAAATGAAGTCATTTTTGTAATGCCACTTAATGTTGTTTATTTTGCCATCATGGTGGAACTGGTAATTCACTCAACTGTGGGTTATTGTTTCTTATCTTTCTAACTATCCTTCTGAGGTTAAGCTTACACTGTTGTTAATCTTGTTGCAACACGGTGGTTCTTCAGCTTTCATGAATTTAACACAAGGAATCATGAGGGAGGTGCTCAGTAATTGTGTAGAGGTGTCAATTTGAATTGGGAATACCAGCCACTCAAGCAATGAAAGAGTTAACCCAATGGCTGTCAACATATTAGGCTGGTCTTTACTTGTACCTTAGTGATGAAAACCGGAAAATTGCATCTTTATGAGAAATGAGAGAGAAACCAAGAATAAGATAAACTCCAAAAAGCAGAAAATGCATGAATTTGAGGTTTGAGACTAGTCCAAGAAACAAGAGTGATTGGCAGAAATGTTATTTGGCAGAAAGCACTAGATCTTCTACAATCAATTTATAAATCACAAATTTGTCTGTTTCAAGGTACCAGGGCATTTCTTATAAATATAAAAAGCTATTCCTTCATGTTTAAAAGTCTGCTGTTAAACACAAATTTAAGAGACTCCATGGGGTTAAGCATTCTGTTTTCTAGTCATCATTCAGCTTTCTCCATGCCTCTGAGCATTGCTGCATCTCATATTTGCATTTCTAGTCCTTATTTAATATCCATATTTTTTCTGTTCTACATACTAGATATCCCAGTCTATGTAAGCATGAATAATATTGAGTAGGGTTAGAAACTTGAATTTTTTTTAAGTCAACAGAAAATTATTTTTCTAATGAAATTTAAAAGCCTAAACTTATTTTATTAAAAATAATAATATATAAGCCAGGCGCAGTGGCTCACACCTATAATCCCAGCACTTTGGGAGGCTGAGGCAGGTGGGTCACCTGAGGTCAGGAGTTCGAGACCAGCCCAGCCAACATGGCAAAACCCTGTCTTTACTAAAAATACAAAAATTAGCCAGGCATGGTGGTGCATGCCTGTAAGTCCCTGCTACTCAGGAGGCTGAGGCAGGAGACTCACTTGAACCTAGGAGACGGAAGTTGCAGTGAGCTGAGATGGTGCCACTGCACTCCAGCCTGGGTGACAGAGCGAGATTCCATCTCAAAAAATGAAAAAAAAAATATATATATATATATATATAAAATATTCACTATGGGCTCCACTAATTATACATACATATGAATGTGAATCCTTTTGGGAACTAGATCTATAGTAATTAGTTGGAAATAAGAGAACAACTAATCTTTGTTTAGAATACAATATTATGAAAGATTGCTATAAAATTATGCATCTCTAAATAAGAAGCAAACACTAACAGTTTCTTACATAAAGTTATGTTAGTTTTGCTAAATTTACCCAGGTTGTATAATTGATAAGTAATAGAAAAAAATAAAAAATAAAATTAAAATAAAAAAATTTCATCTGGCAATAATTCAGATATTTACCAGACAGTCATGGGCACCAGGCTGCTGCTATACAATTACTTCCTTTGGTTGATGGTTCTGCCGTTCATTCATCAAATATTTATTGCATGTCTGCTGTGGGACCAGTCACTGTATTAGGCTATAGGGATAAAATTAATCAGTCAAAACAGACAAGGTCTCTTCTTTCATGAAGTTACAGTCTAATGATTCAGACAACTTAATTATTTTCAAGATAGAAGCATAATTTTAGGAAAATAAAAGTTACAATAATTGAAATAAAAGTTAACAAGATGGTCCTTACATTCTGTGGTTTCAATATATACCAGTTTCAGTTAACACAGCAGTGAGCAAAAGCAAGGATTGCCTATAGTATCATATTATTACTGGCTGTTTCAGTCTGGTAGCAGACACTTTAGGTGGAAGACATTGTTTATACCAACTATCTATCCCTATTTGATTTTTAATGCTTTTCTGTTTATATGCTATTTGAAGATATCCGTGATACTTTTGGTTGTTTCTGCTGATAACAAAAGTGCTACCCAGTTTCTCAGAGTTTTGCCAAGACTAGGCAATTTAACCAATGAAATACTTGAAATAATTTCCTTGTGATTTCCTCTTTTCTCCCCTACTTAAGAAAGAGACTACATACCTAAAAAAGTCAACCTCCAGAAATTCATGGCCTGTCCATGTTTCTTTTATTAATAGAGATTCAGCACATATGCACTAATTAATAATTAATCTTTTAGGCCCTTACATGTTTTTCTTATTCGATTTACCATTTATTACTTGTACTTTAATTGTGTCAACAAATGTCTTTTACCTTACTCAATCATGCATTTAAAGTTACTAGAAATAACTTGTGTGAATGGCAAACAAGGCATGAGAGAGAATAGAACCCCTTGGAAATCCTGGGATACATAACTATCATTCTACACCTCAAGGCTCCTCTCTGGGTATGAAGATGGGGACCCTGCACTGTAATGGATGCCCCTCCTCTTTAGAACTGAGGAGCTAATTTCCTCAAGTGCTAAGAGTGCTGGTTGCAGACAAGAGTGTTGCCCTTGGCTGAAGGAAACTGCCTTGCTCAGGGTACGACCCCTCCCCAGGGGTGTTGTGCATCCAGTGATTGGTCAGTGTGGGATACAAAGGCCAAGCCCCTTTGCCTCCATTTGGGACAGCTCTGGGGAGCCAGCTAAGTCAAGAGTTCCCATGATAACCTGGGGCCTCTGTCATGACAGTGTTACAGATGAGCCTCTCCATCTGTCCAAAATTTTTTTTTCATTTCCTTTCAGCTGTTGTTATCAAAACACTTCCCAAAATTCCAGACACACAAATTTCTCATGGAGTCTATTTCCAAGGAACTTAAATGGGGATATTGCACCAAATGAAAAACAAAGATAACTAATGTAAAAATAAATCCATACCGATCTGAAATATTTGTGCATTTGTATCTATTTTCATGCTTTTTAATCATTTGCTTTTTAAGTGGGTAAATAACTATTGATATAATAGACTCACTACACAAAGTTATGATATGCATTGCTTAAGACTGAATTTTAGGGGACAGTCTGAATTCTCTAAGTACTTCTCTGAAAGTACTTAGAGGGATTAAAAATTTTTTATAAACCAATTATCCCATGATGGTGAAATGGGATGGGAGGAAATTGAATACAAATAGAGATCTGAATTCTTTGAGAGCTAATGACAAATGTGATAGATTTAAAAATTTATATTTTCATTGACTAGAATATGAAAGAGATTTTAAAAAAATTATCAGAGGCTGGGCACGATGGCTCAGGCCTGTAATCCCAGCACTTTGGGAGGTCGAGACGGGCAGATCACAAGGTCAGAAGATCGAGACCATCCTGGCTAACACGGTGAAACCCCGTCTCTACTAAAAATACAAAAAATTAGTCGGGCGTGGTGGCAGGCGCCTGTAGTCCCAGCTACTCGGGAGGCTGAGGCAGGAGAATGGCGTGAACCTGGGAGGCAGAGCTTGCAGTGAGCCAAGATCACGCCACTGCACTCCAGCCTGGGTGACAGAGCGAGACTCCGTCTCAAAAAAAAAAAAAAAAATTTATCAGAGAAAGTGAAGAATTCACCAAGTATATGACCATAACAAATATACTGCAAACTTTGACCTGAAGGAAGAGACATTTTGTCTTCTCTTGAATAAAAGTTTGCTTTTTTTGTTAAGTGTTAATATTCATACTATCAGCTATAACTGTATTCCAGATAAACAGTGAGATTATTGGAAGGACAGTCATACTATACTTGCTTAGTGTCTACACTAATGCACCTCACTGGTACATAGTCACTTGCTTATTAAAAAATTTCACTTGCTTACTCATGACTAAAAAGTTGAGTGTTTAGAAGTCTTACAGATACAGAAATCATTCTCAAGTGTTTTGAGTAAGTAAATGAAGGAGAAAATGGGAAGAAAGTCTATCTACAAAATGACTACTATCAGCAAAATATCAGAAGCATGAGAAAACCCCTGAAATGAAATTTTCAGCACTAAAACCTAAGTTCCAGGAAATGCCTCCATGACATTCTGATTCCATTAAATTAGCATGGGAAAAGCCAATACAGAAATAGGGGTAAATTCTTGAATCAAAGAAAAAGTAACGTATAAAAAGAAATGTAGGTGACTTTGGTGTTGCAACAGTATTATGTGTAGGAGAGCAGCTTTCCACTGTACTTCAGCAGTGAGGCACTTTCTTCAAATAAAATCTCATATGGAAGCCCAATATGTCGAACAGATGAAAGAGGGCTAGCTCTGTTAAAGTTGGAGGTAATGGGCTGGAGGCTATAGTGATGCATATCCCCTCAAATCCTGAGATGCCACTAGAGAACATCTAGGGCTCCATGACACAGAGTGTAAAAACCAACAGGAGAATTGGAAAGCTCTCAAGTGTGAGCACTTGAGGGAAAGAATTATATTTTATTTTTTTGTTGCTTCTCAGCATTTACATTCCCTTTCCCCCTTCCTTACAGTATTCAAAATTCCAAGCATGTGGTTTGGATGGAATTCACTCCGTTCTTGTCTTTGGTAGTGGGCCCTGATTGGCTTAAGCCAGTAGGCATATCTAATCTCCAGGCCACACCAATTGGTTCAGGGTTGAACACACAACCCAATTTGGGCAAATTAGAGCTGCAAGAATAAATTTCAAATTGTTTTGTGCTTGACTGGTATCTGAAAACACATAACCCCAGGAGCTGCTGATGGTTATATTGTGACAATAATGGAGGAGACCCACAGAAATGGAGCCAGCACTGAAGAAGTGGCAATGAGAACCGAAGGCAGTCATCCCATCATTTGAGCCACTGTATCAAGAGTAGTCTGATGCTAGCCTAACTTCTCAGTTACATGACAATAAATTGTCTTTACTCTTCAAGTCAACTTTTCCTTGTGTCTTCTGTTATAACAGGAAAGCACTGTAACTGGTATCTATTGTATCCCAGCACCTAGGAGGGTACCTCACACACAGTGGGTAGCTCAGCATTTGTTGACTGAAAGAGTTAAGAGCCATAAATTATAATTATTTCCTTAGCCCTAACTGGCAATTCACTTAACTACTCCAGGTCTTATTTCCTCTATCTTTTAAAACCAGAAAGTTGTTCAGGCTCATCTAAAAAAAAAAAATCCATTAGTACTCTAACACTGTAAGTGTCTCTATGCCTTCATGCAGATTATTGCTTAGGTGTTTGTGTCTCAGACAACCTGCAGAGGTTTTAGAGTTAATGTACTGATTCAATTCTGTACGAATTTAGCCCACTGAGAATTTTTCATTAGCTGAAGGTTAAGGTGGCTCTGTTCCTCCCTCAGCTGACTGCCTGACTGTGAAATTATGGTGACCCTCAAAAGAGAAGCTATACATTGGAGGACTGGGAATGTATAATTCACAGGAATAAAAGCAGGATTATCACTATTTGTTTAAGAATATCCTGAACATCTGTGGAGGGGGAATGAGCAAAAGTTCTAGATGGTTGCAAGAGAAACTTATGTTATTTGAGGATTATTGTGGGGGTACCTAGAATTCTTAATCAAACTTTCAAGATGTTTAAGGGCCTCTGAACAGAATGTGTTTAAAAATGAAAAGCAATGCCTTCTTTTGAAAAAAAAAAAAGTCATCTACCTATAAAGTCACTCCAATTTAAGGCTGATCCTATCTGAGGCTTATGTCAAAGCACCATCATCTTTGGGTCTTCAGAGGACAGGATGGGAACAGAAGTTCTGCCCTTTATGTATTTTCATAGATCAGGTTGTCTTCCTGCGTAGTCGCAATTTGGAGCAATGCTATGCAAGAGAATTATAATGCAAGTGAGCCACATACACAATTTTAAATTTCCTGGTAACCACATTTTTTTTTTTAAGTTAAAAGAAACAGGTAGCTGGGCATGATGGCTCATGCCTGTAATCCTAGCACTTTGGGAATTGCTTGAGCCCAGGAATTCAAGACCAGCCTGGGCAACACAGGAGATGAGACCCCATCTCCACAAAAAATTAAAACTTAGGTGGGTGGGTATTGTAGTGTATGTCTGTAGTCCCAGCTACTCTGAAGCTGAGGCAGGAGGACCTCCTGAGCCTAGGAGTTTGGAGTTCAAGGCTGCAGTGAGCTATTGTGGTGCCAGTGTACCTTAGCTTAGGCAAGACAATGAGACCCTATCTCAAAAGAAACACATGAAATTAATGTTAATTTACTTGCTTTAACCCAATATATGAAACACATTATTTCAACATGTAATCATAAAAATATTAATAAGATATTTTGCGTATTTGGATAGTAAGTCTTCAAAATCTGAAGTTACGGCACATTTCAGGTGTTTAGTAGACACAGGTACTTTGTATTGGTCAACAAAGATCCAAAGAATCGCTGTTTCCTACTGAGTTTTGCTTAGTTTTGTTTTGTTTGGAGTGGGGTAGGGAGAATCTTAAGAATGCAAATACTATCAAACACTGTAATTTAAATCTGAAGAGCTACCATATTCCTTCTCAGAAGGGCTGTAAGTTTTAATATGGCCCAACACTGGGAAAAAGAAAGAGAATGACAGGAGAGCAGAGGAGGCTGTGGGCTTGCAATGACTTGCCTCAACTTGTACACTAGGTCTCCAAGTTCAGACATGACACTCAGCACAATTAGAAGCCACCGAAAATGTTCACACAAGGGAATAACGAGATTCAATTAGTGTTTTAGGTCTTGCAGCCAGTCTGCTTGGCTTCTGTATATTGAATGCATGGTGAGATAGTATTTCAGATATTCATCTATTTTTTTCTCCCTGTGTTTCGTTTTTCTCCCCTATTCTCTATTTAAGCAGACAACAGGCCCTCTGCTCATTGCCTCAGGTAAGGAATATGGCAAGGTGAAAAACAGAAATGTTCTCTCTGGCTCTTTTGATCCAAAATTGCCTTAGAGCAATTTAGAGATTGTGTGCAATGGGTAACAGGAAGAGAATGTGGAGGTGTGAGAAAATGCAAGGCAGGAAGGGCAGTCCTCCAGGCAGAAAAGAGAGAGGCCTAAAAGGAGAGGAGAAAAGAGAGAGAAGAGAAAAATAAGAGAAAGGAGAGAGGGTTCTGAATTATGGTGCAGAGGCTCTCTGAGCTCTGTGTCCTGGAAAACAGGATGAAGCGCACTGCAGTGGTGGAGCCTCCTGGCAGCCAGTGTTCATCAAGGATCAGATTTTCTATTGTCCCTGCCCCACCTGAGATTTGGCACTGTGGAAGACCCTGAACCTCCCAAATGAATGTGTTTAAATTTCTGGCCATCCTGGCAGGTTCAACATGGCTTCAAAATAGTAAATAGCTGGGGCTATGGAAAATAGTATTAATATAATCTGTTCTGGACACTTGAGTTGTGGATTGGGATTCATACCCGTAGGGGTGCTAGGCTGAGGCTATAAAGTCCAATGAAAAGGCTATTGCAAGTCAAGAAAGAGAGTTGAGTCTCTTGAGTAGGGTAGCAGACCTTCCAGAGAGAGAAATAGATGGTGTCAAGTTCTGCTTAGGAGGCAGAATTGGCAGTTGTATTAGTCCTTTTTCACACTGCTGATAAAGACGTACCCGAGAGTGGGAAAATTACAAAGAAAAAGAGGTTTAATGGACTCAATTTAATGGACTCACAGTTCCACATGGCTGGGGAGGCCTCACAATCACGGTGGAAGGTAAAGGCATGTCTTACATGGCAATGGGCAAGAGAACATGAGAACCAAGTGAAAGGGGTTTCCCCTTATAAAACCATCAGATCTCATGAGACTTACTCACTACCACGAGAACAGTATGAGGGAAATTGCTGCCATGATTCAATTATCTCCCACTGGATCCCTCCCACAAAACATTGGAATTAGGGGAGCTAAAATTCAAGATGAGATTTGGGTAGGGACACAGCCAAACCATATTATTCCACCTCTGGCCCCTCCCCAAATCTTACATCCTGACATTTTAAAACCAATCATGCCTTCCCAACAGTCCCCCAAGGTCTTAACTCATTTCAGCATTGACTCAAAAGTCCACAATCCAAAGTCTCATCTGAGACAATGCTAGTGACTTCCACATATGAGCCTGTAAAATCAAAAGCAAGCTAGTTACCTGCTAGATACAGTGGGGGTACAGGCATTGAATAATATACCCATTTTAAATGGGAGAAATTGGCTAAAACAAAGGAGCTAAAGGCCCTATGCAAGTCTGAAATCCAATAGGGCAGTCAAATCTTAAAGCTCCAAAATGATCTCCATTGACTCCATGTTTCACATCCAGGTCACACTGATGTAAGAGGTGGCTTCCTATGGTCTTGGGAAGCTCCACCCCTGTGGCTTTGCAGGGTGCAGCCTCCCTCCAGGCTGCTTTCATGGCCTGCAGCTTTTCCACAGACACCGCTGAGTGTCTGCGGCTTTTCCAGGTGCACGGTCAGCTGTTGGTGGATCTACCATGCTGGGGTCTGGAGGATGGTGGCCCTCTTCTCACAGCTCCACTAGGCAGTGCCCCAGTGGGAACTCTGTGTGGGAGCCTCTACCCATTTTCCTTATGCACTGCCCTAACAGAGGTTCTCTGTGAGGCCCACCCCCTACCTGCAGCAAACTTCTGCCTAGACATCCAGGCATTTACATACGTCCTCTGAAATCTAGGCAGAGATTCCCAAACCTCAATTCTTGACTTCTGTGTACATGCAGGCCCAACACCATGTGGAAGCTGCCAAGGCTTGGGGCTTACACCCTCTGAAGCCACAGCCCAAGCTGTACCTTGGCCTCTTTTAGCCATGACTAGAGTGGCTGGGATGCAGGGCACCAAGTCTCTAGGCTGCACATAGCACAAAATCATTTTTTCCTCCTAGCCTCCAGGCCTGTGCTGGGAGGGGCTGCTGCAAAGGTCTCTGACATGCCAGGAGACATTTTCCCCATTGTCTTGGTGATTAACATTTGACTCCTCATTACTTATGCAAATTTATGCAGCTGGCTTAAATTTCTCCTCAGAAAATGGGTTTTTCTTTTCTATCACATCGTCAGGCTGCAATTTTTCTAAACTTTTATGCTCTGTTTCCCTTTTAAAACTGAATGCTTTTTATAATGTCTTATAAAAATATTTCACAGTGGCCAGGTGCAGTGGCTCACGCCTGTAATCCCAGCACTTTGGGAGGCCAAGGTGGGCAGATCACAAGGTCAGGACATCAAGACCATCTTGGCTAACACAGTGAAACCTCGTCTCTACTAAAAACACAAAAAATTAGCTGGGCGTGGTGGTGGGCGCCTGTAGTCCCAGCTACCCGGGAGGCTGAGGCAGGAGAATGGCGTGAACCCGGGAGGCAGAGCTTGCAGTGAGCCGAGATTGCGCCACTGCACTCCAGCCTGGAGGACAGAGCAAGACTCCCTCTCAAAAAAAAAAAACAAAAAAAAACAAACTGAATGCTTTTAACAGCACCCAGCACCCAAGTCACTTCTTAAAGGCTTTGCTGCTTAGAAATTTCTTCTGACAGATACCCTAAATCATCTCCTTCAAATTCAAAGTTCCACACATCTCTAGGGCAGGGGCAAAATATCACCATCTCTTTGCTAAAACATAGCAAGAGTCACATTTACTCCAGTTGCCAACAAGTTTCTCATCTCCATCTGAGACCACCTCAGCCTGGATTTCATTGTCCATATCATTATCAGTATTTTGGTCAAAGCCATTTAACAAGTCTCGAGGAAGACTTTCCTACATTTTCCTGTCTTCTTCTGAGCCCTCCAAACTGTTCCAACCTCTGCCTGTTACCCAGTTGCAAAGTTGCTTCCACATTTTCAGGTATCTTTACAGTAGTGTCCCACTCTACCAGTACCAATTTACTGTATTAATCTGTTTTCACACTGCTTATAAAGACATACCTGAGGCTGGTTAAATTATTAAAGAAAAAAAAGGTTTAATGGACTTATAGTTTCACATGGCTGGGGAGGCCTCGCAATCATGGCAGAAGGCAAAAGACACCTCTTATATGGTGGCAAGCAAGAGAGAATGAGAACCAGGTAAAGGGGTTTCCCCCTTATAAAACCATCAGATCTCATGAGACTTATTCACTACCACAAGAACAGTTTGAGAGAAACTGCCCCTATGATTCAATTATCTCCCACCGGGTCCCTCCCACAACATGTGGGAATTATGGAAACTACAGTTCAAGATAAGATTTGGATGGGGACACTGCCAAAGTATATCAGCAGTGTTTGTTAAATGGAGGCAGTAGGCTAAGGAAAGAGGGGATGCAGGGCATAGCCCAGGTTTTTAACGTAGAAAAATAAGAAAAATTTTGAAAAAAATTTACACTTCTGAGGCACTTTCCAAATAGTAGATACTATTCTAAGCTCTTGACAAATAGCAACTCATTAATCCATATGATAACCCTATGATGTAGGTACTATTATTTTCCTCCCTATTTTACAGAGAAGAACACTAAGGTTCAGGGAGGTTAAATAACTTATACAAAGTTAGAAGTAGAACCAGCATTTGAACCTAGAAAATCTGGGTTCACCATTTGGCTTGTACATCTCTACTCCTGTTAGATAACAGGCTAAATGAAACTCAAGAATTGATTAAAACTAACAAGAAACTTATACTAAGAATACCCTGGTTGAGGCAACCCTGTATTTTTGTTATCATGGTCCTGGACATTCAATAACTTTTGTCCACACTCCACATCTGTCTTTAATCCCTTTATTTGTATATGTCACGTATATTAGTTCTTCTTCTTCTTGTTGTTCTTTTTTTTTAATAAAAAGGGTCTCACTCTGTCACCCAGGCTGGAGTGCAGTGGCATGAACATAGCTCACTGTGGCCTCAAGCTCCTGGGCACAAGTCATTCTCTTGCCTCATCCTCCTGAATAGCTGAGACTACAGGCATGTGCTACCACACTTGGCTTACTTATTGATTGATAGATAGATAGATTGATTGATTGTAAAGGTGAGGTCTCTCGCTATGTTGCCCAGGCTGGTCTCAAACTCTTGACCCCAAGGGATCCTCCTGCCTTGGCCTCCCAAAGTGCTGGGACTACAGGTGTGTCCCACCATGCCCAGCTTGTTTCTATTTAATAAGTTATTAAGAACCTGAAATCCAAATATAAATGGTCTGTCTTTCAGTAAATTTATCAAATGAGTCACTAAATGCAGAGACTCCCAACTGCCTTTCCTTATTCACAAATAAAAGATGGTGTCTGGGGTGATTGTTGTTACCCACATATGCCCTCCTCTGGAGAGCTGATCTGACTCTGTGGGGAGTGCGTGACGATTCCCTTCTTGTTTCAGGTCTTGAAGACTCAGGATTTCCCTGCTGGGATCCTATGTCTCTACCAGTTCTCACATAAATCTACATTTAGATTGAAAAAAAGAAAACCCAGATTCCATTCAGAGTATCAACTTCACAGCCATCAGCAGCAGTGTGATGACAAACAGCAGCATAGTGACAAACACTAGCAGGGCCAGCCCAATGCTGTGCAACACGTTTGGGGTAGGAGTGAGACCCAAGGAAGGCAAAGAAATGACAGAGGTGTTTGCAGCCATGGGCCTGGGGGTGAGTGACAGTGTCTTGTCCTCAGGCTTCAGCATTTGCCGGCCACTTGGGGCCAGAGCACCTCTTAGGAATGTGTCCCTCTCCCTTTAATTGAAGCTCTTTTTGCCCCTTCTCCTTGTCCTGCTCTTGATCTTTGCCTCCAGGTAATTTTCTCCCAATTTAAAAACTGTTGGGTATTCTGACCTCTTGCTATATTCTTTTAACTACCTGGAGTCCCTGGTTTTGATCTTCTAAGGTCTGATCTCTCCTACTCATGTTGATTTCTATTTGATAAGGCTCTTTGTTTCCAACTGAATTGCTAGCTCCAGGTTATTTGAAATTATAGAGACAATAAAGGAAATAAAGACATGGAGTTTGAAGAGGAGATGATATGGAAAACAAACATTAATACAGAGGCTTTGGGCAAGGAACTTTATGATTCCTTGGCTCAGATTCTCATTTTGAGACACTAAAAAGTTTTTTCTCCTTGTATAAGACATGCATGGGCCATATCACAGTGTCTGACCAGTAGTAATGGTTAATGTTAGCTATTAATATTGTTGTTATTGATTTGTACCTTCAGATTAGCTTCAGTTTCCCCAGATTCTCCTCAATACCCTTTATAAACTAGAGACTATTACATGTTATTGACCAATTAGCCATCAGTTCTAGGTAACATGGGAATCATTTCCTGTAGCCAGTAAAAACATGAGCAATTAATCATTTCACATAGGATTTCTCAGAATGAGTTTTTGTGTTCATAATTGATGACACTGTTGCCTTTCCAACAATCTCTTCCTCTATATAATAAATTAAATTAAATTCTTTTAATACTCATGTGGCATCATTGTAATGTTGATTTTTTATAAATATACATCATGTTTCCCTTCCTAGACTGTAAATACATAACACAGGGCTATCTCTCGCTGTTTGGTGTCTCCACAGATCATCCTGTTTTACACATGGTAGGAATTCAATTAAAATCTATTGACTGATCCTTTTAAGCAAACGAGAGGACACGTGTACCCCACACAGGGTGAAATGGGTTCTCTTTTGAAACTAAGCAGTTGTTTTATAGAGATAACACTTTGGTGGTTATGCTGTTAAACACTCAAGTTAAAATCAATGTGGTACGTCAATGTATTCATTTTTGTTTATTGGAAAGTGTAGTGCTAAGATTTTTAGATGCTTTTGATGAAGTCCCTAAATACATATATACAGATACAGAAGAGATATAGATGTAGACATAGAAATATGTCTGAGGAACACGTGCATCAATCCACAATGCACAGGTTTCATGAAACATCTGAAAAAGGAAGCTAATATTATAACTAACCAAGAGCAACTAATGGCAAAAAATTCCACTAATAAATTGTTTTTATATTTTTAAAATGGAATTTTTTATTTCTATTTAACTTATGCTATGTCACAATAAAAATGCAAAAATAAGTTATCAAGTTGAGTTATTCCAATGTGTATTATGGTTTTTACACATAAGAATTCAGCCTAATTAATAATCCAAAATGCCACATACAGATAAATTATGATAGTTCATGTAACAAAATTATATTTTGTTGACATATATTTTGATGCTAAGAATCTTAATAAATTCAATATCATAATGTTTCTCTTATTGAATAAAAACTGCAAAATTGAGTATTATTTGGTCATAAATCTTATATCATCTATTCTAATATGGCAAACTATATATCGCTTTGATGAACATAACAACAGTTATAAAAACTTTAGGAATGTTTTGGATTTTTTGAAACTAATTTTTAACACACATTTTCCTCAGAGATATGGACTATAAAAATTACTGTATAAAAATTACAAAATCGCTAAAATTCTTCAATGAGTTTAACTATAAATAATGCTTAAAATAATTATAAGACTTCGTAAACAACTCTTTCACTTTGCTCTTTTAACAGTAAGATACTAGTTTAAAGATGTGATATTTATAATCAATATAAAAAGGTAGCAATCGATTTTTAAGAGAGAAGTCAGGGTATTAACTAGAACGCACAGTTTTCTTTGGCAGTTGTAGACAAAGGTCATAGGGTCCTAGTAACCATAGCTATCATTGTCATTTCCAGAATTTTAAATAATCTAAGTGATCAGACCCCAGATTATTTTAATCTAAAAGATAAAAACAAATACTTGAAGCCATCCTCTACGCTAAATGCTAGGTTGACCTGAGAAGGCAGGTGTTCTAGGCAAAAGGGCCAGCACCTGCAAAGGGACAGAGTTGAGAAAGCATGATCTGTTCAAGAAGCCTAAAGTGGTTTTTTGTTTTTGTTTTTTGGCTGGAATATAAAATGGCAAAAAAGGAAGCTGGAGAGGAGTGCAACATTAGGTAGGTCCTAAACTGTTTAAAAATAGGCATGATGGCATGATGACATTAGTGCATCTCCACTCTAGATGCAATATGTGAGACTGATTTGAGGGAGACAACAATGGCTGCAGTGACATCAGTCTAATGATGATGGCTGTGACGATGACAATAGTGACAGCAGCTATCTGAGCAACTCATCGAGTATGACAGGGGCAGAAACCAAGTTCAGTGGCTTGAATAATGCCTAAGATGAGGAGTGCGCAACAGTGCAGACTCTTATTCAAGAATTTGGGTAGGAAAAAAAATGAGGGGTTAGAGCAGTAGGTATGAAAGATAGGACTGAGAGAAGGCTGTTCTTTAGAATGGGAAAAGTTCAGGGTTTTGGTAAAAGACAGGAGATTTTTAAGAAAAAACAATTGAAGAAAAGATGAGAATTAACTAATGAGATGCTATCATGGGAAGTTGAGGGATTGGGTACAATCACACAAATAGAAGAGTTAACTGGGCAAGAGACTAAGAATCTCTTGTTTAAGGGGTAAGCAGGAAGGTAATTTTAGATGCATGAGAGGGAAGCTGGCTGAGTATATACTTGATGGTTTCTATTTTTTTCTGTAAGTATGGTCTGAATATTAAAGAGAGTGGTGACAATTAGTCATATGAACGAACTGAAGTTGATATTTATACTATTTTTCACAGAGAGAGGAGAAGAGAGAAGTAGGGTTTAATAATTTGTATACTACAAACACAGAGGAAATACACCCATGTCTTACTTAACAATAAGCATTTTCCCCAAATCCATTTACAGTATAGTTTATTGCTAAATGAGTGTAAATTCTTAACTATTGATTAATATTCTTACATTAGATATGTCCTCCAACATTTTTGCTTTTTGCAGTGCTTCAGAAGGACAAAGCCTCCTCCAGGCCCCATGTGCTTCTTCCATGTTAAAAATCTGCAGGAGAGTGTTTCTGCCTCCATATTTATTCATTTGTCAAGTAGTTATGGAGGGCCTCAGTACAGGCATGATGCTGAATGAGGAAGACAGTCTGTGTCCTCGTGGAACTTACTGTCTACTGGACCCTCTCTTTTCAGCAAGCCCTCTTCTCACACAATTTCTCTACCAGCAGCAGAAAATAATGAGTATTGTTTTCAATGCAATTTCATTAAGTGAGGTTCGTGCATCATTAATTTGTGTAGTAAGACAAAGCATTGAAATTTCTCTATTTTGCACATCCTACTTTGCAGATTATTCATCTGAATAATGAGGCCACAGATCACCTAAAGAATCTTTTCATAATATTGAATCTATGAATTGAACTGGAATTCTGCTCTAAGAAATGACAACTTTGTATCTCGTCTCAGGAAAAGACTATTATAACATCTTATAAAAATATTTCATAGCGGCTGGGCGCGGTGGCTCACGCCTGCAATCCCAGCACTTTGGGAGGTCGAGGAGGGCTGATCACAAGTTCAGGAGATCAAGACCATCCTGGCTAACATGGTGAAATCCCATCTCTACTAAAAATACAAAAAATTAGCCAGGCGTGGTGGCAGGCACCTGTAGTCCCAGCTACTTGGGAGGCTGAGGCAGGAGAATGGCGTGAACCCAGGAGGTGGAGCTTGCAGTGAGCTGAGACTGTGCCATTGCACTCCAGCCTGGTTAACAGTGCGAGACTCTGTCTCAAAAGAAAAAAAAAAAAATTCATAGCACATACTTTTGATTAAGTTGTACTGATGTACTTCCTCTCACTTTAAAATGAAATGAAAATGTCTTAGAATATTGCAAATATATTTATTTTTTTCATATTATACATATATTTACCTTTAAAAATGTATTAATAAAACAGCAATAATATTTAACAATAAAGATAAAAGCAAAAGGAACTTAAAAACTCAATTATTTGGAATGCATGGGAGACTATGAACTATGAAATTTTTGATTCAGAAATCTCTTTGTTGAATGAGTTTTTATTGGAGATGTGGTATCAAAAACCACCTTTCTCCTTTGGAAATATATTGAATACAAATCAATCTTCTTTGACATTTGAAGATTTTTCTATGCTTATGAATATAACCAGAATATTATTAGTAATATGCTTGAAAATGTAGAAAGTCTAGGAGATTGAAATAAATATATAATGGCATTCAGTTGCTGTTTCCCTTAAGTTCTTTATTTAAGTTTGATTTCTTTTAAGTATTGCCAATTTAGTTCTGAAAATAAGGGATAGGGAAATCAATATCTCCCATGCACTCTAAGTGACTCCCATGTTTACAAAATATTCAAACAATAAAATTTTGTTTTATTTTTAGTAGATAAGCATTTAATAATTATTAAAATTAGCATTTTATTTTGGGACTCTGGGCCTGTCAGGTATATTTTTAAGTAAAATGTTTCAAGATTTTTATTAACTTATTATATACTTTTGTTCAGAAAATTATAGCCTCCATCTTAATATTCAAAAATGGAAAAAAACTTATAAGAAAAAGATCTTCACTATGCTCTGAACTCTTATATGTTATCATTTCTCATTAAATCCAGTTAAAATAAAAAAACAAAACCCTTGTTAGCTTGTGAAGCAGTGAATTATCCAGTTCTCCAGATAAGAGAAAAGCTATTTGAACTTCTCACATATCTCCTAATCTTCAAAGCCTTGAAATGTGTTATTTTCGGCTACTTTTCTGCCAACCTTATTTTAGATGGAAGCTCATTTCTTTTAAAGTTTCTATCATTGATTTCTAACTGAAAAACAAAACACGAAGCTTGCTGATAGCGAAAGTCCCCAAGTGAAATAGCATTAAGGGCATTAAGTTGTTCCATAAAGGTATTTAGGAACCACAAGGTATGTAGTCAGCAGTGGGAAAAGCTAAGGAGTGGGTGACAAAGCATCTCTGGTCTCCTTTCAAAATGAGTCAGAAGAGAAAATGTATTATGAAGAGAGATCTCTCCACCCCATATTGTCAAATGTCAATCATAGTAATTAAGGACTGAAAAGTAACACCCATATTCATTTGCAAGGAGATAGTTTTTTTTTTTATAATTAAGGGAGTAAAATCTAATAACACAGCCATGGTATCTCAATCACATAAAGCATAAAGAACATAAAGAGTCCCCACAATAACACTACCCCAAAAGACTCACTATCAGCTTTATATCGTGTCTCTTTCCAGATGCTTTTCTAGGTGTGTCTAAACAAATACTTTTTAAAAGGATTGTAATATGAATATTATTTTAAAAACTACCTTTTAAACTTAATATAGTATTGCTCTTATTTCTAAAAATAAATGTAGAGCCACATTACTATGTGTATGATATCCTTATATGCAGATAATACATAATTTATTTAACTCATTCTTTATTGATTGACATTTAGATTGCCTCTAGACCTTTGTTCTTATAAGCTCAATGATGAAAAACATGTCTGCATAGCATGCATTTATGAAATTATTTCAGGATGCATTTCTGAAAGTCGTAACATTGTGGAAAAGGACACGTATAATCTACGTTTTGATACATATTTACAAACTGTACTTCTAAATGCAGAGTTATTGCCCCCAATATTGCATAGAAGAGCAAATTTCTTCAACATTCCTCATTATAATATGTATTATATTTCATCTTCATCTTGCCCAGTGAAATTTAGTTTTGATTTTTGATTATGAGTGAGGTTGAATAGATGTTCATGTGCTTATTGGACATTTTCACCTTTTCCTGCTCTCTCAGTTTCCTAATGTGGTGTCTCTTTTTCTTTTTTCTTCTTATACTTATTTGTAAGAGTTTTTCATGTTCATTCCATTAAGTAGGGATGTGCCTATCAGATGTTCAGTGAAAAGCTTGGACTAGTGTTGTAAACCTAAGAGTCTATGGGATGCCTTGAAAGTCCAGTATCATATGTGATCACCTATGAGGAAAGTTTACAAAGTAAGGAGAAGAGTTTCCAGGGAAAAATCCAGGAAAACTGATATTTGAAAGTTGAAGAAAGGATAAGAAGTCAGCAAAGAATACAGAGCAAGAGTTGGGGTTTGTTTTGTTTTTTGAGACAGGGTCTCACCCTGTCACCCAGGCTGGAATGCGGTGACACGATCATAGCTCACTGCAGCTTTGAACTCCTGGGCTCAAGTGATCCTGTTGCCTCAGCCTCCTGAGTAGCTGGGACTACAGGTGCATGCCACCACACCCAACTAATTTTTATTTTTATTTTTTGGTAGAGATGGGGTCTTGCTGTGTTGTCCAGGTTGTTCTCAAACTCCTGGCCTCAAGAGATCTTCTGGCCTCAGCCTCCCAAAGTGCTGGAATTACAGGTTTAAGCCACCTCCCGGCCAGGAAGAATTGTTAGTAAGGCAGAAAGGGTGCCAAAAGATTATGGTGTCACAAGAGAAGAGAATGTATCAAAATGGAGAAAGTGGTTGATGATGTGTAACTCTGCTGAGAGGTCTAAAACACGTGTGTGGGGTTTGGCTGCTTGAAGGCTACTGGCAGAAAGCTGGGGGAGGTAATGGTGCAGATCTTAACCTTCAGTGGGTTAATGAGTGAATTGGATCCTAGATGGCAGGGAGAGCATACACAAACACTTCTTTCAAGTAGCTTCACTGTGAAAGCAGAGATAGAACGTAGTGGCTGGAGGGAGAGCCTGGGTCAAGTTTGAAGATAGAAGCTCACTATGATGGCAATAATCCAGTCAAAGAAAGGCTGTGTTGCAGGAGAATGATGGGAAAACCGAAGGAGGCAAGTTTTTAAGCAAGCAAGAGGACACGGGTTCTAGCAAAAGGATGGACTCCTGTGAAAATCCCTGGCCAAGATTACCAATGACCTTCATACCAAATCTAATGAAGATTTGTTAATTTTCATCTTACTAATATACCTAACACATTTGGCTACTTATTCCCTCTACTCCTTGACTTCCATGACATCTCTCTTTCCTGGTTCTTTTCTGTCCTTTCTGAATGCATTTTCTAAACTTCTTTTGGGGCATCTCTTCCCTGCCAATCCATTCTTGGTGTGTTTCAGCACCCTATCTCTGGTTCATTTTTCTTCTCTTGCTGCATGCTGTCCCTGGGTGATCTCTTTTGGACTTATGAATAAACTCTCATTTATATGTCCATGACTCCCACATTGAAACCTAATTCCAACCTCAGAAATTGATCTTATAGCCAATGGCTTGATAGACAGTTTCACCCAAATATCCCACAGGAACCTAAAACTCAAGGATCCCAAACTGAATTCATCACACACTCTGCTTTAAGATTTGCTTCCTATATTCTGTTCTCTCAGTTAATGATACTGTCAACTACCGATGCCATATCCAAAAATTTATTTAACTCATTCTTTATTGATGACATTTAGATTGCCTGTAGACCTTTGCTATCATAAACTCAATGATGAAAAACTTGTCTATATATCACGTATTTGTATCTCTTCTCTTAGGCTTGTTGATGCCCTGAATTTGACTAAGAGAAAAATGCTTGAATTCAGAGATAAGGTTAACAAATTAGGAAACATTTGGCAAAAAATTTAAGATAAAATTATATAAAGTTAGTTTTGAGAAGTAAATGGAGTCAAAACTTCTCTCTTTTCACTTCAAACTTGCTAAGTTAAATAGTGAGGCATTAGCTAACTCTCTGTATCAGTTGTCTGTTCATGAGAGAAGCAAGAAAAAACAATTGCTGATTGTCACTTTTTATTTTAAAATGCAATGTGTGGGTTTATTTTTCAAAAATTATCAGAAGTACATCAAATTACGAAGAACAGAAAACAACATTAATACTTATGCAGGTTCAAGAACAATAATTTGCCACTATTTTTCTTCATCATAGACATATATATCACCAAGAACTTGTGGTAAGTGACAAGTACCAGCTTTTTGCAAATAATATGTTTGCTCTAACTTTTATTGATCAAGAGGCACTAAAAAGTTTACAGAACACCTATTTCTGATATTATTAAAGTGGTTGGCCAAGCTAAGCTTCTGGTTCATACTCAGTACTCAAATATTAGTTCAAAGTTCAAATATATTTGGGGGAAAATTCAGTTTCGATTGCAAAAAATATGTTTGGTTGCCCTCAAGATACACTTTTTGGTACCTGTTGTTTTCATGTCTGCAGAGAACACTTGGCTCTCACATTTTATTGCATCTTATTATTGTCTTGCCTCTGCACACACATACAAAAATGCCAGCCTTTGCCCAAAACATAGTCACTTCTGACTTGACAGGGAATCTCAGAAATGGCAATCGTGACACAAAACACATTGGACTATCAGGAGGTATGGGAAAAAAATCAAATAACTAAAGATTTATTAAAGGCTAATTTAATAATGATAAGAATGGAAGTGATAAAAATGAGTCTATGTGATAAAATTATTTTTGCATTAATAATCTAGCTACTTGCTTCAATAAGAAAAGGTACCCATTTTAAAGGGGATCAATTTCCACTGAAGCCGGAATCTGTTAGATGAAAATCTTCAGGTGGGGTTGTTTGTAACTTGCCATGACAAGAAGCACCAATAAAAGGGCTAATGTACAGCTAAAAATAAGAGGTGCTTAGCACCTACCACTTCCCACCATTATGCAGGATGTTAAGAATAGGGTGTCCCAAGTGCTCTGGGCCTGGAGGTGAGGAAGGGTGAAGCAGATGACAGATCCCAGAGAACTGAGCAGAGAATCAGATATGGAGAACACAAGGCACAAGCACCCTTCCTAGAATCGGGGTAGCATAAATCTAGCGTCTAGAGTTGGAGTACTTACTTCTTTATTTATAAGGTAGGGATTTTGAACAGAGGAACAATTTGCTGAATCCAGGGAACAAGTAGAACCAACCAAACAGCCAATTTGGCCAAGTTGCAGTTGGTCTTTAGAATTCCAGAGGGCCTGAGAGAGTGGGCCATGGCATCCAGAAGCCAGGTAGAACAAGCAATCTGGTTTTTGTACAGTATCTACATCAGTATACTCTTTCTCGAATTCCGGGTCACTAGTTTCAGAAAATATAGACTTCTTTCTTGGATATCTTTCCTAGAAAAACTTTTATTATTAACCTCCCCTGTTCTAGTTCTCATGATCCAAGTATCTATGGACACACTTAATGATTACAAAAAAAATCTATTTACAAAATTTATCATCTTTCCCTGTGTACAGATATGCATTCGCAACATTAAGTTTGTGCACCACATATACATCGTGAGCTTTCTGCCAAACAACCATGAATGCCCACTTCCTCAACCTATGATTGGGCAGGGGACTTCCCTCCTCTGGTTCACTGGCCTTGTGGCTTTGTCTGTCTGTGGCTCAGGCACTCATACTACACCCCAAGTTCTTGGATGGCTTTCATTGCCACCATTTGTGCAGTTTCCACTCCTCCACAATGCAGTGTAGATGTATCAGGTATACGGGTTTACTCAGTTCTCTTAGAGATTTGGTATAGAAGGTATTCTTATTCTTGGAATAAGAAGCACTAAAGCTAAAAGGGTAGCCAGCTCAGATCTGCCCAGTTTAACTCTGCCATTGTTGCTCTTCCTCCTGACTTTGAGGAATAGAAAATAACTACAAAGGATGGAAACAGTATATATTTCCTAAGAGGGCCCTTACCTAGTATTTCTTATAATCAATACTTTAAACCTGTTTCCTTTTTAATTTTCATCCTAACACAGCAACAAGAAGAGACATGTGTAATACAGTATGAGCGCTGACCAATTATCATTCTTCTTTTCCCAAAATATGAAAGAAGGAATACTCATAGCTAGCTGATAGATTAGCAACAATTCAGAAATGAACAGTTAGGCCATTTCTTGCAGCTCGTCATTTCTTTGTATAACAAGAACTGAAGGCAGCAGTTAAAAGGGAGATGCAGTAAGGAGTGTTTTATTATTCATTGTTAGCACTTTAACTCAAAGTAGGTGAGAGAGTGAGGCATAGAGGGATGGAAACACAGGATAGATGGGCTTTGACAAGTGCAAGAGAGGAGGCTGGTGCTTGAGGTCATTCCTGGTCTGGATGGAGCCCTGCATTGGAGGCAGAGCTGACCACAGAAGGTCACTGAATGCCAGAGAGGAGGTGGTGGGACTCTGAAGATGCTGCCCATTCCTCATGCTAGCTCTCCAATATCTCAAGTTGCGAAAGTTATGATAAGG
Organism: Homo sapiens; assembly: GCF_000001405.40. Classification (NCBI taxonomy): domain Eukaryota; kingdom Metazoa; phylum Chordata; class Mammalia; order Primates; family Hominidae; genus Homo; species Homo sapiens. The sequence continues at coordinate 114,268,983 of NC_000006.12, forward strand.
GTTAAGGATGTTATGGGCTATTAGACTGCTACCTTCCAACACTTAACATTTTATGATTCTAAAACAGTTCATTAGTTGCTTTCTAAAACCTCACCTAAAGTATAAGCTAGTCACATTTTTGAAAAGAAGTAAGAAACAAACTTGTTGAATGCCTATGTGTCAAGCACGGTATTAGGCAATGTACACATATTATCTCATATAACCCCACAATCCTGTGATGAAGGAGTTATCTTTCCATTTTGTGGGTAAGAAAACAGACTCACAGTGATTAACCATCTTACCTAATATCACACAGCTTTATGTAACAGAGAGTGGAGATCTGATTCAGTGCTCATCCTGTTTCTATCATATTATGGTACCTCTATGAAAACCCCACCATATGTAAGACCATGCATGAAACCAGGGATATTTAAAGGGAGACAGATTCAGGTAGCTCTAGAAGCTAAAGCAAAATTTGAATAGTTGTGTAATTTTCTGGGAAGGGACAATTTATAGTTCTCATCATATTCTCAAAGGGTTAACCATAAAATTTGAAGAACCACTGCACTCAGTGTATTTAGAAAACAACAGCCATTTCCCCCTTCAGTTCCACCATATGGCATCATAAGCTCATTCCCAACATACTCAATTTTCTCTGGTGATTGAAGCAAGGGTAGAAACCTTAGAAAGGAGATTAAATAATAATGAAATATACAAGAGTCCATTTGGCTATGTGTGCTGTTTGGCGGCTGCCCATACAATTTCTGGTTATCAGCACACCCCAGGGGCTATTGTAGGTTCATTAATATAATTTTAGACTAGAAGATCCTTGGAGATCATATAGTCCAATCCCCTCAGTTTATAGATGACAAAACCAAGACCCTCAGGGCTAGAGTGACTCACATTTTCACACAGCCTTTCACTGGCTTGATAATGGATTTAATATTTATCCAGTAATCAGTCACTTTTGGCCATCATCTATGCCTCCATGATCAGTCAATGGGAGGAGAAAACATTGGGCTTATGCTCAAATTGACCCTTCCAGTGCTAGTATTGATCTAGCATTACCAGATACTATTTAGCTTTTGAGCTTTAATCAGATTAGCTGCGGTGGCACCACGTCGTCTGGCACCAGAGTGGTCTGTGGACGATGTCAGGAAAAGTTGATATGATGCTGAGAATTCTTGTATTCTGAATTAGTAAATGAGAAAAAAGAAGATGCCCTTCTCAAATGCAGCTTAATGAGGCAGACTGCCAATTTTGCTAATATAAAGGCAAGTTATAATGACAAAATAAGTAATTTAATTAGTCTATTGCAAATGAAAACATTCCATCCACACCATTATTTCAAAGTATTATGATTTCATTGATTTCCATTTCAGTGAAAATATAAGAAGGAACTTTTAAAAAAAATCCATTAAAAAATCTTTAAACCGGGTATAAGAGGAAACTGCTAAAATAAATTGCATTTTTAGACTGCATTATAAAATTTCATTTTGGTACAAATTGATGCATGCTCCTAGTCATCTGACATGATCCTAAAGTACTGAAATAAATTACATATTTTAAATAAAAACACTGCAGAAAGCTTCATTTAAATTGACTTAAATGGGCAGGAGGCAGCATATGCTGTAGAGACAGCTCTGGAATGGGATGCAGGGAGGTTCTATGCAGCGTGAACTTGGGTAGCACACTTAGCCTCTCTAGGACTTACTTTTTCATCCTGAAAAATGTGGAGGTCTGCCTGTGTGAGTTTTAAGGCTTTGTCCAGCTCTAAGTTGATAAGCCTATGATTCTGTCATAACATTTTTATCACTGAATATGAATTCAGAAAGCTTGTTCTCATTACAAAAAATAAAAAGGGTTGGGATTAGCCATATAAAAAGCAATATTACCAAAAATGGGTGGTGCAGATTAACAATTATCACAGAAAAGTGGAGAAAAAAGAAATTAAATCAATATAATTTTGTTTAGGTTCCATGTTTTTTTTTTAAAAATGCCCCAAGTAGACTTATTATAATAGGTTATCATAGAATCGTAGAATCAGAGGGGATCTTAGAGGCTGTCTATTAAATACCATTCACAATATAAATTTCCTCTAAAGTAACACAGAGACATGATGTCTATCTGTTGCTTGAGTATTTCCATTAACTAATAATAGGAGAAAGTCCACTTGGACAGGTCTAATTGTTACAAAGTTCTTTGTAGTAGTTAAAACCTGGCTTCCAGTTGCCTTTGCTGATTTCTGCTGCTCAGTTCTGGTGTATGTTGTTTCTCAATTGATCATGGAGACCAAATTTTGCCATCTCATCAGGCCCACTCCCTGGTTTCTTTTCTTTCTTCTTACTAATCTCTACCAATTCCTGTTTCTCTTTTATAATTTTTGGAGATTCTTAAACACAGTAAGTGAGATTATGTATATATGAAATAAATGAATTGACAAATTCATTTAGAGTAGAAATCAAACAGCTCTTAAGAAATATAATCTAGCCCTGGATGAACAGAAATTATATTTCTAATAAATTAGAAATATAATTAATCCAGGCTCTGGGGAGGCTTATGTTTCAGAAATATATATTCTATACCTAAGAAGAAAGTTACAACTTCAAATTAAAGCAAAAATCTAGTTTATTTATTGCTGACTCAGTATCTCTTCCCTTACAATTGTATCCTATTTTTTAAAAATTTTCCTCAATTTTATCCCCTCATTGCCTCCCACATGATTGAATTCATTCAATATGACATCCCAATTAGTATTCTTTCTGCCTTAAGCTATATATTTAAGATAAGCCTTTGTATTAAGATAAATATTTTCATTTTCTCCTTCTCTTTCACTTCAGAGGAAGAATTCTCTCCTCTCCTTTCCAAAACAAATTCTACATTTTCCACTCTATGATTGCCACCTGTCTGCAGGAGGACCGTGGCCCACTAAGTCCTCCTTCTTTTTCTCAAATCTTCCATCTTTCCTGGCATGCTATAAATATGTTCTCAATATATTAGCAAAGCAGAAAAATGACAGTGTTGGATGGATAGTGGATGACACTGGTGAGCCACTGTATCAACCATATCCTAATGCTACACTTCTTTGAACATATATTTATTTAATTTTTTGAACATATTTATCATAGGCTCTTTAAAGTCTGTCTGCTAAATCCTACTTCTGGGTCACCTAAGAGTCACCTTCTATTAACTCTTTTCCATTATTGTTAGCCACATTTTCCTATGTCTTTACATGTACAGAATTTTGGATTGAATCCTAGATTTGGTAGACGATATGTTGTAAAGGTTCTGGAGTCTGTGTTCTCCCTTTGAGGAGTGTTCATTTTATTCTAGTAGGCAGTTAATTACTGGATGATCACCTTGACATTGTCTAGGACAGATGTGTAAAAAGGTCAAGGTGTCTCTCAATCCCCTCTAACAGGGCAAGACTTAACTTTGAAAGATTATCTCCCCTTCTAAGGAATCTTGACACACATGTTTTTAAGCTTTGCAGAGAAGGGTATGGTACTAAACCTAAGGCATAGCCTTTCTAATGTTGCATTAGATGTTGGAGGTGATTACAAGGTGCGAAGATGTTAACCTGCCTAAGATGGAACACCAAAGTCTTCCAGTGCTGCTGTTCCATTTTCAACTCCATAGTACATAGTCACTTACTGCTAAGCCACAGGAGAGTTCTCCCTGAGCCCAGCCTTCAGCCCAGGATCCACGTGGGACCTCCACAAAGACCCCTGGGATTCCTCTACAAATTCCTTTCTCTCTACCAACACATGCAGGGCAGGGCAATTACTGAGATGACATTTGATCAATGAGGTGAAGGAACAAGGCATGCAGATAACAGAGGGAAGAAAATGCCAGGCATCAGCCGGTGCAAAGGCCTTAAAGTGTAAATATTTGAGGACACAAAGTGGACAGTGTCTGACTAGAGTGGAGTGAAGTAAGAGTAGCAGAAGATACATTCAGAGACATACGAGAGAGGGGGAAGGAATGACAGCAGCCTTGCAAGTCACAGCCAGGATTCTACTTTTACTCTGAGTAAAATGGCCAGCCATTGGAGGATTTTAAGGAGTGACACGATTAAATTTAATTTTAAAAGGATCATGCTGGCTGTGTTGAAAATTAACTTTAGGGAACAAGGGCAGAGGAAAGGACAAAGAAAGATATGAAATAATGCCATTGAGAGATTATTGTGGCAAAAGAAAGAGTGATAATGGTGGAGAAGGGGGTAAGTGGTCAAATTTGAATATGGAGCCAACAAGGTAATCCTGATGAATTAGATGTAAAGTATGAGAGAAAAACCCTTTTGTCCTAAGCAATTGTAAGGACACTATTACCATCTACTGAGATGGGAAAAGGTGCTGGAAGAGAATTAACTGAAAAATTGGGATTTGTTTTGGATCTTTAAATTTGAGATGCTTATTAGAATCTAAGTGATATAATCTGTTGCATCTGAGCCTGGAGCGCTAGGGTGAGGTCCAGGTGAAAATTATCAGCCTATTGATGGTATTTAAGGCCATAAGACTGATTAAATCATTAAAGGAGTGAGAAGAGGAAAGAAAAGACATCCAGCGTCTGAGCCTTATGACACTCTAAGAGGTTAGGGACATGAGGAGAAATAAACAAGATGCAGAGAAAGAGCAGCCCGTTAGGAAAGTGAAAACCTAGAGGGGTATGGCCTCCTGAAAGTCAAGTGCAAACAAAAAGTGTTTCAAGAAAAATGGAGTAACTGATTGTGTCAAATGCCAATAGGTCAAATTGGATGAGGAATGAGAACTGACCTCTGTATGTGCAAGATGTAGTTATGGGTGATGCTGAAAGAGCAGTTTCAGGGGAGTTGTGGGGTGAAAGCCTGACTGGGGAGGGTGGTCCAAGAGAGGGGAGAAGAGGCACTGGAGATAGAGTCCTCACAGCTGTTTAGAAAAGTTCTACTCTAAAAGGCAAAAGAAAAATTGGGGTGTAGCTGAAGGGAGAAGTAGGGCAAAGAAGAAAGAAATTATAGATGGAAGAAATAACCATGTTTACATATGTGGGAAAGATCTAGTAGAGAGGGACATTTTGATGGTGTAACATGAAGAGGGGAGAACTGGTGGAGTAGTTCTCATGGGTAAGTACAAGGGAATGGGATCTAGTGACAACATGGTGGCCTCAGGTAGAAGCATGGGTGGTTCACCCAGAGTAATGAGGAGAAGACAGAGAATGCAGGCACAAAGGCTTGGGGCCAAATGGTTCTGCTGGTGAAATCTTTGGAAGTTCTCTTCTGATGCTTCTATTTTTAATGAAATAAGAGGAAAGGAGATCAGCGGAGAGAGACAATAGAGAAGATATGTGGAGTTTTGAGAAGAGAGGCTGATGACGGACTCAGGAAATATACCATGGCTTCTGGGCAGCACTAAGGATCCCTTGAAGTTAGTGATCACCAATGTAAAGTGATAATAGTCAGCACGGTTGTGTGTTTTTCTCTAGAAAGGTTGGTCTGCAAGGGAGCAGGCCTCACATAAACTAGGAGTTGTGTTTAGTTATGGATGGAACTGAGGTTATAAGGAAGAAACTAATTTGAATGACACTCTTAAGCTGGTAGGAGTAAAGTAAAGATAAAAGAGTAAGTGACAGTGAAAAGATAAAGAATCAATGGATCACAGGCCTCTAGAAATTTCTGAAATTGGAATAATAAAGGGAGCCATATGGAAAGACAAGTGGCAGTTAAGGATGCAGTACTTGAAATTGAGATTATAAAGGATATTCAGGTATTGGACATGAGAAAGCTTGAAGACTTTATGGCTTTAAGAGTGGTTGCAGCAAGGTGAAGGACAAGATCAGCTCAAATATTTATCTGGGTATGTTCTAGAGTTTAAGTACCTTGGAGTCTGAGAATGTGTCGGAGTCTGAGAATGTGTCAGAGTCATCTTTGTGCTCGTTAGCACCTACTAGTTCCCTGACTATACAACTATGTATACAACTATACACCTGACTATACAAGGTGACAGAGCTGGGATTAGAGGCCTTCCCTGATTTCCCTTCTACTAGTTCCCTGACTATACAACTATGTATACAACTACACAACTATACACCTGACTATACACGGTGACAGAGCTGGGATTAGAGGCCTTCCCTGACTTCCCTTCTCCCCCTCTCTTGCTTTCTAAGTTTCATAATACTTTATCTACAATTCTTTATGACTCAATATTCTACTTTGCATTTGTTGTTATCTAGGTATGTTCCAGAGTTTAAGTACCTTGGAGTCTGAGAATGTGTCAGAGTCATCTTCATGCTCCTTAGCACCTACTAGTTCCCTGACTATAAACTATAAATAAAAAGAACATAATATATGTTTATTAAGTCAATAAACATATAACTAATTATACAACTAAATACCAGTAGTAGCTAACATTGTCCCTTTGTGCCAAGCATTCTCTTTAGTGCTTCACACAGTGTTACTAAACTTTACATTAACACCTTCTTGTATATATTTTATGCTTACAATACATACAGAAACTGTGAAAAAGGGAATGATTTAAGTGACTCACATGGAGGATTTTGTCAGCACATGTGCATCAGGGAGTACATGATGACCAGGTGGCTCCCAACTAAAACAAGGTTAGGGTTTTTATAGCATAGGGTAGGGATCAGGAAACTTTCTGTAAAAGGCCAGATAGCAAATGTTTTAGGTTATTTGACCATTTGGACTCTGCAGCAACTCTTCAACTCTGCCATTATAGCATGAAAGCAGCCATCCACAGCACATGAATAGGTATGGCTGTGTTCTGACAAAACGTTATTTACAGGTACTGAAATTTAAATGTTATATAATATTCACACATCACAATATATTATTCTTTTTAATTTTTTCCCCATCCATTTAAAAGTATAAAAACCATTCTCAATTCTGAGATGTACAAAACCTGGTGCAGGTCTTTGGCCCACAGGCTATATAGTTTGCTGACTTCTGTGATAGGAAAAAGTCCTCGTAGTTTGGGCTTAGGCATCAGTTTTCAACTTTAATGGAAATTTAGGTTGGGCCCCTTTCCCATTTCCATGCCCCTTGCCTGAGGTTATTAGCACAATCTCAAACACCACCCGAAAATTATTTTCTGACAGCTGTTTATAGGCTGGTCAAAATTTATGGGGCTGGAGAGGTGGCTAGCTGCCCTCCCACCCCACCCCAAATAAAAGGCACATAGAAGGCAAGGGGGGAAATTGGAAACCCTTTACTATGCTTATGTTAGTTCTTTAATAACACCAAAGTTTAAATAAATTAAGTGACTCTCAAGGTGAGAGAGCTGGGATTAGAATCATTGACCTATGGGGTTCTCAGTTCATTGGACATCCTAGAGTACTACGCTGTAAAAGACATGCTAATAATTAATACCTTGCTCTGAATGTGCTTATAATACTTCATATGCCATGCACATAAAATGTTATTTATATATTTATTGGTTAAATGAATTAACATTTAAATATTGGCATCGTAAGTGAATAAGTATTCAGTATCTTTGTAATCAATGGGTAACTCATGCTTTTACACATAATAAGAGTAATCTTCTGATCAGCTATTAAAAAGCAAAAAGCATTTTTTTGTATGAGTACAAATTCCATTTACATAAATTAGCCCATGACCTGCTACAGCTAAATCTCCAAAAGCTATGAGAGTGTGGGAAAAAAAAAAACAAAAAAACAAAAAAACTCTCAAATTTTGGTGAAAGTTTCCAGATGAAATATATTAAATGACTCAGCACTCCATTTTCAATTTTCTACTCTTTAACTCATATTTTATAAAATATAGGACAGTTTCTACAGCAACAATTGGGGTCTAATTGGCACAAAAGGCCTATTTTTCAAGCATATGCATTTGTTCCTTTTTTCCTACTTGATCCACATAACCTACCTTGCATAAAATATTTGCTCTTTCCTATATCCTTGTATTTATGTAAGGAAATAATGGAACGATGGTCAGCATGGGATTAGTTTAGATCTTGTTGGAAGATATTATGATCATCTGGCTGCATTAGGAAGCTACAACAGGAAGGGAGTGGTGCATTTGGCAAAGAATGAACATCAATATGACTTTTCAGCTTTACCCTTTCCCCAGTCTGACTTTCTCTCACCTCAATGGAAATTCTATAGTCAGAGTATTTTGGGGTTTTTGTTTGTTTTGTTTATAAGACCACATACCACAAGATTCATGGTTTTTCAGGTTAACGTTTCAAATATTTGCAGAATCACTTCCTCCTCTATAAGGATGATACATTATTAAAGCTGTTTTTTTTTTTAATTCTTGATTTAATTCTTGTTTAAATTCTGTAACCCAAGAGTGGCTCTTCTGAGTTAGAGTATCAATATGGTATTGTCTGCCCATGGTGGATAAGTAATAAGCAGAACTAGGAAAAGGAAAAAATAAATTATATTTCTTTTGCTTCTTTACAAGAGGAAATATTAGGTTGGTGCAAAAGTAATTGCGGTTTTTGACATTACTTTTAATGGCAAAAACCGCAATTACTTTTGCACCAACCTAATACACTGCTGCTTACAACAGAAGTTATACAGACAGTAACAGTAATTATAACAGTCATAAATTTTTTTGTATAAATGCAAATATTAACTTTTTCCCCATTCCTTTTTCCCATTCCATTTGTATCTCTGGAGTTAATGGATACATTCATGGGTTATAATGCTTCTTGCACAAAACATTTATTTCATAGGCAAAGGGAAGGGGAAATAGTTCCCGATAAGGGAATGTATTCTAAACTGCTCCGTACTTGAGTACACATGTGGAAATTTCACTAACTTCGGGAAAAGCCATATGCAGATATTATTCAAGGTCGTTTTAAAAGAGTTAGCTCCAGAGAGTTATTCTTATATCCCTTCTTGAGCAAGAATGCTCTCATTGCAGGTTGCCTTGTCGAGGTTATAGTTGTAATTACAAAGGAACAAAAAGATGACTATTTTTTTTACTCTGTCATTTTAAAATGTATGTTAAAATTTTCCAAACATGAAATGGTCACCCTAATTATCACTGATGACAAAGCTCTGTGGTTCTCATTACTTACCTTTGATGAAGGCCACCTGCGATGGGCTTTGAGGGGGCAGGTTAGTGGGAGAAACAATAGGTGATTAAACACTGCCACTCATGACTGACAGCTGCTTCCTGACATTCGGGTTAAGTCATGAGGGAGGAAACCCAAAAGGGGCAAAGGAGCAGGTTTACATGTGCTCTTCAATTATTCTTATGCGATTTATATAGCTCCATAAATGAACACCATGCTGTAATAAAAAATAAATGTCAAAATCAATAGAAATCCTTGCTGTTCAATTCTTCTACTTCTTGAATTTGAATGTAGGCAATTTAAAGCATTATTCTTTTTCTTGTCATTATTATTAATTTTTCTGCCTTAAGGTTACATTTTCTGCATAATTTTGCTTGCAAATTTAACAATTCTTAGAAGGTTAGAGTCAAAAAGAACAGAAAAATTTCTCCCAAATAAATAGTGAAGTCCAACAAAATAAAATGAAAGTGGAGGAGAATTTAGAAATTAAGAGAAATGTGAGGTCTTTTCATATTTATTTCTAAAATACTGATACTTCAGTATTCTTTAAAAGTCCAGTAAAGTGAGGGACCATGAACTCATAATAAATCTCCAGGGTTTTAATTTTTGGTCAGCTGCATTCTGATTACTGCATACTAATTTCCAGAAAGCCAAAGGCTGAGGGCAGGTTGGGTGAGAGGAAGCACACTGCTGAAGTAGAAATTAAACAGACAGGGAGTGATAAGAACCTCTGAGTGAATTTATATTAAAAAAGACGAAGGCTAGGGGAACATACCTTTTTCTCTGCATATAATTTCATGCACACATGTAGATCTCAAAGGATTCCTTTCGAAAACCAGATGGAAATGTGTTCTCCACAGCAAACGACAGAATGCAGCTAACAATCAGTTTATCAGTAAGTCACCACTCAGGAAAAGCTCCCAAGCTTGGTAAAGAATCAAGCACTTCAAGAAGAAAACTCCTTTTATTCACTCTTTTTCTACTTTACTGCATCAATTCCACTTAGATAAATAGGCAGTAAACTATAGGATTGCTAATCAACCTTTAATGGCAACAAGTAGTCAATTTCTTTAGTTGGCAATTAGACAAAGAAATCTGGAGCTACTTAAGTATGTTAAAACTTCAGGAATATTCCAAGTTCGTATTTTTTAAAAAAAATCAGCATCTATGCCAATATTTAGATGTGTGTGCTTGTGTGTTTATCAGCATTGAATTGAAAGCAGGAATGTATTTCTGTCTGTACAAGCAAAAGCAAGTATATGCAATGTTACTAAAATGTAAAAGTGCTGCTTCAGGAAATGCCCTATAAATCGTGTTTGTTCTTAATATAGTACAAGAGAAATAAGGAGCAGTAAATTGCACCATGGGGTTCTGCCACAGAAGCAAAATTTCAACTTTATAACCTGTTCTTTCTATTTAGAGAAAAATAGGTGGAATCTGTGCTTTATGTGTTATACACAGTTCTAAATCTAGACCATGCGGTGATGGCATCTAACAAAGCTGTCCCAGATTTTTGTTGCAATTGCAGTGAGATCTAAATGATAAAAATGCCAAATGGGGGTGTTCTCTATTCTGGACAGTCCCCACATTTCTATTAGCTCCTGAAGGCTGTCCCCATTTTATTGCTTCCTGAAAACCTCCTCATTATGGTCAGGACATGGCCCCGGTATGGCTGGATTTACCTTGAAAGGAAGGAGCAGAAGTAGGAGTACCAGATATAGGACATGTCTCTTGCAGCAGGGCAGTGGTCTGGTGGGAGAGGAAGGGCTACCTTCCAGAAGTTGGGAGATTTTGGACAAGCTGGCTCCAAACAGTGTGCTCATTCATTCAACAAATATTTACTGAGATATTACTATGTAGAAGCACTAAGACAAGTGGTAGAAACATCATGGTGAATCCTGCTCCCTGACCTCCAATATTATGGAGTAGCTAGGAAGGTTCCCATACAGATCAGAAATGGGCAGGTAATTCTAATTCAGAATGATAAATGGGACCAAAGCTAAATTACATGGTACTGGAACTAGGAAAGGATACAGGAAGGGAGGCCAAGCCAGCCTGGGAGGGCTTCCCAAAGAAGTGATATCTAAGTGATACCTGAAAAAAGTGAGAGTTTTCCAGGATAAAGATGTGTGAGAGAGTGGGGGATGAGGTGTGGGGGAAGATGTTGGAAAAAAGGTATTCCAGGCAGAGGGAAAGAAAACACAAAGAATGTGGAAAAGGTAAAATTGTTCAGGGTGATTTCACTTGCTCCTGAGCACAATGGGATACTCTACCCCAGGATACAGGGGGTGATACAGGGCAGGAGATGGCAGCCATGAAAGTTAAGAAAGATTTAACAGGGGCCTAGTGAGCTGAGCCTGAAAGGAGACTGTGGGTCAGCATCACATAGCCTTTCAACAGGTAAGATGAGGGCTCTGGCCCCAGGCTAAGATTCAGGAGGTACGCCCTCTTCCAACAGGCAGAGGGACACATTGCTGGGAAAGAGAATCTGGGCCAGCAGGAGTTATTCCAAATCCAGTTCGTCAAAGACTCATTCCAGTGGCATAACGATGGTTACTGAATGTTAAACTATTAAGTTACTTCTGACTACATTTTGCTGCCTTACACATCATAAATGGTGTATTTAAAGTTGATTTCAGTACAATTATTTTCCCCATTCAAAAGTAAGATATTTCTAAAGGCAGTAAATAAGAGACTTCATCTCTTCTCCTTTGGATGAGCCTTCAGAGATCTGATTTCAATTTGTATGCCTTTGAAGGTAATCTGACCTGCTTATTCACGATTCAGCATTAAAACCAAAGTAGGGCGCCTTCAGCTGTAGACAGAGCTGAAGTAATAAATAAGTAATAAATTCATAAAACCTCAAATCATCATCGAACTAACATTGCAATCTGTAAATGTAAGCTTCACGTCAATGGGTTTGTGGTACCTTTTGAGGGCACACACTTCTGCTTCTTTAACATAAGATAGTAGCCTTGTAAGTAAGGCTTATAAGAAAGATAAGCCTTATAAGTTTGGCCAAGTTCTTATTAGAAGCAGATTTTGAGCATGAAAGTAAGAGTTTCGATACCATTTAATTTTGGAATTCAGAATAAGAAGATATATTCTAGGATATGGTAGACCATTTCCCCAAATAACGTACCATATCTCCATCTCTGATCCCTTCCAATGTATCTCAGTGTTTCACTTACTTCATGTTACCGCATCCTTAGTCCGTAGTATAACTTACATAATAACATGTAACAAGAATCTTCAATTAAAATAACTGATTTTAAATGAGCTGTACTTTACAAAGTATGCCAGTGTAGTTGTATAGTGTCAGATCTAATTCTTGGAATGATGGTTCTGTATAACACACTTTTGTCCTGATAGTTTTAAAGGTTGTCCTAAATGTAGTGAAAAGTTTCTTTAAAAGGTTACAAATGCTTTTTGGTAAGCTTTTACATAGCTTGACAACAATAAAATTCTTTTCTCCCTGGAGATGTAGACTTCGGATTCCTTGTTTTCCAAGCCTATTTTCCAATCACCTGTGGCCACATGGAAAACAGCTCACCACTACACTGATGTTAGGGATAGTGAGGAAGTGGGAAATCAAACTTGGAGAGAGAGGTAAGCTTTTAAACTCTGCTGTCAAGAAGAAAAAGAGGAAGTAGGACATATTGCTGCTACCCTCTTTTTTCCACCTTCCTTAGTCCAGGCATGGTGTGAAATCCCCAAGGGAACACCGCAATATGTTTTAGCTTTTCTCAGTCTGGCAAGGGCCCCAGGAACACACTGCATTGTTTATTTCAGATAAACCCTTTGCTGTATTCAATCCCCAGAAAACACGCATGACAATTAACATCCTTGCAGAAGACATTGGGAGACGGCAGGAAATTTCAAGTAGGAAGTGCACTCGAGGGGAAAAATAAGCACCTTTTACAAAAAAAGCAAGGTGCTGATGAGTCTTGGCATTTGGATGAATCAAAAACAACTGGGATTTTTGAACACTTTAAAGCAGCGAGTTGAGGTAGGCGTTTCAATTTGCTATGGAAAAGAAAGTATATACTGAAATAATCTTTAAATAAAACTCAGAAACTGTATGTGTATGTATGAGTTTATGGGTATGTATAATAAATGTATATAATATTTGGAAACCTGTAAGTATCTTATGTGGAGAGACTAAGCGAAGAAACATTCTTTCTAAAATGAATCACATATTAACATAAAAAATCCCATTTTTCTTGTTTACTTTGAAGGCTACCTCTCAAAAATGTAACATGCAGCCGCTGGCATCTTTGCATCTTTGAACTCACTATTCCTTTTTCAAGCAGTCTGAGTTGAATCCTGCATTCTTGCCATATGCCAAGGGTTAGACCATTAATATGTAAAAGAAGCTGGTATCCAGAGAATTGACTTTATAATTGGAGAACGCCAAAATAAACCTAACACTTCTCAAACAATGCTACCCCACAGCATCCCCGTTCTCTTAGGCTATTAGGCCATGTCCAATTTTCTCGGTCTGTCGGAGGATACAGCTGCCTCCATGTGCCAGCGAAGCTTTAATTACGGTGACTTTTCCTCCCCCTGGAAAGCCTCTTCCTGTGGTTTGAAAGTTTGAATTATTCAAGCCCATGTTAATACACTGTATTGAATGCTCTGTTTGGCCCACTGAGGTGCACTTGGAACTGTTCTTTTTCCACAAATTTGATTTCTCTGTCTCCCTTTTTCCTCCTCCTATCCTTTCTCCCTCCCCTTTCTTCCATTATTAAAGGCAGGAACCAAGGACCACTTTGGTAAGCTTTTACATAGCTAGACAACAATAAATCATGGATTTTAGTGTAGCTAATTTCTTACAGAAAGTATGTGAAGTCACATGCAAAATAATCTCTCAACTAAAGTTTCTCACGTAGAAAAAAGCTTTTTTCCCTAAACAGTTTTTTTACTAGAAGTGACATAATTTATATACTTTGGTAGTCAGAGTTCCAGGACTTCTAAACATTTTTCTTTCAAATCCAAGCTATAAATTTGGTTTGACTCCTAATATAGAATCAATAAGAGAATTCTTGATATTTTTTGTTGAAGCTACAGGGAGAGAAAGACAGTAGAGAGGGCAGGAAAAAATAAAAGAATACCATTTTTTAATTTTAAAATTATTTTTAAATTTTTAGTTGAATGAATGCTGTTTAAATACCAAAGTCTAGATTTCAGTCTTTGATTAGGTTTTTCATCATTTGCTTAAAATACCAACCTTGGTTTTCCTTTATTCTAATTTTTTAGGTTTTGAGCTGTCATTATGATTTATTTATAACCAAAATCACCATCAAGATGATATATATCATTGCACTGACAGTAATCATAACTTCTAAGCTTGGTTTGTCATTAATAACCTGTAAGACCTCTTGGCAGCTTAGTAACAATATAAATGCTATCAAGACTACAAAAATCACATAGGATTATATTCAGCAAAGTTTATTTTCAAAATTATAAAGTAATATAAATTAACATATTTTTGCTATTATTATTTTTTCATGTCATAAAATAAACATCATCTTTAGTTTACATTCCAATTCACTCAGTTAAATAAAAATGTTTTGGAAGTTTTTCTCCAATGTTTGCTTACAAAAATAAGTTACCAAGTTCACAATGCAGACAGTCAAATTATCTTCCATTCCTACACAGTGAATCTGTTCTTTTAGGAAAAAAGAAAACGACAGGGAAGAAAAATATGTTCCTTGAAAATTCCTAATGAGATGTGCAATTCTTCTAGTTAATAAACAGAGCATTTGTGAAATTTATTGCCTGTGCTGAGAAATACTATTAGAAACTGATTCAGGATATCAAAAAAATGATACATTTGCAAAAAGAACCCCAAATCTTTTTCAGAAGCAGGTGGATTATTTAGGCAGGAAATACAGAGAGGAAGAACTTATTAGAAATAACATTGCATATATCTGAGGCAGGAAAAACTGATGAGGGAGTCACCCAATTTTATCAGACAGAGTTTATCTCCATTCCACGTAGGTCTAGTCACTGGATGTTAATTATATGTGTGCCTTGTAATTGATCAGGAATCTAATCTTAAATGTTCAACATTAAGGAAAAAAGGAAATACACCTTCCTTTAAAGATGATAAAATGATTATATACTCATATGCCCTTACTCAGAAAATGCTTGGCCCACCTTATAGGGGAACTTAAAAGCCATTAAAGTATTTTAAAGTTTAATACTAAGTCTATTTTGGCTTCATTTTTCACATTAAAAATCCATTCTTCATTCACAAACCCATTCACAATGTACAAACCCAAAGGCTTTCATATCGAGACATTATTTTACCAAGAATGTATTTTTGTGCTAGTTGGAGAGTTGTTACAGTCATCTATTTTTTTAAACTTTTTTTGTGTGAGTTCCTTTTCATGGTGAGAAACTAGTTATGAAATCTTTTATTCTCAAGTAATTGTGCTGAAGGTTGAGAAGCTTGTCTCAGCCACAAGATCTAGCCTTAGTCACAACTTGGCACAGAAAACCTTATGACCACTCTCTACTATGCATTGCCTCAACCACAACCCAAGGGGAATGGAATCTTCCACCTCCTAAAATTTGGATCTATGACCATGGAACCCAGGGAAAAGAAGAGCTAAATCCTTCTTTAATATTAGTGTTACAAATATTTATATTGTTTTCCATAATAAGCGGCATAAAGTAAAATTACAACATGAGTTTACAGTCATAATAGTTATATTGTAGAGGTAAAAAGTGAATCTCCAAGCTGCTCCTTATAACACACACATGCACACCACACACACTCATATATATGTGAATATATACATATAGATCAGAGTAGAACAGTACTAAATCTGAGAAGAAAATTATTAAACTTAATAAAATTAAATCAGGAGAAAAAAGACTGAGAAAATATCCATCACACTAAAATCTGGATTGATCTTCAGCTCATTTGTCTATATAATATGACCCATTATCTAAGGGGCTAGGATATTCTATTTGTACGCTATTTTCAAGCAAATGCCATTTTTACAAACTAAAATAGATTAGCTAGTAAATATCTGAATGCTGAATCTTACTGCTAGGCATTTATCCAAAAGAATTGAAATCAGGATCTTGAAGAATATTAGCATTGGATGTTCACTGCAGCATTATCACAATAGCCAAAATGTGGAAATTACCTAAACTGTCGTCAACAAATGAATGTATTAAAAATGTGGTATATGCATGTTTTCACTTATAAGTGGGAGCTGAATGATGAGAACACATGGACACACAGAAGGGAGCAACATACACTGGGGCCTATTGGAGGATGGAGGGTGGGAGGAGGGAGAGGATCAGAAAAATAACTAATGGGCAGTAAGCTTGCTACCTGGGTGACAAAATAATCTATACAACACACCCCTATGAAACAAGTTTACCTATATAACAAATCTGCACATGTACCCTTGAACTTAAAAGTTAAATTTAAATAAATGTGGTGTATACGTCCAGTGAAATACTATGCAGCCTTAAAAATGAAGAAAATTTCTGCCATATGTGTCAACATGAATGAACCTTGAAGACATTGTGCTAAGTGAAATTAGCCAATCACAGAAAGATAAATACTGCATGATTCCACTCATATGAGGTATATAAAATGGTCAAATTCCACAGCGAGGGGAACAACACACACTTGGGCCTGTCAGGGTGGGGAGGGCGGTGGGAGGAAGAGCATCAGGATAAATAGCTATGCATGGAGGGCTTAATACCTAGGTGATGGGTTGATAGGTGCAGCAAACCACATGTTTACCTATGTAACAAACTTGCACATCCTGCACATGTATCCTGGAACTTAAAATAAAATAAAATTTAAAAAAATTATAGTACATTTAATTATGAACCTTCATGAAGCCATCGCAAATAGTGGTGAAGTCAATTGCTAATGACTTGGAAAGACATCACTAAATGAACAAAATAGGTTCCAAAATGCCACATGCAGTCTGATCCCATTTATTAAAAAAAATCGAAATATACACGTATGGAAAGATAATGAAAAGATATATGCAAAAACTGTCTAATGCCATAATCTCTAGAGGTTGGATAACAAGTGATACTTACTCCTTTCCCGGTGTCTACTTTTCAATAAAATTTCCATAATTAACATGTAATGCTGTTTTTGATAAGAAAATAAGAAAAGTATTTTTAAGAAAAAAATTAATAAAATGGTCAAATTCATATACTCTGGAATGGTGATTATCAAAAAATTATCCATTTTATCAAAAAATTAATAAATTTAATAAAATGGTCAAATTCATATACTCTGGAATGGTGATTATCAGCGGCTGAGGGGAGGAAAAAATGGGAAATTGCTAATCAATGGGCATAAAGTTTTAGTCCAGCAAGATCAATAAGTTGTAGAGATGTGCTTTCAGCATTATGCTTAGTCAACAATAATGCATTGTACATTTAAAAATTTGTTAAAAGGGTAGATCTCATGTTAAGTGTTCTTGCCAATATAAAATTTAAAAACGATTTAAATGGTTATTAGCCACATATATCATATTATATTGATTAATTTGCTTAACAAATTAAAAAGAGAAAGTAAGTATGTTTATGTTGTACCACAAAGAACCTTGTTTTTCTTTCCAATTAAATGTATAAGAAAATTGTTAAAATCTATCCTTCCCTTTTACAAACTAGCATTGAATTACCAGTGACTTATTAAATTTTTTTCCCTCAAGCATACAATTTTGCTTTTCTCATTTTCTTGTGGTTCATTTTACATTAGAACGAAATAAGTAATTAATTTTAAAAAGAAACCTATGAAGTTACAACAAATGATAAAAGTCTGTCTTAATATTTATCATGAATAATATTTTAAGAAAAAAACAACTCGCATTTTTGTCTGCTAATCTTACTTTTGTGGAGCTGTTCAGATGTTAGTAACTTAGTAACATTCCAATTTTAATGCATTAAGAAGAAAGGTAAAAATGAAATAAAAATTAGAATGGTACAGAGTAGTTTCTCTTTAGATGTTAAAGATAACTGAAGTTGTGCTTGAAGGTGTCTTGTATAAATTAGTGTACTCGCCTTTTTTCTTCTTATTTGAATAACATAACCTTTATTCAAGTGCATTTTAGACAATTTAGAAAATACAGACAATTATAAATAAGAAAATAAAAATCACTTTTAAGGTAATTATCCAAAGATAAGTACTATTAATATTATGCATTCATGGCAGTAATATAATTTTAATAACATTGAGCACTTACTCTGTACCAGTCACTCTCCTAATTATTTATATATATTTAATCATTAGTTTACAAACCCTATCATTGTCTCCATTTCGCAAATGAGGAAATTAGGGCCCAGAAATGTTTAGTAGCTTGCTTAGGGTCAAGGATCACATCTCCAGTAAGTGGAAAAACTGGGATTTAAAACTGGGCTCTTTGAACTACACCAGAGATTGTGCTGGAGACATAACCACAACTGTACCACATGAAGTCTTTTTCTGTGTGTAAAACATAAAAGGGCTATAATTTATAATGTACATACTGTTTTATAACCTGTTGTTTAATCCATGTAACATATTACAAATATCTTCTGACATTGTTAAATAATCTCTTATCACAGAAGGTGAAAAAGAAGCATTTTGACTTGCTAGAAATCTTGTGGTATGGCTGTTTCTGGCACGGGATGATTCAAGAAGCCTGAAACAAAGAACACTCTCTATTTTCTGACATGTATTCAAATCAAACAAACATCACCCTCTTTAGGCAAACAAGTTACCATAGCAGAACCGACCAATGGTCTGATCATTCCAATATCCTATTTCTGAAATTGTCCAATGCTGGCTATTTTAGCAGAAGACATAAAATCCCCCATAAAGTGCCTAATTGTGTGATACACTGTAGTAAGATGAGAATGTCCCCTTTGTCCAGCATCTTATCTTCTACCACCTAGAAACTTAAGAGGGAATCGTCCTTGAAATTTTATCTTACTGAAACTAGCAATGTGTGAAGATGTTATTTTACCACACACATATCCACTCGCATATACGCTAAAAGTGTAAAGAAATGAGTTTTATTCCTGTGTAGCTTAAGAAAGTCAGGAATTACTATAGCTATCTCTATCAATGTATAATACATAGAATATACATGCATAATTAATCCATTAGGACTATGCAAAAATATTTGTTAAGTAATGTAAAGCAGCAGTGTGATCAACAGGTAAACAGCATTTGATAGAGTAATCTTTTCCTCCATTAATAGTGTATCATAAAATACACTCTTTAGGAGAGATAACCAAAGGGCAATTATTGAATGGCAAAATTCACTGGGTAAGTTTCTACACAGTGCAAATCAGAAAATCAATGCAATGGTACATTTTATTTTATGAACTGCGATTATATTATATTTGGATTTTCATGTGGTTCTAAAAATATCACTAGTATATTGGCATGCTAGCCAGGCAGACAGCAACATTTTAAAGAGGGCTCCAAAAAATAAATTATTTGCTATCTTTCCTTTTTCTAATGAAAAAGGACATAAGAACATAAGAGACTTGTACCTTCCACTTACTGTCTCTTGGAATCCTTGCTCTTGGAGCTCTGAGCTGCTGTGCATAGGCAGCAGACAGAGAGTCATGTAGATATAGATGTATGATACCAGATCCATGAGCTTTGTGAGGTACTTGACCAATCTGACTACTAAAGGTTTCATGAAGAAGGCATTTATGCTATCTCTATACTGACTCTTTTCCAAAATTTCTCACCTGCTTGCCTTTGTTGCCATTCCCAGAAATGATTAGATGTTAGATATAGTCTGTGCCTAAGAATCGAATAAAAGTAATTCAGTCCAATAGTTATGAGGACCATTGCCTCATAACCTTGGGACTTTTTCCTGACCTAATCAGCTGCTAAGTACTCATCTCTGCTTCCCACAATAGCACAGATCTGTAGCTCCCGAAGAACACAGCTGTGCTTTATGAACTTTGTATTTGGAAAGCCTCACATGGTTCCTGGGACAGAGAACATTTTCAACACATTCTTATTGGAACAGTGCCTGACACATAGTAGGCCCTTGATGAATGCTGACTGATGGAATATTTGAATGGATGAGTGAATATATTTAACCATTTACTGCATTTTTCTAATGTTATCCTTTACATTTCCATCTAGAATATACATATTTTAAAATCTATTTCATAGAAGATATCATAATACAACATTGTAGTTTTACACCAAAAATACACCCACTAAAGACAATTCAGTCACAGCTAAAAAAATAATACACATTGGATACTGATCAGTACTATTTATAAATTTTTCCTTGGGTAGGAAAAATGATGCTGCAACTGCTTCCAAATCAGCAACGTGTACAGTTGGTTCATCCAAGAAACATGAAAATATTATATGTTCTACAAGAACAAATAACTGGATTTTAAAAAAATTCAAGACATAAAATTTAAAGACATCCCACCAATTATCTTCCTCCTCATTATTTTTAAATGGCCCCAGTCAGTGAGCAAGCATTTATAGAATTAATTCACCAAATATTCTCAACTTCTTCCAGCGTATCTGGGAGGCTGAGGAGAAGTCATTCCAAGAGGTTGGTTTCCTTGTAAATCACAGATGATAAAACCTTCAGTCAATCATAACTTGTGTTTTAGTTTGTTTCAGCTAAAGGACATTAATACTTGTTATCTATCTCCTCAGGAAGACTGTAAAGAAAAGTAATTTCCAGAACCCACTTGCTCACTAATGTGAGCTCTACAAGTACAAAGCTCATACTTCATAATCATTACCTAAGGGACAGATAGAGCTGAACTCAGGAAAGTTAAAGGAAATAAATTTTGAATTTTCCAAACTATCTTCCTATGGGCTTTGAAATCAAAGTTAAATATTTTTCATTTACCACAGTTTTAAATTTAGCACAAATATCCAATGGGTTATATAATAGTATTGTACTTCAAATGAAAAACAAAAATGATAGATTTCTTTTATAATAATGATTACATAAGCTCTGGGGTTCCAAAAAGCCACAACAACTTATTATATAAGAATTCTTTGTCCTCAGTAGTCACTGAAATGCAGCACAATTATAAATGGTATGTTTCTATAAGTTCCATACTTATGTACTATCTTAAAATGATTACATAAATATGGAGAGATTAAACCACAAGGTTTTTTGTGGTTGTTGTTGTTTCTATTGTAATTACATTTTTAGAATCTAATTACCATGCCAAAAGTGGTCTTTTCGAAGACACACTAAACACAGTATGAATCAGCTTTGAAAAGTGTGAAGTGGACCAAATGCAGTGGCTACTGCTTTTACTAGTGCAGGCTGAGGAAGACAAAAGGTTCAATCTATTGCTCTTTTTTGGAATTTCAGAATAATCAATAAACCATTAGGTTTAAATGGAGAATTCAGAACTTCTTTAAAGATGTCATGGTACAGACACTAACTAAAGTCCCATCCTGAAATTTTGTCTATAAATTATGCCTTTCTGATCAAGATCATACTAAAATTGGAGTACTAACAGAGAAGATCACACAGAAACCGGTAATGCCAAAAGGGGTTTTATTTTCTTCAAGGTTGTTCAATTCAGTCTCCTGTTCCTCACCAGCCTTGTCCTAGGAGAATTCACACTACTATGAATTTTTTTTAATGTGATTTGAATGCCAGATGGTATATCAGAGTTGATGCTAAATTTTTCTTTCAAAACACAGGCTCATTGGGAACACATTTTTTATTTCTAAAATTACAACTTGACAATTACTAGGTGCCACTTGTATTGGTACTGTCATATCCTCCTAAGAAAGTTTTAAAAAATAAAAAGGAGATGGTTTTATGTACAAGAGTTGTGTTACTATTTTTTTTTTAAGCAATCAGCCATTAACCCTTGTGGGGGAAAACTGCTAAAAATATGTTGTAAACAATCTATTATTTAATTTGTTTCCCACTGTTACTCCTGATTGCACTATCAAGCAGCAGTGGAAAACTGGGGCTGGGAACCTAACAGTGCCCAATTCCGGGGAGTCGACCCTACTCAGTCTCTTTCTAGGTACACCAGGTACTCTTTCTGTCCCCTGTCAAATGGGCTCTCATTCTCAGGCCCTATCCAGGGTAGGGCTGCCTGATGCTCCTTTTCTCTGGAGATGAAAGAAGTCTCATCACAGTTGGGTTCAGTCCCGCTTGCCCAGCCACTTAGTACAACTACTAGTTGGGGAGTGCATGATTTCAGAAATCTTTTCTTTGGAGCAAGCAGAAGGCTGATAAAAACAGACACACAACTATGTGCATTTCATGCAAGGAAGCCATCCAATCTCTGAAGAGAGTTTTTGTTTTGTATTCATACTAACAGTAATGTAGCACACCTAAGGACTTAAAGGGTAATTACACTCAGTATTTATGCACCCGCAAGTTATTAGTGGCTGTAATGGAAAGAATAGGGAAGAAAGTCAAGTCAGTCATTAGTCTGACACATATTTATGAGGCTCAGTATTAAGCAGGGACTGAACCTCGGGTCATCTAGTTCCATTTCCCCCATTTGATGGGGTATTCGATTTGTAGATACAGGCAATGCCATGGAGATGGCAGAGAGTGATTTCTGCAAGGCATTAGTGAGCTCTTTGTAATGTCTAGACAGGATGAAGAAAGGTGGGCTGCCTACTGGGAAGATTGATAAGAATGTCTGATAAATGGATGGTGCCACCAGGAAAAAGATCTGAAATGTCAGTCCTGGGGGCTCAGAGTTCAGCTCCTCTTCATTCAGCATTTGTTATCAGTTCCTTAAATAAAGGCAAAAAGAGCTTCTAGATCAGCTTAATGTAAAGCTCTAGGGCCTTGAATTTGAAACTCTGCTTTGACACAGTCTGCACATTTCTGTTTTTTCACACGTAAGAGAATAACAACACGGACATTATAGAGTTACTCTGAGGATGAAAGGAGATAAATGTTGGCACTAAGTGCACACTTTGCAACCCAAAGTATGTTCTAAAGAGCAAATCTCCATAGGACATAGACAGGAAAACTAGCTAATATGGTTTATAGCAAGATGAAAATTTAAAATGATCCCACATTTTAAAATAAAAAATGAAATAACATTTAAAGGGAATAAAGACATTGTTTAATTGTTAGTAAGTTTCATAAGAGCCAGTTCATTTTCATGTAATCAGTAACATCTATTGTAGCCCTTTGTAGACAATAGTATTTTTGTCCATTTTGTGGTGCTATAACAGAGAATCTCAGACTGGGTAATTTATAATGAATGGAAATTTATTTCTTACAGTTTTGGAAACTGGGAATTTTAGGATCAAGACTGTGGCGTCTGGTGTGGGCCTTCTTGCTGCGTTCTCACGTGGCAGAAGGTGGAAGGGCAAGAGAGGACAAAATGTTGTGTTCTCACATAGCAGAAGAATGAGAGAATCCACTCCTGCAAGCCCTTTTCATAGTGGCATTAATCCATTCAGCTTCTCTTAATGACCCAAACACCTCCCAAAAGTCCCCACTTCCCAACACCATTACATAGGGAATTAAGTTTCCAACACACAAATTCTGTGGGACATACTAAAACCACAGCAGATGGATATTCAAAAAGTGTTCACTGAATGAATAAATGAATATTAAGGCATACATTCAAGTGCCAGAGTCATTTTCATAAGTACTGGGGTTATGAGAAAAGATAGCCCTTCCCTCAAGTTACTCATGGTTTGGTGGTGGACAGACATGTACAGTCATCCTTCAGTATCCACAGGGGATTTGTTCCAGGGCTTCCCGAAGATACCTGAGGATGCTCAAATCTCTGATATAAAATTGCACAATATTTGCATATAACCTACCAATATCCTCCTGTATACTTTAAATCATCTCTAGATTACTTATAAGACCCAACATAATGTAAATGCTATATAAATCGCTTTATATTGTTTTGAAATTTGTATCATATTTTAGTATTGTATTGCTATTTTTTGTTTTTTTTTTTCCCAAATATTTTTGATCAAGTTTGGTTGAATCCACGGATGTGGAATCCATGGATACAGAGGGCTGACTGTACATTAATGATCATAATACAGTGTAAGAAGTGCTAAGGTAGAGAGGTGCACCGTGCACAGGAGCTCCACAAGTCCACAGGAGATGCACTTAACTCAACTCTTTGGAAGAGTAAGCCATGGGATAGAGGAGTGGTGTCTCTGAGCTGTACAGGAGGTAGTCAAGTGAAGAGAGGGGAGAGAGGGAATGTCAGGAGTTTCAGGCAGAAGCAGCAGCCTAGGGCTCAGAGCAGGAGAAAGAGCACCAAGTGTTCAGGACACAGAGGCTGGTTCTCTATGACTATAACTTTAGAGTTTAAGATGGAAAGTGGTTTTACATGATATTGGAGACATAACCTGAAATAAGTCATAAAAAGTCTATGGACTAAACAACTAAGGAGGTTGAAAAGGATTTGGTGGGCAAAGGGGAGTCACTGAAGTCTTTGATTCAGGATAATTATTAATATTTGTTTCAGAAAGCTTAGCCTAGCTGCTGGGAATACATGAATTGCACCTAAGACCAGTCCTGAGACTGTTGTAGTAAAATGAGTAGGAAGTGACAAGGTCCTAAGCTAGGGAAGTTCATGGGGCAACTTAATTGTAAAAGTTAGGAGAGACCTGGATTGGTGATTATGTATTTGTGAATTATCTAAATATGGATAATAATACATAAGAGCATATAAAATCACTCAGTAAGTATGTGCACTGTATGAAAAGCTGACAGATACTACCTTGGAAAATGCCAACTCTGGGCTTTAAATAGTGAACTCAAAGAAGAGCCTGAGAAGAAGCAGAAAGAGGTTTCAGGACCCCAAAAGAAGAAAGAGCCTCAAACAGCCAACCAGGTCAAATGCTGCAGAGAGACTAATATATTCAGGGCTTGGTGCCCAGGAGACCATCAATATCCCCATGGAGACACACTTCAGGAGAATTTAGGTCAAAGGAGAAACCAAACTGTGGTACTTTCTGGAGTGCCTTGCAAGTGAGGAAGCATTGGCATGACACAAAGTTATGGAGATATTTTAAACTATGGAAAGAGCTGGATGAGAATATCCACCCAGAAGGGCAACCAGGAGGGCACCTAATCTCAATAACGTGTTAAGGAGAAACACTTAAGGAGAAGCAGCTGCAGGAAATTTGGAATGTTTCAGATGATTGAAGATGTGATCACTTTGCTTGTCTCCAGGAGATGCCATTGGGAAAAGAGAGCTGATGCATTGGAAGCAGAAAAAAAACCTGCGGAATTAGTGTTCACCAACACCACAATGCTTACACTTTACTAGATGATGAACTTTTTGTTTCTGAGGTATTCAGGCAGAGCCTGGACAAATGTCTGATGAAGATCTCAGGAGACATTCCAGCTTTTGGTAAAAACTTGGATTAGATGGTTTTTGGTGTGTCCTCTTGAACTCCTAAAATTAATATGGCTAAGGTCAAGGTTAGAAACTTTTTTTTTTTTTTTTTTTTTTGAGACGGAGTCTCACTCTGTCGCCCAGGCTGGAGTGCTGTGGCGTGATCTCCGCTCACTGCAAGCTCCGCCTCCCGGGTTCAGGCCATTCTCCTGCCTCAGCCTCCCGAGTAGCTGGGACTACAGGCGCCCGCCACTGCGCCCAGCTAATTTTCTGTATTTTTAGTAGAGACGGGGTTTCACCGTGGTCTCCATCTCCTGACCTCGTGATCTGCCCACCTCGGCCTCCCAAAGTGCTGGGATTCCATTTAAAGGTATGCATTTCTGATACAGAAAGAGCTTTCTCATGATCCTGAAACAATGTTAATACCATGCAATGTTATATCACTGATTTTGTTTCACTAATGTTGGCTGAAATTGGTCAAAAAGTTTTTTGGAAATCCTTACAAAGATCAAATATCTAATTCTTCTATGTATCTTTCTTTTTCTCTAAATTTTGAATAAATATCTAAAGGCGAGGATGTCTGTGCAATTGAGGATTACAGTTCTCTTATTGAATGGAGCTTAATATCATTAATATTATTACATAAGGTAATTACTTATGTAATAATGGTGAACACATAATTAACAAGGCACTAAAAACTTTTTTTTCAAACCCAGATAGCTGGCATCAGAACAAAATCACACACAAGAGCAAGATTTTATTCTGAGAGAGTGTGTGCCTACATTTTCTCATTCATTCTCTTTCTCATTGTTATGTACTCACACACATTTAATAAGGTAAAATATATTTACAGAAAATAAGGGGAAAAATAAATTTGAATCAGAACTGTCTTCTCTAATGCCCCTTATTCATTTCAGATATTTTATTAATCAATAAATTTTGTCTATGAAGTAATAATAAATGTCTTTTAAGTGAGTAGGCATTGATAGCAAGCACATTGAGTCCTCAGTAAACTCAGGCTCCCTTCTCCAAAAGAGATAAAGCACTTGACATAGGGTGAGGGTAATAAGACCAAAGATGGAGAAAGACTGTATTGACCATGGTAATCTTTAACTTGCCACATTTACAGATGTATCAGATAGGTAGAGCTTCTTCCAAAGCAGAAACACTTATTCAAAGCTATATATAAGAAACTGACATATCTAGATACTGCTGCTTCAAACGTCAGATTGTTGTATAATAAGGTCATCTTTAGCCTGTGACCACAAATCTCCTAATATCTGAAATAACAACGTGGAGAATAACTGTGTAAAAGCATGCAAACTATATAGAAGGGAAGGAACTACTCAGGGCCATGTACAAGCAATTACTTCCTTAGTATTCTTAATGACAGTGCCCCTTGGTGCTCCATAAAGTAGGTCTACTGTGACGGAAGCTGAAATGATTGCTTTGAGACTGCCAGACCATATCCAAGTGGCTTCTTCACAGCTTGTACAATCTTCAGGGCTGCACCAAGTGGCAAATAAGATAGTCATAAGTGGAAGGGAGTTCAATTATTTGAACAGGCCCATGTGTATGTCCCACGGGTTTCTACTAGATTTGAAAGTTGCTCCTATTGTGAATCTATGCTTCAAGTAGCTAACCATACAGAATGTTCTAAAATAGGCAGCAATAATCAGCCAAACGGTCACCTATCTCTCAATGTAATGGCTGCTATTCTACTCAGCACAGAAAACACACTCACAAAATTTACATTTCTTACTTTTTTTGAGTGCAAAAATAGCAGAAGTTCATCTCACTGTTCATAACTACTAGCTATATTAACATTTTTACTCAACAAAGGCATGTTATGGCCCACTCTAAATATGGGTCCATGTCAACTATACTTCAATCTAATAAGCAGCAATATTTATAGAATGCCACGTCATAGAAGTAATCAGACCTCACACAACAGATTCACTGAGGATTATACCCATTTTTATATTGGTTTTGCCCTGGAAAAAAAAATCCTGGGGTATAACTAATTAAATAAAGTTATTAACATGTCTATAGTACATATGTATACTTACTTATGAATTTTGCTGGTAAGTTCAGAATCAAAATGTATTCATCCATCTCCATAACCAACATAGACTCATAAGTATAATCCATAGAAAGGAAAATAAATAATTTCAAATTAGTAATAGGATTTCTAAAATTCATGTGTGGATATATATTCCGAAAGATGTTGTTTTCCCACTATTCATTTTATCTTCAACATAATGCTAAAAATTCACACCCTGTAGGATGCTAATAAAAATATCTAGAGAGAAGATATAATCACCCCTGTTAAAGTAAAGGGCACAGCCAACAGCAGGAATTTGTGAGCTTTGAAATCCAAAAGCTTTGCCAGGTAGAAAGAGTCAAAACAAATGATACTCAAGACGACAAGACAATGTAAATGAAAGCTCCTGCTTGTAAGTAAATGGAGGTGAAGCACGAAATCATGCATGTCTTAAAACCACAGACTCCAAATTTTAGAACAGAAAGGTAACACAAAGCTTCAGCCTATGCCAGAGTGCCTTCAGGAGCTTGGAGGATAACACTGAACACAAAGGTGAAAGTTGAAAGGGGGTCTTGCAGCAAAATGGGAGTACACGCTTCTCTGTAAAAACAAACAAGAAAAAATAAAAATAAAAACACCGTTCTGGATCAGAATCAGCAAATGGATCACCTCATTTCAAACACTGATCAGGTCCAGCCTCATCTCTTTATAGAGAGATGGACAGAGGCCCAGAGAGGCTAACGGACTTCCCCCAAATCACACAGCTAGCCCACAGCAGAGCTAGACATTTACTTCAATCATTACTATATATGAGTGTTTTTTTTTTAGATATACACCGGACCACTACACACTAGACAAAAATAATGCAACACAAGACAAGAATGATTTCTGCCTTCACAGGGCTCCGGTTTAGAGGGAGAGACAGGGACGTACACAAGCAAGAGAATCTGCTGAATAAGGCCATTTCGGATACGCAGGGAACACCTGTAGATGCACCCAGCCAAGCGGTGTCCTGAGGCATCTGTGTTAGCACCATGAGTGACAGGAAGAGGAACAAGATTGGGAAACTGCAAAGGAGCAAAGGGAAAGCAGGCTTCATGGGGAAAAGCATCTTTCCAGACTTTTTTCATTCCTTTACTGTAGAGTTAGTATATATTTTTTTCATACATTACACAATGAATTTACCCATATCTAATGAAGGCCTTTCTCCTGTGGCTCTAAAATTGTATGATCCCTTTGGAATCTACTGAGTGCTTTCTATGGACAAAGTACCATACTGGATATGGGGAATACAGAACAGGCTTGGTTAACGCTTTCCTTCAAGGAGCAACAGTCTGATAGAGAGACAAGGTATCTACACAATTTTGTGTAAACTAGAAGATAGTATGCTAGTCTCATGAAACTGTTAGTGGCAGCATAGCCCAAGCTGCCAAAATGACTAATAGCCAATGAATACAATAGAATCTGACACATTGTTTTGGGAATAGTAACTGGAACATGCTTTTAGGAACTGCAACATTAATTTTTCTATGAATTATTCTTTTTCCTATAAATGGAATTAATATAATTGTTTTAAAAGTTCTTCCTCTAGAAGATGGTTGTCTCCTGTCCCTCTACCCCTGCTGTGACTGCCATGAATAAATATTAGTATATTTGCAGCATTTGAAAGTAATTGAGATTCCTTGATCAATTAATGTGCTATTTTAATGTTTGAAATTAAAACAAATTAAACAATAAAAACTGGCAGAGGCAATTTCCTTACTATTAGAAGGTATAATTTATTTTTATAAGAGAAAAAAATCTTAGTAAAATAGAAATATATAAATGACCATGATGATTTTTGTTTCAAGTATGCATATCTAGCACTGTTCATATTCTAGGTTATATTTCATTTTGTCTGAAATATTTAAACAGCAATAAAGAAGATCCATCAGAATTTGTTTTGGCCAATTTTCCACAGATACACTAATTCTGTAACACAAAACAATAACATCATTCTCATTTAACACTTAAGGGCACTTATTATGTGTCAGACATTGTTCTAATTAGTTTACCTATAATATCTCATTTAATCTTCACAATTCTATGAGGTAGGTCCTGTCATTATTCCAATGTCATAGATGAGAATTAAAACACACACAAAACATCATATAACTTGCCCAAACTCATACGGCCAAGTGTTAGAGTCAGGATTCAACCTGGCAGCACGACTCCAGAGTATACACTCTTGTCCTATGTTGCGGGAAGGCAGGGACCCCGAATGGGGGGACCGGCTGAAGCCATGGAAGAAGAACGTGGATTGTGAAGATTTCATGGACATTTATTAGTTCCCCAAATTAATACTTTTACAATTTCTTATGCCTGTCTTTACTGCAATCTCTAAACATAAATTGTGAAGATTTCGTGGACACTTATCACTTCCCCAATCAATACCCTTGTGATTTCCTATGCCCGTCTTATCCTGTCATCTCACAAGCTGAGGAGTATGTATGTCACCTCAGGACCCTGTGATGATTGCGTTAACTGCACAAATTGTAGAGCATGCGTGTTTGAACAATATGAAATCTGGGCACCTTAAAAAAAGAACAGGATAACAGCAATGTTCAGGGAACAAGAGAGATAACCTTAAATTCTGACCGCTGGTGAGCCGGGCGGAACAGAGCCATATTTCTCTTCTTTCAAAAGCAAATGGGAGAAATATTGCTGAATTCTTTTTCTCAGCAAGCAACATCCCTGAGAAAGAGAATGCACCCCTGAGGGTGGGCCTCTAAAATGGCCCCCTTGGGTGTAGCCATCTTCTATGGTTGAAACTGTAGGGATGAAATAAGCCCCAGTCTCCCATAGTGTTCCCAGGCTTATTAGGACAAGGAAATTCCTGCCTAATAAATTTTGGTCAGACCGGTTGCTCTCAAACCCTGTCTGCTGATAAGATGTTATCAATGACAATGGTGCCCGAAACTTCATTAGCAATTTTAATTTCGCCCTGGTCCTGTGATCTCGCACTGCCTCCATTTGCCTTGTGATATTCTATTACCTTGTGAAGTATGTGATCTCTGTGACCCACACCCTATTCTTACACTCCCTCCCCTTTTGAAAATCCCTAATAAAAACTTGCTGGTTTTACGGCTCCTGGGGCATCACGGAACCTACCGACATGTGATGTCTCCCCCGGATGCCCAGCTTCGAAATTTCTCTCTTTTGTATTCTGTCCCTTTATTTCTCAACCCGGCTGACACTTAGGGAAAATAGAAAAGAACCTACGTGACTATTGGGGGCAGGTTCCCCGATAGTCCTGTACTAAGTAACACTATCCAATAATTTATTTTGGAAGAGATAAGACTGAGTTTTCTAGTGATGATATTCTTTGTGAGCATTCAAAGTGTTGGGCATTAATTAAAATACATAAAAATAACTAGAAATATACTATACCTCAGTGAAATTTCTACATGAGGTTAAGAAGAAAATGTAAGTTTTGTGTTCTTATCTGCTCTTTCCTATGTTCACTGCTAGTGGCTGCTAGGAGCTAAATGATTTCTATAAAAAAAGGACTTCCTGAAAACTGTTCCCTCTCTCATGTTCTAACACCAGAGAAATGGTCCTTAAGTGCTGGTGAAGACAGCCTGATAATACAGCAAAGGAAAAATTATGCAAGTCTAAAAGACTAAGGGTTAAAATGTAAAATGGCTTAATATGCCTAGTATTTTAGGCAGTCTTTTTTTTTTTAGATATGACACCAAAAGTATGGATGAGAAAAGAAAAAAACCGGATTTCATCAAAATTAAAACTATTGTGCTATAGTATTTCAAAGGACATCATCAAGAAAATGAAAAGACAACCCAGAGAATAGGAGAAAATATTTACAAGCCATCTATCTGAAAAGAGTTTTGTATATATAACATATAAAGAATACTTTAAATATACAAAAAAATCCAATTCAAAAATGGGCTAAAGATTTGAATAGACATTTTCTCCAAAGAAGATATTCAAATGGTCAACAAGCACATGAGATGATGCTCAACATCATTAGTAATTAGGGAAATGCAATCTCAAACTACAATGAGATATCACTTCACCACCATCAGAAAAGCTAAAACAAAAAAGACAGACAATAATAAGTGCTGGTAAGAATGTAGAGAAATTTGAACCCTCATACATTGCTGGTGGGATTATAAAACGGCACAACCACTTTGGAAAACAATTTGTGAATTCCTCAACACACAAAACATAGGGTTGCCATATGACCCAGCAATTCCATTCCTAGATACATATCCAAGAAAAATAAAAACTTATGTCCACACACACAAACGTGTACATGAATGCTCACAGCAGCATTACTCATGATAGCTAGAAAGTAGAAACACAAATACTTACAAACTGATGAATGAATAAAAGATGGTATATTCATACAATAGAATATTACTGTACAGTAAAAAGGAATAAAGTACTGATGCATGCTATAACAAGGGTGAACCTTGAAACATTATGCTGAGTGAAAAAAGCCAGTCACAAAAGACCACATATTGTATGCTTAGATTTGTATAAAATGCTCAGAATAGGAAAATCTATAGAGACAGAAAGTAGATTAGTAGTTGCCTAGAGCTAGTACGTTGGAGTGGGGGAGTCTGAAAAGTGACTCTAACGGGTGCAGGGATTACTGAGGGGATGAAGAAAATGTTCTAGAATAAAATGTTCCAGAGATTGTGGTAATGGTCACAGAACTCTGTGAATGTACTAAAAACTGCTGAACTGTATGCTTTAAATAGGTGAATTTTATGGTATGAGAATCACATCTCAGTAAAGCTGTTTAAAAAATAATAAGCAGGTTTCATCAAAGGTCAATTCTGTGCAAAATGTATGTTATTAATAATAAGTTCATTTTTAGTTCATCTTTGTTATTTTTCTAGGAAAAGTTAATTTATTTCTAAAGGTCATTCATAGGACACACTAGGGTCCCCTGGGAAATGAAAGTGTTGCACTGGAGAAAAGATGTCCTCATTTTCTCAGTTGTGGATCCACTGTCAAACACTTGTTGTCTTAGCTCACCTGAGTCAATCCTGAACAAGGCATATTTAATTTGAGAAGCCTCATTCCCAGTAGCAAGTAAGGTCTAAGAGTGAGCCTTGGTATCCTAGGCAATTGTGTAAATTTAAGGGATCTACATCTGGAAGAAGCCATAATATTCTCCCTATTGCATCAGCACCAGAGCTCCTTACCCCACACTCTTTCCTAAATATGGTAAAGCTTTGGTTCACTTCTCTACCTGGGGCTGAATCCTTGACCTGATCTCCATTTCAGGGACACTGACACTCTCCTTAGCTCTCATCATCCATCTCCTGAAAAATCTGGACATATGGCTGAGCCCTCAGCTGCTTCATGGGGTTCTCTTCAGAATGGGACAGGTCTCCCAGGACCATGACACAGCCTGCCACATGCCACCATCCACTCATCATCACCACTTAAGTGTGTCTGCCAAATTTAGAGGAATGGAAGGGCAACCAAGGGCTTTTTAAGAAGAAAAAATAGCCTCATGAATAACTGCAAGTTGATTTTCAGTGTTAAAACTGTAACGTGTATTTATTAGATCTTCGCTGGCTTTCAACATCATTGTTGACTCACAAAGTTTACTCTCCAAGCTGCAAATCATACTGTCTGCTGTTGTCTCCAAGTTTTGCAAATATTTGAAGTTACCCAGAAAGGTATTGAATGTATTCTTGCCAAACTGGCAGCCTACAAACTCAATTTTTCAGTTTTGCAGGAGTCACACATTCATTTTATGTGTGATGACCCTAGACACCCTTAATATATTTGTTAGGCTCAACTAGGTAATGAGAAAGACAGAAAAATTAATCGTTTCAATCAACATAACCCTCAAAAAAGTAGAATCAAGGTACCAGTAATCTATCCTTGCTGAAAGCCATTGCAAATTATTATTTCATGATCACTAGAATATGGCAGTAGACATGAAATGGTAAGAGAAAGTCATAGTTAAGTTTATTAATAATAAAGTTTGTCTAGTTTCATTTCACCACCATGGCTATATCCAAGCACATATGCAAAATTAAACTATCAATCACCTGCTACTTAAGTAAAACCTAGGACAATAATTCAGGTATGTAAATGTGAGATTAAAAGAAGGACATCTGGAGAGCAATGTGTAATAATGAAAATTCTTCACAAACATTTTAGGGAGCAGAGATGCGGGGTACAATTATTTTGAAAGAAAGAAAAAATTATTTCATTTTCTGGGTAAGCTTCAACTGTCAACATTTGCCAAGAATTTGTGAGCAAAGGACTGTCTTTCTACTCTCCTTTCTCGTCTTCATTCCTATAGCATCCTTACGGGACATCTTTGGTCCTCCAATCCTTTATCTCTTAGTAAAATCATTTTATGTCTTCATTATTCATAGTTGAAATATATTATGACAATCCTTTCTCAATTAAGAGTGAAAATGTTACAAACTGAATATGGATGAACAACTTTAATGTTACTATTGTGAGTTGTTTGCCCACATTTAAAATGCTCTTAGCTTCTTTTATATAACTTAAACTTGTGTAGTTATTCTTAATGAATTCTTGAGACTAATTTGGCTCCTGGAAACTCAAAAAAGTTTAATTTGTTTAAACTAAGATGGACTGAATACTGCTTTTCTAAATACATCACTTTTTAAAATCCATGACGGAGACTGGCAGGTTGGATGGATTTCTGCACTGGGGTGTAACCAGGTTTCACCAAGTCCGGCCTCAACTCTACCTAAGCTTTCAGCTCTAGCTTTTATATATATAATATTTTAGTAGAAATGGATTTTGGAGCCTTTACTAAAAGTATTTCAGGATTCCCAAAGATTTTTTTGTGATTTCAAATAAATAAGGTGATTAACGCATGTTTGTCCCAGATATTTATACTCTCCTTCCTCAGTCCCCCCACCCCCACCTCAAAAGAAACCTGCCACATTTTAGCTTCACTGGTTTCCTATTGATTTAAAGTCTGGATTCTTAACCTAGAACTCTCATGGACTTAGGAGGTCCAAAAACCTGAAAATTTGTAAGCAAAATATATCATACTGTGTTTGCATTTTTTTTTTTCTGGGCAGAGTGACTATGGCTTCCACCTGATTTAAAAACAATTTTTTTTTACTTCAATATGTTAAGAACCACTAGTTTAAGAGAATATAAGAAAAGGCTCTGCAGGAAGAAGAAAGTACTCAAGGAAAATGATTTTTCTTACAGGGGTTTTCTCACGTTGGTACTTATCAGGGCACATTACATCATACTAAGAAGACAAACATCCTAAAGAATTTGGACCAACATTGGTGCTGCAAATTTGGATGTGCTTAACTTAAATTCTACTATAACACTGTCTACTTAAGATTATTTATGAAATATAATGCATGCAATTATTTCTAAAATATCTACAAAATTAATCTAGCAGCTTTATCTATTGAGCCTGTGCCCATAAATCAGAATGTGATTTTCCATATCAAGCCTTCAGGAAGACAAAGAAAGATAAATTTTATTATTTAAAAAATGCATGTCACTGAGGGAGAGTTTATAAAACCACAGTAATGACTGGCTGCAGTAGTGGTGTGATTCCATGTGGACCTCAGAGAAGAGAACTAAATCATTCAGGACTTCCCCATTGCTTCCATATGCACAGTCATTTCTCTGTAACTGATACAAATGTCTCTGGGAGAAATACAAGATGTCAGAAGTATTTCTGACTGACCTACACTCAATTAGCAATTACTCAAAGGTCAGTCAGAAAAGAAAGAACTACATCAACACCTGCTACTTATAAGGAAGCAGTTAGAAAGATGAAAAAGATAATGAATTCTTTCTATATGGTATCATATATTAAGAATTTGTGATGTTTTCTTAAATATCTAATGTTGACATCATTTTCTCAAGCATACTAGGCACAAACACAATTATGAATGTAGGAAAAAAATCCTTCCATTTTGTTTAAAGGGCTACCACAGAAATAAAGCAGTAGTGTTCTCACAAAGCTTTGTGCTGCATAGTAAGTGCTGTGATTCTAGAACTCTCACATTTATTTTTCATATAAATTTTTAATGCCTCTATACAATACATTTATGTAAAATGGAAGCTCCCTCTAGTGGCAAAAGAAGCTTTATTTTGGATTTGAATAGCTGCTTCCAAACCACCCTGATTATATCAGCGATTCTCAAACTTTTTGGTCTTAGAAGCTTTTGTTTCATGTAGGTTTTATTTATTACTATTAACCATATTAGAAATTAAAACAGATTTTTAAAAAATCATTCATTTAAAAATAGCAAAAATGAACTCATTCCATGTTAACACATAACATTGTTATGAAAAATAACTGTCCTTTCCAAGCAAACAAAAACTGCAAGAAGAGATAGATTGTTTTATATGTTTGAAAAGTTCTAGTGTCTGACATAATAAATGACAGCTGGATTTTCATAAATGCTTCAGTAGTCAATCTTTTGCAAGATGTTTTGGTTGATGTATATTTTTAAAAGTTAGCTCTCACATAGACATAGAGTTGAAAAAGAAAGGAGTAATTGAATAGCTTTTTAAAATAGCTGTGGGTATTTTTCTTTAATACTACACCAAAACTTGACAAGTAATCATTTCTTAAAGATTAGTTGCAATGTGAAATCTGAAACCATATCAATGTACTCTATTACATTAAAATTCACTGGCCTATCTTTCACTTTGAATGGATCTCTTACTAAGCATAAATTTTACCATCATGTACTGGTCATTTTGAAAATATTGCACTGAGTTCTGCAGTTCTCCTAAATGTTGACATATGTCATTATTTAAAAATCATATTCATTAATATCACCACCCACCTCATCAGGAAAGTCTTTACATATTCAGAAGCAGTCATACTCAGAGTGGCATATACAATTTTCTAATACTTTTTTCTAATTCTAAAATTCAAGCTTTCAAGTAAAAGTTCAAATTTGAAAACAAATATTGTCAGTTGTTCTTTTGAAGTGACAGACTCACTATGTTATTTTTCAGAAAATGCATGTGAAATACCCAACTATGAATAATAGCAGCTTGACAGTTGTTCTTTCAAGTAAACATGATGTTCCATGAAAAAGTGGCTAGTTCAGCTAGCAACTCAAAGGACCCACATGAACTTTTCCTCAAGACTGCCCTTGTGCTTGGGTATGCAGTAAAAGTATCTTATGTGTACTTTTCATTTCATCACACAGATTATTAAAAAGACCATGCTCAAAAGTTGAGATTTTTACTGCTTCATCAAGGACACTCTTAAGAAAAGTTGCCTTCTCCTTCTCCTGTCTCTTCTCCTTCTCTTCACGTGAATATGTGGCAGTAAATAATACAATCAGTCTAGTGCCACTTAGATTTGATTCATGCTAAGGCACCAGCATCTTACTCACCACTGATTTTTGCACCATCAATACAAATCTCAACACAATGAAACAGACAAAGAGCACCTTAATATTATTATGGGACTCTCTTGACAGTGACTAGAAGATTTCAGGGGTCCATGGACCACAATTTGAGAAGCAGGATTGACATAATACACTGGACTACATAATGTTGAACTGAGAGACCAACTGGTTGGCATCTTGAATTAACAGACATAAACACTTAAGTTCAGAAAGTCCAAAGTCGCATTCCTGTACAATTACCATTGCATTCTGCCTCTAAGAAAGTGCTTTAAATTCTGGGAGTCTTTGCCTGAATGTAATTTTTTAAATAATTATGACTATTAAAAAATGTTCAACATATCCTTCTATTCTCATAAGGGTCCAAATTTCAGTTTAGTTTTTTTTCTCATTTATTCAGGGACTATTTAAGGCAAAGCTTCTGTAAATGAAATATACATATATATATATATATATACACACACACACACACACACACATATATATATATATAAAATATATATTCTTCATTCCTACAGCATCCTTAGGGGACATCTTTGGTCTTCTCATCCTTTATCTCTTAGTAAAATCATTTACATATAAATTATTACATATATATAATCTATAAGCAAATAATTTTTTCACTGGATTACAAATAGTATATAATTTTGACCTAGAATATATCTCAGAGCCAATTTTGAATTATAACATTACTAAAACATTGTTTTTTAGTGCTCGATATTATATTTATAGTAATTTTTCTAAAGTGTTTCTATATTTTAGCTGTGAAGTGTTATACATCAATGCAATTCTAGACTAAAAACATTCTCAATATTCTACAGGTTAAATAAAAAAGACACCTATGGATTGCTCTATAAGACACAGGTGTGGTTGCTATAAAAATAGCTATATGTGAAAGATACTATTTGAGTACCCAAGTTAAATGAAAGTGTATCAAGTGCTTTACAATCCAGAATCCAATAAGTTTAATAAAAGGATTAAGAAATCTAGTAAATCTTACCTATTTCTGATCTAGCTAGAAATCTGAATAACCAAGAGACTCCCCAAATGCTAAATATTTATTTCCTTCTTAAGAAATACATATAGGACATACGATCACTTATTTTTGTCCATTTCAACATCTATTTCTCCTGAACTTTGTTCTGACCACCTCAGTATAGGCAGTAGCAGCAGCGGGTGAAGGATCATGGGAGAACTGTGCACAATTAACGACAGTAGCAAGGGCAGCATGAACATCTTACTATATTCACTTCAAGCAAGGACTTCCAAATCATAATTAGAGAAAATGTGGATTTGGATTCCTTTATTGTTGATACAGAAGGCCCAAAGCCTTATGTTGTAAAACTGCAGTTTCCAAACTTTGTAGGCACTAAGAGGAAATTTACAACTTTGATTCTGAAACCTGTATGAGATTACCTAGGGCAGGTTTGCTAGGACATCCTCTTAGTCATTACTCACTTTACTAGTAGTTCATAATATAAAAGGCATTTCTCTGTCCTTCATGAGAAGAGCATAGGATGCCACCTTTGAAGTATGTATAGCACAAATATCCTTACTGTTTTTTTTTTTCCATCTAGTAATCTATTGAAAATTACACAGGGATTTGTGAGAACTAGGATAAAACCTAGTTTTTTTTTTCTTTAATAAGAAATGTCTAAGAATTTTATTGTTGTATTGCAATTTCATATAGAAACTAGGATAAAAATTGAATTCCTTGATGTCGGTCTAAAATAAGTTTCTGGAGAATCATGATAAAAAATAATTTTGATATTGAAGTGTGTATAAAGTAATGCATAACATACGCAATTCCTATTTTGACTTATCTCTTTGTAAAGGTAAGGGGTGGAAAGAATTTGCATTTAAATTTAAAAAGTAGATGAATTGGCGTTTACTAGTGAGATGTGATTTGCTTTCCTTTAATAGATAATAAAATATTGATAGCAATATAACCAAGAAAATTTGGAATATGACCGTTTTAATTAATATCAATGTGAGGTGAATTAAAATTTCTTATCAATATATTATTATTTACCAGTTTCATATTGTTTTTTGATTGAAATGATTTGGGAGTTTTGATTAGTCTGTATATATAATGCTGCTCAAATTTATAAGATAATTACTCAATGTGCAATATTAAGACTGATTAGTAAAATACCTAATGAGTTGTGTCATATAATGAATGCTTAGAAATTGCTTTAGGAAGCAGATAACAATATATTAATTTGGAAATAAAATTTTTATACATTGACATTGTTCACAGAGAGAAAATAAGTAATTAATAGACTACTCTTCAAGAAAAACAGAGAAAAATGATCATTGTAAATGACTATTAAAATATTTAAGTTGAACATCTATATACTAGTAAGTTTAGGAATATCTTAAGCATAAATTGAATTTTAAAAAATTATCTCTGGAGCATAAGTCTCTTAAACTTAATATTCTTGTACTTATTTGACCCTCCTACATAGCAGAAAACAGTGTAGTTTAAAACTAACTAGATGGTGGCAGGGCGCGGTGGCTCATGCCTGCAATCCCAGCACTTTGGGAGGCCGAGGCGGGCAGATCACGAGGTCAGGAGATCGAGACCGTCATGGCTAACACAGTGAAACCCCGTCTCTACTAAGAAATACAGGAAAATTAGCCGGGCGTGGTGGCAGGCGCCTGTAGTCCCAGCTACTCGGGAGGCTGAGGCAGGAGAATGGCATGAACCCAGGAGGCGGAGCTTGCAGTGAGCCGAGATCACACCACTGCACTCCAGCCTGGGTGACAGAGCAAGACTCTGTCTCAAAAAACAAAAACAAAAACAAAAACTAACTAGATGGCTCACTGAACATTTGAGTAGAGTACAAGAAAGAATAGCTCTTTCACTGTTGACATAGACCTGTAGCTCATGAAATGCCTCTGACCCCCTGAACTGCCCCAGCACCCAGTCCCAGGAGGAGGTGAAAACCAGACCAGGTAAGGAGAAATGAGTGAACAAATAGATCAGTAAGGTGATTCTCTTGACAGCTCCCTGCATGCCAACAAAACCCTGAAATGCCCATAGAAACATTTCTCCTCCCAAGTTGGTGAGACACAGTTGTCCTTGATGGCAGGTGCTCTCAGAGCCAAGCAGGTATGAAACAAGAGAAGGATGATGTTCCCTTCAGACTAGGCATCATGTTAACCGGCAACTAGGAGGCAAAAATGAGAACTGATCCCGTAAGTCATTGGTACTTAAACTGTAGTGAACATCATACTCATCTGGGACGTCAATAATATAAAATACAGAGTCACACTTACAGAGATCCAGATTTAGAAGAGATAGGGCCAGGAAAGCCCTTTAACAAGTAACCTAGGGGATGCTGTTGAAAGTGATTTCTTTGACCACACTCTAAGAAATCTTTTCACAGAATACATATGAGCACTCAGGGACATAAAGTCTCTAAAAGGGTGGTAGGCTTAAATAACCGAAATTTGTAAAATACTTAAAGTACAAATAGAGTTGTCCAGAAGAGATTTAAGCAGTAATAGGTAAAAACCTCTTACTATGTGAGGGACTTGTCAATAAAACACATCCACCTATTTCTAAAATGTTACCCAATATAATGAATTCAGTAGTAACCACAGGTTGAAAATATTAAATATCCTGGCCAGGTGTGGTGGCTCACACCTATAATGCCAGCACTTTGGGATGCCAAGGCAGGCAGAGCACTTTTGAGGCAGGCAGAGCACTTGAGGTCAGGAGTTCGAAACCAGCATGGCCAATATGGAGAAACCCTATCTCTATTAAAAATACAAAAATTAACCGGGCTTGGTGGTGTGCATCTGTAATCACTGCTACTCAGTAGGCTGAGACAGGAGAAATGCTTGAACCCAGAAGGCGGAGGTTGCAGTGAGCCAAGGTTGCACCACTGCACTCCAGCCTGGGCGACAGAGTGAGATGCTGCTTTGTCTCAAAAACAACAAAAAAGAAAACATTAAATATCCTTTTGTGTTAAATTTTTTAAATATGAGAAATAAAACACTGAAAAATATAGTACTACATTTGTCTTTGGGCCAAGATTGTTTCACATTCTAAACAGAGAATTAAGTTTGCACTAAATATTGCCTGCCAGGGCTCTTTTCCAACTTTGATTTCATAAATATAAAGTACATCTAAAGAAAAAGTATCTATATTTACGTATACTTTCAAACATGCCTTTCATTAAGGTCTTCAGGGTAATGTGCAGAGAAAAAGACCTATGATTCAATGGAAGTGAGCAGTAAACTTGCTCTCTCCAATATATTGTACTGGACAAGGAAATGATGAGTCCATGATGGAATGATGGGGGAAAAAATTAAACTCATAGTCCTCACAGAAGACTTAGATTTAAATCCAAACTAAAATTCTCCTATCTGAAATATCTTTCAAATGTTATAGTCCCGAGTAGGTGGCAAGCTCCTCCAGGATGCTCAGTACATTTATTGCACAATAGCTACTCAATAAATGAATGAAAACGTGCCTTTACTATATGCCAATGGTCAGGGAGAGGTAGTTGTGTAAGAAAAGGTTTGGGATTCTAGATTTTTTTTCAGAGAGATATGAAAACAAATAATTATGCTTATCTGTAACTTATTAAGGACTCCAGAGCAAGAAATTCCTATTAAAATGGCATCTTAAGTTCTCAAATTCAATTGTATTATAAACGGCAAAAACTTCAAAAACGTTTTTTTGTGGAAAAGACTTTATTTACTCACCAAATAGCTTTTTTTTTTTCCTGCTAGGAACCTAGGAAGTCTTTTATTTTTTTCAGGCCTTTTGCATCTAGGTAGAGACCTGTGCACAATGGATGTTTGTTGTATATAGATGCTCTTTGACTTGCAATAGTGGTTATGTCCCCAAAAACTCATGGGAAGTTAAAAATATCTTATGTTGCTCATTTTCACACCATCGTAGAGTTGAAAAATCATTAAGTTGAACCTTGATAAGTAGAGAACTGTCTGTATATGTTTAATTAATGATATGATTATATTCCCCGACGATTTTCAATGATAGAAATGTGTAACAGAATATTCCATCTACTTTCACATATGTAAACTCACTTAAGGCCTCAAAATCCCCTGGAAAAGCAAATAGAGTTTGGCAACTTTCTGGTTTACTTCCAGATTATAAATGTTCCAATAGGTTGAATATGCTAATATAGCCAATGTCATCAAGATTAAGTTCAGGCTCAAGAATAAATACATTAAATAAACAAAGAAACGTAACTACCAATTTTATTCATTGAAACAAACAGTCTAACAATCAGATAAGAATGCAAAATTATACCTA
Source organism: Homo sapiens (assembly GCF_000001405.40). Taxonomy (NCBI): domain Eukaryota; kingdom Metazoa; phylum Chordata; class Mammalia; order Primates; family Hominidae; genus Homo; species Homo sapiens. The sequence goes on from NC_000006.12 coordinate 114,311,094, forward strand.
CCAGGCTCTTAATCATAGCACTGTTAATAATGACAAAAATAAAAACAAAACAAAACAACAACAAAAATATTTGTAATGAACATTACTGGGAAGTGGTTAAACAAGATGTATTACTTTCAAATAATAAAATCTGATGCTATTCGACCTTCATTTACTAAGATATAGAGATCTACAATGTTTTAAGGAAAAGAATGATATTTAGAATATGTTTCCATTTTGGTCCTTGTGATTGTATATTTGGAAGAATATATACCAATATGTTAAGAATGCTTATTCTGAGTAGAACGGTTATGGTTGATTTAAATTACTCTTTATGTTTTCCTATAACTTCTCAACTTTTACAAACAAACATATTTCCATCACAATATTAAATATAAAGCTATTTTTAAATTGTTACCACTTAAAATGAAATTTAAAGCAACATATTTTCTTTCTTTCTCTCTCTCTTTTTTTTTTTTTTTTTTTTTTTGAGACAGTCTCACTCTGTCACACAGGCTGGAGTGCTATGGCACAATCTCAGCTCACTGCAACCTCCGCCTCCCAGGTTCAAGCAATTCTCGTGCCTCAGTTTCCTGAGTAGCTGAGACTACAGGCACGCAACACCACACCCGGCCAATTTTTATATTTTTAATAGACACAGGGTTTCACCATGTTGGCTAAGCGGTTCTTGAACTCCTGACCTCAAGTGATCTGCCTGCCTCGGCCTCCCAAAGTAATGAGATTACAGGCGTGAGCCACCGTGCCCAGCTGCAAGGAAGATATTTTCAATGGTCATAACTAAATCAATGCATAATTTCATAATTTACTATGCATTTCATTATTTCAGTCATTTTACTTTCAATTTAGCATTCTGCTTTGAAAGTTGGTAGTATTTTAACTACCAACTAAGTATTTTAACTATGAAATGTTCTCCATTAGCAGATTCACCTTTCCAATGAAGTAGAGTTCTACCTAGAGCATTCTTGTCTTTTCTTTCCTCTAGCTGAATTTAGGCAAAACTAATACATATATTTAGACTAATACTAAATTCTCCAGGAATATTTGGATTTCATGTTACTATGTTTCCAAGTGAACATTATCTAATAGAAGCTCTGGTCAAAATCTAAGAATAATGGAGAAGAGTCTTAAACTTTTAAAACAAAACTAGTGTAAATTATTTTAGAAAATTAAAAACTGATGCTTGTCTGAAATTTCAACAAATGTGCTGGAACAACTGGATATACAAATGGAAAATCAAAAAACAAAAACCATTGGCTTATACCTCACACCATATACCAAATATATTTATATCTAAATAGAAATGTAAAATACTTGTAAATATAAAAGCCAAAATTATAACACTTTTACAACAAGACACAAGAGAAGATCCTTGAGGTAGACAAGGGTTTCTTAGATCAGAAATAATAAATTAAAAACTTAAAAAATAAAACTGAGAAATTGAACTTCATTAAAGTTATAATTTCTGGTCTTCAAAAGATATTAGAAAATAAAGAAGACTTGTTACAGACTGAGAGAAAATATTTCTGATACATGTAATGACAAAAGACCTATATCCAGAAGTGGAAAAAAAATTCTTAAAGTTGAATGATAAAATGAAAATAAACCCAGTTAAAAAGAATTGAACATATAATTCATCATCAAAGAATATATACTCAGCCGGCCGTGGTGGCTCATACCTATAATCCCAGCACTTTGGGAGGCCCAGGTAGGCAGATCACTCGAGGCCAGGAGATCAAGACCAGCCTGCAACAACGCTGAAACCCCATTTCTATTAAAAAATACAAAAATCAGCCGAGCATGGTGGTACATGCCTATAGTTACTAGGGAGGCTGAGGTGGGAAGATCACTTCAGCCCAGGAGGTTGAGGCTGCAATGAGCCATGATCATGCCACTGCACTCCAGCTTGGGTGAGAGAAAGAGACCCTGCATCAGAAAAAAAAAAAAAAAAAAAAAAAAAAAAAGATACACTAGATACACTCACGGCCAATAAATGCATGAAAACATGCTCAATATTAGTCATCAGAGAAATGAAACTTAAAACCACAGTGAGAGATCAGTTTACACTCATTAGCAGGGTAATTGTTAAAAATAACAACAACATACCAACAATACCAAGATATTGGAGATGATGTGGATGGAACGACTGGAACTTACGTTTCTGGTGGGAGTATATCACACTGGAAAACAGTTTGATAGCCTTATGGAGATATACCGTACATGCAACCCAGTAATTCCAGTCCTAGGCACTTGCTTACAATAAAGAAAAACGTGTTCACAAAAAGATCTGTACAAGAATATTCACAGCAGCTTTGTTTATAATAGCCCTAAACTGTAATCAACCCAAATGTCCAACAACAGGTGAAGGGATAAAGAGTTGTGGTATGTCCATACAACTGAATACTATCCAGCAATAAAAAGAAATGAAGTAATGATATACACAATGAGCTGGCTGGATTTAAAAATAAATACTGTATAATTTCATTTAGAAATGACGTTCTAGAACAGGCAACACTAATCGATAGTAATGAAAATCAGATCAGTAGTTTATTGGGGAGGAGGTGGTGGGAATTGCCTGCAAATATACAGGAGAACTTTCTGGAGAGATGGAAAAAAATGTTCAATATCTTGATTGTGGTGGCTGTTAAATGAGTACATAGATTTGTCATAACTCAATGTATACTTAAAATAGGTGCATTTATTGTATGTAAATTATGTATCGATCGAGTAATTAAAATCAGATGCTTGGATATGAGAATTAGAAATAAGGAAATTCCTTGCATCAGGATCATCTGGAGTGCTTCTTTAACTAGATTGTTGGATCTAACCCCCATTTTGTTTGTTTGTTTGTTTAAGACAGAGTCTCACTCTGTTGCCCTGGCTGGAGGGCAGTTGTGCAATGTCAGCTCACTGCAGCCTCTGCCCCCCAGGCTCGCGTGATTCTCATGCCTCAGTCTCCAGAGTAGCTGGGATTACAGGCATGCCCCACCACGCCTGGCTAATATTTTGTATTTCTTTGTAGAGATGGGGTTTCGCCATGTTGGCCAGGCTGGTCTTGAACTCCTGGCCTCAAGTGATCCACCCGCCTCGGCCTCTCAAAGTGCTGGGATTACAGGTGTGAGCCACTATGCCAAGCCCCAATCCCCATTTCTGATTCAATAGGTCTGGAGTGATGTCTCAGGAATTTACATTTCTAACAAATTATCAGGTGACACTGAAGTTACTGGTCTAGACATCATACTTTAACAACCACTACTTTAGACATAGACACAAATGATTCCTAAGCTAAGACATTATACAGAAGAATTTCAGTTGCAGCCAAGATAGCCTTGCTGCAGTTCAATATGGAGCAAATGTTGAAGTTGAAATCCATATATATGCCTCTCAATTTAATGGTTAATGAAGTTTAACGTTTGGAGTAATTTTTTGAAAAAACAAAAATGAGCTTTATAGTTGCTTTCATAGGCCCAAGAAGTCCCTGAAGTTCATAGAAAGAGCTGGCAAATCCTCAAAAATAAAACACAGTTCTTTTGTGTGTATGCTCTTTTTTTCCTCTCTGGAGATATGGCCAGGCTTTCATCAAATTTTCAAGTGAAAATGATCAAAAAAGATTAAGAAACACTAAAATAACTTTAGGAGTATCCTTTCAGCTTTAAATTTTCATTTACATCTGTTTTCTTCATAGATAAACAGTAGGTACACATGAAAGCTTACAACTTCATTTTTTATTTATGCTGAGCACTCAGAAGTTTTAGATTTAAGACTTGGCATAAATATTATGTAGGTCACTAACTGTGAAGAGGAATGAATAAGGGTGCACCATTAAAATAGTAACAAGTAAAGAGAGGGCTTCTGAGAGTTGCAAGACATTCTAGAAGTACAATTTTTTTAAAGTAAGATTAAAATTAACATAGTCTTAATTTTATGTTATTGTACCTCCATCATCCTCCACCATTTCTAGTTCCAATGTAATTAAAGCAACAAGTATTAATGTAGAATTAATAACTATAGTATGTGGCTTGGGTAACACAGGAAAAATAGAGCCTTTGTGGATATAAGAGCATTTTTATTTGTGCAAATAAATTTTCATGTGTGGAATATGTAAACATGAATGGTTAGGATTATTTTATACCTATTTTAGCATTATTTATAAGCATTTTAACAGAACTGCTGCACATATTAGAACATGGCACATCTATTTGTTGTCCATCACATTTCTTTTTATTCCGTGCAAATATAAAAAAGATATATTTTCAGTCTTCTGCCTTTGTCTGATCTGTATCCTAAACACATATTTAAGGGGTGGTTTTAGTCTTTCAACAAACTACTAGAAACTTTGTTAAATGTATTTTAATAAAATAGAAAAAATTGCAAACAATCATAGAGCTTAATGATCAACAGATTTAGTAAGCAGATTTAGTATACATATTTTAATCATTTCATCTGAGAAACAATAGCACACATATTTTATTACAAATATGTTAAAAGGATTCTTCAAATATGTAGTCCACTGACTGATGTTTTGTGACTTAGAGATGCACAGAAAACAATTTGATTATAAAATATTATGACCCCTACTAATTCTTTCATGCTCTGTTTTATGAAAAGATTGGACTTTCTTTTTTCTGTATGCTTTTCAACAGGTTATAGACATATATGTTCACAGTCTAGATACCATATGTACACTAAGTTCTTCAGGAAGAGAAAAAATTTTTTTTCTTATCTGCACTTTGTTTTCTCTCCCACTTTAAAATCTTTGCATAAAATCACCTTGCAGAGTGATATTCTTTACTCTCTCTCTTCTTGTCTGAGTTGTTGCTAACAGCTTTTAATTTGGGAAGTGTATCTCTGAGTTTACTGCGCCTCACTGGTTTCAGCTCAATTGTTTCTCTAGCCAGCAGAGCATTTCATTTCTTCTGAAGGTCACCACAAGCTGCCAAGGCTTTGAAAACATACCATCTTTTCATTCATGCTGCAATCTAACCCTGCAGTGCCATTAAGAGAAGCGGAAGCAGGCATGTGACTTTTTCTATCAACAATTATTGAATTTATTGTAATATAAAGTGAATTAGGCCATCAGTGAGCAAGGATCCTCCATAATGCCACCTTTGTTCAAGACTGTAGAAATTATTTTTTGTATTTTAGTAGTCTGTCTGTGTATAGATAATTATTTGTACAAATTATACCAAAATGTCATCTGCTTTTGGAAGTTACTCTTCCAACCATATCACTACCGGTTGCAATAAACCAATGATGCAGGAAGCTGTCCCGATCTAAGGACACTCATAAAACAAACACCACATTGGCCATCTGTTGGAGGAGGGATGGCATTCAATGTAATGTGTGCCTGGAACACATCCAGTATTGTTTATTCTGTCACATATCAGATGAGCACTGAAATCAAATTGATGATTTTTTAATTCCAAGGGGACAAGAAATGGAGAACAGAGGAGATGATTCCAGATATACGCAAAAGTGTTCAAGTGACAACATGATCCAAAAAGTGAAAAAAAATTAATAAAAGCAAAGGAAGAGTAACTCACATTATACTTGCCAGATATTTACACTCTTGGGCTAACAAAAAAGCATTTCAATATTACTTTTATGTTCTACAGTTAATGCTGCTAGAAAAAACCAAAACCTTCCTAGATGAACAAGTCAATTGAATCAACAGCACAAATTATTTTAAAGATTTTAAGGGCAACAACAATTTTTCTATATTTTAGATAAGATTAAAATGTTTTAGATTATTGAACATGCCAATGTTTTAGATTAGCTTCTCTGAAAGAGGTGAGCTGTGAATCATGAATGTTTTTTGTTTGGTAGGTAGTGGTTGTTATTTTCAGGTTCTGAGGCAATGAAATTGTTGCATAGCAGTTACACAGTTAGTTAGAAAAATAAAATGAGATTTTCCTTTTAAAAGCAAATTATTCTTCTATGTTTTAATGGGAAACTCACTGAAGTTTGATTCAAAGCTCTGATTTAATATCTTAGATTTTCCAATTATCAGTGAGGAAACTTTGTGCAAGTAATTTAATTTCCCTGATTCCTGGTTTCCTTAAGATGTAAAAATATCAAATGTGGAATTTATGTCCAACGTCCCCCTAAAAGCTAAGTCACTGTGAAAACATAAATAATTTTATTTTCAGTTTAGGTAAAATATATAGGTCAATCTTGGAGGAAATACCCATAGGATTTCTCACATTCTCATGTAGAAGTGCCCTTTTCCTCCCCAAATGATCTCCGCTTCCTGCATTACTAACAAGGGTAATCGTTAACACACTTGGAGTAAACGGATGCATGTAGTTCCAGTATCCAGATGTCCCTTAAGAATGAGGTGCTAACTGAAATGTGAAGGAATTCTATAACAGTCTTAAAATCACAATAAGGAAAATACTCTTTCTTCTGGGTTTGGAGCCATATCTATGGATATAATATTTAAATAGTATATTGTAATTTTTTTATTCTTTGACATTTAATGAAAAATACATTTCATACATCCATCTGTTTATTTAGTAGATATTTATTGAGTACCTATAGTGGTAGGTTAGGCACCTACCTAGCTGTGAACAAAAGTAACATGGTGCCTGCCCTCGTCATGCTTATGCTTTACTTTGGGGAGTGACACCAACATCAGGTAAACTAAATTATTCCACAAATGGTCCTAAGGGCCATGAAGGAACCATAAGAGTAATGATGGGAGGCGGGGGGCGGGGGGGTAGGCTGGAGGGCGGGAAAAAGTTATGAGGCTTATTTTAGACAGGGTGGCTAGCGATCTGACTACCCCATCATCAAAATTACATTAAAACACACACATCAACAAGAGAAAATGGGATGTCCTCCTTAACATCACTGTTAATTCAAATACTCAAATTAGGGTACTTTAGTAAATAAAATGAGCTTTTCTCCACTTGAAAGTTGGAACTCTTAGCTCTTACGCATACAACTGGCGAGAGTTAAGCCCACTGTAGTGTGAGCAGATGCCACCCAAAGTCCCCTACCCTGACCTGCCAAGGCTTATTAATCTCCACCATTTAACACCTTGCTATTCATGGCTCTCTGTCCTGGAGAGTAAACTATATTCTGTCCACTTCATGTCCAGCCCATAATATAGGGTGACTAATTAGAAAAAGCTGTAATGTCTGCACCAGCCAGAAGCATAGGACATATATTTTTTTAACAAGTTCTTAACAATGCTTTAACTCAACTTCAATCCCTTCATTGATTTCAAAATCCATGTGGATTATCTTCCTAACTTATGTATCTACTCCTCACTGGATTGTTCAAATTGCTATTTTTTTCTCCTCCTCTCCCCTATTCTCAGGGATCTAATATCAGACTCTTTAAGTAGATTTTTTTTAATAACTGTCTGACAACAAAAGGTTGCCCTGGGCAAAATTATAATAGTAAAATATAGGTCATTGATTCTGCCCACTAAGGCTCTTCACAGCATTATTTCCTATTTCTATGTACAAATCTGTTCTCTTAAATTGCTTTTCCTCTAGCTCTTTATAATTAACTGAGTCCTACCCCATCTCCCTCTTGCAGGTTATACCCTAAGCCTAGAGCAACCAGCATCGTGATTACAAATAAGGTGTCAGCAGACTTGGGTTCAAATGCCCACTTGACCTCTCACTACCTACAAGATCATGGGCAAGTAAATGAACCTCTTGGGGAAATAGAAGCAGTTACCTTGTCAAGTTGTTATGAAGACTAACTAAAATATCAATCACTCAGCACTATGCTTGGACCTAGCAAGTGCTCAATGCCTATTAAGATTTTATAATTCCATAATCTTTTTTCTAAGAATGATTAAAACATCCCTTTTATTAGCTCCTATCAGCCCAAGGAGACACAAAATGTAGGTATTTCTATCATCTTAGCAGTTTTTTGTTTTGCTTTGTTATTTGTTTGCAAAAAACAAAACAAAACAAAACAAAAACAAACAGTGGATATATAAGACAAAGTGGATATATTTATCTAGATATATAAATTAAATATGCATCCAATTTTTATTTATGTGGTTTCTATTAAACATGATACAAGTTTACTTACATGTTTCTGATGATGTTATATATTCCAATCTCACAGAAAATATAAGAATTCAGAATGTTTAATTTTCTTAATTAATACATTTCTTTTGCATTATCCAATTTACATGCACCATTACACAACTTTATGATTTAGATAACTCCCCTCTTTTGGATTCAAAGATATTACTCCTGGGAATGATTCTACAGACAAATACTGCCTAGGAGAATAATTTTTATCTTGAAGTTTTTGGTAAACTTGACTCTTATATAGTACAGCTTCTGGTTACCAGCTGTCACTGCTATTTTCAAAGTCTATGGCTATGTCTTGCTGATGCCTTGTGAAGGCCATTTTGGAAGTCTTTGTTAAGGGGCAACATCAATTTCTCATCTTTTAATTCTACTTTTTTTCTCTTTTTTGGTACCCTGGGTACATATATCATAAGTAGCACAGGTGAGCAAATTAAAATGTTACTTTTCCAGAGAGTATAAATATCTTGCTTTTATACTTGACAGTTATTTTGGAAACCATTTCATATTTTAAAGTTCTATTTTATTTTTTCTTGTGATTGAATAATATTCCATTGTATGACTATGCCTTAATTTATTTCTTCTGTCCTTACAGAAGGACATTTAAGTTTTTCCCAGTCTTTTGCTACTACAAACAAGATTGTAATAAACATACTTTATTCCTTTGCATACATGTATGAGTACGTCTTTAAGTATCTGATACTATTTTTTTGTTGTTGTTGTTAGTGGCTCTACTATTATCCCAATTGGGCGTAGAGCCTCATTGCCTCTCTCATCCTTTTTCATAACAATGGACGGCACATCAAGTTGTTAGTTTTTCATTTGCATCCTTTTCTTTTGTAATCTTTCACTGGAGAGGAAGAAATAAGGATAATAATAATAATAATAACTATTAGAACTTGTTATTGAATGCATACAAGACATTCCCTAGAAAAATCTTAGAAATATTGGTGGTGGCATGAGTACTCTGTAGGTGACTGCACTGTTATTGGGACTCTACATACATTATCTTTAATTCTTACAATTAGACAGGGTGTATTTATTACATCCATTTTTCTAATGAAACTGAGACTCAGGTCGAATTAGTAATTTCACCAAAGTTACAAAGTTTAAGTATTAAAGCCACGCTAGGTGCCTCAACGCTCTAATTTCTAAACTTAGACTCTATCTTCAAATTTATAATGTCTCTCTAATGCATGACAGTCTTTATATGCTGATTCATTATGTCTTCCAAATCCTTCTGTATCTACTCAGTGTCCACTAGTTCAGGGGAGCTACTGAAAAACCTCCCAAAGTCTTCTTCCCTTCTATGATTCCTCTCACTGTCCAAATAACCTCACTCCCATATTAATTCGATTGCATCATAAGATAGCTCTTGTGATCTCTCTATTCCTATTTCACTATCTGCACCCACTTCTCTTGTCCCTCATTGATATGTCTACCATTTTGGTAGCAGTATCGGGGTGTAGGGGCTTTCTAACTAGGTATAAATGTAATGAGAAAGGGTGAAGGAAGCTCTGGCCAGGTAGAGGTCCCAGTCCCTTACATCACCTTAACCAAACAGCTTTATTTGTATCTGCTTTATGTGTAGGGGAGTTATTAATGTTTTATTTGAGAAAAATTTGCACAGCTAAAAACTAAACAGAAAACCATGAAATATTAGCTCCATAAGGACAGGAGTATTTTTTCTCTTTTGTTCACTCCAGTATTCTCAGCACCTATAATGGCAGTACATAGGAAGTGCTCTCTCTCTCTCTCTCTCTCTATATATATATATATATACATATATAATATATAAAGCCAGGGTCTCACTAGGTTGCCAAGGCTAGTCTCGAACTCCTGGCCTCAGGCAGTCATGCTGTCTTAACTTCCCAAATTTCTGGGATTACAGGCATGAACAGGCATATTTCTGGATGAACAAATAAATGAATGGATTTAATTAATTTTGGCTTCATCTAACTGAAACTTTGGGCAATTCACCCAACTACTATAAGCCTCTTTATATTTTTCCCTCATATAGAATGCTCCACTTCCGCCTAATAGCATTGTAGAGATTAAAAATATAAAAATACCTAGCACAGTGCCTGAAACATTCTGGCATTTGGGTTTATTGCTCCATCTATATCAAAAACGATTTGCTGTTTCATAAACCTACCTTTAGCTGAAATTTCCTGTCCTCTTTCCCTTTTAATTTTTTCTTCATTAATGCCATTAGAGGTGTTCTCAAGGTCTTTCTCAATTAGCCTGGTGAACAGCTCTGGCTCTGCCTCTCATTCATTATAAAACTCTTTATTATCCTGCTTGGGCTTAGCACTTTCTGGCTTGAGTTATTGCTCTGTGTTCCACATTCTCTGTAAGACTGTAAGCTGAAGAAGCTGGGGACTCCAATCCATTGCCATCTCTCAATAGTTGTTAACAGTGCAAGTTCGATAATGATAAAGATCTTTTAAAATACATGTAGCACAACACAATAATAAATGAAGGTTTTTTTCACTTACCCACATAAAAATGTTAATATCAACATAACATAAAGTCTACTTCAAAGTATTAGATTTGGTACAATATACAATGTTCTAGCAAAATATGCATGTCAATGTATCTTTTTACACATAGACACACACATATATCTGTGTCTGGCATTTGACTGTTTATCTGATTTTTGGCATTTGTCTATATCCCGTGATAAAGGAAGGTAAAGAAAAAACAGGCTAGTCTGACACTTTTTGCTCACTTAATAATTTAATAACTTGGTGACTTGATCTTTCCAATTAATTATTAAGATCATACTTATAAGAAGTGGAAAAGCCACTTATTTTCTTACAATCACTACTGAATTTACTTTTCTCCACACCATTTAGATTACCATAGTATGTGGCTTTTTTCATTTACACAGTTCTTGATAGCATACAGACTTTTCCTTGGCATGATAATTCTTGTTAGTAGCATTAACTACAAGTAATAGAATTTTTAGCCTTTCAGAATTTCTGTCACAAAGTCAGAGAAGAAAAATTCTACATGCCTGCAAATGTATTTCCTGCGCAACTGAAATATAAATGTGGTTTTAAAGTAGCAATATAATGCGTCTTTCAGAATGTGTTTATATTTTCAATTTGTTTTATCCTAACTCTCAAAATGAATAAGTCTGTGGTAGCCAACTGGCTTCAAAGTAGCTTAACCTTAGTTTTAAGACCATACTAAAAATATTGTCTGCACAACCTTTCCTAATCAGGTTTGAAAGAGACAGGTGGGCCTGCTTTTTCCTTGTACTGTGTTTATGGTTATAATCTACATTTGCTCACATAACATATTAAAAAAAATCAGCTGCAGAACTGACATCAGAGAAAGTGATTCCAAATTCTAAATATATATTCTAAATTAAAAAAGGTAACAGTGAAGCCTATAAATTCCCTGTTGATAATGACCAAAATCCATTTAAGCAAAAGTAATAAATGTGAAGAAACCTGTTTGTGAAAGGACAAGAATCCTGGAGGTCATTTCTGTAGAAGCTGCTAAGGTAGCACTTGAGAAAATTCCTAAGAGCTTATTTCCTTTCTTGCCATCTATAATTCCCAATCTCTCTGAAGGTTTATTTCACTTACCCACATAAAAGACTAGCTATATTACTGCGATATGGCAATGCATGCATACCTAATAGTATAGACAGTATTAAACTTCACAAATATTTGCATCTCCACCCGGGGGTAGGAAAATTATATTTCCTTGCTTCATGGATGTCAGATTTGACCATAGGCATTGATTTGGCTAATAAAATGAACACAGTGACTTGTGTCACTTTCAGAGGAAAGCATTTAGAGCCAGTGTGTCCTTAGCAATGATCTCTTTTCATTCCTGATAAATGCTGCTCTGCTGGTCGGGGACTTAAAGTGCAGACTTGGAGTGGAGTTTCCAACTTGCAATACACACATAGTGGGAGGGAGAAATGAATCTTTAAAGTCTTAAGCCATTGAGACTGGTCATTTGTTACCTCAACATAATGTAGCCTATTGCCAACTAACAAATGTGATAAGGAGCCATGCCCCAGAATGAAGGGAGACTCTTTTACCTAGAAGGTAGGAAGGAAGAAAACATAAAGCAGGATTAGTATTCAGATTAGAGAAAGATAGCATATGTAAAACTGCCTAGTGCATATTTAATGATATGTAAAATTATTAAAGGATTAAGGAGGACTCATTTTGGGATGATTTTTATGTGTTGGGGGTGATACAGGTAAAATAATTAATCTGTTCATACCAATAGTACAAGGGTGCTTACATTTTATCCTCAAAAATCATTGTAACCCTTAGTTGACAGTATGATTGGTGGCAGGGATCATGAAATTTTGGCAGGAATCAGAAAGATAAGGAGTTCAAGTCCTATCTCTTCCTCTTTTTAAATGTTCAACTTTGAATAATTTAATTTAAGCCGCAATTTCCTCATCTGTAAAAGTATAATGTGGAGGCTACCTCATAGCATTATTATGAAGATAACATATAATGCATGTTACGGGTTTAATATGGTATATGATGTGGCATACAATGTGTATTCAACCAGTACAAATCTCATTATGCACATTTAGTTTATACTTTCCCACTCAGTAAATGGAAAAATAAAGTATACAGAGTTATCCGGGGTATAAAGCTATAGAGTATTGGTTTCAGGTTTTGGATCTTAATTTGAGACAGGGTGTTTCGAAGATTCTCAAAAGGCAAACACAGTTTTACCTTTAGGGCCAAAGAGGCCTGGGAGGCTGTTTTAAAGGAACACTGAGTCAGAGGGTGAGTAGCTGTGCTGTTTCCTTCTGTTAACAAAGACATTTTGAGAAGACCCCTGCAGGGTCTTCTTCCCCCTGCTGGGGGACACTGGCTTCTTCCTGTCCTTTCTTAGATTCTGAGAGTATAAGATTCAAGAGGAGGAAGGTGAAGGTAAATACAACCTAACAGAAAAACTGCTATGTATTGCTATAGTTATTTTTGCACATATAATGTAACTACATAAAAATGCTTACCCACTGTGGTTCCCTTTTAGACAACAGGGCTGCCAGGTGCCATTGGCACCCAATTTAGTGACTGGATAAGAAAAATCAGAAAGCTTCTAAATTCTAGATAATGTGAGAGAATTAAAACTGTGTTCCCTTTAATATCTTTTCCAAAAACTGTCATCTCTAACTTGGCCTTAGAGGGACAAGTAGTTTCTTACGTGAGCAGGTTTCTAGTTTCAGCTCATCACTTTTCTTCATCATTTACACATGGCTTTTGACTTTCAAACATGGTACCATAGAACAAAATCCTTGGACCTAAAACATTTTGATGCAACATTAGCTTGATGACTCTGACTCTCAGTTTTAAAAAATGAATGACCTTCTCCCCGAATTATTTAATCATTATATAGGGTGGGATGTATTCTCTGTTTTCTTGCAGATCAGTGTCCATCAACATAAATTCCCTTGTGCATATGAAGTGTCACTTGTCAGTTATTGACTTGTTTTTATGTTCTTTGCCTCTTCAAGCCAAAGCCTATTTCAATTTATAAGACAACTGGTCTAGATGCACAAAGTCTATCGGTACCATCACTGTATAGTGGTGTTCTGAAAGCAGACATTCAACCAACATATTCAGGTGCATTCAGATGGACCAGGGATGGGCTCCACAGGTCTGAACTATCACTTATACATCTGTAGAATCACTGCTCTTAAGGTTTCTAGTGATTCCAATTGCGGATAACGTGTCTCACTCCACTTAAGGGATATTACAGCCTAAGACAACTTTAGTCCTGTGACTGGTTAATAAAGTACTGTCAAACTAGGAAATGATTATACTTGCAGGAAATGTCTACAGTTAGTTCCAGGCCAATAATCAGGAGAAAGAAACATTTAAACAAAGATTCTAAAAAATCCTTAGGATTGGCTTGGTGTAGAAAGTGAACATTGACTGCATCAGTTGAATCTCCCAGTTTCTGAATGAATGAATTGCTAGGTTTAGCATGAGCAGAGGATTTGTTTATCATCTTCAGTAAGAAATTTGGCTTGAGGCTGAGACCCAAACCTCATCAACTTGGTCTTAAGACCAAGACTCCATCAACTTGTTGGGGTTAGTTACTCAGTCACAATTGATGAAGGGTTAAAATAATAACCTATTTAGACCACAAAAGAGGTCTAGGCTTTATGGAAAAGGCTGTTCCAGTTTAAAATATGGAAAAAGGTATTCTAGCCCAATATTGATCAAAATTAGATAACTTTCAAAAACATGTTAGGACAGAACATGATGAAAGTGTTATTTCTTTGTTAAGGTGGGTTGGATTTGGCAGATAGTATTGTTAGGTGTCTGGAGAGAAAGATAGATTTGGGATATAACTGTTGAACATGTGAAACATACATAGAGATGAAGAGAGGTGTCTCAAGGAGTTTTCTTGCATCCTAATATTCAAATTACTTGTATATTACTTTTCCCTGCTAAACTAGTGTTTCTCCAACTCACTGTTAACGCAGGTTTTAAGATAAACACACACACAAAAACAAAACAAAACAAAACAAAAAGGGAAAAACAAACCCACTCAGTTTTATGCAGGCATACATGATCCTGGCAAGTTTTGCTAAATTATTTTCTATTTAGAGTTACTAGATGGATCTCAAGGTTTACCCCCTCCTGGAAGCATTTTCAGACCCTTTTCCCTCACAACCTCTTTTCTGTTCCACTGCTCTTCTCCCATGCCACCTCATATACCTATGATTTCATTCAACAAGTATTTATTGAGCACTTACTCTGTGCCAGGCAATATTTTAGCATGCTTAGGCTATGTTGGTGAACAAAAATTCTTGCCTTCAGTGGAGTTTACATTCTTGTTGATGAGAGGGGAGAAATTACAAGGAACTACCCCTTATTTAAATTGCAATGCAATAATTTACTTTCTCACCTGACTCCTTGAAGCCAGAGGACTGTGTTTTATCTCTATTAAAAAAGTAGGCCCACTGGGCCTGGTGGCTCATGCCTATAATCCTTTGGGAGGGTGAACTGGGTGGGTCACCTGAGCTCAGGAGTTCCAGACCAGCCTGGGCAACATGGCAAAACCCCATCTCTACTAAAAATATAAAAAATTAGCGGGGCATGGTGGTGCATGCCTGTAATCCCAGCTACTTGGGTGGCTGAAGTACAATAATTGCTTGAACCTGGGAGATGGAGTTTGCAGTGAACGGAGATCACGCCACTGCACTCCAGCCTGGGTGACAGAGTGAGACTCTGTCTCAAACAAAACAAAACAAAACAAACCAGTAGGCCCTCAATAAGTATTTGCCTAATGACTGAAACAGGAATGACAATATTACAAGTGAAAGATATTCCTAAAAGACAATATTTGAACCTTTATTCCTCAGTACCAATTTATGAACTAGCACAGTAATTAGAGCAGTTGCATAGTAGAGTTTCCAACTTTATAGATGTAATTTTGGAAAGTTTTCTAGTTGAAATATTGAGTTGTCAAACATACTCAATTTCAGTGATCATAATACTTCTTTTTAGTCAATGCCCTTGAAGTCTTTAGATTTTTTTTCAGTGAAGAATCTTCTATTCAAGCACAAAATAAAAATAAATCTCTATTCTTAATAGGATTTAAACTTCAGAATATTATGAGACTCAGTAAGGCTTTAAATTTGTCAATGCCCTTGAATCCTGTAAACTTCTTTTTCAGTGAAGAATCTTCTATTCTAAAGCACAAAATAAAAATAAACCTCTATTCTTAATAGGATTTAAACATCAGAATATTATAAGACTCAGTAGGGCTTTAAATTTAGGGTGTTAGTGAAGCTTTGTGGTTTAATATTCAAAATAACTCTTAAATGGTCTTAACTGAATGCCCATTTGGATACTTACATTTAGTATCCACACAACTGCTGTTTCTTGGAATTTTCTTTGAGTAAAATCTCCTAGAATACAGATAAGCTCCTGACATTTTTTTCTTTAAATATCCTTGTTAGAATGATTAGTGTCTGCAAACAATGATGACACATTCTTTACCTTAAATACATTTATTTAGTGCCCTGTCTGGGGTTGTGAATACAGTTGGTGGTCATAATGTACTTGTAGATAGTGATAAGTATTAAACTAGTGGGTTGGCCATATCCTTTGTGGATTCCCCATTGTTTACCTGGCTGTGGGCTTTCACTATGCATCTTCCTTGTTCTTTAGCTATGTCCACTAGAGGGTGAGTGGGAGGGAGGAAGAAAAGACAAAAGAAGAAGTTTGGCAGATCTGCTGAACAGTTTGATGATGCAAATTAGTTTGAGGATCAATTTAGGATTTCTCTATTCATATTCATCTTGCCTCTTATTGCCATGGATACATAAGTTGATTTTTATGAATATAGCATTTATAATGGCAAATTACAAGATGGCAGTATATTATACAGAGTCTATTTTTACACCTTGAAAAATAAATGCCAACATCCAGATAACTTAAAACAGCATTGTGAAAACACGCTATATTATCCCAACAAACATAAGGTCCAGACATGCAACATCATTTTTTTTTTCAGACTTTTAGACTACCAGTAAATATTTTTGGAATTGAGTTCCATGAATGTGAGAAACTACATTAAGTTATAGGACTGGTTCTACTGATAATGTCACAATAGGCTGTTTATATATCTTGAGTAATATATTTAAATAATAAAAATAGCAAATGTCATTCAAGTCAAGAATTGCTAGTTTTAGTCATCTTCACAATCCTTAAAGTTAGCACCATCTACCTATGCATTATGGATTGATGATGTTGGAAAGGTGATATTGCTCAAGATATTGAATGTCTACGTGATGCTTGGAATTCCATCAGTATAGGCTCACACTTAGTAAGAACTGCCAGGTGAGAGAGATAGGGCAGTGGAAATGAAATAATAGAGGTAGGAGCAGATAAGTCAAGCCTTCTTATTGTAAAAAAGAATGGATGGAAATTGCAATCAATTGTAAAATTTAGAGTTTATATAAAATCCTAAATTTGATCACATATACTTTTTATGATATTCCATAAACTAGAGATGTGTATAGGGTTAAGTACAGAAGGTAAAGAAGAAGTGAAAAAAGGAAGGAAAGAAGGAAAGAAGGAAGGAAAGAAGGAAGGAAGGAAAGAAGGAAGGAAGGAAGGGTAGCGATAGTGTCTTTAATATAATCAGAAATTACTTATTTACAGGGATTAATTAATTTCTTTCCATCTGTGCCACCCAAACACCTCCATTCCTTCCTACCCATCACACACACAGACTCACAAACACAAAAACACTGACACACAATCCCAGAATGGGAACCAATGGCTGGCACTAGACTACTTCTCATCCTTGTACAATCTGCCTGTTTTCCTAAAAAAAGAAAAAGAAAAAGAAAAACACTTTACAGCTACTGTCTTTCTTTCTTTTTGTAAAACCATAGACACTCCCACGTAGCACAAGCTCAATTCCAGCCAAGCTGGGTGTGCTTTTAAATAAAGAAAACAGGTCTTCTAGCTCTGTGTTAGCAAAGTCACCTCTCACTGGCAGTGCTAACGCTAAACATGTAATAATACTTTATTGTCATGAGCAGGAATCTGCTTTGCTAATTAAATGCAGCTGTCAGTAATTACTACTTGTCAGTGTAATCTATTTTAGGGAACTCTACTTTGAATGATAAAAGATGGGCTTGATATTGAGAGGGTGGGATAGGCAAGGTGACTGCTTACTTCCCCAGATCAGAAACTCACTCTTTCTTATGATGAATGAGTACCTTTATTGTGATGATGTCTTATCTGAATTATTCTGTATTTCTTTAGTGCATGAGTCATAAAGTTTGAAGTTAAATAGTTTTTTTTAATATCTAAAATCTAACTGTCGCCCCTCTTTGTAATGCCAAGTACTAAGACTGTCGCAGAGTTGTAAATGCGTCATGATGGTAATTTGTAATAGATGATAAATCTATAAGAAAAGCACCAATAGTGAAGTCACTATAATCTCTACCATCAAATATTTAGTTCAGTATGAATGTACCTTCTAATTGCTGGCAAATTTGATTACACATAGAGGAGCATCACTTTGAAGTGGGGAGTAGTAACCATTCCTTGTATAACCTTTTTCACTGATATTCAACCAGGTTTTCTCTGGGAAAATGTTTAGATTTCAGTTTAAGACTTTGAAATTTGCAAATCAAAAGAAATTCATGGTGTTTGCATGTAATATTAATTTATCTAACTGATTCTGGTATGAACCTAAAACTCTGTAATAGCCTACATCTGCATGACTAAAAGCAATGTCAGGACAAGCATAATGCAGTCTGCTTTGCTCCACGGGATTGGCATTGGGACTGCCACAGAGGCTGGCACTGATTTCTGTGTCCAAGGGGAATAGACCTTTGCCCTCACCTCCCCTAACTTCTCTAACTTCTCTTGACATTTAAAATGAATGTGGTGGCAGTGGAAAGGGAAACTGGAATCTCAAGGAGTAAAGTGATGGGGTGATGGAAGGATCAACAAAAACAAAGTAAGCACAGCAGGAAGTATGAAGGAGGTTTGGCGCACAAGTAGCTTTTACCCCACTGAGGCTGAAAGACTTATCACACCCTCAGAGCATCCTGACTGCCTCATCCTTCTTCTTCCACCATCTGTTTTATATCCAACACTCCAATAGTCCTTGTGTGCTAGATAATTAATTATCTTGTTGTAGGTCTCAACAAATTTGGCAGCTACTCTTCTGAATACAGTACATTATTTAAATAGAATTAGTAATTTGAGTTTTTTGTCCCAGGAAGAAAGAAAAAAGTTTTTCAGATGGAAATAATGACAAAAAGTAGAACTACTTAAATGTATGTTTGAAATACAGTCGGCAAAAGACACACACTTGCATTCTTCTTCCTGCTACTCCCTCTTGGGTAAGAGATGCACAGTCCGGTGGGAGTGGTATAAATGTCCCCATTTCCATGACATAAATTCTCACTTCCTTTGCTGAGAAAATTTAGATTATTCCAGATTTTTTTTTAAATGTTTAAAATTCCAAGTGATCAGCATCTCAAAAGAAGAAAGAACACATTAAATAGACACCTTTAAAAAGTAGGGTTTATTGAAAGAAAAACCAAGAAAATAAACATGGATAATGGTTGGAATTCTGAATTTTTTTTACTTTTATGGGTCCTACCACCTCCTCCAATGCATTCCTAAATGGCCTGTAATATGCTGAACTGTCTTTTGTATCAATGAATGAAGTTCTTAGAGTACAGTAGTTGCTCGGTAAATAGCTGCTGAATGTAGGAGCAATGATTCTGAGCTATTATCATGATATTGAGTTACTGTCATGTTTCCTGCTACCCACTCCAGCTAGATGAAGTGAGTGGGGGATGCTTCACAGCAAATGTTTAGGCAGCAGGGCCAAAGGTATGCGTCCAACCTTCTGGTTTAGTGATGGTTACAATGGGGAGAACATGGACCCTATTTCCTCACATGAGCATCCACAGGTTCCACCCAGCTCCACGCTCACAGAGGTCCCTATTTTCCTTTTCTGCACTGTACTCCCTTTATACATCAGTCTCCCTTTTTTCTACCTTGGAGAGCCAAGACCCCACTTGGTTCTCTTCTGAAACAATGAAGTCTTTCTCCTCAAGCCTACTGTAGGTATCTAGGGAGTCCTGGGTAAAACAAAGACTGCAACATGCGTCATTACCAGAATGTCTTCCCCAGCCTTGTGTTGGGTAAAAAAAGACAGGCTGATAGAAGGGGTCTTCCCAAACAGTAAACCACTGGCACAGGAAGGCAGCAAGCACCACATTAACCATATTTAGGACTTCATAACATTTTTCTCAGCATCATTATTAATATATCCCCTTTCAATTTCAAAAGTCTCTCAGTATGGATTGTAAGTCCTACTTTCAGCTACTTATAACACGTGTAAGACTTGTTCAGCTTTCCAACATTTCAATATTTTGGAATATTAAAAGTATGTAGGGAACTACCTGTAGACCAAGAATGGCTGATTGTTATTGTGATAGAATTAAGTCACAGTAAACCGCATGGTTGCAAGATAATAAAACTAGGCCCTTTCTTAGGGCAATGGAATTATTGGTAATCAGAAAGCTACTAAAGTCAGAGAAAGAAGTTAAGGTGTCTTTTAAAACAGGATATAGTTACATCTTCAAAATAGTTTAAGAATTTCAAAGTAAATTTATAACTAAAAGTACAGAGAATTAATTTGGTTCTACTTTTTTATTGCTCAAGATTTTCTCTCACTTTAAGACAGGAAATGGGAATATAATATACACATAATTAGGGAATATTAATTAAAATATTTTTATGTACTTTAGAGGAAAGCAAAGAACATAATATTTAATTACTACTTTGTTTTTAACTTCAGGAATCATATACAAGAAGTCACCTAAAATGGTCTAGTTTATTCAGTAAATTAAATATGTCAATGTCTTTAGAGAATAGTGTATTATATTTTATATATTTTGAAGGTAATATTACATTTTACATGTTATATTTTTGAAACTAATTTCTTATTTTACTTGCATATATAATTACTTACCAGGGGATGACCATGCACATCTAAAAAAAGAGTTGCTTCCAAATGTTTGCCATTAAATGTATTAATCTACAGGTCATTTCTATTTATTTAGTACTAGAGACACATCTGTAGTGTGATTACCATACGTTGTTCGCTAATCTTCTGATCTTATTAAGTTTTCCATTTTGGTCATGGTAAAAGAATTTAATTTCATACTTATTTCCATTCTTAAAAGAGAACTCAGACTTTTAAATCTCATTAAGTGGCTACTAATAATTGGTTAAATATAAGTCCTCTGCTTTGTAGAGAAAAATGAACTTAAATAATATGATTATTAGATATAATTTAAAAAATTTAAATAAAAGAAAACCTCAGAAATGAGCTCATGGACTATTACAGAACTTTTTGAAGGTTTCTTGGTCTGCAAGTAGAAAATGAAAATAAAAATGGCCTAATTCTCTATAGACTATTATTACAGAAATGGAGACCTAAATCATCTCTTAAAAATTATTATAATCATATTGACAGATGGATGCTTACTTCTAGGCAGTTAGAATACTAGAGAAAAATAGGTAGTAGGGGGTTAGGGCAGGACAAAGGGGTGGAGTTTTCCCTGCTCCACCAGGCACATTGTCCCCATTTTCTTATATCGTGCCCTCACTATGCGTTTTCTCCATCATCTAGCACACTCGATACTGTTTGTTTCGTTGAAAGTTGGGTTGCCCTTGGGCTTACAAGTTCTTTGATAACTTGTAATATAAAGACTAATAAAGTAATCATATTCTCAGATCCAGCACACTGCCTGACACACAGTACCTGTTCAATGTATACTGAAATAAGTTCAGCGAGTAAGAAAGGCATAAAAAAGTCAGACACAGGGAGAGTTAAGATGATTATTTCTCCTATCAAAATGTATTTAGTGCTTCCTATATAATCCAGACACTATGCTAGGCACTGGAGATATAGGTACTGTTGGGGGTGGCGAGAGAGTGTGTGTCTATGTGTGTGCGTGACAGGGGAATAACATTAACTCAATAGAGTATGATCTGTACTACCAAACAGAGAAGCAGAAAGATAGCCCATCCTGGCTTGGGTGGAGGTGGGTGAGCTACATAGAAAAGGGGCAAGAAAACAAAGAGAGGTAGTGTGGAAGATAAGAGGTTAGACAAGCAGAGAACCCTTAGGGAGAGGGATCAGCATATAGAAAGGAATGAAGTATGAGGGAGCATGGTCCATTCCTTCCCTGGAGTCACCCAATTGTAAGGACCTTGCAGAGGAGTGACAGAAGTTGAGTCCCAGGCTGGTCCACTGGAATAGTAAGGGCTTTGTAGGTTGAGCTAGTTTGAACTCTACCCTGAAGGTAAGGGATGCTGCAGGTTAGTAAGCAAGTGAACTGCATGATCAGATTTGTAGTCAGAAAAAAAATCAAGCATTGAAGAGGATGGAGATCCAAGGCTTATTAGGAGGCTACTATGATTCAGGTGAGAAGTTCCAATGGCCTGAACTTAAGGAATAGCACTGGGGCTGGTGAGATAGGTAGTGTTCAGGAAGCAGGATTGTCACATCTTGGTGACAGACTACAAGTGGGAGGAGATGATCTTGAGGTACCTATGTTCCTGCTATGATCTTTATGACAAACTATTCTTAGTTTCTCACTTTTCTTGGATGTCTGCGCAGATGATACTGCCAATACAGAAGAGCAAAATAACATAAAGTATTTGAGAAGAGGTAACCTTAAAAAAGTAATGGTGTATAAAAATTTTCAAGCACTTGATCTTTTTGTTGGTAGTATACAGTTGGAAGCCCTTATTTAAAGAATGCTAATATTTGTGGAATTCAGAAACTCCCAAAGTAAATGCTGCTATAAATAACCCTTAACTCACTGGCAATCCATTTCAGAATGGACAGGGTATGAAGATAAGATAAACAACCGATTAAGAAAAAATAATTATATTCAGAGAAAATCTGAAAATATTATGGCTAATATATATATTTTTTTAAAATTTTTTTTTGATACAGAGTCTTGCTCTGTCTCCCAGGCTGGAGTGCAGTGACACGATCTCGGATCACTGCAAGCTCCGTCTCCCGGGTTTACGTATTACGGCTAATATTTTTAAAGATTTTATGATGTGCCAGGCACATCTATCAAGACAATGGGAATAATGTTCTTCACTTTAAAGAGTCAGATATCAGAGCTAAGTTGGTATCACACATCTAGTCTAGATTTGGAAACAGAGGAATTGAACCATAGTTAAGTAAAAATAAAATGGAAAGAAGTATCTCCCAGCTACCCAAGCATCTGCAAGCCCATCAGTCCCACATACAACCTTGTACCCGTCTTGTGCTCTGCCTCTGCCCAGTTTCCCCAGGTCCTCCTGTCTGGGTGCCTCAGCTCTCTGCTTCTGAAGTTCTGAGTGCCCACACTAAGGAGCTCTGTGTCTGCACCATTAAACCATGTGCCAAGTACCACGGAAATAGGGATGAAAAGAATACAATCCCTGTCCCTGAGAAGCACTCAAGTCAGGTGAGCAAGACAACAGTCCTTGAGCCTTTTCTGGATGTTTTCAAGGGTGCGAGGGGACCTTTCAGATCTGCAGGAACCCTAGAGTTCCCCGTGGCAAGCTTTTCCAATTCTCCATGCTGCATCCCTGGGAAAAAGGCTCTTTTCCAGTGCCCTCTCATCCTATATTGTTGCATTCAGCTCAGAAAAAGTGAGCCAAATAGAAACTTTAGGTCACAGACAGCTAGCTCACCAGATGAGGACATTCCATTTGCATAAAATGTCAGTTCCCACTACTGCCTACAGAGTGTGAGTGCAACTGCAGTCATGTACTGCATAACATCGTTTCGGCCAATGACACACCACATAAACAACAGTGGTCTTGTTAGATTACACTATTATGTCTTTACTGTACCTTTTCTATGTTTAGATACACAAATCCTTAACATTGTATTACGACTGCTTACAGTATTCAGTATAGTCACATGCTATACAGGTTTGAAGCCTAGAGATGATAGGCTATATCATATATCCTAAGTGTGTACCAGGCTATACCATCCAGGTTTGTATAAGTACACTTTATGATGTTCACACAATGACAAAATCAGCTAACAATGCATATCCCAGAATGTATCTCCATTGTCAAGTGACAAATTACTGTATTTAGAAGGATTTTGGCAGACTTATTTAAGTCTATTTTAAAATCGATTCAATTGTTTGCTAAAAATTAATGTTATCTAATTCTTTGTTCTAGTGGCCATTGCATATACATATGAAAAGTATGTACACAAAGTCAAGAAATTGAGCCTTATTGAAATTAAATTACTCTTTTGTTCATTGCAAGGAAGATACAGGAAAGTAGGGAGGCATGGGTTTTAAGGCCCAGAAATCCACAGAAAATACTTGGGGGCTAACTGTAACTAAGAAGCCCATTAGTGTGAGGGTTAAATATGGGCTTCAGAGACAGATGGTGTGGGTGAGGATCATGGCTCCACCCCTTTAGCTCTGGGTCCTTCCTGGGCCTCAATTACCTCATCTGTGAAATGGAAATACTAACGGCATATGTCCCAATGAATGCTTTGTAAGGGCAAAATGTATAAAGACCTATACTGCTTGATACATAGTAAATATCAACTACCAGAATTAAATGAGTGGCAAAAAAAAAAAAAAAATCTAAGAATAGAATTAAACTTGATCTCTTAAGTCAAGTTATTCACATTTAGTGACCAGAGTTAGGAAATAGCTTTTCCCTTTATACACTGAGTTCTATAAGGTATGAAATATAAAGATGTCAGAAGAAATTTGTGTAACCTAAAGTTTTCAACTCATATCAGATATAAAGACAAATATAAATATTTCAATTCCATAGCAAAAACTTTCATTCTTTTCCATTTACTACATCTGGATAAGAGGATACACATTCCAAAGAATCAAGTGAACTTATAAAGCGAGGCCTTGCAAATAAGAACAATGAATTAGCTGTCCCAAAAGCCTCCTCTTTTTTTTTTTTCTTTTTTTAAATTAGACGGAATCTCACTCTGTTGCCAGGCTGGAGTGCAGTGGTGCAATCTCGGCTCACTGCAACCTCCATTTCCCGGGTTCAAGAGATTCTCCTGCATCAGCCTCCTGAGTAGCTGGGATACAGGCATGCACCACCATGCCCAGCTAATTTTTGTATTTTTAGTAGAGACAGGGTTTCACCATGTTGGCCAGGATGGTCTTGATCTCTTGACCTTGTGATCTACCCGCTTCGGCCTCCCAAAGTGCTGGGATTACAGGCGTGAGCCACCGCGCCCGGCCCCAAAAGCCTCCTTTTAATTTCTGTGTTCAGCATAGGCCTTTAAATCTGGTATTACTTTAATCAAGCTTAAGTCTTAAAACACATAATTCTTTCTTCATACACTTCCATCAAGAGTAAGAGAACCCATGTTTTAAAATGGAGAACCATGTATTCAAATACACATAATGAGCATGTTGTGCCCATTATGTTTAATCATCTATGATGATGGTATGTTGATGTTAAAGATGGTGGTGATGACAGCAGTATCAATTACTACTTTCTGAATTTTTACTATGTATGACACTCAATGCTAAGTATTTTACATAGATTATCATATGGATATCAATGAAGTGGTATTTCCATTACCATATAATAGATAAAATTACTAAGAATTTGGCCTGGTGCAGTGGCTCACGCCGGTAATCCCACCACTTTGGGAGGCCGAGGTGAGCAGATCACTTGAGGCCAGGAGTTCAGACCAGTCTGGCCAACATGGCAAAACCCTGTCTCTACTAAAAATACAAAAATCAGGTGGGCATGGTGGCACATGCCTGTAGTCCCAGCTGCTCAGGAGGCTGAGGCACGAAATCACTTGAACCCAAGAGGAGGAGGCTGCAGTGAGCCAAGATTGTGCCGCTGCACTGCAGCCTGGGTGACAGAGCGTGAGTCCAACTCAAATAATAATAATAATAATAATTAATTAATTAAATTACTAAGAACTATAAGAATGAAGTAACTTGCCCAAGACACCATAGTTAATAAGCAGTAAAGCAGGGATTTTAATTCAGCCAACTCTGTCTGACTATAGTACTTACACTCCAATGAATACTTCATTTATGTTGAGGCATGTTCAGAATTATTGTGATTTTTTTCATTGACTTGAGTTAGTTAGCTATGGCAGAGAGCATTACAGTGACATTTTAATATGTTCTTGAATAGTTCCCCAAACTATACTCAAATAGTAAGATTGTTAATATTTATGATAGAACAGTTGTGGTACCTCATTAGCAGTTTAAAGATTCTGTTACTTCATGTTAATTATGCCTTGTATGCCTTTTTAAAATAAAAAGTACAATTACAGGCATTCTTCCTTTTGTCTACTCCTAAACTTAAACATTTAAACCTGTTTATTATTTCACACTTCTTACACCATCCTTCTCCTTTCTATCTCAGGCCATTCCATCTCATAAAAGTTATTATTCCACAAGGTTTCATAGATAGTAATGTCCTGAGATCATCATGACAAAATAAAATGTCTATTCAGTATTAAATCACATCTTAAAACTGTGCAATTATAAAGACACTTGAAGCCTTTTTTTTAACCTCTGGAGAAGCAACATGTGGAATGCTCTGCTTCAGTACATGCAGTAAATATTAATGGGATGCCAACTGTGTGTATCCAAGTCTGAGCAGAATAAGTCTTCTCACTTCACACCTTCTATAAAACTCAGATTCCTTTGGCAAGTACTATACACCGTAGTAACACAACATTGACCTCTGTGCAAGAGGTTCACATTATAAGGATATCATGGGAAGCATAAAACATTCAGTATCAGATTCTCTGAGCTATTAAAACTACTTAAATATGGCATCGGTTCTTAAAGTTACCTAATTTAAAAGTAGCTGAACCTTTGGAAATTATTGAGTCCATTAAAAACTACATTAAGTTACAGCACTATGCTCAAGGACCGCTGTGGTTCAGGTTATGTCACGGCTTCATTACAATTGCCTTCCTTATGAATTTCAGAAGAATTCACTAGAAGTTGAAAATTATCATAAATCTCAGTTGCTAGAATCTATTTGCTTTACATCTAACTTGCTCCCCACTGGGCCCTCTATTTAAGTAAACTTAAAAAAAAAATCTATTCAAGAGCAGAGTAGACTACCTGGACTCAAATGCCAATTCTGCCATATAGTAGCTGCAGAGCTTGAGTCATTTATTTAGGTTCATAAACCCTCACCTTCCTCAACTCCTAAATGGCAGTAAAAATGATAACATCAATGAAAAATAAAATAATAGCAGCTGTACCTACTTATTTTCCCTCTGTAAAATGGGAAATGACAGGAGAGCTACCAGAATTAAATGAGTTAATATGAGTAGAGCTCTTTGGACATTGTCAGGCACATAATAAAATTTATTGCAAGTGTTTCTTAAATAAATTATTTAAAAAAAGTATCATACTCCATATTTTCAATATCAAACTAGTAGAGCATTTATGAGTATCATTCTCAAAGTGATGCTGACTTCACAAACCATGTATGGCACAAAGGGATTCTATTCCTGTTGTACAAGGTTATTAAAAAACAGATATATACATAAACAGAAACATAAATATATACTATTTACATATGTACAATGTATATATACATACACATTGTGTATATATATACATACATATACATAAATATATGTATATGTAAATAAATATAAATAAAATTTACCTCCCCCATGCAGAGTCAAGTTAGGCAAAGTGGTCTAAAGTCAAATAAACTCTTCAACCATTTCTTAATATGGACATAGCTTTCCTTCATAAAACTTCAAGAAGAAGAAAAATAATCTACTGGACCAATGCCAATTAATAGTAAGACACCATAATGGAACTTCCATATGAGATTTAGAGAGGTTCATTTATCCTATCTACATTATATGAATTTCCATATGTAATCTTTTACTCTACTTTTGATAAGGGTTAGCTACTATGAAATGTTTTTTACTTAGATTGGTGACTTTTAAATGAAGTTACTAATATCTTGCTTTAATTGCACTTCTGCTTAAAGGTTAAGATAACATTAAAACTCAGAAACAAACATTGATTCCAGAGGCAGCAAAATTTGTCAACAATTAAATTAGATACCAGAAAATATATACAAAAGGTTACATTTTTGCTAACTTGAAACAATTAATGTTGAATTCACAGAAAGCCTAAAATACAGGATTTTTCTGAATGGTAACAGTTTAATTTATAATGAAAAGTTTAACTAGGTATTTTTGTTTTGAGCTCCCCTCACCAAAAAATGGAAAGGATTTAAATGATTTGAAATCTATGGCTTAAACAATTTCCTTAACTTGACTTGTTCTCTCTTTTAAGCTATTCACCTGTACTTAAAATAAACTATTATTCCATTACCAAATAATAAGTCTTCACTTAATTGCAATCATCTCAGAATATGAAAATATTGGGATAAAGTATTTAGAAATCCAAAAAATTCATCCATATAAAAACCAATGAAATATAGAAATATTCACATAATTTCAATGTTCAAACACAACTCTAGTGTTACTGCTCATACTCTATTCCCAAATTGGAATCATTTTTAGTAAGCATTCTCTCCTCCACTAGCCCCTTTTACTAGGAAGTTACCTTGAGAATTATTTTATTCATGAAATGAGGGTGCCTACAATAAATAGACCATCCTGCTAGACATGTCAAGAGCATCAAATAAAATTCACTTCAACTAAAATTTCCATAAGACATTTCCCCTTTTCTAAAAAATCCTAAATAACTACTTTTGTTAACTTGTTCATTTATATATAATTGCTTTTTTAAAAAACGTTACTGTTTCTGAGATTGTAAAAATAAAGAGACGGTAAGATTTAGGAGCAAAATATTTCTTGTGTTCTATGAATGCGAATTCACTTTTTCAGTGCAACAAGAATATTTGCATTTACTCATAAATGAATACTAATGACAAATTCAGAGCTGGCATTACTCCATAGAAATCACACACAGAAAGCCAGAGCTAGAAATCATACAGTGCACAGATAGTTATATTACTCTAAAGTATTCAGACAAAGAGCAAGGAGATTAGAGTCAACATCAATTCTCTGAAGTTGAGTCACATCTTAACGACATGGTGGGATAAGGATAATTGTAGAATTTAGGAGGGAAACAAAGTTGGCTGGTTAATATCTTATGTGATTTCTGAGTCAACAGCTCTTTGTTGACCACCTACTCTGGGCAAGATGCTGCTTCCCTAAGTAAGCCACTGCTCTACAGTTCTATTTACACTGTGTAGGAGTAAGCTTCCTGCTTCTACCAGAAATCCTCCCTTTTTGTTTAAAATAACAACCCAGCTCAACTTTGCATATTGTGTGTGTTCATGTGCTCAATAAATACTTTTTGAATGAGTGAAAATTCAGTGAGTAAGAAGGTTATTCATTCAAAAACATCTGTGTATGCCGGCAAAAATGGTGAGGACAATGATAAAAGCATAATGAAAACACTGGGCAACACCTCCTCACAAAGATGTCAAAGGGAGCAACTTCAAATGTTAAAATTTAAGCATGAGCTCTGGCTCAACCTAGAAACCAGGATCCCAGTACTTGCTGTAATACTCCATTGAATATTGTGCTCATAATTTCCCATGTAATTTGCTTACATACCTATTTGAAAATATTTTTCTCAAGTAATGATGTTTCTATATGTTTTATTAATTGAAAAAAGAGTGTTTCTAAAAGGCCAGAGTAGCTTGGGAGAGGCCAAAGCAGTTTTCTTTTTCACTGTTAAAACACTGGAGGCGGTTAAATTTAAGCAACAGTTTCCTTCCCATTGCTATGTGTCTTGTAATATCTTCTTGTGTCTCCATCAGTTCACTGGTGAATAACTTCATATTCCTGAAGTTAAGAAGCCTGCCCTGATGCTCATGCAGTTACTTTGAGCAATGACCAAACAGAGAGAGGAAGGTAAGTAGTATTGTTTTCATTTCTTTAAAAACTTCACTAGGAGGAAACCCCAAGGTAACAATGACAACAACAAAAATCTATTGCAACATAATTGATAGCAATAAAACCTTTTTTAAAAAATAATCATTTTTGATATTCATATTTGTAATCCCCTTTTATTATCTTCAACTTTTTCTTGAAAAGACCTTAATATATTTGAAATAAATTATAATGTGTAATTTGTCTAAAGCTCTGAAATATGTAGAAACTACTAAGTAAAACCTTTGAGAAGCACCAGCTGTTTATTACTTCTAGCAAATCAGTTTAGAAAGGAGCATTAGCACAGAAAGAAGGCCCACCCACCCACTTTCGCCCCCACCCAACCCGACCCTGCATGCTATTTATCAGACCAAGTTTACATAAATCAGAGAAGAGTTACAGTGCTATTAAATGTATCCACGAAGTAATATGACATAAAGCACTTTGCAAATATTAAATCTCTCCCCAGTGTTTTCTAAGAAGAAACTGGTATTCGTATTCGGAGACAGAGAGGAGAGGGGGAGAGAGGGGAGGGAGGGAGGGAGAGGGAGAGGGAGAGGGAGAGGGAGAGGGAATAGGGAGAGAGGGGGAGAGAGAGAGAGAGAGAGAGAGAGAGAGAGAGAGAGAGTGAGTCCCACCGGGTGAAGACAGGGTAGACCACGAATGTGAGCATCAGCTCCCTTGGGTGGGTGCCCTGAAGCACTGAAGTAGGGAAGCGGAAGAGTAGAGGAAACCCACCAAGGTGAAGTGACTCCGGAGTTGTTTGTTTGCTGGGCGCTTGGAACCTCCAGGTAAAGACATCCACCTTAAGCTGGACGCTCCTTGCAGGTTGCCCTAAACCAAGGTGGTCGCCCAAGTAACAGGAGCAGGAGTCTCAGCGCTCCAGTGAGTAGCGACAGCGACCTCTCAGACTTGTTTGTAGTAACAGTATGACCACCCTTCGACTGCATCCATCCCGCGCGCGCGCGCGCGTGTGTGTTGGGTGGGAAGAGATGCATAAAGTGGGGCTGTGAGGGGTGTGGGGGGGGCCAGCTGGGAAGAGAAAACCCCACCCACATGTTAACTTAGCCTTTGCCTGTTCTTTGCCTGCCCTCTGCCTGTCCTCTGCTGGGGCCTCGCAGGCCCCCACTGTCCCAAAGCTGCCCTCGCGCTCCAAACAGCTCCACAGCCACCCCAGAAGTGACCGAACGCGAACCCCTAAACTCTGGCGAGCGCAGTAAACGCGTGTTCCCTTTCTCCCTCAAAGAGAGCGCTACCCAGCGCTCTGGGAGAGACTGAGAGAGAAACAGACAGGCAGGCTGACTGACACCTTCTGTCTAATTTTACCCCAGGAATTGCCCCCGCCGTTTCTCATCTCGCACTAGTTTAACCTCTGGTCCTAAGCAAACCTCTCAAAAGTCTTCCCCAGGCAGCGCCCAGGAGAACCGAACCCCACAAAGTGCTTTTTTGCTGGCATCACCCGGATGCTTCCCTTTGGCGATTTGCCCCTTCTCATTTCCCCCCAAATCTAGAGGTCTCAAAGCCCCTCCCCCGCGCGAGGCGGGCAGCGCGCCTTGCTCACCGTGGTCCCCGGCGGTGGCGGCGCGGGCGGGAGCCTCAGGGCGCGGGGGTCGGCGGCGGGTCGCGTGGGGGTCACCCGGCCGCTGCTGCGGTCCGGACGGCAGTTGGTCCAGTAGTTTCGGATGCCCGGGCTAGGCTCGGCGGAGAGCGAGTCGGCGTGAATGAGAGCAAACCAACAGGGCTGTGCGTGGCGCGTGTGAGTAAGACGCGAGCGGGCCCCACACGCAGGCGGCGGCGGCGGCGGCGGCGGCGGCGAGGTCTGAGGCGGGGAGCCGGGCGGGGGGGCAGGCGGGCGAGAAGTAGTGGAGTTTAGGGCGCGTTTCCTGCACTTCCCCGAGAGGCTGGAACCAGGTGCGGCAGGGCGCGCTCCCGTGGCGCGGGCACGGCACGGGCGGCCGCAGGAGCCGGAGTCCGCGCAGTGCCGGAGACCGCAGCCGCTCTGCGGGGGGAGGTGCGCATCCTCCTTGCCCCACGAGGGCACCGGCGCAGCCCCGGACCCTGCGCGCAGAGGGCGAGACTTCGGGCGTCCTCGGTGACAGCTCCTCGGGCAGCCCGCTCCCTCCCAATCCGCCCAAAAGAGCAACACTCAGTGTGACTGGGATCTTCCCTTCCTGCGTCCTCGAGCCTCCGGTGCCAAGCTGTGCGGGCGCCCCGCTCCCCGCGGCTGGCGCTGTCACGGCCGCCGCCCGGCCCCCAGAGCGCCCGAGCCGGCAGCTGCCTCCCGGAGACGTGCCCAGCTGTGTGCGCGTGTGTGTGTCTAAGCGAATCTCTTCCCCTCCATCACTTGGGCGCGCAGGAGGGACCGGGTCCCTGGCGACCAGCTGCAGAGTGGCTGCCAGTCCACACCCTCCCGGCTCTCTCCCCACCCACCCCGCCCCTACTCCTCCTCGCCTTCCCCTCCTCCCCGTGCTCCTCCTCCAGCTGCCGCTCCCGAGCTCCCAAAGGCAGCGGAGAAACCGCAGCGAAAGGGAGGAGGAGGAGGGTGGGGAAGGAAGCGCAGGTGTCTTCGGCGGAGAGACGGGCGCACGCACCGGAGCGGCTTGCTGCAGGGGGAGGGCAGGGCCTTAGGCGGAGAAAGGGGAGGAGGAGGATTTACCCGGAGGCGGAGGTCCCGCAGCTGAGCCACTGCGCGTCCCACCCAGGCGCTGGAACCGCGGGCGAGCAGCGCAGTGGGGCTGCCGGGTGGGCGCGCAGGGCTCCCAGTTGGACTGAGGTCGCAGCTTGGGGAACCTGCGGAGGTGACCAGGGTGGCAGAACTCGGGGACACAGAGGTCGGAGGGACCCAATTGCTGAGGCGCTGAGACCGGTCTCTCTGGGGTGAGGGGGATGCCTAGACCCAGAGCTTGGGGCACACAGGTGTCCAGGAAGCTGGTGTGTGTGGCTCCAGAGTGCCAGGCGGGAGAGCCGGAGGCGGTGAAGGGTCGGGCGGCGGCCGCGGCGTGCTTGGGGCTGCTGTGTGCATCCGGAGTCACAGGGGGCGATCACCGCCTAGCTGGGAAGCGGAGCTCAGGACTCAGCCTTCTTTCAGGTCCCAAGTCCAAAAGCCGAGAGGCACACTAGCCTTCCCAATTTAGTCTGTGTTCCTCCAACCCTTTGCCCCCAGCAAAACAACAGGCCAGGAGCTGATTCTACCTGCTACTTACTGTGCTCTTTACCGGACTGAAAGGACTCTACTGCTCCAAGGAGACTGATGTGTTGCTTCCTCTCTCCCAACTCTAGTCCCCTCCCTCAACATACATTCCTACCCAACCAAAATTATCCAGAACATTGTATTTCTCATTGATAAACTTTTTCCCTCTGGGGTTCCCTAAAAATGAAAATCTTTCCTCCCTTTTTATCTGTAGAGGCATTAAGTCTCTTGCTTACATTTCATAGTACAAATGCAGTACACAGAAAAGTCCTTTAGGCAAGAAATCACAGCATTATTGCTTATGACGGCTTGTCTGTTTTCAAATGACAGTCGCAGAATGCAAATTTGTGTCAACCTGAGGTCAGTGGAGAGAGTTGGTCCATTTAATTAGAGGTATTTTGGAAGGAATCTGGGAAACAACACTAGAAAGAATTGCTGTACTTTCTCCAGTACCCATTCCTTTTTATTATGGTAATTTCACTCTGTTAATTTAGGCAATCTGAAAATGAAAGGTCGGATGCAATTTACAAGGCACAATATTTCTAGATTCTCATTCAACAGCCCGCCCCACCTCCTTCCTCCCACCACTCTTACCATCACCTCAAAAGGTCATGAGCTAAGAACCGAAACTGCACTTTTTAAATCTCAGGATATAGCCTGAATGACAAAGCTGTTGAGTTTTAGAAAGAGACCAGTTAAGTCTAAACTTATTTACCAACTACTCAGACAAAATCATATGCTCAGCAGCAACAATAAAATGTATACTGTGTAATATATTGAGCAGGAGGAAAGATGGCTGTTTGCCAGATATGTGATCCATTAACCTCTTTAGCTCATTGTTGGCAACAATAGCATACAATCACATTCCTATGTTTGAAAGACAAGAGATTTTTTTTTCCCATCTTAAAATCACAATGCCACATTATAGTCTAAAAGAAACCTCAAACAATAAAAGTAATAAGAAAGGAAGAAACATGGTTTGTTTTTTTTCTGAACAAATGTTGCTGTTCTGTTTTTTTTTCTTGAGGGGAAAAATGCTGATAAGCAATAAAGTCCACAAAAGCATGACAATAGATTTTGAAGAATGCATCACTCCATCTATTAGTCCTTTCAATTAGTAAACTTTATTTAAAAGGTTTATTTATATTATCTTTTGATTGGTATTCAGTCTTTCTTTTGTGCCTGGAAGATGACTGAGAAGGAGGATGGGTGAGCTGAATCTGGTTTCTCATAATTCTGTCTTGCATCAGGTTTATGTCTGGCAGGAGAGGAATGCTCAGCAGCCTGTGCTTTCTCAGCAATCCTAACTTCTCCTCAGAGGATCCTTTGCTCTGTAGCTGATGGATTGTGAGATTGTCACAGTAATTTTGCCTACCTGCTACAGGGTCACACCTGGGGTTGGGAGCAGGTACGGTTCCAAAAACTGGGATGCAATGCTCTGGAAAGAGCTTTTACCTTGCCCAGGGTTGGAGGATTAGATGAAGGTGCATGAGCTTTTTTGTGTTGCTTTTCAACTTCTACAGATGACCTGGATTTTCTGCTAGGTGAAGTGTGGAGGTGGGTGGGTGTGGTCTAACATTTTAAGAAACATTTTGGTATTGTGGTAAATTAAACAAATAAAACTAAACACTAGACATAATGGTACACCCAAAAAATCTATTTGAAATACAGTTTTGAAAACAGTCACAGATTTATTGGTTTAGCTTAGTCATCTATGCCAAATAAAGTACACAGCAATGAAAACATTTGGTTAATTAGAGTGTTCATTTGGTAAAGAATATATTTTTTTTCCTGAACATCAGCATACTCTCTTGTCTCATAAAGATGTAACCATTAAATATTATTTGGGCCAGTGATGCTAGCTTATGTCTATAATCCCAGCAATTTGGGAGGAGAAGGTGGAAGGATCACTTGAGGCCAAGAGTTTGAGATCAGCCTGGGCAACATAACGAGACCCCTTCTCCACAAAAAATTAGAAAAAAAAAAAAAATTAGCTGGGCAGGGTAGTGTATGCCTGTAGTCTCACCCACTCTGGAGGCTGAGCCAGGAGGATCCCTTGAGCCCAGGAGTTTGAGGTTACAGTCATCCATGATCACACCACTGCACTGCAGCCTGAGCAGCAGAGCAAGGCTCTGTCTCCAAAATATAAGAAATATTATTTACTTTACAGCTTCAAATGGAGACTGCCCTCTCAGTAAAATATAGAAATGTTTGTCATTATGAAGAAATTGAGGGCAGCTGACTTACTTTCCAAAATCTATCTTTTTTTCTTTTAACCAGCCAATTGCTGACTTTCAATTGGTTTAGTAAATATTCATTGAAAGGGCCCTTCAGTCCAGGCACAGTGGCTCACACTTGTAATCCCAGCACTTTCGGAGGCTGAGGCAGAAGGACTGCTTGAGTCCACGAGTTTGAGGCCAGCCTGGGCAGCATGGAGAGATCCCATCTCTTCAAAAAAATTAAAAAATATATATGGGCTTGGTGTCACATGCCTGTAGTCCCAGCTACTCAGGAGGCTGAGGTGGGAGGGTTGCTTGAGCCCAGGAGGTCAAGGCTGCAGTGTGCTATGATTGTACCACACTCCAGCCTGGGCAACAGAACAGGATGCCATCTCAAAAAATTTAAAAAAGGAAAGAAAAGGGTCCTTCTATGTGCTACCACTGGAAACCAGAAGATGAATAGAAGAAGTCTCTGCTCTCATTGAGCGAGGTCAGTAATCGCTAGGGCTATCAAGTTGAACAAGGTTCATTTTATTATAAGGAAATATGCCCCTGTACCCACATCTCCATGCTCCATCACTGTATTTGGGTATCTCTTGTATGAAAATTGTGGTTTCTGTATTGTGCAATGCTGTGTTTAGTCATGAGAGACCTAAAAGTGTAAGGCCACGACTGATTGTAAGGGAAGCATTTCTCATGGAAGGAGTGGGTCCACAGACCAAATATCAAAAACTCCGAGGGTGGTAAAGAGGATTTGACCTCTCTCTAGGTCTAGACAAGTGCTGGCCAATAGAAATGCAATGTAAGACACAAATGTAAGCCACATATATAATCTAAAATGTTCTAGGAGCTTATTCAAAAACTTAAGAAACAGATGAAATTAATTTTAATGATATATTTCATTCAACTTAATATATCAAAAATATTATTTCAACATGTAATCAATATAGTTATCATTAATGAAATACTTTACTTTTTTTTTCATACTGTGGTAGAAAGAATGACTTCCTAAAGATGTTTGCACCCGAGTCTCTGGAACCTGTACATGTGTTACCTTACCTGGCAAAGGGATTTTGCAGATGTAATTAAGGTTAAAGACCTTAAAATAGGGGGATTATCCTGGATTGTCTGCATGGGTTCAATCTAATCACACGAGTTCTTTTTTTAAACAGCCAAATAATATTTTTGTATTACTAATTTTAACTATTTAAAATGAAAAGTTACATATTTTAATTAGTGAAAAGCCAATTCTTTGACCTAGGGAGAAAATGCCTGTAGTGACAAATGTTGAAAATGCTTTGTAATCAGTATACTAAGGAGACATTCATATATTTCAAGAATTGCTTAAATGCTGATATTTAAATGTAAGCATGTGACCATATGCTGACTTTAAAATATACAATTAAAGGTATTTATCACAGTTTGCTATACTCCCAGCATTAAGTACAGATACTTTGGAGCATAAATCAAATGGTTTAAAGTGAACCTGTAACATACCTAAGGAATACCTTCCCATATTGTACATGCAGATTACTTCTCCTCCATGTAAAGATCTCATCACTTTAAGTTCTAAGTTAAGTTTAACCCAGCTCTGTAAGTCACTACTTAGGGGCTCAGGATGGCCTAAAAAGAAGGAAAAAAGAATGTAACGAGGACTGATCGACAAGTTTTCTATATATATGTAACTATATATGATCTACATATGTTATATATGTACTATATTGTATAACATTAGTTATATGATATATAAACTATAAATATGATCATTTATGTTACTGATGCCATAGCTAAATTATGTATTATGCATCTTCAAATAAAAGTCGAAGCAATAGGGTAAATGCAGAAGCATCACAATGAGTTCCACTTAATACACATAACTATACAGACCAAGATTTCTGTTGGTACTTGAAATGGATCAAGTACATCTAGTGGACATTGACAGGTATCAGCAAAGATGGGCCATTACAATGGAGAAGCTTAGGAGGATGATGAACATCATGCCAGAGGTGGTGTTTAGCGTCAAACCTCTTAATAGTGCCAGTGAATAACACTCACTGCTGGTATTATATATGCAGTAGTGAATAAGTGAAGAACTATAACCATAATATGCTCACTTCTTGCTATTTCATTTTATCTTCTGATTACCAGTTAAATATAGTGGTCCCTTAGTATCCATGGGGGATTGGTTCCATGACCCTCCTGGGTACCAAAATCCAGATGTTCAAATAGTGTGCTATTTGCCTATAACACATCCACAACCTGCTATATACTTTTTTTTTTTTTTTTTTTGAGATGGAGTTTTGCTCTTGTTGCCCTGGCTGGAATGTAATGGCATGTTCTCAGCTCACCGAAACCTCCACCTCCTGGGTTCAAGTGATTCTCCTGCCTCAGCCTCCCGAGTAGCTGGGATTACAGGCATGTACCACCATGCCCGGCTAATTTTGTATTTTTTTAGTAGAGACAGGGTTTCTCCATATTGGTCAGGCTGGTCTCAAACTCACGACTTCAGATGATCCGCCCTCCTCAGCTTCCCAAAGTGCTGGGATTACAGGCGTGAGCCACCATGCCTGGCCAACCTGCTATATACTTTAAATCATCTTTAGATTACTTATAATACCTAATATAATGTAAATGCTATATAGTTACACTGTACTTTAAAAATTTTTATCTTTTTTATTGTTTTTTTTTTTTTAATATTTTAAATCTAGGGCTGGTTGAATTTGCTGATATGGAGGGCGAACCATACAGAGTTTTAATTTCAAAGTTTAACAATGAATGGCCATAAGTGGAGGTCGATACATATGCTTAGCATTTCAAGCTAAGCTTGCTCATAGACACATCTGAAATTAATTACAAGACATGACCTAACAAATGCTAGCGGAACTTTTCTTAAAAGTAATTTTTACAGATATTAGGCCAGGTGTGGTGGCTCATGCCTGTAATCCCAGCACTTTGGGAGGCCGAGGTGGGTGGATCATGAGGTCAGGAGACTGAGACCATCCTGGCTAACACGGTGAAACCCCGTCTCTACTAAAAATTAAAAAATTAGCCGGGCGTGGTGGCGGGCGCCTGTAGTCCCAGCTACTCGGGAGGCTGAGGCAGGAGAATGGTGTGAACCCGGGAGGCGGAGCTTGCGGTGAGCCGAGATCGTGCCACTGCACTCCAGCATGGGCGACAAAGCAAGACTCCGTCTCAAAAAAAAAAAAAAGTAATTTTTACAGATATTAAATGTCATCTTGCTCACTGATGTCAACATATATTTAGGGCAAAGTCAGAGCTTTTATATTTTCATTTATTATTCATTTAACTTTTAAAACACTACTATAATTGAGTATTAAAACAAAAACAATAGCAAGAAGTGAGCATATTATGGTTATAGTCCTTCACTTGTTCACTACTGCACATATAATACCAGCAGTGAGTGTTACTCACTGGCACCATTAAGAGGTTTGACACTGAACACCACCACTGGTATGATGTTCATCATCCTCCTAAGCTTCTCCATTGTAATTGCCCATCTTTGCTGATACCGGTCAATGTCCACCAGATGTACTTGATCCATTTCATCAGCGTCTTTTACTTCCTACCTCTTAGGCAGGAGTTATTCCAGCAAAGAGAGTTTATCAGGAGACAGAAAGGCATTCTCACGGAAGTAGGCCTTAAATTTGATGATTAGGTGATCCTTTTCATAGGATCTACAATAAACTGGCATGCCTTCATTTAGCGCACACTTAATATCTCTATGCTTGACAATCTGAGTTGGGGGATGAGAGGTGTTGACTGGGGTTTGGTTGTCAAGGGTGGATATTGGCTTTTGGAAGACATGCAGTGCTTCAATCAGTTTTATGTTCATACACATGAAAAGGTCTTCTGGTCGAATAAGAAAGTATGGTCCTTCTGATCTAAAACAATGATAATATCTCCTGGCTCCTGATCTCCTTCACCATGAAAGATATCTACTGTTCGTCTTTCACGCCTTTGTCATGAACTTGTAGAATCTTCTTCTCTCAAACTATCCTCCTTCCATTGCAACTTTTACATCTATCTTTAGGACTGATCTCCTCCCCATGGCTCTGGCATTCCATGCACACAGACTGAAATTCTTGAGCCATTCTAGGTCGTATCTGATGAATTCTTATTTGCATTCTAGTACTTCAGTGATTGGGACAGCACTCTACTGCCCCTTTCTTACCACCTTGGCCTACATACTTGCCACAAATCACATTATTTTATGGAGCTAATTTTCTTGTTGCACCATTAAATACATCTTCTGTGGTTACTGAGAGCTGATGCACAATATTTTTACCTCTTTTTCTCTCTGCATCCTTCCTCTTCCTTCAAATAACATATCAACGATGTCCATGAGGGAGCCAAAACTGCCACTCACTTCACCCTTTTTAATTGCCCACTCTCCTCTTTTCTCAAATAATTCAATTTTCTTTGCTTCAGAGAGCACTTCATAAGCTTGAGAAATCTGTTTACACTTCTGTTTGTTATTTGGATTCTCACCAGGGTAGTAATTCAAGACCAGTTTCCTGTAAGACTCTCTTAACTCTTCCTGGATGGCATTGGGTATCACCCACAAACCATTACAGTAAGTGGTTTCTTTCACCACTTTCTACAGCTGGCAAGGGGGCTAAGGCTGGTGTGTGGGAGCAAGAAGGAGTTTGGGCAGCTACCACTCCTCCACCTCTCACCAAGTGTTTTGGAAAGCTCCCTCACATGAGTTCTTAAAAGCAGAGAGTTTGTTCAGGCTGGAAGAAGAAGAGATATGACAGGAGAATTCAGAAAGAGTCAAAGCATGAGAAGGATTCAACATGTCCTTGCTGATTTGAAGATGGAGGGGACAGTGTGATAAGGAATGCATGTGGTCTTAAGGAGCTGAGTGGCTTCTGGCTGACAACCATGAAGGGAACAAGACTCCTGCCCTACAACCACAGAAACAGAATTCATCCAACAATCCAAATTAGTTTGGAACAGATTTACCTGTAGAGCTTCCAGAAAAGAATGATACCCCATGTACACATTGATTTTGGCCTTAGGAGTCTCTAATAAGCAGAGGGTTCAGCTGAGCCACTCGATATGGGACTTCTGGTCTACAGAACTGTCAGATAGCAAATGTGATAAAGGGGTGTTTCAAGCCACTAAATTTGAGGTAATTTTTTATGGCAGCAATGGAAAATTCATATATGTACAAATCTTGAGACCTAGTATGTATTTTACATGTATGGCACATCTCAATTTGTACTAACCACATTTCAAGTATTCAGCAGTCACGCATGTGGCTAGTGGCTACAGTATTGGACAGTGCAAATGTAGACTAACAGGAGTCAAGATGTCTAGGAAGTGCTAGGTTTGTAGCCTAAACATAATGTCACCATGTGGAAAGAGAAGATGATCAAGGAACGGGGGGACTTGGCAAGTTCTTTTTTGATTCCCCTTCCTGTAATCTGTGAATTGGATAATCTTGCTCATACAGAAAACAGGCTAAATTTTACAAACTTTCTAGATTGTCTAAGTTCATTAGACTCTGAAATTTCTGTTTAATTGCCTTCTGGCTATTGAAAAAGTATTTTTTGAATATTTCATTTTTATCTCAGTTAAATTTTGGAGCAATCAAGACAAGAGTTGTTGCTCACACCTGAATTTATGCTTGAGATGGAGCATTAGTTATTTAGTTCTAGCATTATGGGGTCAGGGCAAGGTAGGCAAGGGTAGCCATGGAAGATCTCCAGGAGTAGAATTATGCAGATTGATTTAGCTTTCCTAGGAAGGCTGTTACTCCTCACCAGAGAGTTGGCCTTTCAATATCAACCTTCTGAGGTCTAGGTTTCATTTTTATTAAGAAGGGCAGCATGTTTTATCATTCTAATTACATTCCATGTTTAGCCTTCTAAAACCATCTTTTACCATCTCCCCTAATAGATGAAAATATATGTTTATCCTGCAAAATTTAGAGCAACAACTAATCATTGTAATCTAGAACCATAGTAGGAAGGTTTCACCAAAGAGCTATAAAATTAGACTGGGTTTAAAGGAAAAAAATGGAACCTAGACCAGGAGAGAGCAGACGGAGGTCTTTCCAGGGTTCGAGGAGCAGTGAAGGTAACAGTGGAAGAGAGGAAAGTGAATGGTGGGTTGATTGTTTGATGAAAAGTTTCTTTTGACTAAAGCAAAAAGCTTTTGTAAGGAAAGCTATAGTTGGTGCTGGAGAAGGAAAGGTCAGAACACTCTAGATATGCACTATCCAGTACAGTGACCCCTAACCCCATGTAGCTATGAAACACTAGAAATGTGGTTAGTCTGATTTGAGATATGCTGTAAGTATAAAATACACACTGGATTTAAAAGACTCAGTACAAAAATATTATAAAACATTTCACTAATAATTTTATATTGTTAAAATGATAATATTTTGGATACATTGGGTTAAATAAAATATATTATTAAAATTATTTTTACCTTTTAAAAAGCTTTTTTAATATGGCTCCTAGAAGATTTTAAATTACATATGTGGCTTGTATTATGTTTCTGTTGAACATCATTGCTCTAAACCAAGTGCTTCTCAT
This sequence comes from Homo sapiens, assembly GCF_000001405.40. Lineage (NCBI taxonomy): Eukaryota > Metazoa > Chordata > Mammalia > Primates > Hominidae > Homo > Homo sapiens. The sequence continues at coordinate 114,352,612 of NC_000006.12, forward strand.
ACTTTAAAGTATATAAGGAATCATCTGGTAATCTTGTTGAAATGCACATTCAGAAACTCCCGGGTAAACTGCTCCTGCAATTCAGTCTTTGGACTACACACTATCTTGCCTGCAATATGTAACTATTCAGGAACTTTTAAAGTCACAGTGACCAGATTGCTGCACCCCAAATCCATTACTTAAGAATCTCTAGAGCTCTGACATGAGTATCAATATTTGTTATAACTCTCTAGGTTAGTTAAACATCTAGCAAATTTGAGGATCCCTGCTTTAGAAGCTCTTGAATAGAAGTGAACTAATTTAAAGTTTATTTTATAGAAAATGGGGAAGTTCATATATCAGGAGCAATTAATTTGTCACTAGTGAATATTCATTGATTCATTAAGTGAGTTATTACTCTATGTCAGTCATGGTGATTTATATCACCCTGCCTTCTGGAAGCTAAGAAGCTAGTCAAGATATAAGATAAATAACTGCAAAGCAATATGGGATAGGTTCAGCATGAGTGGTGTAGATATTAAGGGTTATAGGACTGAAGAAAAGGCAGAGTCAATTTTGGGTGGAATAATTATTCTTGGAAGAGCTGATATATAAGACCTAATACTGTGGTTCTCAAACTTTAGGTTGCATCACAATCATCTAAAGTAACCAGGTCGAGAAAACTGTTGTCACAGAACACTGCTAATGTCACCCCACCACACTGTGAATGCATTTTAACCATTCTTACATCTCTGTTCTAATATTAATAACTCAAAATTCAAAGTGCCCAGTGGGAGGCTGATTGGCTAAGCCCAGACCACATGCTCAAGCCCGGTCTGGCCAAGAGCCATTGGCAATGCACTTCTCACTCAAACGAAAATAGGAGTGAAGTACAATACTGCTAGGCTTGCTCCCTAACCCCTCACTCCACCCTCACCAAAAAAAAAAAAATCCCCAAACTCAAACAAAACCAAAAACAAACAGATAAACAAAATGTCTACTGCAGGTAGTACAATTCCAAAAATAGGCATGCATCAGGGGAGACTTGATTATGGACAAAAAGTCAAATTAAATTTTAGGTTGTTAAGTTTGAGATTACAATGTTTAACTTAAGCAGAGATGTCCAGTTAGTTAGTTTTGAGAAAGAAGTAAAGGCCAGAGAAGGTAGCTTAGGCATCACCTCTTTAGAGGTAAAAATAGAGAACAAATGTGAGCATGAGGAAGCAGAATGTAGAGGGAGGAACCGAGGACTGAGAGTCTGATAATATCTTCATACTTCTGGGACTCTAGGAGTAGTACAAAGGGATGCTGTATTAGATGTTAGCAGGTATTAAACCCCAAACCTATTCAGGTTAGAAGAGTTAAATAGGAATTTCTGTTGTGGTACTTCTCAGAGCTATTAATATACTAACTTGCATTATAATGCTTTAATAATGCTGCGTTTCCAAATATTATTTGGCTAGGAACTCTCTTAAAGAATTAGCAATATATTTGAAGACATTTTGGAAAACAGTGGGCTAGAATTTTCTGGAACCAGTAAAAGAAAGAGACTTAGAAAAGTATTTAGGGGGAGAAATAGTAGTACCAGGATTGAGACTATTCAGATAATTCAAACTCCTATTACTCCATTAAAATAGAAAATGAGTTTAATAGTATGGGATTAATAGTATTAAATTCTGTTTTACATATATGTCTCCCAAATGCACAGCACTTGGCAAATGGAGTTGCACCATATATATTTAAGTGAATAAATAATAATAATAAAGAGCGAGGAAAGTCCTTTAATTTTCTGTATGAAGATCACAAGAAGTCCTTAGCAAATAAGTGTCTCCTTCAACTCACCTCCAACCAGCTTCAGAATTCTGGTGGGGTGGGTTGGATGACACATCTGTTTGCTAAGGATTTCTTGAGTGATTTCTCAAGAACCCCTAGCAGAGAGAATTGCCACCCTATCATCTGTTTCTCTCTTTTTTCTTGGAAACATAACAAGGGTGACCATATAATTTATCATCCAAACTGGGACACTTGAGAGAGAAAAAGGGGGAGCTATTAATAATTATGCCAGGTCAACACATACAGAACAGACTCCCAGGCAAACTGGGACAAATGGTCATCCTAAATATAACTCCTGATGTTTAGCTGTGTGCGTGACTATTAGGAATAAAGTCTGCACTGTTCGATCTCTCTTGTATTTTCAGGGGGCCAAGTACCAGATCACAGTAGTTAGTTCCCCTCTTCCCCAAAGTTTACAGAGATTCTCAGCTCATGTCTTGACCAAAGCTAGTTCTTACCAATCAAGGAAGACGGTAGAAGATGGTTGTAGAAGGCCTCACAGAGATAGAGTCTTAATGGGTTCCTTTCTTCTTCCTACTGTCCGGCATGTGGTTTTTCTGGTTAGAGGTTTAGCAGCAATCTTGGATCACAAGGCAGTGTGCTTAAGATGGTGGAACAGAAAGATTAAAGAAGCCTGAGCCTCTGATGATCATAAGCCCTTTTAGTCCAGTCTACCTTTGGCTTATTGTGTGAGGAATCAATAAGTATTTATATTTAGTAATCATTGTGGGTCATTTTATCGTTTTCTGTTACTCCTCATTGAACCTAATCTGGGTAGATAAGACCTTATAACAGTGCTGTCAAAAACCATAATGTGGGTCACAAATGTGAACCATATGTGTAATTTAAAATTTTCTAGTCATTTTAAAAAACAAAAAAAGTGAAATTAATTTAAACAGTGTATTTTATTTAAACTATTGTAGCCAAAATATTATCTTTTCAACCTGTAATCAACATGAAAAATATTAATGTGATAGTTACATGGTTGTTTCATGCTAAGCCTTCACAATTCTATGTGCATTTTGTGCTCACAGCACATCTCAGTTTAGACTAACCACATTGCAAGTGCTCAACAGCCACATGTGGTTACTGGCTATCATATTGGACAGCACAATTTTAAACCACAAATACCTCCTTTCACCCACCCACTCATGTATTTTCTATCTCTCTCTCTTCTTGTTTCTCTTCAACAGGTAAACATAGATAAAACTCTATATCTTACACAACAACAACAAAATAACAACAATAAACCCCTTCTCATTCTTCCTCAAAGATATTTTTCTAGTGTTTTTCTTTCCTTCACATCTCTATTTAATTGAGTTTGCAGTAGCAGGTAACTCTGGTCTTAGGCTAATGGCAGAACAGGGTCCTTTAGGATGCCACTTGATAAACTGGTGCCTGGGTGATGTGAAACCATCAGGAATCATATTTTTAGGATGATCTTCTAGCAAATTAAAGCCTATGTATTAGAAGTTTTTAATACCAGGACCGAAACTCACTATGTTTTGCTATGAGTTGCCACAAATAATTGGTCTATTTATCGATCTACCTCCTCTATCTATAATGATTTAAGAAAATCACTTCGAGAATCAGGTTACCCCTCTGGTGATGCTAATTTCCTTTACTTCGAGATATATGGTGAAGAGTGACCAAAAGGGAATTGTTGGAGCTGGCACTTGGAAGTTGAGCCTAACCTTCATACCTCCTGGGAGGAGTTGTGAATGTATACATCAATTACCATGTGTGCGACAATGGAGAAGTGATTTCTGGCAGCTAGGCTTTATGGAGTACAGCATAACTTCAGTTATCTGGAGTCTAGTGTTCAAGCACCAGGAATGGTGTCAGTTACAAAAGGAAGAATAACGTGCATCTTGTAAAAAACGAAATAAGCCATGAGCTTTGAGTATTTTGTACATGATTAAGAGGAACCAAAAATATGAAAATTATGGTGGATGAGCCGGGATTGATTAATTCTCCAACAAGAGGGAAGAAATCTTCTGGTTTAATAGAGATTTACAAAATACGTCAGTCTTTTCATATAGATGTAGCCAAGAAGCTCAGATGACATGATAGGGACCCAACAAAATAAGAAATAAAAAAAGCAGAGAGAAGAGGAAAGCAAGCAAAGGAGATTATATATGGAACAAAAGTGGTGGTGACAAAGACAGAAGTAGTAGCAAAAGAGCCCAAGAAATATCATCAGCTCTGTGGAAGCAGAAAGAATGAGGCAGACATGAAGTGCAGAGACATTATCAGCAACCCAGTGGATGTTTGGGTACAACATCCCACAATTACATCTTCACAGGCACAATATTTCTGGGAAAAACTACTTATGCCAACTAGAGTTGTTTGTTTGTTTGATGCTTTACTTACTCATTTGCAGTTATCTGATTTCTACCAGAGGTTTGCACTCTCTTTGGCCTATGTGCTCTCAGTGACCAAAGCCTAGGTGCTATGGGTGATGCTGTCAAACCTAAGACCTGAAACACAGAACATGGGCCAAGAAAAATAAAGTAAGAAGAACAAGAAAGAAAAAGACCATTATGAACACTTTGGTTATCCAGACGTCATTTATCTAGCCCCCTTAACAATATATCCTCCAGCTAAGAACAAGGAATAGCAAAAGACACATCTGAAAATCTAGATAGATGATGCCAAGACTACATGGTATTTTTCATTGCAATTTACTTATTGAAAACTCTCCAGGTCCCAGAAGTGTGGCCTCACTTTCCCTTTACTTAACCACGCCAGAAACCGTCACTCCCTATGGGCGTTCCTGAAGAGCCATGGTTATTGCTGCAGAAACATCAACTCTAGGTGCTACTACTAAGCCCGCGTCAATGTGCAGCTTTAAAACCATTTGTCATTCTTTCCTTTTATTGTTGCTGAGAATGTTTTATTCTTACTTTTAAACAAGTCTAACAAACATAGTTAGTATTTTCTAAGTCAGTTGCAGATTAGGACAGTAAAAGAGGGCATTAGATAAATGATAGCCAAAGAGGTGGCAGGCAATATTGAGGGTGGGGCAGAAAAATTATAAAAGCCCTAAACTTCATCTCAAACCACAAAGCCCATTCAATGTCAGAGTTAGTGTATGTGGTATGTGTTGTGGCAGGAAAAGAATAGACTTTGAAATAAGACAGGTCCAGACTCAAGTTATAGCTCTTCTGCTGGTAGCTGTGTGACCTTGGGCAGGTATTTAAGTTATCTGAGCCTCAGTTTTCTCATTTCTAAAATGGAGATAGTAATATTACCTTCCTTATTCAGTTGTGAAGATTAAATCTGTGTAAACCAACATGGGTGTTGCAAATAGTTCCTTCTCTCCTAAAAATGAATAGGTTTTCAGGTTATCAGTGACTTTTATAACTTCAGGTAGTACTTACTAAACTCATACTGGAATGTGGACACCATGCAAAGCACTGGGACATGGAATTAAATGAACGACAGTCTGTATCATCAAGGAACTTAGAGTTATTTGGGAAGAAAGATTGTAAAACATAAGTTAGACTGTAGGTTAAGGTGAAACAATAGAAGTAGGTTCCAGTAATTGAGGCAGTATGTACTAATGGCAGCATGGGGTGGGTGTCAAAAATTTGAGGGAGAGCATCATGTGTTTATAGTGAAGATAATCCTGAACCATCAGGAAATGTAAATTGTGTTGATAAACTATGTCTAAAGAGGCAGAATATAAGTAAATCTTGGATTTAAAATATACCATTTAAAATGATGAAATCTAAAAAAATTAACTTCCATGGTTTACTTTGGCAAAAAAATCCATTAATTTCTAATGGAACACCTTATTTATTGATATGTCAAATAAATGAGACATTGCTAAAATGGCAGATGAGAAAGGCAGAAAAGAGGAAATAAGACTATGGAGAAAGGAAGGGGAAAGGAACAGAAATGTTATGGTGCGACCAGAATTGCTCATAAAATCAGTCTTTTGTCAGTGTGGCTTCCTTGCTGTTTCTTTTCATCTTCACAGCTGCCCTGTCTGATTGGTAAAACATGTATTATTCTCTGTATAATTGATGATGAAGTGAAAAATGCAAGGGGCTATTGCTTGTCCAAAGTCACACATTTACCAAGACATGCATCCAGAAAGTAGAACTCAAGTTCTCTGCTTGAGGCACAAAAAATGTAAGGAAAAAAAGTCACCCTCAGTAGTTCTAAAGAATTTCATCTAAAGAAATAAAGTTTAAAACCAGGAAGCAAATATCCAAGAAGTGTATGGCACAAGCATATTCTACATATAAAAGAAGTGCTAAGCATAATTGCTTTGCCATAACTTCTCTTTTTTCCCATGTTTTCCTTTCTCACCTCCTTCCTCCTTCAAATAGATGAAGGCAAGAGAGAAATGCCAGAAAGGAAGAGAATAGGAGGGAGAAAATAGAAGGTTATGGGAAAAGAGAAGGGAAAACAATAGGAGATAAATGTGTAGGGAAGTCTTACTCGTGAACATGTAATATGTTTCTGGTAGATTTAAAATTTGTAAATAAGAACATATTTATTTTTATACCACATATGAAAATCCTTGTTTTGAAGTTTCTCCCCAAAACAATTGAGGTCTGGGAAGGGGTAAATGTGTCAAGAGATGTGTATGCTGTCTTGGCCACATTTAATTCAAGGATTGCCCCACGAATCAAGGGCTGTAAATTTGTACCATTTACATTTTTATTACTCTAAGCAATCTCTGCAAAATGAAAAAGAACATAATTTTAAAAGTTGGTGTTTATTATCATTTTTATATGTAGTCCCATAATGAATAGGCTGTTTGGACAGAATCAAAAGCCTTCCCTGAGGTCCCCGAGCTGGCATAGCCCCGTAGACTGGTACTCTCTATTACTCAAGGGCATCAACTGGCCAGTACACTTCTTCTTCTCCAAGTCACTGTAAATTACCACCCAAAGCCTGATGCTGATATAGGGATGTAAAAAAGACCAATGCTGATCATGTTCCCTGGGCACTTCTCAGGAAAGAAAAGCTCATCTGGAGCCCACCCTGCTGAAGCAGGTGGGTGAGATTCTAACACCAGCATCATCCTTTACTGTGACCCAGCAGGCACTCCACCAATTGGCAGGCCAGTTTCTCCTCTGCTTGGGCATAATCAGAGGGCACATCTCACAGGACATTGTGAATGTTCATGGAAAGTACTTAATAGAGGTATTGGCTCATGGTAAGTTCTCAAAACAAGCTGTCTTTCTTCTTTTCAAAAATTAACACTAATTTATCAAGTTTTGGTTTCTCTGACCTTAAATGATCATGTTTAAAATATGAAAACTAGGCTTCAGTCGAAACCAGCTGTTCATGGTTTCCTATTGTTCAACACAAAAATTTCCCTCCTTTAAAGAAGTGACAAAAATCTGGTGGTGTTTGAAATGTCTGCATTAAAAGTTTTATGTGGCTGGATATTTGTGGGCTTCTTCTATCCACTTGGGAAGGATTGCTCCATGAATCAAGGGCTGTAAATTTGTACCATTTACATTTTTATTTCTCTAAGCAATCTCTGCAAAATGAAAAAGAACATAATTTTAAAAGTTGGTGTTTATTATTATTTTTATATGTAGTCCCATAAATGTGAACACTTTAAAACCTCATTCATTTGGAATAATGAAAGAAAAATGTGAGAAATCTGCCTGAGAAAATATTTGGGAACAAGTGGAGTTTTAGTAATGTCAAGGAAAGTTAGTATTATTAACTAAGATATAAATGGATTTTAATAAGTAATAAAGCTAAGTTTGTAAAAACTACACTTCACAAAATCCCTGGTTTTATACTATATCCTAAGAATAAGCTACTTTGATAACATAATAAATTTAATTACTAGAACCAAAAATAAATGACTCTTTTTTAAAAAACTGGATTTGCCTACTTTACAAATAAGACTCTAAAGAACTATCTGAAGAAAAAGTAACATTTCTTAATTACATATAGTTTAGTTGGTTATCTTCACATGAGATCAGTGAAGTGTGGATTAATGGAGTTTTATTGCATAGTGCAAGTTAAAGCAATATACGAATAAAATAACCCAATTATTTTTTCTCATATCATAGCTTCCAAACACCTAGGGCTTGGGGCTCATTTATCTTTAGTTGTATATGGACAAAACTCTGTCAAAGGAATGCCAGGGATGTGGAGTTTTTAACTCTTTCCATGGAAACAACACTGAAGAGAAGAAACCAGGGAAGCCGGAGGTCACAGCAACGTCCTTCTCAGGGGGTGCAAGCGTGATTTCAGTGTCTGGGCTCTGGAGTCAGACTGCCTAAATTCAAGCTCTACTTCCCCTGGCAAACTCAGTGACAATGGGGAAGCTACTTCAGGTTCCTTCTCTGTAAAATGGGATGATCGTGGAATCTCACAAGGTTCCTGAAAGAGTAACATTTCAAACAGTGCCTGACACACTGTGAGCGCTCAGTCATTTCTGCTGTCTCTATAGCTGACCTGATATTAAAGGATATTTGTCCACCTTTAACCTCATGGCAACAAGAAAATCAAGCCCTAACTTAGATTATCAATTTACCTGCACTTTACCATGTCATTTCATAGTTTTGTGTATTATAATATTAAAATATCTCACCAAGAAGGTGACTTTTAAAAGTCATTCTTTTCTGATTCTGATCTTTCTTGCTCATCTATTTACTTCTAATTTGTCTATTTGTATATTACCAGCCTTGCTCCAACTAGAATATAAATTCCAACAGATTGGGAACAATGTCATTCTTACATTCTTATATGGCATAGTTTGCGTTAGAACAGTGTTTGGAAGACAGTAAGCATTCAGCAATTATGTTAACTCAGTGAATGGAATTCTCAGGAATTCACAGGAAGCTCCCTGTGTCCTAAGCAAGACCACCTCTTAATCTCCTCAATTCTTAATTTCCATCCAGAATTATTCCACCCAGAGCCCAGAAGAGTGTAATGACTTTAATTCCTCCCCAGGAAAGCAGTATAGCTGACTACTTCTTTCAGCACTGCCTTGCATAACCATTATTTCTGTACTAAGATTTGTTTTGCCTCCCTTTTCCCAATTTTCTTTTTCTTACCTCATATTAACATCTTTGACAAAATTCTCTTATTCAATTCACATAACAACCTGGGCAAGTATTATTACATCTTTTTTTTCCCTAACGGACAAAGTTGAGGCTCAGAGAGGCCAAGCAACTCACAAGTGATAAAGATTTGAACCGAGATCTGTCAATATTGAGATCATGAATTTGTTTATTGCCTGGAGATAGTGTCTTACCAATTATTGTGATCACAAATTTTCCACAATAGCCATTGATGTGTTGACCAAATTATTCCCAAACTTACTTGGGGATTCCTGAGTCCCCTTAGACTTGCAGAATAAAAGTCTGGAGTATAGCTCAAGAATTTTCTTTCTCCCTTTCTTTTCTTTCTTTCTTTCCTTTCTTTCTTTTTCTTTCTTTCTTTCTTTCTGCCTGTCTTTCTTTCTCTTCCTTCCTTCCTTCCTTTCTTTCTTTCTTTTCTTTCCTTCCTTCCTTCTTTCTTTCCTTCTTTCTTTCTTTTCTTTCTTTCTTTCTCCTTCCTTCCTTCCTTCCTTCCTTCCTTCCTTCCTTCCTTCCTTCCTTCCTACCTTCCCTCCTTCCTTCCTTCTCAGAGTCTTGCTCTGTCACCCAGGCTGGAGTACAGTGGCACAATCTCGGCTCACTGCAACCTCTACCTCCTGGGTTCAAGCAATTCTAATGCCTCAGTCTCCCTAGTAGCTGGGATTACAGGTGCCCACCACTAGACACAGCTGATTTCTGTATTTTTAGTAGAGACAGGGTTTCTTTATGTAGGTCAGGCTGGTCTCGAGCTCCTGACCTCAGGTGATTCACCTGCCTCAGCCTCCCGAAGTGCTGGGATTACAGGTGTGAGCCACCGCAACCAGCCCCAAGAATTTGCATTTTTAAGGAGCTGTCTAGATTATTCTAAAGGCAGCCAGTTTTAGGTCTCATTGACTTAGAGAAGAAGAAGCAGGTAGGGGAATGTTAAATTGAGTACGTGTTATCTTTGGAAAGGTCTTTTAAATGTCAGCTGAGATTAGTTTATCTGGTTAGGTTGGTGACTGAGACGTGGAAATATGGGATTGGAGACCCTCAAGTTTCCTCAAGGAGAAAGAAGCATCTGCAGTTTTCTAGGGGAAAAGCCACAAAGCACGAGATGGGGCCTGAGCTTTGGTGAGGGCTTCCCAAGGGGAGCGCTGACAGTACAAAAGCATTCTTTCAATGTTATGAGGTTCTCCAGTAAAGCCCCACTAGATATTTGAGCTTTGTAAACTGTCTCTTCAAGTTTCTTAAAATCTTTACATAAGTTATTCAACATGTTTTGAATCATTAAGAAATCTAGGTAAAGTGGGTGAAAAGGGCATTTTGTAGAAGTATAAAATAATCTAGGCTGTCGGAGATGGCTTTATAAGCGCGTCTAAACTATTCCCAAACTACTGAGAAGTCTGTTTTATGATAAAATCATGATGTAATGAAGAGAAACAACACATTCAGAGTGCTTTTCCTATTGAAAAAGCTAAAATTTTGACAAATTCAGATACCCTAATAGTAAGATGCTGGTTCTGCCACACCTCTTTTTAGCACTGAGTCCTATCTAATAAAAGAGATAAATGGCCTCCTGGGGCTTAGAGACCATGGAAAGTCACATCTGGTAGCTTGCACCTGGCTGACCTATTCACAGAAAAGGCCAATGTAGTGCAAAAGGGCATTTTTTTTTTTTTTAATTTAAATCAGCTCTGCTGGAGGGAATTGAGCAGCGGTCAGGGGAGGTTTTCATCCTTTCATACCATTCCACTCACTGAGTTGGTTCCTTCAACTATGGCTGGGAGGGCCATGACTCTGCATTTGATACCGCTATAGCAAGCTACCCTTAGCCTTTTTGTCACTAGTGCAAAATTGGAAATTCAATTATTTCTATATTTTCTGAATTGATTCATGATCCAAATAAAAACTCAATCACTTTATTTTATTACAACTTGTTTTAGGACTGGGTTCCATTGCCTTTACAAATATTCTAATATTGTGTTTTGTATTTCATATTCATTTTATTTGGTAAGTTGAGCTTTCTTCAACAACTGGTTGTCATGAAAAAATTTTCTTTTTTTGCTGTTTTCAAATTTGAAACTTTTCCTAGAAAAGTTCTAGGTTCTAGGAAAACCATTTGGCAGAGAGGCAAGTTGGAGTCAGGTTATAAAGAATACCATTTTTGATCTCAGTACTGTGATGCTCCACTAGTACCCACAATATGCTTTTCTAAAACGTAGGAAGTAAGGTTGGGCCTTTCATAAAGTTTGTAAGTTTTGAGATGCCTGAATTCTGGGTGAAGTACTCGTTGGATTAGATTGGAAGACTGTCCCTTAACTAGATCCAGAATGTCTCCAGTCAGAGTTGGTTTCTATCCTGTATTTTCCAGTGGATGCCTATATGCTAAATCTAAGGTTTAATATCACAACTCTTCTCTTCAGATCATCAGTTTAAAATGTTAACAACATCAGAAAGACCATGTTTAGTTATGTTAAAAGTGACTTTTTCTAAATTTCCTACTCTATCTTTTAACTTTTCTATTTCTCCATTCAAGTTTAAATGGCCTAGAAAGAAAAGGCAGTACTTACCCAGATAATACAAAGATTTGCCCTCTGGTGTTTATGGACCCCAAGTCCTCAGTCACTGATGACCTGAATTTCTAGCTTATCTGATAAATGCTGAGCTTTCACATCACCTCATTCTGAAGAGCCAAGTTCATACTGAAATAATTTTCCTTTTATTCAAAGCAAAATATCAATATGCCAAGAATAGTCTACCCCTTCAAAAGAGAAAAGTCAGGAATCTTTGAGACTATTATGTATAATTATTTTATGTTTAGCTAAGGCACTTTTTAAAAGGCTTTAAATATATACTTTAGTTTTTTTTAAAAAGAGTTTTATGTAGAGTTCAAATATTTAGTTTAACATGTTTAAGTTTCAATGATTCATGTCAAAATAAAATTACACATTAGCTAAATGCCAAACAAGCTTGACATGGAGATGAGTCAGATCTGGGCCATTCTGGCTCCAGACTGCAAAGTGCTGTTAAGTATTTCCGCATTATGCATGCCATCTCCCTACAGAGCACCCTCTCTCAGCATTCAGACCATGAGCTTAGGGGAGTTGCACTAGAAATAAGGAGAATACTCCATTTCTGTTCATTTATCATGGCTGAATTGGTATAATGAATGGTGACAAATAGGCCTTTTTCATCTACACAACAGTTACCATTACCTTTCAATGGTTTCTGCTTGTGTGTTAAAAATAGCAAGTTTAATTACACAAAAGCTGGTGGAGGCATGTGGTGTGAATTTAATGGGAGGAACCAGAGAGAGGCTGCTGGACATCAACTTTGATCCTGCATAGGGAGATAAAACTATATAAATATACACATGGAATGAGCTGTTAGAGATTACAGAAGTCATATGAAAATTTACTTCTTCACATCAGTGTTGTATTTATCTAGAAAACGTGACAGATTGAGAGCAAAAACAACTGCTAAATATGATTCCTTGATTTCCTTCTGTCTCAAGAGTTAAACACACCTCTGAATTCAAACTGTATGTGAAATGTTAATTTTGCAAGATGTCTTCAACCTAATTTCAAGAAGTGCTGAAGGTTTGATCATGGTATTTAACAAAATATCATCAGTTAGGAGAGAAGAGCCCATCATAACATTGTCAGTTGGGTAGTAAAATTCTTATATATAAAATCGACTTGATAAAGTGTGGCCCCAAAATGTAATTATTACCACTAGACAACCATTTAGAGTTATTTGACATCTATTATATGTCAATAAATCTACCTGGAGGTGGATCACAAGCACATAAAAGATTTTCTTTAATAGCCCACAGTTAATGTATTTTCCTTATCGTGATTGATTATGACATAATTCTCTGTAAATTTTCACCTCTGGAAAATAAAAAAAAAATTGATAATACAAAATGAGCTATCTTGCCAAGCACTTTGATATTGAGAAAATGCAATTTGTTGCATCTAAATATTAATGGCATGCCTTATTTTAAGTACATATTGATTTTTACTTACATACTTGTGAGACGAAGTTTATTTTATTATTTTTGAAAAAGAGTCTACCTCTGTTGAATAGGCTAGAATGCAGTGGCATAAACACAGCTCACTGTAGCCTCAACCTCTCAAGCTCAAGTGATCTTCTCACCTCAGCTTTCCCAGTAGCTGGGACTACAGGTGCCCACCACCACACACATCTAATTTCTGTATATTTTTTGTAGAGATGGGGTTTTGCCATGTTTCCCAGGCTAGTTTTGAACTCCTGGGCTCAGGCTCAAGCTATCCACCCGCCTCAGCCTCCCAAAGTGCTGGGATTACAGGTGTGAGCCATGGCACCCAACGGAAATGAAGTTTTTTTTTTTAAAAAAAAAAGAATAACTATAATAATGCGTAAAAGTATGCTCATCAGTGCTTTATCTCAATTTTCTTTAAGAATACACAAATTTGAAAACTATCTGGTATAACTATTACTCAGATCTAAATAAAGATAAAAACAACTATCACAAAAATTGCCTTAATGACCAACTGGATGAATGTGTAAAACTGCACATTAGAGAATTGTGTCACAAAATCACAAATGATGATATTTTAATGTTCTTTTATACTTTACAGTGCTTAGTAGTGTTTTTTTTTAATTGGAACAGGCGGGAAGCCACTTAAACCTACACTTGTCCTAGAGGTTTAGATGGCTTTTTGTGGGTTTTAAAATGTAAAATGGCATGGGATAGATACATTTCCCTTCCAGAGTTCTATTGTGACAACTTTAAAGAAGACTAAGAGCAAAATTATATTCTTACTATCTGTTTATTAAAATGGAAATACCATTGTTAGCTTCTAGATAAATAATATAAATCATTCTTCAGCTATTGCAACTAACTAATTAAACACAGAATTAACATTTGCTATGGGCCAGGCACTGTGTAGAAGCTGGAAATATAAAGAGTCATACATAGTGCTGGATTTTTTCTTTTCTTTTCTTTTTTTTTTTTTTTGGTGCATGAAAAAACAAACCGTGTCTTCCTGGAGTTCACAGTATCGTTGGGACGATAAGAAAATGTTAGAAAAGATGATCATATGCAAGCAACCTGGTAAATTGTTTGGGATTGAGTATAAGGATAGTTAACAAAGAAGGCAGAACACAGAAGGCAGAAAGGGAGAAGCCAGTGTGTACTGAAACATTTAGGGAAGCACTGATGAGGGTAAGGATGATAATGGTCCCAAAGAGAAGCGTTTCATCAGCCTAAAATCTATATATGTTTGTATCCTACAATTTTGAATATGTTTTGGTTTGTGTTATCAGAATAAGAACAAAGAGTCAAAGCAATGTGAGTTTGGACTCTATTGCAAATCAACCCTGTTATTAATCCCTTTTTAACTTTTGCTTTTGCAGAGGTCCTAGCAGAGAGAACTCACCCCCTACTACATCACCTTTCCTTCTCTTTTCCCAGTGGTGCATCCATATTTCTTTCCCTTCTAGCTTAAACATTTTAGAAGGATCAATTTCACAAAATTCAGAACACTCATGATTTTGGAAGGAAACAGTAGTAATACCATGTACATATAAGAAATCTTAAAGGATAATTATAAATTAGCCTTAAAAATTTTTGATGATGTCATAGATGTGTGTATGTATGTGTGTGTGTGTGTGTGTGTATAGAGCATTTCCAAGGCCATGACCTTATATGCCTCAATAGAGTGGCTAGACAAATAAGAAAAAATTATATCCTGGGAAGTTAAGGTAAGGATTGGTGTTCACTAAAGTAAGAACTTCCTGAGGAAAATATAGTTGTCTTTCAATTATAAAGGGATGATACAATTCTGAATATATTTTCCCCTGTAGCATTACAATTATGGCAATAATATTTAGATTTTCTTATATTAAACTCTTATAGTCCTCCTTAAATTTTCCCCAATTTCTACATGATTTTTTTTTCTTAAAATTAAATCACCTTATTTTGTTTTCCCATGGAAGTATGCACCCTTGGCCTCAAGATGGAAAGTTATTTGCTTTACTATTCATGATTCAGCAGGGTATTTTATGGCCAGTAAGAGTTGCAGCTTAAGTGCATATCTTCTGTACATACAGAGGTCAGAAATAATTTGCTTCATGATATAGGAATTAAAATCAATACTCTTACTTCCTTAAAAAACAAACATAACATAATGTAAATGAGAAATGAGTAAATTATTAATAGATAGGTTTATCTAAAATATAATACCAGCTAAGCAAGGTCAACTCAGAGAATAGAGCTTTAGGAAGCAGAGCAAGTTACAGGAAGTGAGAGGAAGTTAGATCCATCACCGCAGCTTTGTCTTCAGAAAGCCAATTTCACCTGAGGGGTTTCAAGCCATATTACAAACATCCTTTTAACTGTCCCTGTGAATAAGTGCCTGTTGTGATGATATTCAGCTTGAGGATTAAAAAAATGGGGAGAATAGAAGTCTTGGCCATGGTATCTTGGGGGTACTCCCAGGTTTCTCATTAACACTTAACTGGCATTCAAGGGAGAGAGAGTCCCATTGGATGCTGTCTGGGTGGTTCCAGCACCATAATTTTCATTTCCTGTGCCTTTATATTTGCTCTCTGTGCAGGATTTAGACAAATCCTATACTCTAGAAGGACCCTCTTCTTACTCTGTGCTTGATATACTTCCACCTATTGAAAAATGTAGTGAGCTGAAGCTGAAGCTGGCTGGGTTAGTTGGAGAAGGCATTTTCTTCTTCCTTCTCAGAGAACAGAGTTTATCAGATACCATGTTTCTGGGCCCTGCCCTACTTTCTGATTTCTACATAGAGTCTTGTTTTTTCTTTTTATGTCTTAAGCCAAGAATGGGTATTTCTGTGCATCTGAAAAAGCATTTCTCCTAGAAAGAGGAAGGCCGGCTTGTGAGCCTGACCCTCTTGAAAAATAAATGAATGTAAAACTCATAAGCAGTGAAGTCAGAATCAACTTTGAATTTCGCTTTCTTACCTTCTGTACATGTAATTTATTTATATTTGTGGGATCCTTTCCATCACTTTCAAATCATTACTTCCATAGCAATTTATCCTTTTATTTATTGAAACAAACAAATTTAACTTTTAGTATTGGTGCCGGGATGTAGGCATATACGAAGCAATCCCTTACCTTAAATCACTTATAATTTAATAGGAGGGACTTATACAAATGAATCATACTAAGTCACAATGAAATAATCTGTAATGAACATATGTCCCAAGTACTATGATGGCATAGGGGAGATATGGTTATTGCTAACTGGTAAGAGGCAATGCTATATGCATAATTTTGCCAATGGAGGAATAACCAGCATTTCTTCCTTTTTCAACCTGCTTGGGACCCTTTAATGCTGAGGTGTAACAGTTTTTTAAAAGTTCCCAATACAAAGAAAGGATAAGTGTTTGAGTTCATAGATATGCTAATTGTCTGATCTTATCACTATATATGTATCAAAACATCGTTATGTACCCCATAAATGTGTACAGTTACTATGTGTCAAATACCTTTTTTTTTCCAAAAAAAAAGAAGAAAAGCTTCTACTTGTTGACCAGTGAAGGCAAGGTAAAAGTTAACCAACAGAGAGGAATTATGAGCTCTATTGTTGGGTTACTGAGAGCCAGATCATAGATTTTTGATTATGTTCAGCTCATATCATGGAAGATGGCTGTTGAGCTTACGTATATGATGTGTACATATAATATTCACAATTCTAATGGAGAAAATACTTCATAAACAGGAGGGGATTTGAAATATTATCTTTCTAGCAGAGCTTTCTGAAGGAATTGCATTGCTCTTTGACAATTAAATAGATCGCTAGTAGAGACCTGTTGGACCTCAGGATCTCAGGGCCTCACAGAGACTACAGTCTAACAGAGGATCATTTGAATCTAGGGCATGAGTACTTTACCAAGAAAGGACACTAAAACACCACAAAAAGGAAAGCTTGTGCAGAGACATCACATAGGCACACAAGGTGGGAGGTAATTTATCATAATGGCTTATTTAACCACAAGGGAAAACAAGTTGGAGTGACATTGTTTTCCTCACCTCCTTCCCCTGAGGAATCCAAGAGATTACCACAGTCTTATGTAATGGACAGCAATTTTCTTCACACTATTTTGCTTTGTTCCTAGTCCCTAGCAGATAATAATAATAAATAATTCCTAAAGACTATCAATGTATTCCCTCTCAAATCTTACCCTCCTACAGATTGTATGAACTCATGAAATATGGTTTTACTTTCTGGGCCTCTTTTTCGTCATTTACCAACAACAAAGGAAAAACTAAACAATATATAATATTTAAGGCAGTTTCTAGTTAAAACAACAATATGAGTCTACAAATCTTTATCAAGATGGGTGGCACCAAGTTCCAACACGTTATGTAAAAGACATTGAAGATATACATTTCTGCATTTATACACATACATTTAAAATAATATTTATTTATTACACATATGTATATAAATGTGCCTATTTTTCTAAAATGTTGATAAATGCATGCTATGAAAATATTTGACACTATTGTTCCAATATCGTAGATTGTAAACTTTGTTAAAAAAGAGAGAACAGTGAACCAAATGTTAGAAGACTGGCATTCTAGGCTCCTCTGCGCCACTCAGTAATTTTGTAATACTGGACGTGTCACGCATACTCACTGGGCCTCGGAAGAAATTGGAGAAAATAATCTCTTTTAGATCTACAATTGTGTGAAGCTTCTATTAATCGAGATAGGAAAGACTATGTACACTGTGTAGTAACAAATTAAACTTCAAATCTTGTGGCTTAAAACAACAAAAGTTTGTCACTCATGAAAAGCCTGATTACAAGTAGAGAGATACTTGGTAATGACTGTTCTCCATGTGATGTCTCAGCTGATGCAAACCAGTCTGCTTGAATATTGTGTATCTACCACTGTATACACGAACTCCACCTTCACCATTACAGGGAGTCCATCTCAAGCCACATTGGCTCTTCTCACATTTCATTGGCTGGAACAGAATCATAACCCTCCTTAACTGCATGGTAGCTAGCTTGATATATACTTGGAAAACAACTATTGTATTAGTCAGGATTCTCTAAAGGGACAGAACTAATAGGATAGATGTATATATGAAGGGGAGTTTATTAGGAGAATTGACTCACATGATCACAAGGTGAAATCCCATAATAAGCTGTCTCCAAGCTAAGTAGCTAGGAAGCCAGTCTGAGTCCCAAAACCTCAAAAATAGGGAAGAAGACAGTGCAGCTTTCAGTTTGTGGCTGAAGACCCAAGAGTTCTTGACAAATCACTGATATAAGTCCAAGAGTCCACAAGCTGAAGAACTTGGAGTCTGATGTTTGAGGGCAGGAAGCATCCATCACTGGAGAATGATGGAGGCAAATCTGCTTATTCTGCTTGCTTCTGCCTGCTTTATCCTAGCCATGCTGACAGCTGATTAGATGGTGCCCACCCAGATTGAGGATGGATCTGTCTCTCTCAGTCCACTGACTCAAATGTTAATCTCCTTTACACCCAGGAACAATACTTTGCATCCTTCAATCCAACCGAGTTGACACTCAATACTAACCATCACAACTATAAAATGAAATTGGGTGGCCACATATTGATTCTGCCATAGTGCTAAATTAGAGCGGGGAATACATCCAGTGAAATAGTTTCTCCTGTCCCATGTTTAACATCATGGCATTTAGAACATGCTTGTTGTCCAGTGCTTTCTGAAAAAGCAGGAGAATTTTCCTCTTTACTGAGGGACACTTCAAGTTGCAGGGTGGTCCTGAGACTTTTCTTGCACTTTTGACACATTAGGAAATCTTGTATTACATACCCTAATAAGTTAGGGTATGTAATATGACTCCCACTCCTTTCCCTCAAGTTGGATGGTGAGAAATTTGTGTTCCCTTCATCAGGCACTTTGGGAGTGGGAGGAAGTGACTGGGGTTTTCATGACACGTGTGCCAAAACAAGGAGGGCTCTTGGGATATTTTTTGGAATGAAAAATATAAATGGAAAATGAGAAGAACAAAAAAAGATTAGTCTTTTTTGTTGTTGTTGTTGATTTAGAAGGTTTTCATGTCCTATGTAATTTTTGTTTTTTTTTTTTTTTGGCAGAAAGAAGTGTTGAAGAAGAGAGAGACAGAAGAAAATCACCATAAAAAGTCAGACACGAGAGCTTAGAAGTCAATTAAGACAGGGCTTGGAAGGGGCATTAGGTAGGAAATATCAGCTTTGTACTTTGCTATTTCTCTTTATCAAAGTAAAGGGACTTTATCTTGATTGAATGGCTTCCACAGAGGGGCCTAGGTGGTTTATGCAATAGAGTAGATGATGACAGATAACACACTCTGGTCAAAGCCTTTGGGAAGGCATTGTGCGTACAAAGATTTTTCCAGGGAGATTTGCTTCTGCCCACTAATTGTGGTCATGTATTTTATGGCCTTGGGAATACCATGGCCACTAGTGTAAGTCCCAGAGCAGCAGAAGCAGTGTTCAGGTCTGGTTCAGCAAAAGCTGTAGCTGCATGGACTTCTCAGGGTGTTTCTGAAACCACCCTTGAAAAAATCACTCAGGGCTTCTTAATTTTTATAACCAATTATGTATTTCCCTGCCCCATACAGCGTAATTTGCTTACAGTGGCTACTATTGACCACACCTGCCTTTTAAAACTCTCTCCTCTAATTTTTAGCCCCTATCTTTTCATGTTTGTCCCTTCATCTGGCTATTATATTTCCTTAACATCATCAGTAAACACCTTTTCTGCCAACTCTTTAAATACTAACATTGTCTGAAACTTTATCCTTGGTTTTGCTTTCTTCTCCTTCGACATGTTTTCCTTAGGTAATCTTATCTATTCTAGTAACATTCAGCTACCACCCAAACTCTTTAAAATGACAAACTCTGGGTCAATCCAACCACCCACTTTCTCCGTATCTACACCAGGGCTACATTCACTGAAGAAAATAAGAGAAAGAAGCAGTTGGTGCTACTCCACAGTGATGGTCTCCAGGCTGAGCTAGGCCCTCAACACTGCCTGGCCATCTTTATATTTTCTACAGACATAGCCCTCTCTTAATCTCTACAGGGGCAATTTTATAGCTTCTCCTACACCTATTGACAGATAACTTCACATTTTATTGAATGATTTGAAATAGAAACTATTAGACAGTTTATCAAGAAGAGGTGAATGGTCAGTGGTATTAGATGTTGCACAGAAGTCAAGGAAAAAAAGACGGGATTTATTAGCTTGGTGCAAAACTAATTCTAGTTTTTGCAATTAAAAGAAATAGCAAAAACCTCAATTACTTTTCCACCAACCTCATAGAAATAAGGCTATGATTGGTTACTTTAAGATTTTCAGCAGAGGAGTTGTGGAAAATCACACTGCAGTGGTTTAACAAAACTAATGGGGAATATGAAAGGGAACTTTGCATTCCTAAAAATGTTTAATAAAAATCTTATTACAGAGAGAAGGAAAGAGCTAAGGTAATAGTTGGAGGGCCACTTCAATGCCACTAGTGGTGGAGGGTATTCAAAAGGTCAGAGAAAATCAGCATGTTTTTATCCTAATGGAAAAGGGACCAGTAAAGACAAAAGTTTGAAAGCAATTCCTTTGCTCTAAAAACATTCTCATGGTTTTTCTCTAGATTCTCTACCGATGTATATTCTTGGTCAGAGAGATAGGAAGAGTAAGTCTCACATTTCTGGCTTAGACTGGTTGGATAGCAGGGCCCTTCACTGAATTGCAGTGGTAACTGTTTCTCAGAGTATCTGTGGTAAAGGATAAGCTTTCTGGTTTTAGTTTTTAAATTTCTTTTTCATTGCATACTTTGTAAAATGCAGTAAAAATAAATTAGTAGAAGCGTGTTAGTGCAGGAAGATGTTGCAGCATTGCCAAAGTGCTATGAAGGTTTCTAAATGCCTTCTCTTAGTTTCTGTACTTATTTAACCATGGACTAGTTCAAGTAATCCCTGACCATCACTTGTCCATTGCTCACATTTTCAGTAGCCCTGACTTAAAGAACATATAGGAGCTAGCAATGTGGAGGATGGTGATAAATTTCATTTTGGACATGGGGAAATTTAAGCCCACCTGATGGGCATCCAAACAGAAGCATTCAATAAGTAATTGGGTAAATAACATGACAGATGCTTTAGAGAAAGGTTAAAGAACCCACAAAATAATGCTGTAAAATGGAAAATTAAAATATGACATATTTGTATTATGGTAAGCTATTCAGAAGTGAAGAATGAAAGCATTAAAATTAAGTGTTCCAATATAGAAAGAACTCCAAGATATGTTATTGAGCCAAAAAAAAGTTAGGGTATGTAATATGACTTAAAATTATATTTGTATTATATATATACACACATATGTACATATATACACACGCATATACATACATATGTATACATGCATATATATACATACATATATAATGTGATATAATATATAATATGATATATATGTATGTATATGTGTGTATATATATAAATACATTGGTATATATAAATACATTTATATATATATACACACATATATATACAAACACACATACACATTTAGTAAGTCTGGAAGGTTATATGTCTGTGAACAGTAGTTACCTTTGATAAGAAAGGTAGGTTTAATGAGGAATGTGACAGGTTAGATTCACATGTTACTTTTCAAGTTAACTTCTATATTGGTTTTCTGCAGTTTTCTTTTTACAGAATTAATGCATTTTTTTGCATTGATTCTGTATTTTTTAACAGAATTAATGCATTTTTTGGGAATTAAAAATAAGAATCATACAGTTTTCATAGATAATGCAATATATTGCTTGTAAAATACATAGAAATATAAACATAATCAGTGGCTTGTTTTAGTTTCATTTTGTAGTAATTATGTAATTAAAGGAGGCAATTTAGCATCATGGATAAGAGCGCTTCAGCACCCTATAATCATAGATTCAAGACCAGCTCTACCACTTATAGAATCACTTGTGTGATCCTGGATAACTTTTTTACCTCTCAGCCTTAGTTTCCTCATCATTAAAATGGAGATAGTAATGGTGCCTACCTTGTGTTATTATTGTGAGGATTAAAATAGTTACAGAATATAATGCAGATAATATGCATAGCTCAGAGCTCAGCAAGTCTGCAAATTTATAAATGCTACATCCCTTAAGTATTTTATTGTTAGACTCTTCAAATAGGTGGAATTATATAAACTATGAAATCAGCAGTCACCTCTTTTTTCCCCGTTGTGCATTTAGATTATAATAGCAAAGCAAGAGGGCTAGATTATTTTTGTTTTCACTTTGTGTGTTTATCCATTTTTGTATGCAAAACTTAGGAGTAGGCAATAGTCAGGCCTTCGGAAAGAACATGAGTTGAGGGCCAGACAAAGCTTTAGAGTGTGGGTCTGTTATTTGCTGTGTGATCTTGGGCACATAACTTGTCTATAATTTAGTGTGCTTATCTGTAAAATGGCACTGATATTTCTTCCCTCCTTGGGCTGTTGTAAAGATTGACAGATATAATCTATGGAAAGGCCCTTGCAGAGCAGACACTCTATAAATATTGTCTTTCCCTTTTCAGAACAAGGAAGCATTTTTCAAAATTCAGTATTTCAGTATTGAAAAAAAATACAGGTTTTATTTTATTTTTTTGAGATAGGGTCTCACTCTGTTGCTCAGACTGGAGTGCAGTGGCCTGATCTCAGCTCACTGCAACTCTGGTTCCTGGGCTCAAACGATCCTTCCATCTCAGCTTCCCGAGTACCTGGGACTATAGGCACACACCACCATGCCTGACTAATTTTTGTATTGTTTGTAGTGATGAGGTTTCACCATGTTGCCGAGGCTGGTCTCAAACTCCTGAGCTCAAGCTACCCACTTGCCTCCGCCTCCCAAAATGCTGGGATCATAGGCGTGAGCTACTGCACCCAGCCCAGTATTTCAAAATGTTACTTTATATAAACCTTCACAATTAAATAAAACATATACCTGCAAATGTTATTTTTCCTTTTCCAAAATCCTGGAAAGTCCTTCCAGAGTGCACATACCATTTAATCAATTAGACAAATCTTTTTATCACATCTCCTTAACTTGTTCAATGAAAAATACACTGAAATATTTTCTTCTTGACTCCTTGTATTGAGAAACGAAAGAACTTGACAGAGAGAGGGAGTTTTAAAAGTCCTTTTTGAATGAGAATGGGAGAAATATATGGTGTGTGGAGAGGTGGGGAGCATCCCACATAATGAATCATATGCAGAATGTACAACAGAGAATTCAATACTGTGCTTCTAAAACCTCAATAGTGCTTACAGTAAGTGATATTTTTGTGGCCTTTTCTTTGCCCAGATATTTGTCATTCTGTAGTTGATTTAGAAAGAGATTCATGGAAAGTCATAATTATTTAAAGAAGGGAACAGGCAAAGTGTTCTTTTGCCATGTCTATAAATCTTTCCTTGTGCTCTGCTGAGAACTCTGCTCTGACTGTCTGCTTTAACCATGTAATAGGAGTATATCATAATGTCAGGAGTTGTCAGACCCTCAGAACTCTCCATAATGTGAGATCACAAGCAGAGACAATTTCATTGTAACATTTCTGACTACAAAGTATAAATACCATTCAGTTGGCACATTGTCATCACATCAGAATTTTTTTTTCATCCTTATACTTTAGATTTGCTGAGGTATTTAAATCTATAAAGTTAGACAAAGCAGAATAAGAAAATTAAAATTTATAATAGAATAACATTGTCAGAAGAAAACTATCTTTTTGAAAGAAAACATAAAAAGGAATTTTAAAATAAAGATTACAAAGATTTTTAAAAGGCACTGCATATATTTTCAGTTATGTTTTCATCAATTCTCTCCAGAGTACAAAAACATTTCTCAGAACAATTTAAAATTGTAGATATAAAACAATAAATCACTCAACACAAGATTTAAAAATCTCATTGAAAGCCCTGACAGAATATTTCTTTCTCATGATGAAGTTACCAACTGGGAGTATTTTACTAATTCTTCAGTTTGTTCATCTGCCTCACTGCAGACCATTATGGCTCCCATAACAGCTATTGTTTTTAAAATAGAAAGAAATTAACACTTGCATAAACTCAGATGTAAAAACTACAGATATTTTATCTTTTAGTGTGATGATACTTCTAGCAGATGTGCTTTTCTTTTATTTTGTAATAAAATATAGAATCAACCATTACAAAATGAAGACCTACATGCATTATTTTCTTCCTAGAAATACCTTACTAAAATTCACCTTTGTACTTACAGGTTAACCTCAGTCCAAAGCCTTAAATGCTTGGTTAGTGATTCACAAACAACGTCCAGGTTTTTCCCTCAGAATCAATATTTTCTGATTGTCACTGAGGAGGGAGCTTCTAAGGAGATATGTACATGAATATATATATGTTGTACTCAAAGAGGAGATACTATTCCTGTTCTGTTTTATTGTAAACCCTCTCCTCTATCTGGAAACCCAGCCTGCTTTGTTAAGGTTTGTAGTTGAGCCCCTCTCCCGCACTGCTGTGTTGGGTCTCAGCTTCCTGTCTGAGGCACATGGCTGCTGTCTTCAGATTCAGCCCCAGTGTTAATCAATAAGGGCACAGACAACTCACTTGGTCCAAATGCCAAAGCAAATCTCATTTTAAATTGTTGAAAAAAATGTGTTTTTAATAGACATGGGACAAAGAATTAGGTTGATAAATAAAAACATCGTTTGGTAAGGTGAAAATCAGACCTTAGTGTATGTTTTCATTATTTGAGGTTTTTTTTTTTTTTTTTAACATAGTTTACTTAAATCATTGACCACTCTAAGCTATCTTTCTCTGGTAAGTTCCCTGACTTTTGCAATAATAATGTTAGTGTATTCTTCTTCTTCTTCTAATTATTATTTATTATTATTATTTGAGACAGGGCCTCACTCTGTTGCCCAGACTGAAGTGCAGTGGCATTATCTCCATTCATTGCAGCCTCGACCTCCTGGGCCTTAGTGATCCTCCCACCTCAGCCTCCCAAGTATCTGAGACTACAGGTATGCACTACCATACCTGGCTAATTTTTCTATTTTTTTTTTTTGTAGAGACACGGTCTTTTGATGTTGCCCTGGCTGGTCTCAAACTCCTGAGCTCAAACCATCCTCCTGCCTCCACTTCCTAAAGTGTTGGGACTACAGGCATGAGCCACCACGGCCGACTGTTAGTGTATTCTCTGTTTATTTGTTACTTTTCATTTTACTGATAGCACATTTTTACATTAGGGTAAAGTCTGGTCAGAGTGAGGAAGGTATGGCAGATGTATCCTTCTCCGTTACATTTTAGCTTTAACAAGGCTCATCCTAAGATCTCTTTTCTCAGTTTATCCTCTCTTCCCAGGCAATCTCACCCAGGCCTGTGGCTCTGACCATGTTCATGCTTTGTCAGTTTTTATCTCCAGCCCAGCACTGTCCTCTAAGCTCCAGACTGGTATGTTCAATTGCCTATTTGGTATCTCCACATGGACATCTTAAAGACATTTTAAATTCTACTTATCCCAAACTGAACTTAATATCATTACCACCTTCCCACTGCAAACAAAACAAAATAAGATCTTTTCCTAGCATTGCTATTTCAAAGATATACAAGCCAAAACCCTGAGTCATCCTTAAAGGCTTTCTCTTTTCATATACGATATCCAATTAAACCATCTCCAGGCCCGCTGATTTTACTTCTTAAACATTTCACAAACCGACTTGTTTCTATTTTCATTGCTATGACCCTAGCTCAAGCTGCTGTCATCTTCACCTGGAAAATAATGAAAGCCACCAAAAACCTTCCACTTTATTTCTTTCAAATCTGGGCTGTACTGCATCACTATGCCATTGCTGGAATAATCTTTTTTTATTTTCTTTTAAATAAAACTTAACGTCCCATGTCAGTCTCTTGTTTAAACAATTAAATTGTTTCTCACTCATCTTAGAATAAACACCAAAATACTTAACATGGCCTTTACTGTGCCTGGTCTTCCTTCCACCTCTTCTCCAGTGTCACCTGTCACTGCATGTTCCTTCCTTTTGACTTTTCAGCCATTGGCCTTCTTCCATTCCCTTGAATACGGGACTTTGCTCTTGCTCTTCCCACTTCCTGGAAAATCCTATCCCTTCTTCATTAACACCTCCTCCCCACCACCAAACACATATCATCCTGTTAACTCCTACTCGTTGTTCAGATCTCAGCAAAATCATCACTTCCTTAAGAGTGCTGTTTTGCACCATCCTGGTCAAGTCAAATCCCCCTCTTATGCTATCAGAATACCATGCACTTCTCTTTCCTAGTGCCAGTCACAGTTTTACATTTGCTCGGGTGACTATTTTATGGACATCTTCCATATTGAATAATAGGATCATATAGGAAGGTCCTATGTCTGTTTTTGCTAGTTACTGCATCCCCAATACTAAGCATAGAGATTTCACTTATGCTGGTATCAGGGGCAATTCATATTTCTGCTTCCTTATGCTAAAGACCAGTGTCATATGTCTTAACTGTGATGCTAGTATTCTGCTTCTGTTACTTAAACATTTTTCATCCATCTCTGTCTCTTATTTTTTTTGTATCTGTGTATTATCTGGCTGAAAAAAAAAAGGGTACTTTCCTTTTGTAGGCAGAAAATGCATTATTTTTATCATTTGGACTACTTTTTGTACCCAGATCAATTTTTCAGAACAACGCTAATGAATAGATTACACTAGTCTTTGTTCCCTTCCTGGTTCTCAAGGCTACACCTTGTCATTAGCCTTCTGTTTCTTAAGACAGATCTCCATGTTCTCTATGGGTCTCAACTCCATGTTAGAACTTGCTGAGTAATTTGGCTATTTGTCAACCCAACCAATTTAGTTTTACTATTTTTTCCAGCCAAATTATAATTATCACACCTTCCTGGTAAACTCTAACTCTCAGGTTTCACTATCTCCCCAGGCCTGCTGAGCCCCAGGTGTCCACCAATACCCTGTCTTGGTTTTAGCCTTTGGAGGAATTATCTTGCCCCCATGGTTTTGGAAATGAAAAGCAAGAGTTCAAAGCCAGTGTTATTAAAAGTACTGAACTCTGTAAAATAATATATTTTATTTTCTTTCATCATTTTGCTTTTGCCCTTTCAAAAAGTAGTTGTCTATTTTGCTTTTAAACTACAACTACAGAAGAAGGGGCAAAATGACAATCTTTAATATCTGTAAATTGCAGCTTAAAATAAAAATGCTACTATTCCAAGAGATAAGTTATTTTCAGCACTTTAAAAACCTTTGGCATTTTGTGCCCACTATTTATGGATTGCATAAACATAAAGAGGTTACCCCATTAGCGATGCAATAGGGCAGATGCTTTGTGCAAGTCTTTTTTCATAGTTACTTAAAAGCATTTTTCAGGGTATGCATCTTTCTCATTAGTGCAAAGAAAGACAATCTCTGCAAAGAACAGAAGTGAAAATCTGGCTGTTGTTTTAAACATTAAAAGGTATCCTGAGAAAATAGTTTATAATTTGTTTCTAGTGCTTCCAACAAACAGATGGAAGAACCTACTATGAGCAGAGCATGATGAGAATGCTGTAGAGGCTTAAAGATTTACAAGTCACAGTTCCTGCATTCAACAGCATATTGCAAGCAGAGTATGAAAATACACTGAGTGCTCAGTAGAGACTAATTCAAAGTTAATTACACACATGTCTTAGATTGTTTGGGTTGTTATAACAAAATGCCATAGACTGGGTAAAACAGGAAAGCAGACATTTATTTATCACATTCTGGAGACTGGGAGTCTGAGATTAGGGTGTCAGCATGGTTGAGCTTCCTCACAGATGGCATCTTCTAGTAGTGTCCTTACATGGTGGAAGGACAAGCTCACTCTCTGAAGCATTTTTTTTTTTTTTTGAGACGGAGTCTCACTCTGCTGACCAGGCTGGAGCACAGTGGTGCAATCTTGGCTCACTGCAACCTCCTCCGCCTCCCCGGTTCAAGCGATTCTCCTGCCTCTGTCTCCTGAGTAGCTGGGATTCCAGGCGCTGGCCACCTGTATTAATTTATACTTAGCTAATTTTTGTACTTTTAGTGGAGATGGGGTTTCACCATGTTGGCCATGAAGGCCTCTTTTATAAGGGCACTAATTCCATTCATGAGGGCTTTGCCCTCGGTACATAATTAACTTCCCAAAGTTCCACCTCCTAATGACATCAACTTGAGAGGGTGTCAACATATGAATTTGGGGGGTGACACAAATGTTCTAACCATAGCAATACACAAATAATTCTGAGCTAAAAAAGACTTTAAAAAATCTACTCTAAATTCTTTATTTTAAAAAGGAAGAAAAGTAGACACAAAGAAGTCATGAGACTTGTTTATTATTATCCAGAACTGGATTTGGAACCCTTTAGTTCCTGTCTCATTTGGTGCATTTTATGTGCTATAGAGGAAATTTTGTGTTCTCTCATTTATTACTACTGCGAGGGATCTTTTAAGACTCCTCTTTTTAACAACAGATTATGGCCTTGAATTAAAAATTGACATTGGTGATGCAAATTTAAAAAGGAGACTCAATATGTGATAGCTTATGATATGTGTGGGTAGTTCACTGGTTTTCTTTTCCATGTGAGAGAGGAAATAAAAGAATACTTAAATCACATTATTAATTTCTCTAATATGAAAAAATTTGAAAGAATATCCAAATTAAAACAATTTCGGAAGAAGCACAAACAGGAAGTTTTTGTTTTAATATAGAGCTATCACTTTGCCATCATTATTTGAAGTCTGCTCAACATGGACAGTGTCTATTCAGCACCCAAGGCAGTGATGCCCTTAGTAAATTATGTATTTCATGATGCTATCGATAGTTTACTATTGATAACCCTAAGGAGTGATTATTAGTCTCTTGAAACACTTGTGTGGTCAAGGTTAAAGGTAAGTGTCGACCAACAATTTCTCTGCTTAGTTTAGGCACAAATTAAATGTTTTTCTTCTTCTTTTTCTTTTTTTTTTCTTGAGATGGAGTTTTGCTCTTGTCACCAGGGCTGTGTAGCAGTGGCACAATCTCAGCTCACTGCAACCTCCGCCTCCTGGGTTCAAGTGATTCTCCTGCCTCAGTCTCCCGAGTAGCTGGGATTACAGGCACCCACCATGCCCGGCTAATTTTTGTAGTTTTAGTAGAGATGGGGTTTCGCCATTTTGGCCAGGCTGTTCTTGAACTCCTGACCTCAGGTGATCTGCCCACCTCGGCCTCCCAAAGTGCTTGAATTACAGGCATGAGCCACCATGCCCAGGCAAATTAAATATTTTATATGGAAAACATTGTAATTTATCTCTGCAGAATATTCAGGTGTGCAGTAAATGTTTTAATCAAATGTTTTGGCAAAGCATTTGGGGTTAGCCAATAAGAATTTATCACTCTCATTCATATGCAAATAGAAATGTATGTTCTGAGGGTATGAAAGCTGTAAGAAGCCTCACAGAACACCCAGTCCAGCTCCTATATTTCACAGATGAGGAACCAGAGTGACCTGTTATCTTTTCCCAAGAACCGTCAATAAGCCATGTTTTCGTAGACATACAATTTTTGCGTTTGTTCCTTTTGCTATTGTAATTATGTTGACTCATTCTTCAGTCGATCAAGATTCTGCCATCTTTGTAACATGCTGTTTTCAATATGGTGACAAGATGTTTTGTAATAAGGAAGTCATTTCATTAGACTAAAGAAGACCAATAACTAATATAAGTGATATAGTTTAAATGACAGTTGCTATTACTATAGTTACTTGTGGTACCTACTCATTGGTGTGTGTGTGTGTGTCCATGTGTGTATGTGTGTCCATGATACTGGCTGTGTATATCTCTGAGTCTGTGTATGGATGTGGCATTTCTGCATGTGGTAATATTTAGATGTGGATGTGTGTATATGTGTATTTGTGTGTGTGTGTACTTGTGTAGTTGTACCTATGGTAGAATGGAGGATTCTTATTTCATAACTCCCTGTGATATGTATTATGCTCCTTAGCAAAGAGCTGCAGCCTCACCAACTGTTCTTCCCAGAGTCTGAGCTAATAGAAAGTCTGCCACATTTATGACTACATACTGTTCAAACTGAAAAATTTCCCCCTTTACCTAGGGTATTTTTAGTATCAAAGACTCTTTAGTCACTTGTAGACTTAACACTCTTTAAAAATAAAACCTTTATTTCTTTTCTGAGTGCTGCAATGTGGGCTCTTTTGGTGTTAAATGAAAAACTGACTTTGGAAGAAAGATGTACCGAAAAAAGAAATGTTATGATACTAGCACAATGACTTACTAAAGCTGTTTTGAATTGCATTAGATACTATTTTATTCCATTCCAAGTGTGAATCCAATATAAAAGCTCATGTTTACTCATTTAAAGATAAAAAAAATCACAGAAGCCAAGCGTTGGAAGAGCCTGCAAAGCCCCCGCTCCTTTATTGCCCTCGACCTCAGTTTCTCTCTTTTCTAAAATGAGAGCTTGAAGTTGTTTTTTTAGATATCATTCATCTTGTTTGCTATTCCCAAAAAATAGAAATTTAGGGATTATGTTTGCTTTTTTGCTTTTTTCATTTTGAGCAGCCTGGGAAGCCAGACCTGCATGGCATGGAATGTGTTATTTGTTCTGATCTGAAAATGAAATATCTAGTATGGTGTCCAACTCTCTTGGAGCATTATTATAAACTCATTGTTCTGTAATAACTTACAAAGACAGAATACAGAATCCCTGACACTTCAGAAGACACTTAACTTATCTAGGTCTAAAATATTGCTTATTTAGAGTCATACAAATAGAACATCAAAAAGGTCATGCTTATAGACAGAATAATTGTTCTTTTATAAAAGATGACACCTAGAAAATTGAGAAAACTTCCTACAAATCCAGTGTCTGCAAGCATCACTGAATTGTTGACATAATCAAGAATATTCATGTCAAAATACTCCAATAAAAAATTAAAGTGTAAAATCTTTAACAAAACTGAAATTTTATTAAATGAACACATTATTTAAGTTGGTAATTCATATCAATTATTAGCATGTTTTCAGTTTATACAGATTTTTCAGTTACCCAAAGCTTACTTATGAGGGAAAAAAACACTTTCTTTTTTTAAAACACTTTCTGTCTTTTCAAAAATTTATTTTACATTTGTATTATTGATTTATTTTTAATTTGATTTATGTGTATTTATTAGTAATCACTTTGTCAGATTTTATGAGGTAGGCAGATAACGACATCATGGTCCCCACTTGCCACAAATACATGAAATATATGTTGCATTTATATTCTGTAAGAAATATGATATTTCTGTCTGGAAGAAAAACCTATTGAAGAAATGGGGGAAAACAGTGCTGGATTGACAAGTAAAATATGATGAAATACATAAAAACAGAAAGCAGGGGGAAAATAAACCAAAGCATTTTCCTTCCAACATCCATCTAATCTGCTTATGTTTTCTGAGGGAAGTAATTTCTGACTCCAGTGACCACAGTTGTCATAGAAAACTACATACTAGTAACAGGCCCCACACAGTGGCTCATACCTATAATCCCAGCACTTTGGGAGGTTGAGGTGGGCGGTTTCACTTGAGGTCAGGAGTTTGAGACCAGCCTGGCCAAAATGGTGAAATCCTGTCCCTACTAAAAATACAAAAATTAGCTAGGTGTGGTGGCGCGCATTTGTAATCCCAGCTACACGGGAGGCTGTGGCAGGGAATCGCTTGAACTGGGGAGGCGAAGGTTGCAGTGAGCTGAGATCACGCCACCGCACTCCAGCCTGGGCCACAGTGCAGGACTGTCTTAAAAAAAAAAAAAAAAAAAAAAGAAAGAAAGAAAACTATATACTAGCATACTAGTAACAAAGGCACAGGGATCTTCTCCTCCAGATCAGGAGCTCGCAAATGTTTTCTTAAAGGTATGTGTGGTAAATATTTTAGGCTTTTTGAGTCAAGAGACAAATCAAGGATATTGTATAGGTACTTATATAACCATTTAAAATGTAGCCATTTAAAATGGCAAAAGCATTTTTACCTTGTGGGCCATACAAAAACAGGTGGCAGGAGAGATTCATCCTTTATTAAGGAATTGGAATTTCAAAATTCTTTATATCAATTATACAATTGAAGTTTTATAAAAATTAAATAGGTTAGCGCAGTCTTTTAAAAAATTTAAATGTTATTTTTTTCCCCTCAATATCATTGCTTCTTGACAATAAAGTTACCACTTTAAATGAGAAAAGGATATTCAGTCTTAAATTCCAAGAAATTTTCCCCACAGGAAACTTACATTGTTTTAATTCAGAGTCAATGAGGTACAAGTCAAAAGATGAACACCGAACTGATAATAGTGGCAATGTAAACAGCAATAAGAAAGGTTAAGTAGTGGGTGGTCAGAGAATTGGATTCAATGTCAATACTTTGATCCTCTGATAACAAGATAGCTTTATTGTTAAATTAATAGTTGATATAATTTTAAAAAGTTTCAGAAAAGGGAATAAACATTTAATATTTAATGTGGAAAAAGTACATGAAGACTATCTAAATATTGAGATATGAGCTATTGGAAGGAGAATGATAAATTTGCACCCAGAAATTCTTGCGCACTATATCAACTGGGGCAAATAAGTACATTCTTTTCAAGACTGGAACATATGGGAAGCAAAGACAGTCTTAGACCATCTTTTTCTGTGCTTTTATCTTAGAAGGAACATAATTTAGCAATTTTTTTTCCATTGGCATTTATAGAATTATATAGTTTTTCTTAATTAAGAAAATGAAAAGAATTCAATATTTTTGTGTGAATCCATGTAGGTGGTAAAATATATAAACAAGACAAGAAAAGATGGTACACACAAAAAAAACACAGCCTTTTCAAGCAAATTGGAAGCTATAAAACATCATATGTCACAATTTTTTTGGTGGAATGTGATGTGCCAAGCTACTTGGATTTTTTAAAAGTCAGCCATCAACTCATTAACCAGTGTCTGCAAGCAGATGTTGGCTTAAGCTGTGGTGCTCTTTTGTGTGCTTAAGAATGTGTAGATGGATATCAGCTTTTCAAATAGAAAGTAGCTACAAAACATAAAAAATGATTTCTTTCCTCAAATTTTACTTGTCATATTATGTTACATTAGATGGTGAAACAGAATGTTAACTGTGTAATGAGACAAGGATACTAAAATGTAAAGGAGAACACACTTTTTCAGCTTAGATACATGCCATCCTTTTAGACATGGGTAGCCATTCTGAAATGATAGAAGAATTTTTGTTAAATGCAAATCAGCTGCTTGTGAATTTATAATATGAAAGTTTAACAAGTTTGAAAACTTTTCAAAACAACACAAAAGGTGCATGAGTGATACTTTGCTATTTTAAACAGAGATAAAAGACTGTGTTGGCAATGCGTAGCCACTTAGCACCTGATGTTTTTCTACCAACATTAGTGTTAGTGCCCATGGCCCCTTGTTGATGTAAGCACCCCAATTTTGGGATTGCTGATGCTTTCTAATACTGTACCATGTGATTCTTTTGACAATAGTGGATATGTGGGCTTCTAGACCTCTATTAAAGTAACTGCAGTTTACCTCTCAAAAGAGAATATAACACAGGTATTTTGCAAAGCAGATAGACTGCATATTTGATTTATATTACAGTGAAAATTAATATTTATATAAAGATAAGAGAAGTTAACAAGAAAAGGCAACTGTTAGTGGAAAAGTAAAAGAATGTTGGAAGTGTACACAGATGGGTG
The DNA here is from genome assembly GCF_000001405.40 of Homo sapiens. Taxonomy (NCBI): domain Eukaryota; kingdom Metazoa; phylum Chordata; class Mammalia; order Primates; family Hominidae; genus Homo; species Homo sapiens. The sequence continues at coordinate 114,386,238 of NC_000006.12, forward strand.
GCTGGTGAAATCACTTTTGTTTTTAATGGAATCTGTTATTCTCTGTCGTTGAATCATTCTTACGTGTGTACTAATTGATTTTTTAACTCTTTCAATGCATCTCATAATTCTCAACATCATTTAATCTGAATAATTCTGGGTTGATTCAGTCCTAAATGATTCCAGAAAGATAATCACTTATTTTATTCTTTTAAAACCTTGTCTAGAAAGAAATATTACAAACTAATTTGGGTTAAATTCCCATCTTTCTTAAGCACTGGTTGCAGCTGTGCTCCCTGGGAAGCGAACTCTGAGACTGAGATTACATGCAAGATTGCTCTCAGAGAAGAGAAGGGAAGGGAAGATGGAGAAAGGGAAAGGGAGAAGAGGGAGGAGAAAGAAGGGAATGAATTGGATGTGAGAGCAAAGAGAGGAAAAGGAGGGAGGGGATGAAAGGGAGAAGTGGGGGAGGCAGCAGGATTGGGCAGCACAATAGGCTAAATGTTTTGTGTACCCCCAAAATTCATATGCTGAAACCTAATGCTCAATGTGATGGTATTTGGAGCTGGGGCCATGGGAGGTAATTAGGTTAGGAAAGTGGAGCCCTCAGAATGGGATTAGTGCCTTTATCAAGAGGCCAGGGCATTAGCTAGCCCTCCTTGTACAACGTGAGAATACAAGGAGAAGTTGGCAGTATGCAGTCCAGAAGAGTGTCATTAACAGAGCCTGACCGCAAGCATGATTTCAGACTTCATGTCTCCAGAACTATGAGAAGCAAATTTCTGTGTTTTATACATCAACAAGCCTACGGTACTTTGTTGTAATAGCCTAACCTAAGACACAAGCCGAAGGAAAAATTGTAGCTGTCACGGTGTCTCAATAACAAAGAGTTATCCCATACTTCAGTGAGGGTGCTGGATCCTTACATCCTATTCAATATGCTGCATAATTTACTGCATAATATACTGCATAATTTATACTGTACAGTGATATAGAGTTTATGCTATATACTATACTTTAGAAATTACACCAGTCAGTGGGTGCTGCTGCCCCAGGAAGGAGGCTTACAGCTAGGCAAGACTGCTCTCTGTAGTCCAGGACAGTTTCTTGAGAAGGCTAACAGCTGAGGACAGCTCTTCTAGCATCTGGAGAAACAAGTCCCAAAGTCTCAAAGGGGGATTTATACAGCTTGTCACACATTCACTATAGCATTAAAATGAGGAAGATTATTTTAATTTCTAACCTAAATTACTCCTATTAAGTCTAGATTTTTAAATTCTACCTTCTTTGAAAGTACTGAGTAGCTGCTTTTCCTTGTATAAGCTACACATTTCAATCATGATGGAGTGAGTCTACTAATGTAACTGAAAGCTGGATGAACAAGCCCAGTCCACTCCTTTCTAAGCTTTAAAAGCATTGCTCTTATGTTTTCTTGAATGCATTGCTCTTGTGTTTTCTTGAATGCACTGGCTAAATCTTGAACATTTATTAATTTTTTATACCATTGTTGCAAAGATTGTAAGAATAAGACATACCACATAACAATGCTTGGAGGACACGGTTATAATTTTAACTACCTGGAGAAGGCTAGCTATTTAGTAACACAATATTTTCATTTCATAGTGAACTGTGGGCAAAGATATGTATAAGCACATTTTGGGATCATACAATAGGATCTTGGGCTTATTTAATTTAGAAACAGAGGTAGTAGATATTTAGGAGAGAATAGAAAAATTTATCTTTCTTGGATTGAATAAGAAAATATTTGATGATGTAAGAAGCAATGAGATGTTGAGTACATCAGTTCTCTGTGGGGCCACGCAAGCTCAGTGACCTCCGTCAAGTGACTAAAGGACACTTAATGGGAGCTAAATGAAGCTAGGGCATTTTGTTGACCCTCCAGTCGTGAGACTATTGAGAAACCACTACTTCAACCCCATAATGTTTCTCTGAGCCACTGGGGGAATCAAATAAAGAGGATTTCCAGTCAATACTGTGATAGAGACATAACTTTCTTTTTGTTGTGTTAAAACCAACAGGAAATATAAGGAATTTGATGGAACCAATCTTATATTTCCAGGAAATATAAGATAGAACCAACAGTAAATATAAGGAATTTGATAGGATCAACAAAAAAAGTATAAGGTTTGGGTTAATGAAGTCTTTAGAAAAATAACTAATGCTGGTGAATTGGGGAAGGATATTTCAGATTTTAGGCCACCTTGGACACACTAAGGATACGCATGTTCTTCAAAAATCTGCTCATATTAGAAATATTACAATTTTCAGTTTTTAAGGAACTCAGGAAAGTTCTTCCTGATTCATATGTTTAAAAAATACATAAAGTATTACCCTGTGCATTACAACTTGATGACAGCAGCCATTCTTAGGACAGTTGTTTTATGGGAATCTTCCAGTAGCAGAGATGGGTAAACCAGAATTATAAAAAATGATCCATCAAGTTATGGAGTATTTCATTGCAAAAAAAAGAGGCTCTAAATCTGGCTAGATGAATATGTCTTTTAAAAACGACACCTTCAAAACAACTAGACAGCTTTAAGTAGGAACTTCAAGATACAACAGTAGCATAGTTTGTTTCTCACTAAACTTGCAATTTCTTTTTTTGTTTGTTTGTTTCAGATAAGAAAATGAGGCTTTTGGTGAGGATTTGTAGAGGTTGTGCTTTCCATTCTTCTCCCTCTAGAACAGTGTGAGTGTTCAGGTAGACTCTCTGTCATTCTCCATAGGCAGAAATAAAATCGCTGTTCTTTTATAGAGAAGTTGCCCTCTAAGTACTTCCAGCCAAGATTGTAAGTTATATAAATCTTGTGGAAAAGTGTGAATTTCTTCTCCAGCTACTGGAATTACCTTTGCTCCATCATAGCAAGCTTTTTTAACCCAACATTTTTCCACATCTTTGTATTTCATTATTTTATTTACTTTACACAAGTGAATGTCCATATGTTAGACCTCTGTAGAGATTTTTTTGTGCCAAAGTGGCTAATAGGCAATATGATAAGTATAAACAAATACTGAGACTATAAATGGGTCCTGCCTCTAGGCCCATACAGAACACACAGATCCTTCTTTCCTACTTCTTTTCTGTGTGAATAAACAGCATTCTTAAAATTCCTAGGATAAAGAATTGAAATTTCTCTTTCTCCTTTATTGTCTAGTATTTGACTAGCCTCAGGTTTTAGAATCTGAAAAGTTGAAATGAGTCATTAGGTTTTCAGTTGACTTGGACTGAAGAAAAAACCTAATTGTACATTTTTGCAAGATTTTAAATAAATAACATCTGCTGTCTTAGCCATGGATGATTTAATTTTTTAACACGTGCTTCCACCCTTTAATTTTCTGCAAAGCAGCCACATCAATTATTAATTCATCTATATTTCCTCAAAGCGAGTCAGACTTAAGATCCTTCATAAATATTTAAGAATACTGCTGCAAAATAAACAAAAACTTCTACTTAACTTTTAATTGCAAGTTCGAGAACCAATGCTTGCAAAAGCAACAAAAAACAAGACAAACATGATAAAAAAAAAAAAAAGAAAACCCTGAGAAGTAAAAAAGCAGAAACTAAAAGAACAAGGAGGCCAGACTTCTGTCATTGCCTGTTTTACAATGTGAATCTCATTTACTGCACATTTAACTAATGGAATAAATGGACATGGCCAAATTTAACTCAGGCCTGATGATAGCACTTAATTTTTGATAATTCACTTTTTCTCTTCCTCTTTCTTTCACACACATTGCCACACATGGTGCACACTCTTTACCATTAATACTGAACAAGTTACTAAAATAATAAATACAGGAATATGCAAAATAGCCTGCATGTAATTAAAATAATGAGGGAATAGCTCAAACTTTCCTTTCTTATTATATTAACAAGGCTTCTGAGAAAGATGCTATTATGAATTGAATTGTGTACTCCAAAAAGACATATTGAAGTCTAGCCCCCTATACCTGTGAATATGACCTTATTTCGAAATTGGGTCTTTGCAGATGTAATCAAATAAAGATGAGGTCATGCTGAATTAGGGGGAGCCCTAATCCAATATGCTGGTGCCCTTATGAGAAGAGGAGAAAAGCCACACAGAGACGCAGAGAAAAAAATGCCATGTGACAATGTAGACAAAGACTGGAGTGATGCATCTATGAGTCAAGGAATGTCAAGGATTTTGGGCAACAGCAGAAGCCAAGAGAAAGGCATAGATTAGATTCTTTCCTAGAGCTTTCAGAAAAAGTGCAGCCCCAGTGACACCTTGATTTCAGACTTCTAACTTCCAGGCATGTGAGAGAATAAATTTCTGTTGAAAGACACCCAGTTTGTGCCACTTGGTTACATAGATGCTATATGCTAATCTGTTCTTTTTGCTTTCTAATATTAAAAAGCATAGATACTATGGATAGAATATATGTACAGTTTTAAAATTATAAAGCAAATATCCTTCTGATCACCCTCCAGGTCAATAAACAAGAATGATATTTCTGAATCCTTGGAAGGTTCTCTTATATACCCCTTTCTTATCATAGCCTACTTCTTTCCCCCACTGCCTGATAATCCTTTAGCAGCTTTTCTTTATAGTTATATCACCTATGCAATTATACTATAACCAATATGGTTTAATTTTCCCGCTGATAAATCTTTAAAGGAGAAGATATTTGGATGAACCAAGCTGATGAAAATGCATTTTAGAGCTTTGCTTAGGCAAATTCACACGTTACTTACTGATAAATATAAATTGAAACTACACTCTGTAAAATTATATTTTGAATAAGCATATTCATTCAGTTGATTCACTCATTGAAGACTTATTATTAACTGGGGACATACTGGGCAAACTTTATTTTTCAGGCATTTTCCAGATAAGAGATTAAAAGTAATGTCAATAATTCCACTTTAACAAAATATATAATTTAAAGCAAAATTAAATTATCTGAAAATCATACTTACTTGTTACTTATGCACACACACAAGAGTTTGTGTGATTTAATAAGATTGTATTATAGAACAATTGATTAATATGATGAATTTTACCAATTTATAGATTAACTTCATTTATTCATATAAACATAAGAGCATAGTTTTAGAGGTGCTACACATTTTAATTTTCATTAAGTTATTAGATTATCTAGATTTGCTTAGTTACTGAATTTGCCCAGTCTATGCATATTAATTCTTCTTGGAATTTCCATGTATTTACTGTTAATAGAAAATATACAAGTCTTTTTTTGATTTTATAGACTGCTTAATATAACACATGTTTAACTATTACAAAGTGTTAGATATAAGGAGGTAAAGGGATTCAAATGAGTTTTTTGTTTGGTAGTAAAATGCTTGTGAATAGGAGTCTGTCAGATGTTTTAGAAGACACTGGAACACAAGTGTCTCCTGCTTTTCAAAAAGCTTATGGTTCCCAGAAGAAAAGAATGGGTTGGCTAATGACTATAATATAATATAATATGATGCATTCTGTAGTCCAGGAAAACTTGAAGTGGATCTAGCTCAAATATGAAAGTGATGAGACCAGGTGCAGTGGCTCATGCCTGTAATCCCAGCACTTTGGGAGGCCAAGGCCAGTGGATTGCTTGAGCTCACAGGTTCGAGACATGCCTGGGCAATATAGCAAAATCCTGCCTCTATAAAAAATACAAAAATTAGCCAGGCATGATGGTGCACACCTGTAGTCCCAGCTACTCAGGAGGCTAAGGTGGGAGGATTGTTTGTGCCCAGGAGGAGGAAGCTGCAGTGAGCTGAGATTGCTCCACTGCATTACAGCCAGGTGATGGAGTGAGACCCCATCTCAATTAAAAAAAAAAAAAAGGAAAAAGTAAAAAGAAAGTGATGAATTCTACCTGGAGAGAAACAGATTTGTTCCCATGGGACATGGCATATATAAAGCCATTGTTGAGTATTGAAGGGCGGGAGTTTGCAGACAGAGAATCCCAAGGTCAAATAAGGGCAAAGTGTTTGGCCTGTATCAAATTTGTTTTTAATGTCAGGAAATAAATCTCAATAATATTTATCTCTAGATATGTATTATATTACGTTTGTGCCAGCTTTTAATTAATCTTGGAAAGTTATCAACTTCATATACTTATTGATAGATTATAATTTAGTTAACAAAACATGTCACTGGCGAATATGATTCAGTTGACATGCTCACTATTACACGCATTTATTTCCAGATTCAAAGTTCCTGATACTGCACATTATCAACTGCAAATTATTTCTTTAAAAAATTTATGGCTGGGACCACTGGCTCATGCCTGTATTTCCAGCACTTTGGGAGTCCGAGATGGGCAGATTACCTGAGGTCAGGTAATCTCTACTAAAAATCCAAAAATTAGCGGGCACGGTGGCACATGCCTATTATCCCAGCTACTCGGGAGGCTGAGGCAGGAGAATTGATTGAGCTCAGGAGGCGGAGGTTGCAGTGAGCCGAGATCGTGACACTGCACTCCAGCCTGGCTGACAGAGCAAGACTCTGTCTCAAAAAAAAAAAAAAAAAAAAAAAATTTCATGAGACATTTTACTACTTTTAAAGGATTACATAGTTCAGTTTCTAATATAAGAATTAAATTGAATGCTTCCTTATAATTTAGGATAGGCCAATATATGCTAGAAATTTTGTTCACTGTAATTATCAAAGATGTTTATTCTTTTTTAAGTTTTGTTTTTAATTGACAAATAATAATTTGTATATTTATGGGATTCAGTGTGATATTTTGAAACATTTATACATTGTAGAACGATCAAGTCAGGCTAGAATATCCACATCTTAAATATTTATCATTTCTTTTTGTGGTAAGAACAGCTAAAATCCTCTTTCTTAAAATTTTCAGCTATTTTGAAATGCATTAATAATTATAGTCACCATGCTGTACAATGAAACACCAGCTCATACTTCTCCTAACTGAAACTTTGTACTCGCTAACCAACGTCTCCCTTTCACCCATTCACCCCTCCCATAAAACTAGCCAGTGAAAACCATTATTCTACTCTCTACTTCTATGTGTTTGACTTTCTCCCTTGATTTTTTTTTTTTTTCTGGCTTTTTTCTTTTGGTATTGTGGTAATTTTGCTGTGGGTTGTAAAAATGTCCCTAGATAGCAGTTTCTTGGAACTTTATGAGTTTACTCAGTTTTCATGTTAATTTTTCAACTTGAAATTTCCACACAACATTAATAGATTCAAATTACACTAATACATTCAAATTTTACAGCTAGGATGGCACAGGCTCAGAGGTTGAATTTTTCCAATTAGACTCAATCCACACAGTACCCATCTCCTCCTCCTCTTGCCTGACACTGGATTGCCTAAATGAATAGCTATTTTCAATATCATTACACTCAGATGCAGCCTTTCAGATTTCTTTTTATGCATGGTCTTACATCTTGCTTTCTATCGTGCACAAGTCCAAGTTTACTCTGTTCCCATGTGAGTGGTCAACTTCCTTGGGCCAATATCTAAGTCCCTTTGGCCTGCTGAAGGATTAGTTAGTGTATTCTGTATTCTGGCCTTGACTCCTTTCTTTCTTCATTTGCAGAGACTTCTGTTATTTAATTAAAGCTTGACAACATTGTCAATCTTTTGGTATGCTTTATAATTTCTGCATTTTTGTTGCTGAGGACTAAGAAGGGGGAAAAAGAGGGCCTATTTGTTTAAATTGCTAAATTACTAGAACTAGAATTAGATTTTTTTTGGATAAGAGTGTAAGACAATTTGGAGATCTGAGATAAGTACCAAAGGATGATGGCAGAAGGATGGGGAAGGAGTGGCGAGTTGGAGATCAAGGAACCTTGATTGTGCACAGACGTGTAAGAGCCAGTAAATGAAGAGGTGCTGCTGGAAAAGGGAAACAGAAGATTCAGGAGACTGGTGTCACAAAAACTGCAGGGGCAGGAGATTTCACGAAAGTTTTAGGATATTTAACATGTAGCATCCCTATCTGGTAAAGTTTAGCATCACAGGGAAAAAGCTCATTGGCTTTGGCACTTAGTCATTTCCAGTCTTCTTCCTCTCAGTTGGTGGCAACCCCATCAGGTTGCTCAGTCAAAAACCTTGGTGCCATCCTTGACTTACCAACCTCTCTCACAAGATCTATATCTAATTCATCAGGAAATTCTGTTTTCTTGGCCTTCAAGATATGTCTGCACTTTGACTACTCACCACTACTAATTTAAAATTGCAAACTGAATATCTCCCCTTCCCACTCTCAACAATTTCAATATTGGTTACCCAGCTCTCTTATTGTTCCATAGCATTTTTCATCTCCAGAATCGTGGATGGCATCCTCATTTATTACAGTGATTGCTTACTGCCTGTCTTCTCTCACTAGACTACTAGTCCCATGAGGGCAGGGTTCTCTGCTGTGCTTTAAGGGCTTAGAGCACCTGTACCTGGCACGTAGTAGTGACTCAATAATTGTTACATAAATGAATTGTAATCTTGTTGTATATTTAACTAAAATTTCATTTGAGCAAATTTTAGTTAAATATATAACAGACTCCAGTTAGAGCTATATAGTTGGAGCTGCATGTTTTAGGCATGTAAGCCTTATTCAATTCTACTTTGAATATAATTAATATTTTAGTAAAAATTTAATCTCTTATCCTATTATAGGAATTCTGTGCTCAAGAATTTTTGCAACCATCAAATCCTAGAAATTAGAGTCCAAACATTACTATCAGATACCATTTTTACCTTATAAACTAATTAAAGATTTTAGCCAAACTTCTAAATAATGAGATTTAAAACATTCATAAGGAATTAATATTCTAGCATTTCTTCTTCACAAAGTACTTACCCAGTGAACAAAGAAATTTCAACTTACCAAAACAACAAAATACTGCATATATTTGAGGATTCTTCCAACTGGAACTAAACAGTTGGAGCTGTATGTTTTAGGCATGTAAGCCTTATTCAATTCTACTTTGAATATAGTTAATATTTTAGTAAAAATTTAATCTCTTATTCTGTTATAGGAATTCTGTGCTCAAGAATTTTTGCATCCATCAAATCCTAGAAATTAGAGTCCGCACATTACTACCAGGTACCATTTTTACCTTATACCCTAATTAAAGATTTTAGCCGAACTTCTAAATAATGAGATTTAAAATATTCATAAGGAATTAATAATCTAGCATTTGTTCTTCACAAAGTACTTACTCAGTGAACAAAGAATTTTAAATTTACCGAAAAAACAAAAGACTTCATATATTTGAGGATTCTCAGTATGTCCTTCAGGTGGGAGCTAATCATAATTCCAAAACAAACAAACACAAATGCCATAGTCCCAAGTGTTGAAATTCCAAAAGATCAAAATACTGAAAATATAATTCTAAAAAAGTTTAAAAAATTGTATTTACACTTTTAAAAGGAGATTTATTTGAGAAACATAAAAACACAACAAAACACTTCCTAGGCCATTTTACATAAGAAAATAGGCAATAATAACATGCATATTTTTGCAAGCATTAACACTTTGGCATACTAATGACAGTTGCATGGGTATAACAGTTATAAGCAGTCAAGTTGTATTCATATAAATAGGTCAAAAGTGAAATATATACTATAGTTGGTAATTACGTGTGTCTAGCTTTATAACTTTGGTCATATGAAACATAATGACAGACAACATAAATCTTGTCTTGGCGAGACTGTTGGAAAACCATGATGAGATACTGTCACAAATGTAATCACCCAAAGAGTCAAGATCTCAAGAAATTGTATCTTTCACAAATGCAGATCTACAAAAAGGACATTTCTTCATTTAGTGAGGAAATTTCAACATTTCTATATAAATGTGCAGTGCTTATACATAAAGTCAACATTGTGATAATGCACTTCAATGGAATCAAATTTGCAGCATAAAACAAATTAGAACTCTCTAAAAGTCTCCACACAATTTAGATCTCTAATATGGGATATGATGTGAAGATGAAATACATAGCATAACAAATTGGCGCTATGTGTGAAGAGGTAGAAGTTATATGTGATTGGATAATTTGGCTTGGAGGACTTCTTGTATTTTTCATCTGTGTTTTTACTTCTGTGATCTGTATTTGGACAGTGGTTGTGGTCTACAAATTTTGTAAGTATATGCAGTCCATCTGAAAGTCTGATTATTGCTTGGCCTTTGCAATTAAGGGATTTTCAGCTTTTGCAGCACCAATAATAATTAGCTTTTAAACTTTTATCTTTCACTATTAAGAAGCCTCATACACTTAACTTATCACAGCCTTTTTGTGAGGGAACAATTTCACAGATCTCTTCCACTGTGTTGTAAGGAATACAGTAGCAGGAATGATACTTGGCTTCCTCAACGCCAAGTGTGTATTAGTAACGGATCTTCAGAGAGACTCAATCAATAGGATATGTATATAGATACACAAGAGGGGATTTTTAGAAGAATTGGCTAACATCTTTATGGTGGCTGAGAAGTCATAGCACAGGTCGTCTACAAGTTGGAGACCCTGAGATGCTGGTAGTGTGGCTCAGTCTAAGTCTAGTAACCTCAGAACCCAGGAAGCTGGTGTAAGTTTCAATCTGAGGTCAAAAGCTTCAGGACCCAAGAAACAGCTGGTGGAGGTCCTGGAGTCCAAAAGTCAGCAAACCTAGAATTCTGATGTCCAAGGCGGCAGAATAAAAGTCTTTTCAGTTTGGGAGGCTGAGGTGGGTGGATCACCTGAGGTCAGAAGTTTGAGACCAGCCTAGCCAACATGGCAAAACCCCATCTCTACTAAAAATACAAAAATTAGCCAGGTGTGGGGACACGTGCCTGTAGTCCCAGCTACTTGGGAGGCTGAGGCAGGAGAATCACTTGAACCTGGGAGGCAGAGGTTGCAGTGAGCTGAGATCACGCCACTGCACTCCAGCCTGTGGGTGACACAGTTGGACTCTGTCTCAAAAATAATAATAATAATAATAATAATAATAGTAAAAAGTATTTTCAGTTATCAGAGAGAGACCAATTTACCCTCAGCATTTGTTCTCTCCAGGTCCCTGTCTGATTGAATAATGCCTACCAACTTTGAGGGCAGGTCTTCCCTGCCTAGTCCACTCAGATTCACACCCTAATCTCTTCTGGAAATACCTTCACAGACACATGCAAAATAATGCTTTACCAGGTTTCTAGGCATTCTTTAATCCAGTCAACTTGACACCTAAAATTAAGTCCACAGGTTGGCGCACTGTCAATTTAGCACTCATATATAACCCCTTAAACCAAGCTTGTCCAACCTATGGCCCATGGGCCACATGAGGCCCAGGATGGCTTTGAATGTAGCCCAATGCAAATTGATAAGCTTTCTTAAAACATTATGAGAATTTTTGTGATTTTTAAAAAAATCTCATCAGCTGTCGTTAGTGTTAGTGTATTTTATATGTGGCCCAAGGCAGTTCTTCTTCTTTTAATGTGGCCCAGGGAAGCCAAAAGATTGGACACCCTTGCCTTAAACCATACTTAATTTCCAAATAAAGACAATAACAAGTTAATAGCTCTACCTAACATAATGCAACTATTCTGTGACTGTGAATTTCAAGATTTTAGACATTGGGGATTTTAGACTTTAGAAATTTTGATCTTTTGAGATTTCAACATTTGGGATTATGGCATTTAGGATTGTGTCTTTTGGGATTATAATCCAAACCCCCTTTGGGCAAACTCATTTAACACACATTCTCATAAGTCTGTATATATTTAAATAAGGTTGTGACATGAGTATACAACTTTTCGTTGAATAAAGATACAAACTGATTCCCTTATATCAGCAAGTCATATAGATTCTCTTTGTCAGAAGATATTTACAATTTTAATTTTTTGCTTTATAAATTCTAGTAAGAGCTTCTGGCCTTTCTTGGCTGTGAGTTAAAAAACTGACTTCATAATTCCTTCCTTCCTTCTTTTCATTCTTCCATATGTCTTTTTTCTTTATTTTGCTCTTCTGCCCCCCACCATCTTCAGTCCACTCAATAGCCAGTTCCTACTCTAAAAACAGCAAATGGAATTACAATAAACTAATATACTTAACTTGTCTTGCAGAGTCCACTGCGTCTTTTGGTTCATCATTATTTTGTGCGTAGAGATTTTTGTTTTTTCACCGAATATAATTGCGTTGACTTCCTACCAAGTGGTATAATTCTCAATTCTTTCTCACACATCTCTTTCTTACACATTTAGAAGTTGAGCCCACACCCATTCTCTAATCATCACAGCTGACGTTCATTTGCTGTTCTCTCGTTATTTCAATCATTTGCTTCTTGGGTTTTAGAGTCTGTTCATTTTTTTTTTTTTTTTTTTTTTTGCTTGACCAAAAGAGACTAGAAGGCTGTGAGTTGTGGCTCTTCTTACGAATTGCATGTGCTTAGTTTACTGTTTGTATTAACATCTCACCTGGGAGGCAGAGACACATGAAAACAAGATTCAGAGCTCTAAGGACATTACTGATGATGCAAGCTGATACAGACAGGAAAATCAACAGAGCCCAGCAACATCAAAGCAGCACTTGCTCTTTGGTCATTTAGGAATTGAATCAAGAATACCTAATGTTAAATGACGAGTTAATGGGTGCAGCACACCAACATGGCACATGTATACATATGTAACAAACATGCACATTGTGCACATGTACCCTAAAACTTAAAGTATAATTTAAAAAAAAAGAAAAGAAAACCTTAAAAAAAAAAACAATGGGGTCTCATTTTCTTTTTCGTTACAAGTTTTACGAAAAAGTTATATGAACCAATATTGATAAATATTGAAAATACAGATTGATTTTCAAAGTTTGACAGGAAAATACAGAATCTTTTTCTGGCTAAAAGCAAACCAAGTGACTCAGTTTGAAAATGGCCTGAAGAGAGAGTGCTGTCTTTCTCCTTCTCCTTTTCCTTCTTCCTCCTTCTTCTCCCTCTCTTTTTCTTTTGCCTCCATTCACTTTTCTTTGTCTTCCATATCTTTTAATCTTTTGCGTTAAAAGAAACTATTTAACTGAATGAGGTGAACTATGTTCTATTTGGATAATTTGGCATTTTGTACTTTTTATTTTATTTTCTTCATGAAAATTTTAAAATGATTTTAGCCTGCAAATAAAGATTGCATTGTCCCATTTTCTTGACATATAGTAAGGGTCAACAAAATAAGTGTAACTATTAAGTTTTCATTGGCTTTCAATATAATTTGATTACAATGATAAACAGAGGTGCTAAAAGCTATAGTTAACATAGTAGCTTCTATAATTCAGTTTTATTTTTATGAGAAATAAAAAGCAAATAGAACCGCAGATCTTTGTGTGCACACAGTAGAGAAAGAGCACATTTAAAAAATTTTTCGAAGTATAAATACAGAAAACACTTATGAAACTTAATATAATTACATTATAATTTCCAAAATTATGCTATTCCTCCAACTATGGTGATTATGTTGTGGGAAACTGATAATGGCTACCAAATTCTCTTGTTTAATAAAACCAGAATAATGTTAATAATGATTTTTTAAAATCATTAATTGTATCCACAATTCAAAATAGTAATCTTTATATCAAATAACAACTAAAAAGCGTAGTCTAAGGATGTATTTTATGAGACAGAAGAGATCAGATTTTTCTATTCTCTATACCTTTTCTTCATATCTTATTTTGCTGATAGTGAAAAAGAAGCAGAGTGGGAAACTAAAATTGAAAAAATCTGATTTTTGGAAAGTCCTATTTTGCAAATCAAATTAATTAACATAGGTGACTTCAGATTATATCAGAATTGCCATAGCTCCCAATAAGTTACTTTTTAAACTAGAAAAAAGCCACTCGTTGTAAGAAATAATAGTAATAAGCTTATGTGTTTTAGATCCTTTTTTGAACTTGCTCTCCCCTTTGTTATACAAGAATTGCACACAAAAGAGGGAGAAAAAAGTAACAAGACAGCATTGCCAGTCCTATACTTTGTCCATGTGCTAATATCTGCTGATGAATTCGAAGAAAAAGGTAGATTTGACTGTTAACATGAAACTCTGATTGAAACCAAGCCAGAAACAAAAACCAAGTTATGACATCTGTATTATTTTCATTATCAATATCTGTGTAAATCAGTTAAGTACTTTAGTCCTTGAGCCATTTATAATGTAGTAGTCTGTATTATTTATCTTTATTTTGTTGCTATAATAAATACTTCTCTTATCATATTTAGATATTGAAAATAATAAATCTTAAGTGGTGCGTATAAGCTGTATATGACTGAAGTAAAGACAAGCAAATCTCAGAAACAGAAAATACCTTTTAGGGAGGGGATGGGGTTAAAAGGTACACAAAATATGGTGTGTTTTAATTTTTTTTCTCTTCTTATATCTTCTTGCTTTAATGTAGTTTTATGTTTATTTTTTTGTGACTTTATTTTAAAAAAACAGCTGATGTGTTTTTTATTTTCCAACTTAATTGCTCCTATAGGCTTTGCTGCAGAAAAATAAACTTAAAAAGCAAAACTTCAGGCTTGTTCTAATTTCTTTTTATTCTCCCTCTGTGTAAATCCAAGTCACAGCCCAGAAAATAGTACAAAATGATTTTCTTTTTCTTCTGAAACTCATTACGGTACATTCACAAAATGGTATATTTAATGTTCCATTGTTATTTCCACAATATAATTTGTTAATCAAAGATTATGTTGGTTATATTTTTGTAAAATAATCTTTAATTGTTTTGCTTGAAAAACTCCAACTTAGATTATTCATTTGAAAATGATCATCATGACTAAGAATAAAGTACTTCTAGGCTGCTTGGAGATGTGTACAGCATGTGACTGTATGTGTAAGTTTTTGTAACTTTCTACACTTCTTTAAAATCACCTCCTTGGTACAAAAAAAAATATATATATATATGTGAGAAAACTAACCTGCTGTTCAGGTGCTGTTCTTTAATCAACAGAAATAGTCTGGTAAAAAACTTGCTAAGTTTATATAAATATAATAATACTTTTGTCATTTTAAGCATGAGTAATTTGTGTAACAAAAAACATAATTTAGCCAATCATGCAATTAATCTTGTATTGAAATCTCTGTGCTGTGGATGCAAAGGCCAAGGATTCTGCCCTCAAGGAGCTCACAGTCTGGCAGAGGTCTCAAAAATACACATAACTGGCTGGGTGTGGGGTCTCAGGCCTGTAATCCCAGAACTTTGGGAGGCCAAAGTGGGCGGATCACGAGGTCAGGAGATGGAGACCATCCGGGCCAACATGGTGAAACCCCATCTCTACTAAAAATGCAAAAATTAGCCAGTTGTGGTGGCAGCGCCTGTAATCCCAGCTACTCGGGAGGCTGAGGCAGGAGAATCGCTTGAACCCGGGAGGTGGAGGTTGCAGGGGGCTAAGATGACGCCATTGCACTCAAGCCTGGTGACAGAGTGAGACTCCCTCTCAAAATAAATAAATAAATAAATAAATAAATAAATAAATATCCACATAACTAATTGCAAAACAACTAAATAAGTGGTATTAATGACAGGAAAATGAGCAGTTCTGGAGTGATTGTGCTTCTTCTTTGGGTGTCAAGTGTCAGAAAATTGCATAAAGATTGTAACATTTCAGTATTCATATGAAGAGAGACAAGGAATTGTGTACCCAGAAAGGGAGTAGAAGGACACGACCAGTCACAAAATGCAGAGAACACATGGGATTTACCGTTAATCTCCTGACTCTTAAACTTGCATGTCTCTCACTTGCATGGACTCCTTCCGAGGCTCTATAGCTGTTTGCATTTCTCATTTTGTATTTTTTAAAAGCACCCCCTTCCAAATTGTGCAAGCGTCATTTTCCACAAAAGTCAGATTCTCCCTTAGGATATGCATGGTGTGGAAGAGAGAAAAGGCATATTCACACAACCACAGTAGCCTCTTTTGGCTCTGCGGTAGAAGATGAAGCTGAATGCTGACATCTCGAACCGAATTTTAGCAAACAGGGATCACATTCTTCATTGTCTCCAAAGCAAATGTTGAAATTGATTTCCTCAATTTTTGTTGTTCAGTGTTGTCTGCAGAGGAGGCAGCATGGCAGGGTTCATAAAGCTAAGAGAAAGAAGTTCAGACCATTTCTAATTATTTTTTTTTAAATTTTTTTGTAAGGGAGCAGCTGAATATGAAATAGTACAGTAAGATATATTTTTATTTTATCATCTCACCAACACCACTCATTAATTAATTCATTCTTCTAATATTTATTGAATGCTTCTTATATCTTAACTCTCCTTATTTTTCTATTGTGCCTAGAGCATTTCAGCCTTTTCTATTTTATTGATGTTTATCAGCATTTGCAGAAGATGTAGGTTAGGAAAAAAACATATTTAATTATTAAGAGAAACCATGCCCTGCTTGATTTTGCTTCTTTTTCTTGAATGACAATATTTTATTCTCTCCACACTATATTTATTTTCTCAACCAAGTCCTATGATTACTTTCAGACTGAACTCAAATGACATCCTTAATGAAAGTTCTTTAACTCTTTCCCAAGAGAATCTTTATTCCATGTTTTAATAATTTTAGCTCTTTAGTTATTGTTTGAGACCCTTGTCTATGTGTCTAGGGATAATTGTCCAGCTATTTTATATGTGCATATCTTGTCTTCTCTCCCTTTAAAAGGTGGAACCACTGTCTATCTGTATCTTTCTTGTCTGGCACAATGCCTAAAGTCTTTTAAATGATAATTAAGGAGTAGAAGGATTTACCTCTTAAACACTGAATAAAACCTAGGACTATAGGAAGGTTCGAGATAACCAAGTGTGAAAACTTCAGGTAATATTTTATTTTTTCCTAAATAAGAATATTGAGGAGGTGGCACAGTTGAACAAATGGATGAGTTAAGTGACATGAAAAAGCTGTGGGGAGTTGAATCAGATGTTATGTAAATAACTGAATTTCTTATGCCTCAATTTTTCTATCTTTATTGTAGTCTCTATCACAAGGCTATTAGCTTCAAGAATCTTGCTGGAAAATTCTAACAATATTTAGTTTTTAAGTTGAATTTTTAGGACTGACTCACTACTGTGATTTTTTTAAACCTTCTTGTCTACCTCCTTTATTCTACCCTAAATCACCAAATAGACGGGTTATCCCAGAGTTCACTGACCTTTTATTCACCCTCTAAGAGAGTAAAATTGTCCAGGAGTCCAGTAAACTATATTTCTGAATTACTTATAGAAACAATTTCATCTCAACCATGATGGGCAAGATGCTCAAATTTTAAAATGAATTTTCTTTGCTCCTATGTGTTTTGGATTGAGGAGGCATTAGTAAATCCTTGTCCTTCAGTGTCCTTATCCTCATGACAATGCTAGAACTTTCTAGTCCTTTATCTTGGAAAGAAAAACTATTTTTAATGCCAAAACAATAGAAAATTTGTCTTTAAATGATTCAGGGGAAAATCCAGAGAAAGAGTTGTCCATTTATAGGAAATCAGAAGAAATAGTGCCTATCAAACTATATTTCATTCATAAACTATTTAAAGAATCTAATTTTTGTTTATAGTAAGGCCAAGTTTCACTGAAAATTCCTTCAGCTTTTGCTTTCTCTGCCTCTGAGTATGCTTTTCATTGAGAGTGTGCTCACAGAAAACAGGAGAGAGAGAGAGAGTGATTTTAAAAGATGAATACTTACAGGTAGCTTGGATGTGAGAAGATAGGGTATTTATGAAGGAAAAATTGATAATCTGATAATCTGTTAATGTACTGCTTTGATGCAACTCACAATCCCATTATATTCTATTCTATTCTACCATGTATGAATCCATCACACACAGTCTTACCCCAGTCTCAAGGTTGGCTGCAGGACAACTGCTTTGAACTGATGTCACACAGGAGATCAGCTATTTCTCACTGCGGTTCCCCATGGACACCTTGCAGGGAGCTTGTTTATTACTCCACTGTGGGGCAGATTGGCTTATCATTACAAAATCAGCCTAAAATAGTGCCCAGATTCTGCTTTATGTCATCCAATAGTAGAAATTTCCACACTTCCAGGTGGGATATCTGAAGAATGGAATCAATATCTAGATACAGGAATAGACATTAAAATGGATTTTGGCTTAGATCATAACATAATGAGGTAGCTTTCCTTCCAAGGTTTGCAATTGAATGCAGTTATTATGAGTATGGTGAGAAGAAGGAAAAAAAATGTGTCTGGGCTTTTTTGCTGGTTTTTGTTCTTGAAAAATTGAAAATACTGATTTACAATTTTCTTCCTTTTTTTTTTTTTTTTTGTAAAAGCAAAAAGGCCTTTGTAGTTGAAGTACTGGTGACCTTTCACAGGAATTATGCAGGCAGCCATGGAGGGCTGTTCTAATGGTGATGCTGTGGTACAATCAGTTTTACTGAAAAAGAGCCCTCTGGGCTGCAGGGTAACTAGCTTAATAGCTTCTCAAGAGGACAAATCTGATACAAGACTTTAAAATGCACTTTAGGTATTTAGTATTAAATGGGCAGATAGGGGGAACTCTAGAGGATGCACAGAGGTGGATGAAGACATACTGCAAATACAAGCTGTTACAACCTGCTGCCCTCTCACCAGCACAGAGACTGTCCTGCTTTACAGCCAGTTTGGGTCTATGACAACAGGCAATTTTTTTTCTCAATGCTTCTAAGTCCAGGGCGCTCTGTGTAAAGCTAGTTGCTTCAGAAATACATCTGCTTTCTCTTTGTTTTACTTTTTAAAAAAATTGTTCTCACCCTTTTTTCACTTCCCTTGGTTAAAATATCCTTGAACATCACCAGTAGAATATCAAAGGATGACTCTACCTAGAGCTTAGAGAGTTTGTTCAGCCATTATCTCCATTGAAAGGAGCCAGGAGTTAATGCTCTGAATGGTGCCTGTTGAAATGCAGTTGTAACTGTGATTCTGGTATAAAATAATGTTTAACGACATCTCCAACCTTGGTGTAAATGTTGATTTGTGTAGGTGAATTTGGGAGGACATAATAACATTGCACTCAAGGACCCTGATCCTAGAAGCAAAATCACCTGGGTTCTGATGCCAGCTCTACCTCTCCGTTTTAGGTCCATTTAACTTCTTTAAGCCTTAGTGCCCTCACGTGGAACTGGGGACTCAAAATTACATCTACCTTATAGTGTTGCGATAATTAAATGAAATATTTTAAGTGGCTAGCACAGAGCCTGACACATAGTAAGTTCTCAATAGATGATTAACCAAAAATGTTTTCTATTTCTTAATTATTTTATTGGGCAACTTCACTATCATTGTTTGGAACTTAATTTTTTTCATTATTTTCCTTTATTATGAGAGAAGCATGCTTCATCATTTGGTATGAATTGACATTAATTAAAAGAAAAAACAAAAATGTTTGACTGATTTCTAGTATAGTGGAGGTAAAGTAGATGAAGATGCATGAGCCAGTAATTCATTCTAGAATCAATTTAGAAGCCGCCTGCTCTTGGACTGGAACATTCTAGAAGAAAGAGGATAGCTCAAAAGCCACAAGCCAAGTTTAACATTGGAGGACAGTTTCGGGGAAGGTGTGAAAGGCAGTCAGAGAAACAGAGACAGAGAAACAGAAAATTTTCATACATAAAGGGAGACATGAGGCCCAGTATTGGAAGTTCTATATTTCCTCCTGAAGCTGTGAGGAAGTATGATGAGAATTATTTATTCATTCAGCAAACATGTAGCAAGTGTTACTAAACATGTAGCAAGTGTTACTGTTGACTGTTTTCTGCTCTGTGCTAAATCTGAGATACAAGGGCAAGCAATGGTCCCTGCCCATCAGGAAGGCAGATTGTATAACTGTATTAATTATAGATTAGCATATTTCTAAGTAAATTTACGATTTTGTTGGAAGGAGTGAAGGAAGTACTGAGAGAATGATTCTATCACATCAGTAAGAATAACCAGAGCATTGTCAAAACTATTTTTAAAATGTAAATAATGATTTTTCATAACTACAAACACATTGCAGTATTACAATGATTTAAACAATTTGGAAAGGTTGTGAAAATAAGGATCAATAAAAAAGAAGAGATAGGAGGCAGGATTGTCAGAAAGTTGTGGCTTTGATATCTAAAGAGACCAGCATTGTGATATATTGTCAGTGAACAAGAGGTTCTAAAGCATCTGAGTGAAATTTTTAAAAAAATAGGCCTCTGTATTAAGAAATCTCACTCACTCTGATGTCAATCAGTGAGCATTTTTTAGAATTTAAGAGAAAGCTTTTGAATACATAGAGGTGGGTGCAGTTTTTTTCTTTAAATGTACCTATTGTAGCAAAAAACTTACGGAACATCTTATCCTAAATTGTCACTCATCAAGTTAAATAAGTTCCTCATAAACTTAATCAGGAAATTTTGGTTTTGCTTTTGACAAAATAAATTATTGTGTCCCTTTAAAATTAAATATGATAAGTAATATATTTTTTAATTTTTTTATTTCCATAGGTTTTTGGGGAACCGGTGTTACATGAGTAAGTACTTTAGTGGTGATTTGTGAGATTCTGGTGTACTCATAAGCTGAACAGTATACACTGAACCCCATTTGTAGCCTTTTATCCCTCACCCGCTTCTCACCCTTTCCCCTCGAGTCCCCAAAGTTCATTGTATCATTCTTATGGCTTTGCATCCTCATAGCTTAGCTCCTACTTATGCGTGAGAACATATGATGTTTGGTTTCCATTCCTGAGTTACTTCACTTACAATACTAGTCTCCAATCCCATCCAGGTTGCTGTGAATGCCGTTAATTCATTCCTTTTTGTGGCTGAGTAGTATTCCATCGTTTCTTTATCCTCTCGTTGATTGATGGGCATAAATATGATAAGTAATATTTTATGACAAAAAACATTGGCACATTATAGAATATACAATATATAAAGGACATGCTTGTGGGTGATGGCAGAGTCAAAAAGCATCATATATGGCCCTGTAGTCACACTCTGAGGAACGGAGGCAAGGAAAGGCACTTACAAGACTTAGGATACAAGTATATCTGCTTCAGGATACTGGTAGCCTCTCCATTTTGAACAGTGCAGTTATTAACTTAACTCCCACCTGGGTCTCTGACAGCTTTGTTTAAAATTATTCATCTCCTTTTTTCCTGTTTGACCTCATAAACCCTCATGTAGAAATTATGATGGGCAATTTCTAAGTGGTCTACCAGTTGGCCAATATTTCACCTTTCCCGGAGGAACTTAAAAACTCTTTAAATCTTTTTAACTCTTTACAATTCAACATGTTAAAATGCAAGACGTGAAAAATATTAGGAGTACATTTATACATTCAGCACCAATTCTTTGGAAAAAAATTAGTCCAAAACCCTCTTGCATTTCCAAATAGAGAGCTATTCTCCTCTATTCTCATTAAACCCCCAAACAGCTGCTAAAACCTAAAGACAGCTGCTGAGAATTAACAAGATAAGTCTTCCCTCCAAGTTTTACGCTGCTCTCTATGGAACGAGCCAAGGCCATTTATTCTGGATAATCATGCCGTTTTATCCTGACTCCACACCTGATCTGAAGAATGAGCTACAGGGACTAGAGAGCTCTATAGGGATTTCTAGTCTAATCTGATGCATAGTTTCGGATTTATGCCTCCCCTTTCTGAGAGTATTCAGAAAAGTGGGACTTTAAGTTGAGAAGAAAGGGGAGATAAAGCAGATGGCATAAAAGCTGCAGGATTTATGCAGTGTAGGATCATATATGGAAAGGCGAGGCAAATGTACCCAAAGTTTCAATTATTGCCATGTGAGTGTGGGAGAGAGGCTCAACTGTGAAGAGAGGATGGATTTAGCCTACTGATAGCACTGTGACTGCCACAGAGGGAGACAGAGCTTGATACTTTGGCCAGGATTGCTATTTAGGACCTCTCAGTAACAGAGCGCCTGATTTGCAGGGCTTTTCTATTTCCGATGCCTTGATAACTCTGGAGTCATCACAGCAGAATTTAGGAGGCAGAAGCCCCACAGTTTCAAATTTTGCCTATGAGTTCTAGCATGGTAGACTCCAAAATTTCCTGTCCCAAATACTGGTAATGTCCCAGACCCTGCTTCCTTATTTTCTTCAAAGGAGTGTTTGGCAATATCCTGAGGGCAGGCTGTGAGATAAAATGTACATTATATCAAAAACTTATTTTTAAAGACCAAGGAGACTTGATTAATGGTGAGAAATTTTTCAAGCCTTTCTCCCGCCAATCTCTCCACAGCATAGGTGATTATTACTAATTTGAAAATGTCAATGAACAATTTGCAGCAAAAAAAGTAAGAGAAACAGGTAAAACTAGAAAAAGATGGATTATTACATCACAATTTGGGTACTTAGGAAGCCAATTTTAATTTAAAAATTTTAAAATTTAATATGCATTAATATCAACTTTTTGGTGTATAGTTAATTAATTTCAACAAATAGATTTAAATAACCACTCCCACAATCAGAATATGGAATTAGAATCACCAACCTGATTCCTCCTATCACCACCCTGGTAGTCACTGATCTGCTCCCATTGCTATGGTTTTTCCTATTTCCAGAATGTCATATAAATTAGTTCATTTATTAAAGACTTTTGAAAATTGGATTTTAAACTTAACATAAAGTTTTCAAAATTCGTCCACGTTGTTGTGTATATCAATTCCCCATTCCTTTATATTGCGGAATATATTCCATTCTATTTTTGAACTATAGTTTTTTTACTCACCCATTGAAAGACATACAGTTATTTTCATGTTTGGGTGATTATAAACAGAGCTTCTATGAAACATTCACATACAGGTTTTTGCACACGCGGAAATTTTTGTTTTGCTAGTTAAATAGCTAGGAGTGGAATTGCTGGGTCATATGGCTAAGCATTCACTTAAATATAAAATATTGCCTGTTTTCCAGAGTAGCTGTACATTTTTGCATGTTCACCAGCAATGTATGAGATTTATAGTAGTTTTACATTCTTGCCATCACTTGGTATTGTAAGATTTCTTTAACTTTTAACCATTCTCATAAGTTCATAGTGGTATCTTATCATGGTTTTAATTTGTATTTCCCTAATGGTGAATAATATTGAGCATATTTTCATGTTCTTATTTGCCACTCATACATCTTCTTTGGTGAAGCTGTTCAAATCTTTGTCCCATTTTTTTATTGAGTAATTTTTTTCTTATTTTGTTGAATTTTGAGGGCTTTTAAAAAAATTCTGGATACAAGTTATCAGACTGGTGACTTGCAAATTTTCTCCCAGTCTATGGATTATCTTTTCATTCTCTTAACAGTAACTTTTATGGAGCAAAAGTTTGGGTATGTTTTAAATTCCCTATCTTTATTGACTTTATTTTCTATCCTATACCTGAATATAAATCTTAAAGAAGCATGCCAGAGACTTAGTGTGAGTGACTAGCTCAGTGAACTGCGCAATGGAAACCATACCTCTAGGAACAGGCACTCTTCATTCCTAGCTGCTGGAGAACTCATAGTCTTCAGAAGTCTGTTTGATTGGAAAATACCATTGCAAGACAGTGACCAATATTATATAAGACTTAAATACAAGATTTAAGAGAAACTTTTTTCCTTACTGAAATCTCAGGAGGCCAACACATTAATCTTGAAATTGCTGTCACTTACCGAGACTATTTTATAATGCAAAATTAATGTTTGTCAGTATCCTTTTAGGTTGCTCTGGAGATTAAATATAGGAGAAAAGAGCATTTTCTCAGGTCTGCACAGGCAAGGCCAAGTGGGAAAATTGAAGCAATTTTCTGAATAATGTAATAAACCCCTTCTTTTATTTAATTATTCAAATAAATCTTTATTTTTCCTTCCTTTCTCTGGCCATAGAGACTTCTTTGTCATCTAACTTACATTTGAAAAGTGACAGGCCTTTATATATCTAGTAAAGGCTTAAAACTTTTTAATATTTAAGGTTATCTGACCCTTAAAATAATTAGTAGAGATTCTAAAACTCCGATCTTCATAGCAGTGTTGAAGATAACTGAAAAAGCATAATCTCATGTTTTCACACATTTAATTCCATGCTCTAAAGAAACTACTACTTGCTTCTAATTTCCAGCTGCCAACATCTGCAATTAGAAACTAGCAAAACAATTACCCTAACAGCTGCTAGAAACATAGTTTACAACAAAATGTCAAATGTGTTTTTGAATGTTGAATTAAAAAACACTAATTTTTATTTCAGCTATCACCTAACCTTTCTCTCGATTAATTAATCATTCTGTTGAATAGTTTCCCAAAGAGAACACATTCCATTAGTATTCACCACATTTATTTTTAGTAAAGAGATAATGGAACTACAAGGAACATTCAACTGTAAACACAAGCATGAGTTACAAAGCCTGCTATCTAGATGACCTCTGTAGTCCCCTCTATCTCTCAGACCCTAGGATGATAATAAAAGGAAAGGCTTTCTCAGGTATATACAAAACAACAATGACAACAAAAACACATTCCTATCCCTTGTGGCCTTCAATGCTATTTACCAAAGTTACAAATGCTTTGTGTTCTCCTCAACTGCAAATATTGTTCAAAATGCATTATTTAAATTCAGTTGAGAATCATATTTGTCAAGGCAGCAGACTTTCCTAAAATACTCCTGAAGCAGTGTCATTTGATCATAGAGGTTAAAGTAGGTGTACCAGTTTGCCCACCAAATTGCAGGTGAGACACAATCACAATACTTTTCTGTTAGTTGTTGTGAAGAATGCAAATTAATGAAAAAAAAATCTTATGGTAAGTGATTTGCTATTACAGAAATTCTGTGTCTTAAAAAATGGTATCATGAAATGGGTATACACATTATATAACATAATTCATTCATTTTCTAAATTCATCCAACTGCTGTTTTCCACAAGAGATAATTATTATAATGGAAAACATGATCTAATTCTGTTTGTCTATTTTAAAGATAATTAGACTTTATTTAAAAATTCTCTGAACATATTTTCTTCAGTATTGTTTGGTACTTAAGCAGGCTGAATTCTATGGAGTCAGGGAAGATAAGATTATAAATTTATTCAAAGATGAACCTCAGTTTCTTCCACCAATAACCACACACATACCCATGCACACCTGGCCTGAGATATCAGTTTATCAGAAAGCAAAGTGGCCTCCAGAGATTTCTCCAGTATAGGAGAAATAAAACTTAACAACCTACTGGTTTAATATTTGTAAATTCTAAAATAAATATGACAATGAAATTCGTATATATTCTAAAGTTACAGAGTTGATTTTGTTTATTTCTTTGAGAGTCACTCTGTCACCCAGGCTATAGTGCAGTGGCACAATCATAGCTCACTGCAGTTTAAAATTTCTGGAATCAAGTGATCCTCCCACCTTAGCCTCCCCAGTAGCTAGGACTACAAACATGTGCCACCACACTCAGCAAATTTTTTATTTCTATATTTTTTTTTAGAGATAGGGTCTCATTATGTTGCCCAGCCTGGTCTCCAATTCCTGGCCTCAAGTTATTCCTCTGCTTTGGCCTCCCAAAGTGCTAGGATTATAGGCATGAACCACTGAGCCTCAGGGTTCATATGTTTTACATTGCTACATTTAGTATACAATTATTTTAAAACACAGAATTAGATATATAATTACTATAACTAACAGCAAGTATAGTTCATACAGGTCATTGTACTTTCTTCCGTAATATACCATCATTAGTATGACATAAAACATTTTTTGTGACTCTAATTGGTTTGTAAAAATAAAGCTTCTGTTGATTTTTACTGTATCTTAAAGTGTAAACTATAAAGAAATAAAATAATTGAAAGTCCAAATATACTACTACAGTAAACATGACCTTTAATAAAAAGTATCCTTCTGTATATATTCTCTACCCATCCAAATGCATGGCAATGTGAAGAGCTTGGAAAACAGTAGTTCAAAATAGAATGAAGAGCTTGGAAAACAGTTGTTCAAAATAGAATGAACAGAAAGATGCTATATGGTTAGCCTACTTTGGTTGAGCTTCCTCTATAATTATCCAACAAAACATATAAAGAAAAAGACTAAAAAACAAAAATAATATTAAAAATCTAGGAAAATTTAAGGAAGTGGCAGTGGTTGTCTGCAAAGAGGTTGCACAGAGGAAATTTTAGGATAAAGGAAACATTCTGTGTGGTCCTGGGGGGATGATACACTACTATACATATCAAAATTCCTAGAATTATACATAGAAAGTAAAGTTTAATGTATGCAACCTAAAAGAAAAATCCTAACAAGTAACTTTGGTAAATGAAATTTTTACTAGAAATTGTAAGACTGCAGAAAAAGAACTAGACATAAACACCGTACTCTAGTTGGTATTTTTTTTTTTGCACAGGCTTATGGGTTAACAATTCTAAAAGTGCTTTACATGTATACTGAGGTTGAACAAATATGTAAATGGCTTTTGGGTGTGGGGGCCAGGTTTCTCACTGTTAGAGAAGGAAGTCACTGATAAATAAGAAAAAAGGTCCATAATGAGCTCCACACTGCTGGAGTAAAATTGGACACATTGGTATAAACTAATGTTTAGCTTACTAAAGCTAAATATTGGATAAATATATCCAATATAAATATATCCAATTTATTGGATAAATATATCCAATAAATATATCCAAATATTGGATAAATATAGAAACAATTATAGATATACAGATTAGTATATTTTACCTAGCGCTATCTTCTGAGAGGTTCTAGAAACCATGACACCCACTAGCAATGAGCACACTGCACATTCAGATCTTTCTTGGTTTCTAAATATTGTTTTCTAATAAAAGCAACAGGTTTCTTGGAGAAATGGCTGATTCTGGGACCAGGACAGGAAAAATACAAGATGAGCCTGGAATATCTTTTAGTACCAGAAAGTAAAAAAAGTGATTAAAAAGCAAAAGGATGGGGGCATGTCAAAGAGACATAGGAAGCAACCTGATAGAGCGCTCAGTGGCCCGCAATGGAACAATTTGAACAACAAAGGGATATAGTATTAGATTGTAATCCAAAGTATATACATGAATCTATCCTGACATGGATAAATGACAGAATAAAGAAATAAATGAGGAAAAGAAACAACTGTTTCTTACAGAAGAATTTCAAATAACATATGTAGATACTCCCCAGTACAAGAAGTGAAGTTTAATTCCTTCTACCTGCTAGGGCATTCTAGGCTTTGTAGCTTATTTCCAAAGAATAGAGAAAAAAGCAGGAAAAGTGATAGGTTTACTAAGAAGAATCCTGGCGAAAGCCCCCTTACCAAACTGATAAAGGTTAATGTCACTGTAATGTCATCTAGATGTCACATACACCCTGATATAATGGGATGCACCTTTGTTGCATGATTTCAAAAATTCATAACCTTAGTGTGATGGTCAGGTTTATGTGCCAACTTAGGCTCAGCAACAATACTCAGTTACTCAATCAAACATGAATTTAGGTGTTGCTGTGCAGAGACTTTGCAGATGTGTTTAGCCTGTATAATCAGTTTAAGCAAAAGAGATTATCCTAAAAAATCTGAATGAAAAGAAGTGAGATTTTCCTGAGGAAGCAGAAATTCTGGACTGCAGATTCAATGCCTGCCTGAAAGTTTCCAGCCTACCTTTTCTGATGGCCTGTCCAGCAGATTTTGGTCTTACTGAGCATGTCCCATAAGCCAAGTTCTTGCCATCTATCCATCTATGTATTGATCGATCTATCCATTCTAGCTCTTTTTCTCTGGTGAATATGAACCCAGATTGGAAAACATTCTACAGACTACTTGCCAGTCCCCCTCAAGACTTTCAAAGACATAAGAAACAAAGGAAGACAGAAAGTGTAGAAGTCCAGGAGACTTAGGAGGTGTGACTTTCAAACATACTATGGTACCCTGGATTGAATTCTGGAACAGAAACAGAGCATTAATGGGAAAAAAAACGGTGGAACACGAATTAAGTTTAGGGTTTAGTAATATACTAACATTTATTTCATATACCATGATAAAATAAGATGATAAAAATGGATAAAACTGGGTAAGTGATATATGAGAACTCTTTGTACTGTCTTTGAAACATTTTAGCAAATATAAAATTTTTCCAAAAGGAAAAGGTTTTGTTTGATTGTTTTTTGTGATTTTTTTTTTTTTTTTTAAGAGAGCGTCTCACTCTGTCGCCCAGGCTGGAAGGCAGTGATACCAACATGGCTCAGTGAAGCCTCAGCCTCCTGGGCTCAAGTGATCCTCTCACCTAAGCCTCCTGAGTAGGTGGGACCACAGGTGTGTGTCATTGTGTTCAGCTAATTAAAAAAACAATTGTAGAGATGGGGTCTCACCATGTTGCCCAGGCTGGTATCAAACTCCTGGGCTCAGGCAGTCCTTCTGCCTCAGCATCCCAAAGTTTTTTGGGCCTAGCCAAAAAAGTTTTTCATGTACATGAAAAATTACATCTATCTGTCTCTATGTCTCTATCTTTGTATTTCTATGTATCTATATGCCTATCTGTCTGTCTATAAACAGGCATAAGGACAAATGCCAATCATTTGGAAAAGACTGTCAATAATTATTAGGCAAATAGAAATGGCTTGATATAAAATCTTCAGGCTTCAGCTCATTTCAAGCCTTGGTTCCATATCACAAACCATATTATCTAACAAAAATGAACTATACTTTATACCTCTCTTCTCCCATACCCATTTGGTGACTTTAGACCTAAGGTATGAACAAAATATATATCTGGGCACCCTCTTTACATCTCAGGCGACACTTGGTGAGTCAGTTTCTGCAACCCAGGAAGATAATGAAAAGCTCAGAAAGCAAGTGGCCATGTTTTACATCACTAATTCTGAAGAAGAGCTCAGAACAACAACAACTAAACATCCAAATCAATAATGTTCTCCTGAGCTGAAGAAAGACATGTGCATGCACTAAAAGCCGAAACTATTAATATCTACACCCACACCATTCCTGTTTACATTAACATGGCTTTATTATTCCCAGAAACTCCTGCTCTGGAAGGTAAAAATTGCAAATGACTTTTATTGTCTGCAAATAATTTTATTGATTACTCCAGAAACTTCCTGAGAGACCCACCAACTCTTCAACAGGAAGCAAATGTTATATCCCGAGATATTTCTTTCATCCTCCAATTTATTTGATAATGTGGGGAAATTTGAATACTTATATTTAATGATATTAAAAATATTATCTTTTAGGAATGATAATGCTATTGTGGCTCATTTTTTTCCCAAAACATTTTGAACCTTTCTCTTCAAAATCCTCTCCTTCCTATGCCTACCAATGCTATATTATTCTATCATGATCCTTACCCAATCCTAATCAAACCTCTTCCTTTCCTCCTTCCCGTTAAAAGACCTATGTTAAGCCAGACTTCAGAATCTCATAAATATCTTTGTGCTTCTTCTTCAGAGGTGCTGTTAACACTGGGAGTAGTGCTTTCTCTTATTGAGGTAAGCAATAAACTCAGCTCTGTCTTATTAACAGGTTGATTTGGTGATATTTTAGAAAGCTAGTATTCAACAGTGGGTTGAAAAACGTCACTGTATTCCAGGAAGAATACAATGAAAATACAATGAAAACATATCTCCATCTGATCACAGAATAAAAAATATTGAACTACATAGATTAAAATGCTTTATAAGTATCTAAGTTGACAAAAGTAATTGGCCTTTCAAGGAGAAAAATTCAGTTTTGTCACATGTTGTCCAATGCAAAATGAATGCCAAAAAAATATTGAAAGCTGGGCATGGTGGCTCACGCCTGTAATCCCAGCACTTTGAGAGGCTAAGGTGGGAGGATCACTTGAGCACAGGAGTTCAAGTCTAGCCTCTCTCTCTAAAAAAAAAAAAAAGCAGGTGGTCCCAGCAACTTGGAGGCTGAGGCAAGAGGATTGCTTAAGCCCAGGAGGCTGAGCAAGCCATGATTGTACCACTGAACTCTAGCCTGGGTAATGGAGTGAGACCCTATCTCCAAAAAACAAAAGGGTATAAAAAGTTCTGTAACCTAAGAATTTTATCATCCTATCATTCAGATAATAGAATGGTAATTTCAGATTTTATTAAGAAAATATTGTCTACTTTTTTGAAAAATTATTAGTGATACCATTCAACAGAATGAGGGATAAAGCACAGAAGTATTAAAAAAATTTTATTGAAATCTGTTAGAGAAAAATTGAAAATACTTTCATTGTTACAATTAAAGTTTCAAAAATTTATTCTTGAAAATGTATATCATGCAAAATTAATAATTTAATAATAATGCAACAATAATAATTTATATCAAATATATCAAACTAAATTAACAAAGGCTGAAAAATGGAGTTGGAAACTGTATAGTAAAGGAATCAAAATATGAAAAAGTAAGTAACTTATATAAATGAGACCTAAAATAAAATTTTTCATTTGGAACTGGCATTTAAATAAATACATCTTTAAAAGCTTTTGTAAAAAGAAATACCATTAGAATAAAAGGTAAGAAAAATACTTTCCAAAATTTGAGTAGGGCATAAAGTGGGGTGAACAGAAGTAAGCAAGTTGAAAATGAATTTGGTAGAGGTGAGCAGAGGCCATGTCATAAAGGACAATGCAAGCCATATCACTGTGTTTGAACTCTAATGATGCAAGTTTTGTTTAAGAAAACTTGGAGTAAGAATAGATACAGTATGACTAGTTAAAAGAGCATGGAAGTAATCCAGTTGAAAAATGGTGGTGGCCTGGACTAGGACATTGGCAATGGTGATGGAAAGAAGTGGAAGGCTTTGCAAGATATAAGAAGATTAAAGTAGATGTGCTTGTCAATTGATTGGTTGGCAGGGTTGAAGTGGATAGAAGAATCGGGGTTTCTGATCTGATATCAGTGGATGATAGAGCCATTCACTGAGATTGGTGGTTGGTGGGGAATGAAAACTGAAGTCTGGGCTGGAGATTGTCTATCAGTTACATATACATTCAATTGTTCTACAACTAGCAAATGAACACTTGTGTTAATTAGATACCCTGCTAGACTCTGAGAAGACCACGATAAGTAAGAAAGACACAATTCATGTTATTGCAGGATTTATGGTTTATCTCAGAGCTTAAGAGAAATTTGAATGTGATGACTACTTTTCTCAGAATTATCAGGAGTGCTTGTTAAAACACTAAATTTGTCCCCACCTTTGTCTACTAGATCGAATTTTCCAGTTGATTCTTACAGTAAGATTTGAAATCCACTAATTTATATAACTGAAACCTTTCACTTGTGACATCACTAAAACGAAGTGAAGAGAAGGAACACACCACCAGTGTTTATCAGAAGCCCAGAGGAAGAGCAGTTTATAAAAGACACTGAGAATTGATGGCCCAACATTTAAGAAGAAAACTAGAGTTTGTGTTGTGTTGGAAGACTAGAGAAAGGAACCGTTAATGTAGGAAAGTTTGTTTAACATTAAAACTGCTACCAAAGAGTCACTAAGATGAGATCTAAAATATACTCACTGAATTTTGTCACTCTAGTGAGAGCAAGGTGAGCAATTTTGAAGTGGTAGGTGAGGAAGCAAATACCATACCAAGAGCTAGCAATGCATCCAAGAAACCTGGGAGGAAAAGGGTCAAGAGAGAGTAGTAACCAGAATCTCAAGGGAGTTTGAGGGATAATTGTTTAAAAAAGAGAACTGAATATGACATTCTGATAGGAAAAAGAAACTGAAGAAAAAACAGTGAGAGGAGAGTGTTTTAAAAAAATTTCAAAGAAAGTCTTGTGGGATAAGATAAAGAACACAGGGTCTAATATAGATCTAATAAGATTTAGTAAGATCTAATAAAACAGGCAGTAAGAAAGGAAGAAAGGATGTGGTTCTGTTTGGAAGAGAAGAGTAATCTTGAAGAGTGCAGGCACCTGTCTCTCTTCATCTCTTTATAAACAGTACCTGTTATTGTGCCTGGCAGACAGCATACCCTTAATCAATACTTATTAAATGAATGAATGATTAGGGAAGCGGTCAGTAGTTCATCTTCAATTTCTCTGTAAAATATTAGTTAAAAATCTATGATAAGTAAAGGAGAGGGTGATGGGGTCAGAGACTGATCAGAGTGAAGAAGCATTGGAACAGTTTCTGTAGGGAAAAAATGAGACAAAAAAGTTGCAGGAGACCATGGAATCTCAGTAGCATCTGTTGCACAGAGGTTGATTTTCTCCATCAGCATCCACAGAAGATGAAGAAAGCAATTAGGTTTGTCCATTTTTTCCAAGGACCTAGTTTACAGTTAGGATAGGTCTTTGTTATCTTCTGCTGCCTGAGAGATTTCTCCATTAAACTCAAGATGCGCCCTCTCCTGCAGTACTGTCTTGAGCTTGTAATGAATATTCCACCTAGAGACACACCTCACCAAGGTGTGTTCTACTTCCTGATAATCACGGGCTTATTCCATTCCACCTGTCCTTTTGGTCATGACACTGTTCTGGGTGACATAAACCTAGTTCTGGTATCCCTGAGACCCCATTTTCTCCATAACAGCTTCCCCAGTGGGACATACCATCTGAACACGTTCTGTCAGAATCCCAAGTGTCTTTCCAACTTCCCTTCTTGTCATCAATTGATTTAATTTTTTAAACTTTTATTTATTTATTTATTTATTTATTTATTTATTTATTTATTTTTGCAGAGACGGGGTCTCACCATGTTGTCCAGGCTGGTCTCAAACTCCTGGGCTCAAGTGATCCTCCCATCTCAGCCTCCCCAAGTGCTGGGGTTAAAGGTGTGAGCACCGCACCTCACCCATTTGTTGACTTTCAATGCAAGTAAATGACTTTCAATGCAAGTAAATGCTGGATTAGCAAAACTGTTGTATGATTTTTTGTTTCTCTTAATGAAGCCTGCTTAATCCTCATTGCATAGTGTTTTCACCATTCATCCAGAACACATACATCAGATCCAAGGGCCAAGTTGCAGCTAGGTTATATAATGCCTTCGTGCAAATAACAAAACAATGCCTCTTCTAAGCAGGTCAATTAGGGAAAACAAAAGCATATTCCTGTGAGCCAATGCAGCACCAGGAAACATTTGGAAGAACAGGTGGTACATTTGTGTCGAAAAAGAGGTGCTCTTTTGGGAAAGAGCAACTGCCAGGCAGGGTAGCTATGGTTAGTTAGTGGAACAGAGGTGGGACTTGGGCCCCATTTATCACTGTGGCTGGAGCCTGTGGGCAGAGTGGAGGCCCTCATGCTTCAGAAACTGACTCATACAAAGTTTCATATAGATGAAAGGGTGATGAGGTAACAGCCACAATGCATCCACAGAAAAGGTCATTTTCGTGTACTGAATTTAGGTCATTATTTAAATACAAAGATAAGGAGTCTTTTGCTTTCAATTATATGTCCTTTGTAAAAAAAAAAAATGAAAATGACAACATGGCACTTTTGTAGTCTTAGTGCCATGCACCACTTCTGTTTTATCCTTGTTTAAATTACTAAACTGAATGTTTTTGTTTATAAACGTGAGAGGAAAGGGAAAAGCCAAAATATTGCACAACTAAAAAAGCCCATTGTTCTGAATAATAAAACTGCCAGAGAAGGTAAATTGTGCTTCAGTGCATGAATTTATTTAAAGAAGATAAAAGACTTTGTTTCCTCAAACTCTCTGATAGAGACACTAAATCAAACCCCAAATCTGAAGTAGCAGATATTAGATGTCAGATGCATGGGTCATTCATTCATCTCCCCCTTTCCTTGCTATAACTCAGCTCAGAACAAGGGAAAAAGAGTCAGCTGTAATTAAGATGCAAAGACTAAATCTCAATCCTCTGGGCGCTGACGGCAGTGTCTGAGGTAGCAGTCTCTGAAGTATTTGTGCATGACTGAAGAAACCTTATGATGGGGAAAGATTTGAAGGCAGGGGGCAGTGGATAAGGTAAGATATAATATGATTTTTTTCCCCATTAATCTCTTATTTTTCCCTCCAGATGCAGGTCCAAAGCCTGTGGGAGAATTTTTTTGCAAATATGATGAAAAATGACTCTACTTCCCTTCAACTTTGATATTTTGGAAATTGGGTCTATAAAGACTAAATATTGTGATGAACCTTTTAGTTACAGTGTTTCAATTGATTCCAGATTAAGTGAAACCCTCTAAGGCCTGAATTGATGGGTTTATTTTGGGACTGTCCTAAAATCCAAATCTTTATAATTCCCAAACTGCATGAGTCTTATGCTTACATTGTGTCCCCTCTAAATGGGGAGGAACAATTTAGGCCCCAAACAGGCATTCTTTTTCCAGTGCAATACCAATTCAATTTCAACCATCTGAAAAATTACTCAATTAAAGTCTATTTTCTGAATGCAAGTGATTGCCCATCCTGGAATAGCTCTCCTTGTCTGCGGCCTTTTCTGCAGAGTAGCTGATAAGGGGCTGGCTGGGCTGACAACATGTATGTGTACAAACTTGCACACTAGAGTAATGATCCTAGGGATACCTCTGTACTCAGGAACTTTGTGTTGATGTTGGATAATCCTTGGGTGTTTGAGGGTTTTTTTTTTAATTACATTGTTCATGAATTCATTATATATTTGTTTAAGGCACACACTAAATTTTAAATATCTGAAATGACTAATTTACAAAATTCATTTCTGAAGCCAGAATTGGGTGAGGAGTTAAATTCAATCTTTCATAAAAACATAATGAACACCTGCTGCGTTAAGCAGGGGAACTAGAATGAATAGGACACAGCCTCGGTCTTGAGAAGTATACATTCTAGTTGGAGGACTGAGAAAAGAATACAAATAATTACAATATAAAGCAGGTGAGGATGAGCGTTTAGGAGTACAAAGTGAAGTGAGTTCATAGGAAGGGGTTCTCATCCATTTGAAACTACAAAGTATTTCTATGGAACTTTGAAATTTAAGATTGCCTTGAAAGATGAGTTGAATTTGACAGAATAAAATATTATGCACATAAGGAATAATATAACAAAGGCACAGAGAGGAAAAGACTGCATAGCAAATGGTTATTTTTTGGCTGGAGAATGGGGCTCATACGAAAGAACATCGGGCATTAAAGCCAGAATGCACTTTAACCTGGGAGCAGTGTAGACTAAATTGGAGTGAAGAAAGAAATGAATGTGAAGGTGGAGGGTGGAGCTGGTTCAGGGAAGAGACCAGAACAATAACCCTAGGGAGGTAAAGAGGAATTTAGCTAAGGTGGTAATAGTGGGGAAAGAAAAGAAGGGATGAATATGAAAAACTTTCTGAAGGACTGCTTGCTGGGAACTGTTAACACCTTAGATGTGGTGAATAGGGAGAGAAAGAGACCACTGGTGGCTGAGAATGAGCCTAGTACTAACAGAGTGGTGTTGCCTGAAGACAGAGATAGGAAAGTCAAGAGGAAGAATTGGGGGTGAAGAAACCAACATTTTTGTTGAGATTTAGTTTATTTGAATACTTGGGATAGCCAGGAGTTAAGGAGATACCTTTTAGTCATACACATCCACATGTCAAAGCCATCACATTGCAGCTGTGGGTATACATTTGGGTGCCATGCGCTTAATGATGGAAGTTTAGATGGGAAGATGTTGGGCATTATGAAAGAGAAAAGCAAGGGAAAGAGTAAAGGCCAAAGAGAGTATCAGGTTGTCAGAATATCAAATTTTGCAGACAAGTGGGCAACAAAGCTAGTTTTGGGTGCTTGGGTGATCACTGGCAACATTAAGGAGAACTTTTAGTCTAATGCTGGGAGTAGGGTCCAGAAATAAAAGTCCCAGGTGAGGCAAAAATAATGAGAGAGAGAGAGAGACTGAGCTCTCCATCTGGTGTGGTTGATTTTGTGACTTGAACTGTGATGTGCTCTTAGGGTGGCCAGATTGAGTTAAGCTGACCAACCATCCCAGTTTGCCCGGGACAGTCCCGTTTTAGCACGAAAAATCTGCATCCCAGGAATCTCCCTAGTTCTGGGCAAGCTGGGATGGTTTGTCACCCTACAATTCTTAGGGCAACATACGGCGCTTAGTAGGTTTTCAGTAAGTATTTGTTGAGTGAATGAAAAAAAGAAAAAAAAAACAGAGACAGATTAACCTCTCTGGGGCTAAGTTCCTTAAGTTTGTAAAATGAGGTTAGAAATATCTGTAATAGCCAGCACATGAGGTTATTTTGACAACCAGATGAAATAATGTTTCATGCGCGTCCGTGTGAAGAGACCACCAAACAGGCTTTGTGTGAGCAACAAAAAACGGCACCAAATTTCATGCGCGTCCGTGTGAAGAGACCACCAAACAGGCTTTGTGTGAGCAACAAAAAACGGCACCAAATTTCATGCACGTCCGTGTGAAGAGAACACCAAACAGGCTTTGTGTGAGCAACATGGCTGTTTATTTCACCTGGGTGCAGGCGGGCTGAGTCCGAAAAGAGAGTCAGCAAAGGGAGATAAGGGTGGGGCCGTTTTATAGGATTTGGGTAGGTAAAGGAAAATTACAGTCGAAGGGGGTTTGTTCTCTGGTGGGCAGGAGTGGGGGTCGCAAGATGCTCAGTGGGGGTGCTTTTTGAGCCAGGATGAGCCAGGAAAAGGACTTTTACAAGGTAATGTCATCAGTTAAGGCAAGGACCGGCCATTTACACTTCTTTTGTGGTGGAATGTCATCAGTTAAGGTGGGGCAGGGCATATTCACTTCTTTTGTGATTCTTCAGTTACTTCAAGCCATCTGGGCTTATATGTGCAAGTCACAGGGGATGCGATGGCTTGGCTTGGGCTCAGAGGCCTGACATTCCTGCCTTCTTATATTAATAAGAAAAATAAAACAAAATAGTGTTGAAGTGTTGGGGCGGCGAAAACTTTTGGGGGGTGGTATGGAGAGAGAATGGGCGATGTTTCTCAGGGCTGCTTCAAGCGGGATTAGGGGCAGCGTGGGAACCTAGAGTGGGAGAGATTAAGCTGAAGGGAGGTCTTGTGGTAAGGGGTGATATTGTGGGGATGTTAGAAGAAACATTTGTCTTATAGAATGATTGGTGATGGCCTGGATACAGTTTTGTATGAATTGAAAAACTAAATGGAATAACAGAAGGAGAAAAACAGGTATAAAAGGTCTAAGAATTGGGACGACTCAGGATATCTGATTAGAGAGTGCCTAAGGAGATTCAGCATAGTCCTGCCAGCAAAGATTATTTATTTACTTCAAGAGTTAAGAGTGGCAGTTTGGGGATAGCACCAGGAGATATCAGCTGTGATGGCTTGGAAAAACAGTGTAAACTGGCAGTGTAAACAAGAGCAGGGCATGTTTGAGTAGTTGAGAACGGTGAATAGGAGTATGACTAGACAGAAAATAGTAGGGATGACAAGTTTTTTTTTTTTTTTTTTTTTTTTTTTTTTGAGGCACAGTCTAAGTTGGTCTTGTGTCTGGAATGAGACTGGGGCCTAATAAAAAAGAGCGTCTATACAGGAGCTTAAATCGGCCGTACCCTGTAGCATTCCGAGAACAGGCCTGAATTCTGAGAAGGGAAAGTGGTAAAAGTATTGTCCAGTCCTTTTTCAGTTGGTGGCTGAGCTTGGTGAGGTGTGTTTTTAAAAGACCTTTAGTCTATTCTACTTTTCTTGAAGGCGGAGGACCATAAGGGATATAAAGGTTTCACTGAATACTAAGAGTCTGAAAAACTGCTGGCTGATTTGACTAATAAAGGCTCGTCTGTTATCAGACTGTATTGAGGTGGGAAGGCTAAACTGAGGAATTATGTCTGACAGAAGGGAAGAAATGACTGCGGTGGCCTTCTCAGACCCTGTAGGAAAGGCCTTTACTTATTCAGTGAAAGTGTCTATTTAGACTAAGAGGTATTTTAGTTTCCTGACTCGGGCATGTTGAGTAAAGCTAATTTGCCAGTCCTGGGTGGGGCAAATCCTCGAGCTTGATGTGTAGGGAAGGGAGGGGGCCTGAATAATCCCTGGAGTAGTAGAATAGCAGATGGAACACTGAGAAGTTATTTCCTTGAGGATAGATTTCCATGATGGAAAGGAAATGAGAGGTTCTAAGAGGCAGGCTAGTGGCTTGTACTATAGCATAACCTGCCTTTGCCGGTGTGTGGCGATTAGGCCTGGTGGAACCGCCATCAATAAATCAAGCGTGATCAGGGTGAGGAACAGGAAAGAAGGAAATTTGGGGAAATGGGGTGAATGTCAGGTGGATCCGAGAGATACAGTCATGAGGGTCAGGTGTGGTATCAGGTATAATGTGGGAGGCCGGATTGAAGTCCGGGCCAGGAACAATGGTAATTGTGGGAGACTCAACAAAGAGTGAGTATAGCTGAAGGAGCGGGGAAGCAGAAAGTACATGCGTCAGGTATGAGGAAGAAAACAGATTTTGGAAGTTATGAGAACTGTAGAGAGTGAGTTGAGCATAGTTTGTGATTTTGAGGGCCTCTAAAAGTATTAAAGCAGCGGCAGCCGCCGCACACAGACATGAGGGCTAGGCTAAAACAGTAAGGTCAAGTTGTTTGCAGAGAAAGGCTACAGGGTGCGGTCCTGGCTCTTGTGTAAGAATTCTGACCGCACTAACTATGCCTAGGAAGGAAAGCAGTTGTTGTTTTGTAAGGGATTGAGGTTTGGGAGATTAATTGGACACGATCAGCAGGGAAAGCACGTATGTTTTTATGAGAATTATGCCGAGATAGGTAACAGATGAGGATGAAATTTGGGCTTGACTGAAGTAATGGGGGCTGTCTATGAAGCCTTGCGGCAGTACAGCCTTGGTAATTTGCTGAGCCTAATGGGTGTCAGGGTCAGTCTAAGTGAAAGCAAGGAGAGGCTGGGATGAGGGATGCAGGGGAATAGTGAAAAAAGCATCTTTAAGATCAAGCACGGAATAGTGAGTTGTGAAGGAAGGTATTGAGGACAAAAGAGTGTATGGGTTGGGCACCACAGGGTGGATAGGCAAAACAATTTGGTTGATAAGGCGTAGACCCTGAACTAACTTGTAAGGCTTGTCTGGTTTTAGGACAGGTAAAATGGGGGAATTGTAAGGAGAGTTTATAGGGTTTAAAAGGCCATGCTGTAGCAGGCGAGTGATAACAGGCTTTAATCTTTTTAAAGCGTGCTGCGGGATGGGATATTGGCGTTGAGTGGGGTAAGGGTGATTAGGTTTTAATGAGATCCAGGAATAGTCAGGGAAGCAGATTATTTAGTTAAAGTGTCTCAGCCTAATAAGGGAACTGGGCAGGTGGGGATAACTAAAAAGGAGTGCTTAAAAGAGTATTGTCTAAGTTGGCACCAGAGTTGGGGAGTTTTAAGAGGTTTAGAAGCCTGGCCGTCAACACCCACAACAGTTATGGAGGCAAGGGAAACAGGCCCTTGAAAAGAAGGTAATGTGGAGTGGGTAGCCTCCGTATTGATTAAGAAGGGGACGGGCTCACCTTCCACTGTGAGAGTTACCTGAAGCTCGGTGTCCGTGATGGTCTAGGGGGCTTCCGAGGCGATCGGGCAGTGTCAGTCTTCAGCCGCTAAGCCGAGAAGATCTGGGAAGGAGTCAGAGAGCGTTCCCGGGGCTCTGGGAGTGGCTGCCAGGTGAGTTGAACAGTCTGATTTTCCGTGGGGTCCCACACAGATGGGATGCAGCTTAGGAGGAATCCCAGGCTGCGGGCATTCCTTGGCCCAGTGGCCAGATTTCCGGCATGTGTAGCAAGCTCCTGGGGGAGGAGGTTCTGGAGGAACGCCTGGCCACTGCAGTTCAGGTGTTTGGAAGTTCTTGTGTGCTGGAGATGTGGCTGGGGTTTGTCTCACAGTGGAGGCAAGGAATTGCAACTTTTTTTCTGTTATTGTACACCTTGTAGGTGAGGTTAATTAAGTCCTGTTGTGTGGTTTGAGGGCCAGATTCCAATTTTTGGAGTTTTATTTAATGTTGGGAGCAGATTGGGTAATATAATGTATATTGAGAATAAGACGGCCTTTTGACCTTTTAGGGTCTAGGGCTGTAAAGCGTTTCAGGGTTGCTGCCAAAAGAGCCATGAACTGGGCTGGGTTTTTATGTTTGATGAGAAAGAGCCTAAATGCTTCTGATTTGGGATAAAGAAAAAGGAGCATTAACCTTGACTATGCCTTTGGCTCCAGCCACCTTTTTAAGAGTAAATTGCTGGGCAGGTGGGGGAGGGCTAGTCACGGAACGAAACTGTAAGCTAGACCAGGTGTGAGGAGGGGAGGCGATAAAAAGATTATAGGGTGGAGAAGCGGAGGCTGAGGAAGAATTGGGACCTAGCTCGGCCTGGCGAGGAGCAGCCTGGGGAGGAAGGGAGAGGTCAGATGGGTCTGTAGAAAAGGAAGATTAGAAAGACTCAGCGACACTTGGGGTTGGTACTGAGGGGACAGGCGGGAGGGAAAGAAGGAAGATTTGGGACGAGTTGCACTGGGCACAGAGACTAGGAAGGGACTGATGTGTAAAAGAATGCCTGGACGTCAGGCACCTCAGACCGTTTGCCTATTTTATGACAAGAATTATTTAGATTTCGCAGGATGGAAAAATTCAAAGTGCCATTTTCTGGCTATTTGGAACTACTGTCGAGTTTGTATTGGGGTCAAGAGGCATTGCAGAAGAAAATAAGGCATTTAGGTTTTAGGTCAGGTGTGAGTTGAAGAGGTTTTAAGTTTTTGAGAACACAGGCCAAGGGAGTAGAAGGAGGAATGGAGGGTGGAAGTTTGCCCATAGTGAAGGAAGCAAGCCTAGAGAAAAGAGAGAGTAGAGAAACGGAGGGAAGGCGTTCGGGGGTTCTTACCTTCCAGAAAAGTGGGAAAAGGGGTTGGGGCGCAGAGATAAGAGGTCAGGGCATGGAAATAAGGGATTGGGGTGCAGAGATATAAGAGGTTGGGGCATGGAAATAAGGGATTGGGACACAGAGATATGAGGTAGGGGCACGGAAATAAGGGATTGGGGCACAGAGATAAGAGGTAGGGGCACAGAAATAAGGGATTGGGGCACAGAGATAAGAGGTTGGGGTGCGGAAATAAGGGATGGGGGCACAGAGGTAAGAGGTCGAGGTGTGGAAATAGGGGATTGGGGTGCAGAGATAAGAGGTTGGGGCACAGAAATAAGGGATTGGGGCACAGAGATAAGAGGTTGGGGCACAGAAATAAGGGATTGGGGCACAGAGATAAGAGGTTGGGGCATGGAAATAAGAGATTGGGGCACAGAGATAAGAGGTTGGGGCGTGAAAATAAGGGATTGGGGGTTCTTGCCCCGTAGAAAAGCGGGACTTGCCGCTAAGGGTGAAGGAGAAGGGGTTGAGGGGTACTTGCCCCTCTCCCAGAAAAGCAGAGAAGGGGTAGAGACAAGGAGAGAAGGGGTTGAGGTACTTGCCCTTTTGGGTGTTTAATCAGAGAGGCGTCCCTGCAATGATTAAACACCAAGGGAAGGCTGCCTTCCCAGTCCGTGACTGGCGCCGGAGTTTTGGGTCCATGGATAAAACGTGTCTCCTTTGTCTCTCCCAGAAAATGAAAGGAATTGAAATTAAGAGAAGGGAGAGGTTGAAGAGTGGAAAGGAGAAAGTGGTTGAGGGACAGTGAGAGAGGTTGGAGAAGAGAGTAAGAAGAGGCCGCTTACCTGATTTAAAATTGGTAAGATGTTCCTTGGGCTGGTCGGTCTGAGGACCTAAGGTCATAGGTGGATCTTTCTCACGGAGCAAAGAACAGGAGTACAGGGGATTGATCTCCCAAGGGAGGTCCCCCGATCCGAGTCACAGCACCAAATTTCATGCGCGTCCGTGTGAAGAGACCACCAAACAGGTTTTGTGTGAGCAACATGGCTGTTTATTTCACCTGGGTGCAGGCGGGCTGAGTCCAAAAAGAGAGTCAGCAAAGGGAGATAAGGGTGGGGACATTTTATAGGATTTGGGTAGGTAAAGGAAAATTACAGTCAAAGGGGGTTTGTTCTCTGGCCGGCAGGAGTGGGGGTCGCAAGATGCTCAGTGGGGGTGCTTTTTGAGCCAGGATGAGCCAGGAAAAGGACTTTTACAAGGTAATGTCATCAGTTAAGGCAAGGACCGGCCATTTACACTTCTTTTGTGGTGGAATGTCATCAGTTAAGGTGGGGCAGGGCATATTCACTTCTTTTGTGTTTCTTCAGTTACTTCAGGCCATCTGGGTGTATACATGCAAGTCACAGGGGATGCGATGGCTTGACTTGGGCTCAAAGGCCTGACATAATGTATATGAGTATATTAGGAAAAACTGAACACTATACAAATATATACAAATTTATGCTTGATTAATTTTTTATTTTATGCATCCTATGCATACTATTATTTGTTGAAATTTTTACTTGTCTTTTTTTTTTTTTTTTGGTCGACTAACCTCTCATTTCCAATGATGTGATATTGGCACTGAAGTTAGTAATTAATTTTGTTTATATGGCACCCAACACCCAAGAGCCTCTAGGCACATGGCCAAGTCCTTTTTTTAAATATAGTCATTAAATATAGGAAAAGAGCCAAGCAAATTCCTAAACTGGCAAGTGAAAAAAAGCGCAACTAGAAAATGGGGAAACAAAAGAATTAATAACAAGTATCAATTAAGAGAATTTCTTCCATTATCTAGGGACAAAAACTGCATCCCAAACCTAATAGAAAATAGGTTGTATAACATTAGCCACCTAATCTCCCAACCTCTTGATAAAAGAGCTCCTGAAGTATGAATTTTTTTTAAATGAAAATTTCCGTTTTTTAAAAATTGAAAATATAATTAGGCTTTTCACTTAGCAAATTCTCATGTTAAAGTGGGAAGAGACCTTGGAGATCATCTCATTCTACCTTCTTATTTGATATGTGCTTTTTGTAGGAACAGCTCTGGGTAATGTTTTATTAACATACTTAGCTCCACAAAGTGAAGGGTAAACTCCCCTGTGAATGAAGGACTCTGCAGATTTCAGAGTGTAGACAAAGAATGGATCAGAGTTCTTAACTGGACTGTCTAAGTCCCTTCATCCATATCTAGCTCTCTCCTCCCGACTGGACAGGATCCCAGTCTCATGGTCCTAGAATATTTTGACTAAACT
Source organism: Homo sapiens (assembly GCF_000001405.40). Lineage (NCBI taxonomy): Eukaryota > Metazoa > Chordata > Mammalia > Primates > Hominidae > Homo > Homo sapiens. Next base: position 114,429,148 of record NC_000006.12, read on the forward strand.
CTGAGGGCTGCACTGCAAAGACATTTGTTTTCTTTCCTGCTTTGTCTTCTTGCCTTTTCTCAGCTTCTGATGCTCCTTTTGCTTTTCTCTATTAATAGCTGTACATATTTCTAGAAATGGTAGATGCAATATGACTCAGAGAAATATTATTCAAAGACTTCAACTTTTTTGCCCAAGAAATTCAGCAAACTTTAAACTTTTCTTTGATTACCCCACTCTCCTGTCTTTGAAGATTTCCTTTGGAGACACCCTATTTTGTGGTGTCTCTTTTATTTGAAGTTGATTTTACAGCAACGAAACAGTTTCAAAATTAGACCTTCTTCACAAATAAGTTATTAGATAATTTGCAGAGATTATTTATTTTACAATTCAAAATTCTCTGCCTAATACCACTGTGCTATGCCAACTATATATATATATAGTCATTTGTGTATATATATATTTCATATATAGTCATTTGTACACTATATATACAAATTTGATCTGGATAGGCAAATTGTGAGATATTTATTCTACATGAACCCTGTTATATAATGTCTGATCTATTGTACTGATCAAATTATCACTCTCATATGTTCATATTTGATACTATTAGCAAGGACATATTGTTTACTATAGTATTTATTTCATGCATGTATAACTTGTCATACAAGTAGATTGTGTCAAATTGTGACATAAATATACTTCTCACTTTCCCTTTTAAACCCTTAATTCCTCAGTCTATACAGAGGGGTCTATTGTTGAGAAGAGCTAAAATGTTACTGCTTCTGGAGTACTTCCACGTTTAAGATGGAAAATATTGAGGGCAACTGTATGGAATTGTATATCAGACCCTGAAAGTGGAAACCACTGTGTCTTAGGCTAAGAGGAATGGTGCTGGAATATAAGGAACTCTGATATGATGTCATAAGACTATGTTCACTTCTGATTTCAACATTTATTAGCTATTTGACATTAGATAGGTGAACCCTGATAAGCCTTAATTTTCTTATCTATAAAATAGGAACACTTATTTTATAAATATAATACAAATAAATAAAAAAGTGATATACAAATGCCATGTATTATTATTATTTCTTTACTTCTTTTCCTATAATGCCTTTTTAGATGCACATTAAATACTTTTCAATAAATGGTGGCATAAACTTTCTAGAGCAGTTATAATATAGTTATTTGTAATAATTAGATATTTTGGGGGAGCTGCGTATCTTTAATTTTATTTTTTAGAAGAGTCCTGGAAATGCTATTATTTGGAAACTATTTTTCCCTTGATTATCTGGAATGAAACATTTCAAATAAACCTCACAAGCCAGGCACAAGACTACCCTGTAATACTGGCTACAAATTTCTGAAACAGGATTGCATTTCATTCTCAAAACCAATTTTACAGTTTAATAACATGTTCTCTCTTTTTCTTTTATAAAGAAATCCAGCTGCTTTGTTCATATGGTACTTCCTATGTGGGTATGGTTTAATTTGTCCTCACCAAAACTCGTGTTGAAATTTGATCCCCAATGTGGTAGTGCTGGGAGGTGAGGCCTAGTGGGAAGTACTTGGGTCACGGGGGCAGAGCTCTCCTGAATGACTTGCTTCAGTTCTCATAGTAATGAGTGAGTTTCTGCTATGGGAATACTGGATTAGTTCCTCCCAGAGTGGGTTGTGATGAAGTCAGGATACCCCTCAGAATTTGTCTCTTCACACGTGTCTGCTTCCCCTTTGACCTTCTGCCATGTCTTGACACAGCACGAAATGCTGTCACCAAAAGCTGAGCAGATGCTAGTGTCATGGTCTTTGAACTTCCTAGCCTGCAGAACCATAAGCTAAACAAACCTCTTTTCTTTATAAACTGCCCAGCCTCAGTCAGGCATAGCAACAAAAAAAAACAGACTAAGATAGTATTCTCTTAGCCAAAATTTGGTCTGTAGGTTTTGAATCTTTTCCTTCTTCAAATAAACAAACCAAATAAACTAATAGTTACTTGTAAAATTTTTCCTATAAAATTTACATTTTGTTCTGCTCTCTTTTTCTTTTGGGACAAAGTAGTGATTGTAAGGGGCACTGTCTGGATGCATTTAAGAGAGATTTCTATTTTTAAGCTTCTTAGAAAAATTACCTCTGTTCTTTGGGAATCATCTGAAGGGATTTATCTCAGTGATTTTATTATGTAGAGTTAAAATACACACTTGGCTGATTTAGCACTTGATAAAATATAGTACCTAAATAGATTTATACATTTCTTTGATATACATATATCCCCTCCAAAAGTCTCTGATATCTTGCCATTTTCTTCTTTCTCCAAAGTCCCATGAAGGTATTGAATTTTTACAAATAAATTAACTGTGCATAAGCAAGTTCTCCCTGTTTTAATCCCAGTCCTTGGGCCAAAACTCCTTTAAAATAAGCATTGCCCTAGGATCTTTGTTTTTTTTTACTTTCATATCAAAGACTTCTTTCTAAAGCTGTATCAATAATCATGCTGAGGGAACTACACCGTACTCAGTTCATTACCCACAGAAAAAATGAGAATTTATTTGTTTCTGTCCAGCTTTGACTTCATGACTAGAGGTAATCTGAACTAGTACCCAGGCCCAGTCTTAGACCACACATGATGGGTAACATTCTCACATTTGATGACAATCTTCTACCATTCTTTTTAATTTTTTTGAATCATTTTTGAGTGTGGTGGCAGATGGCACGTCTCTCAGTGAAATCAAAGGCATATGGCAAGCTGTTTTCAATAGTGCCATGCCACCTAAGTTGCAGTATTTATATTTCAAGGAAAAAATAATTTAGCTTCTGATACCAAGCTTTGGATGTAGTCATAATGAATATATATTTCCCAAACACCATACATTTTGAAATTTCTAAATGATTGTGTGGAAATCCTCTTTTAATCATAGTGAGCAGTCAAGTTCAGAAATGTAGAAACTGGCTTTTAGATGGATCAGACAAATCTAAGAAAGAGACCAAAAAGGATCATTTTTTTGTTTGTTAGAAAAAGAAAAGTCATCTTAATAGGTTCTATAGCCTGAGAGAGGATATTCAATTTTTAAAACAATATTGTCTATTTAGGTTAAGAAAATAATACATTCATTTTACCATTTTCCATTCTCTTTTCTGTTTGTTCATTAAATTATATACAGGTCAGAAGCCAGGGGTTGAAACTTCCTTAAGTTACTTGTACACTTCATTAATTCTATTCAAATAATTCATTTCAGAGTATTAGTTGTTAATTAAAACCAGAATGACAATGGCAACAATTAAAAATCTTAAGAAAATAACTTATATTCAGTATTTTTTCTTATAACACAATGAACTCATGTCTTCCCAAACTAGATTCAGGCATATTGTTAACTCACATTGTCATAGCTCTCTAGAGTCCAAATTTTTTGCATGTAGAAAATCAGCACTATGCAACAGGGACAGCTGCCGTGATAGCAACCCTGTAATTGTTGGGGCTGGACTCCCAGGGGAGTAAGAAAGGAGGGGTGGAGGGAAGAAACACCACCAATACTGAGAGAGAGTCCATATTTTATGAGTATCTCAACACTTAAAATCCTGGCAGTTTATATGTCTGAGTTCAGTGGTGATATTTGCTATTTTATTAAGTGAAAAAAGATAGAGTTTTATTTTCTCTGCAGATACATGTTTTTTTTTTTTTCTGTCTTTTAATGAAATTATTATTTGCTAACAAGTCTTAGGGCTTTTGCAGAACAAATCTCTTAGCTCAAGCTGTTACATCATGGCCAGTTCCCATAAGACAAGTTGATAATCACCCTTTTTGCTTTCCTTCAAATTTGACAAACCCACTAAAAACTACTAGATATTATAAACACTATCCCTTCTCTTCCTTAGATTTCTAAGAGAATTTTACTATTCTCTTAGCGTTCTCCTATTTTTATGAAGTGCCATGCCACCTTATATGCATTTCTTTCCTATCAGATACACTATATTTATATTTATGCATCAAAATTGTGGTGCTATCATTCAGAAAAGGCAACTTTTTAAAAAATTTTATTATTATTATACTTTAAGTTTTAGGGTACATGTGCACAATGTGCAGGTTTGTTACATATGTATACATCTGCCATGTTGGTGTGCTGCACCCATTAACTCGTCATTTAGCATTAGGTATATCTCCTAATGCTATCCCTCCCCACTCCACCCACCCCACAACAGTCCCCAGTGTGTGATGTTCCCCTTCCTGTGTCCATGTGTTCTCATTGTTCAATTCCCACCTATGAGTGAGAACATGCGGTGTTTGGTTTTTTGTCCTTGCGATAGTTTGCTGAGAATGATGGTTTCCAGTTTCATCCATGTCCCTACAAAGGACATGAACTCATCATTTTTTATGGCTGCCTAGTATTCCATGGTATATATGTGCCACATTTTCTTAATCCAGTCTATCGTTGTTGGACATTTGGGTTGGTTCCAAGTCTTTGCTATTGTGAATAGTGCCACTATAAACATATGTGTGCATGTGTCTTTATAGCAGCATGATTTATAATCCTTTGGGTATATACCCAGTAATGGGATGGCTGGGTCAAATGGTATTTCTAGTTCTAGATCCCTGAGGAATCACCACACTGACTTCCACAATGGTTGAACTAGTTTACAGTCCCACCAACAGTGTCAAAGTGTTCCTATTTCTCCACATCCTCTCCAGCACCTGTTGTTTCCTGACTTTAATGATCGCCATTCTAACTGGTGTGAGATGGTATCTCATTATGGTTTTGATTTGCATTTCTCTGATGGCCAGTGATGATGAGCATTTTTTCATGTGTTTTTTTTGGCTGCATAAATGTCTTCTTTTGAGTCACCCACTTTTTGATGGGGTTGTTTTTTTCTTGTAAATTTGTTTGAGTTCATTGTAGATTCTGGATATTAGCCCTTTGTCAGATGAGTAGGTTGCACAAATTTTCTCCCATTCTGTAGGTTGTCTGTTCACTCTGATGGTAGTTTCTTTTGCTGTGCAGAAGCTCTTTAGTTTAATTAGATCCCATTTGTCAATTTTGGCTTTTGTTGCCATTGCTTTTGCTGTTTTAGACATGAAGTCCTTGCCCATGCCTATGTCCTGAATGGTATTGCCTAGGTTTTCTTCTAGGGTTTTTATGGTTTTAGGTCTAACATTTAAGTCTTTAATCCATGTTGAATTAATTTTTGTATAAGGTATAAGGAAGGGATCCAGTTTCAGCTTTCTTTTTTTTTTTTTTTTTTTTTTTTGAGAAGGAGTCTTGCTCTGTTGCCCAGGCTGGAGTGCAGTGGCGCGATCTCGGCTCACTGCAAGCTCCGCCTACCGGGTTCACACCATTCTCCTGCCTCAGTCTCCCGAATAGCTGGGACTACAGGTGTCTGCCACCGTGCCCGGCTAATTTTTTTTGTATTTTTAGTAGAGATGGGGTTTCACCGTGTTAGCCAGGATGGTCTCGATCTCCTGACCTTGTGATCCGCCCACCTCGGCCTCCCAAAGTGCTGGAATTACAGGGTTGAGCCACCATGCCCAGCCCCAGTTTCAGCTTTCTACATATGGCTAGCCAGTTTTCCCAGCACCATTTATTAAATAGGGAATCCTTTCCCCATTGCTTGTTTTTGTCAGGTTTGTCAAAGATCAGATAGTTGTAGATATGAGGCATTATTTCTGAGGGCTCTGTTCTGTTCCATTGGTCTATATCTCTGTTTTGGTACCAGTACCATGCTGTTTTGGTTACTATAGCCTGGTAGTATAGTTTGAAGTCAGGTAGCGTGATGCCTCCAGCTTTGTTCTTTTGGCTTAGGATTGACTTGGCGATGTGGGCTCTTTTTTGGTTCCATATGAACTTTAAAGTAGTTTTTGCCAATTCTGTGAAGAAAGTCATTGGTACCTTGATGGGGATGGCATTGAATCTATAAATTACCTTGGGCAGTATGGCCATTTTCACAATATTGATTCTTCCTACCCATGAGCATGGAATGTTCTTCCATTTGTTTGTATCCTCTTTTATTTCCTTGAGCAGTGGTTTGTAGTTCTCCTTGAAGAGGTCCTTCACATCCCTTGTAAGTTGGATTCCTAGGTATTTTATTCTCTTTGAAGCAATTGTGAATGGGAGTTCACTCATGATTTGGCTCTCTGTTTGTCTGTTATTGGTGTATAAGAATGCTTGTGATTTTTGCACATTGATTTTGTATCCTGAGACTTTGCTGAAGTTGCTTATCAGCTTGAGGAGATTTTGGGCTGAGACAGTGGGGTTTTCTAGATATACAATCATGTCATCTCCAAACAGGGACAATTTGACTTCCTCTTTTCCTAATTGAATACCCTTTATTTCCTTCTCCTGCCTAATTGCCCTGGCCAGAACTTCCAACACTATGTTGAATAGGAGTGGTGAGAGAGGGCATCCCTGTCTTGTGCCTGTTTTCAAAGGGAATGCTTCCAGTTTTTGCCCATTCAGTATGATATTGGCTGTGGATTTGTCATAGATAGCTCTTATTATTTTGAGATACGTCCCATCAATACCTAATTTGTTGAGAGTTTTTAGCATGAAGGGTTGTTGAATTTTGTCAAAGGCCAGAAAAGGCAACTTAATGGAAATTACATGTCAGGTGTCACCTCTCTCAGTACTGCAAGGCTATTTATCTACACCTCTTCCTATTTACTGTTTGTTGTACCCTTTAGATATGCTAAGGGGTTTGCAAAAAACACCTTCACTTAGGATGATGTGACTATTACTCTGAAATTTCTTGACTGCTGGAAAAGACGCAGGATTTGTCCTATATAGCATGATTCCTCTGATGTCTGGTCGATCACCCCTGCCCATCTTTTGGAGGTAGAGGATTGAAGTAGTCCTTTTTATCAACTAGAATTACTCACATTGACATTCTGTCTTGTTATAGTAAATCCTGGTGTACAAGCAGCATGTAGTGGTACATTTTAATAACTAAGTGTAAAAAAAATGGCTATTGGAACCTACTTAGTATTTGTATAGCATGGTCTGGAGTCAATGGCTGGGTTAAATCATGGTTCCTTCATTTATCAGTTTTTTGACCACAAACAAGTTGCTTGAGCTCTTTGTGCCTCAGTTTTGTCACCTGTAGAATGGAAACAAAACACTTCTCTCAAAGAGTTATTCAAAATATTGAATGAATTAATACATATAAAGCACTCAGAACAATGCCCAGAATATAGTGAACACTTCTTAAAAGTTAGACATTTGTTTTTAAAATACAGTATAGACTAGAAAAATGTAAATCAATGCACATGAAACATTGTATTATAAGTGTTTTGCTGGCCCTGTAATTCTCTGCCATTGGGCAAATCACTTAGCCTCTCTGACCCTTAGATTTTTCATCTGTGTAATGGGGATAATGATAGTTATTTTAGAAGGATTTTTGTGAATATCAGAAACAAAAAATATATATATATATAAATATATATATAAATAAATATATATATTATATATATATTTTATATATTATGTATATATTTTATATATATATATATATATATAACTCCTAGTCCAGTTCCTGGCACAAAGTAGGCACTCAATAAATGTGTTAGTAGTATCGTAACTCATATTTGCTAAGCTTAATGCTCTAATGCACAGAGAACTGATTTCAGAAGAAAAAATGTGTGTGAAAGCATTCTCTATATTTCCATTGAAAGCAAACTAATGAGGAACATATTTAGAAAAATTCAGAAATATGGAGCAACTGATTAAGCTAATGTTGTACCTCTTTATCAATCTGTCCTGGCTGAGCATAGGGAAGATCAGGCCAAATTCCTTAGCTCAAAATTCAGACTGGTGCCAAGGGAGCTATCATCCCTGATGTGGGCTAAGAGCGGTTAATGTTGATTCGCATATGGTTTTCTTTTTACTAAATGAGATTATTTCATTGAAACTGCTGTGTTCCCAAGGTCAATGAGAACTTTGCTCTTCTGCAGGTGCGCCTGTTCTCAGAAAGGTAGGATTTAGATGGTTTAAACTAGCTGAATTTCAAGCCTTAAATCAAGGAGAAAGAATGGATTTAACTACATGAGAGAAGGAGACAATAGAACTAACTAAGGAATAATATGCATGCTCTCAATTTTAATGTTAAATGAATTTAAAAGTACAAATATAAAGTTTTATTAACATTGTTCTGGAAATTTTTGTCTAAAACACAAAACATAAATAAATAAAGCATATCAAGGTTTTTCTTATGTGTTACGTTCTGCATTTACATTGACATTTAATTTCCAAGTACTTACTGGCAGAAAAAGTGCCTATTTTGTGCATTTTTCTGTTTCTGTCCTATTTTTGCTTATGTGACATTTTTTCTCTGGAGGAATAAACATGTTTTAAAAAATATTTTCAGTTTGTCATTTTAATAAACAACTTAATTACAATGAGCTAAAATAAGCAAGTCACATAATTTTCTTGGGTGTATATAACATTAGTTAAATCCTTTAATAATTTTAAAATAAGAACTTTAACTTTTGTCATCCCCTCTCCCTCTTAAAAAAAAACACACAGATATAGAAACATGCATGTACAAACTAAAGAAAGCTCTTTTCCCTTTTTTTCTGTATTTTTTCATATTTCCTTTTTATTTTCTAAAATAGTGAATCTCAACTGTTTTAGTCTTCTAAATAAGTCCAAGGGTGGCAAGAGGAGGATAATTTTCAAATTTCTCTGAAAGTCTGTCTAGTGATGATAAAACAGCAATAATATGAATCAAATACTGTACACTAAAAGGATACGAAAATAAATTTATAAAATAATTCACTTACAAGATATTCATGTTGACGTGTTGATTCTGGGTTACTTTATTATGATCTAAAATATCATCATCTCTTAAATATTAGTTCATGGGACTGGATAGTGATTGACTTTTGAGTGGCCTTCCTCAAAGCATGGTCTGAAGACCACTGCATCAGGATCACCAGAGCCTCTTGTTGAAAATGTAAGTTCTGGGTTTCTATATATGACCTGTGAAATCTGATTCTCTGGAGTCTGAGCCCCAGAGCTGTGTGTGTGTGTGTGTGTGTGTGTATGTATGTATGTATGTATGTATGTATGTATGTATGTATGTATTTGAGACAGAGTCTCGCTCTGTTGCCCAGGCTGGAGTGCAGTGGTGTGATCTCGGCTCACTGCAACCTCCACCTCCCGGGTTCAAGTGATTCTCCTGCCTCAGCCTCCTGAGTAGCTGGGACTACACGTACCTGTCACCACGCCTGGGTAATTTTTTGTATTTTTAGTAGAGACAGGGTTTCACTGTGTTAGCCAGGATGGTCTCGATCTCCTGACCTCGTGATCCTCCCACCTCTCAAAGTGCTGGGATTACAGGTGTAAGCCACCGTGCCCGGCCAGCCATGTGTGTTTAACAGAAGTCCAGATAATTCTTGTGCACACTAAAGTTTGAGAAACAAAGGATTCACATCTGTATCTTCACCTTGATTTCCTAAACCAGAACTGAAAGTTATTTGTCAGTCAGGGTGGAGACTTTCTAGCACAGTGGATCTCATTACTGGCTACATATTAGAATAACCTCGAAAGCTTTCTAAAAACATCTATGCCTAGACCATATCTGAAGGGTATAAAAAATACAACTCTACCTTTTGATATTTGAAATACAACATTTAGCAATTAAATACAGTGGCTTCTTCTATTCTGTGTGTCCTATTTGGTTTTTAACCTACGATTTGAATAGAGTTTCCACAAGGGTCATATTTTTGAGCATGTGTATTTCCCCAAGTAATGGTGCTGGGTAAAAAGGAGTTGCTCAAATAATACTCTTTGCATTATAGAGATTGAACTGGAAAGAAGAAAATAATGGGATAATGAGTTCAGAATGAAGCAATTTTTTAAAAATAGTGGTGTCCTACAGCGGTTTGAGCAATATCAAGCAAAAGAAAGGGAAGTAACTCACTAGACAGAAGCATGAAAATTGAGAGGATGTGATGAGCTTGAAAGCTGTGCATCAGCAAAGGTTTATTTCTTCCCCAGGGCATTGTGAAAGAGGGTTGTGGTCATTACTGCCAAGACTGGTGGGGGAATTTCAGGTGCCGTGAGGGGGCAGGTACACTATATCCATCTTATTCAGGTTCTTAGAATAAGAACCTGAGCTTATTCTAAAATTGATGATAAGAGAGAATTTACAACTGCCAGTGGACATTAAATAGGCCCCTATTCTGACTATTTTATTAAACATTCTTTATATAGTAATCTGCTTTTTAAAATGCTGTTTTTTGATTAAAAAACTAGTATTCTAATTGCAATGACCAATTTTAGGAGTTTAAATAAATGTTTTTCTTTGGGGGGTTTTAATTTCAAAAGGTCTTTTTCTGAGTTTCCCCAAACATTGCTTTGCCTTTCATTTCTTGATGCTTTGTCTAAAAATGGAAGCCGTTATGAATCCCTAACAAGACCATCTTGTAGATTACAGTTGTCTCTTAACTTTTTGAGAGATGTGGCTCTCAGAATTGTAGGATACATGGAAGATATTGGCTAAGTCAGCAGATTTTAACTAGAGTAAGAACTATGATGGCTCTATGTTAATATATAAAAAACAAGAATTGTTGGAGTCAGTAATTATAAAGAGGGATAGCTATCTTATGGTAAACTAAACAAACTTATTTGAGAATGGGGGCAAAGACTAAATATCTATCCTAAGTTCAGTGTTAGGATGGTTTACATAGTAATTTTTGGGCTACAGGATTATTTTAAGATGATAGCATTTGTAAGACTGTCCTAGTGCAAATTGTGAATGGCAAGTTGGGGCTATGATTTAAGTATGAAATAGTAAAAGAAGATAGAATTGTTTCTTTATAGTTATTCAACTAGAGTAGAAGAAAAGGCATTATCTGGGGACATACATACAGTCAAAAAAACAGTGTCATATGAATATAATATAGTTATACTGGAAGAAGAAGAGCTGCAAAATGTTTCTAGGAAACCTTATGAAGAAAAATACTGTAATTCTAATGTCTTTCTATCAACATAGATTGAGTACCAGAATGTGACAATAGTGAACTTAAAATTTTGATACAAGTGGGTAAATTCATTCATGTAAAAATGACTGAGTCTAGTTGAGTTATGACTCATGATTAGAATTGCAAAGATAGGATTTTTAAAAAAAAAATTTCTATTTTATTATTATTATTTTTATTGCGATGGAGTCTCGCTCTGTCACCCAGTTTGGAATGCAGTGGTGCAATCTCGGCTCAAGGTAACCTCCACCTCCTGGGTTCAAGCAATCCCTTCATCTCAGCCTCCCGAGTAGCTGGGATTACAGGCTTGTGCTACCATGGCTAATTTTTGTATTTTTAGTAGTGATGGGGTTTCACTATGTTGGCCAGACTGCTCTCGAACTCCTGACCTCAGGTGATCCAACCACCTTGGCCTCCCAAAGTGCTGGGATTACAGGTGTGAGCCACTGTGCCCAGCCCATCTTTTTCCAAAGAAACTAAAACTTCAAAAAAGAAATTTGTCTTTCCAAACACAGCAATAATTGTGATGGCTTATTTTTCTCTTTTGGGTCTCAATTCAAAAGTGAATATTATTTGGAAATTTTCCTTCGTGGGAAAGTGAGAATAAGTAATCAGAAATGGATACACTTCTTTTAGGTAATCCAATATTTTTGAATTTTTTTGAATCATATTTTAGTGTGATCTTTATAAAACACATAAGTCTAAGTCTTCTCTAGTTATTTATCGTGTTCAAGTATTTAATAACAATTATATATAAACTTTATATGAAGAGCATTTGATCAATCTGCAGTCTAAAACTTTTAGGTTATACTTAACTTTTTATTAAAACTTCAAAGCAAGCGATCTTGAGTTTTAATAAAATACACATAAAACCTTGCCTATCTCCCCTCCCCCAGGGTTTCACTTTATGTATTTGTCATGGCTCCATGCTCTTGGTGTAAATGTCACGTACTTATCTCTTCTCTGCAACAGGGAGTAAAGCTTTAACCAAACTCCATTAAAAAATAATAAGATGACAACTATAGTCAAGTCACCCATTTGCACAGAAAAGTGTAAGCGGAGACTTGACTTACACCTGTCAAATAGAAAAGAGTAATTCATTGATCAGGGAACTGGTATTTTTCACTGCATGTCATCTGCATTTGTTACAGGTGAGAATCAAATGGAAGCGTGGCCCTTTCGCCTCTAATTTTTCTTTCCTTTAATCTCCACTCCCACACCAGTTGCCTCTGAAGGCAACATTACCATGGCAAAAGAGTGCTTGCTTTTTCTTTTTTTAAGTAGGAGTTGACATCTGGATGCTTCAAGCTGCCAGGTGGACCCCATGTAGAACCACAGCTGTTCTTTCTGGTAACTGGAGAAATAAAGAGCAAGAAGGAGCTGGGTATTCGAAGTCAACAAAGGACAATATACTGTTATCATTTCAATCACACAGGGCTAGTGATTTGTATTATAATTGCAATACAATATTTTTAAAAGTTAATGTTATTTGAGGAAAAATAACTAGCATGTCATTTTTCATAGCCCCAAAGATCACCAAGAAGAGCTAAGCTTTGGCACATAAACCAAGAGAGAGGGAGCAAAGATGATTGTCACAGTTTCTGAAGCCATCAGTTTAATAGAGAGGTTAATGAAACAAGAAGTAAAAATAAAATACTTTCTCTAGTTAATCCACCATGATGCCATCCTTCCCATCATCACTTTTTATCATGAGAGATTTTTATCTGCTATTTTTCCACTTAAATATATTTTTAACTTATAGTTTTATAAAATATAATTTTACTACTAAATTATAATTGCTTTATGTTTATACATGTATATATTTAAAAGTTGATGACTATAGATAATTGTATTAGGCTATACAAAAAGTCAAAGTCAAATAAAATATTTTAAAATAACATTTGACTACTTTGTATGGATCAACCATGATATACACCTAGATTTCACTAAAACCTCAATATGTTTATACAGTTAATCTAGGCTAAGATAGCATTACTATAACAACACGAGCAAACAGATGGCTGTTAGCAGATTGTCTTAAGGCAATACTATGTTAATCAATAAGATTACCAGTATAGATTTAGTAGAAGATTTTTGGATTCAGTGTTCATACATTGGTGAGATATTTTACTGAGGACAGCATTTCTTATTTTTTAAAACATATATTCATTATATTAGAATGTACATATATTAGATTTAACTGTTATGCTTTTCATTATAAAATATAAAATGAATATCTAAAATGTGTTGGAAGGTATCACAAATGCAGAATCGAATGTACCACCAGTTACTTTGTTTACTTATAAATATTCAATTGTTTTTGAGAGCCCTCTCTATGCCACAGATTGCTCTAAGATGCTTACATTCTAGTGAAACAAGGCAAAGAATAAACTATAAAAATTTCGGTAAATATTATTAAGAAAACTAAGGAGAGGACAAAAGTGACAAGAATACTGTATTAGATGGAGTGATTGGGAAACCTCTTGGATAAGATCAGACATTTTAAACAAAGATAAGATTGAAGACTGTCCTTGAAGATTGGGATATGTACTTATCTTAGACAAGATATTTCCAAGTTAATTTGAAATAAGAAGTGGAATTCATGTATTGGTAAATTGCTATAAATATTTCCCTATTCAGAAGATATTTATTGAGCACATACTAAGTCCTAAGGACTGTGCTTAGCAGAAGGATTTCAAAGATGAATAAGATACAATCCCTGTCATCAAGAGATTCATGAAGAAACACATAAAAAGGTAATTATAATAAGAAATGCTAATTACCATGATGGAGCTATAATGCATAGGACACTTAGGTGTAATTCCTACATTTTGTATTGATTACACTATTAACAAGGATAGGGCCCCCAACTCTAATTTGTTTTGATGAAAAATTATACTTTCAATTAATGTGGTTACATAATCAGGGGAATTGAGTCCAATTCTGGCTCTCTGGCTCTAATACTGTATTAGACAGGACTTGTTCTCTTGCATTAATAGAAACCCAACTCTAGTTTAAACAAAAGGGGTATTTATTAGCTTTTGCTACTGGCAATTCCAAGGATTTTGCACGAGCTTCAGCTACAGGTGGTTTTAGAGGATGTCATGGGATTCGCTCTCTTTCCATTTCTCTGCTCTGCCTTTCTCAATATTGGCTTTATTCACCAGCAGGCTATGTTTGTGTTGTGACAAAGAAGGCCTTTGGCACCCTAAATATGGGCAACATGTAGCACTCACTATCATAAAAGCAGAAAGATTATTCTCTCCCAGCATCCACATCTGTTGCCTGACCTCTGTTCCTGCAAGAATCACAGTTTCCTCCTAGATCAATCACTGAATCTACCGTGATTATCCATTCTGGTGGTGGGCTTAAGTCAGCAAATAAAACACAGGGCCATCCACATAAATGACATATCTACCAGAATCCTGCACAGGGTAGAGTAGACAGTAGGAAAATAGTTCTACTACCGGAAGAAAGGGAAAGAGTACAGTGTTGGCAAAGCCAAACAAATTTTGCTACAGACAGATTCATTCTGTGACCTTGGTCAAGTCATGTCACTTGACCAAGAGTCTCGGTTTCACCACCCATTACTTGCCAACCTCATAGTGTTAAATTATATAAGGAAGGTTGTGTGCCAAGGTTAAACATATAGAGAAAAATGCCTAATGAATAACTATATCAGCAATGTTACTACTGATAAACAAATATGGTTTGCATCAGATTTCAGGTACTGGGAACTAAAGTATTAAAAAAGATGAAGGGGCCGGGCATGGTGGCTCACGCCTGTAATCCCAGCACCAGGCAGATCACCTGAGGTCGGGAGTTCGAGACCAGCCTGACCAAAATTCGTCAGGTGTGGTCGTGGGCGCCTGTAATCCCAGCTACTCAGGAGGCTGAAGCAGGAGAATCGCTTGAATCTGGGAGGTGGAGGTTACCGTGAGCCGAGATTGTGCCATTGCACTCCAGCCTGGGCAACAAGAGTGAAACTCCGTCTCAAAAAAAAAAAGATAAAGGGTGGACTCTTCCCTTGCAAATAAAATGAAATGACAGAGCCAGCTAGTCTTGATGCCTGTGTAATCTGCTTGAGTGGTTCCCAAACAGGGAGTGGAAATCTGTCTCCTTTGGACACAAGAAACCACTTAGTTGCAAGATGTAGCTCTGAATGGAATTTCAACCTAAAAATATGTAAAAGCTGCCCTCTTATTGCTACTTTTTAAATATACTAAGATAATTAACATTTTGGTGAGTTTAAAAAAATGCAGATTCTCTTAGTAATATTCTTATTCAATTAAGCTGATAATTTAAATGAAGCAGTAAATTTAAATATACACTCCCCTTCTAGAATGATATCAAATTATTTTCATTTTGAATACAATACAAATGTGACATTTTTATGTTTACTGAATTGGCTCTTAGGTAGAATTCTCTTCACTGTTCAAGGCCAGGTGTTGCAGCCCATGGCCTATAGAACAAATTTAAATTTTTTTCCTGTTTTTGAATTTAATTCTCCTCCTGCTTAGTTCCTACTCTAAGAATGATTTTTACATTTTATCTGGCCGTTTTCAGGAAAAGTTGAATGACTCCTTTTTCAAGTTGAGCTTTTTCTTTAGAATTTTATCAACCACCCGCCCTCCCACACTTTTTTTTTGCAGTTCCTGTTCCATTCTTGATGAGCAGCTCAGTGTATGTCCCCTGTGCTGTTCCAGACAGTTGATTCAAAAGAATGCCTCTGAATGGGAACAAGGAATTTTGCCCCGGGTGTACTTTCTGCACATCTTGTTAATTTTACCACTAACATGTTTTTTTCTCCAATACCTTCAGATAGCTTTATGCATGCCTTCTCTCTCCTAGGATCTGATGATTAGCATCTCCATTAGAGTTCCGACTGAATTTTATCCTTTTATTCTCTGCTCCTTATCACTGATCATGTGGACTGGCACTGACAGTGTGGGCTTTTGACTGACCGTGGACTTCCTCAAATCTACATACCAGGCCCCTTTTGCCAGCTTATTACTCAGCAGATCTTCAGAGGATATATACAGATTAGGAGATGTAAAGGGGCAGAGCCACTGTGTTGGTTTGCATTCTTCAATAAGCAGACACAAAAGGATGTATTAGAGGGAAAATTGGGGAAGGTAGGAGAGCTCTCACATCATGATGCAGGCCTGACCCCTGTAAAGTAGAGAGGGAAGGGAGGAAGATTGAGCAGGAAAAGTCAAAGGGATCAGAGTAGTTTTAAGAAACTTTTGGCAAAGCCTATGTGTAGTCCCTGAGCCAAAGTCACATGGCAGAGGAGTTTGAGTCTCTCAAAAATGTAGCTGCCTCAGTATCCCTGCTGCGCTCAATCACTGCCTGGGAGCAGCACATGGGAAGCATGGCCTCAGCCAACTCAGTGCTGGATTCAGAATACAGCAATGGGTCCCTTGGTCAATTATGCTCCTCTCAGTTGCAGTACTGCAAGGCACATTCTCCTGTCTACCACAGCCATATTGAATGATAAGGACAAAACAGGACATACAGCTAAAGGCTGGGAAGGAAAGCAGGCCCTGGTCACAGAGAAAGAAATGAGGAATAAGAGAAGGAAACTGGTAGACAATGTGTCTCCCGTCTGCTACTACCTTGGATTGATTCTCCCAGAAGAACTGACTGCTGAGAAAGAAAGAATGGAGTTGCATTGTCCCTCAACACTTACGGAGTTGGGGTAGCCATGTAAGGCAGCCAGCAAGAGTCTGGCATGGACCAAAGGGGTAAAAGAAGTGTGTTTAACATGTGTAGGAAAAATATACCTTTCCATCCCATAGCTAGAGAACAGGGCTGGTGAGCAGTCCATTCCCTGTGCTTTGAAGTCTAGGCTTGACTTTTGCAATTTTCTTCTCATAGGTGTTTCCATTTCTAACTTGTCTCTAAGCCATCTGTTCAAGATGCTGCTGTTCAAATAATTTTTCCTGACAGCTGCCACAACAACAGGGAGAATGATGAGCATGGCTGAGCTGCAATTCAGGATAGGGGCTCTTTTTCTATAGTTGCCCTCAGTGACATGGCAACAGGCAATTTCCAGATCTGGTGAAGGTAGTCGAAGTATGATGTCTGGTCTATTAAAAAGAATGTCCTTCAATTGATAGCGCTTCCATTTGTTCAGTTTCCTTTAACATGTTAATTAAGGGAGGAAAAGTGGGAGAAATGCTTCTTAAAATGATGATACATGTGAGATTTTGAACTTCTGCATTTTTTATTTTAAGCATCTCTAACAAAGCTTGACACTGACCTGGAGTTTTCAGTATAAAAAGGAATGACTTGATATTCTATCAGCTTTGGCTTTCTTCTCATGTGTGTGTGTATGTGTGTATGTGTGTGTCTTTCTATACTCTCATTCCCAAGAGACATGCAATTTAGCTGTTATGCCCACTGTTTATTTGAAACCAATTTAACAGGTAATAAAGGTGAGAGTATTTACCTTTTCAGTGGACTTTCATCTACTTTGTAAAGATTGAGGAGTGCAGAAACGTATGCAAATAAAGCTATTTAGTCTTTTATAACTCCTTTGAAACTACAAAGGTAAAACTAACTTTCTGTTCTTTACATTTCCTAAGTTCTTTCTACTAATGTAGGCCTATGTAAGAGATACACATTTTCTCGGTTTTCCAATAAGCTGTTGTTGGGCTTTCCTTTTGTGTATGTGTGTAGAGAAGTAGCAACTTGCACTTGTTAAGAAATGAATGAGAAAAGAGAACATAATCTCTACCAATTTGAGGTTTTGAACACTCTTTTCCAACCAATTTCTTACCCATTTGGAGGACTATATCTCTCAGTCAGATATATGATATACAGATGAACTCACTTCCATTTTTTTTCTTTCTCTCTGATTTTTGACATGTGGAGATGGTTTTAGAGTCATTTTCAACTAATTTTTGATTGACGAATATGTCTTTTGTTTAATGACATTCCTATCCATTAGAATCATAGGTAAGTTTCTAGCTTTGTACTTCTTTCAAAAGTGAGAGACACTGAGTCTTGAAAAATAACTAACAAAATATAATTTCTCAGGGGGAAAAGCTTTTTAAAAATGTTTGCTTTTCCATTTTAATTCTATCTCTATTATCAGCGAATGTGGAAAACATTTTATTGTCTAATTTAATGTTAAAGTTATTTTTATAACCAATACATGTGGTGTTTCACGTTATTATTTGTGTAAGAGTTTAGTTAGAATATAGAAAATTCTAATTTTTAAGTAGTGAGAACTTTTATGAAAGAAGAAAATTCCAAAGCTCACACAAGGAAAAATTTCATATAGCTTTTTTTATATTGTACATGGCTTCTGTAATCTGAAAAGTTACAAATCTATAATAAAATAATATTTTAAAATATCATATTAATTTTATTGTTTTTGTTAATTTCTTTTGTTTTCATGTTTTAAGATAGAGCAGTTTTAGGTGCATAGCAAAATTGAGGGGAGTGGAAAGAGACTTCCCATATATCCTTGTCTCCACACAAGCATATCCTCCCCCATTATCAACATTCCTTACCAGTGTAATACATCTATTACAATTGATGAAGCTTGCATTAGCCATTTTCACACTGCTGTAAAGAACTACCTGAGACTGGGTAATTTATAAAGAAAAGAGGTTTAATTGACTCACAGTTCCACATGGCCAAAGAGGCCTCAGAAAACTTACAATCATGGCAGAAGACGAAGGGGAAGCAAGCACCCTCTTCACAAGGTGGCAGGAGTGAGAGAGTGAGGCGGGAAGTGCCGCACTTTTAAACTATCAGATCTCATGAAAATTCACTCACTATCATGAGAACAGCATGGGGGAAATCCACCTCCATGATCCAAACACTTCCCACCAGGTTCTGCCCCTGCCATGTGGGGATTACAATTTGACAGGAGATTTGAGTGGGGACACAGAGCCAAACCATATCAAATCTTCATTGATACATGACACCCAGAGACTATAGTTTACATTAGGGCCCACTCTTGATTTTGAAAATTTTATCTATGGGTTTGGTCAAAAGTATAATTAAATGTATCCATCATTATATTATCATACAGAGTATTTTCACTGCCCTATAAATCCACTATCCTCTGCCTATTCATCCTGTCTTCCCACTAACCCCTGGCAACCAATGATGTTTTTGCTGTCTCCATAGTTTTGCCTTTTCCAGAATATCATGTAATTCAAATCATATAGTATGTAGCTTTTTCAGATTAGCTTTTTTCACTTAGCAGTATGGGTTTAGGTTTCCTCCATGTCTTTTCGTTGCTTGTTGGCTCATTTCTTTTTAGCACTGAGTCTGGAGGTATCACAGTTTATCCATTTACCTATTGAAGGACATGTTTGTTGTGCTTGTTTATACTTTATCATAAACATTGTTATCTTTATCACAAGCATTAACAAATCTCTATTAAATCCTTATAATATGCATTGGCCCATAATATTCATGTAATGAACATACTTTTAATTTAAACAGGAATCCAGATTGTTGATTTTGGAAGTTTATTTTTAATTAAAACATTCATGTTAATTGTATTCCTTTTTTGTCTCTTTTAGTTTTAATTTTATCATGGTGTTTAGCACTAGGAATGTTAGTAAAAAATTTAAGTTAGAAGAAGCTACAGAAGCCCAGAAACTTAAACATGAAAGAGGCTGATGGCAGACAGAGATACATACTGCTGGGCTTGCCATATGCTCTACAGGTTTCTTTTACTCCCTGTCAACAAATACTATTTTTGTTCTTCACTTTTTATCAACAGAATTGAGGGACATAATAAAGAGTTATAATTATGTTCGTTATTTAAGATATTTCTTTTCTTTCTGGTTTCTGCAACAGAGTGAAAATACCAGTTTAAAAATATTGTGATTCTATTTTCAGAAAAAAAAAACACCTCTGTTTGCATCTGTAGACAAAGATCTGTTCAGAATGGTTGGCTTTGTGAGGTAAGTTTATGAAGAACTTTCACTTACTATTTTAGTCATTAAAATTTTTTTAACAGGATTATATATGATTTTTGTAATCTAAAAGTGTTACAAATTAGTAATAAAGATAATAATTTTTGTTATTTTTATTAATGTTTTTTATTTCTTATTAACATTTTAACAATATGATCATTATAATTATCTTTATAACCAACACTAACAAACATTAAATATTTGTAACAGTGCCTTTTGGATTAACTGTTGTCCTGGCTTTTAAGAAGTTTTATGGGTGGTAGAAAAATTGAAATTCATTTTGAAAACATAAAAACTTAGCTATTTTAGCTTTAAGCTTGACTATTTTGATAACAAATGGCTCTGAGTTCTGTTACAAATGACCTAAAAGTTAAATATATCAGAAATCACTTATAAGTAGGGTGGCTAT
Organism: Homo sapiens; assembly: GCF_000001405.40. Classification (NCBI taxonomy): domain Eukaryota; kingdom Metazoa; phylum Chordata; class Mammalia; order Primates; family Hominidae; genus Homo; species Homo sapiens. The sequence goes on from NC_000006.12 coordinate 114,449,453, forward strand.
GTAGTTTACCCTCAAATCAGGACAGTTTTGGAGTGAAGGGGATTGCTATTAATAGTTACTCTAGGCAACAGGCCTCAAATGGGACTGTCCCAGGCAAACCAGAACATATAGAAATTATGACTCTATTAATCAACTGAAAATAAAATACTAATAAAACAGATATAGAAAAGCTTATTTAAAATCTATTTTGATGAATATAGTTTAATATAGAATTGTTCTGATGTTAAGTTCAGAACACTTTTTTAGGTTTCATGTTAATATTTCAAGGGATACATGAGAAATGTGTTATTAGTCTAGTATATTGTGGGTGGCCATTTCAATGATCTCCAGGGGGTGCATAATTGAGCTACCCAAAGGGCCTCATTATGAGGCTGTTTTCTATTACCTCACCAAGGACCTGATACCACTGAAAACAATGCTCCAATGTGATAGTGGGTATAATTTTTCATCTAGGAATGCACTTTTAGCTTACCTCCTACAGTGATCTACTATTTGTCTATCAGAACTTTGTTGATATAGTTCATCTGTGTAGAAATTATTTGCAATCCATTTAAACAGAGGGAGAGAGACAAAGGGAGGGATTGGGGCAAGGGTGCTGTTTAAGTCTGAGATAACTCTTAAAGAAAAAGATAATCTATTGTATTTGAAAAGGCATTTTTTACTCATTATTCTGCTAAGTAATCCTACTTATCATGTATTTAAAAAGACAAGGCAATTTCCCACTGAATGTGGTAAAAATAAAAAGGCTATAAAAAGAAAACAATTTAGTGTCAAGACATCCTACTGTGTTTGCTTATGTGTTTGTAAATCTGTCTATAATATCATTGCTTAAAAAATAGCCTACTGTACCAGGTACATGGAAACCTTTCAAAGCTCCATAGACATATTTTAAAGATAGTAATTGTCATTTTCTATCTGGCCAACTGCTGGGATCCGATTGGTCATTACCTTATTTCAGGGGAAGCTTCAAAAGCTAATCAGAGGTGTTATCAGCTATGACTTCTACCGCTGCTGCACAGGAAACTTAGCAATAAAGCAAAAGCTGTAAATTCAGGATTTATTTTTTGTAAGGATGTGGCTTATGCTTGGAAGATTAATGAGGAATTCCTGGTCTACTGTTTATTAAAGATCTCACCATTCTATAGCATTTTAATTGTATAGTCACTCTTTGACATCCTAACTAATGGTTCTTGCTAAATTAATAAAAGCAACATATTAAGTCTAAATCCCAGATAAGGTAAAGATTGCCGTTTTAATATCCCATCTATATCCTTTATCTTTCTACAGGGGCTTTCAGGCCAGTAGTTTTAATAACATGCATGAATGAAGATGCTCTTTTTTAACTCAAATGGTGGCAAAGAGTTTTTCCTTTATATTAGCAGGCAATCAATTCCAATAGCTTTTTAATGCTTTCTTAAAGAATCAATTTTAAAGCAGAAGCTCTTCAGGGGACCCTCTTAAACTTCTTCACAGCCGGTCTCCTAATTTTCTATTACAATGCAATCTAAAGCAGCTACAAAAATAATGCAGATAATGTTTGCTGGGTAATGATTTCCAATTTCCCCATTCCATGTACCCTGTTATTAGAAGGATCATCTTGGTTGTGTAAATTAATTTTCAATTCACTTCAGGGGAACATTACAATGATTTATTCAGCCTTGGTGTTGAAGAAAGTGTTGGGAGGATTTCAGCAATCTGAGAAACAAAATCAATTTGTTCTGATTATCACCATGTTAAAGGGGAAAAAAGGATAAAAACAAAAGAATCACTCAAATGTGTGTCTTGACTGTAGCATACACACTAGCACCATGATTTGATGCTAGGATGTCACTCTGTAATACAAAAACTGAACAAAAGAATGGTGTTTGGTAATACATCGCTACTTGGAAATTAAGTAATCGAATAGCCAGGTTATTCCTCCATATGATATTTTAGTTATATGCCTTTGAGGCAGGATAACTGTTCGTATTTCCTTGGAAGAGAAAAGTAACACAGCAGCTTATAATCAAGAAGGAATAGTTTCCCTAAGCATAGTATAACTAGCTAGTTAGTTTGATTTTTTTAAAAGTTAAAACAGGGGCCATGATATCAATATATCATAACCATGAGACATACAACATTTTTTATCATAATTTATCTCACAAAAGTTTTTCCAGGGCTGTGTATGAACTATGGTTTTTATAATATTGTAGAAAGGTCATTCTTTGTAAAGGTTTTACTGACCTTTTACTTTAGTCAGTTTGTAAGTGTGCCAGTCACTTGGGTCAATTTCAATCGTGCCCAGGTGTGAATGCAAATTGCCAATATCATTCACTTCTCCAGATCACTTACCATTCAGCAAATACTTATGAGCCTCTACACTGTGCTGTGCACTGTAGTGAGAGCTACAGAGATGATGAAAAACAAAAGCAAATGCTGTAAAATGATTGCTTACCTGTTGTAAATGTATCAAAACCTCTGAAGACGAGGTTCATGATACTATAAAGGCATATAATATAATTATCTAACCATGTCAGGAAGACCAGAGTAGGTTTCCCAAGGAGGTGATGGTTGAGTTCCTGAAATCTGAAGGATAGGGGTGAATTAATCAGGAAATGAGAGGAAGGGAACACTGTTCTAGGACAAGAAACAGGATCAGATTTGCATTTTGAAAAGAATACCTTGACTGCATTGTGGAGAACAAACTGCGGAAAGGCAGAATGCATGCACAGATTCAGACAGGAGGCTGTGGCCATAGCCTAGAAAAAGATGAAACATGCTAGGGTAGATTTATTATTTTTCCAAGCCTCTGCCACCCATCTGTGGGTGGCTAGGCTGGACATTCCTTTCTTGATTACTCTGTAGCTCAAGATGAAGGCATGGATCTGTGTGCACTGAAGTGAAGTGGGCTTTTTGACTCCAGAAACTAGGCACCTGCAGAATAAAACAAAATATGCAGACTAGTGGGAGTGAATTTGGAATACTGACTGAGACGTGCAGGGTCACGGAAAGACCCAGAAGTGTGAGATTGACTATTATTTTGAAGTAGTATGCAGAAATTTTCTTGTTTTAATAGATTATTTTTATTGATAGCACAAGCTTTACTTCGGCCTGGCTTTGCTTCTGAGTTGGAGCCCACCTTCTCTTTCCAGTGAGAAGTGCTCTAGTGAAGTGATTAAGTACTCACAGTCTATACTCAGCTTAGCACAAAGCCAGGTTCTCTCCCTGCTCTATGACTTCCTTCCACCAGCTCTATGACTTGGGAAGTTACCTAATCCTCGAGTTCAGTTTCTTCATGTGTAGGGTAAGGACGCTCAGTGCCCGCTTCCTAGTGAGCTTGTGAGGAGTAGTTGAGATAATGCTTGAGAAGCTCAAGCAGAACCCCTGCTTTGTACTATGCAGGCTGCACACCTGTGCTTGGATTAATCCACAGTTGTTTGCATCGAGATGAGCAAGCAGGAAAAAGATGTTTTGGCATCAGCTGGTGGTGGCATTGGGTCAGAGTTACAGTCACAACAGTGTCAATCTAGGTCAGGAAGGTTTAAATGACACAGGCTTGGCACTTATATGCCACTCAGGATAGATGAGTCCCAGGGATCCAGGAAGCAGGGCAGTGGCAAAGCAAGTTTACTGAAGATCGTCAGTAAGGAACACAGAATTACTGTAGGAGAGCTGACTGGCACTAGAATCCTCAGGTCAAGATGGAGCTCTGTGGCAGTGGTCACTGAGACTGCAGCTGGTGGTTTCTGTTTACTTTGTAATGGCTCTCTATAAGACCTGCTCTCAGGATACTCACTTTTGTCTCGTCAGACCTCTCAAGCTCTCAGGCCTCCACAGTACTGCCTGTAGAGCTCTAAGAAAAGGTGGTACCTAAGCACTGGATACTGGAGTCTGGACTCATGTGCACTGTTCTCCTGTCTAAGAGCTGGGCAAAGGCCTGGGCCGTAAGGATCCTGTACAAGTCCCACCTCCTCCATTATCAAATGTAATCTGACCTGTTGATATGATTTTCAGCGTTAGATTATCCTCAGAGTAAATACATCAAAGAAGCCTAAACGCAGGAACATTATTTATTATGGAAATGTAGAAGGTTGTCTTCTACATTTGTAGAATGAGTCCAATGTAGAAGGAAGTCTTTTTCATAATCATAAAGAGGAGTTAGGAGTAGGTTAGGTTATATATGAAATTGAAACATGACCTAAATGGAAATTATATGAAAACCCCAGATTCCCTCTTTAGCATGATCACCATTATTGTTCTCTCAACAATGCCAACTTACATGAATAATTAATCTGTGTGTATGTATGTGACTATTAAGTTGGGCTGTTGAAAAAAAAAGGAAGTTTTTTTCTAGTGTTTTAAATTTTATTAATGTTAAATGGTGTTGTGGCAGATACGAGTATTGCATATTTGAAAACTGTATTTGTAAGAGTTAGTGTATAGATTTTTTAAATGCCAGCAATTTTTCCCCATGCATTCCTAGATCCATTATGAAGGTTGTCAAAGGAGAAGAATCCATCATGATTTCAAAGGAAATCAAAGAACATGACAAGCTACAGTATTAATCTCCTGATTCTTTTTGAGTTTTAAGAATAAACTGACAGCTTGAGTTAGAAGTAATCATATTTAAATATTCTGTGTGTGTGGGAGACATTACCTCCACTTACCTAATCTTTCAAATCTATATAAAAGTGAAACCTGTCTGCTGGTTTACTAATGTGTCATGTGAAAAAGGATATGTGGATTGTCACCAAATTTGTATTGTAAGTTTGGAATGGCCTGATGTAAAAATGTAAGCTGTGTAGGTATCATCTACAAGATTCACTAGGAGGGCTCTGAAGACTATGTCAAAGAAAGAGGTAGCCACCCTCCAGAGAAGCTGAAAATGAGGATGGATATTTTTCACTAAATATGAAAGATATGTGGGATACCATCTGACTTTAAAAAATCAACTGTGACATACTTGAAATTCTTTTTGAGGGAACCTGAGGACACTTAAGAGAGAGAGAGAAATTCAACTTTCAGAGGTTGAAAACAGGGTTCAAATCAAGGCCCAATTGCTGCTGCTCAGTGGAAAAGAACCATCCTATGTTTGAGGTCACGCTGGGTGGTGAAACCAATCAGTGCTTTTAACAAATGATGGGAGAGATGCTCAGAATTCCAGGCACTGGTTTGACTTGAGCTGCTTCTTACATGAGTAACTCTGTTTCTTACTCAAGTGAATTGTAGAATTATAGCAAGGAGTTTTAAAATATGTATCTGTTTTTAAAATGGAATCAGGGTTAGTGAATTTCCTAATGTAAGTTAGGAAGTCCAGCTAAGAGGTAACATAAAAACCTCTTAGAAATGAAGCATCCAATAATCAGAAATAATAATTGAAATTAGTTTTTAAGAAGATCAGTCTAATGAAGAACCAAATATTAAAGGAGGGCATGAAAGAGATGAAAATAAGCAATATAGAGTATAAGGGCAAGTCCTCCTCCTTCTTTTCTCTTTTCTAAAATTCCTCCTTATCTTTATATTCCACTACCTTACAAACTGAATATATAAATTGGACAATGGAGGATAAAATTCAGAATAAAGATCTAACAAGTGTAGTTAATGAATAGATTTATCTGAAGCTGGTATGTTAGTCATTTTAAACAAGTGCTAAATCTACTTCTGAATTTCAACACAAACAAAATAAAGTATGATGAGGTTTTGATTCATATTGTGTCAAAAGAAAAAACTTTTTCCTGGCACTGCATACTAAAATATTTTATTATGCGATGTCCAATAACCACAAATACAACAATAATTAAAACATTACACAACATCTATTATGTTAATACTTCCATTAATTCTGTTTATAATTCAGTTAATAATTCTGAGTTCTCTTTCTAAACCACACTTAGAATGAACTTCATACTTAATACCATTACTAACATTCCTGAACACATCTTTTGCTGTTGTGTCTCACTTATTGCCTTAAGCATGCTAAATTTGCACTTTTTGTTATTTACATACATATATATATTTATATATAACCTTCACAACAATCCTATGAGGTAAGTAATATTACTAACCCACTTTAAAGATGAAAGTATTGAAGCATAGAGGAATTAAGCAATTTGCCCAAAGCCACCCAATTAAAAAGGGGGAACCAGGATTTGAGTACAAACCATCTCACTTTAGTCAGTGTTCTTAACTATTATGCTACACTGCCTATGTATACATCTAAAATGTATAGCGTATGTATATAAATGTGTGTATCTGTATATGTCTCTCTATATAGATATACACATGAAATATCTAATAAACCAATAATCTTGGATCATCTGTTGTCAACTTAGCATCCCACAACCCCTTTCCAAGATTATTTCTGCACTGTAGAGAAGAAGCCAGGTATCATATTTCCCAGAATCCTCTTTTCCGTGTTGCTTCAGTTTACAGCTGGCCGATGAGAGGTGCTGCATGATATTGGAAGATGGGACAGAAGGAACCAGTATTCTGCAGAGGCAGTTGCATGAGCAGATATGAAATGTCCTGGAGGCTCCCCCAGTAAGCTGAGAAGCACCTGCTTTCCCACTATAGACTGAGACCACTGATGGAAGCTTCCCAGAGATTTGAGAATTGCAGAAGCTTCTGTGAGCTATGAAGAACAACGTGACTTTGACCTTCAGACTGAGATATAGCTGGAGGCTGCTTTGACCTTCTTTCCCACAGCTCTTTTGACCTTTCTAAAGCCCCAAACCCTATCTTAAAAATGACAAATATGGAATGCAAAGAGCAGCTTTTCTTTTTCTGATCATGGCCTTAATGTAATACAATAGTGAAACCGTCTAGCATAGTGATTAAGAACATTGGCTGTAGAATTAGACATATTTAGTTTAGCATTTTGATTCTACCCCAAACTGGCAAAGTTACTGAATGTATCTAAATTTTAATTTGCTCATTTGTAAAATATGGCTAATAATAGTACTATTTTTTAGCTCATTTATAAAGTATGGATAATAATAGTGCCTATTTTAGGGAGTTCTGAATATTAAAAGAAGTAAACCATGTAAAGCACTTAGCACAGTGCTGGATACTAACAATCGTTATTGTGATCTAACTATAATTTTGCTTAAAAACATTTGTTCAAGTTTTCTTATATCATCTCCTCTATAGATATGAGAATTTAACATGAAATTTTAACTCTACAAGTTAAATGGGAGCTAAAATAATATTGTGCAGCCTGTTCTTTTTGAAGCATTTTTAATGAATAAATTAATTTTCCTAAAATAAAAAGGTACTGTAGGCTCATTGTAAAAAGTTAAGAATACAGAAATGTATAAAGTCTAAAATCAGTGAGTCTCCACCACTGCATAGTGACTATTTACAGTTCTGTGTCTATTTTTCTATACCTTCTTATATGCATATGTATACTTATATACACTTAAAAACAAGATGAAATTATACTTTCTTTTTTCACATTTTTAACTTAGCAATTAATCTTTACAGATTCATATATAGAAAAAACTACTTTAGTCTTTTTAATGGCTACATGGTATTCCTTTGTATTACTATGCCAGACTTAGCCTTCTCTCAATGAGTATTAAGGTTATTTCCAATTTATCTGCACTGTAAAAAGTTTCAAGCCTGGCATAGTGGATCATGCCTGTAACCCCAATACTTTGGGAGTCTGAGGTGGGAGGCTCTCTTGAGCCCAGGAGTTTGAGACCAGCTTGGGCAACAAAATGAGACTTCATCTCTAGGAAAAAAAAAATTAGCCAAGTGTGGTGCTGTGCTCTTATAGTCACAGCTACTTTGGAGGCTGAGGTAGGAGGATTGCTTGAGTCCAGGAGGTGGAGGCTGCAGTGAGCCATGATCATGTCACTGCACTCCAGCATGGGCAACAGAGCAAGACACTATCTCTCTTAAGAAAAGAAAGTTTCAGTCAACGTCCATGCAACTTTGTAAAAAATGCAATAATTTCCTTAGAATAAATACTTGCCCCTGCAGTTTCTAGGTCATATAACATGTGCATTCTCAATTTTAGTTCATATTGTCAGGTGTCCAACAGAAAATTGGAAATATGTTTTTACTTCCAGCAAGAGAACATAAAAGTGTTCATTTCTGTAAGCTCTTGATAAGCTTTGGGGTAGCTAGTGATAGAGGTATTATGTTTCCAGTAGCCAGGGTCACAGATAATTAAAATGTCTCTTATCCCATTTGAATCAAATGTTCATTGTGGTAAGTGAGTCTTTGTTAAATTCTGAAAGGCAGTCAGTTCTGAGGAAAATTCTCTGATGAGTGCCCTGTGGGCCACGATTTTGTGTTCTTGAATCAAGGAAAACCATATGCTTTAGATATGAGCTGCAGAGACCACAGATCTGACATTCCATTGTGAACATGTAGGAGCCTGATTTAAGTTTCTGCTCAGTTTCAGGGTTTTCCAATCAAATGGAGGTGAGCTGTAGAGATGCTGAGAATATAAATTTCTTTTAAAAAATTGTTAGTTTTGTAAGTACATGGCCACTTATTTAGTTGAGATGTTTAGGTTCTATGCCACATATTAAGAAGAGGCGATTTTGGCCTGATAATCTACCTCTGTCTTAGAAACAACTCTATCAATCCGATTACCTTAATTAAAATGTGAGATTTTGAATAAGAGTAAAATCTTATTACTTAACTAAATAGGTTAAAAGGTTTTCTAAATAGTGGAATGAGTAGAGCTCTTGGGTAGAGTCAAGTCATTTTAATTTAAGCAGTTGTAAAACTACGTGTTTATGGAGTGATGGCAATGAGAGAAAACAGGCTCAGTTGCTTTCTAAGGCCATTTCATAAGAGCAAATGGGAACACTGACCCAGAGAAACGTGATTGTTTCCTTCTTGCTATGACCGAAGAGAAAGATGCCACTTCATCAAGAGCTGCACCTATCAACTTAATATAAATTTAAAATATAACAAGGGACAGAGCTGCTTTAGGCCATTTGAAATATAAAATTAATTTGTCAAAAAAGCAATTCTTTCCCCTCTAATTTTGGCAGTAATATTATGTGCAGCCTAGTTTGTGATCCCTACTTTATAAGTTCTTTGTCTAGGAAATCAGAAGTAGATAAAAATGAAGATTTTCTTATTGATTCTTATTGGTTTAATACAGTAAGACTTGAAACTTTTTATCTATATACTCCTTTGATTGATTCTCTATACAACTAATTAGAACAAAAAAAGAATCTAACAAAAGAGCTCTGGGATTGGAAAGGATTTTGGGCAAGATATTCCTAGTAGACTGATATTAATTTGACTTTCCTGATTCTCTACTAAAATTAGTTTGAAGATGGTAGGTGTCAGGAGAGGACTCTTGGAATAGGTTTTACAAGAAGAATCTTGTCAATTTTAACTTAGAACATTTTACAAAATGTTCATGTAAAAACTTAACATACTAACAATACATATTTAAAGGGACTATGATTTGTAGAAAAGAAAAAAACAATGAAACTTATTTGCATAGACTCCTAAATAAGAGCCATTTAAATAAAAGTTGCAAACCCCCTAATGCATGGGTGGACATGGGCCCGCATCCAGTGATTCTCCTATGCTGGAGCATAGCATAAGAACTGACTTTTTGTTTCAATACAAAACAACTCTCAATGGCCACCATAGCTCCAAAACTTACCTGTTGAAATGGTATCACAGCTCAACTCCTCTCTCTCCCTAGTGTACTTTGCTCCTCACTCACAGGTATTGTCCTTGGGAAAGAATTTCTCAGTAACATACTGCACACAAAGTTCAAGTCTCACATTCTGTCTCTTGGGAACATGACTTACCATACTCCATGCCTAAAACCTTGGTAGGCGTGGTTGGGAGGCCAGGCTCTGATGAGCCCATGTTTCTTTTCATGTAATCTCAAGATATTTCCATGAGGTTTTTCAGCAGGCTGGTCAAACTTCTTTCATTGTGATTCAGGGCTTTGCGAGGCCAAGGCAGAAACAGCCAGTCCTCTTAAAGGCTGGCCCCCAAAATGACATAAGCATCACCTTCTCCATACTCTATTGGTCAAAGGAGTAGTCCAGCTTAGGTGGTAAAATGAGAGGAAGGAGATGGGAAAAGTATGGAAGAATTTTTGTCCATCTCTAACCTACCACACAGACTAATCGACAGGGTGAAATATTTTTTTCATACCTCTTTAGGAGAGTGCAGAGTTAACACTCTCTGAATGTGTTAATCAGCCTGATGCCTTTTTATATTTTCTATAGAAAGAAATTAAGAAGTCCCCATGGGCCATGGTTGGGCAGAAGATTTGATGGGGATGATAATGTGTGGAAGAAGGATGGATACATTATTCCTTTTCTGTATAAACTTTTAAAGAAGTAGTCACCATAGGTGTACAATTTGAAATTATATATGATATAACATAACAAAGCAGAAGCTGAGTTGGTTAGAAATTAAGAACATGAGATCTGAAATCAGATAGATTTGGTTTTGTGCTCCAGCCTCACTACTGCATGAATATGAGACTGCTGATAAATGAGTCTTGAGTCCTCATTTCTCCCATCTGCACAATAGGCATAATGATGCCCACCTCGTGGGTTTTTTTTTTTTTTTTTTTGACGGAGTCTCGCTTTGTCGCCCAGGCTGGAGTGCAGTAGGGCGATCTCAGCTCACTGCAAGCTCCGCCTCCTGGGTTCACGCCATTCTCCTGCCTCAGCCTCCCGAGTAGCTGGGACTACAGGCGCCCACCACCACGCCTGGCTAATTTTTTGTATTTTTAGTAGAGAGGGGGTTTCACCGTGTTAGCCAGGATGGTCTCGATCTCCTTCCTGATCTCATGATCCACCCGCCTCGACCTCCCAAACTGCTGGGATTACAGGCATGAGCTACCGCTCCCGGCCCACCTCGTGGGTTTTGAAGGTCAAGTAAGATGAAATATGATAATATCTAAAAGTACTCGTTTTAGGTCTGATGCATAAAAAATACTCAAGAAATAATGATAAAAATTGTAAAAAAGAAAGTAACAGGAGCCATGATATTGATACGAAGCAAGACAAAACAAAAACTTTAAAACAATATGAGGGAAGAAGCAGTAATGTTAAAACTATGAGTAGGATTGAAGGCATTCATCACAGACACCCAATAAATGCTGCAGAATCTGAACATCGTGAAGATAGTAAATAGAAAACAAGCTGAAGTTTAAGGCTACTGGTAAAGGTTAGACTACTGTGTGAATAATTAGAGGGCATCTTTCTTTCTCAGTGCAGTCAAAATCAGGCAGCTTGTTTTCTAGTAATCATGTTTTCAACATTATTCATATGAAAACATAAAATTTTAGGTTTTAGGAAATAAACTGAACTCTCCATACTCTCTCAAATCACTAGAAAGTCTCCGTCAGTTATTTCTTTCTCAGTGCTGATTAACTATCGATTCAATTGGTGGTCAAAATCGAGACTTGCTGCTGTGTTTTTGTTTTGAAATTTTTATTTTATTGACTTTTGACAGGGCACAGCTAGAGAAGAGAAAAGCCTAGTTTAAAAAAAGTATTTGTATCAAGCCATCTCACCCATTAAATATTGATAATTTTACATTACAGTTCCAAAACAATAATGAATTATTGTTCCCACATCAACTGGTCCAAAACAGAAGCAAGTCTGTTTTCCTTCCCCTATGGTTAGCGCAGTGTGTCTGGACAAACAGGCAATTAAGTTCTTAAAATATGAACCCAAATGAGACTGAGACTGGGTGTGTTTTCATATTCTTCTACAGCCAAAGATGTGTAACTCACCAGGGAGGCTTAACTTATTCTGACTCTTCTGGATAAACATGCATGTTATCCTTGATGTTTATGCATTTTTCAGCAAGTTTTAGGAGAATAGATGGATTATTTATAAAATAAAGAACTTATTTTTCACATCTCAGTAATGATATGGTGGAAAGCCGAATTGTACCACGGAAAAGGTCAGAACACCTTGATCATATGTCAGTTTCACCCTTTAGCTAATAGTGTGACCTCAGGAAGGTCACTTTGTCTATCTGACCTACAGGTATGTCATCTATAAAATATGTCTGATGATAATTCTTAATCGACCCACCTGTCAGAGCTCTTAGACACAAGTGAAATTATGAATAAGGTGTAAAAATGCCATATAAGGCTCATTTTCCTTTAATATTTTAATACTAAATCCATAAAAGTTTGTAGTATCTGTTTGCATACACATGACCAAAAATATTTTGGATGGAAGTGTAAAAAAAAATCAGTCAAGGTATCTATATGCTCCATTTGCAAGAGGTAATAATCTACTTGTTTAAAATTATATATACATATATAAAATTTATATAAAATATACAATTTTAATGTTATTGAATTTTGTATATACATTGTATATACATATGATATACATTATATACAAAATTGATTTTTAAACTTTTAACTTTTTTTTTTAAGATGGGGGCGTCTCACTTTTTCACCCAGGTTGTAGTGCGGTGGTGCTGTCTCAGCTCACTGCAACCTCCGCCTCCCAGGCTCAAGCAATCCTCCCACAACAGCCTCCTGAGTAGCTGAGACCACAGGTGCATGCCACCACACCCGGCTAATTTTTTCTATTTTTGGTAAAGATGGGGTTTCACCATGTTGCCCAGGGTGGTCTCAAACTCCGGAGCTCAGGTGATTCAGTCACCCCGCCTCCCAAAGTGCTAAGCTTACAGACAGGAGCCACTGCACCCAGCCTAAAATTTAACTGTTCAGTTATGTTTGAGGTTGTGTTCTCAAGCTTTCATCTACTTTTTTTTATGTTCTTTCTTAAAAGCTGGTTTTATTATTCACTGTCTTCTGTAGCTGCTTCCCTCCTTGGTTTTATTGTATCGTCTTTTGTATGTAGTTTGTTACAGTCAATATTGTTTATGTAAAATAACTGCTTAAATTAACTTGTTATCTGTGTCTACTTCAGAAAACACAGAGTTCCATACTTTTTATTTTAGTAAATGTAAAGTGGTGGTATTGATGGAAGGTTGGGGAGAGGATATTTCAAGCAAGTCTCATATAAGATATTGCTGGAGGTAGTTAATAAATGTCAAAAATCCTAAGCATGAAACATTCAGGACTTTACAAGACAAAAAAATAGAATAAAATTTTGGCCTCATTCATCTAAATTGTTTTTTTCATCAGAGCAATTTTGATTACATTTTTTTATTTCCATCCTCCAAAATTGTTCATTGTCTTTGTCTATATGTTCACACAGTTAACAAGTTGGCTAATATTTCTGGTTATCTTCACAACCGATTATGCATTGATCAACTGATTGACCATATAGCAATTTTATTTGGTTGTTAAGAACAGATGTAAATACCAGATTGACTCTGTTACAGTTGTTAATTTAGCTGTACAGACAAGGTGTCAGAAAAGACCTTCAGAAATATATATAAAATGCCTTACATTCTCAAATGGTCATGAAAATATTAAACCTGCAGCCAAAATAAAGTTTAATTTGAATAACTTTTATTTTCAGAGACTACACGTTAAAATAGAATTCAGTGTGGAACATAATTTAAAGTGTTCTGATACAATAGGGAAATGGTTGCTGAACGTTCTTCTGTGTCAAACAGGTGGACACAACTGCTAGATTAACAATGAGGCATATTAGCAAATATTGCTGTCCTTCAGTGCTGAAGAGGATGTTGGCTCTTGCAATTATGTTCTTAGGCTCTTTGTTGATTTTGGTGAAATGAGCAAATTATGTTTTATTTTATATCATTAATAATATTTCATCTTTTCTGAATTAGTCCTATTGAAAATTAAAGATAATTTAATTGTTATGAAATGGGAATTATGCAGTTTTAATCTCTACTGACAGTGACTATACTGCTTGCAAGTCTAATTTACTATCTGGCTCTTTGGGAAAAGTTTGCTGACCCGCTGCTAGGGTTACTACTGCCCTATAGTGAGAGTCCAAGTCTCTTTTTACTTCAACAACAGTTGTCTCTCCATCCCTGGATCCTAAGGTGTCCCACTCTACTTCAGATCAGGGACAACAGAAATTCTGAGGCACCATTGGGCCAGGGGTCTAGGGGTTAGAGCTTTGGGTGAAATGAACAAAGGAGTTAAAATCCAAAGTACAGACTTCTGAACTTTTTGTTTGTTTTTGTTTTGCTTTTCTTTTATGACAGCATCATACAGGGATCCAAAGTCTTCCCTCCCTTGGGAAAATGTTACCTTTTAAAACATTACATTTAACACATAATAATTTTGTATATGTATGTGGTACAATGTGATGTTTTTATCTGTGTACACATTATAGAAGACTCGATTAAGTTCATTGCTGTATCCATCTGAAAGCCAGTTAGTAATCAGGATAGAGTCCAGGGCCCTAGAGTATGGGTGGGGGGTGGATGTGCTAATTTGTTGCTCTGAGCCCTAAAATTATCTCTCATTGTTTTTCTTCACTATGCCATTAATGTGGAAAGATCATAAACTTAGGTTGGATTTTTTTTTTTTTTTTTTTTTTTTGAGATGGAGTCTCACTCTGTTGCCAGGCTGGAGTGCAGTGGCACAATCTTGGCTCACTGCAACCTCTGCCTCCCAGGTTCAAGCGATTCCCCTGCCTCAGCCTCCTGAGTAGCTGGGACTACAGGCGCACACCACGACACCTGGCTAATTTTTTTTTTTTTGTATCTTAGCAGAGACGGGGTTTCACCATGTTGGCCAGGATGATCTTGATCTCCTGGCCTCGTGATCTGCCCTCCTTAGCCTCCCAAAGTGCTGGGATTACAGGTGTGCATGTTTAGTGAAAAGGGGCAACAGTGAATATCTGACACATTTTCATGTGGGCCAAGACACACAAGAGTTTGGTTCATCTGGGGTCCATTCTAGCTCACTGGAGTTTAGAATCACATCCCGCATATTGAGGCCAACCTGCAGTAATAAAGTATGTGTGTTTGTTGGTCTTTTCCAGTGGAAATTTGTGGTACCAGTGCTTCTTCATCCAGGATTCAAGATTCCCAGCCAAATTTCCCTTTCTCTACTAAACTAGCAACAACTCTTATTGTTGTGACAGTTTCTACCCTCAAGTGATTCCTAGTCTAATGATAAAAACATAAATGCCAAGAGCTAACTATAATGACATGTAGTAAGTGAGAAATTGCTTCACAGAGAAGGTAACATTTCTCAGTGGTGTAAAAGAGCTGGCTCTTACCAGCTCCATTGTTAAGTATTTAGGAATCAACAGCTGAGTTGTTAAATCACTGGTAGCTTGAAATGGGCTGTGGTGGGAATATCTCCACCATGGAAATTGGCAAAAACTGCAAATTGGGACTTACTTTTGTACAGAGAGCCTATTTGCCAAAGTAGCACTGGATTTGAACTGGAAAAAGGAGGGAGTGAGGGGTAAATTTATTGTAAGCAGAGGGGACAGACATTATGATTAAAATGTAATACAGTATATTAAAATATCAGTAACTTTTGACATTTGAAAAGGGTTATTCTCTTTGATGCATAAGTATTAATCTTATTCATTAAAATGTGAAAACCACATACATTGTTTTTCTTTTATATTTATCACATACTTATAGGGTAAGCAAGTTTCATACCGCAATCATCTTTTGGTCATTTTCTCTAATTATTCTTCACAGATTTGTATGTATGTATATAGGCATCTAGTAAGCTGTTACGTTTTCTTCCAGCATTTGGTATGGTTCAGGAAGTCTAACATCAACCTGATTTTTAGCCATTTATTGGCAAACTATTCCCTTTTTCTTTAATGCTTCATAATCCCAAATTTCTATTATTTTCAATAATGAGTCTTACTATTTTAGCTTGATATATTTGGTGAAGTTTCTAAATCTATAAATTTGTTTTTCTTCACTGTAGGTAGATTTATATGTATTATGAGGTTTCCTTGAGTGATGTCAGAACCAGCTTTCTAAAGTTGATTATTTTTTCCTTTTATTCATATCTATGAGTTTTCTTGTCACTTTCACTTCTGTTCTTTCCCTTTGGATTCAAGGCTTCTCAAACTTGCCATCCTTATTACAGATTTGATTTGATCACTTCTATTTTTATTGTCTCTAATGGGAGTTTTAGCCCTGCTCTTGCTCTGGTGTTTCATTGTATTCTTTTTCTACTTTAGTCAGAGTTCTTTGTATCTCTGCGTCGATCTTACACTCTATGCTCTTCACCCCCTTTTTCCAGAGGCCACTTTCATCTTTCATGTTTTTGAAGACATCAAGCATAGTCTGCTAAGCTTTGCCTTTTCCTTTCCCTACTGATTATTTTTCTGTTTGTTCACCCTTAGCAGATAGAGATCTATCTAGACCTGGCATTTTTCGAAAGACAGTTTCTTAGTTTCATTAGCTTGGTCTGCTCTTCACCTAGGTTCAGGCAGCTTCCTTCTTTGGCTCTGGAACCAAAGGCAGATTTATTTGCACAGATCTGCACGTCTTGCACAGATATGTCTGTTTCTAACAGTAGTTAGTCCAGAAAAGATTGACCATGGAATTCTTTTCTTGAGAGGAGTGGCATCTCAATCAATGTTTCCCAACATATGGTTCTCATGGCCTTGGGGACCCTGAAGGGATGTATGGGGCAGGCTCTGGCTGGCTTAAAAAGTGATTCCTTAGGGTTTAGGAGAAAAAATTGCATGTTTTTGTGGTTTGTGCATGTATTTTATGTATTTATTTGTGTATTCATTTATTTATTTGCTAGAGTTTAGAGCAGCAAAGGGAGGGTAAATCAAAGACCACTGATTTGGACTCAGCCTTCTTGCTCTGCTCTGCATTTGCAGTTGTATTGTTTGTCGTGGAGCAGTATTTCTCAACAGTGGCACTATTGATATTTTGGGTCAGATAATTCTTCGCCATGGAGGCTGTCTTGTGCATTGTAGGATGTGGTAGGAGTTGTGTTTCCTGAGTAGGGCACAACCTCCCTGGTTTCTACTCAGTAGATACACCCCACTCCCAGTTGTGATAAGCAAAAATATGTCCAGATGTTGTCTAATGTCCCCTGGGGAGCAAAATTATCATCGCTTTCTCTCGTTAAGAACCACTGCTCTAGAGACTAAGAACACATTTCTAAATTTCATGAAACTTTCTCCAAAATCAAATTCTATTCTTTTTGTCAATTTGTCTAAATTTGATTGTACTGTTGCCAGTCTTTTTTTTTTTTCTATCTTCATTGGCATTTAGTAGAATGTATAAAAGGCTTATATGAGGAATTGTATTTTTTTGTTTATTTTTTCATCTGCCAAATAATCACTGAGCACATAATATATTCCATGTTTTCTGCTTGGTCATGGAACAGGAAATTGAGTAAGACTTTCTCTTTGCAAATTCTCATCTTTGGAAATTATTCTAGGATTTATATAAATTATCATATTTAACTTCTTCAAATTTCTTACCTTTTGTCTTTCTTAATAAATAATCTCCTGATACTTTTCTACATCTTGTCTTAATGTAGGACTTGTCAGTACCTTTAAAATGTTCATGTCATTTACACATTTCCAGAGGAGGGGGATAAAGTGTGGTGTTCCTTTATCTTATTTTATCATGGGGCTCTATTTTCTTCAAAACATCTTATGAGATAATTAGTCCAGGGTATAGGCTTTGGGAAATATTCCATTTATGCATTTCTTTATTATCTAAGGATGGATGATACTGATCTTTTCAGATTAATATCTTTAGCCCTGATATTCCACAGAACCCCAGACCCTAATATTAATTCCTCCTGTATATCTCCAGATTGAAGTTCCACAAATATCTCAAACTCAGAACTTCTTCCAAGGCAAAGAATTCCAAGGCATTCCTGACCCCCAAAATAGAGTATAATATCTCTCTTTATATCTTTAACACTGTTCTGTCAAAACCATACTTCAGTGTAAGTTAGTATCTGTTGTAATTCTGTCTTTCCTGCTAGACTGTGAGAATTCAGATACAGTGTCTGGGTTTCTTCTTCACTTTTCTCCCCAGAATTTGGAACAAAATGGGTGCTCAGAAGATGTTTTCTTTAAAGTACAAACACTGGGCAAAAATAATGCCACTGACATTTTTTTAGAAAATGTTTTTTAGCTTATTTCTCCACATACTTAAATTGGGGTTGGAGGATACATTTGACAACTCTAGGAACCTAATGTTAGATGTTGAAGAAGAGCACTATGGGAGGCCAAGGCAGGTGGATCACGAGGTCAGGAGATCGAGACCATTCTGGCTAACACGGTGAAACCCCGTCTCTACTAAAAATACAAAAAATTAGCCGGGCGTGGTGGCAGGCACCTGTAGTCCCAGCTACTCTGGGAGGCTGAGGCAGGAGAATGGCATGAATCCAGGAGGTGGAGCTTGCAGTGAGCCAAGACTGCGCCACTGCACTCCAGCCTGGGTGACAGAGAGAGACTCCATCTCAAAAAAAAAAAAGAAAAAATAAAAATTGTAAAAAAAGCACAGAGGCTGGGCATGGTGGCTGAAGCCTAACACTTTGGGAGGCTGAGGCAGGAGGATCACTTGAGGCCAGGAGTTTAAGATCAATCTGGACAACACAATGAGACCCTATTTCTACAAAACAAACAAACAAAGAAACAAACAAAACCACCACCAACATCACCAACAAAACCTCAGGGAAATAGGGTACCGGGATTTGCCAAAGACAAACTTGAATGAATTAACAATTCTGGATAGTGCTAGTAATGTCTTTGAAAAAAATTTAAGTGTCTTTTTTGGCAGATGTAGGGATTTTGCAGGTTGGCTTGTGTCCAGCGTGATGATTAAACATTTGTTCCTTAAAAAGAGAATTGATTCTTTTGTTCTGTGTTGCTCAATTCAAGATTAAGTCATGAGGGGATTTGGAAGGATGTACTGAAGTTTCATCTGGTTTGGTGAGAACAATATGCTACCAGATAATCATTGCTTTGTAATAGTCCAAGAAAGTAACAGTTTTTTAAAAAAGTTAAAACTCCATATAGCATTTAATTTTTGATTAAATCCAAACCAGAATAAACATCGTGACTGAGTTTTAGGAAGCCCACCAAACCCTTCTGCCATGATTCTTTGCTGGACCCAGAAATACCATTTCTTTCTTTTGTTTTTGAGATGGGTATGTTATGGGTACATTTGTCTTTTTGTTCAGGTGCTGTGAGACAGAGATGAAAAAGACAATCTTCCAAGCCTTAGGAAAAAAATATTAACCAACCATCTCTAGGAAATTGCAAAATAGTTTCTACTTTATCAGGATTTCCAATTCCAGGTATCTTACTTTGGAACTTTTGTATTACTTTAATGTCACTCATAAAATGTTACATTTCTGAAACTGCTAGATTCCACAGAAATCAGGAATTTTTTGTGTACTCTATAAGAAGAAGACCGTAGATTACAAACTGTTGATTGTAAAAAATAAATACGCTTATTTTTTTCTCCATTATCAAGGTTGACTTTTTTTTTATGTTGTAAAAAATGAATGTTAGCTTTCTATTCTAAGTCTGTGTAAAAAAAAGAGGCCTCAGAAGATTAAATTTGGTAGTGTAGATATAGCTACTTTATGTTATTTATTTCTGTGTCTACATGTAGCATCATTCCAAGTTCAGATACTGCAACCAACAACCTAGAGTACTTCCCTTTTTGTTATACTGATTTAGACACCTAACATCAGGATGCACTATGGGAGATACAATTTGGCCAAACTAGGCCTATATTCACAATGTAATTAATTGCTTTTTAATGGAGCTATTTAATAGCACTTAATGTGTATTGAAACATAAATTGGTCTTTATGTTTATTTAAGGTGAATAGGATAAAGATGATGGTCTTTGGAGGCAAAAAAAGTGTTACTGGGAAAGAAGTGATAACCAGACACATTCACATCATTATGCACCATCTCTGTTCTGATAGAGAAGCCAAAAGCACAGGGCCAATCCTTTGCTTAAGTTATGAGCATGGTATGTATGACCTATGTCACACATGTTATTTAAAATGCACATTTTAGCCTATTCAAGAGTTCTTTTTCTGAAAAGTAAATTTTAGACATTTTTGTAAAGTCTTAGGAAATTAAGAAAGAGGATTTATGAGTTAATATATGTACAGCTCTTAGAAAGTACATATAGCTCAAAGTTCTCTGCATTTATTATTATGGTATGTATAATAGTCACTGTTGACTTAGTTAACGTTAAGTAAATATTAAGCATCTATTACATGTAAAAGGCTATACTATAAACTATATGATTCACTTTAAAAAATTTTTATTGATAGATAATATTTGCACATATTTATGGGGTACATGTGATATCTTGTTACATGCATAGAATGTGTAATGAAATGAAATATGCATAGTATTTTTATTCAAGAAGTTTGCATATTAATGGTAAAGAAATTCATAAAAAAGAAAATTAAGAATATAAAGCAGTACAGTAAGTATATGGGGACATCAGGAGTTGAGAGAATAGAGAGATCCTTGTGGCTCCATGCAGGACATAGATCGGTCAGTTATATTGAAGGGAGATTTTGGAAGGGATGGCAAACATTTCAGGAAGGAAAAGAAAAAGAAATGAAGATAGAACTACATAAAATATTTATAGGCTGGCTGTACTGGAGGCCAGGCTAAGAAGATGAGATTAGAAAGAAATGCCAGAATCAGAGGTCTGGACTTGATTCCATTTAGTCGTTGAAATTTTCCGAGCAGGGATAAGCCAGGATGATATTTGTGTTTCAGGAGATTAATGTGGCAGTTATACACAGAAAGGATTTTAGGGAGAGACTAGAGGCTAATAAGATGGCTAACAGGGAAATAGGAAAATAGATAGCAGTAGAAATGGAAAGGAAAGATGAATGTAATGGACATTGTCAAAGAAGAATGATCATGCTCTATTGTGTTGATGAGATACTATGTTTTGTATACTTTGCATATTAATTTCTTTCATTTACAAAAATTATTTCAGAGTTCTTAAGAATTATGGTCAATTTTTTATAAACACGAATTTTGTTTCTATGGCTAAATTAACTAATGAAAAATGAAAGAGACAGTAATTATAAAGTGCTTATAATTTGGTGCATATTTTGAAAGTTGGTGCTAATATTTGTGCTTTGGATTAGGCCAACCACGATTCAGTTACGGGCTTTGCAACTTACTCATGTAAATTTGGAAAAGGTATCTAACTCTCTAAACTGCATATTTCTCATCTGTAAAATGCTGATAAAACTTTTCTCATAACCTTATTATAAAGATATAATATATTTTAAATGCCCAAGCATACATACAGCATGTAATAATTATGTAGTAAATGTGAGATGCAATTAACGTCAGAAAACTAAGCGTAGAAAAATAGAAAGCTGATATCATTGTAAAGTCCATTACAATGTCTGTGTTTTGTGTGCCTGGAACACAATATACTTCATTTTTCTAGGTTCAAGGACCTTGTAATTTTTTTTTATTTTTCTATCATCTCACTGATATCTCCATTAAAACATCATTTATTTGTTTCTTCTTTTCTCTTTGACTGCTTTCTGTTGGTATGATTTGGGGATTAGCTCTCAGATTTCTCTATTTTACACATTTCCTTGGTGATCCCACTCAGATATTTTATCTCCATGGATGATTAATTATCATCTATGTGCGGATAACTTCTGTGATACTTTTAAAGATATATTCTCAAATTTTTTGATACACCTTTTTTCAAGCAGTTGGGCTCAATTCTACTTCTCTTTAGTGTGGGTCAACCTATAGATTGTGAAGACATGTTGCGAAAAGCCCTATAGAAAAGTCCACAGAAGTGAGGAACTGAAGCCTCCAGCCACAGTACACATGAGTGAGTTTAGCAGTAGATTCTCCAGCCCCAGTTAAGTCTTCTGAGACCACATCCTAAAGACAAGTTGATTATAACTTCATGAAAAACTCGAAGCCAGAGCCACCCAGCTAAGCCACGTCTGACTTTCTGACATTCAGAAACTGCATGAGATAATAAATACTTTTGTTTTGTTTAAAGATGCTAAGTTTGGGGATAATTTGTTACACAGCAATAGGTAACCAATGCAACCTCTGAATTTATATCTCCAGCCAGACATCTCCACTGAGCTCCAGACTTGTATATCCAACTGCCTACTCTCACCTCTACTTAGATGTCTAATAAACATCTTGATTTCAATACATTCCTGATGGTTAACATTAGGTATCAACTTGACTGGATTGAGGAATGCCTAAAAGGCTGGTGAATCATTGTTCCTGGGTATGTCTGTGAGGATGTTTCGAGAGGAAATTGACATTTGAGTCAGCGGACTGAGAGAAGGAAGATCCACCCTCAATGTGTGTGGGCACCATCCAATCAGCTGCCAGCACAGCTAGAACAAAAGAGCCAAAAGAATGGGGATAAGCAGCTGTGGAGTCTCTTACTGTCTCTCCCTTCCCATGCCAGATGCTTACTTTCTCTCCTCCCGCCCTTGGACATCAGACTTCAGGTTCTCTGACCTTTTGTACTCTGGGATTTGCACCAGCAGCCTCCCAGCGGCTCTTGGGCCTTTGGCCTCAGACTGAAGACTACACTGTGGGCTTCCCTGCTTTTGAGGCTTTTGGACTTGGACTGAGCCCCTACCAGCTTCTGTCTCTCCAGCTTTCAGGCAGGTTACTGTGGGACTTCACCTTGTAACTGTGTGAGCCAATTCTCCCTAATAAACTCCCTTTTATATATACATATATGCTATTAGTTCTGTCTCTCTGCAGAACCCTAATACAATGGCTTACAACTAAACTCATATTATTTGCCCTTTCCCCATCACCCCCAAGGCCCCAGTATAACTTTTTCATGCCAGTTACTGAAAACTGCTAAGTTACTAAGTCTTGAAGAAATCCTTGACTTCTCTCTTTTATCTTCTTTCTCCATCTGTTGGGAAGCTTTTTGGCTCTACTTACAAACTATTTACTGAATTGATAACTTTTTAACCACCTTACCTCTGCCATTCTATTACAAGCCAACCTGACCTCTTTCCTGGATTATTGTAAGAAATTCCTAATTGCCTCTCAGATTCTATCCTTGACTGCTTGTCTTACTGTATATTTTCAACACAGAAGGCAAAGTTATCCTTTAAAAGCTTATTCTTATCCTTTGAAAAACGAGTCAGCTTTCTAGTTATAGTAATGATGAAGTTTCTTGTATTGGACTAGCCTTCCTGCAGATAGCAATTATAAATCCTAGACAAAATATTTTTTGTAAAGCTATTTGAAGGCACTGGAGGGCAATCAAAACTAGGCAGACACTGAACAATATTTGACACTGAAAAAAGGAAACCATGCTGGGTGACAGCCACATTTACAATGAGGGGAAATACCCAATCAATGAGTGGTGCAATTGGATACAACTAAGCAGAAGGCACAGTTTTATCAACCTGTGATGTTAGAGGACAGAGTTAGAGGCTAACAGAGTGAGTAGAAATTAATGAGAGAAAGTCCAGAAATGAAGGAGCCACAGAAACAGGATACCAAAAATCTTTAATTTAACTGCCCTCAATCCTTTGTGTCATTTTCTGAAATTTATATATAGGGCATACTCTAAGGAGTCCAGGGGAAATACAAACTTAAAGGATAAAAAAGCTAAGCATAGATTTCAGCCATTGCCTCTTGGTGGGATGACAGTGTTTGGAGTTTGAATCCTGATTGATAAACACCTCAGACTTTCAGTAAAACCCATGAAATACTCCATATTAGATGTAAATACTGTGTTTGTTGATTAAGGGCTATAGTTTAAGTGTAGGAATAAAGGTGAAGCAGATTGACTCTAACAAAATATAAAATAAAGTCTTCAAAAATTCAATGTGATTAGTCAACAATTTAACTGGCTGCCAGAAAAAGCAAACAAATGAACAAGCAAACAGACAAACTAACAAAAGCACCACTTCTGACAGGAAGTTAATAGAAACCAGAGTCTCTCTCCATAATATCAAGTGTGCAAGAAGGATTCATTAGATATATGAAAATATAGGAAAATGTGAGCCATCCTCAAGAACAGAAGAAATTAACATACCATGAAAATTAGTAGACAATTAACAGTAAAGGACTTTAAAGCATCTATCATAAGGACTTAATTTAAAAGATGACTATAATAAGTGAACAGATGGTGAGTCTCTGTAGAGAAATGAAAACTATAAGAAAATCAAATAGAAATTCTAGAAATAAAAAATTTAGCATCCAAAATAAAAAAGTTCCATGGATGAATTTAGCAGCAGATTGAAGCCAGCAGATAAAAAGCTGTGGTAGGCAGAATAATGCCGGCCCCTTCCCTCTGCCAAAGATGTCTACACCGTAATCTCTGGAACCTGTGCATATGTTACTTTACATGGAAAATGGAATTTTGCAGAAGGAATTCAGGTTGTCAACTTTAAAGTAGAGACATTATCCTGGATTATCACATGGACCCTGAAAAGTGGAAGTAGGTCAAAGATTTGAGATAATGGAAAAGGGCAGGAGAGATTTGAAGTGCTGAGAGAGACATGACCTTCTGTTGCTTGTTTAGAAGCTGAGGAAGTCACATGCCAAAGCTGGCCCTCAGCTACAGTCAGCAAAGAAACAGGAATGTCAGTTTCACAAAATCTGGAGTCCACCAACAACCTGAATGTGCAAGAAAACAGATTCTTACCTGGAGCTCTCAGAAAGAAGTACTGCCTTCCCAATTCCTTGGTTTAGCTCAGTAGAAACTGTGTCAGATTTCTGTTCTACAAAACTATAACAAACTTTTGTGGATTTAAGCCTCTAAATTTGTGGCAATTTGTTATGGCATCAATTGAAAACTAATACAAAGGAGTCAGTAAACATCAAAATAGATAAATATAAAGAGAAAGAAGCAAACAAAAATTACTTTAAAATATATTGGCCCCAAATTTTTCAAGTTTGGTGAACAACATACATTTATAGATCCAAGAAGCCTAGATAACTCCCAGCAAGATAAACACAAAGTAAACTACACCTAAGCACATCATGGTAAAACTTTAGAAAATAAAAGATAAAGGCAAAATACTGAAAGCTGTCAGAGGAAAGAGGTCATCACATATAAGGGAACAATTATACAAATAATGGCTGAATTATCATCAGAACATTGAAGACCAGAGGACAATGAAGACACTTTACCCTTTCAATAAATGATAATAGAGCAACTAATCGGATAAATACATGGGAAAAAATGAATCTTAGCTTCACCTTACACTACACACAGAAACAAATTCAAGAAGGATTATAGCCCTAAATTATAAGATTAAAACAATAAATCTCTTAGAAAAATATATAAAGAATATTTTTGTGACCTAGGTATAGGCAAAAGCTGCTTAGAGAACACAAATGCACTAAACTTGAAAGAAGTAATCATAAATTAGACTTCATTAAAATATTTAAGAATTCTTTTTTTTTTGCACCAATAAAAGAGGGAAAGCCAGACTATGGGCAGAAGAAAAGATATTAAAAATACATATGTTCAACGACAGAACTGTATTCAGAATATTTAAAGAATTCCTCCAAATCCATAAGAAGAAGACAAATAGTCCATTAAGGTGGGTAAATGAATTGAATAGATCTCACAAAAGAAGATATAGGATGGCCCAGAAGTATGTGAGAAGATACTGAATATCACATTATCTGGGAAATGAAAATTAAAACCAAAATGATATACCATATACATAAATCAGAATTTTTTTCCCACAACATAGATAATATCCAGTGCTGGCAAGCGTATGAAGTAAGTGGAACTCATATACTGCTGGTGGCAGGGTAATGTAGTACAACTACTTTAGAAAATTTATTTGTGGTTTCTTAAAAAGTTAAACATATAATAATCACTTAGCAATTCCACTCCTAGATATTTACTCAAGAGAAATGGAAACATGTGTCTTTAAAATGTCTTGTACAAGAATGTTCATAGCAGCTTTACTTTTAATCACCAAAAACCAGAAATAACTCTTATGTTCATCAATGGGAATACAAATAACAAATTATGGTGTATTAGTACAATGAAATACCACTTAGCGCTAAAAGAAAGTCAGTTTTGGATACAGACAACAATATAGATGAATCTGAAAAAGATTATATTAAGTGAATAAAGCTAGCTAAAATTCATATACTGTTTGATTTTATTTACATGAATAATTACACAAGAATCTATGTTGAAAGACATCAGAAAAATAGTTGCTTAGAGAGGTGGAGATGGACTGAACAAAGGATGACGTTCTGAGTGATGGAATTTTTTTTTCTTTTTTTTTGAGATGAAGTCTCACTCTTGTCACCCAGGCTGGAGTGCAGTGGCACAATCTCGGCTCACTGCAATCTCCACCTCCCAGATTTGAGCTATTCTGCCTCAGCCTCCCTGAGTAGCTGGGATTACAGGTGCCTGCCACCAGGCCCGGCTAATGTTTATATTTTTAGTAGAGACGGGGTTTCATCATGTTGGCCAGGCTGGTCTTGAACTCCTGACCTCAGGCAATCTGCCTGCCTTGGCCTCCCAAAGTGCTGGGATTACAGGCAGGAGCCACTGCCCTGGCCAGAAGTGTTTTATATCATATTTGGGAAAGTTTTTATTTGAATATTTGCATTTGTGAACAATTATTAAATTGTATATTTCAACTTGCATTTAGCTGCATAATATTTACCTTAATTTAATAAACAATAGCAAAAATTCATCTGCTTAACATTTCCCTTGATTTAATAAACAAAGAAAAAACTAACATCAATCTTCTGTTAAAAATGCCATGATCTTGCAGCAAACCACCATGGCACATGTATACCTGTGTAGCAAACCTGCAAGTTCTGCACATGTATCCCAGAACTCAAAGTAAAAAAAAAAAAAAAAAAAAAAAAAAAAAAATGCTATGATGGCTCCCCATTTCATCCAGTCAAAGCCAAACAAAATAAATAATAATTATCTTGACAACTCTGCTCTGGTATATTTACTAAAAAACAAAACAAAGCAAACAAATCTTTCTCCAATAAGATTTAAGAGAAAATTGTTCCCTTTAATTACACATGCATCTGGTACCACTTGGAAGAAGAAAAGGAAGAATCAACAATAGCATAATATTTACTTTATCATTTTGGGAGCAGAAATGTCATATGACGGTATATACACTCACCCACATACACCTTTCTTGATGAAAAACTTAAATTGGAGCTTCAAATAGCACGTATCTGGTTTTTTAATGAGAGTTTTTATTTTATAACCTTCAGTCAAAAAGTGTCCAATATCAAGAAATGTTTTTCAGATGGATTCTCATGAGGCACTTGGATCCAGGTCATTCTCTTTCAGTTCTGCAAATTATTCCACTAGAACTTCTGTACCAACTATAACCTAAAGTTCCTTCCTTCCTTCCTTCTTTCTTCACTCCCTCCGTCCCTTCCTCCCTCCCTCCCTCCCTCCTTCTTTACTTCCTCTCTCATTCCTTCCTTCCTCCACCAAATATTTATCAAGAGATATACTGCAATACTGGGAAGATTAGAAATATGTGGTTCCTACCAATGAGGAACTCAAGATAAATGAGCAAAGTAGATATGTAAATATACAATTATACCATAAATTAATATTGTAAAACAGATGTATATGTATATATATATATTCTAATCACAGTGGAAATGACTAACTTTGAAGCAAGTGGAAATCTGTTGGGCCACTTAAAAAGGAATATGACTAAACATCATACAATGCACAGGACAATCTCCCCCTTCCCCTATGACAATAAATTATCATGTCTAAAATATCAATAGCATTAAGAATGAGAAACTGTATGTCATTTAGACAGTTTGTTGGGATTTTCTGATTATTTTTCTTCTGTATATGCCCCAAACCTCTCTAGATCATTCTATATTTTGTTTTGCTGGTGAGTGTTAATATTTTATCTTTGAATATTTTGTAGTATCTTCTTTATGATCAAGGGATATGTAGCTAGAGATGAAAAAAATTATTAATGCTTGGATAGTTCCTCACTATATATAAAGCCTTCTCACAAGATATTTCACAATGTACTACTGAGGACAGTAAACATTTTATAAGTGAGAGGACTGTAGCTAAGAAAAATCACAATAGTTTACACATTCAGGGACTTTAGATTGAAACTGAAGTCTTTTGATTCCAAGTCTCATTTCCTTTCCACTGTTGTCTTTGAAATTCCAGGTGTTAGCGATTTAGTACTGTACAAAGAAATTAAAAAAAGAGTTAAGATGACAGAATACACCTTAGTTTCCATTCAGAAATTATTATCCTGTTCCAAATCAAAAGAGAGTAAAATGAAATAAAAATTAACTGCAATGTCTGTATTGTTGACTGGAAAAGTTTGCTATAAAGTTGGCGGCAGGCTGCAGTGGCTCATGCCTGTAATCCCAGCACTTTGCGGGGCTGAGGCGGGTGGATCACTTGAGGTCAGGAGTTCGAGATCAGCCTGGCCAAGAAGGTGAAATCCCATCTCTACTAAAATACAAAAATTAGCCAGGCCTGGTGACACGAACCTGTAATCTCACTTACTCGAGAGGCTGAGGTAGGAGAATCGTTTGAACCCAGGAGGCAGAGGTTGCAGTATGCTGAGATCATGCCACTGCACTCCAGCCTGGGCACCAGAGTGAGACTCCCTCTCAAAAATAAATAAATAAATAAATACATTGGCATAATTGACAAAGTATAACTATGGTTCAAATATATGGATTATAATTGGATTTTGATAGTGTATTGTGGTTATCAAATATAATTTCTTTGTTTTTAGGAAATACACAGTGAAGTACGTAGGTGTATTAGTCCATTCTTGCACTGCTATAGAGAAACCCCTGAGACAGCGTAATTAATAAAGAAAAGAGGTTTAATTGATTTGCAGTTCTGCAGACAATACTGGAAGCACGGCTGGGGAAGCTTCAGGAAACTTACAATCATGGCAAAAGGAAAAGAGGGAGCAGGCACATCTTACATGGCCAGAGCAGGAAGAAGAGAGAACAAATGGGGAGGTGCTACACACTTTTAAACAACCAGATCACGTGAGAGCTCATTCACTATCACGACAACAGCAAGGGCAAAATCCACCCCCATGATCCAATCACCTTCCACGAGGCCCCTCCTCCAACACTGGGAATAACAATTCGACATGAGATTTTGGTGGGAACACATATCCAAACCGTTTCAGTAGGGGTAAAGGGCTGTGATGTTTGTGACCCACTCTAAAATTGTTTAGAGTGAGAAGGGTAAGGCAAATATGGCAAAATGTTAAAAACACACGAAACTAGGTAGAGGGTATAAAGGACTTATTTGTAATATTTTTGTAAACTTTTTGTCCAAATTTTAAAACTATCTCCTAATGGCAATGAAGGCTCAGAAAGGGACAAGTATTTGTGTCTACTAAATGACAAGAAGGCATTATGATAGATATTTGGGATACAAAGATGGATGATTTCAAGAAGCTGTGAGTCTTGTGTCAAAACAGCAAATTAAACAGAAATTACAAAATGGAGTCACAAGTGCTATAGCCTAAGTAGCTCTACTCTGCCTTTTCCTAAGCAAGGCTGCATTCTCTGCATTCATCTGACCTCCCAAAGGAGAGCAGAGGATTCTCCACTTTAGCACGTTGCCTTGGGCCTTAGCCTTGTCCGTTATTCCTGGTTGCTATTTTCCCTAGGAGGTGGAATGTCAAAATGGTCACATCCTCAGCCCATTGACTTGTTTTTACTCAGCTTATGACTTGCGTTTGCCACAGGAGAAGAATCAAGATACATAGCTTAAAATTATGATTATGGGGTGTATTATTCCAGACTTTTGACACCAACTGTACTGCAACTTTAGTACCTGACACTGAGAGAACCATTCTGTTCATTAGAAAAATTCTGGCATCTCACCCAGTGTTTTCAATAGGGCAGGAAAAAGGAATGGCTCAGTAAAGGAGCATATCAGAATTTCTGTCTCCTGGAGAGAGAAAATGTGGTGCTCCTACCCCTATCCATATCTGCTATCACTGTGCGTCAAGAGAGGTATTGCTGATATGGTTATGGGAGAGGGAACATGGAAAAATATATATTGAAACTCACTGATCTAGACTAAAATTCTCATTTTATAGATAAGTAAAGTAAGACCCACAAAAGTAAAATATCTTTACCAAGATTATTCAACTATTAGGTTGAACTCTGTGAAATTAAAACTTTTACAGGTAAAAAATTTGTCTGATATTGATAATTTCATGTGGTCCAAAATAATAACGGCATGATGGTGAGAAGCCTGATCTTCATATTTCTAGGGAAGATATTTCCTAGTAGACCATGCTTTTTGCTTGCGATAGAAAGCAAAGTACTTTCTGGAAGGTTCTTCAGTGGCATGTCCTCTGTTTAATTTGAACATTTCCATTACAGCCCTCACATCTGGCCACACGCATTGTGTAGAGCACAATTTCAGGAGGCACTTTTTGCATATTCTATGACACTACAATACAATCAGCAGAATCATTACCTTACATTTGAAAAAAAATATTACATCCATACTCTTTCGAACTTGTTTCTTTTCCTAGGTATCTAACGCCAATATTCACAAATTATTTCTACAATCATTTTTTCATTCTATTGTACCCTCCAAATCTCTTCAGATTTCTTCCTTTTTGATATTCTTTTCTCACTATCCCTTGTGGCCTACTCATTGCCTTTCCACTGGTAGCTTGTTTCACATAGCTCTATATCTTTCCCTTCCTCCAGACTGAGGATCGTCTCATATTCCCTTACTCTTTTCTCCTTGATCAATGTCATCAAAGTAATTCCTCACTCCACCTAACTTTAAATTTACAGATTAATTCATTTATGTAAGATAGCTCTTGTCTTAAGTGCAGAAGCAGAAACACAAAGCAAGTCACATAAGAATGGGATCACTGTGTGTATTTTTTCCTTAGATATTTTTGAATATGTAGATGATTGGATATGATTTGAATCATATTTGAAACGCTTTTCTTATTTTATTTTTATATATACATTGGCTGGACTGATATGTTCCCAGATAGTATTCCAGAAGAAGTGAGGGAGAGAAGAAAACATACAGTGTGGTCCAAAAGAGGCAGGGTCTAGAAAAATACTGAAGAAACTTAATTATGTGGAAGAAAGATCAGCAAGCATTCAGGGCCTTTAACTCATTCTGGCAACAGCTTTCATCCGTAGCTACGATGCCCACATTAGCTTTAGCCCACATCCAAGTCCCTGTTATTCATCTCTAATTCTGACATACATTCTCATATTTAACTTTGTTTTGGGTGTTCAAATGGTATTTGAAAAAAAAACCTAAAAAGCAAGTAAACTTGAGTACAATTTTGATCTTCTATCTTCTGTTATTTCTGTATTTCACTCTATTTCTGGGTTAAACCACTAGAATTTTTTTGCATCAAAAGTAGGACCAAGTTGATGTTTTATTGATTTAGAAATGCTATGCTGTCTCAGACTTTACATGCTATGCTTTGACAGTCTGACTGCTGGGTGCTGGATGGCAGCACTAAGCCTTCATAACACTCTCGGTGGTCAAAGGGTTGCAGCTCTTTTGTTGCTGCTGTTTGCTTATCATTTTTTCCTGACTAGGAAGTCAATATAAATAGATACATATATTTTATTTCAGGTTACAAATTACAGTCTGGAAATCATTTTGTAAGATATGGTTTATTCATTTTTCTTTTTTTCTTCCTCTCATCAAGATCCAGCATAGATAACAAACATTTGGAAAGAATGAGCACTGGAGAAAGAAAATAAGCATAAATTGTATAATATTATCTAAACATGTCCTTGTGCATTGCTAGCTACTTTTATGATAACTTTTGTTTTAGTCCATGGATTTATTAGCATTTACTAATTGAATGTTCAGTTCTAATGCTTTATTTTTATCAGAATTTTACCTATGTTTCTTTCACTATGGAAAACATGCTTTCTTAAATTTTCTACTTTAGCAGTAGGACTCAAAATGCCATGGGAAAGGAAAAAGAATACTGAGAAGGACACTACATAAAAGGAGATTCCAGCTGGCACATTGTTCAATAACATATAGATTAAGATGACCAGACATACTGGCTTGTCTATACCAATTTCAACTCAATTCACTTCAGCAAATAGCTTTTTAATGGTCTAAAAATTATAAGAGATTGGACTAGACTCAGCAGGAAATAAACAGATGAGTACACTTCTCTTAAATAGTTTAGTTGAGGTTGAGAGAGGCAATAAGACCTGTACATAAGTAACAATAAGAGGTAAGAGTAAAAATGGGTTTCGTTGAAGAGTTACCAGTGCAGTGCAGCAATGTGAACAGGCCAAACAGGAGATGTCATTCCTTTAGGGCCAAGAGAGTAATTAAACCTTCATGGAGGGAGCTCTTTTTGAAGTGAATTTTGCAGGTGATAAAGTTTTTAAAAGCGGAATAAGAAGGAAAGTCACTTCAGGAGGAGGGAAAAGTGTGAACCAAATGCAGTTATAATTTGGAGGGCAACTAGGGGCTTATGGAGGCTTTTCATAGATTTTGGAGTGGTGAGTTAGAAAAACTATCTTGACAGTGATATGGAAGACGAAGTTCAGACAAACATGTCAGCAGATCCCATAGGATTCTATGGGTCTGGTCTGGTCTTTTCTTTTCTTTTCTTCTTTTCTCTTCTCTTCTCTTCTCTCTTTCTCTCTCTTCTCCTTTCTTTCTTTTCTTTTCTTCTTTTCTGTTCTCTTTTCTCTTCTTTTTTTTTTCTTTTTTGGCTTAGGTGAAATATAACAAAGGCTTAATATAAATCTCTTTAAACAACAAAAGGGAAGTTACCACTGATCCCACAGAAATAAAAACAACCATCAGAAACTACTATGAACAACTCTATGCACACAAACTAGAAAATCTAGAAGAAATGGAGAAATTTCTGGACACATACAGCCTCCCAAGACGTAACCAGGAAGAAATTGATTCCCTGAACAGACCAATGACAAGATCTGAAATTGAGTCATTAATAAATAGCCTACGAATCAAATAAAAGCCCAGAACCAGATGGATTCACATCTGAATTTTACCAGAAGTACAAAGAAGAGCTGGTAACATTTCTATGGAAACTATTCCAAAAACTTGAGGAGGCCCTCTTCTCCACACATTCTATGAGGCCAGCATCATCCTGATACCAAAAGCTGGCAGAGACACAACAAAAAAAGAAAACTTCAGGCCAATATCCTTGATGACCATTGATACAAAAATACTCAACAAAGTGCTTGCAAACCAAATCCAGCAGCACATTAAAAAGTTAATCCACCACGATCAAGTAGGCTTCATTCCTGGGATACAAGGTTGGCTCAACATATGAAAATGAATAAATGTGATTCATTACACAAACAGAACTAAAAACAAAAACCACAGGACTACCTCAATAGATGCAGAAAAGGCTTTTGATGAAATTCAACATCTCTTCATGTTAAAAACCCTGAACTAAGTAGGTATTGAAAGAAAATACCTCAAAAGAATAACAGCCATCTATGACAAACTCACAGCCAATATTATACTCAATGGTCGAAAGCTGGAAGCATTCCCCTTGAAAACTGGCACAAGACAAGCATGCCCTCTCTCTGATTCCTAGCCAATGTAGTACTGTAAGTCCTGGTCAGAGCAATGAGACAAGAGAAAGAAATAAAGAAATAGGAAGAGAGAAAGTCAAAGTATCCCTGTTTGTAGGCGACATGATTCTATATCTAGAAAACCCCACAGTCTCTGTCCCAAAGCTCCTTGATCTGATAAACAACTTCAGCTAAGTTACAGGATACAAAATCAATGTAAAAAAATCACTAGCATTCCTGTACAACAACAATTCCTATACTACAACATCAGCCAAGCTGAAAGACAAATCAGGAATGTAATCCCATTCACAATTGCCACAAAAAGAATAAAATACTTAGGAATACAGCTAACCAGGGAGGTGGAAGGTATGTACAATGAGAATTACAAAGCCACTGCCCAAAGAAAACAGAGATGACACAAACAAATGGAAAAACATTCTATGTTCATGCTCATGGATAGGAAAAATAAGTATCATTAAGATGGCCATGCTGCCCAAAGCAATTTACAGATTCAATGCTATTCATATCAAACTACCAATGACATCCTTCACAGAACTAGAAAAAACTATTTGAAAATTCATATGGAAACAAAAAAGAGCCCAAATAGCCAAGGCAATCCTAAGCAAAAAGAACAAAACTGAAGGCATCAAATTACCCAACTTCAAACTATTCTACAGGATTATTAGTAACTACAACAGCATGGTACTGGTACAAAAAGAGACACATAGACCAATGGAACACAAGAGAGCCCAGAAATAAGGCCACAAACCTGCAACTATCTCATCTGCAACAAATCTGACAAAAACAAGCAATGGGGAAAGGATTCCTTATTCAATAAATGGTGCTGAGATAACTGGCTAGCCATATGCAGAAGAATGAAACTGGACCGCTTCCTTACACCATATACAAAAATAAACTCAAGATGGATTAAAGACTTAAATATAAAACCCCAAACTAGGAAAACACTGGAAGAAAACTTAGGTAATACCCTTTTGCACATAAGAACAGCCAAAGATTTCATGACAAAGTTGTCAAAAGCAATTGCAACAGAAGCAAAAGTTCACAAATGGAATCTAAGAACAACTGCATAGCAAAAGAAGCCATCAACAGTGTAAAGAGACAACCTACAGAATGGGAGAAAATTTTTGCAAACTATGCATTCAACAAAGGTCTAATATCCAGCATGTATATGGAAACACATTTACAAGAAAAAAATCAACGCCATTAAAAAGTGGGCAAAGGACATGAACTTTTCAAAATAAGACATACATGTGGCCAACAAGCATATGAAAAAACACTCAACATCACTAATCATTAGAGACATTCAAATTAAAACCACAATGAGATATCATTTCACACCAGTCAGAGTGGCTATTATTAAAAAGTCAAAAAAATAACAGATGCTGGCAAGGTTGTGAAGACAATGAAATGCTTATACACTGTTTGTGGGAGTGTAAATTAATTCAACCATTGTGGAAAGCAGTGTGGCAAATCTTCAAAGAGCTAAAAATAGAACTACCATTTGACCCAGCACTCCTGTTACTAAATATATACCCAAAGAAATATAAATCATTCTATCATAAACACACATGCATGTATATGTTCACTGCAGCACTATTCACAATAGCAAAGACATGGAATCAAACTAAATGCCCATCAATGACAGATTGAATAAAGAAAATGTGGCAGACACACACCATGGAATACTATGCAGCCATAACAAAAAAGCAATATCATGTCTTTTGCAGGAACATGGATGGAGTTGAAGGCCATTATCCCTAGCAAACTAACACAGGAATGGGAAACTAAATACTGCATGTTCTCACTTATAAGTGGGAGCTAAATAATGAGAACTTATGAACACAAAGAGAGGAACAACAGACATTGGGGCCTACCAGAGGGTGGAGGGTGAGAGGAGGGAGAGGAGCAGAAAAAATAACTATTTGCTACTAGGCTTAGTATCTGGGTGATGAAATAATCTGGACAGCAAACCCCTGTGACACAAGTTTACCTATGTAACAAACCTGCACATGTACTCCTGAACCCAAAATAAAAGCTTAAGAATATATATATATATATACATATATGTGTGTGTGCATATATATCTCTTATACATATAAAAAGATCTCTCTCTCTCTCTCTCTCTGGACCCAAGCTACCAACCTACTTATTTACCCTGATGCGTCTTACTATATACTAAGACAATTAGTAAAATCTTAGCAAACTCTAGAATTTGAACAATGGACACAGAATTAGAAGTGGAAAAATAAAATGGCTGGAAAGAAACAACTCTATGAGAAAAAGCCTTAGGGAGTAAACTGAGAGATAATTGTGTAAGGAATATTTCTCAATTTAGTTTTTGGCCTGTATAATTCTGATACCAAAACCTGAAAAAGACAGTAAAAAAGAAAATTATAGGCCAATGTTCCTAGTGAACATGGACTAAAACATTCTAAAAAAGAAAATAGTAAATGGAACCCAGTTATGTATAACATGAAAAATGACCAAGTAAGGTTTATTCCTGGAATGCGAGGGTGATTTAATATCTGAAAATTAATCAATGTAATTTACCCCCTAACAGAATAAAGGTAAAAACCCATATGATCATCTCAATAGCTGTAAAGAAATATTTGATAAAATTCAACACTCATTTATGATAAAAACTCTCAGCAAATTAGAGATTGAAGGGAATTTTCTAAATCTGACAAGGGATATCTATAGTTCAGAAGCTGTTGTTACAGGCACTTGGATAGTATTTTCAAGAAATGTTGGGGAAGGGTGGCCTTGAAGCCTGACTGAAAAGGAGTGAAGAGTTGGGTGACTCAGTATAAACTCCCCCCTTCTTTTTCGACAGCAAGGCTTGATGATGGGAAAGGAGAAAAAGGGTGATAGTTCCAGAAGAATATTAGGAGGGATGTTTTTTATATTTTATTCATTTTTGTTATTTTGGAAATGGGGGGAAATTGAACTATTTATCATTCCCTAAATAAACCATGTATTTTTGCTCCCTATGATCTACATGTTGTAAAGGTCTGGGTACTGGCATGAAAGAAACACAGACTTATAGTCTTAAATCTGGAGAAGGCTAAATGTAGGGACTATTTAGAAAGGTGTGGGGAGAGGAGAGGGAAACCAACAAAGAGCATTGAGGCGCATATTAGCCAGCAATACAGGAAAGCTGTTACTGCCTCTAGACCTGAATTTGTTACTGGAAACCAGCGAGAGTAGTAGCCATGAGAATTAGGTGACCTGAAAAGATAAATACCTTAAACTGTCTTTCTTTTCACCTTCCATTATCCTGCATGTGCCTACCATTGGCTGATCCCAGCAGAAGCTGGTGGATAAGGGAGCCTGGGTAATGCAGTTCCTACAGGCCATTCTTCCAGGTTATAAAGAGGTGGGCAGATGAGGAATCTATAGAGGTGAATGAAGAATAACTAGCATCATATGTCATTCTCTAAATATAATGTCCTTCCTTCCTTTTTCTATCTGGCAAAATCCTGATCACCCTCCAAGGCTCAGTTCATGAGTAACCTATGTGGATTCACAGTGCTTCCAAGCAAAGACCATTGTCTTTCTTCTATTTGCATATATGTGCCTGTGACAAAGAATATTTATTGAGTACAAATATGTGATAGACACAGTAATAGCCTGCATTATTAACTTCATTTTTTCATATAATATTGTAAACTAGATAGTATACCCATTTTAACAAGTGAAGAAAGCTAGACTTAGCAGGTTAAGTAATTAGTCCAAACTTACAGAGCTGGTATTGGCAATTATTTTTACCTTTCTAAAAATTGATACATAACAGTTGTAGATATTTATGGGATACATGTGAAATTTTGGTACATGCACACAATGTGTAATAATTAAATTTAGGTATTTCGGATATTTATCATGTCAAACATTTATCATTTCTTTGTGTTGAGAACATTTCAAACCTTCTCTTTTATTTATTTAAAAATATACAATAAATTATTGTTAACTATAATCACCCTACTATGATATAAAAAGCTAGAATTCATTCTGTCTATTTGTACCCATTAACCTACCTCTCCTCATCCTCCCCACTTCCAAACACACACATTCTTCCCAGCCCCTAGTAGCTATCATTTTACTCTCTATCTCCATGAAATCATCTATTTACCTCTCACATATCAGTGAGAACATGCAATATTTGTCTTTCTGTGCCTGGCTTAATTCACTTAAAGCAATGACCTCCAATTCCATCCATGTAGCTGCAAATGGCAGAATTTCTTTCTTTTTTATGGCCAAATAGTATTCTATTATGTATATATACCCAATTTTCTTCATACATTCATCTGTTAGCAGACACTTAGGTTGATTCCATATCTTGGCTACTGTGAATAGTGCTGCAATAAACATGGGGATGTAGTTATCTCTTTGATATAATCCTTTCCTTTTCTTTGGAGTAATAATAGTGGGATTGCTCAATTTTATGGTAGTTTTACTTTTAGTATTTAAAGAAGCCTCCGTAATATTTCCCATAATGGCTGTACTAATTTACACTGCTACCAACAGTGTAAAAGAGTTCCCTTTTCTCTGAATCCTCACCAGCATTTTTTATATTTTGTCTTTTTGATAATAACCATTTGAACTGGTGTGAGTTGATAACTCATTGTGATTTTAATTTGCGTTTCCCTCATGATTCGTGATGTTGAGCATTTTTTCATATACTATTGGTTATTTTTATGTCTTCTTTTGAGAAATGTCAATTCCGATCCTTTGTCCATTTTTTAATGGATTATTAGCTTCAAAGTTTCATACCTTCAAAACTTCTTTATTGAATCGTTTGAGATCCTTGTATAATATAGATATTAGTTCATTGTTGGATGACTAGTTTGCAAATACTTTCTTCTGTTCTACAGGTTGTCTCTTCACTCTGTTGACTGTTTCCTTTGCTGTGCAAGAACCTTTTAGTTTCATGTAGTCCCACTTGTCAATTTTTGTTTTTGTTGCCTGTGCTTTTGAAGTCTTAGTCATAATATCTTTACGTAGGCCAGTATCCTAACATTTTCCCCCTATATTTTCTTCCAGTAGTTTTATAGTTTCTGGTCTTTTTTATAGTAAAAATTTTCTGGTCTACATCTAAGTCTTGAATCCATTTTGAGTTGATTTTTATATGTATATGGTGAGAGATAGGGGTCTAGCTTCATTTTTCTGCATATGGATATCCAATTTCTCTAGTATCATTTATCAATGATGGTGTCTTTTCCCTAATGTATGTTTTTGGCACTTTGTCAAAAGATATTTTGGCTATAAATATGTGGATTTTTTTCTGGGTTCTCTATTCTGTTTCATTGGTCTATGTGTCTGCTTTCATACAAATATCATGTTGTTTCTGTTATTGTAGCCTTGTAGTATATTTTGAAGTCAGGTTATGTGATGTCTCCAGCTTTGTTCTTTTTCCTTAGATTACTTTGTCTATTCAAAGTGTTACGGTTCTACACAGATTTTAGGATCACTTTTTCTATTTCTGTGAAGAATGTCATTTGATGGAGATTGCATTAAATCTGTGGATCACTTTGAGTAGTAAGGTAATTTTAACAGTATTCATTCTTCTGATGTATGAAGATAATGTATGTTTTCATTTTAGAGCTGGTATTGGCAATTTTGAGGAGTTCATGCTGCCTCCATCACGCTATGTTCTGGTGCTTTCTATACAGCCTAAATAGAGCACCTACCAATCATGTTTGTTGAAATTTGAGCAAGAAAAGCATTCACATAGCAAACGATCTCTGGGTGTCACCAGGAAAGCACTTCATCATGGAGATTTCATCAGCAGTAAAGGGTGAGCTCCTCTAACACAAGGGGTTTTGGCTAGGGTTTAGACCTGGGATCTGTCCCTGTAAAAAACAGAATGACAGCAAAGCATGGAGTCAGAGTTCTAGTATATTAGACAGGTATGTTTCTGTTGCCAGTAATTCTATTCAAAGTGCAGATGGTCCCTGACTTATGATTTTTCAACTGTGTGATGGTGCAAAAGCACACACATTCAGTTGAAACTATATTTAAAGTTCCCACCAACCATTCTGTTTTTCTCTTTTAGTACAATATTTAATAAATTACATGAGATATTCAACACTGTAATATAAAATAGGCTTTGTGTTAGATAATTTTGTCCAAATGTAGGCTAATGTAAGTGCTCTGAACATGGTTAATGTAGGCTAGGCTAAGCTATGATGTCCAGTAGGCTGGGTATATTAAATGTGATCGATTTATAATAAGTTGATCAGGATGTAATCCTATTGTAAGTCAAAGAACGACTATAATTCAAATCCTACTTAACATAGTTCAAGCAACAAAGAATGTGCTAACCAATATGGCTAGAAAGTCCAAAGTAAATCTAGCTTTTAAAAGATCAATCTGACTGTTCAAGAGTTCATCCCATACCTTCAAAGCTTCTTTTTCCTCCCTCTTTCTCAGCTTTACTTGTTTCAGTTTTCCTCATCTTTTGGCTCAATTTTTTCCTACTGACAAGTTCTCTCTATTGCCACTGGCAGGCTTAGATTTACATGGCCCTGTTTTAGCACACTCAGTTGAAAGAGAACTTGTTTCCAATTTCCATTTATCAATTTAGGGGAAGGGCTCTGTTTGTCTCTGTTTGTTTGTTAAACACTTACTCTAGAGTTAATCACCGTGATAGGAAAATTGATCATGGTAATTGGTCACACTTGCATTACACATCCATCACAAGGATGGGAAAGGTAGGAATTGTAGGACGTTAAAAAATAATGAAATTTAATGAAAAATATGCTACATGACTCCCCAAAATAGCTATTGCAATCCTTATCCAATCTTCCTATCAAATCTATATTCACATTAAATGCATTCTTTTTTTCAAATCGTTCTTTGTTTTTAGTTTGTATTCCAACTTCTCCAGTAAGTTTTTAACCATGAAATAATTAGCATGAGTCTAATCAACAGAACACAAGTAGAACAATGATATTTTTGCCTTTGTGAAAAATCTTTTTCACCATGCTTAATTCTATACAGATTATCTATATTTACCCATAGCATCACTCTCTTAAAAGCACAGGAATCGTTTTATATTTAAAGATGTGTTAAATTAGTCTGAACTTTTTTTTTCAGGGTACTCTCAATCATAAACATGTACCTGACAACCAAAATTACTTTTCTCTTCTGTCTACTGTATTGATAGTTTTTAAACTTTTTGGGTCAATAAGACTTTGATGAAAGCTGGGGACCTACTCCCCAGCATATATAAACATAGCATGATTTTAAAAATAGAATCCTGGGGAGCTTATAGATCTCTGAAGCTTATAATTGGAGGAGAGCAAAGTAGAGGCTCAGATAGTCAGTGCCTTAGCTAAAGATTGTGCAGTTTCTTCTGCAGGATTTATTCTGCGAGGCTTGTGAATATTTTAACAGAGGCGAGGCATCGTCAAATTTGTACTTTAATGAAATAATTTTGTTTATAGAGGAGAAATGAATTTGGAGTTATGGGAAGGGAAGGTACCAGAGAGATCAGTAAAGAGATTGATATTAATGTATAGGAGGTCAAATAGGCAAGATTTACAGTTTATTGGAAGTGAGGGTTAGGGTAGGAGAACTCTAGGATGGAGCTCAAAGTTTCCAGATGGACTGTGGAGGGATTAACTGATAATACAAATACCGGAGGAGGAACAACTTTGGGAGTTTATGATAAGCTCTATCAAACTGGTACAACTTAAAGTACACATGGGACAGTTGGATATACAGGGTATATGTTTACGATGATAATCTGGAATCTTCATGTAGAACAGTGGTTCTCAAACCTTAGTATCCATCATAATCATTTAGAGAGCTTGTGAAAACAGATTGCTGGGACCCACCCCCACAGTTTCATTCAGTCAGTCTGAAGAATATGCATTTCTAACAATTTCCCAGGTGATGTGGATGCTGCTGATCACACTGAGAAGCAATAATGCAGATTTCTATTCTTTTGGGTTTCTGTCCAATTCTTGCTCTTCTTGTAACAGTTTCCTTTCCAATCCCCCAACTTTCTTTGGGAAATTCCTCCTCTCTTACTCCAACCATTCTGTTCTTGTTTGTCTGCATATATGTATTCATGTGCGACTACACATGGAGAAAACATTGGCGTAGAAGAGGATGAAGCCATCACATAAAAAGAAATTTGAAACAAGGAAGTAAAGGAAGAGAGAAACGAATAAAAATGAAAACAAGAAAAAGAGAGACATGATGATCTTTGTATCTCAGTCATCTCTGAAGCTGGCACTAGCTCTTCCCTTTCCAATTACTTGAGCAATACATTCTCTTCCTTTCTTAAGCTGGATAGAATATGTCCTTGTCACTTTCAAAATAAAAAGTCCTAATACATCATGTTTTTAATTTGTTTAAAAGACTTTTTAAGATCCTGGTTTCTCCTTGTTACGGCTACTTTAAAGCAAGTTGATAAATGTTCTTTCTCTAAAAAAATCTGGTAATAGTCACATATTCCCAAACCAAAATAAAATCAATGTAATCTGAATTTTATTTGCATACATTAATTTATGTTCTTCTTGCTACAATATGTGATGTGGACCATGGCTGAGTATAAGGCATTTTCTTGACTTGATTATTCTAACATAAACACCAATCTAGTTAGAAACATAGATGTTGTTAGAATTTGCCATAGTATATGTGCTGGCATGGGCAGTGTTTAATAGTTTCTCCTCTGACGGTGGTGCTGTTATTGTTATTGATTTTTCAGGGAGACATTCAGGTCTGTATCTTGTAGTATTTTGCAAGCAGCACTGATTAACATGTACAGCTGCTCTTACCATATTTTCTTGTAGTACAATGAAATTAATGGGAAGGAGACCACCTGAGGCACATTAACTAATAGTTAAGAGAAAAATTTTAACCTATTTGCCCTCCCCATTTCTCCAACTGGATAGATAATAGGTTTCCATTAATAAAATTTACTGTGCTGCAATGTCATATGCAATGTGAATTACCTTCCTGTCGGGAACCCGGAAAGCTTAGCATAACATGCAAAACTCCCAAATAGCACCAGATTTTGTTCTTTTTTTTTTTTTCCCTGAATTCTATCTCTGGTATGCCTTGTATATGTGGAGAGATTTTAAATCACCTGGTTTTCTGTTGTAAAAGGAAAACATTCAGATTGATGATGATCTGAAAATATTTCCCTGCTCCTTAAATTACTGACTGTGTGATACGGTTAATCATTCTCTTTACTGTTTATGGTCTCCCCAGTGTCTCAGTGACAGTTAAAAAAGAAAGATGGATGCTCAATATTCATCTTGTTCAGACATAACATTTCTAATGCTAAGAAAAAAGTAGAATATTACCTTTTGATGAGACCTACTATTCAAGTGACAAACAGTACCTTAACAATGTACTATTACTAAATGAAGATAATAAATTACATTTCACTTATTCTCAAGATATCATACTAAACAGAAGCTTTGGAGGGAGGGTTATTTTATATCCACAGTGAAAAACAAATCAAGGATTAGGTATAAACCCTGTAGCTGTTATTCTCTAGTTACTTTATTAAATTACAGATGCTTGAAGCTCTACCAGGCCTATTTAATTTGTGCCCCTGGCTTCTCTTTAGGAGTGAGGACAGATAGTGCACTTTTCCATGATGTAGCATGAACAGGACCTTATTTCATTTGTTAGTTGAGTAGAACTTAAACGGAGTTTTTTGGAAATATAAAACAGAGTTTCCCACTGAGCTAACCTCATTTTCTAGAGTTCTAGCATTGCCCTCACCATATGTTCCATTGCATTATGACAAAGATATCCAACTGTTGAGGTTATTTATGTTTCTAGCAAATAGATGCTAGTTGTGTTTTAAAAATTATCTATAAGCAAGTTAAATTTTTCAATGATGCAATTATCAGTACTAATTTAAAACAGCCTTTCGTTACCTAAATTTAAGTAGAAGAAATGGGAGGTATAAAAGAGAAGGATGGGAAGGGCACTAAGGGAAGGCTAGAAACGTAGATTGGAAGCAGAATATAAATTCTAGGCTAAGGAATTTGGAATCAATTCCAATACTGTGGAGGACTCCATAGAGCAGTTGGCCTGGGTCTCTATGTATCATTGCAAATTGACACTTAAGCCATAAGTGAAGGTTTCTTTGAGAACCCCACTGCCAGCAACATTACAAGGCCTCACCCCTGATGTGAGAGTTGGAGTTTCCTCCAATTCAGCCAGAAGATTACTTCATTTCATATCCCATGTTTTCATTCAAATAGCCCCTCCTTCCATCCTCCTGCCAACCTCTCTCTGGTACATACAGAAATTGCTACTGTAAGCCAGCTTTCTCATGCAGAGGCTCTCATAATTTTTCTCATAAATATAATATACCAAAGCAACATACCTACTTTTTAAATATTGTGTATGTGCAAAATGTACATGAAGAAATGTGTAAGCCCAGTGCTTAGGAGCAGGAGTTCTAAAGTCCGAATGCTTTGGTTCAATTTCATATTCTGATAATTACTTGCTGTGTGACCTTGAGAAAATTATTTGAACTCTCTCAGTCTTTGTAAAAGGAGGATAATATGTGGGCCCCATAGAGTTATTTTAAGAAGTCAGTAAGTTATTACTCATAAAACACTTCAATAGTGCATAATAAAAAGTAATACTC
Organism: Homo sapiens; assembly: GCF_000001405.40. Lineage (NCBI taxonomy): Eukaryota > Metazoa > Chordata > Mammalia > Primates > Hominidae > Homo > Homo sapiens. The sequence goes on from NC_000006.12 coordinate 114,493,525, forward strand.
AATACATTTGTAAAATATTTCTATAGGTTTTGGGCTGATTAAAGTCCTAGTCAGATAATGTGAAAAAAACAAGGTCTTGTAATCAATCAAATGTGGTTTCAAATTTTGGTTCTGCTGATACCAGTCAGGTAAACTTAGGCTTCTCTGAGCCTGTCTCCATATCATAAGGTTGCTCATAGGCACATTTTGGCTTCAAGTAATAGACCACACAATTGTAAATCACAAGTTAGGAAAGATATTACCTCATTTAATGAACAGCCCAGAGGGATGGAGGTACAGCATATCACTCTGACTCTCATTCAGCCCTTTTTTTTGTCTACTTTCTACTTAATTTGGCTCTGCTTATGGTGCCAAATTGGTGGCTGGGGCTACCCGGGCAAGATGCTCTCTAAGAGAGAATCTTAGCTAATGGTGAAATACCAGTTCTTCCCTTTACTCTTATGAATCATTTTAGGATTTACAATTACCCTTACACCAATAACAATAGCCAGACAAATCTGAAGCTGACCAGCACAGACTAATTAGAATTGTCCTTTGTGGCGGCACGGGGAGGGGTTGGGGTAACCTGAATAAAATCAGGGCTCTATTTGGAAAGAGGAAGGAGGAAATGAATATTGCATGGTCATCCAAGTATGTCCACCACAATTTGTTTTGAATATTAAATGAGATAATGCAGTAAAATATATAGCATGGTATCCAGCTGTTGCACCAAAATGCTAATTCCTCTTTTCTCTCTGTTGCAAGTTCCTGATTGATAAATACTTTTTAAAATTAAACTGAGGATTTATCTGGCGCTGGTGATGGGTTAGTCAAGAAAATGAGGGGGGCACGAAGCTAGAAGAAGAGAGGATAAGTTAGAGCAAATTAAGAGGTTATTATAATAGTTCAGATAAGAAGTAATAAACCCCTGAGCCACAGTGGTAACAATTAAACTGGAAGACAGTGATAAATGTGAAAATATTATGGAGCTAGAATTTATAAGGACTGTTGACTGATTGGCGGTAGGAGGTGGTAGGAGAGGAAGTACCTCTAAGATTCGGATCACGTTGCCAGGGAGAATGTCAATATCTTTAATGCAGAGTTGAGAAGGGCTGGTTTGGGAGGAGTGGGATGTCTTTGGTTTGTGGGATGTTTTGAATTCAAGGGTGTGGTGGAATACTCAGGCATGTAAATCATAAGATTCTTAATTCAGCATGGAGACACTGTACCTTTTGGGTCATTCAGATAGAGGTGTTAGATTTGGTGAAATTTTAGGAAGGATTGTGTATGTCAAATAGGAGACAGTCAAAAAAAGAAACTTTAAAAGCAGCTAAATTTGTAGGTAGAAGAGAAAGAGGGATCAGTCAAAGATACACAGATATAGCACAATGATAGTGGCTGTGGAATAAATTATTTTAAGCAAATAAGGGATCCAACAGTGTTAAGTGGTGCAGATGTTTCAAGGAGCTTAAAAATAGAGAAAAGACACAGAGCTTTGTGATTAGAAGGTCACGTAACAGTTCAATAACATCAGTAGTCAAAGTAAACAAATTTGGGGTTATTAAGAAAAGACTGCAGGAATAGCTATTCTTTCAAAAATTTGGTGGTAAAGGGAGAGGCATAGGGTGGTAAGGAGATCATGCAGCAAGGGTGAGAGACTCTTGTTTTCATTCAGATTCAGAAAGAACTGAGAATATTTGTTGGAGAAGAAGCACAATCAGTATGAGAAAAAGTGAAAATATAAGAAAGTAAGAGAGGCAATGATAAAACATCTTACTTTTATGAATCCATTTTTCAAAGGTAAAGCCTGAATTGTGGGATGTTAAGTAGCTTGCACAGCATTGCACAGCTAAAAAGTGACAGGGCCAGGAGATGAGTCCATGGATGATAACAAACTCTATACTCCCTGCTGTACTGCAATGCAAGCTCCTGGAATATAGGAAGGTGAGGGGGTCAGAAGTACCAGCGAAGAGAGAGATTCACTTTGGCAAAGGGGAAGGAGAATTCTTTCTCAAATCCAGCACAAAGGAAGGGAGAAAATAAAGGTGGGGAAAACGTTGAAATGGAGGAGGAAATCGAAAAGTACAGATGGGAGAGCCTTAATTTGCTCATCAGAGCCCACTCTTCAGAACACAAGAGGCAGGATTTCTCAGACTTAAGAAAATAGAAACATTTTTGAATATATATGCATAGCTTTCACCACCTTTCACCACCCATTAGGCTCAATTTAACATTGTTACATGTGAAGTTTTTCTTTTAATAAACAAAGCTTTGTTTTATATCTTCAGAAAGAATTTGAAATCCATAAGAAAGGCATGCAATGTAAAAGTTATAAATATTGATAGAGTAAATGATCAGGCCTATTAAAATTTGAAGTTGGTAAATCGTTGTATACATGGCTTATCATAAATTACCAGTGGTATGAAGGGATACTATGATAATTGCTGCCTTTTTTATACTTCCTTTTACCTGAGAACCCTACTTAGTCAGCTGGGCATTTTGCATCATTGCCTAAGGGAAGAAAAAGCCAGCCAAAAGCAGGGAAAACAAGAGGTTAATTCTTAATTTTTGAGGTTTCAAAAGTTTAGGACTCAAAAAGTGAATATAAAATTTGGATAATACAAAATGCTCAAAGTGATGTAAAGAATAGTAACATTTTGCCCCACCTGTCTGCCACCAGGGTTACCTGCCAGATTAGGTGACCATTTCTTTGACACAGGTAGAGGAGGAGGGACGAAAGAGGAATCAGGAGTGAGTAGATGCTGTGGTCCCTAAGAAACTAGGATCTGTGGATGTAATGGGAACAAACCCACAGAGGTCTGAAGATCAAAGAGCAGAGGACACTTTTCATGGACCTTCATTTTTTGGAGAGGAAATTCAGGCTTAGTATACACAGACACAGAAATAGATATCTGAACAGTGTATCTAGACAGATCAACCTACAATTGACTTAGAGTTAGTTTCTTGCACTCCTCTGGGGTGTGAGAAAAGTAGAGTGATTCCTGCATGCAGGAAAGCTGCACAGAAAAGGGAAATGTTCATGGGAGACTCAACTGAGTTTCCCACGGTCTCAGCCAGAGAGGAATTGCAGGAGTTAAACAAGAGGGAGAGAACCAGTCCTGAAGAAGACTGAACACAAGGGATGATTCTGGCATGAATAAACAATGAGTCTGGACAGAAGTGCCTACCTTCCTTCCTCCGATAGTTTAGTACTAACTGAATGGCTCAGCCACCACTCCCCTTGTGAATATTGGTGAATATACACACAGTAACATACTCGCTTATGAGTAACTCACACAATAACAACAAATTTATAATTTTCATAAGAATTTGATTTGGTAAGAATTTATATTTCATTTTAACTCAAATGTCTAGTGCTACCTTGAAATTCAACAACATTATAATACCTTGTTAGCAAACGAGTTCCTAACATACTGTTATTTGCCATACAATGTCTTAAACAGTGTAGAAAAATACTCAGATACATAGATGAACTAGTGTATTTTTAATCAATAAGTGAAAACTGTATAAAGTTCTTCTAAGGGCTTTACTTAAAAATCAATTGTAATCAAGATAGAGGGAGGGTGTACTTAACAGAATCTTTTATCACCTACCATTTTTTATTGTTTTTTGAAACTGTTCACGTGGGTAATTATTTTATTTCCCAAGAGAACTGTGCTTTGTCCAGGGGAAAGTTTGGGTCCTACACAGCAGTCTAAGTAAACAAAATAACTGCATTCAAGGGGAGCTTGAATAGGAGATGCTGAAACCCCCAAGTTTGCCCAAGTTAACACTGACAAAAGGAAAACATGAATGGCTTTAAAGATGGGAGGAAAGTTTGGAACAGGAGAGCAATGCAGTAGGGAAGTTTGCAAAAGGTTTGCAAAGTTTTGGAGGAATATTCATGGTGGAGAGTCTCCCTTAGGTAGTACTCCCTGCAGAATGGAGAGATGGCCCAATGGGCAGGGTATTAGCACACTTATGGTTCAGACCCAAGAGAGCATGGGGTTACAGATCTCAAAGGTTTCCATTAAAAAGGATTTTTTATTGGAATAAAACAACTGGACTTTACATACAAATTAATCTAGTATGGTAGAAAGAGCTCAATATTTGGAGGGAGAAGGGCACTGTTTGAATACCGACCCAGTGAAAACAGATTTTTGGACTATTTTCCTGATCTGTAAAATGAAGAAATTATACATTTTCTACCTTGTAGCATTACTTTGATGATCGTTAATCGAATAAGAATATATGAGACAATATTTTTGTAGTGTTATAGAGTTCATTGTATAGTGTATAAAGTCTATTGTACCAAGTGTTATACAAATATTAATTATAATTATTTTTGAAGTTGCAATTTTAAAACTTTTCTAACTGCCTTAAAAATGAAATGTAAGAAAAAGTGTACGTGTGTATGTATATATGTGTGAATAACAGATAACTATTTATAAATCAATTATCCAGGCCAGGTGCAGCGGTTCACGCCTGTAGTCCCAGCACTTTGGGAGGCCAAGGCGGGCAGATCATTTGAGGTTAGGAGTTTGAGACTAGCCTAGCCAACAAAGTGAAACCCCGTCTCTTCTAAAAATATAAAAAAGAAAAATTAGTTGGGCATGGTGATGCATGCCTGTACTCCCAGCAACTCGAGAGGCTGAGGTACGAGAATTGCTTGAACCTGGGAGACGGAGGTTGTAGTGAGCGGAGATCGCACCACTGCACTTCAGCCTAGGCAACAGAGCAAGACTCCACTTCAAAAGAAAAATCAATTATCCAAACATGTTATTTTATTAATCTTTATCCCTTTATGAGAGGAGAGGCTAGTGAAAGGAGGATCCCCAAATTCCTGGAACTGACCCACAGGCCCACCAGACCCAGGGGCTACCCATACTTTCATCCTTGTCTCCTCCCACTCCTAGGAGCCCTTCAGCTGATAATCAGCTGGGGACTTATACCCCTTTCCCTCACAATTCAGTATCCTTTTTCCTGCCCCCATGCCTTAGCATTCGCTTTCTTTTTGCCTTGAGTGCTTCTCTCTGGATTTGTATTCATTCTCGAAGACCTGCTCAGGCATCACCTCCTCTGCAAAGCCTTTCCTCATCACCGTTGTATTTTCCTATTACCTATAATGACTTCACTTATGCTCAATTTTTCTGTCTGAGAAAAATGGAGTCTCCTCTGGGATGCTTTTCTGGCTCTCTTTAGGGTCTGGGCCAGAGCTCCTCAGGGACAGAAATTGCACCTAAATGCTTTTTTGTTTGCTTGTTTGTTTTGTTTTGCTTTGCTTTTATTTTATTTTATTTTTTTATATATATTTTTATTACACTTTAAGTTCTAGGGTACATGTACACAACATGAAGGTTTGTTACATATGTATACATGTGCAATGTTGGTGTGCTGCACCCATTAACTCGTCTCTTTACCAGAACATCAGCACCAGGAAAGGGAGGACTTGGTTTTTATTTATTGCTGTATCCTGGGAACAGCAATGCCTGGTATATTGTAGGTGCTCAATAAATATTGATTATGTAGTAGGTCATAGGAAGAGGTTGATAGTTGCAATTCTTAACTGATATGAAAATTTGCTATTTTGCATTTTAAGAATTCAGTGCACTACCATATAGTGGTAAATATAAATATGTTACATTTCAGAACAATGGTGACTTTCTGTGTTTTTATGGCAAGGAAATAATATTCAAACTTATTGGGAATAAAAATGGGCAAATAAATGGGTGAATAAAAATTTGTCCTGTGACTTTGCTGCAGTAGATGACCATTATACACTGTGACTGCCATGATCTGTTCAAAGCCATAACAAGTCAGAATATAGACCACACCAAGAGTTTTCTATTAATAAAGTAAAATAAATAGGGAACAATCTTGATAATTCAAATAAAAATTACTTTTTAGGCTGATCTAGAGAAGCATTCTGCAAAAATGTGCTTTGATCTTGAACTATCATGGATAATTTCTTTAATATTTCACTTACTTTGTTACTTATGAGTTTTAGACTTGGGATAATTTTTAAAAAGTCACATTAATTCTTTTCAGAGAAATTACCATGTGCTTTATTGAAGTTTGGAAAGTTTGTTTTTTCAGATCTACTGCCACGTGCCATGTCATTGGCCTCAGTTGTCGGGACAGCACTGATCTGATTTGAGTGTGAGGACCAATAAAGTCTTATCAAGTGCTGGCAATTCCATCAAATAGCACCTGCTGCAGCTCAAAGAGAAACTGCTAAACTGAAATTAATGCTTATGTTTCTCTTCCAAGCAACTAATTTCATTAAAAAAATTAGATTTCTTGGAGGGTAATTGACACAATCTGGTAATTCAGAGACTTGTCATTAAAAATTAAGCATAAAGGGAAACAACATGAACTCAACTGCCACTACCAATCCCTTGGCAGCAGAGCATCCAAAGCAAAAATCTCACCTACAAATATCAATAATAGGATAAAGGTCAAATGGGAATCTGCAGTGAGCATGTACTGAATGTCTTTGGTCTTAGCAGAGGAAAAAAGGCTGATTTTTTTTTTCTCTCATTGTAAAATTCTGTTCATGTTTGGAGAACATGTAATTTTTTTTAGAAAAATATTGTAACATTTTTAGTATTCTCTAGCCAGACAATAATGAGTTTAACTTTACTTTGTCTCATAATAAATGAAGAGCTTTTTCAAGTTCCTTGAAGATCCTGTAACTTTGAATTCCGAGACATGGTATGACCTTCCTTTTAACCTCTAAAATTTTTCTCATAATAAGAATGATCCCTTTTTATGTGAAGTACTTAAATATTATAAAAAGATATAAGCCAGAGCAGTCAAGTAAAATATTAACAATTTCACAAAAAGAAAAGTTAGTGCTTTAATTTTTTGTGCTTTAACTCATGTTCTTCATCCCCCTTTGAGACCTCTTCTCTACCCACCTTGAGTCTCTCTAGCAATAAAACTACTGCTTCTCAGAAGAGGTGTCCAACCATCCAGCAGGAGTGATTTATGCCTTCTTGATGTCCTTTGGCATTTAATTCCTAATCACTCATTTGACACTTAATCCCATGTGTGCTTTATTTTTTTTTTACTAGTTTTATCACTTATTGTATAATTTCACATTGTCCTTCACCAATAGTGGATCAATTTGTGGCACTAAATGTGTGTATTTGTTTGCCCAGCTTTCTACCAACATAAGGCTTGTCAAAAAACAGGACTCAGTTATAAACATTTGGAAAAAGAAAGAATACGTTGACTGTAAAGAAGAAGGGCTGTTTCACCAAATAACACAATGCCAGGTATTTTCAAAGAAAATATGCTGCAAAATTAGACAAGTTTTTGAGTTTACATCTGTCTGATCAAAGTGAAAAACAGAAACTCTGTGGCATGATTATTACATTAACAAAGGCTACAACACAGATTCCACACCTGCATAGAAAAGATCAGGGACAACATTGTTTATGTCAGAAAATCACATTTTGTGGGAAATGTTCACATTTTTATTATTTAGGGGATCAGAACCAGTTAGAATTTCTATTATTATTTTTTTCCTCAGAGGATACAGTATTCTTTTTGACCACAGTTTATGAAGTGTTTACGCTTATTAAAAGCAGTGCCAAGTTTAGCTTTTCTTCTAAGCTTTCGAAGTTTTGCTTTCCCTCCATATGGTAATGTGCTTGCCAATAAGGTGTCAATCTGACCATATAATATACTTAGTGATTTTTCTGTTTCAGTGATATTTGGTGATTCTGTTTCAGTGATTTTTTCTTTTAGTGATATTTGGTTCCATGAGACCACTTATTTCAGAGATTTTGACCTCTTTTTAGTACAGTGAAAACATTTGGGGCCACAAAATATTAAAGCCTTAAAAGTTAACTTTTATCTTAAAGTATTTAAAAGACCTGGGGCTGTAATTTGCTTTTATGTCACTGAAGAATTTTATTGTTCTTAACAATTCTATTGGGATTAAGAACTAAGAACCATCCCATTTACTAGTAGTAGTTTTCTTTTTTACATATTTATTTTTATTATACTTTAAGTTCTAGGGTAAATATGCACAACGTGCAGGTTTGTTACATATGTATACATGTGCCACATTGGTGTGCTGCACCCATTAACCCGTCATTTACATTAGGTATATCTCTTAATTCTATCCCTCCCTACTCCCCCCACCCCACAACTGGCCCCAGTGTGTGATGTTCCCCTTCCTGTGTCCAAGTGTTCTCATTGTTCAATTCCCACCTATGAGTGAGAACATGCGGTGTTTGGTTTTTTGTCCTTGCGATAGTTTGCTGAGAATGATGGTTTCCAACTTCATCCATGTCCCTACAAAGGACACGAACTTATCATTTTTTATGGATGCATAGTATTCCATGGTGTATATGTGCCACATTTTCTTAATCCAGTCTATCATTGTTGGACATTTGGGTTGGTTCCAAGTCTTTGCTATTGTGAATAGTGCCGCAATAAACATACGTGTGCATGTGTCTTTATAGCAGAATGATTTATAATCCTTTGGTTATATACCCAGTAATGGGATGGCTGGGTCAAATCGTATTTCTAGTTCTATATCCTTGAGGAATCACCACACTGTCTTCCACAATGGTTGCCAAGTCAATCCTAAGCCAAAAGAACAAAGTTGGAGGCATCACGCTACCTGACTTCAAACTATACTATAAGGCTACAGTAACCAAAACAGCATAGTACTGGTACCAAAACAGAGATACAGACCAATGGAACAGAACAGAGCGCTCAGAAATAATACCACACATCTACAACTATCTGGTCTTTGATAAACCTGACAAAAACAAGAAATGGGGAAAGGATTCCCTGTTTAATAAATGGTGCTGGGAAAACTGGCTAGCCATATGTAGAAAGCTGAAACTGGATCCCTTCCTTACACCTTATACTAAAATTAATTCAACATGGATTAAAGACTTAAATGTTAGACCTAAAACCATAAAAACCCTAGGAGAAAACATAGGCAATACCATTCAGGACATAGACATGGGCAAGGACTTCATGGCTAAAACACCAAAAGCAATGGCAACAAAAGCCAAAATTGACAAAGGGGATCTAATTAAACTAAAGAGCTTCTGCACAGCAAAAGAAACTACCATCAGAGTGAACAGGCAACCTACAGAATGGGAGAAAAATTTTGCAATCTACTCATCTGACAAAGGGCTAGTATCCAGAATCTACAATGAACTCAAACAAATTTACAAGAAAAAAAAAAAACCCATCAAAAAGGGGGCGAAGGATATGAACAGACACTTCTCAAAAGAAGACATTTATGCAGCTAACAGACACATGAAAAAATGCTCATCATCACTGGCCATCAGAGAAATGCAAATCAAAACCACAATGAGATACCATCTCACACCAGTTAGAATGGCAATCATTAAAAAGTTAGGAAAAAACAGGTGCTGGAGAGGATGTGGAGAAACAGGAACACTTTTACACTGTTGGTGGGACTGTATACTACTACTATTTTCTCCTATATAACCTATAAGTGTAAAGGGTCATCTTTGTCTGAGATCCATCCCTTCTTTGGTTGGTGTTCCTGGCCTACTGGGAGTAGCATTCTTTTTGAATTTTTCCTTCCAACTTTTATTTTATGTTTGGGATACGTGTGTAGGTTTGTGACATGGGTAAATTGTGTGTCACAGGGGCTTGGTGTACAGATTACTCTGTCACCCAGGTGATAAACATAGTTCCTGCTGGGTAGTTTTTTGATTCTCACTTTCCTTCACTGTTCACCATCAAGTAGGCCCCGGTGGCTACCTATTGTTTCCTTCTTTGTGTGGAAATGATATTCTTTACTATCTATAAGGCTGAGATTTCATATGCCATAGAACAGATATCAGGAAACTTTTCCTAGGAGGAATGTGTAGGCATCATTTCCACATGAGAAACATAGTCCTTGCTTCTTAATAGTGGACTTATCTGATCTAGGTAAACAAGATTTTCAGCTTGGTCATAGATACAAATTTGATTTGTTCAATTATATTCTGGTAGGAAAGAGAATCCAATTTTATTGAACCTATAAAGTAATTAAACGGTCATAAAACATAAAATAATCTAATAAAGCCACTGTTCATACAACTGAACTTATAATTGTTTTGATGACAAGGTCAATCATAATATGCCATTATTTTCTGAGAACTATTTTTAAATTTCCTTAGCATTTCTTAGTTTAGACATTTGCTTTTAAATCCTTAGGGTTATATTGGATGAAGATACCACTTACAGAGTGTTTTATTCCAATTTCTATAGATAAAACTGGTTATGTTGAGGATTATATATAGATTAAGAAAAAAAATAGGTTTTTCACATATGCATCAAAAATAGAATATTATACTAATTAAATCAGTTACATTAGCTCCATGTATCTATTTTTGTGGTGTCTTGTGCTGTTGCAACAAAATACCTGAGATTGGGTAATTTATAAAAAATAGAAATTTATTTTCTCATAGTTCTGGAGGGTGGGAAGTCCAAGATCAAGGTGCTGGCATATTTGGTTTTCTTTTGAGGGCTCTTCCTCTGGAGGGGAAGGACACTGTGTCCTCACATGGCAGAAGTTGGAAGGGCAAGAAACAAAATGCTATGTGAAGTTTTTTTTTTATTATTATTATACTTTAAGTTCTAGGGTACATGTGCACAACATGCAGGTTTGTTACATATGTATACATGTGCCACGTTGGTGTGCTGCACCCATTAACTGGTCATTTACATCAGGTATATCTCCTAATGCTATCCCTCCCCCCTCCCCCCACCCCACGACGGGGGTGATTTATAATCCTTTGGGTATATACCCAGTAATGGGATGGCTGGGTCAAATGGTATTTCTAGTTCTAGATCCTTGAGGAATCACCATACTGTCTTCCACAATGGTTGAACTAGTTTACAGTCCCACCAACAGTGTAAAATATTCCTATATAAGAGCCTTAATGCTATTAATGAAGGAGAAGCCCTCATAGCCTAATCACTTCTTAAACGTCCCACCTCTTAATACTCTCATATTTACAGCACTTGAATTTTGAAGGAGAGTCTCATCTAAATAAAATATAAGTGAGACTCAATGCATGACTTGCCCAGAGGCAAGTCTTTCCCTCTAGCTGTGAACCTGTGAAATCAAAGAAATTATATGCTTTCAAAATACAATGGTGAGGCAGGTATAGGCTGGACACTGCCATTCCAAAAGGGAGCAATAGCAATAGGAAAGAAGGTAAAAGCAACAGGTCTCAAGTAAGTCCCAAATCCTACAGGATAAATAACTTAAATCTTGAGGCTTCACTCCATGTCCTACTTCTGGACATGCTGGGGGAGGGGGTTGGGCCTTCAAAGCCCCCAGGGACTATGCCCCATGGATTTGCTGGTGCAGCCCACACCATAGCTCTCACTGGTGGAAGTTGGGTGGCTGCAGTTCTACCAAGCTGGTGTTGCATGTCAGTGCCCTAAAGGTCTGGGGTGTTGGTGGCAGCTCTGCCTGCATGGCTGCATTAAGCATTGCCTTAGTGGAGGCTCTCTGTAGTGGCCTTGCCCCTGTGGCGAGTTACTGCCGGGGGGTCCAAGGCTATCAGACATTCTCTGAATTCTAAGTGGAGAGAACCATGCCTCCACAGTTCTTACACCCTGCGAACCCGCAAAATTAGCACCGCAAGATGTGGCCAAGTTTTCCAACTTGTACCTTCCAGAGAATTGGCCCAAGCCGCACCTGGGCATGCTTGAGCCATAGCTGGGTGGGTGAAGGCACACTGCTCCAGAACTCAGGAAGCAGAGTTGAGGCATCTCTGCACAGCAAGCTTTGAGGTCCCATGGGTATCCCTGGCTCTTCCTTTGAGACTGTACTGTCTTTCAGCCATGGGACTCTGAGCCTTGGATGGACATAGCAGCCTGGAAGACCTCTGAAATGCCCTTAGGGTCATTCTTTCATTGTCTTGATAATAACACCTGTGTTTCTTCTATCTATACTAATTTCCTTATGAAACGGTTGCTTGGCCTCACCCTTAGTTTTCTCTCCTGAACACACTTTTTTATTCTTTACGTGGCCAGTGTGAGAATTTTCTAAATCTTTAGGTTCTGCTTTTCTTTTAATTATACTTTTCATACTTAAACCATTTTTTCATCCCTCATTTTACTATAAGCAGGTAAGAGAAGTCATGTAGCTCCTTCAACATTTTGCTACTTAGAGATTTCTTGTGTTAGGTATCCTAGTTGATTGCTCTTAAATTCTACCTTTACAAAGTCCCAAAACATGAACATAATTCAGCCAAGTGTTTTGTGGGTTTGTTTTTTTTTTTGCCATTTTATTTTTCAAATTTATTTTCTATTTTATTTTATTTTATTTTATTTTTTGGCACGGAGTCTCACTCTGTTGCCCAGGCTGGAGTGCAATGCCGCAATCTTGCCTCACTGCAACCTCCACCTCCTGGGTTCAAGCGATTCTCCTGCCTCAGCCTCCTGAGTAGCAGGGATTACGGGCGCCCGCCACCACGCCCAGCTAATTTTTGTATTTTCAGTAGAGACGGGGTTTCACCACATTGGTCAGGCTGGTCTCAAACTCCTGACCTCAGGTGATCCCCCCCACCTCAGCCTCCCAAAGTGTTGAGATTACAGGTGTGAGCCACCGCATCTGGCTTTTCTTTTTTTGCCATTGTATAACAAGGATGGCCTTTCCTTCAGTTTCAATAATATATATCTAATTGTGTCTAAGACCTCATCAGAATAGCCTTTACTGTCTATATTTCTACCAACATTCTGGTCACCATCACTTAGGTAATCACTAAGAAGATTCAGGCTTTCTCTATAGATTTTCTTTTCTTCTGAGTCCTCACCAGAATCTCCCACTAAGGCTCCATTCACAGCAAGACAAAGTTTTTCTGGCATGCACTTCAAAATTCTTCCAGTCTTTACTCATTACCCAGTTCCAAGGCTGCTTCCAGTTGTTCAAGTATTTGTTACAGCAGCACAAACATAGGAATACAGTGTCCTAGGTGATCGATTCTTGTTTGCTTGCATTTGAGTTACGCAGTCCATTTCCATGGAGTCATCTGCTTTTAGATTAAAATGATCCTGAGGTTCTGACTCAGTCTGCAAATCAGTCCCTGGTGATAACCTGGAAATCTTGAACCATGAGTATATTCCTTGTAACAACAACAGTCAGGTCTACCTGATACAGTCCTTTCCTGAGGTTCTTTTGATGTTTTTTATAGAATATTTGATTTTAAAAGTCATATCACAAGGCCTTTAGACAAATGTAAGCAAAAAAGAGGAAAGCTTTTTGTAGTTGATAAGACTAAATGCCTGGAGTTATTTTATTATAGTAGCCAAAAATAATAGAAAGAAAGAGAATAGTTTGTTCTGTTGAGGCATAATACATAATAAATTTATAAAGATATAATAAATTATGATCCTGATAGTGAGGGCATTCATAAATTTCCAGAGTCTTTAATTTATACCATTAAATGCATTATGAATGTCATTAATATCAATATATTATAATAAATTAAATGGATATTTAAATCTAAAAAATATATTAAAAAGTAATTTGTTGACAATAGTCTTTAAATATAAACATGATTATGTTTCTTTTTAACTGTTAAAACTCTCAAAATGGAAACGAATTTTTTTTTTTTTTTTTTCTGAGACAGAGTCAGCCCAGGCTGGAGTGCAGTGACGCTATCTCGGCTCACTGCAAACTCCGCCTCCCAGGTTCATGCCATTCTCCTTCCTCAGCCTCCCGAGTAGCTGGGACTACAGGCTCCCGCCACCGCGCCTGGCTAATTTTTTAATATTTTTTTTAGTAGAAACGGGGTTTCACCGTGTTAGCAAGGATAGTCTCAATCTCCTGACCTCATGATCCGCCCGCCTCGGCCTCCCAAAGTGCTGGGATTACAGGCGTGAGCCACTGTGCCTGGCCGGAAACAAATTTATATTAGTAGCCTTTACCTGTATGAAATTTACCTAAGAAGGATGATATTTTTTTGTTTTGAAAATAAAACTAACCAGGACAGTTCTCTTAACAATACTGAGCTAATCAAACATCTGAAGAATGTCAAACATGCCTAATTATTTTAATGAAGGAATAAATTTCTGTGTTACCTGGTGGCCACTAGGTAGTTCATAACTATAGGGTGACTCAAGCATAATTTGTATGTAAAAGAAGTCTTAATAGTTTTATTATTTTGAATTTGGAAACTGAATTTGCAAAAAGCAAAAACAAGAAGACACAAGGGAAGAGAGAAGTTGTGAATATACATCACAGGTTCTAATGACAATAGTTACCAGCCAGTATTTAAAAATAGCAATAAATAACAATTTTTATTATTAAATTAAATATTTTCAAGAAATAAGGAACTTTAGCTAAAATGATTAAAGAGTATCCCAAAACCCATAGAGTTATTGTGGTGATAAGAAGGAATTTTTGTTATTTGAGCAGCATTACTCAGCCCTTTTAACGAAGAGAACACATTTTAGTTTCACCTTGTTGAATCTTACCTATATGACAATATACAATGAAATATTCATGAGTCTGTTTTCCTAATAAATAAACTCATCACATTTACTTAACTTTGTCAAAAATTTCAACACATTTTGTAGTTCCTTTCAACCTCTTATTTCTAAGTACTATAAACCCAGGCATGTGAGGTTAATTTCTTCTCAGATCTTTTACATTTATTGTACAAATCATTAGATTTGCATTTCATTATCTTCCTTTACATTGTGGCATACTTTTACTTTAGAATAGAAGTATTCTTTTTAATCCCACGATAAACCAATATATATATTTGTTATGCTGTATACATATCCCCTTACCATACTGTATTTTTCATTTCTTAAAAAATGAACATGCACTTGAACATAATCCAGATTCATTTGTACTTTTTGATTTGTTAACTGAGGGCTACTCTATAATGTAGTAAATAAGAAAACAGGCATTTTAAAATTAAGCTGTCCAAATACATGAGCTCATTTATTAAACAACTCAAATTAATATTATAATAGTTCAAGATTTTAAAATTAACTAAAAATCTGGAAGTTATAATTTTTGGCTGGCACTTACAATTTCTATGACTTGTAGCATTTCATGCATTGATCTCTTTTAATTAATACATTATTTATTATTATTTAATTTAGTTGAACTTGATATCTTGCAGTTTTCTAAGTGATGCTAGGTTTTTTAATGCACCAAACTAGTAGAGGAAGTTTGGGACATTTGAAATAGACTATTCATGAGGAAATATATGCAACACTTGCATAAACTGAAGTATTTTGCTGGCATTATTTTTACATGATGGTAAAGCCAGGGAGGAAATACAGAGTTGCTCTTAAACCAAAGTTATAAAATCGGTCTGATTTGTCCAGAATTATCTTGAAGAAGAATACTACATTACTTTTTTTCTTATACAATGATATACCAGATATTAAAAGTTTTTAGTTGCTTTAAAGTAATTTTTTAATATCTTGCAAACTAATAACAATACACATTAATTAAATTCATAGGTCATAGGTATTTTTTAAATTAAACTTTTTATTTTGAGATAATTTTGCATTTACATGTAGTTTTAAGAAACGTAGAACGATACCATGCATTCTTTGTCTAGTTTCCTCCAATGGTAATATCCTTCAAAAGTATAATGTACCAACCTTATTAACATTTCTCCAATTTTACTTGTACTTCTGTGTGTGTGTGTGTCTGTGTGTGTGTGTGTGTGTTTAGCTCTATGCAATTTTATCATGTGTGTGGGTGTCTGTATTCATTATCATCAAGATACAAAACAATTCCATCACCACAAGGCTCTCTAGTGGTTCTAGTGGTGTAATTTTGTAACCATATCCCCCTCTTCCCCTTTCCTAAACCCTGGTAATCTCTCGCTCCTGAAAAAAAGTATGTATCTCAAGAATGTTATAGAAATGAAATTATATGGTATGCAATCTTTTGGAATTGTCTTTTTTTTCCTCCCTCAATATAATTTCCTGGAGCTTCATCTAAGTTGATGTGTGTATCAACAGCCCATTTCTTTTTATTGCTGTGTAATATTCCATGGTATGCATGTACCACAGTTTGTTTAGCCAATCACTTATTGAAGGACATCTGAGTTGGTTCCAGGTTTTGGCTATTATGAATAAAGCTGCTTTGAACATTCATGTACAGTTTTTTTGCATTAACATAAATTTACTTTTCTCTGGGATAAATGCCCAATTATTAATTGCTGAATAGTATAGAAATTGCATGTCAGTTTTATAAAGAACTGCCAAACTATTTTTCAGAATGGCTGTACTATTTTACATTTCCACATACAACATAGGAGTGATTCAATTTGTCAGCATTCTCACCAGAATTTGGTATTGTTATTATTTTAGCCATTCTGATACATGTGAAGCGATACTATATTGGGACGTTAATTTGTGTTTGTCTATTAACTAATAATGCTGAGTATCTTTTCATGTGCTTATTTGACATCTGTATAGCCTCTTTGGCAAAATATCTGTTCATGTCTTGTGCCCATTTTCTGATTGGATTAATTTTTTTGTTTTTGTTTTTCACTGTGTGAGTTTTGAGAGTTCTTCTTATATTCTATATACTAGTCCTTTGCTAGATATGTGGATTACAAATATGTTATCCCAGTCTGTAACTTGTAAATGAAACAAAAAGCTGATTCTTTGAAAAGATAAATGAAATTGATACACCATTAGCAAGATTAACCAAGAAAAGAAGAGAGAAAACCTAATTTAGAAACAAAACAGGAGATATTGCAACTGACACTACTGAAATACAAAAGATCATTCAAAGCTACTATGAACAACTTTATGCATATAAACTAGAAGAAATGAATAAATTCCTGGAAAAATACAACCCTCCTAGCTTACATCACGAAGAATTAGATACCCTGAACAGACCAATAACAAGCAGCGAAATTGAAATGGTAATTTAAAAATTACCAACAAAAAAAGTCCAGGACTAGATGGATTCATAACAGAATTCTACTAGACATTCAAAGAATTGGTACCAATGCTTTTGACACTATTCCACAAGATAGAGAAAGAAAGACCCCTCCCTACTTCATTCGTTGAATCCAGCATCACCCTAATACCAAAACTAGGAAAGGACATAACCAAAAAGAGAATTACAGACTCATATCCCTGATGAACATAGATGCTAAAATCCGTAACAAGATACTAGGTAACTGAATACAACAACATATCAAAATGATAATCTGCCATGATCAAGTGTGTTTCATACCAGGGATGCAGGGATGGTTTAACATATGCAAGTCAATAAATGTGATACACTGCATAAACAGAATTAAAAACAAAAATCACATGATCATCTCAATAGATTCAGAAAAAGCATTTGACAAAATCCAGTATCGCTTTATGATTAAAACTCTAAGCAAAATTGGCCTACAAGGGACATACCTTAATGTAATAAAAGCCATCTATGACAAACCCACAGCTAACATAATCCTGAATGGGGAAAAGTTGAAAGCATTCCCTCTGAGAACTGGAACAAAACAAGGATGTCCACTCTCACCACTCCTCTTCAACATAGTACTGGAAGTCCTAGCCAGAGCAATCAGACAAGAGAAAGAAATAAAGGTCATCCAAATCGGTAAAGAGGAAGTCAAACTGTCAGTGTTTGCTGATGATAGGACTGTTTACTTTGAAAACCCTTAGGACTCCTCCAGAAAGCTCCTAGAACTGATAAAAGAATTCAGCAAGGTTTCTGGATACAAGATTAATGTACGCAAATCAGCAGCTCTTCTATACACCGACAGCGACCAAGCAGAGAATCAAATAAAGAACGCAACCCTTTTACAATAGCTGCAAAAAAAAAAAAAAAAAACCTTAGGAATATACCTAACAAAGGAGTTGAAAGACCTCTACAAGGAAAACTACAAAACACTGCTGAAAGAAATCACAGATGACACAAACAAATGCAAACACATCCCATGCTCATGGATGGTTAGAATCAATATTGTAAAAATGACCATACTGCCAAAAGTGATCTACAAATTCAATGCAATCCCCTTCAAAATACCACCATCATTCTTCACAGAATTAGAAAAAACAATTCTAAAATTCATACGGAACCAAAAGAGAGCCTGCCTAGCTAAAGCAAGACTGAGCAAAAAGAACAAATCTAGAGGCATCACACTACCAGATTTCAAACTATACTATAAAGGCCACAGTCACCAAAACAGTATGGTACTGATATAAAAATAGGTAATAGACCAATGGAACAGAATAGAGAACCGAGAAGTAAACCCAAATACTTACCACCAACTGATCTTTGACAAAGCAAACAAAAACATAAAGTGGGGAAAAGACACCCTTGTCAACAAATGAGGCTATCCCACTTTCAATGTCACCTTCCTGCACTTTGCAATGTTTAGGAGGTCAATAATGCCACCTGTTGCTAACTAGCTGTTAACTCACTTCTCTCTGACAAGGGGACAGAGAAAACATATATGCTCAGCCATTTGAGAAATATTTCTTTAAAACTATTTCCTCCCTAGTCTGCCAGCATAAAAATTGATCTGCTGATGTTTTCTTTATAACTCTTCATAATTTTTATCATTTTCTTTATTTTATAATTTTAAATTTCTCTAATTTGTGTGTCAAACTCTATGATAATAATAACAATAATGATTACTTATTAACTGCTTACCTTGCACCAAATACGTTATATAATGTATCTCTAGTCCTCACAATTGTTTTTGCATCTTATATTTTATTATATCCATTTTACATATGAGAAAACTGAGGCTCAGAAATCTTTTTCATCTCAGTGCTTTTACTTTTTCCACTAAGACTTTTGTCTTCTCTACAGACTTTCTCTAAATTAGGCTACTGCTATTATACTAAAACATGATAATCTGCCACAATTTTAAAATATTTTTAAAATTTTCAGGTTCTTTCCACAAGTACTTTGCCTCTGAATGTCTTGAATTTATTAAATTTATTTTCTTCTACTTATACTTATTCTCTACTCCTTGAACATGTAGAAACAATTCTGTTCTCATTTTTTTCTTTATGGTTCTGTAAGATTTAGAATTTGCCATTCTTGTGCCTGTCATTTTAACAGCTTTCCTGTCACTTAAGTTAAAAAAAATACCAAAGTGTTCAAAGGAAATTAAAACTATTCAGCCTTCATAATTTAATAGATTCATTCTCTGAGTGAAAGGTGAAAGTGAAGGATTCTCATAATTCTATTTATTTGGTTGCTCTTCTAGTTATGTTTGCAAGTAACTCCTTGGACCTTTCTTATTGGAAACTTTATTTTCTTACATTATGTTTCAAAATAATGTGCTAGTTTGATGAATTATAAATAATATTCTGCCAAAAGAATTTTTGTAGAACATATCCACAATCCTGTCTAAATATATAAGTATATACATATTAGAATTTGACATAGACATGATTTTAGATCTGACGATTTTTTATAAGAAAATTTAATCTTTAACCTAAGGTTTTACATAGGTATTTAAAAATAAAAGGAGTACTTTTCCATGCTGTCAACATAGTTAACTATAAATCAATCTGCAGAATTTTAACAGCAAATAAAACCCACTTCATGCCTCTTAGCAACATTCTCTGCATGCAAATGTAATTGTTTGTTGTCCGGTGACTTCTATCACCCTTGCTTGAATGCCTTTAAAATATGATGTCCTTGCTTTTCCCTCTTTGTTTTACCGACAACCTTAATATTCTGGCTTTTACTAATTTTCTATATAAAGATTTTACCCCAGATGAACTCACTGTTTCCACAAAGCTTTCTCTCACCTTCCTCCTCACCCTTGCTTTCATTATTCTATCCACATGGATAGAATATTTCTTTCTTCACCACAATCTTTCTAAGCTTAGCCAGTATTTAACATTGAGACTAAAACGTGTCTCCTCAGAAAGTCTTTTTGATCATCCTCCCTCCAATGTCCATTCATCTGTCCTTCTGACCATCCATTCCATCCATCCATCCATCCATTTATTTATCTAATAACACCACACATATTCATGGAACCTTGGACATTGTGGTAGACTATTAGTTATAAAGACATAAATCAGATAAAGTGTGAATATGAGCACAATTTGTCTTAAGAGAATTGGAGAAAGGCCACTTGAAGGATACAGTTTGACAGCTGGAAAAGTGTAAATAGAACATTTGTGACAGAGGCAACATATTGTACAAAGTTGTGGATAGAGGTGACAGAAAGTAACTTCCATTTGGGATCTACATGAGAGTCAGTGTTATTAGAGCATGAAGTGCAATTGGAAAGAGGTGGGAAACAAGGCTGAACAAATCATGAACATGGTATACCTTTCTTAGGAATTTGAGACTTTGTGATAAAATTGTTGAGAGTCATTTACATTTTTAAAATAGGGACTGGTGTAGCCATATTTACTTTCACAAAGATAAGTCTAAACAATACTGTTGAGAATAAATTGAAGCATGAGGGTAACATTAAAGATGAGGAGACCAATAAGCCTACTGCAAGAGTATGAGCAAGAAAAAGGACGTCGCATTAGAAACTGCCAGTCAGGAGGAAGAAGAAAAGCCTATTTGAACATAAATAGAATCTGTAACTAGATGACGGTAAGGGAGAAAAAGAAGCAGATATGAGAACTAGCATGTACAGTTCTTGAAAAATTGGGTGGATAGTGGTACCTTCTGACAAACTGTGAATGAAAGGAATAGAAAGTACATTTGCCCTGGAGTAATGGAGAGATTTAAAGATAAAAAGATTTTAAACATGTGGACTTAAAGGAATCTGTGAAACATCAAAGGGCAAATGCTTGGTAAATGGCTGATACATGTGTCTGAAACTCCAAAGAAAGGTCTGTACTGTATTTGAGAATCATTAACACTTAAGTTAATATTGAATTCACAAGTGGTTGCTTCTCTCCCTGTTTAACCAAAACACTCATATTGCCAAGAGATAGTTCCAGCTACCCTGCTTTTCTGTCAGGTCGTCCTTTGTGCCAGGTTCCATCTTGTTCAGGGACATAACTTGTGCTATTTCCTTGGCTGAAACATTGGCCCTTTGCCTTGACATTACTACCTCCTTTCTTCCTTAAAGCTTAACTTAAAATCCACTTCTTAATAAAGGCATTTCCTAATGCATTCAAAATAAATACTGTTGTTTTTTCTTAAATCATCTCCCAACATCCTTTACTTTGTTTGCGTATTGCTTTTGGTAACTGCAATTTTTAAATGTGTTTCTCAGTGAATTCTTTTGGTCTGTTTCCCCTATTTCAGGGTGAGCTTCACAGGGCAAATTTACGTCTGCCTTTTCCATGATTGTATTCAAGATCTTAGCACTCAGTAGGCACACAAACATTTTCAGAATGAATAAGTGACATTATGCATTTATGTTTCACTCTTTTTTTTTTTTTTTTTTTTTTTGAGACGGAGTCTCGCTCTGTTGCCCAGGCCGGACTGCGGACTGCAATGGCGCAATCTCGGCTCACTGCAAGCTCCGCTTCCTGGGTTCACGCCATTCTCCTGCCTCAGCCTCCCGAGTAGCTGGGACTACAGGCGCCCGCCACCGCGCCCGGCTAATTTTTTGTATTTTTAGTAGAGACGGGGTTTCACCTTGTTAGCCAGGATGGTCTCGATCTCCTGACCTCGTGATCCACCCGCCTCGGCCTCCCAAAGTGCTGGGATTACAGGCGTGAGCCACCGCACCCGGCCTTTCACTCTTTACTGTCTCCATCCGGTGGCAGTGGCTTCTTTGTGGTTCTTTGAACACTTCAGGTAGGTTACTGCCTCAGGGTCCTCAGACTTGCTGTTCCTTCTACCTGGAATGCTCTGCCCTAAGATATTTCCATGGCTTGCTCTCTCACCTCAGGCAGGTTCCTGTTCAAATATTCCCTGAAGCCTGCAGGACGAAAGAGGACTTCCTTGATCTCTCTTTCTGAAGTAATATCTCTTATAATGTGCTATTCCCTTAGCTTGTTTTATTTGTGTGCACAGCACTTTTCACTAACTGCTATTACAGTGTGTATTTATTTATTTGTCTGTTTATTTTCTCTTTCTTACCCCTTCAGAATTTAGTTCCATGAGAGTGGGAACTTTGTTGTTCACAGCTTGATCCTCAGCCCAAATTATGAGATCAGAGAAGCCAGACAAAGCCGTGTGAGATATCCATAACGCAATTGCATATGATTTAAAGTATTCAAAAATTCAGTTGTATGTGATTTTTTACAACTGTTAAGAGTTGTATGGTCTTAAGAATATGAAACAATACAAGATTCCATCAAGTTCAAAGATAATAGGTTTATAGAAAAATATATTTCTGTATCTGAAGAACAAAAGCACTTTAAATCAACCACTTCTATCAAGTGGTCAACAAGGAGTTGCAGACCTCTGTCAATAGAAACACACACACACACACACACACACACACACACACACACACACACACACTTAAACCCAGGCAGTTAAACTTAATAACTTAGGAAACGAATCCATGTATACATTTTGAAACCCATGATGTTGCATGATATTGCAATAATTAAACAGGATTCAGTGAATTTTATCAAGGTTGTGGGCAAGTATCTGAGTATCTGAAATATCAGTTCTTAAAAACAATCTCAGTTCATTGGAATGGTTGTTTCTACTTTATGTGTGTTTCTATATTTTAACATCATAATAATTTGTAATTAAGCATAGAAAGTTTTAAGACAATCAAACACACAACCACAACCAGAAATCTGTATTTGTTATTTAAAATATGTTCAAGGTTTAAGAAAATGTGTTCTATTAGAGTGAAAGATTAGATTTGCATCACATGCTTTTCTTGAGTGTTTTTCCTTCTTGATAATGCATGGCAGTTATAGAGTCTGATTTTCATGTTCGTATCCACATTTACACTACAAACTTTCGATTAAAAATGCTATATCTTAAAATCAATGATCATAACAATGCAAATTACTACATTTTATACAAGAAGAGAATTAAAATTTGAGAATTTTCTTTTCATGCCACTTGCATAAAAGTATTAATAAAACTCCAAATTTTTGTTGATTGATTGTAATTTTCTAAAGAATTTTTAAAAAATATTTCCTCACTTTTATATTAGTAAATCAGTGTTATAAAATATTTTTACATAATTTTTCCCTTCCAAGTTGTAGAAACAATATCATAAATGCATATTTTATCTTCTTAGTTATGAATGACAATATGACAATTATTCTGGCAATTTTGTAAGGAACCAAACAATACAATTCACAACAGTCAATAATTTGAAAAAAATCTTTGATGAGTATAATGGACTACTTTATTGTGTTACTTTGCTAGGCCTACCACAAAAATGTACCATAGACTGTGTGGCTTAAACAACAGAAATGTATTTCCTTATAGTTCTGGAAGTGAGAAGTTCTAGATCAAGATGTCAGCAGAATTGGTTTCTTCTAAGGGCAATTCTTCTTGGCTTGTAGATGTCTGTCTTCCTCTGATATCTTTACATGATCTTCTTTCTGTGTGTGTCTGTGTCCTAATCTCCTCTCTTAGATGGACACCAGGCATATTGGATCAGAGTCCACACATATGACCTCATTTTACCTTAATTACCTCTTTAGAGGCTCTATCTCCAAATACAGTCAAATTTTGAAGTATTGCACTTAGGACTTCAACATATGGATTTGGTATGAGGGACAAAATTCAGCACATAGCTCTTATTGTAAGGGGAAAAATCTTTTAACTATTTGTGTTTATTCCTCACATTTTACCTACTCTTTGAAATAATAATATCTATCATTATCATTAGAAAATGGAAAACTTACCCTCTGTAGTGTTTTATGAAATTATTCATCTCCCAATGATATGTCATTCAGTGCAATGTTTTAACGCCCTTCTTTCTACCATTACTTTATTCACCATTGTACCTTCCATGCCTCTAATGATAGCTGGCACCCATTAGGGGCTTCATGAACACTATTTATTTATAACACAGCTGTCATACTTTTCCTACAGTGTAATCTCTCTTTTAACTTCTTGACAATGTGGTTCCAGGTCCTCCTAATGTATATATATTTTTTTGCAGCAAACTTAAAAAATATAGACAACACCAACAAATTCACAGAACAATTGGATGATAGCATTTACATTGCAGAGCATACCGGATTTGTGTGTGTGTGTGTGTGTGTGTGTGTAAAAATCACCATTAGACATTCCACAGCCTTCTCCCAGATTCTCCAGTTTTTCTCTCCCCAGACACTCTTCCCTATGAAGTTCTTGGGAATTTCTTTCTTCCTCTCATCATCATCTTCTTCTTCATGATGCTGCATAACTGTTTTCTTCAAAGGAAATCTGGAGTAAGACTCAGTCTAGCTTTCGTGTCAAAACAGGTCTACCAAAACCTCTCCTCAGGCAGGGGACATGAGAGAGGGTTTGTTACTGCTCCATGTCTCAAACCTTAGCTGGGAAGACTCAAATAGCAGAACCTGACTCGATCTTCTGGAAGATGGAATCATCTGCAGGTTTTTTCATTGATATGTCTGGTACCCAAGATGGGCTGACTTGAAGACTCAACTCATCTGGGTGTGTCAGTGAGAGCACAAAAAGCAGCCTCATCTTGAGTTGGGCTTCTCGATGCATGGGAGCTGGGTTGCCAACATGAAGATCAGAAGAGAGAGTATTTATAAGGCAGATATTCCAAGATACCAAGGTAGAAGCTGCATGACTATTTATGACCTTGCCATGGAAGCCACATCAGGTCCCATTTTTTATATTCTACATAATCTATTCATTGAAGCACAATGTATTCCATGGCTTTATGGGGGAGACGAGGTCACATTGTAGAACACAAAAGATATTTGGGAAAAAACAAACTGCCATGGTTATTGTTATAGCTACTGGCAGGTTGGGAAGGGTTTTGAGTAAATGCATTGTTTTGGGGGATTCTAAGTCTTTCTACAGGAAAAAACTCTGAGAAAATATTAATAATTAGGAACACTGGTAGGTAACTTGCCATGTATTCACACATCTCAGTGGAAATTGTAATATTGCAACTTTGCATTTACACATTGTTAATTAATAGATTTTCTTTCTGAAATCTTGACAACAGCACAAAATACCATTTGTTGCTACTTTTTCAAATGATAAATTGGGTTGCTACAGATTTTCATTAAGGTTGTTATTAATATCTCCTATTACTGCAAGCTTCTAAGTACTTCATTTGTAACATCACTGGTGGTTCTTTACTTACATTTTATTAGGGTGGCTGGCTGGAAAGATAGAGCACTCCATATGCAATAGAGATAAATGATGGCAGAAAAATGGATTCTGAATGTCACTTGAAAAACCACAATTCCCTTCACCTAGTTAAAACCCTAGAATTGGCCAAAGTTAATCATCAACTGTTCTTTTTTTAATGTTTTTCCTGTCTGGCCTACTGAACAGAAAACAGTAAGACTGTTATCCCTTTGGAAATCTCTGTTGAAACCTTTTCCTTTTCTAGGGTGAATGAGAGGCATGCACACACACACATAATTTTTTAGTTTGTCTGGGTTATTTTGCTCCTGTACCTATTATCAGAATGCATCAAATTTTCTCATGTCTGTTTTATTATTTTTTGATAACCTTTATGGAAAAATTATTTTTATATCCTTACTAATGTTGGAGAAATCTACTTAGCTTAACCAATAATCACGTTCTGAACATGATTATTTGTATCCAAAGTATCCAAAAGTATCCAGTTTCTGTATGTAGGGCAGTTTTCAATTTAGTTATGGACACCAAGCACACACAGTCTATCACCCATCATGGCAGCAAAAGAAATGTGCAATGATTAACATTTAGCAAAACTATATAGTTATTTTATATGTGAGTCAATTCCCTATAATAAATCTCTCTATATATGTATATAGATACATATATAAAGATATCTTATTTTTATATATGTATATGCATATCCATAGAGATAGGGAGAGAAAGATTTATTATAAGGAATTGACTCACATGATTGTGCAGGCAGAACAGTCTCACAATCTGCTGTCTGCAAGTTTCAGACCCAGGAAAACGAGTGGTGTAAATTCTAGTCCAAGTCCCAAGGCCTGAGAACAAGGAAGAACACCAATGAAGCCAGTCTCTGTCCAAGGGCAGGAGAAGGCCACCAATGCTTCAGCTCAAGCAGTCAGGCAGAGAGAGAAAGAGGAAGAGAGAGAGAGAGAGGGGGAGAGAGAGAGAGAGAGAGAGAGAGAGAGAGAATTAGGGTTCTCTAGAGAGACAGAACTAATAGGATAGATGTATATATAAAGGGGAGTTCATTAAGGAGTACTGACTCACATGATCACAAGGTGAGGTCCCACAGTAGGCTATCTGCTTGGCTGAGGAACAAGGAAGCCAGTCTGGTCCCTGAATCTCAAAAGTAGGGAAGCCAACAGTGCAGCCTTCAGTCTGTGGTTGAAGGCCCAAGAA
The DNA here is from genome assembly GCF_000001405.40 of Homo sapiens. NCBI lineage: Eukaryota > Metazoa > Chordata > Mammalia > Primates > Hominidae > Homo > Homo sapiens. The sequence continues at coordinate 114,519,908 of NC_000006.12, forward strand.
TCCCAAAACTGAAGAACTTGGAGTTCAATATTTGAGGGAAGGAAGCATCCAGCATGGGAGAAAGATGGAGGCCAGAAAACTCAGCCAGTCTAGTCTTTCCAGGTTCTTCTGCCTTTTGTTTTATTCTGGCGGTGCTGGCAGCTGATTAGATGGTGCCTAACCACATTGAGGGTGGGTCTGCCTTTCCCAGTTCACTGACTTAATGTTAATTTCCTTTGGCAACACCCTCACAGACATACCCAGGATCAATACTTTGCATCCTTCAATCCAATCAAGTTGACACTCAAAATTAACCATCGGGGGGAGGGGGGGAAGAGAGAGAGAGAGAGAGAATTCTCTCTTCCTCTGCCTTTTTGTTCTATTCAGGCCCTCAAAGAAATGGATGAAGCCCACCCGCATTAGAGGAGGCATCTACTTTTCTCAGCACTCCAATTCAAATGCCAGTTTCTCCTGAAAATACCCTCACAGACTCACCTAGAAATAATGTTTAGCCAAATATTTGGGTACCCTTGATACAAACAAGTTGACACATACAATTAAACATTGCAAAGTGTCATTCTGACATTTACCTCCACTAGTGGGAAATGCACCACTCCTTGGGGGAGCCGATACTATCAGCTCCTGTTATTCTTCTGCTTTACCTCCCTTTTCTTTAAGAACTTACTGAGTCAGCAGAAGCCAACCTCCTAAGAGTCAACACAGCTCAGTGGTTAGGAGCTTGGGATTTGAAGTCAGTCTGCTTGATTTTGACAATTGCTTTTATTTCATTTATAAACCTAGAAATTTGGATAAGTTGTATAAACTCTTTGCCTCCATTTTCTCATTTGTATTAGGAGGATACTAAAATACCTACTTTATGGAGTTGACATGAGGATAAAATGAGACAGTCTATACAAAGTTAAGAGCAAAGTGATTGGAACATAACAACTGCCTAATAAGTATTGGTTAATATAAAACCTAAAAAAGGTTTGGTTCCATCTCAGTTCCCGAGACAATCTAAACTGGAAAAATAAAGCTGTAAGTAGCTTCAGTCTCCATCCATCCCTATCAATATTCTCTATGTCCAGGGTCAATACAAAATATTTTACTCTGTGATATAATGAGTAAAGAGAAAGTGAATGGGGAAAAAATAAAGATATATTAATCAAAAAAGTTTATTTCTAGACTATTTACATGAAAGGTGTCAAAGAGGGGTGGAGACTACCAGTGAAAAGTTTGACGAGGCCCTGGTCAGACGACAAAGCAGGGTTGATGGGTGATTAAGAACTCAGGACTTAAGGTTAGTCATAGCCTGATTCACATCCTAGTTCTACTTCTTTTCAGTGTTTCACTTTGGGACAAGTTGATTAATTCAAGCCTTGGTTCCCTCAAATATTCAAATATAAAACGGGATAAAATAATAAAGCCTATTTCATAGGACTAGTACAAGAATTTAATGAGACACTAACTGTAAGCTGTACAGCAGAGCATCTCTATAGCATGAAGAGAGCAAGGTGGGGCATTGACTAAAATATTCAGAGCCCTTTGGAAGAGACATCCAGGAAAGAGATGCGGGAAGTGACAGGGGTCTAGACGCCTTGTTAGAATTGACTGATTAGAACAATGGCCCAGGTTCCTGGATTCAGGACTATTGCACAATTGACTAGAGAGTAAAAGGCTGCCTGAGCAAGAGGAACAGTAAGTAACCTTTATCATAGTCGACTTTTGCTCCAGCAGCTTTCTTCTCTTGAAAGTTCAAAGCAAAAGTAGAGGTGTCTGATGCCTTCAAGCTTTTCAGAAGTTGAAGCAAAACTACATCCTCCATCTTCTTCCCCTTTAACTGCTTATAATTAGAATATGATTACCTTGTTTTGGCAATCATCATGCGTGTCACTTAAGATTTCTAGTGCCTTTTCTCATTTGGTATTTCATATACAAATACATTTCTCTCACAAACACTACTTCATGGCAGTTCAGTCCTCGTGGTATAAATAAAGAAAGAAAATGGGTACTTTGCTCAGAAAAGCTTAGAATCCACTGGGGGAAGACTGCCAAATAAACCATCACCACTAATAAAACCTGGAGGTACGTCCTGTAAGAGAGGCAAGCATAGGGAAATTTAGAGACACATTCAAACCCAGATTTGGACGTGAGGAAACGAAAAATGTAAGAAGATTTTCTACAGGAGTGAGTCAAAGAAAGGGGTGGCTATTTCATGAGGGGGAGGGAAGAGCTAGAGGCATGATGAGATGTGAGAACATGGTGTTTGGGGGAAACTGAAAGGATTTGAACAAGTTGAGCAGAAAGTACAATAGGAAAGTTGAGAGGAGAAATCAAAGGAGTCAGCAGGAACCAGATATTGTAGGTACTGATGCTTTATGAAAGGATTTTCTGTGCCAACCTGAAGAGGATACAGATTCATTGAAAATTTTATTCTTACCAGGACAGAGAAGGAATATGATCTGACTAGATTTAGAAAGCCCACAATGACAGATCAGACCTGTGTGAAAGCACCTTGATTTTATAGTGATTGCTTAGTTTACTTGCTGCCTGTGGAAGGGATAACAATTCAAATTAGTGAGAATGTAAAGTAGAAAGTATATGTACAGGCTGTGTCTATCCTTGCTAACTAGCCGTAAAAGAAGTACATAATGAAACTAAGGGGGAAAAGACTAATAATGAGACCAAAACCATCTGGAGAACAGAGAAAATGTCATTCTTGGGTGCTTAAAGGAAAAGAACACAGGGTTGTAAAAAAAATAGGCTTGGGGGAAATTAATAGAGAGCTCTAAAGAAAATGAAACATTGGAATAAGAAAAGTACAGAAAACAGAATAAAAGCCTAAAGCAAAAAGATGTTTTACTGAAAGATGGACATGAAGCAGAAATTGGATGATCCTGAAGTGTAAAACCCACCCTTAATTGAATAAAAAAAAGAAAGGGTAAAAAAGCACTTTGTCAATTCATAAGGAATCTCAGTTTTTCATTTGTCTTTTCAAACATTCTGTAACATGAAGTAATCTAGTTAGAATAAACATGTTTGTTACAGTGTTATTTTCTTACAAACAAAATGGTTCCTTTAGTAAGTTAAATGTACTACAAAATATTAAGTTTTTTCAAAAGGATTTACATGTACTTTGTTGTGTGACACTTAGTAATGGGTAGAATCATTAAAGGACTTAGTTCTGGTGGGCAGCTATAAGTTTAAAACTCATCTGAAACTAAATTGTTTAGCCCTTTCATTAGAAACATAAAGATAACAATTTTTAATGAGACTGTCAATGTCTTTTGATACAATTGAGTTAAGAATTCTCTGAGCCTTCCAAAGGCATTGTGAATACTACAATGTCTAAGCACAGCGGATGTGGGTGGGAGGGGGCAGCGGGTAATTCCATTTGTTGTGTGGTCTGAAGAATCTAGAAAGGTTCCAAATTCTCTCTCTTGCTAAGGTTATCAATGCTTGAAATTGTATCCTGAGGAACTCATTTTTGCCGGGAGAGGGAGGGAAACCAAGCAAGCATTTTCCAATCCTTGCTGACTTATTTAAAATCCAAATATTTCTTCATGTGGTTAAGGCCTTTATTTATTACTATGGTGGATTTAATCATTATGGAAGCATAGAATTATGAAGGTATAAATAAGCTTCAATATCTGAATTCACATATCTCAGCCCAAGCAGTTTAGGTAATTTGTCCAAGATGACAATTGCAGACACAGAAGTAGTTCAGTTTCTATGCATTCTGGTTGGCAATGGTTAGCTGTTCTTTTCTGAGAAGCAAGGGCGAAGGGCCTGAGACTCTTGGCTTCCTGCAGAGACAGAAGGGATGGAATGGGAGAAGGTGGAAGGCAAAGACGGAGGAGGAATTTCACCTCCTTTTCAGTTTTGTTGCCTGCCACTGGCCTGTGAACATGTAGAGGAAAAGAGTAGTTTGGCATAAACTCTACTCAGGTTTTAAACCATTTCCTCCCAAACAACAAGTATTGACAATCTTTAACTTGGTATATTATCTATTTCAAAAGAGATAAGCTAACCAGCCCAGGAAGTTCTTTTGCTTTTGTATGAGTTTCTCAAGCAACAAACTTCCTCTGCGGCAGGGTTTCGGAACTAAATACAAGACTCAGGGAATAAAGTTGAAAGTGTTTTCTCAGTCTTTTCTCCTTCTCCAGCTGCGTTCTCTGATTAGCAAGTTAGCATTTGGAACTCTTACTCTCTGAATGACCCTTAGATCTATTCCAGTGACCAAGAAACCTGCAGTTTGTTCCCTACCCTTTTAAAGTGCCATTTCCATGCTTGGAAAACATTTCATCCATCAGTGGTATCAATACTTTTCAAGCTGTGAAAGTTGGCTGTCCTGGCTACTTGCACAAATAATGAGCATGCAGAGCTGACCCAAATTCTACTCAAGAATTGCATAATATAAGCTAATCATTACATAAAGAGTGCATTGAGTGTCTCTATAATGAATTCTGAGAGATCTACAAAATAAAATGCACACCATGTCAGCTCTTCAGTATTCCCTGTTAGAGTTAGGAAAAACAATTTTCTTTTAACTTTTTCAATTTTCCCCCCAATTTCTCTTCTAACAAAGAGTTGTAGTGCTTACTGTAAGAAAAAACATAAACAGTAGATATTAAAAGTATAGTAAACCTACTAAAAGAGCTCCCATAGTAAATAATTTAGTAATTATTTAGTAATGAATAATAACTAAAACCTTGATATATATCTCGATGTTTCCATAATTCTGGATATTTATAAGAAATGTGTACAGACACACACACACATACACACATTTACATAACTCAGCTCATAGCATACATTCTGCTCTATAACCTGAAGTTTCCCATGACAATATGCCACGGCATGAGCATCTCTCTGTTTCAAAAAAAGAAAGAAAACCACATTATCATTTTTAATGGCTATATATACCATGATTTATCTAGGCACCTATTGATGAGTATTTAGGTTGTGTTCCAATTTTTCACTATTATCAACTATGTGGTAATGTTTTTGGATGTGTACACATTTGCACTGATTACATAGTAGCTCAGTTTGCAAGTCTACTGAAATTAAAAGAAAAAAAGGATTGGTTTAATTCAATAACTTTTTTTTCCCCCCCAGAAGATATTTAGTTAAAGGATTGGCTCATAGAAAGTCTTTCCTAGTCTGATTTTTGGGACTGCTTTCTGCCAGAAGTTGCCCTTCAGTGTCCTGTTGGGGCTGCCTTAGTCAGTCATCTTCCTAGGACCAGGGCATTTCGCCTGGGTTGTGTGAGTGGCTTAATGGGAAAGAATACATGACTGTCTCCCAAGTTTGATGATTGGGACAGTCTGCCACAGCTGCTGGAGCCAACACAAGGACTCTCATCTTCAATGGACACCTCACTTGTGGCTTAGTTTTAGTGGATGCAGAAGCCCTGCTCCAGCATCTTGGTCATGCAGTAGTGTGGCCTGTGCTTGGCATTTTAGCCAGTTTGCATAGTTTCTAGTACTGGTACATAAAATATTGAGTAAACTTTCTAACTTATCTTCACTGAATAGCCACAATAGCCCAGGTGCAGTTGAAATTCACAGCCACAACTTCTAACAGTGAATTCTTGGCAAATAGGCCTTATCCTGAGAAGACATGCAGTTTTAACAAACCCAGTTCAGTTGTGGTGTGTAAATGTCCCTCTCAAGTTAGTTTTCTTTGCCTCAGACATAGTCAATGATTGGAAGGAATCTACACTTTCAGTCTCAGCACACACAATTCACATGCCAGTCTTGCATTCCAATCAGCTCCAAACATTTTATGATCACAAAGCCTGAAACTTGACATTTCTATCTTGTGTCATTTTGGAGAGAAATGTCCTCCTAATTTCTTTTTCCCATTCTAAATATAATCCTGCCCACTTGTGGGAGCTCAGCTCAGATTACACCACACTGAAGAAGTCTCTCCTAACCATGTCCTGCTCTGGGTGCTCTTATTTTTGGCATATTGTTTTTACTACTCACTTGATAATTTGAATAGAGTGATTCATTCATTCTTTCTGTCTCTCTTTACACACACACAAACACAAACACACATGCATTCCCATGAAAGCACTACTGTTCTAGAATAGTGTCAAAGAGTAAAATTTTTGTACCCATCATTCCGTCCCTCCTTTTCCAGCCAATGGTCATTGAATCAGGTACAGCATATACACTTTATACAAATTGGCCTAATTTGAGACTCTACTAAACATGTAGAGAACATATATATATATTGGATTAATTAGCTATGGATTCCGCATTTAGCAAGTCTTTCAGACTCAGTGGTTGAGTCATGTTGTATGACAGCCACAGCAAACAGAGCAATGAAAGTTGAGAGAAGATAGAGGGAATAAGCAGACATGGAGGAGCCTGTGGATGGCATTTACCTCCTGTTCCCCTCATTCCCCACCTTGCGCGTGTGCATGCACTCATACACACACGTGTGCACACACACACACACACACACACACACACACACACGCTGCTTGGGTCCTGAGAGCTCTGTACTTTCCAGCTGCTCAGTGAGCTTGCCTGCCTTGGATTCCGGGAGATGTTCCTATTTTCACACACATTACTCTTTACTTAAAGCAGTTTGGATAGCTTTCTGGTCCTTGAAGCCAAACAATTTGTGTCTAAGAAGCAAGGCATTCTCTGTCTTGAAGAGGCATTTCTAAAAGTCTTATGAGTGAACACTTAGTCTCTATACACTCTGCAGCTCTGTTAGTTTTGTTTGTTTGTGTCGCTGCTCAACCCTTTCCTTGACTGCCTGTAGAGCATGGTCATAGTGTCTGTGAGGCCCCGTCTCCTCCTCTATACACTAGGATTCCCGCCTTTGTGATCTGGCTCCAAATCTATGCACTTATTTATATACAAATTGCTTGCCAACTTAACTGGTGACATTTTATGGACTTAGCGAGCTCTTCTGATTCAACGTGTTTGCATTATTACAGACACCTGACGAAATAGGACCTCAAGTGGCAGGAACTTCAAGCACTGTGGTGAGGGGAGAGAAAACAATTTAAAAAGGCTTTTCCTTAGATCCCACCAGAGAGGCAGCTGCTCTTTCTGCCTGCATTAGGGATTCCCTCAGCACATTTTAAGACCGTGTAAATCTGTCCAGGAAATACCACTAATACTCTCAAAGTAAAAAGACACTTAAAAACTGTCCTAGTTAATGAGACCATAGATATAATACCCCACATTAGTGACTCCAAATATATACAGCTATGTTTTCATAATGTTCAGCCTTAAACAAAATCACACAGAGCAGTCTGTTTGCTGGGTAGGTTTGATTGCAGGATGATGAATCAAACACTTGGAAAGGGTCTTCCTTTTTGCTAACCACCAATTAATGCACACTGGGTATAATCCTGGACAAAACATACCTCTTACAATCCAGTATCTCTTTTAAAGTGAGAAGCTTAGATGGAAGATCCCTAGCACCTTTTAAAATTAGACATTCTGGCTGGGCGCAGTGGCTCACACCTGTAATCCCAGCACTTTGGGAGGCTGAGGCGGGTGGATCGCCTGAAGTCAGGCATTCGAGACCAGTCTGGCCAACATGGAGAAACCCTGTCTCTACTAAAAAAAAATACACAAAAATTAGGCATTCTGTGATTTTCAGTTGTGAAAGCCTCTGAAATGAAGGTGTCAAGTAAAAATGATTAGAGCAGTTAGAGAGAGAAACAAGTCAGCCTACAGTGGCTGTGTCTTCTTGGACCTCCATCTTCTTTTGAAGAATCTTGGAGAAAGTGAGAATAGCTCCCTTTCTTCACAAAGCCGAATGACTTCAGCAAACCCAAATGTCTCCTAATTTTAAGGATTTGGTTGACATGTGTATTTTAGGTACAAAGAATATTAAGTTACTTCTGCAACAATTGAGCACTAACTCTTCTATATGTTTGTAAGAACGACCAGGGCTCAGGTAAGGTAATTTCTAGAATGGCTTTTAGGGTCCTTTCTGTGTGATGGCTCCTGCAGATATTATGTGCCTTTAAATGGGTAACATTGCCTCTTTAACTAAAATTAGATCAGTGTTTCCTAACTGGGGTCAATTTTGGCTCTGGGGGATATTTGGCAATATCTGGAGGCATTTTTGGTTGTCACATCTGGGAGTGGGGTGGAGAAACAGTGTGCTACTGGCATCTAGAGTGTAGGGGCCCGGGTTGCTGCTGAACACTGCACCCTAAAATGCACAGGATAACCTCCAGAATAAAGAAATATCCAGTCCCAGATGTCAATAGTGTCATGGTTGAGAAAGCCTAGACTAGACAGTGCATGGGAAAGATAATGACATGTGTACCCTTACTTTGGTCCACATGCAATCTCATTTTTTAAAGTCAGAAACCTGTGTAATGACAACTGAATGAGCTTAGAAAATATATTGCTAAGAAGCTTTTTAAACTAGCAAGATAATTTAGGTTTAATGAGCCCTACTACCTTCATAAATATCTCTCCAAAAACTTTATTTTAAAAATATAAATTGAGTTATGAACCTCATCTGGTTAGAAAACTTTAATGGATTGCTCTCAGGAAAGATGCAGACTCCTTAAGTGGCCCACAAAGCTCTGCATGACCTGGTCCTGACTTCCTCGGCAGCCTTCTCTCAGGACTCCATGTTTGCTGTTCTCCCGCCACTCTAGCCTGTCAACTGCTTAAATGCACAAAGCTCTTTCCTGCTCTGGCCTCTACCCACAGTCTTCCCTTCGTCCCTCTGCTTAGAACATTTTTTCTCAGCCACAGGATCTATCCCTGCACCGACTTGTCCTTAGCTCAAATGTTGGCATCTTTGCAAATGTTTTACTGAAGCTCTACCCTAATCCAAATTAGAACCTTTGCTTTGTTTTCTGCATTTTATAATACTCATCACATTTCTAATCATGTCTTTTTGTGTGTTTATGTGTTCATGTTTGGTTCCCTCTCTGGTTTTATGACCCATGAGGAGACAAAGTGTACAATACTTTTTAAAAATTTTTTAATTTTTAATTTTTCCATAAGTTATTCCAGTACAGGTGGTATTTGGTTACATGAGTAAGCTCCTTAGTGGTGATTTGTGAGATTTTGGTGCATACATCACCTAAGCAGCATACACTGCACCGTATTTGTTGTCTTCTATATCTTGCCACCCTCCCACTCATCCCCCAAAGTGCCCAAAGTCCGTTGCATCATTCTTATGCCTTTGCATCCCCATACTTAGCTCCCACACATCAAGAACATATTATGTTTTGTTTTCCATTCCCGAGTTACTTCACTTAGAATAATAGTCTCCAATCTCATCCAGGTCACTGCAAATGCTATTAATTCATTCCTTTTTATGGAAGTGTAGTATTCCATTTTATATATATATATATATATATATATATATATATAAATTCCATTACATATATAATATATATGGCTTTTATTACATATATGTGTGTGTGTGTGTATATGTGTGTGTGTGTGTGTGTGTATATATATATATATATATATATATATATATATATATAACTTTCTTTACTCTTTGTCCACTCATTGATTGATGGGCATTTGGGTTGGTTCCACGATTTTGCAGTGGTGAATTGTGCTGCTATAGACATGCATGTGCAAGTATCTTTTTCGAATAATGACTTATTTTCCTCTGGGTAGATACCCAGAAATGGGATTGTTGGATCAAATGGTAATTCTACTTTTAGTTCTTTAAGGAATCTCCACACTGCTATCCATAGTGGCTGTACTAGTTTACATTTCCACCAGCACTGTAGAAGTTGTCCCTGTTCACCAAATCCACACCAGCATCTACTGTTTTTTGATTCTTTTATTATGGCCATTCTTACGAGAGTAAGGTGGTATTGCATTGTGGTTTTGATTTACATTTCCCTGGTCATTAGTGATGTTTAGCATTTTTTCAGATGTTTGTTGGCCATTTATGTATCTTCTTTTGAGAATTGTCTGTTCATGTCCTTAGCTCACTTTTTGATGGGATTTTTGTTTCCTCTTACTGATTTGTTTGAGTTGGTTGTTGATTCTGGATATTAGTCCTTTGTCAGATGTATAGATTGCGAAGATTCTTCCACTCTGTGGGTTGTCTATTTACTCTGCTAACTGTTCCTTTTGCTGTGCAAAAGTTCTTTGGTTTAATTAGGTCCCAGCTATTTATCTTTGTTTTATTGTATTTGCTTTTGGGTTCTAGGTCATGAAATCCTTGTCTAAGCCAATGTCTGGAAGAGTTTTTCCAGTGTTATCTTCTAGAATTTTTATAGTTTCAGGTCTTAGGTTTAAGTATTTAATCCATCTTGAGTTGATTTTTATATAAGGTGAGAGATGAGCGTCCAGTTTCATTCTCCTACATGTAGCTAGCCAATTATCCCAGCAGCATTTGTTGAAAGGGGTGCCCTTTCCCCACTTTATGTTTTTGTTTGTTTTGTCGAAGATCAGATGGCTCTAAGTATTTGGGTTTATTTCTTGATTCTCTCTTCTGTTCCATTGGTCTATGTGCCTATTTTTGTACGAATACCATGCTGTTTTGGTGACTATGGCCTTATAGTGTACTTTGAAATCAGGTAGTGTAATGCCTCCAGATTTGTTCTTTTTGCTTAGTCTTGCTTTGGCTATACAGGCTCTTTTTTGGTTCCATGTGAATTTTAGAATTGTTTTTTCTAATTCTGTGAAAAATGATCGTGGTATTTCGATGGCGATTGCATTGAATTTGTAGATTGCTTTTGGCAGTATGGTTATTTTCACAATATTGATTCTACGCATCCATGAGCATGGGATGTGTTTCCATTTGTTTGTGTCATCGATGATTTCTCGGAAGTGTTTTGTAGTTTTCCTTGTAGAGGTCTTTTGACTCCTTGGTTCAGTGTATTCCTAAGTATTTTATTTTAGTTTTTGCACTTACTGTAACAGGGGTTGAGTTCTTGATTTGATTCTCTGCTTGGTCACTGTTGGTCTATAGAAGAGCTACCGATTTGTGTACATTAATCTTATATCTGGAAGATTTGCTGAATTCTTTTATCAGTTCTAGGAGCTTTCTGGAGGAGCCCTTAGGGTTTTCAAGGTAAACGTCATATCATCAGCAAACAGTAACAGTTTGACTTACCCTTTACCCAGTACTATGTTGAAGAGGAGTGGTGAGATTGGGCATCCTTGCCTTTTTCCAGTTCTCATAGGGAATGCTTTCAACTTTTCCCCATTCAGTATTATGTTGGCTATGGGTTTGTCACAGATGGCTTTTATTACATTAATGTATGTCCCTCATATGCCAATTTTGCAGAGACTTTTATCATAAAGCGATGCTGGATTTTGTCGAATGCTTTTTCTGCATCTATTGAGATGATCATGTGATTTTTGTTTTTAATTCTGTTTATGTGGTATATCATTTATTGACTTGCATATGTTAAACTGTCCCTGCATCCCTGGTATAAAACCCACTTGATTATGGTGGATTATTGTTTTGATATGTTGTTGGATTCGTTTAGCTAGTATTTTGTTAAGGATTTTAGCATCTGTGTTCATCAAGGATATCAGTCTGTAATTCTCTTTTTTGGTTATGTCCTTTCCTGATTTTGGTATTAGGGTGATGCTTGCTTCATAAAATGAATAGGGAGGGTTCCTTCTTTCTCTATATTGTGGAATAGTGTCAAAAGGATTGGTACCAATTCTTCTTTGAATGTCTGGTAGGATTCTGCTGTGAATCCATCTGGTCCTGGATTTTTTTGTTGGTAATTTTTAAATTACCATTTCAATCTCGCTGCTTGTTCAGGGTATCTAATTCTTCCTGACGTAAGCCAGGAGGGTTGTATTTTTCCATGAATTTATCCATTTCTTCTAGGTTTTCTAGTTTATGTGCATAAAGGTGTTCATAGTAGCGTTGAATGATCTTTTGTATTTCAGTGGTGTCTGTTGTAATATCTCCTGTTTTGTTTCTTAGTAAGGTTATTTGGATATTCTCTCTTCTTTTCTTGGTTAATCTTGCCAATTGTCTATCAATTTTATTTATCTTTTCAACGAACCAGCTTTTGTTTCATTTATCTTTTGTATTTTTTTATTCAAATTTCATTTAGTTCTGCTCTGATCTTGATTATTTCCTTTCTTCTGCTGGGTTTCAGTTTGGTTTGTTCCTGTTTCTCTAGTTCCTTGAGTTGTGACCTTAGAGTGTCAGTTTATACTCTTTCAGTCTTTTTGATGTAAGTGTTTATGGGTAAAAACTTTCCTCTTAGCACTGCCTTTGCTGTATCCAGAGGTTTTGATAAGTTGTGTCATTATTGTCGTTCAGTTCAAAGGATTTTTAAATTTCCATCTTGATTTCACTTTTGACCCAATGCTCATTCAGGAGCAGGTTATTTAATTTCCATGTATTTTCATGGTTTTGAAGGTTCCTTTTGGAGTTGGTTTCCAGTTTTGTTCCACTGTGGTCTGAGAGAGTGCTTGATATAATTTCAATTTTCTTAAACTTATTGAGGCTTGTATATGGCCTATCATATGGTCTATCTTTGAGAAAGTTCCATGCACTGTTGAATAGAATGTGTATTTTGTGGCTGTAGGATGAAATGTTTTATATATATCTGTTAAATCCATTTGTTCCAAGGTATAATTTAAATCCATTCTTTGTTGACTTTCTGTCCTGATGACCTGTCTAGTGCTGTCAGGGGAGTATTGAAGTCCCCCACTATTATTGTGTTGCTGTCTATCTCATTGCTTAGGTCTATTAGTAATTGTTTTATACATTTGGGAGCTCTAGTGTCAGGTGCATATATGTCTAGGATTGTGATATTTTCCTGTTGAACAAGGCCTTTTACAATTATATAATGTCCCTCTTTGTCTCTTTTAACTGCTGTTGCTTTAAAGTTTGTTTGGTCTCATATAAGAATAGCTATGCCTGCTCACTTTTGGTGTTCATATGCATGAAATATTTTTTCCACCCCTTTACTTTAAGTTTATGTGAGTACTTATGTGCTAGGCAAGTTTCCTGAAGGCAGCAGATAGTTGTTTGGTGAGTTCTTATCCATTCTGTGGTTCTATATCTATTAAGTGGAGCATTTAGGCCATTTACATTCAATGTTAGTATTGACATGTTAGGTACCATTGCATTCATCATGCTCTTTGTTGCCTCTGTACTTTGTTTTTTTGTTTTTTGTTTTTTGTTTTTTAACTTGTATTTTTGTTTTATAGGTCCTGTGTGATTTATGCTTTAAAGAATTTCTGTTTTGATGTGTTTCTAGGATTTGTTTCAAGATTCAGGGCTCCTTTTAGTAGTTCTTGTAGTGGTGGCTTGGTAGTGGCAAATAATCTCAACATTTGTTTGTCTGAAAATCTTCCCTTCACATATGATGATTAGTTTCTCTGGATACAAAATTCTTGGCTGATAATTGTTTTGTTTGAGGAGACTGAAGATAGGTCCCTAATACATTCTAGCTTGTAGAGTTTCTGCTGAGAAATCTACTGTTAATCTGATAGGTTTTCCTTTATAGGTTACCTGGTGCTTCTGTCTCACAGCTCTTAAGATTCTTTCCTTCATCTTAACTTTGGATAACCTGATGACAATGTGCCTATGCAAACATCTTTTTGTGATGAATTTCCCAGGTGTTTTTGTGCTTCTTGTGTTTTGATGTCTAGGTCTCTAGCAAGGCCGGGGAAGTTGTAGTCGGTTATTCCCCCAAATATATTTTCCAAGTTTTTAGAAATTTCATTTCTCAGGAACACTGATTATTCTTAGGTTTGGTTGCTTAACCGAAATCCAAGACTTCTTGGAGGGTTTGTTCATATTTTCTTGTTCTTTTTTCTTTGTCTTTGTTAGATTGGGTTAATTTGAAGACCTTGTCTTTGAGCTCTGAATTTCTTTCTTCTACTTGTTCAATTCTATTGCTGAGACTTTCCAGAACATTTCACACTTCTACAGGTGTGTCCAAAGTTTCCTGAATTTTTGATTGTTTTTTATTTAAGCTATCTATTGCCTTGAATATGTCTCCTGTCACTTATTGTATCATAGTTTGGATTTCCTTGCATTGGACTTCACCTTTCTCTGGTCCCTCCCTGATTAGCTTAATAACTAACCTCTTGAATTATTTTTCAGGTAGATTGGGGATTTCTTCTTGGTTTGGATCCATTGCTGGTGAACTAGTGTGATTTTTTTGGGGGTAGAAGAGCCTCAATTTGTCATATTATCAGGGTTGCTTTTCTGGTTCCTTCTCATTTGGGTAGGCTATGTCAGAGGGAAGGTCTGGAGCTGAAGGCTGTTGTTCAGATTCTTTTATCCCACAGAGTGTTCCCTTGATGTAGTACTCTCCTCCTTTTCCTACAAATGTGGCTTCCTGTGAGCCAAACTGCAGTGATTGTTGTCTCACTTCTGGGTCTAGCCACCCAGTGAGTCTACCTCGCTCTAGGCTGGGGGCTGTCTGCACAGAGTCCTGTGATGTGAACCATCTATGGGTCTCTCAGCCATGGATACCAGTGCTTGCTCCCATGGAAGTGGCAGGAGGTGCAATGGACTCCATGAGGGTTCTTAGCTTTGGTGGTTTAATGTTCTATTTTTGTTCTGGTTGGCCTCCTGCCAGGCAGTGGCACTTTCAAGAGAGCATCAGCTGTGGTATTATGGGGAAGAACCAGTGGTGGGCGGGACCCTAGAACTCCCAAGATTATATGCCTTTTGTCTTTCACTACCAAGGTGGGTAGGGAAGGACCATCAGGTGGGGGCAGGGCTAGGTGTATCTGAGCTCAGACTTTCCTTGGCTGGTCTTGCTGCAGCTGCTTTAGGGGATGGGGGTGAGATTCCCAGGTCACTGGAGTTGTGTACCTAGGAGGATTATGGCTGCCTCTGCTGATTCATGCAGGTTGTCAGGGAAGTAGGGGAAAGCCAGCAGTCACAGGCCTCATCCAGCTTCCATGCAAACCGAAGGGCTGGTCTCACTTCCCGGTGCCCACCCAACAGCCCCTAGACCTTTTCCAGGTGGAGAGCCACAGGGGCTTGAAAACCTGCCCCAGGCTATCTGCCTCCCAGCTGGGAAAGAAAAGGGGCTTGGTTCTTCCCATGCCTGTGGAGTCTGCACTCTGGATTTGCGCCTTCCTCTGAGTTACTGCCAGAAGGCTTCTCACTCTATTCAAATGGTTACAAAACTCAGCTAGAGATTTGCTTCTTCCTGTGTGGTTTTACCCCCTGCTTCTCTCCCATTGGATCCCTGTGGTGCCAGGCAGGAATGGCCTGCTAGGGGACCCAGCGAGATCCCCGGGTCTTTCTGCTGCTTCCTCTACCACTGTATTTCGCATGGCTTCCAAATGTACTCAGCTCCAGGTAAAGTCAGAAACTTCTCCTGCAAACAGACTTTCAGCTTCTCCAGTGGGGGTGTGTGTTTGAGAGGAGGGTCTCCCTTTCCCACTTCCGCAGTTGGCGCACTTACAGTTTTGCGGGGGTGTCTCCTGTGTCCTGCAGGAGCAGTCTGCTTCCTTCAGAGGGTCTGTGGGTCCTCTCAGGATTGCTGGTTTTTTCTTGCTGTTGATATGGAGTTAAAATTCACAATGCGAGCTGCCTGCTGCTCTGTCCGGAGCTTCAATCTAGCCCTGCCTCCGTCTGCCACCGCCATGATCTCTCCTCTAATCCAAAGTGTAAAATACTTTTTAAAACTTACCAAAAAGTATGTATTACCTAATTTGTTCCTATATATTTATTGGGGCAACAAGTGTAAGATATTTATTTTCTATTGTGTTATATTGTGGTAAGAACAGATAATATAAGATCCATCCTCTCCACATATTTTTAAGTGTATAGTACAATATTCTTAGCCATAAACAGTGTTGAACAACAGACCTCAAGAACTTATTCTGATGATGATTATTGCAGTGCTTACCTTTATTGTCTAATAATGTCTGCACAGAGTAGGTCCTCCACAAATCTTTGTTCAAGAAATACAAGAAAATGCCTTTGATCCTCAGAGTCATAGAAGAGGATGATGCCTCGGCCTTTTTTCTGTTCTCTCAATCCCCAAGTATATACCCACAATATACTACAGCATCTAGGACAGGAAGTTTCTATGTCAGGTACAAGGTACATATGTTCTTAACGGGACTCCATCTTTTCTCTGAGGCAGAAGATAGACAACTGTCCAAAAGCATTTATTCAGTGCTGTGTGCTGTAGGACTTAAGGCTGTTGCTGCTGTCTTGTGATACAGCTACCTCCAATGAAAGGTGCTGCTTCTCTCTGAAATAGGAAGGAGAAAAGAAGCAAGGCAACTCTTTCCCAAAGTTTAGGATTAGAATAGCAAAACATCTCTTTTTGAAGTATGAGCTAGGTAGAAAAAAGTGGTTCCTAAATGTTGTACACCTTTCAATTGATCTTAAATAGGAAGATCCTATGAGTACCAAGGACCATGTAAGTTTAGGGTTTTGATGCAACGAAAAACTCAGGACCTCAAGAAATTGTCTAATCTGTGCACTTCTGTCTTGAGGCAAGTACAGTCTTATGGACACTGACAGACAGACTAACCTAACTAGCATCATAATAGTCTGACGGCTAGTAGACTGATCTGCTTTACTGTTTATCATCAGCACATCAGCTTTCTGTTCCAAAGAACTGGGACTGAGTTGGTATACTTAGTTCTTTTGAATAAAGTGATAAAGATATGTTTTCTTTTTTTATGTCTCTGAACATCTGACCTACATTTTATCTTTTTGTTATGAAGTAGAACATTTTATTCTACTTCAGGTTTATTTTGAGGGGAGATTATGTCTCTATGTGCTATATGAACGTCAGTTTTTATTGGATCGACATGTAATGAAATATATTTTCATGGTGAACATCCTTTTATATATTTCAGTTCAGATACAGCTTAATTTTATAAAATGAATAAACTAAATCAATAAAGAGAGGGAAAATCATTTTTAGCATTATAATTCCTTCTGTTTGAAGTTAGAGACAAGGTTATCTTCAGGACTTTAGTTCTCCAATCCAATAAGTTAGAAATGGTCTTTTTTAAATTAAAAAATGACTAATGTTTGATGTGATTTTAAATATTAACTCTTGTTAAAATGCTTATGCTTTGTTTTCGTTCAAGTCTTAAACATATAATGTTTTGGATCCAGATCATGTGTTTTACACACTGGTTATTACCTAATGAATAAAAACAATGATGTCTGATTCTAAGATGGTCTCTCCCTTATTGATGACAAGAAAAATCTTCTCAGTAATCTTATATTGTCCATTGAGATAAATATGTAGGGTATAATTTCACTGGTCACACGAATTATTTAAAGCATGACATGAATTAGTAAACGTGTATTTTGTCATCAGCATCATCAGCGCCATCACTTTGTACACCGTTATTGTCATAATTACCACTGTTGTCATTGCCAAGAAGTTTTCCTTTTCTTTTTTCTCATCTTCCTCCTCCAGGTCACAAAAATCATGCTATCAAGTTTTGCCAAAAAAATCCTTAATATCTACTTTAAGAAGCAGTTAGTAACAGAAAACATTGTTTTATAAATTGATGTGTTCTGCTGAAAAATTTTAAAAGACATGTTCCCTTAAATAGCTAATGCATAAACTCTCTGTACTAGTTTTCTGTTGCTGTTAGTACCACAAACTCTGTGGCTTAAAACAACATATACCTATTGTCTCACAGTTTCTGTGAATTAGGAGTCCAAGTGCTGGTTACCTGAGCCCTTTTTTTTTTGGGTCGTATGAAATTGTAATCAAGGTGTTGGTGGGCCATGATATCATCAAAGGCCAGGGATCCTTTTCCAAGCTTGTTCAGGTTGTTGGCAGAATCCAGGTCCTTGCAACTATAGAACTGAGGCCGCATTTTCTTTCTTTTTTTTTTTTTTTGTTTGTTTGAGATGGAGTCTCGCTCTGTCGCCCAGGCTGGAGTGCAGTGATGCTATCTCGGCTCACTGCAAGCTCCTCCTCCCCAGTTCACGCCATTCTCCTGCCTCTGCCTCCCGAGTAGCTGGGACTACAGGCACCCACCACCACGCCTGGCTAATTTTTTGTCTTTTTAGTAGAGACGGGGTTTCACCATGTTAGCCAGGACGGTCTCAATCTCCTGACCTCGTGATCCGCCCGCCTTGGCCTCCCAAAGTGCTGGGATTACAGGTGTGAGCCACCGCGCCCAGCCTGAGGCCGCATTTTCTTGTTGGCTACTTGGGAACTACTCTCAGCTCTTCGAGCTTACCTGTTGTCCCTTGCCCTCTCCATAACACAGAAGTTTGTTTCACCAAGGCCAGCTAGAGAAACTCTCTCAGGTTCAAATATCTTCATAGTCTTTTATAAGCACTCACCTGATGAGGTCAGGCCCATCCAGGATAATCTCTTTCAATTAAGTCAAAACTGGCTGACTAGTAACCTACTCATTAGTGTGAAATCCCATCACATTCACAAGTCCTGCCCACAATCAAGGAAAAGGAATCAGACAGGGTGTGATTCCTGAATCATACCAGAGTTTGGAAATCTTGGGAGCCATCTTTTAGTCTAGCACACTCTCTAACGTGCCTATTAATTTTTTCAGCTCTTTCCTATAGACTTTGCTGTCTAACATGATAGGAGCCACGTGTCTATTTCCATTGAAATTAAATAAAATTTAAAATTCATTTTCCTAGCTGTACTAGGCATGGTTCAAGTACTGAACAGTCAATGAGACTAGCGGCTGTCATGCTGCACAATGCAATTATAGATTATCAACCTTCACAGGAAGTTGTGTTTGGGACTAAAGTGATAACAATTTGTATGGATTACCACTTCTATGTAACATAATTTTATTGTATTAACTCAGCAGACTAAAAATGAAAATTTTAGACTGTGCAGGCAGGCAAGAGGGGAAAATTTTTAAATAGTATTTTGATATGTGTTCAGTCACACCACAGAGGTGGTATTTTTTAGTCTACTCATAGAGCAGCCTCAGGAAGTCTCCTGCTATTGTTTCTGGTTTCTGCTGTGGCTAATTGTAATGAAAGAATAATTCTGTCACCACAAAAAGTCTTGTTGGACAGTGCTTCATAGAAGATCATTAAAAAGGTAGACTATCATCTAATGTGCAGCTACAACAGTTTTACGCAATGGAACATTCTCTGATGATGAAATCTATATCTATGCTGCCCTATATGGTAAGCATTAGCTACAGGTCGCTATCAAAGCACTGGAAATGTGGCTAGTGAGGGATTAAATTCTTAATTTAATTTTAATTATAAATTAATGATTTAAAATTTTAAATAGATAAAATAGATGTGCCTAGTGGTACATACATTGGGTAGCACAGATCTAGGCTATGACACATTTTCAATTATTGGAGTCCTGCTACTTTGACATTGGCTCATAAATAAAATCTGAGCGCTTTTAGGTTGGTGGTAGGGAAATGGTTGGGTAGATTAGGAAGAGAATGTAATTCTCTTAACGTTTCATTATGTTTTAGACAATTTTGAAAGTCCAAGGAAAGAGGTTGAAAAGTAAAATCTCCTAGTTTTAGATCTTATTTTATATTCAAGTTAGTGTTTCATCTGTAGCAATTTGTCTGCCTTTAGAATGTTACAGCTTTATTCAGCTGGAAGAAATTTTCTTACAATGTTTTCTCCTCACGTTGACTTGCCTTTTGCTTTGTTACATTTAATTATATCCCCCCTTAAGGAAGATGGGAGGGAAAACATCAAGTAAACATGTTCGAATGCAGAACTTGTTCTTCCCCAAAAGGTATAGTTTGTAACCTAATAAATACAACCACATTGTGATTCAATTAACAAGTGATAGCAACAAAGAAAATAGTAAATCTGTGATTTATTTTAATGTGATGAAAATGGCAGATCTCTTTCAGATGAGAATTTAAAGTGAAGCAAAATCAAATTTAGCCCAGTGTTTCATTTCTAGATGTGCTGAAGTGCTGTCACAAAAACACACACTGCCTATCTCCATGGAATGTACCACCTATTGTTAGGAATGAAAATTTCCATCATCCTAATATGTTTAGGTATCATTTCCAGATGCTCAACTTCTCAGGAACTGGACCATACGTTGAAGCTGTGTGACACTCATAATGATAACTCTCTCCATACTAACAACAATACGCAAACTCCAAGGCAAAAATTCTAGTTAGACACAGACATTTCATAGTTGAGTTTCACTGTAGCTAGAGTTTGGCATTTCACCTATATATAGTCTGAAAAAAGAGAAGTCTCTGAAGTACTTCTGTTTGTGATGGGAGTCAGAGGGCGGGGGCTGATCTACTTTTCTTGTTTGTTTATGGGGCAGGATGCCACAAGTCAAATGAAGTATAACGACCATGGATTACTAGGGAAGAAGGAAGCACAGAACTTGGTTCCATATGCACTATATATATTAGAGAACGCCAGTTTGGGCATTGTCTTGGATAGTAAGTTCCAGTTACTAACCAGAACTACAAAGAGAATGAACAGAAGCCCTGAAGAGTTCTATACTTCCCCTCATACCCAATAGCTAAGAAACATTTCCACCTACCATCCTTTCCGTGTCTTCATGTCTTATATCTTTTCCTTGGAGCTACAGGGTAATAAATATTGGAGGATGCTAATGCACAGCAGGATAATGATGCTTTGAAATACCACCTAGAGATTCTTTCCTGGTAATTATTATTTTTTTCTTTCTGTCTTTCAAGAAACATTCCACCTCTCAGGCTGTGAAGCTAAGACTTACTGCCATTGAAAATGAGAAGAAGAGACTAGTAGAGACAGCTGAGACCAAACACTTTAATTGAGTCAACAGAAGGATTCAATTTAAACCTCCAACAAACAGAATGGCTGTAAGACAAGTTGCATTTGATTGGCAAGAACCAAACACTTGATGTGTCTGGAATTGGTAGCTTCTTGGTCTCACTGACTTCAAAAATGAAGCCACGGGCTCTTGCGGTGAGTGTTACAGTTCTTAAGGGTGGCGTGTCCGGAGTTTTTTCCTTCTGATGTTCAGCTGTGTTCAGTTTCTTCCTTCTGGTGGGTTCGTGGTCTCGCTGGCTCAGGAGTGAAGCTGCAGACCTCTGTGGTGAGTGTTACACCTCTTAAGGTGGCGCGTGTGGAGTTGTTCGCTCCTCCTGGTGGGTTTCTGGTTTCACTGGCTTCAGGAGTGAAGCTGCAGACCTTCGCCGCGAGTGTTACAACTCATAAAGGCAGCGTGGACCCAAAGAGTGAAAGAACAAACCTTCCACTAGTGTGGAAGGGGACCCGAGTGGGTTGCCACTGCTGTCTGGGGCAGCCTGCTTTTATTCTCTTATCTGGCCCCCGCCCACATCCTGCTGATTTGTCCATTTTACAGAGAGTTGATTGGTCTGTTTTACAGAGAGCTGATTGGTCTGTTTTGACAGGGTGCTGATTGGTGCGTTTACAATCCCTGCGCTAGACACAAAAGTTCTCCACCTCCCTGCTAGATTAGCTAGATACAGATGTCGACTGGTGTATTTACAAACCCTGAGCTAGACACAGAGTGCTGATTTGTGCATTTACAAACCTTGATCTAGATACAGAGTGCCGACTGGTGCATCCACAATCCCTTAGCTAGACATAAAGATTCTGCAAGTCTCCACCAGATTAACTAGATACAGAGTGCCAATTGGTGCATCCACAAACCCTGAGCTAGACACAGGGTGCTGATTGGTGTGTTTACAAACCTTGAGCTAGATAAAGAGTGCTGATTGGTGTGTTTACAAACCTTGAGCTAGATACAGAGTGCTGATTGGTGTATTTACAATCTCTTAGCTAGACATAAAGGTTCTCCAAGTCCCAACCCAATTAACTAGATACAGAGTGCCAATTGGTGCATTCACAAACCCTGACCTAGACACAGGGTGCTGATTGGTATGTTTACAAACCTTGAGCTAGATACAGAGTGCCGATTGGTGCATTCACAATCCCTTAGCTAGACATAAAGGTTCTCCAAGTCCCCACTAGACTCAGGAGCCCAGCTGGCTTCACCCAGTGGATCCTGCACCAGGGCCGCAGGTGGAGCTGCCTGCCAGTCCCGCACCTTTCACCTGCACTCCTCAGCCCCAGTGGGCCAGCACTACTGGGGGACCCGGCTCACCCTCCGCAGCTGCTGGCCCGGGTGCTAAGCCCCTCATTCCCTTTGGCAGGTGGGGCCGGCGGGCCGGCTGGCTGCTCCAAGTGAGGGGCCTGCGGAGCCCACACCCACCTGGAACTCGTGCAGGCCCGCAAGCGCCGCAGGCAGCCCCAGTTCCTGCCTGTGCCTCTCCCTCCACACCTCCCTGCAAGCGGACGGAGCCAGCTCGGGCCTCGGCCAGCCCAGAGAAGGGCTCACACGGTGCAGTGGTGGGCTGAAGGGCTCCTCAAGTGCGGCCAGAATGGGCGCCGAGGCCAAGGAGGCATTGAGAGTGAGTGAGGGCTGCGAGGGCTGTCAGCGTGCTGTCACCTCTCACTGAGAGAAAAATGGCTTTAGATTTGACTTATATTGGCAGTGCTTTGTGGAACCACTTAGTGGGAGGATGCAGGTTATGACATGGAGCATTTTTTTACATAGAAGGGAAGATATTAAAACACTTCCTGCCCAGAAGTGAGAAACTTATAGAGGACCTGGAGATGAAAGCAACACATGGAGATGTTAGTACAGTCTATGGTCTAGTCACTTTGCTACCTGGGCCAGAGTTCTTGTTGGTGAAGAAAATAGAGGTCCTGACAGTTTGAGGAATGTGAAAGAGGGTCCTGCACAACCATAGCACTGTAATTTATTTCCTGTGGTTTGTACTGTTTTGGACACTGTATGTGCCTAATTGGAGTAGATTCGATAGCATATGAGAAGAAAGAATTAGTAAGAGTGAATCTTCAGAACTTTTGAAGGGTTTTCTCAAATGCGAGGAAGATATGGCCCAGTATCTGGGAGATGTAGGGGCAATAGATAGTTTTAAAATCATATATTTTTAATTTATTTTTGAAGATGACATGAATAACAGCATGATATATTCTTTTTTAAAAACATTTATTTAAATTGACAAATGAAAATTGCATATATTTATTTTGTTCAACCTGATATTCAGAAATATTTATACATTGTGGAATGCTAAATCCAGATAATTAACATGTGCATTATCTTACTTTTTTTTGGTGGTGAGAACAATTAAAATCTACTCTCTCAGCAATTTTCAAAAATATAATGCATTGTTATTAACTATAGTCACCGTGTTGTATAATAGAACTCTTGAATGTATTTCTTGTATCTAACCAAAATTTTGGATCCTTTGACCAACATCTGTCCATCCCCCTTCTCCAGCCCCTGGTAACCACCATTGTACTCTCTGCCTCTGTGAATGTAACTTTTTAAAATTTCACATATATGTGAGATCAGCATATTATATTCTGGTAATGATTCAATAGAGAGGGGAAAAATTTCCATGTAAGAGAGAGAGGGCTGGGCGCGGTGGCTCACGCCTGTAATCCCAGCACTTTTGGCGGCCAAGGCGGGTGGATTGCTTGAGGTCACGAGTTGGAGACCAGCCTGACCAACATAGTGAAACTCATCTCTACTAAAAATACAAAAATTAGCTGGGCGTAGTGGTGGGCACCTGTAGTCCCAGATACTCGGGAGGCTGAGGCAGGAGAATCGCTTGAACCTGGGAGGCAGAGGTTGCAGTGAGCCAAGATTGTGCCACTGCACTCCAGCCTGGGCAACAACTATGTCTTAAAAAAAAAAAAAAGAGAGAGAGAGAGAGGGAACAAATCATTGAAACAATGTTCCTGAATGAGTGAAAGGGAATAGGAGTGGTACAGAGATTGGCTTTAGCTGGAAATAACAAGAGAAACACTCTCTTGGATAGATTTTATGTTAGGATCAAAAATGCAAGCAAACAGAACATAGCATGGTTTGAGCATTAGAATTATATAAACATAAACATTAAATATTTAGAAAACTACATTTGAGCCAGAAGACATGCCAGTTATGAAACATAAGCTTGACTAGGACTCCTTACCTTGAAGGCATTAGAGTGGCCCAGTGGTTTTCAATTGAAGGTGATGTTTTCTCCATGGCCCAAGGATATTTGCCAATGTCTGGAGACACGTTTAGTTGTTACACCTGGGGGAGATGTTGCTGTCGACATCTAGTGGGTAGAGAACAGGAATGCTGCTAAACATTCTATAATGCAAAAGTCAGCCCCCAACACAAACAATTAACTAGCCTAAAGTGTAAATAGTACAAATATTGAAAAACAGTGACAGGAAAGAGTTTCCCTGACCTCTACTGAAATCTGCTGTAGTTATTAATGGTATAGTTGATTTTGTTTGCCCCTTACAGCCAAAGACAGGGGGAAGAAGAAAAAACTAGCATCAAAGCCAGAGCACTGATGTCTTAACGTGTAGAAGATGCATGGTCATGTGACACATTGCAACACACTGCAGAGAATTCTATCTAAAAGTCTGTAACCTTCGGCTCATCTGTGTTGTTCAGTGGTCACCATAAATACAATTTGTGTTGAAGTGGCTCTCCCAGATTCCAGCCAACCACACTAATCTATCTAAACAAGTTCTATGAGAAACAAATGTCTCCAGGTATGCTGGGTCAGCTGTGAACATTAAAATGGGGTTTAGTGATGAATTAGTTATTGGGGAAAACAAACATATTATAGCGCCATTCTTGAAAATCATACACTTTGATACTTAACACACATCTTAGTTCAAATGAAAGTAATAAAGATGCAGTTTCATAAGTTTTAAAATTATATGGTCACATCCAAAATATCATTAATAATTAACAAAATCTCAGACAAAATAAGGATGTGAAATTGCTTATTTCAGATACAAATGTCACATTATTGGATGCATTTTGTTAGGATTTGAAGTAGATTATTTATGACAGTAGAACCAGGGTAAAGGAAATGGGAACAGCAAAAAGGTTTAAAAGATTAGTAAAATTTAATATTTAGTAATTTGAAAGTTGATGTGAAATATTACTATATTGTGCTTAGGTAAGATTTACTAGAACACTTTGTAAAAATAATCTAAGTACTAGGGCCATTGGGAATGCTGTCTTTCTTTAAAATTTCAAATTCACTGGATTATGGTAACTGAAAGAAGGAATAGACAAACCAGGTAATTCTTGCATCCTAATATTAGCTTTACCTAGTCATGCATAACAACACAGGGAAGCCATATGAAAAAAAATCATGCCTAAAAAATATCAGTCTGAGATAAAGTATGTAAATACATGTTTATTGTAAACCACTTCAAACTATTTTTGAAAGAAGGTAAGGCAAGGCATAAACATACAAATATTTAGTAGCATATGCCTTAATACTGAACAAGGAGTTGTATTTTTCTTACATTCATTTCTTTTTTTCAAACTTATTTTAAAGTGTTTTCTCTAGAATGTCACCTTGGGCTACAAATTAATCTTTAATCTATTTGTCTATATTTGTTGACTTACTACTATATACAGAACATTAACTTGGTCCTGGAGATTGAGTGATGAGTAATGTGCTCTACTTGCTTTAAAGGGCATATAGTCCAGCAGGATACAGAGACACAAGTAAACAGGTAACAATGACATAATGTCATAAGTTCTATGGCAGAGGTAACCATGGGGATGCAATGGAGGGTCAAAGAAGGGAGTACTTAACCAAGTCTTGGGAAGTTTCTGAGAAGGTCAAGTTAGTGGAATTCTAAGCTGGATTCTGAAAGATGAGCTGTAGTTGCCTAGGCAAATGTGGTGTGAGAGAGCAGGAGGACATTTCAGGCAGAGAGTACAGTATGATCGAAGTGTTCAGCGTTGAGATAGACCACGGGTATAGGGAGAAATGTGGATGGTTCAGTATGACAGGAATTAGAGAATGAAAGAGGTCAATGGAATTGCTGAAGATAGAGAAGGAATCAGGGGTCATAGTGCCTTGGGAACTTTATCTTGTGGGTATTGGGGAATCACTAGGATGCATAAGTGGTGGAGTAACTTGATCAGAGTTCCATGTCAGAAAGATGTTTCTGGCTGCAGTGTGGAGAACATCTTAGAGAAGAATAAAGGTGGAGGCAATGAGCCCAGTTAAGGGAGTGTGCTGTAAACCCTGTGGTCTGAGCAAGAGTAACAGACTCTTGATGAGAAGAATGAGGAGATTTTGAAAATAATTAGGTGGTAAAATGGACACAACTTTGTGATATTTATATATGAGAGGTGAGGGAGAATGAGGCATCAAGAGTGCTTCTTCCTATCTCTTTGGTTTAGAAAGTTGGGTTAATGATGATGCTGCTGACTGATGGAGGACATCCCAAAGTTTGTGGGAAAGATGAGGTCTATTGGCTATTGCACATAAAGGCCTACATTGATTACAGTGAGCATAAAGGTGTGTGATGACTGCTCATAATATGTTCTACTCAGGGATTGCCACATTCTCCATTTTTAGGTATCCAAATGTTACTATATTAGGGCACATTTCTGATGAATACTAGTGGGATAACTGAACAAAAACTTATATTTTGTTTTTTTTTTTCTGCTTTTATCTAGAGTCATGCAAACAGTTCCTCTGGCAGCATTTTAGAGGTGTCAACCCAACAATTCTACCACTGTTTTGTCAAGCCAGTTGGCTGAATAATAAGTATATCCTAACTAAATATATATATATATATGCAGAAATAGCCATTAAGTAAAGGATGGGATACTATAATTTCTAACACCTAAGATTGGAAAATAGATATTTTTAAATTAGATTAAGTTGTTAATAAGAAATTATATACTAAGGCTGGGTGCCATGGCTCATACCTGTTATCCCAGGTTTTGGAGGCTGAGGGAGGAGGATCATTTGAGACAGGAGTTTGAGCATAACTTGGGCAACATAGCGAGATCCTGTCTCTACAAGAATTCGAAATTAGCCAGGAATAATGGGCTATGCCTGTAATCCTAGCTACTCAGAAGGCTGAGGAAAGAGCATAGCTTGAGCTTGGAGTTTGAGACTGCAGTGAGCTATGATTGTATAACTGCATTCCAGCCTGGGTGACAGACAGAGATCCTCTCTCTAAAATAAATAAATAAATAAATAAATAAATAAAATCATATAAGAAGAAATATAAACTTAAACTGTGCATTATACAATTCAGTAACTATGCTAGTAAATCTACTCACTGGTAAATATACAATGAACTCATAACATTTATTTCATCTCAGAGTATGAAGAATAAATTAAGAATTATGTGAACCCTATTTACAGCATGTTTTAAAATTGCTTTTCTTGATACATTCAGAATAAATAATTAATAAACTATTTCTTCTCACCCAAAACTAATATACAGTGATATAATGTTATCTTACTTCAAAATAAGTTATTGTTTTTCATTGATAGTTTAGAGTGTCAGATGTTAAGGAGTCATGTGTATTCTCATGCCTTATCTAACAATGCTAAAATTGTCTACCTTAAAATAATAGGAATTATATTTTGTTTTCCCATAGAATTCAGGATTTTAAGAGCACCTGTGACAAGGAGTGTCTTGCTAAAATATTGTTAATAATGGTTATTAAAAAGAAGGAAGAATTCAAAGGAGCTCTTTTCCAGTTACAGATGTGGATTTTTATTTTTCTGTTCTGGTAAACCAAACTACAATTGTCTCCTACAATAGCAAAATGAATAATAAAATCACATTGAAAGTGATTTTAATTTTCCATTATTATCCAGTATAATTAAAATTTCAGAAATAATATTCTTTAAGCACTCTGATGTTTTTCAAATACTCTCTTCTTTAAGTGTTATAGCTCAGAGAAGGGAATGGGCCACTTTTGCAATAACATGCTATGTGCACACTTCTCCCTTTTAAATTTCAATTCAAAGGAAATGTAAAAATCTTCAAACACAGCAGAAATTGTGAATTAATAAGACCTGCAATTAAATCTCTTTTATGGTATAAACTGTGCCTATGCCTTAACAAAACAAGATGTCAGCATTGTGAAGGTCAAAGTTGCTTGGCATCAAATAGATCAAATGCTGAATTGTTTATATACATGTTAGAAAAGTGCACTGCTGTAAAAATATTCTCATAATCTGCAGAATTTGACACTGAAAATAACATTTGCTATTTAATTAAATGTTGAGAAGGCATTTATAGATAGACACCAATAGACAGCAGTTTTCTTGGATTGCATCTGGAACGACCTTTATTCCCCTTTGCAATAATTCTCTCACACCCCAAACACTTGGCAAAGAAGAATGTTTGTCAGTGGATACATTCCTTACAATTTCAGCTTGGCTTTGAACTTTAAGGTGCAAATGAAACTGTTTTTGAGATTTATTTTTCATTAGGTTTTATGATTACTATTTCTCTATTTTATGTTTTCTACTTTTTCCTCACCCTAAATATGGTATCGGTTATAGGTAACAGTTTTTACTCTTGGAAAGAATGGAAAATTACTGGTGGAGAAGAAACCAAGCTATGTTACTCTGACCACAGGAAGCTCCCTTGCTGAAAATATCTCGGTATCTTCCCATTGCTTTGTGGATAAAAATTTAAACTAATTAGCTTTCTTTTTAATCAGCTAGCATTTCCAGCTTTATTAAACTCTTCACACTAGACAAAATGGCTTACTAGATGTTTCTTAGGTACATATTGTACTATCTCTGTTTTGTGTTTATTTTGTTTGATTATATTGTTTGATCCAAAATGACATCTTCCTTTGATTTTTCTTTGTGAGTCCAGATGAAAGGATATTTACATAAAAATAGCCCTCTGCCCCCACCCTCGGCCCCAAATCCAGGACTAATTGCTTGATTCTGCTACATAATTAAGACAGAAATATGCAGAGTGGACTTTTGAGGGAAATCATTACTAGCTTCTTGGAGGCTGTGGTCCCAAGCTCCTGTGAGGAAGCCACACTCCTGGTGAACTACATCAGATCCCACAGGGCCTTCCAGGCTGCCTCTTGCTTTTCGACCTGGGCATTGTTCCTTTTACTCACAACTCTTGGCGCTCTAGATCTTGCAACATATAGGAAAATAAACACATTCATACAGCATCTACCAGAAATGGCATCCCAAGCACCTTGGTCAGTAATATCTGATGATGAACCTTAACATCTGTCAAGGAAGTCATGGGCAAAAAAGGAGAAGATCGAGCTTATCTTATCTGATGAGCATTTGGAGTGTGGCAGTGCTGAGGGTGAAGGTTGAGAGAGGATTTTCACCTTGTTCTCAGAGCTGTTCTTCTTTCATGGGTTTTATAATATCCTCTCCCCAGAATATCTAACTAAACAAAGATTTCCATGGATTAGAAAACAAATTTTGTTTTAGAGGTTGAAGTGAATCACTGATTCACTCTATGTAAACCCAACTTTCCATAAAGCACACCTTTCTGTAAAGGTCATCCTGGCCTCTCCACCCCAGATATGTCTGTCTGAATTTCTGCAGCAATTACTATCTGGGCTCTGGAATCAGACAGCCTAAATGCCCCTGTGGCTTATAGTTCTCATCTATAATATGAAGATAATAGCATCTACCTCAAGAACTGAGTTGAAGATTGAGAATTAAGTTATTAGCAGTTTTTTTTTTTGGCAATTCATGCTGTTGTATATTATTATCTACAACTACCTTAAATTGATTTTAAATTTTATTTTTAAATACATGCATTCAAATAATTGATCTATATATGTTTTGTATACTATGTAGACTATTAAGTATACACTTAGTATATAGAAAATTCCCAACATAATTGAAACTACAATGTATCCTTTTCCTAGTGCATTCCTCTTACTTTCTGCCAGAAATTTTGGTTTTCATAATACATTCATTACATATGTATCCCTAAAAACTATATATTTTTAAAGCTTAACATTTTCAAAGTTTATATAAATGGTACCTTACTATATGTATCCTCCGTTTTTTAAAAACAATTGGTTTTTGTTCCTCAACACTTTGTTTGTGAAGGTCATACATGTTGTTATATACAGCAGTAGCTAATGTATTTTGCTGCTGTAAAATTTTTTATTTTATGAATACTCTACAATTGATCTGATTTCCTACTGGAATATATTTTGGTTTTCTCCAGTTTTTTTTGGTTATATTAACAACACTGCTATGAACATTCTTGTCTCCAATAATTAAATGGTACTTTGAATCTTTGATTACTTAATTTTCCTCTTCCCTTCTTCCCATCCTACCTAGGTTGCAAATGCCCCTTAGAATCTTTATTTCCCTCCATAGTATTTAACATGGTGTCTTGACCACAATAGGTACTCCATAAATACTTGTATATTTGATATAATCAAAATGGATGCATCCTTTGACTAATGTATCAATTATTTTAATTGGTCCTTTTCCATTTTCTATACCATGACATTTATCCTTTTCAGATGCTGTGCTGTCATCTAGCTATTATTCATTGCATTGTAGCCTTTCAGAATATCAATGGTACCTGCATTCATATATAGCATCATGTTCATAGTTAATATAATCTCTTTCAACATTATACACCATCATATACTGAAAAATCTACTTAACCGGTCTGAACTCATTTCTTCTTCTGTAACATTAGTATAAAAATACCTACTTCGTAAGTTTGTTGTAGATATTGAACGTAGTACATTTAGATCTTTAAGCATAGCAAGGGCTCAAAGTACCTATTGTTATTACTATTATTCCCTAACTGATTGATGTGGTTAACTCTAATATCTGCAGCCAGATAGTATGTCCCTAGAGCACAAGAACATTCTTATAATTACACCCATCCATAGGGCCTGTCATAACTCATGTTAGTTGAATTGAACTGAGTAGTCAGTGGTTATTAAATAACCATTGATTGGCTAAATCCCTGCTTAGTAACTCTTCTCTTTCTCTCACTTAACCCTTGAAAGTGATTTGTAGTTTTGTAGAATTGCCAGTTAAGACTGGAGTGGAGTGGGAAGCAGTTAGCTGCAATAAAATGAAGGAGAAATAATAATAAGAAATTGCCTTTGAAGCTGAGACTGAGTAGACAGATTGGGTGGTTACTTCCATGGTATGACTTGACATATATCAAAATACTCATTCCAAAAATGCCACCTTCCATCTGCCTGCCACATTGTCAAAAATCACTACTTTTTAGTCCTCCTTTTGAGTGAAGACAATAAAAGTTTTGTTGACTATATTACATGGAAGTACTTTTTCTTAATATGATGATGTTTCAGAAGGGAGGATATGGAATGGTCAATGGAACTCTTGAGTACCAAGCAAGCTTTGCTAATTTCACAATTTTTCTTAGAGCTGCCTTATTATAATATGGATCCTTTAGAGGGTATTTTCCCTGTGCCACACAGTTTATCAATATTGATATGGTAATATTTTACAAGTATGGAGTTTATAATATCAATTGGAATAATAACATTGTGTCAATATTGTTTATAATATTCATAAACCTTTACAATTTTGATACTATGTCGATATTGCAGATGAGGAAATTGAAACCCAGAAATGTTATTTACCCAGTCTACCCAATCATAGATATCCATACCTAGGAATTTGAATTTAGAGTTCTATAATTCTAACCTTTGCTATACCTTGAAGACTCTCTTGCCTTGGCCTGTGTTTTGCTTAAACCACAGTAATTGGTAGTGTGATGAAATAATTAGAGAGGAAGTTTTTTTTTTTTACTTTTTTCAACAACACCATAACCCTATTGTCTGCATCTGACTGACTTCTATTCACCTAATAGCAAAACCTAGTTATGCTTCATTTCAGGAGTAAAAGAGCTTTTCCAAGTCTATTTGGGGGTATGCATTTCTGCTCCTGGGTGGATCCACACTGCAGCTTGCTTCTCCCTAGTATCATGGCAGCTCTCCATTCCTATTCTTTACCTCCAGTCCTGTGGCTGCTTTCTTCCCGTGCATGATTTTTGTCCTCCATGTGATCACCTTCCTTATTTCTTCATTCTTCCAAAGCACCAATATTACAAAATAATTACAAAAATTTGAAGATAACAATTATCCCGAAAGATCGCAGAATGTGTAAGGACACTGGCTACTGTACGCATACAGCAAAAGTAAAAAACAATACTAGATATCAATCTGCTTAAAAGTTTCCATGCCACCCCTGCTTCTAGAATTATCCCCTAGGCTGTCCATTTTGCTCAGGACTGGGGCTTGAGTCCTATCTCTTTTCTTCTCTCCATTTTTACCAATTTCAAGGCTTATGAACTCTCTGTCTTCCTCTTTTCTTAGTCATTCTTTTACACACCAGGCCTGTGTTGAATGGATGTGAAAGGCAATAGTTTGATGGGGTGGATTGGAAGGACTGACTTTTCACAACTGAAATAAAAGATCCAGCAAAAGATAAGCTCTGGTCCAGTCTCTCGGTGGTGATTGCTTTTGAGGAAGGGCCAATCTGTCCTTCCTGACTTGGCCCCAAGTTAGCTCTTGCTGGTCCTGCCAGTACTCTGAAACAGCCTACCCTCCTGTTGGTCCAGGCTTGAGCTTTCGGCCCTAAAACCTTGGCCAAGAATAGTTTTTTTTTTTTTTTTCTTTCCTAAACCTGAGGCTGAACAACTCCCTGGCAGGCACCTTGTTGATCATTTCTGTGCAATAGATCTCTTCTAGGCCATGCTGGGGATGAGCAAAACTTGGATGGAGTGAAGGGATCTATTTCAATCTGTCACTGACTAAACATGCTACACACACTACCCCACCTTTTCTATCCTATTGCCCTTCTATTGCCTGTTCTATTCTAGTTGCCCTTTCTTTTACTATCTGCTCACTCGATTAGGGATACCATTCAATCTTGCTGCCTTTAATACTATCTGTATATGAATTACTCCCAGATGAGTATCCATTGCCTATATCTTTTTTGAACACCAGGGTATACCCACTTCCTAGGTGATGTTTCTATCTTCATGATAAGTAGATATCTACATCCAAAACAGCACTTCTAGACTCCTCTCATTCACAATTCCCTCCTCCTCAGAGTATAGACCAATCTCCCTGTTTCCATCCTTATTCCCTTCAATTAATTCTTATCTCAGCAGCCAAAGTGATCCTGTTAAAATGTAAGCCAGTTCACGATATTCTCTGCTCCAGATCAAACAGTGGTTTTCTAACTTACTCTGATTGAAATCTGTATCATTACAATCTGTATCTGATTTTCTAACTAACTCTGATTAAAATCTGTATCATTAAAAGGTTGTACCTGATCTCCACACTCCACAGTTCGCAACCTCTTTGTCTTTATCCCCTCTACTCTTCCTTCTCACGATTTGTGTCAAAACGTCACTAGTCACCAAGCTGTCTAGGATCACTCCAAGGAGCTATTCCCTGTCTCTCTCTTTTTTTTTTTTTTTTTTGAGACGGAGTCTCACTCTGTCACCCAGGCTGGAGTGCAGTGGAGTGATCTCGGGTCAATGCAAGCTCCACCTCCAGGGTTCACACCGTTCTCCTGCCTCAGCCTCCCAAATAGCTGGGACTACAGGTGCCCACCACCACGCCTGGCTAATTTTTGTATTTTTAGTAGAGATGGGGTTTCACCCTGTTAGCCAGGATGGTCTTGATCTCCTGACCTTGTGATCCGCCCGCCTCGGCCTCCCAAAGTGCTGAGATTACAGGCCTGAGCCACCACGCCCAGCCTCCCTGTCTCTTTTTCTAGAAATTTGCATGACTTTCCCTCTAACCTCCCTTAGGTCTTTTGTTACGTGCTAGGTGAGATATTTCCTGACCATCCTATTTAAAATTGCAAACTTGCATTCTCCCTCTCTAATTTCTACATGTTGGTCCCTTCCCTTTGTTGTTCAACTTTTATTCATAGCACCTATAATCATTTTACTTACACAAATTTTTCTTACTTTAATTTTTGCCTTTCTTCTTTCAATATAATTTGAGAATAAGAGATTTTTGTTAGTTTTGCTGATCACTTTTAACTTCAGAGTCTTAAACAATGTTGAGCGTATAGTGTATACTAAACAGATAATTGCTTAAGGCATTATGATTTTTGATTATTTAAATGCAAAGGGTGACATTGAGTTTGATGACTAAGGTTACTTAGGGGAATTGAGGTCTTGTAGGTCATTTCCTTAGGGATAGATGGTATAGCAACATGTAAATTTTCTTACTAAACTTGTTCGTTAAAAACAAACAACTTGGTGAGACACATGAAATTACTTAGGATATTTTATTTCTTTTTCTGTTTTCATGTAGAGTGCATACAACCTGTTAATAGATAGTCTCTTTTTGTACACTATTGTCCTAACTTGAACATTTTGGACTGTGTGGAAAGTAACCATTTTCCTCTTCAGTTTAATCTGGAACATTTGGCAGAGGTATTCTGGGACTTGTTTGCTGTTATGGTGGAACTGGTGAGAGTGATAAAAGAGACAGAAAATATAAGTAGGCTGTAATACTTTCAATTTGGTGCTGATTGTCTCCTATCTGAGAATATTGCCTATTTCATTCTTGTCAAAAATTGCCAGTGAATAAATTAACTTTTATTAGTTCAATGGTTAGGTTTATTTTTTTTAATGCCTAATTTGACAAGGATTGTTAGGTAGAAAAAAAAATCTTGGCAAAGCTACTGAAGAGAGTATATGGGAATTTTTTTCAAGTTGAAATCTTAGTATAAACTTTGCATTATTGAGTTGTTCATTCAAACTGATAATAAGGAAAGATTCAGAGATATTGATAAGTACCTGAAGGATGAATTTCATGGCTTAGGTTGAGGAAACCAAGAAAGATTTTAAAGCTGACTTTTTCTAGTATTTCTAGATTATATATTTAGAAGACCCCATCTTCTCAGCCCAAAATCTCCTTAAGGTGATAAGCAACTTCAGCAAAGTCTCAGGATACAAAAGTGTGCAAAAATCACAAGCATTCCTATACACCAATAACAGACAATCAGAGAGCCAAATCATGAGTGAACTCCCATTTACAATTGCTACAAAGAGAATAAAATACATGGGAATACAACTTAAAAGGGATGTGAAGGACCTCTTCAAGGAGAGCTGCAAACCACTGCTCAAGGAAATAAGAGAGGACACAAACAAATGGCAAAATATTCCATGCTCATGAATAGGAAGAATCAATATCATGAAAATGGCCATACTGCCCAAAATAATTTATAGATTCAATACTCTACCCATCAAGCTACGATTGATTTTCTTCACAGATTTAGAAAAAATTACTTTAAATTTCATATGGAACCAAAAAAGAGCCCGCATATCCAAGACAATCCTAAGTAAAAAGAATGAAGCTGGAGGGATCATGCTACCTAACTTCAAACTATACTACAAGGCTACAGTAACCAATACAGCATGGTACTGGTACCAAAACAGATGTATAGACCAATGAAACAGAACAGAGGCCTCAGAAATAATGCCACACATCTACAACAATCTGATCTTTGACACACCTGACAAAAACAAGCAATAGGGAAAGGATTCCCTATTTAATAAATGGTGTTGTGAAAATTGGCTAGCCATATGCAGAAAACGGAAACTACACCCCTTCCTTACACCTTATACAAAAATTAACCCAAGATGGATTAAAGACTTAAATGTTAGACCTAAAACCATAAAAACCCTAGAAGAAAACCTAGGCAATAACACTCAAGACATAGGCATGGGCAAAGTCTTCATGATTAAAATACCAAAAGCAATGGCAACAAAGCCAAAATTGAGAAATGGGATCTAATTAAACTAAAGAGTTTCTGCACAGCAAAAGAAACTATCATCAGAGTGAACAGGCAACCTACAGAATGGGAGAAAATTTTTGCAATGTATCCATCTGACAAAGGGCTAATATCCAGAATCTACAAGGAACTTAAACAAATTTACAAGAAAAAAACAGACAACCCCATCAAAAAGTGGGCGAAGGATATGAACAGACACTTCTCAAAAGAAGACATTTATGTGGCCAACAAACATGAAAAAAAGCTCATCATCACTGGTCCTCAGAGAAATGCATATCAAAGCCACAATGAGATACCATCTCACACCAGTTAGAATGGCGATCATTAAAAAGTCAGGAAACAACAGATGCTGGAGAGGATGTGGAGAAATAGGAATGCTTTTACACTGTTGGTGGCAGTGTGAATTAGTTCAACCATGTGGAAGACAGTGTGGTGATTCCTCAAGGATCTAGAACCAGGAATACCATTTGAGCCAGCAATCCCATTACTGGGTATATACCCAAAGGATTATAAATCATTCTATTATAAAGACACATGCACACATATGTTTATTGCAGCACTATTTACAATAGCAAAGACTTGGAAGCAACCCAAATGTCCATCAATGATAGACTGGATAAAGAAAATGTGGCATATATACATGATAGAATACTATGCAGCCCTAAAAAAGGATGAGTTCATGTCCTTTGCAGGGACATGGATGAAGCTGGAGACCATAATTTTCTGCAAAATAACACAGGAACAGAAAACCAAACACAGCATGTTCTCACTCATAAGTGGGAGTTGAACACTGAGAACACATGGACACAGGGAGGGGAACATCACACATTGGGGCCTTTTGGCAGGTAGGGAGCTAAGGGAGAGATAGCATTAGGAGAAAAACCTAATGTAGATGACAGGTTTATTGGTGTAGCAAACCACCATGGCACATGTATACCTATGTAAGAAACTTGCACGTTCTGCACATGTATCCCACAACTTTAAGTATATATATATATATATATATAATTCCCGAAGGTCATACTATAATCCTATTCCCTCAGTTTTTCTAATTTTTAAATTTGGACTCAACCACACCATTGGAGAACTGCACACTTGTTTTGCATTGTTTTGGCCCAATGTAGAGTTGCTTGTACAGAATTGCATTTTAGATTTATGCCATTAGCCTGTGCTGAGGGACATTATAAGAAACAGCCATAGAAAAGACACAATCATACATATTGTAAAACTCTTGTTAAAAACTTGTTCAATACATTCCTATGAGAACTCCCATGAGAAATTTCTTTCAATGTTCTACAGCAGGAAAAACTAGGTTTCTTTTGGGCAAATGGTTTGTATTCATCTTATAAATACTGTGAATTGAATGATTAGTAGGTTTTTCTTCTGCTTTGGCCTCTAAGGAACTGTATCAGTCAGGAGTTGGGCAGCATAACAGAAGCCATTCTATGCTTTTTAAGTTTGAAGGATTATAATTGGGAGAATTAGACGTTTATATACTGCTGGAAAATCTGTGGGTTGTGAAAGTTGCCACTACAGAAGCTTCCAACTTGAAGCAGCAGAGTGTGTGATTTTCAAAAACTCAGTAGAAAGCTCTCATCAACCCCATGTCTGCCCCAGATTCCATAGACTTTGGCTTCATTTTTGCCTTTGCTTTCCAAACCTATGTGACTGCTTCTCTTTGGCAAACTAATCTGAACAATATGGGAAAGGGATTTGGAGAAATATATTTTCAGCTTCTCCTATGCAGGAGCTGATGGCTGAATTGATAATAGATAATTAACTACCGCAAAAAGCATAAGAAATTTTGCTCACCTCTTGCAATAGCACAAGATAAA
The DNA here is from genome assembly GCF_000001405.40 of Homo sapiens. NCBI lineage: Eukaryota > Metazoa > Chordata > Mammalia > Primates > Hominidae > Homo > Homo sapiens. The sequence goes on from NC_000006.12 coordinate 114,557,262, forward strand.
ATAGTATGCAGTTTGTGTTCTAATTTTGTGCCTGGCTTCAACTTACTTTAATACCCCTATTTTTCCATCTTAATTACTCCCTCCCTCCCTCCCTCCCTCCCTCCCTCCCTTCCTTCCTTCCTCCCTTCATTTATCCTATTGTGTTGTAATTGTTTATTTCTGTAAGCCGCCTCAATTCTTTTGGGGAAAAATGATATATAAATAATTAGTTTGAAAAACAAGGGAAGGAGAATGAGCTTATAATAAATGCATATCTAAAACAACGTAACACACATTAAATATGACTAGAGATCTAAAACAGATGGAAAGAGTACCCAAGCGATTGCCATATCACTCTACAAAGCAATACCCATCATCTTAGATATATTCCTCTTCATTGTTTACATTTTTTTCTGTTACAAATAGGTTCTCAAAGAATGTCATTAAAAATTATAGACAATAAAGCATACATATTTACCTAGCATAATTAAAAACTACTCTTTCATACAAGCACATTTTCTATTTATCTTAGGCTTACTCATGTAAATGGCTTGATTTTTAAATTTTATTTTCATAAATTTCTATAAAGAAAAAAACATTTTACAAATAAAAATTATATATCTCTGCCTTCTTAAGCAGTCAATAATAAAAATAATGTAAGATTTTCGTGCTAATTTATGGTAATTATTATGAAACAAAGATTTAGTTATAGTGAATTATAGAAATGCTTTCAGCGACTATTGAATACAGAGATTCAGATTTTAGATTCTTTAAAATGAGTTAATTGTTTCGTTTTTTCTTTTAGATTTTTTTTCTTGCACTATTACTCTTATCCAATGTCTTATTTTACACAGAGTTGTCTAGAAGAGGTCTGAGGGTGGCTCTAAATTTTCAGGAAAGTATAACAGTCTGAATATAATAGTTAATATTTCTTCATTCTTGAGAGCTTCCTTTTTCTTCTTTCTTTTATTCCTTTTAAGTTTAAGGCTGTATATCAACTCCTGAGGTTTCCAGAAGCTTGACCTCTGAATGAGTGGGCATTATTGCATGAATTTGATCTCTTTAATAGGATTACAGAGTAATGAAATTTAGAGACTAAAAGAGACTGTGAAAGGTCACCTGGTCCACCACTTTCCCAAAGAGGCCACTTCCATTTAGAGCCTTATCTAAACCACTGCAGGCAAAGGGCAGCCTCTGCTTTTTTACAGCCTTTCAAAGACAGAAATGCTACCATCTCTGGTGGCAAGACTTTTTTATGTTTTATAATTCCCAGTGTCAGAAAATTCTTCTTTAGATTTATCTTAAATTTCTTATGCAAAAACTTAAGCCCATGAACTCAATCCCTAATGAGATTTGAAAATAAAATTGGACTTCTGAAAAGACTTGAGAAAATTGAGTTCTACTGTTTCTTTTACATTCCTACCACAAAAGTTGGCATAATGATATGTGTGTGTGTGTGTGTGTGTGTGTGTGTGTGAAAGGGAGAAAGAGAGAGTGAGAAACTAAGGGTCTCTTCAAGTGGATTTCTTTTAGAGGCCCGTCATCAGTATAAAATTGATTCATAGATCAAACTAGTTGGTGAGGGGCTAGGCTGAACTAATTCTACATCTCCACCAGTTCTCCCTTGATGACTAATTCACATTCACAAGCTAGTTTAGGATTAGGTGTGTAGTCTGTAGCTGTGAGATAGAAGAAAAATGGGAGATGATGTAGCAGAGAGACATTATAGGGACTGGAAAGACCACTGTCAATCCTGGCATTTATGAACTGTGTGACTTTGAGGAAGTCAATTTGCACTGAAAAATAAACGTTGATAGTAATATATCTTCTGTCCGTCTGTCTCCCGGGGATTTTTGAGGAGAAGAGAAAATGAGTATGTAAATTATTTGAAAAATCTGAATAATATACAAATACTGTATATGGTAATTTCTCCTTCCCCAAATCTTTGCCTGTTCCTTAGTAGTGCATTGTAGAACCAGGAAAATCTGGTTTGAATTATGACTTTGGTACTGCATAATTGTGTGGGCTTTAACAAGTCTCTTGACATCTTTGAGCCACAATTTTCTTTTTGAAAACTCGGATAATATAATTGACCTTGAGGGATAATGGTGATGATTAAAGATAATGATTGCAGTGTCTCAGCATGCTGTTTCACAAACAGTAAGCGTTCAGTAAATAGTAACTATTATCATCTAGTCATTGAAGCAAAAAATACATTCATTTTTACTTATCTTGCTCCAATCTCATATATTTCATCTAATTGGTTATGAAGTCATAGGAATTCTATTTCCATGCCTTTATAGTCTCCATGACTGCTCTGTCATCTGTGCCATTGTCCCTTATGCTATATGTCATTTCAGTAGTATTTAACTACTCCCCTTGCTTCCAGTATTTTTCCCTTCAATCCAGCCTCCTCCACACTATAACCAAAGTCATCTTTCAAAGTGACATCTGAACAGTTTACTGCTCCTCTTCAAACATTCCAATAATTTTGCCGTTGACTGCAGCACAAAAGATATTCACAGTCAGTTAGGATCCTTCATAGTCTATATTATCTTTCTATTATCTTCCACACTCCTCCTGCACCAATGCATTCTGTGCTCCTTCTACAGTGACCTCTTGGCTGTTAACCAAAATATGTCATGCTTGGGTTTCTGTGTGTGCTGTTTTTTCTCCATGAAATACCTGGCAAGTTTCTATCTGCCTTTTTGGAGTATGTAGAGGTTCCAGCCTTAAAACCTACAGACATGTAGAAGGATCTACACATATATACATTTCAAGGGATCAACTTTTAGGTACATGCATTTTTTTTCTGAGTATGCTATGACCCTCAAAATATTAGGGACCACTATTTTGGACTCAGTGTAACCACCCTTTCCATTGTAAAGTCTTCACTTTTTAGTGATGCTCTTAGCCATTGAATATCATGTAACATATAACATTTTCTTTAATATTTTTAAGCAGGCAAGATAACTGTTGCTTTCAGCAGGAAATCAATGGGTCAAAGTGGGATTCTAAGCAGGCTAACTCCTGTATGAAGTGGGTTCAGAGAAGAATCTAGTGCTCAAGCACAGCCCCATTTGATGAATGCCTTGAAAATGCATGATCAAAATCCACTCCCCTAATTTTTCTTTTCTTTCTTTCTCTTTCTTTCTCTCTTTCTTTCTTTCTTTCTTTCTTTCTTTCTTTCTTTCTTTCTTTCTTTCTTTCTTTCTTTCTCTCTCTTTCTTTCTTTCTTTCTTCTTTCCTTCCTTCCCTTCCTTCCTTCCTTCCTTCCTTCCTTCCTTCCTTCCTTCCTTCCTTCCTTCTTTCTTTCTTTTTTTTTTCTTTCTTTCTTTCCTTTCTTTTTTTTTTTTGACGGAGTCTTGCTATGTCGCCAGGCTGGAGTGCAGTGGTGAGATCTCGGCTCACTGCAACCTTTGCCTCCTGGGTTCAAGCAATTCTCCTGCCTTAGGCTTCTGAGTAGCTGGGATTACAGGCATGTGCCACCATGCCCAGCTAATTTTTGTATTTTTAGTAGAGACGGGGTTTTACCATGTTGGCCAGGATGGCCTCGATTTCCTGACCTCGTGATCCACCCCACTCAGCCTCCCAACCTGCTGGGATTACAGGCGTGAGCCACTGCACCCAGCCTCATTCCCCTAATATTAAGTTGTTGATTCCTGTTAATACACAAATCCGTAAATTCTAGTGTAAAATCTACCACTTCAGAATATAATCCATTATCATCCTTTAAAAAAATGAGTTTTATGTATTTTCCCAGTAGAAAGAAAGGGCAGGAGAAGGGATTTTATGGCTCCTGGCATCCTAAGGAAAATAAAAGCACTACTACAAGAAAAAAATGAGGAATTTAGAAAAATGAAAGTCAAATTTTATATCCTTTCCATTTTGTTAAATGATACTAAATGGCAGCGGTTTTCATGCTGGGATGTAAGTACCTCTGGAGGATCACAAACATCTTCTAAGAGGTACAGAGATACTGAGGCTTTTGAGGGAATTAATTTGCAGATACTCAAGTTCTCTGTATATTCCCTCCTGAAACTAACTGCCTGCAAATAAGCATGAGGTCATGCCGATGGTCCTTTCCCATCTTTCTCCCACTATGCAAAAGAAAGGGAAATCTCTTACCTGTCTAGGATCATACTGTGGTGCATTGCTCTGCTATGCAAAAACTGTTGGGACATCATATAAAAGTATCATTGAAAATACTGATGTAGATGGAAATATACAAATAATTTTAATTGCTTAGTCACAAACTAATATGCAAGTGAATTTCATTCCAATTCTTTGCTTTCAACAGAATTGAAGGAGGATCCAAATGAATTGTTAGCCGTGTGACTTTGTTAGGTAACTTTCAATCAACTGAGAGCCATTATTACAGCAAAATTCCTTCTTCTTCCCTCCCCATTAAATTGTTTATGTAACCAAGTGCTTATATGTATAAAAATAAGAGTTGAATTGATGCTAAATCCTCTCATTTTCTTTTATCAATGAGTAGTATTTAACCATGGTTACACATACTGATTGAAGAATGAAAGCTTTATATGCCTCATTAAGAAATACATTTCCAATAAAATTTGTCTTATGTTTATTATCTATTAAGTATATTTATTATGTTTTAGCCAATAATGCATTAGTAATACTTACAATACTGTGGAAAGTCTTTTTCTCTTTAACATTTAGAGCTCTTGAGTCTCCAAAAATAAAAATAAATAAAAATAAAATTGTTAGAAACACTTTGATGTGTGTGTGTGTGTGTGTGTGTATGCAGGAAAGTGTGATAGCTTGAATAACAATAAATATTAAAGCAAAAAATGTATTATACTAGGAAAAATTCTTTGGGAAAAGCAGAATAATAATTAGAGTATAAGGAGAAAAATGAATAATGTTACATTTCTGACCATTAAGAAGACCCTTCTCATTTATTTTTCAATGAATGATGGTGGGTATCAAATTACTATTGACAAGTTTGGAAATGTTATATTTCAAATTTATAATTTAAAATTTCAGTATTTACAATATGTTAGAGATTACATATTTCACAAGTATTTAGACTTGTGTAAATGTTTTACTCTCAGTTTAAAAATACATATGAGAGTCACAGATTTTAATTTTTTAAAAAAGGATATATGAACAAAAAATTTGAAGACCTCTTCTCTGAAGTACACAGAGGGCAGAATTTTCTTTCCCATCTCAGTATCATGCATTATGAAAAATTATGGTTTTTTGGGTTTCTTTTCTTGGGGTCCTCTGAAAATAGCCTCCCAGGATAGGTCAGAAACTGAGAACATTCACAGTAAAAATCACTGACTCCTCAGAGAGATGCCGCAGACTTTGGGATGGTATTGGGGACTGAAAGTAAGGGAGCTGGGCCAAAAAAAAGAGGAAAGGGTTGAGAAGGGGATACAGCCAGAGGCAAATATCCTGTACCTTGATTTTCCTGGCTGTGGCTTTGGCTCTTAAGAGGGCTCTCCCTGAGTGTGATCACACACCTTCTGCTGTGGTTTGAGAAGGTGCAGGGAAGGAGATGACCCTGGGAACTCCGGGCCTTAACTCCCACACCACCTCAGGAGAACCATCTCTAAGGAAGGAATCAGGCAAACACAATTTAATGAAAGAAAAAACAGTCAATCTTTGTCTCCTTTATTTTCAGGAATGAATCTTTTTTCTGTTTATTAAATTATATTCAGCTCTTCATTATTAAAACTTTTTATTTCCTTTACACACCCAAGTCCAACACTTTGCTTCATAGTACTTTGGATTGTTAGCTACCCATTTAGTGCAAGGTTTTTGAGTGAGTGAGGGGGCAATACTCTTGTCAAATTTCTGACTGATTTGACCCTGCATCTGAATTCATACCATATTTATAAAAAGCAAAGCAATGGTTAAATCTTTTCTTTGGTGCTGGGGAGACAATCCCGAAATCTACTGATGTGCTATCAATACAAAAATAACAATGTGAGTATTCACCATAAAGTAGTTGGGTATGTTTTATTATGTATGATTTTTACTATTGGGGTTAGTGACAACATAATGTATTGGGGGTGTCAAGACTTAGGTTCCTGGGCCAGCCAGTATTGCTACCAAATGCTGTATGTCCTTCAAAAAATGTTGGCCCCAACATTGTTGGTTCTTAGTTTCCACAATTTTAGAATGAAAGAGTTTTGACCAATCTTCTTTTCCTTTTTCTACTGGAACTTTATGATATGACTTTCTAATCCTATATCAACTCTTCCCACATCACATGTATTTGTTCTATTCCTAGTAGCACTGAGCTACTAAGATTCCCTTCTTTGAATCTTATAAACTTATGTATTTCTGATATTCCTTCTGTTAGGTAGTGATCTTCTTAAGAAGGACAAATTTAAATTCAAATTTGGGTCATACACAATTTTCCCATATTATATGCCACACAAGTATTGGTTAGACTGACCTGGAATTGTCTCCTCTTCTATCTCTTCTATTTATTATTCTACTAATGCCAAGGTTCATTTTGTAGATGAACATTGAGTGATCTTGTTTCTATATCATGTTTTATCTTTCATTCCTTTTCCCATATCCATATTGACCTAATTTAATGTTCTGTCTTTGTAGTCCAGAATTAAATTTTTCTCTTTTTCTTGTATATCTACTTAACCTCTTGAAACTGTATCTAAGAATCTGCGTTCTACTTTATTCTCTACTTATTTGATTGTTGCGGGAAGTCAGGGACCCTGAACAGAGGGACCAGCTGAAGCCATGGCAGAAGAACATAAATTGTGAAGATTTCATGGACATTTATTAGTTCCCCAAATCAATACTTTTATAATTTCTTATGCCTGTCTTTACTGCAGTCCCTGAACGTAAATTGTGAAGATTTCATGGACATTTATCACTTCCCCAATCAATACTCTTATAATCTCCTATGCTTCTTTACTTTAATCCTTAATCCCGTCATCTTCATAAGCTGAGGATGTATGTTGCCTCAGGACCCTGTGATGATTGCATTAACTGCACATATTGTTTGTAAAACATGAGTGTTTGAACAATATGAAATCTGGGCATTCTAAAAAGGAACAGGATGACAGCAATTTTCAGGGGACAAGGGAGATAACCATAAGGTCTGACTACCTCTGGGGCTGGGCAGAACAGAGTCATATTTCTCTTCTTGCATAAAGCGAATAGGAGAAATACCCCTGAATTATTTTGCCAGCAAGGAATAACCCTGGGAAAGGAATGCATTCCCAGGGGGAGATCTCTAAAATGGACGCTCTGGGAGTGTCTGTCTTATGCTGTTGAATATAAGGGATGAAATACGCCCTGGTCTCCTGCAGCACCCTCAGGCTTGCTAGGATTAGGAAATTCCAGCCTGGCGAATTATAGTCAGACCAGTTGTCTGCTCTCGATCCCTGTTTCCTGTTAAGATGTTTATCAATGACAATGTGTGCCCAGCAAGACATGGAACCTCATCAGTAATTCTAATTTCGCCCTGGCCTTGTGATCTTGCTCTGCCTTTCTGCCCTTGTGATCTTTTATTGCCCTTTCAAGCATGTGATCTTTGTGACTCACTCCCTGTTCGTACCCCCTTCCCTTTTTAAAATCCCTAATAAAAACTTGCTGGTTTTGCAGCTCAGCGGGCATCATGGATCCTGCCAATATGTGATGTCACCCCCGGAGGCCCAGCTGTAAAATTTCTCTCTTTGTAGTCTCTCTGTTTATTTCTCAGACTGGCCGACACTTAGGGAAAATAGAAAAGAACCTAAGTTGAAATATTGGGGGCTGGTTCCCCCAATATTTGATTATCTTTATATTCTTGGCTGTCTTTCTGGTACTAATCAACTTCACTATGGGGCTATATTTTAAAATGTTAGTGTTCAGAGATGATGGAGATAGATTGTTAGTAAAACCCATGTTCAATCAATTTACTCTTTCATTTACATAATACTTTTTTGTATTAAGAAAACTACATTTTTATAAAAGTGAGAATAACACATACTTTCTACATGTTTGCTTACTCTACTGTTCACCAATTTTCATGTGATGGATGCTTAAGCCATAAGAGAATACATTTTTCTCTTTTATCCTCAATCAAAAAAGTTGAAACATAATGCTGTGATATTTTAAATGTGGTAGACAGTATTAACATAAATTGAAAACCTAATAAAAAATCTGTTTTCAAACAAAGTATAGATTTTTCAATAAAATTAATAGGAAATATAATAATAAAAAGCTGCAAAGTAATAGCAGTGTAACAAATCCCCCACCTCTTATTCTCTGCAGGCTTTTTTTTTAAAGCCATAAATACTCTCAATTTTATAAATCCAATTGAAAGCTCAGTTTAGTCTTAGAAAGGTGCAGCCACTTCACTGACCTTCATTTCATTTCTTTAAAAAGTATAATTGGAAATATTTTTTCTGGATAGGGGTCACTGACACTTGGTTACCACAGGGCACATCTGAAACCATCTTCTCAGTCATAACTGCAAACACATAGTTTCATCTGCTTTTTTTCATGTTAGTGATGGGCTGGTGAACTCAAGGGAATATTAGATGATCCCTTTTGGAGGACACATCCAAAAGGCATGCGTGTGGCTCACAGCTTCCTGTCATAGTGGACAAGAAATAAATGACTTCAATTCAAATCCATTTCTCTCTCTTGTTAGACATGTGGCCTCATCATGTGTCTAATGTGTAATCCCTCTAGTATCTACCCCATGGAGGTAGCTTCAGTACACTTAAGTGGGCATAGGTGTTAAAATTTTACATTAAGATCTTTCTTCTCCAGGGACATGCCTGACTCTTCATTAAGAAAAACTGTTGGAAGATAAGGTTGGATAAATAGGTTGCAGCCACAAATTTGAGGAGGGGGAGGGATTAAAAACCAGACAAAGTGCTTGGATTTGATAAAGAAATATGGGAGAAATACATGCTTTTGAGCCAAAGAGAAGCTGTGCTTTTGGAAACTGTCTTGCAAGTGAAAAGTAGCTCATAAATGGAATCACATTTAGAATACTGTCAGAGGACTTTTTTTTGATCTACAAAATAGAGTAACAATTGCCCACCTCAGACAGGAGAATTGAACTATAAGGTGGTGTAAAGCATTATGTTGGCACTAAGCAGCTTGTCTCCATCTCTTTTCCCTTCTCTGTAAATGTAGAAGATGATATTCACATATGTGCCATAAACCCGTTTATTTTTAAAAATCTATATTTTAAGAATGTTTCCAGAAAACCAGAAATATAGACCTGTAGACCTTTGGATGTGTGGTGATGGAAGGGCTTGGTACTTTTTTTTTTTTTTTTTTTTTTTCAGATGGAGTCTCACTCTGTTGCCTAGGCTGGAGTGCAGTGGTGCGATCTCGGCTCACTGCAAGCTCCACCTCCTAGGTTCACGCCATTCTCATGCCTCAGCCTCCTGAGTAGCTGGGACCACAGGTGCCCACCACCACGCCTGGTTAATTTTTTGTATGTTTAGTAGAGATGGAGTTTCACCATGTTAGCCAGGATGGTCTTGATCTCCTGACCTCGTGATCTGCCTGCCTCAGCCTCCCAAAGTGCTGGGATTACAGGCATGAGCCACCGTGCCCGGCCAGGGCGTGGTACTTTTAAAAGCATGTTTTAAGCATGTATGTCATGAAGTAATCCATCTAAATATTCATTCTCTTCAGGCTTGAGAGAAGTGGAGACACCATATTTAGCAGTTTAAGCACAATTCCCTGCAAGCTAGCTATAATTCCACTCCTTTTGCTTCCATAAGAGCACACCAGGAAGTAAGTGAGAGGGATGTCACTGCAGTGATCACTCAAATAAGCTTTAATTTATAAAGAATATAATTCACAAAATTCAATACTATTAAATATTTTTAGTGGCAACTAATGCATAATACCTCCCTTTGTCAAGACACTAAAGCAGAGAAGTCTAAGTTAGCCTGGCATTGATGTGGTTTACTGGCTCTTCGTTGTGAATATCCTGTCACCTAGGATGCTGTATCCAGTTCTTCCTGTCATTTTCCCAAGGTGGTTACCACACATCTATTCCTTCTTCCTCCTTTCCCGTCTCCTCCACCCCTCGTCTAATGCTTTTCCTTCACTCCCTCTTTCCACCACTTCTCTTTGCCCATGATTTTTGTGCATTATTAGCAAAGGGAATTCTGGAAATAGGACTAATGCCAAGGAGTATTCCAGTAATACTTGAGATGTGAAAGAGGATCCATTAATTAAATAAATAAAAGCAGGTCAATTTGTATTGCCAGATGAAAACTAAGGAACATGATTTCCTACAGAAATTCTTTGTTATTGACATCATTCACCATGAAAAAGACATAGTTTCAGCCCCTGCATCATTTATGATGACTATTACGGGGCAGGACACTTCCTTTTTCTGCTGGATGGACAGATGCCCTTGGCTTCCACATGGTTTACATGGGTCCTCAAAACTGAGAAGAGGTAATGAAGGAATGCTGAAAGAAAAATTGAGGCTCAAAGCAGATTAATTACAGGTCATAAAAGAGAATGTTGGCAATCAATGAAGATACAAATTCCAAGAAAATGAGTCTCTACAGTGTCAGGCTGAGCAATTAGGGAAGAAAATGTAACGAAGAGTCCAATATAGTCTAACTACTTAATTGTTGAGTGGTTCTTGGAGCATAAAAACCATGGGAAAAGCACAAATCTCCTGTCTTTCTGCCTGGGGGAAAAATAGTACAGTGTAATAGATTTGCCTCAAAAAAGGAAATGGGTGTGAGGAACAAGCTCTCAGATGGGATAAATGAATGTAATACAAACACCAGAAAATATCTCCCTAACAGAGAAGCCTTAAATGGCTGTACGCTCCCTGCCGGCACCACCTAAATTGCTCACCGTGCATAGGAATTCACCGAAAAGAACATTTAAAACAAAAATTTAATATGACTGTGCATATGTGTGACTCCTTTGGAACAATTAGCCTGCTATACTTTATAATACAAGGTAATTATTTGCATTCCCATTTGCAACTGTACCTGTATGTGTCTTATTTGTAGGAAAATATTCAAAATAGTGTTTCTTTAATCCATGGTTGATTTTCACTATAGAGATCAGATGTTAATGTGAACTTTCATTTTCATTCTTCCCTAAAATTCATACATCACCAGGCAGTCCTGAAAATTGACATAGAAAACTCATCCAGAAAGCCAGATTATTGGAAAATACACTGGGCATACCTTTTATTAACTGTTTAATTCTGCCTAGAATGTAATTTCCAATTTTAATAAGAAAGAAATGCAAGCTCATTGAAACAAAACCTAAGCAGCAACAATAAATAAAATTGCTGGGAGAAAAAGGATGAAGAAATTCTATGATTCTGTTGAACCCCTCTGAGTTCACTGTTTTACCATCTTTTTTATTATGGTGAAATATGTGTAGTATAAAATTTAACCTTTTTTTTTTTTTTGAGACGCAGTTTCGCTCTTGTTGCCCAGGCTGGAGAGCAATGGCGTGATCTTGGCTCACTGCAATCCCTGCCTCCCAGATTCAAGCGATTCTCCTGCCTCAGCCTCCTGAGTAGCTGGGATTACAGGCATGCACCACTGCGCCCGGCTAATTTTGTATTTTTAGTGGAGACTGGGTTTCTCCGTGCTAGTCAGGCTGGTCTCGAACTCCTGACTTCAGGTGATCCGCCCACCTCCGCCTCCCAAAGTTCTGGGATTACAGGCATGAGCCACCATGCCCAGCTTAAAATTCAACATTTTAACAAATTTTAAGTGTACAATTCAATGGTATTAAGTTCAGGCATTTAAAATGTTGTTAAACCGTTACCAGTATCCATTTACAGAATTTTAGAAATCTTCCCAACTTCATATCCATTAAACAATAACTTCTCATTTTCTCCTCTCCAAGTTCCTGGCAACTACCATTTGACTTTCTGTCTCTATGAATTTGGTTACTCTAGGTACCTTACATACATGGACTCATATGGTACTCATCTTTTTTTGACTGTCTTATTTCACTTGGCTTAATGTTGTCAAGGTTCTCCTATGAAGCATGTGTCAGAATTCCCTTCCTTTCTAAGGTTGAATGATATTTCATTGTATGTATATATCACATTTGTTTACGTATTCATCCATCAGTAGAGACTTGAGTTACTTTTATTTTTTGAATATTATGAATAATGCTACTATGAACATAGGTGTATAAATATCTGTTTGAATCCCTGCTTTCAATTCTTTTGGGTATATACCCAGAAGTGAGATTGATAGATCATATAGTAGTTCCATTTTTAATTTTTGGAGAATCTGCCATACTGTTTTCTGTAGTGGCTGCACCATTTTACATTTCTACCCACAGTGCACAAGGATTTCTCCACACCCTTATTAACACTTGTTATTTCTGTATACCAGAACTTAAAGTAAAATAAAAAAAGAGTCATTTTAATGAGTGTAAAGTAGTGTCTTAAAAAATTCATATATTCTGATTAATTTTTGGTACAGATCTGAATGGATTTACAAACCTTGATTTTACTAAAATAATATTTTATCCTTTCAGAGTAGGTTTCTTTTCAGCATTAGTGCCTGGCAGATCTATAGCTATATATCTCTAAACTAATGACTACACCAGCAGGTGGCTTAAGTCACTTCCTGGTCTCATAGCCTTGTCTGCCGCTTCCCACCTCCTTAGGCTGAAGCTTTATGTTGGCCACAGTCTCTGCTGTGGCAGGCAGATGCATTTTCTATTCTCTTTCTTGTGTGAGTAATTCCACTCCCGCTCCGGGCTTCAATAATTGGAATATGATTTAGGGTGACCAATTGCAGTTTCTGCTTCCCTGAAGAAGCCAAATACCAGGTCTGCTCTGCTTATTACTCAACACTCAGTAGGTAGTAACTTCAGCCCTTCTTACCACTTACTATTTGTGTTTTCGATTTTGTTCCCTTTTATTTTGTGCTTGCTTCTTGATGACACTTTTTTTTCTTCTCTTCTTATTTATCCCTCAATGCTGTGTGTTTACAGCATCAGGGATGCTTTGAAGTGGGACCACACAGATCCCTCTTGATTAGAAAGAACTCCTTGGATTAGGTTCTAAGGTGTCACAAATCAGCTAGGCAGCTAGGCTCAGTGCAACATGAAATGGGGTGAAAAGAAATGTCTTAATATCTATCGCTAACTCCAACAGAAGAAGACAGTGCACTGCCCAAGGCGACTACACAAACTCAGAATTATTCAAGGACACACCAGTATCAAATAAATTTAGTATCTACAGATTAACCACAGCAGAAGGGGTCTCAGTTAACTGCAAACTGTATTTGGCATCAGGTCAGAGACCATAATGTGGTTTGGATAATCATTTCAAACCCCAAATGACAAAGCGTTGGGGAAAGGAGAGGAAATTTCAGGATCTTACTTGGGCGGCCTATAAAATCACTTGAGAGGACTTCCAACACAATAGAAAAGTGACATTTCAGGTTTCCATCTCCTCAGAATCACTCCTCCAGATTCACCTTTCCTTCCTATACCAGCCAAGAAATGGAATGAGGGTGGATTCGTGGTGGGAGATTTCTGCTCCTCCAGCCGAGAAGTGTTGAGAAAGACAAAGGCTGACAACGAGTCCTTTTAACATTGACATTCGACTATCTACAAAAAAGTCTATTCAATTTTATTTGCTTCTTCTATTCATAGTGTCACAATGTGATTGGCTATAGTATAATCAAATTTCTTAGTACTTATACTCTAATGGGAATATGTCCAGATTAGATATCATATAATAAGATATGCTGCTTATGTGGTCTGACAACCAGTACTCCAGAATAATGCCTGTAAACATCAAAGGTGGGTTTTCTTGTTAATAGGTTTTTTTCAAATGGCTTTTTCTAGGTCAGAAATTTCTAAAGACAGTAAGGAAGGATTGACTGAAAAGAATTTAATTGTTGGTATAAAATAAACCATAAAGAGGTTAATAAATAAGTAAAGCATGAACTTCCAGATTTCAACTAAGACATCAATGTGATTTTAATGGTAACTGAAAGTTAGGGCCAGGCACAGTGGCTCATGCAACACTTAGGGAGGCTAAGGTGGGTGGATCACTTGAGGCTAGGAGTACGAGACCAGACTGGGCAACATGGTGAAATCCCATCTCTACTAAAAAAAAAAAAAACAAGAATTAGCCAGGCATGGTGGCACATGCCTGTAATCCCAACTACTCAGGGGGTTGAGGCACTAGAATTGCTTGAACCTGGGAGGCGGAGGTCACGGTGGGCCGAGATCATGCCACTGCACTCCAGCCTGGATAGAGTGAGACCCTGTCTCAAAAAAATAAAAAAAGGAAAGTTAATAGTGTCTTGGGGATAAGCATTATCATTGAAAGGAATTGCAAACATATTCAGAATTCTGGGGTTTTTTTTTTTTTTTTGATTAGTTAGCTAATCTAACCATTTATCCATTTATCCAAAAAATATTTATTGAGAATCTATTATGTGAAAGGCAGTGTGCTTGGCATACATTCCACACCTTTATAAAAGCTGTCTTTGAGCTGACTATCTTCTGTATCCCTTGCTGGTTACATGTTATCCATTGCTGGTTGCATGACCACACCAAACCATTTTATCCTGTTCACTTGTGTCTGAACTGAAAACAGATTTTCAAAGAATCCCTTCTGAGAATAAATAAATTCTACCATTGCCCACAGAACGTTTAGGACAGTCCGGTGACTTTGTGACATGCTTTCCTATAGTTTACTGCTTTTGTAATTAATACTTCCTTACAGAAATGTCTCAGCTCAGATATGCTGGGAAATATGAAAACCATTATTTGTGTTTGGGTAGGAATAGAGTAGCTTTCAGACTGGATGCTACCTGGGAGAGCCTCCCATTCTTCACCTGAACTAATTCTAGTAATTGAAATTACAATACTCACTGGCTTCTTCCTATTTCACAACATCTAATGTGGACCATGGTCCACAAAATCAAATGCCAATGGGATTGAACAAGTAATAAACATGAATGAAGCAAATCGTGGCATAGCAATGATGAATGAGAAGAATGTGGTCATCTGAAAAGTGCATACTCTGCCTAAAGGACTGGGCATCACTCATGATCACTGAATGTTCCCATATGGGAAATCTGGCCTACTATTGTTAGACCAGATCTTCTCATCTGTAAGCAAAGACAGAATTCTGGAATGTTATATACAATTTTCAATTAAACTTATAAGTACAATTAAAAATATATCATCTGGCCATTATATGGTTTGGATGTGTCCCTGCCCAAATCTCATGTCAAATTGGAGGAGGGGCCTGGTGGGAGGTGATCAGATCATGGGGACAGATTTCCTCCTTGCTCTTCTTGTGATAGCGAGTGAGTTCTCACAAGATCTGATGGTTTAAAAGTGTGTGTCACTTCCTCCTTCACTCTCTTTCTCCTGCTCTGCCATGGTAAAGATGTGCTTGTTTCCCTTTCGCCTTCCAACGTGATTGTAAGTTTCCCAAGGCCTCCCAGCCATGCTTCCTGTGTAGCCAACAGAACTGTGAGTCAATTAAAACTATTTTCTTCATAAATTACCCAATCTCAGGTAGTTCTTTGTAGCAGTGTGATAATGAACTAATACAGACCAGAAGGGATTTTTTGTTGTTGTTGTTCCTGAGTTGCCATTTTGTGATCTCTCCTGTATGTCCACAGCTGAAAATGATCCACATTCTATCCTACTAGATTTTGGTATTTTAAATTATAATGTCTATTTATGGTTATATTTTGCAATGTGAAATATTTTTTCATTTTACTGTTATAGGCAAAACTGGCTTTATAATCAAGTCTAAAAATAAAAAGACTGATTATACTTTAGTAATTTCTAGCTATTTCTTATACATGCAAAAGGAAGAACTAATATTATAATGCCATTTTCTTTCCATCAATCATTATACGGTTTCTAAGAGAATCACCTTTCAATATTTTGAAATCAGAGTTCTTTAACCAAATTAGGAAATATTCTGAGTGAAATGTTCCCTGAAAGCTCTTTATGAAATAAGTAATAGCATATCAAATTATCAGTGAAGGAACTTAATGTATGAAAAGTAAGAGAATTCAAAAGAGCTAGATCCATTTCTCTACACCAGAAATTGTTCAAAACTATAATCTCTGCTTTTCCTGCTATTCCAATGTTTGAATTCACTGCTGATATACTAAGACCTTGAGCAGTGCTGGCATATAACAGTTAATCCAATATAATTACATTTGTTGGGTGAATAAATGAGTGAATAAAATGAGAGGAGAATTTAGAAACAGTTAGCAAATAATGAGAATAGTCATAAGGAATTTAAAAAAAGAGAACTGCTTGTGCACCTAGGGGCAAATATGAAAATATGTGCCAATTATCTTAAGTG
Organism: Homo sapiens; assembly: GCF_000001405.40. NCBI lineage: Eukaryota > Metazoa > Chordata > Mammalia > Primates > Hominidae > Homo > Homo sapiens. Next base: position 114,573,562 of record NC_000006.12, read on the forward strand.
AAATAACTCAGAAACGGGAAGTCAAATACTGCACATTCTCACTTATAGGTGGGGGCTAAATAAAGTGTACACATGGACATAGTGTGGAATTGTAGACATTGGAGACTTGAGAGAGTGAGAGAGTAGGATGGGGATGAGGGATGAGAAAGTACTTATGAGCACAATATACATTATTCCAGTGATGCTTACACTAAAAGCCCAGACTTCACTATAAAATATAACCATGTAATAAAACTGCACTTGTACCCCTTAAATTTATGCAAATAATAAACAAAGATGTGCCAGGCATCAGCCAGTTTCAATTTGAATGCGAGGCTATCACATAAGTGAGCTCCAAAGTACATAAGTTGAAATGAGACACAATTAAGAAAATGATCAATATGTAATTCTTCCTTTAAAAAGATTTGATTATGGGTATCTCTCATAGTTTGGGAAAATGGTGCCATGATTATAATTATGGTAAATACAAAATTAACTGATAAGATTGTAGGGCTGTTTAGGTAACAAGTTCTGGACTATAACATGTTCCAAGTCATTGACTTTTCCCCCCAGTGGTTGTATTTACCACTTACAATGATGGCTGGGGTGGATTTCACAGTACAATAGAACTCAGCCTCTAATTTATTAATCAGATTAAGCTTATAAAGGGCTCAAATAAAACGTCTCTTAGCTAAAAATATTTTCTTCGTGTAAAAGAATTCAATTTAAGGCCAATGAATCCATTAATGGTTTCCAATCAATCAACGGAATTATTCCACGATTTGATAGATCAACATAGTGACTTTGTAATGAGCCTATGGAGGAGAAACATATGTGGTTGCCAGCTTATCATTTCACTATCAATGGTGGAATGAAAAATGGACTCTACGTACCCAGCTGGTTTCCTCGTGAGCAGATTAACAGGTCAAACTTGACTATGACTCTTAGGTAGAATGAGAGTCAGCATTAGATAACCATAAGTAAAGGAGTTTCTCTGTTATTTGACTGTATTGCAAAAGCATGACCATCTACAGGGGGTGCTTATGCTTCAAGTGATTCATACAGAACATTAATATACTTGGATTATTTTCCAGTGAATGCATATCATCAGACATTGGTTCTCGTTAGTGTACAGACACTGAATCTGGTTGTGATTTTGTATATAGACATTGGTTCTGTTTTCCTATAATGAAATTGGTTCTGGTTCTCATTTTGTGTAATATTTTGTTTTATTTCAGTAATGACTATAATTTCCTCTAACTTTTACCGAGTTGTGTTTTTGTGGTAAAGTGAATACCCAGCCCTGCGCACATCTTTGTCACCATCATGTAACCCTCTGTTACTCTAGGGCCACTATGCAGTTGGATGGCATTCCCAGGAAGGAGGACAAGGCAGGAAAGACTGGAATGAGAAATGGCTATACCAGGCGTGTCTGAGAGGGATGATGACAGACTTAACATAACTGTGAAAGTGGATATAGATGACTCTTCCCTCAAAGGAACCATGGATTAAGGAATATAGCAGTAGCTGAGCTGAATACTGTGGCCAATTAAAAATAAATATAGTTATACTAAAAGATGGATATGGGATTCTGTCACTCCTCAGCCAAGAGTTAGGTTGGGACATAACGACAGATGGGACATAATGGCATGAGAGGAAAATGCGGCCCCAGGATTTGGAAAACTGAGTTACTTTTATTAATTATTGGAAAATTCCTAATTCCGTTTTAAAGACATGGCATAATCATCCTGTCTTACTCTAAACTTTGTACCAGCTAGGTTCTATCTTTACCTCCAGAGAGCTACCAAAAATTTAGCGAGCATGAACATTGCTGTATTATGCATCATATTTAATTCTCACAGCAACCCTGTAAGACCTGCATTTTAATCAATGTTTATTGAACTGAATTCTTTATTTTTTTTTTAACGGACAGAGTCTCACTATGTTGCCCATGCTGGAGTGCAGTGGCTATTCACAAGTTCAATTATAGCAAATCGCAGCCTCGGACTCCTGGGATCAAGTGATCCTCCCACCTCAGCCTCCCAAGTAGCTGGAAGTTATTGAAAGTGGCAGGTATTTATTACACTTCAAGACTGAGAAATTTTGATATTTTTTCAATAAATCATATGTTGAACTTTTATATATTAACATTAAAAACATATATTTATATTATATAAAAGTTCAATATGGCATGTGAAATAATAATGTACAATGAAAGTATAGCATATAGATTGAAATAAACAAATAAGCACGTTAATTACCCTCCTAAGAAATTTTTAGGGAAAGTTTTGCAAGTTTAATAACTAAATGTAGGTGTTGTTACTGAATAGTATATATTTTTTGTAATTTTTTAGAGATAAAAAGAATACTATAAAAGTATCAACACATCATTTGGTTTATGTAATAAATGTGGATATGTATATAAAATGCATTAATGTATTTTTCACTACATTTTATTATCATTTAAAGATGAGCACATATAAGCTGCTTTCTAGGCCAATCATAATAATTAAGGTATTGTATGACCAGGACATGTCGTTTCTACATTTTGAGGTAATTAAATGGCATTCCTGAAAGAGAATCTTTTTGGAGCTCATGTTTCTTTGTTGTGAGAACACTGTCCGTAATGTATTTCTTCAAATTTCAAAGCTGATAAACTTGATTTCTAAATCTTTGGTTATTTTACGACCTGAAACCTCTCACCATGAAAATGTATATAAAAAATAAACTATTTTAACATGTATTGATAATACCGTCAGAATGCCAGAAGTCTTCAGACTCACCTCAGCTACAGTTCAAGAAGCAGCAGCTTGTTTTTGAAGACGGGGATAAAAGTGAAATCTTGAATGGATTCATTGCTTGGCTTTCATATTACATGACAAATCTAATTGTGCACTATTTACCCCATTCTAGGACAATGTGAATGACATCTGTGTAAAATATGAGTACAATTAAATGCTTTTCCACAGTCATGTGTGTGCTTTGGTGTCTGTCAATGTGTAATTGAGTTAACACTGAAGTAAAGCGGCTCTGGGTAGCTTTATACGTGTCCTGGAATTATTGCAGAAAAAATAATTCAACAGTGAAAAGAAACAGAAAAGGAACTTATCTTGAAAGACTGAGAGACTATGAATTAATTACTTTGCCTCTTCCAATATCAGATTTTGAGTAAATTTTTCGAAAACAGTCATCAAATCCTGTTTCTATTTAAAAACTTAATAAATAGATTAGTTGAAAATGCAGAAATGTAAACTCTTGTCAGTGAAGGCAAGCATGAAGTGAACAGCAAAATCTTATTTATAAAATGTTTTTGACTTCCATTTTCTGGCATAATGATGTGGTGTTTTGATTGTATAAAGGATACTTTGAATCTAAGAGAGAAATGACTGGTTCTAAGACTAAAATAACTAACGGTTCTTTATTAATTTGAGAAAGAGATTAAAACGACCCTAGTAAATTTATCTTTAATCATAAACTGTGTGAAAATTATATAATTTGAAAGTTAAATTTTTGTCAGGTTCTTTATGTTGCTGACTGAAAACATCTAATTTGCGTATTGAAATCTAAGTAGCATGTCTTCAGGAAACAGAAGTACTTAGAATGCTGAATTAGCCTCTTTGCTCTGTTTGGAGAAAGTGCTATAATAGATTCTGAGTTAAACTATATGTCTAGGCTAAGGTCCTGAATGGGCTAATGTCCATTAACAATCAACAAATTAGTGAATGGCCTTTATTGAAATTTCTTTTCCCAACATAATGGTTTGTTTAACTGATGGCTGATGTGACCATTAGGAGCTATTAGCATGTTAAGAGGGTATTAAATAAAGCCAACAGTTGGCCTTAGAAACAAAAGGATAAACACAGCACAATTTATTATTTTGCTAGGCTAAGCAAACATGGTTTCAATGTATTACTGCCTTCTAACGATGCCAGTTGTCATCTGTTGAATATTCTATTGAGTTAAAAACAAAAGAATCAGGAAATTTATGATCTATTGAACTTCTAGCTGTTGATATATATCAGCTAATTTTTAGATATTATCTGAGCTAAATATAGACTCATCTAAAATTCCATATTGTATTGGATTTTTTTTCAATCAACTATCATTGTTGTGAATAAGGAAAATGCATATTGCAAGCAGATGTGGAGGAAATTGTCTTAAAATGAAGTTAGTTTCTAATGTGTTTCATGTAATGTATGTCAAGGTAAAGAAGAATCAGGTAGAAGTATTTTAAATAGTACTTGAAATATAGTTAAATGTTCAAAATCCTCGTGTTGATTCTTTACTACTTCTGCTACATTTAGCTTCCTATTGTTTTTATGTCTAGAACAGTAGACCTAGCAGTGACATACAGAGGTGCTAAGAAGCTCTTTGCATCAACTTGATTTATTCTGTGATTCAAATGCCCACGTTTTTGAAGTTGTTTTGTTTCTGTTAGTCCATCAGCAAATAAATAGAACTTTTAAAATCTGTGCATTTCCCTAGTCTGTGCCTTCCAGAAAGGAATGGATAAAATGACACTTCCAACAGACTCTCTGTATATTGCCTTAGAAATGTGATTTCATTGCCTCTTTCTGTGCCTGAATTTTGATTAATTCAATATTTATTGATCACCACCACATGCCAAGCACTCTTCTAGGCACTAAGGACTCTTAATGAACCCAAGAGAGAGAAAAATCCCTGTACTTGTGAATCTTACATTCTACTGGGGGAATACACACAACAGAAATAAGTCTAAGTAAAGAGATAGAAACGGTGAGGAGGGGAAACAAGTAGCATTTTAAATAATAATTTGGTTGCCCTTTACAGTATTATGATACTACTGCAAAGATTTAAGAGGAGGTAAAGGGGTTTGTCTTTCAGTTATTAGAAGAAAGAACACTATGCAGAAGAAACCACTAGTGCAAAGGATCTAACGCAGGAACTTACATCATGTGTTCAAGGAGCAGAGTAAAGAAGGCTTGAGGACAGGGGATTTTTGGGAAATAAAGTGAGAAAGGAAAAAGCAGGGAGGGCTTTATAGTCATTCCATTGTAGGAATTGTGGGTTTTACTCTAAGCACAATTTCACTTATGTTTTAAGAGGATAACTGAGGCTGCTACAACTTAAAATGGATACTCACTATAGCGCTACTTTTAATCTTCATCACAGCCCTAGGATTAGTTTATGAATGAGTCTATTAAGACTAGACCATAAGAAGGCAAGGGCCCACTAAAGGGGTCCCGATTAGGAGTTGCATGGCAGCGATCCTGGAGGAAGATAAGAGTGGCTTGGTTTAAGGGAGGGGATTAGCAGAACACCAGAAGCAGTGAAAAGTGGTCTGATTCTGGTTATATTTTGAAGAAAGAACCAAGATTTGGATTGGATGTGAAATGGAAGATGTGAAAGACAGAAAAATCAAGGCCAGCTGCAAGATTTCTGAAATAAATGACTGGAAAGATGAATTGACATCACCTGAATTGGGAAAGATTGTGGAGTGGAATAAGAGTTCAGCTTTGAACATGTGGTAGGGTTGCCAGATTTAGCAAATAAAAATAGAGGACACCTAATTAAATTTGTATTAATATGTGTATTTAATATGGTAATCCTAATATGTTGATTTTTAAATGTCTATTGGATATCTGAATGGAGATGCAAAGATATTTGCAATTCAGGGTCTGGAGTTTGGGGTACAGCTATGAACTGAAATTTTAAGTTTGTGAGTTAACATGTAGATGGAATTTGAAACCATGAGACCAGATGATACAATAAAAGATGTCAGCATACATAGAAAAGGACAGAAGTTTTTTCTCCTTGCTACAGTGAGGCTTGGGGCATCTTAACTTTTATCAAGGTTGCGAAGAAGAAGACGGACAACAATGAAGATGAAGAAAGAAAAACAAGAGTAGCACCAAGAAAACCAAGAGACTGTAGGATGCTCGCAGCCAATGGAAGAAAGCATTTCAAGGAAAAGGTGGTGATCCATTGTGAAGTATCCTGATAGGAACAGTCCAATATAGAGGAAAATATTGATAATGCAATAGAGAGAGAGACTAATTGCTGCAGCAATGTCCTTTACAAGATGAGAAGTAATAGGCTTAACTAAACACAAGTAGAAATGAAACTCAGCATCTAGACTAATAGGCAGAAAGGCAGAAAATACAGTGGCAAATGCTAGCAGGTGGGCAGATGAGGTGGCAGAGTCTGTAGAAGTTCTCTTCTGTTTGTTTCAATTTTTTCAGTGAATTAGGAAGCAAAACCATAGTTGTAATTCAGGATAGATAAGAAACTATTTGGGGTTTGAAGAAAAAGGAGAAGCATAAGACATGTGTCCAGGTCAGGATTTTAACTGGACTGGCCAAGCATTGTGTGGTTACTGGGCATCAGTAAAGGTCTTCTTAATTGTGGGCATGAATTGAAATTGAAACTTACTTAGTATAGTTTTGTGTTATTTGTAGGACATCCACACCAAATTAGGGTATGTGAAAATTAAAGTTAGGATTCTTTAGTAAGTGTTACCTACCTGGTTTTACCTAATTTGGGTGAGAAATTCTTAAATATAATAGACAGTCCACCATTTACAGGCATCAATCCATAAGAATTCTCAGAGTAAATCTTCTAATTAGAGATGAATAAAGCTTTGACTGAGCCCCAACTAAGAGAGCTTTGTACACCTTACCATGTAAAAATCATAAAGTGCTTCAGAGAGTAATTTCCACCTTTTCACAAGGAAATAAAGTTGACCCTTGAACAATGTAGGGGTTAGGGGTGTTGACCATCTCCACAGTCAAAAATCCAGGAATAACTTTTGGATTAGTTTTCCTAAAACTTAACTGCTAACAGCCTACTGTTGACTGGAAGCCTTATTGAAAATATAAACAATTGCTGGGGATACAAGAAAAATGGCAGATAGGAGGGAGGACTAAATTGCAGCTCCCTCTTGAATGGACAGAGCAGCATGTGGACAGACTCACATCATGAACTTTTGCTCTAAGAACTACCACTGGAACATACAAGGAAAGCCAAGAGAATCCACAGACCCTTTGAAGGAAGCTGATTGCTCCTGTAAGTCCCAGGAGACAGCCAGAAAACTGAGTGCCCAAAGTGTGACAGTGTGAGGAAGATCCTATGCCCCTGAACACACACTCTCACTGGGGAACCAGAAGGTAGCGATCATGGGAGGAGGATTTTGAACTTACCTGGAGCTGAGACAAGTTTAGAGAGCTGAATGAAAAACAGGGGTAGAAGAAGCAGTAGGAAGAGCCCTGTGGGCTCTCTAAATCCTCGGGAAAGCCATTTCTGACTTTGTCTTGCAGAGGTCCTTAGGGGAAGGCTGCCAGAGGAACTGAGGAAAGACCAGAGGGAGGAGGAAACTTCCAGCTGAACTTTGTAACAATTTTGACTGAATGCAAAGTTTCCTGGACAGAACTCAGGGGAGCAGGGGAATTGGGAGTGCAGATTCAGCACAGAAGCCACAGCAGAAGGGGACGTGAGAAACCTGAAAGCCCTGCTTGCTTTCTCAGCCAGGACGCTGGTAGCCTGGGGCAAGTCCTCAGCCCTGCTCACCTTTTGCCTGGAAATAAACTTGGCGTTGTTGAGGGGGATGGTGGGAGTGAGACTGGCCTTTCAGGCTGTGGGCTGTGTGGGAGTGGGGTGAGGCCTCTGGGTGCCAGGTTTCCCCCACTTCCCTGGTGACCTGCATGACACAGCAGAGGCAGCCATAACCCCTAGGAACATAACTCCATTGGCCTGAGAACCACACCCCCATCCCCTACAGCAGCTGCAGCAAGCCCTGCCCGAGGACAGTCTGAATTCAGGCATGCCTAACCTTACCCCCACCAGATATTTTTTCTCTTCCTGCCCTGGTAGCTGAAGACAAAGGTCATAATCTCTTGGGAGCTCTGGGGACCCACCCACTGCCTGATCCTCCCTATGCTACAGCAGCTGATGCTCTCTTGAAAGCACCACCTCCTGGCATGTGGCCAACAAACACGAAACTATTGCAATAAACAAAACTACAAACAAGGACCCTCACAGAGTCCATTTCACTCCCCTGCCACATCCACTGGAGCAGGTGCTGCTATCTATGACTGAGAGACCTGAAGATTATTCACATCACAGGACTCTGTGAAGACACCTTGCAGTACCAGCCCAGAGCCTAGTAACTCCACTGTGTGGCTAGATCCAGAAGAGAAATAACTAATCACTGTAGTTCAGGTCTAAGGAAGCCACATTCCTACGAGAAGGGGAAGAGTGCTACATCAAGGGAGCACCCTGTGGGACAAAAGAATCTGAATAGCAGCCCTTGAGCCCCAGATTTTTTCTCTGACATAGTCTACCCAAATGAGAAAGAACCAGAAAAAACAATTCTGGGAATATGACAAAATAAGGTTCTTTAACACTCCCAGAAGATCACACTAGCTCACCAGCAATGAATCCAAACCCATAAGAAATCCCTGAATTGCCAGAAAAAGAATTCAGAACATCAATTATTAAGCTAATCAAAGAGGCACTAGAGAGAGGTGAAGTCCAGTTTAATGAAATAAAAAAAGGATACAAGATATGATGGGAAAAATCTTAATTGAAATAGATAGCATAAATAAAAAATAATGCTTTCTGGAAATGAAGGACACACTTAGAGAAATGCAAAATGCACTGGAAAGTCTCAGCAATAGAGTAGAACAAGCAGAAGAGAGAATTTCAGAGCTCTAAGACAAGGTTTTCGAATGAACACAATCCAACAAAGACAAAAAAAAAGAATTTTAAAAAAGTCCTCCAAGAAGTTTCGGATTATGTTACATGATTAAACCTAAGAATAATTCGTGTTCCTAAAGAAGATAAACCTAAAAGTTTGGATAACATATTTGAGAGAACAATCAAGGAAACCTTTCCCAACCTTGTTAGAATTCTAGACAACAAGCTTAAGGAAAACCTATTAAATTTATTACAAAAAGATCATCACCTAGGCACATAGTTATCAGATTATCTAAAGTCAAGGCAAAGGAAAGAATCTTAAGAGCTGTCAGGTAAAAGCACCTGATAACCTATAAAGGAAAACCTATCAGATTAACAGCAGATTTCTCAGCAGAAATCCTATAAGCTAGAAGGGATTGGGGCCCTATCATCAGCCTCTTTAAATGGAAAAATTATCAGCCAAGAATTTTGTATCCAGCAAAAGTAAGCTTCATAAATTAAGGAAAGATACAGTCTTTTTCAGACAAACAGATGCCGAGAGAATTTGCCACTACCAAGCCAGCACTACAAGAACTGCTAAAAGGAGATCTAAATCTTGAAACAAATCCTTGAAATACACCAACATAGAACCTCCTTAAAGCATAAATCCCACAGGATCAATAAAACAAAAAAACAATAAACTTTTTTAAAAAGCCAAGGTTATCAAGCAACAAATAGCATGATGAATAGAATAGTACCTCACATCTCGATACTAATGTTAAATGTAAATGTCCTCAATGATCCACTGAAAAGATACAGGATGGCAGTGTATTAGGCAGGGTTCTCTAGGGGGACAGAACTAACAGGATATGTATATCCTGTTATATATATGAGTTTATTAAGTATTAACTTACAAGATCACAAGGTCCCACAATAGGTTATCTGCAAGCTGAGGAGAAAGGGAGTGCCACTCTGACTCCCAGCGCTGAAGAACTTGGAGTCCAGTGTTCACAGGAGAAAGATGTAGGCTGGGAGGCTAGGCCAGTCTCTCCATTTCACACTTTTCTGCCTGCTTTGTATCTGCTGGCAGCTGATTAGATTGTGCCCACCAGATTAAGGGTGGATCTGCCTTCCCCAGCCCACTGGCTCAAATGTTAATCTCTTTTGGCAACACCCTCACAGACACACCCAGGATCAATACTTTGCATCCTTCAATCCAATCAAGTTGACACTCAGTATTAACAATCACAGGCAGAATGGATAAGAATGCACCAACCAAGTATCTGCTGCCTTCAAGAGACTCACCTAACACATAAGGAGTCACAAAACTTAGGGTAAAGGGGTGGAAAAGGATGGTCCATGCAAATGTAAGCAGGAGTGACTATTCTTATATCAGACAAAACAAACTTTAAAGCAACAGCAGTTAAAAAAGACAAATAGGGACATTATATAATGATAAAAGGACTTGTCCAACAGGAAAATATCACAATCCTAAATATATATGCATCTAACATTAGAGCTCCCAAATTTATAAAACAATTACTACTAGGCCTAAGAAATGAGATAGACAGCAACATAATATTAGCAGGGGACTTTAGTACTCCACTGACAGCACTAGGTATGTCATTAAGAGAAAGTCAGCAAAGAAACAATAGATTTAAACCATACCCTAGAACAAATGGATTTAACAGATATTTACAGAATATTCTACCCAATGTACATTCTATTCATCAGTACATAGAACATTCTCCAAGATAGACCAAATGATGGGCCACAAGACAAGTCTTGATAGATTTAAGAAAACTGAAATTATATCAAGTGATCTCTCAGACCACAGTGGAATAAAACTCAAAATATCTCCAAAATGAACCCTCAAAACCATGAAAATACATGGAAATTAAATAACCTGTACCTGAATGATCATTGGATCAACAATGAAATCAAGAAGGAAATTAAAAATAATTTGAACTGAATGATAATAGTGACACAACCCATTAAAACATCTGGGATACAGTAAAGGCAGTGCTAAGAGGAAAGTTCATAGCCTTAAATGCCTTCATCAAAAAGTCTGAAAGAGCACAAACAGACAATCTAAGGTCACACCTCAGAGAACTAGAGAAACAAGAATAAACCAAACCTAAACCCATCAGAAGAAAAGAAAAAGAATAGAGCAGAACTAAATGAAATTGAAACAAAAAAAACAAAAGATGAATAAAACAAAAAGCTAGTTCTTTGAAAAGATAAATAAAATTGCTAGATCATTAGCAAGATTAACCAAGAAGAGAAGAGAGAAGATCCAAATAAGCTCAATTAGAAATGAAACCGGAGTTATTACAACCAATACTACAGAAATACAAAAGATCATTCAAGACTACTATGAACATCTTTACATGCATAAAGTAGAAAACCTAGAGGAGATGGGTAGATTTCTGGAAATATACAACCCTCCTAGATTAAACCAGGAAGAAATAGAAACTGAACAGACAAATAACAAACAGCAAGTTTGAAATGATAATAAAAAAATTTCCAACAAAAAAAGTCCAGGACCAGATGGATTCACAGCTGAATCCTATCAGACATTCAAAGAAAGAATTGGTACCAATTCTATTGACATTATTCCACAAGGTAGAGAAAGAAGGAATCCTGCCTAAATCATCCTATGAAGCCAGTATCACCCTAATACCAAAATCAGCTAGGGACATAACAATAAAAGAAAATTACAGACCAATATCTCTGATGAATGTAGATGGAAAATTCCTTAACAAAATACTAGCTAACTGAACCCAACGGCATAGCAAAAAGATAATTTACCATGATCAAGTGGGTTTCATACCAAGTATGCAGGGGTGATTTAACATATACAATTTAATAAATGTAATACACCACACAAACAGAATTATAAACAAAAATTATACTATCATTTCAATAGATGGAGAAAAAGCATTTGACAAAATTCAGCATCCCTTGTGATTAAAACCCTCCACAAAACTGGCACAGAAGGGACATAATGTAATAAAAGCCATCTATGACAAAGCCACAGCCAATATTACACTGAAAGGGAAAAGTTTAAAGCATTCCCCCTGAGAACTGGAACAAGACAAGGATGCCCACTGTCACCACTTCTATTCAATACAGTATTGGAAGTCCTAGCTAGACTGTTCAGACAAGAGGAAGAAATAAAGGGCATCCAAATCAGTAAGGAGGAAGTCAAACTCTCTCTGTTTGCTGATGATACGATTGTATATGTAGAAAACCCTAAGACTCCTTCAGAAAGCCCCTAGAACTGATAAATGAATTCAGTAAAGTTTCAGGATACAAAATTAATGTACACAAGTCAGTTGCTGTACTATACAACAACAGCAGCCAAGCTGAAAACAAATAAAAAACTCAACCCCTTTTACAGTAGCTGTAAAAAAATAAAATACTTAGGAACGGAAAACCAAACATCATATGTTCTCACTCATAAGTGGGAGCTAAGCTATGAGAATGCAAAAGCATAAGAATAATACAGTGGACTTTGGGGACTTGAGGGAAAGTGTGGGAAGGGGTGAGAAATAAAAGACTATACACTGGGTACAGTGTACACTGCTTGAGTGATGGGTGAACCAAAATCTCAGAAATCACCACTAAAGAACTTAATTCATGTAACCAAACACCATCTGTTCCCCAAAAACCTATTAAAATAAAAAAAAATTTAAAGAACACATATTTTGTATATGTATTTTATACTGTAATTTTATAATAAAGTAAACTAGAGAAAAGACAATCATAAGGAAGAGAAAATATTTACTATTCATTGCATGGAAGTGGATCATCATAAAAGTCTTCACTGTCATTGTCTTCACGTTAAGTAGGCTGAGGAAGAGGAAGAAGAGGATGGGTTGGTCTTGCTGTCTTAGGGATGGCAGAGGCAGAAGTGGAGGAAGTGGAATGGAAAGCAGGAAAGGCAGGCACAATCAATGTGATTTTCATTAAAAAAAAAATCCACATATAAGTGTTCCTGTGCAGTTTAAACCTATGTTGTTCAAGGGTCAACTGTAGTAGTAATTTTTAACCAGTGTTAAGAAATCACTGTCCAATGAAGTATACTCCCTCTTTTGTGTCCTTAAGTGGCATTCTGAGATGAATTCTGAATTTCTTACTGGAATCTCAATGGAAATTGCACAAATATACGTTAGTTTTATTCCAAGCATGTTTTGCACTTAGTGAAGTGGTCTTTAAGTATAGAGCTCTAATTTATTAATTTCTACTGAGTAGTAGTTTTCTTTCCTCAAACAAGCTCAAGCTCTGAAAAATGCAGACAGCCTGCTTTGGAGGTGTGAAAGAGACTGTGATGCTGTAGCTCCCTGCTTCTACTACTAAGTAAAATATTTTGCTTTGTGGCCATAATCCCTCTAAGCTACATTTTCTATGGTATAATGAGCCTTCTCCAAGAACAGTCTTCTCTGAGAAACGTAGTGAAGAAAGGGTTGTTTCACATTTATTTTCTTGAAAAAAAATTCAGTGTCTTTTTGGACTAAAAATTTATCTTTTTCTGGTAGTGCTGACAATTTTTGTATAATCATTAAATATTCCTTCAACAACTAAAACTTAAAGACACTGTTATAGTATTATGCCTTCAATAACTTTCTAACATAGAGTAGTCCAATGGCCTTTAAATGCCAGTTGATGAATGCAATTGGCTGTCTGTGATGATATTTTTACCAAAATGAAAACCAAACAAAATAAACAGAAAAACAATGGCATTGTAAAGTTGCCAACTGTCCTTTCTTGGGACGCTCTTAGGAAATAATTCTAAGAGTTAAGTTCTTTCCAATTTTTACAGCAACCATACATAATACTTCCTTTATAATTTATGCCATGTTTAATTTTCAAAAGAATTAGAAAACTCTAGTCCTTTAATTTATTTTAAAAATGTAGCTGGTCCATCATATACAAAAGACTGTGAACCAAATATTTAGTCCACGTATGATCTCATGAAGAGCAGAGTATGAAGGGGCTTAGAAATACATAGAACAAGCGAAGAGAGGAGCAGTTCTGTTCCATTCAGATACTGATAAAAATCCATTTATGCCCATTTATGCTAGGAAAATTTGGCTCAATGTTTTCAGATACATTGATTACAATACAATATTTTACAAATTATATTAAAGCCATATATATAATGTATATAATGTAATCAATGTATCTAAAAACATGAACCAAATTTTGTTTTGTTTTTCATTTCACTATGTTCTGGTAAAAACATCATATCAAAAATTTATATGGCTTCAATATAATTTGTTGTTATATTTCATATAAGTCCTCTAGGTGAGTAGTAGAAAAATTATTCTTCGGTAACTAACTTTAAAAATCATCTGTTTTCTTTACATGGAAACCCGATGTTTCCTTTTTGACCATGTGTTTACTGTCATATTGGTGATGGATCTAATACTTAGAAGGGCAAAATGTCATAGGCAGATCCTATGAAGGGGCAATCTCCTACAGTATTTCAAAAAGTCTTTCTGAGTAATTTTTTTCCCTTGGTTGTTTAGATATCTATGTAGACTTCTAGCAAAAAGATCTACTAAATATTTTTACAGAATATACCTATAATCACAGAATTAGCTTAGATTAAGGGTTAAGTCATACAGAACTTTTAAAAAATAGATTTTATTTAAGCCAGAATAAGAATTCAAAATAATCATGAAAGAAATTTTGTGCCTGGGTGACCACAGGGATATGTGATTTTTTATTATTTGCTTTTGGTATAGCATGTATAAAGTCAAAACAAACTTGAGGAAAAAAAGCGACATTCTGAAGTTCAAAAATTTTACTATGTTCTACAAATCTTTTATTATTAACAATAATAGATCATTCAATAGTTAATAGAAAATTGTTTTTCTTATATTCAAAAAGTTCAGATTACATTATATCTTACCAAATAAAAAAGAGTTTTGTGGTGAGGTGATTTCAGCATAGATAGCAAACAAAGAAAACAACAGTTTTGAACCTAAATGTCTAATCACAGAGTACTATTTAGAAAAACTCTGGTAGGTATATTTTATGGCATGCAGGGACATAGCTATGAGGGACAGAGCAGCTTAGAGGTAAAAATACAGACTCTGGAACCAGACTGCTTGGGTTTGTGTGCCTGCTCTGTCCCTTACTCCCTGTGTAAAAATGGGCAGGTCAATTAACTAACTTCTATGTGCCTGTTTGTCTTTTTAATCTGGAAAATTGAGATAATAGCATGGCTGTGAACATTAACTGTTAATATATGTAAAATGTTTCAAATGGTAACTGACATATGATGAAAGTATAAGCTTTTACTTTTTGAAATAAAAATTTTAAATGTTATACAAAACATTAATAAATTACATAGTATACAATGTTAGGCAATAAAAACAGGGTACATAATTAGATATGATATATGATTGAATTGGCTTTTCAAATAGGTTTAAAACAATCCCCATATAGAAAATGAATGTCTACCGGAAAAATTATAGCTTAATAAGAATTTATATTACAGCCTAAATTAGTGTTTGTTTTGCTCAGTAGATTCAATATTCACAACGCCAACTTCCGATTTGCAAGTAGCCAAAAATGTTTCTTTTTCCCCTTTAAAAGTGAACTCCACAGCTTTGCAGAGGCCCTGGGCTTGGCTGGGGCGAGGATCTCTCAGTGACTCTCTACAGGCCCACCCCTTGCAGCTGGCTCAATTCTGATGTGACTTGGACATTCTGGCCTCTAGAGAAAAATCAAAACTACAAATTTTAAATTGGAAAAAAGCCAAAGGTCAAATGTATCCCTTGATCTACTTCTGCTATTCTTTTCAATTTTTTCACCGTTTCTATTATTATGCCAACAATGAACTCTCATTGAGCACAGCTGCTTGAGAGTTCTGAAAGAAGCTTGTCTTTTTTTTAATCATCTCGCTATGGATCAGAAATATAAAAATACACAATCACTTCCCTTGTTAAAATCCTACTATCCACAGGGATTGAAAATACGGTCTTCACCCCTAAATTTACAGTCGCTTTCATAAGCAGGTTCAATTATTATTAAAGAATATAAATTCAGGTTCACTTCCATTTATCACATATATTGGGATTGGTTTGTTGTTTTTAGAGTAACGTGCACATTTATCTAATGTTGAGTCAAATTAATGACTATTTTATCATTACCAAACTGCTTTTTATCCAGTAAAATATGAAAGCTGGAATAGGGTCAATTTGTTTGGAGGTAAGAGGAAGATCAGTTACTTAAGTTTTCTGTATTTTTTCAACTATGTGTTTTTTTTGTGTGTGATGCAAAAGAATTCTAAGAAAACATTTCCCCCAATACGGAAGCTATAAAATATTTTTTTATGAGACAGTAAGTACATGTACAACACATGTAAACTGTTGGTCGCATATGGTAAACAGATTAACTGCTAACCTAATATTAAGAGAGAATTATGGTCCAATTTCTCAAAAGCAGGTTTAATTTTTTTACCTCTCTATAAGTTTGCTACTAAAGGGATAAAAATAAAACTAGTTATATTGGAATTTTTGTCTATAAATTTACAATAAAACTTTATAAGGGGTATTTTTTTTGCCTATGAAAATATCTATGAAAAGATTATCATGGTAACAATTTCTTTCATAACTTTCCTCACCATATTAGCTTTGCTTGGTCAGGTAAACAAAAAATTTACTTATTATTAGTATGATAGTAGTATTCTAGAAAATATTCTGTTGCTACTTTTTATATTCACTTAGCAGTCATAATGGAGTTAAACTCATAATAAATAAATTATATCCTTTAGGAGCTACTGTGTTGAGCCTTTTATAAAGCTTTTCTAAAACATAGCTAATATTCAGTGAAACAAATACTTTTAATCATCTGCCGTCTATAATTCCCTTGGTACAGGATGACACAGAAATAGGCATTCTAATATTGGAGAAAAGCCACAGAAACCAGAAGGTTGACGTAGCTCTGAAATCAAAGGTGCTATGTGGTGCTGGGTAGAAGAAAGGGTGATGAGAAGTCATGCTGACAAGAAAGATTGAATCTTGATTTTGAAGGGCCTGTGCGGTTTGGGGAGAAGACTGGAAGCAATGAATGGTTTTGAGCAGCAGAGTAGCAGTCAAGTTTACATTCACGAAACATCTCTGGAAGCATGTCTAGAAGAATATTAGCAGACCATCTAGGTAATGTGAGGCTTTTACAATGATTCTAGCAAGAAATAACAAAAAGAGGCGGTCGTAGAAGCAGTGGTAGAGAAGATAGAAAGGAAGAGATCGATTCAAAATTTAGTTTTGATAATTTCATTCCATCTCTTCATATTTTTCCTTGCCCCATCTCAATCAAGGAGTTTTACTAAAGCGTAATACTTCACTGAAAGTTAACCAAATAAATATATGGTGTTTGAGGGAGTAAAAGGTATGAGGAAGAGAGAAGACATATTTTCTAACATCACGAGTAATAAATTTGATGGAAATACTCTCCCTTTCATGCACAAGAGCGTGACAGTTGACCCGTACCTAAGTAATTAATAAAGATGCTAGAGGGGAAGACATGACATGCTTGAGAAATTCAGTTGGATACATCAATGCCTACCGGTGCGTTTTCCCTCTAGGATGACACAGACCTTTCCCACAAAAATCCTCTTGTACATTCAAGACAAGCTTAACCTTGTCTTGTTCCTGTCCTCTCCATTTCAGAGACATTTGCTAAGTGGCACAGGGCTAGAAATTTAACAAAGATGATATATTTTGAATGTTTCCTATGTTCAGTCCCCTTTGGACAATCAGGCTAATTATAATTATGGATTCCTCATCCCTGCTATAGTGTTACAGAAGGAAATTCGATTAGGTGGACAGGTTTATTTTTGGATTTTTCTCAATTCCCAGAGATCTTTGAGGCACTAGCAAATTGATTTTTAAAAGATGTTTAATATAGCCGGTACAAAATTACATGGTTCATAGAGTTGTTCTTTTCCTCTTTTACTTAGAAATAACTGTATAGTTTCCCAGAGAGCATCTTGCTCTAACATAGGGATAACTGAAATTTCCGTCTCCACCTATTTGCTTTCTCTCTGTTTCTCCATCCACCCCACGCTAAGGCATGTGTTTCTGAGTTGGCAGTTGTTTTGCTAGGTCTCCCTGGGGCACCCAGGAGACTCCTCAGAGCATGCTACAACCAAGCACACAGAACTGCTGCTAGGTTATTTTAAAAGGCCTGCCTCCTCCCTTGGGCTGGGGGAGCTGGAGCAGGGTTGTATCACCCGGCTGACAGATAAATATAAAGTAAAACCTCAGATGCTTTTCTGTGGTGATCTGGGTGAGCACCAGCCTGTGGGAGCAGTAATTTGTGACACTCTTCTCTGAATCTAGCTCTCTTCTAGAGGTTACCTTTTTATGCTGAAGCCCGCAGTGAATTTACTCCCTTGATATACAGATTTCCAATTTGCAAACACATTTAGTTAAGAGTGAATTTGCCATGGATAGTGTTTGTTCTCTGTTGGGGTCCTAAATGTGACACTTAATAATCAGCATAGGTTACTAAAAGACCTCAGGTTAGAGCTTTTTAAAAACTGTATTGTAGCTGGGTGTGGTGGCTCACGCCGGTAATCCCAGCACTTTGGGAGGCCAAGGTGGATCACGAGGTCAGGAGATCGAGACCATCCTGGCTAATACGGTGAAACCCCGTCTGTACTAAAAATACAAAAAATTAGCCGGGCATGGTGGCAGGCGCCTGTAGTCCCAGCTACTCAGGGGGCTGAGGCAGGAGAATGGCATGAACCTGGGAGGCAGAGCTTGCACTGAGCCGAGATCGTGCCACTGCACTCCAGCCTGGGCGACAGAGTGAGACTCCATCTCAAAAAAAAAAAATGTATTTAGGGGGTACGGAAATGGGGTACAGTTAATCAAAATAGATTTTTGCAAATCAATGAATTTAAACCAGATCAATAGTTATTTAGAATCATTTTTTCTCTTTCTTTTAATAGAATTTAAACTTGCTAAGTTACAGTCTGATGCTAATATGTCAAAGAAATAGAATTTTATGAGAAAAATCCCCTAAAAATGAGAAGAAATATTTAGAAGCAATAGATAAAAGTAGTAGTGACAATTAAACAAACAAATATCTTAGTCCATGGTCAAATGTTTCAGTTAAGTTCTAACAGAACCCAAACCTGGGAAAAGGCAGTCCCCACCCTGGCCCCTGCATTTCAGAGAGCCCAGCATTTCACAAACACAGAAATTCATAGAATAGAAAACACATTAACTGTCTGTCACTTGGGATCTGGCACTTGTGACCTGTGATCCTAAATGTCTACTCTTTTGACGAACATCATTTAGGCCCAAGAAAATAGATGCCTCTCCTATATCTTTTGCCCCATGACACTGAAATGAAAGATGACTCCATGACAATGATAAAATGCACAAAAAGATGATCTTCTCATAATACTTCCTGACTTCTGTGTGAACAAGTCTAGGATGGCCTGCTGGAGGACGAGCAGCCAGCTTGAACGGAAGTGAATCATCTCTGTTAGGGTCATCCCAAGCCAGCCAACCCTCAGTTGCCCGGAAGCTGCCCACTTCTGGAGAGCTAAGCCAAGGCAAGAACTGCTGAGATGATCCCAGACCAAATCGTAAATGTTAAGAATTGTGAACTAAACAGATGGTTATTGTTTCTTGATCACTAAGTTTTAGGAAGGTTTTTGTACAGCAAACATTAACTGATACATTGGTATAGAGAAATATGATTGATTTTTGTTTATTGACCTTATATACAATATAATGATTAATAATTATTATCGTAATTTGTCTGTAGGTTCTTTTGATTTACTATAATCACCAAAATTTTATGTATGAATAATGACAGCTTTACTTATTTTCAATACTTGAATCTTTTATTTTTCTTATTTTATTGTAGTTGCTTGACTCTCTGGTACAACATTGAAGAAATATGGTAATCTTTGTCTCATTCCTAATCTCAGGAGGGAGAGTTTACAATAAATCTCCTTTAGGTATGAGGCTTCAAAGCACCTTTAGCATTCAACAAACCTCTTGAGGGAGATAGAGTCTGTGCGTTTGAAGTGCTTCAATTCTCTTCTTTCGTTCTCTCTCTCTCTCTCAGCACTGCAAAACCAGAAGACCATCAAAAAGTCTCCCAATTTTGCTATACCCCAGTGGGACCCTCTGTCTAAACCAAACTTCCATTGCCAGCTTTCCCTGTATCAAACCAGTAAGTGCTCTAGGGAAAAAGCGGCTAAACATATGTTAGCTGCCTCTCCAGGATTCCTTCCCTTCTGGAATTTTAGCCTCTCTAGTCCTCGTTGCTTCCATAGCTGTCTGATACCTTTAAATAGAAGCCCTGTGTGTTTATCTGGCTTGTCTATTTTTCTTAATTAGAGCTTTGATCTATCTGACACAAACTATACCATCCTTCTCAGAAACTTAAGTGATTTAGTCTGATATTTGTAATAGTTGCACACAAAAACTAAGGAATATTTTGCATAATCAAAAAATTCATATTGCAATTAAATTTGCATATGTGCAACTCTCTTAAAGCATTAACTAGATTGCTACAATTGCATTACTCTTCACATTATAGTAGAAACTAATTCATGCTTTTAGAGACTGAACATTATGATATTAGTAACAGTAAATTATGTGAAGAAATTAAAATGTTTTGCAATGTTTTCTGCATAAGGACAATATATTGTGTGTCCCCATTATGAAGTTTGAAAGTGATATGTAAAATTCATGATATATTTTTTAATCTAACTATAACTTTAAGAGTTTAATTGCAATTTCAGTTACTATTGCCTCCACAGAATTTCTTAAAAATGAAATTAATAAAAATCTGTCCAATAACTAGAATGACTCAAAAAAGTTGTTTAATTTGTCATTTAAGCCACATTAAAATCATAACCTTGTGTGTATTTTTCAGTTTTGTAAATTTGAAGATACAGTTTATTCAAGGCAGGTGTTATGGGGGTGAGTATTGGTGTACCCCTCAGAGTTTAGTTTACATGTTGAAGCCCTAACCCCAATGTGATGGTATTAAGATATGGAGCCTTTGAGAAGTAATTGGGTTCAGAGGAGGTCATGAGGGTGAAGTCCGTCGATGGGACTAGTGCTCTTATAAGAAGAGGAAGAGGGTAGGAGCGGTGGCTCATGCCTGTAATACCAGCACTTTGGGAGGCTGAGGCGGGCGGATCATGACGTCAGGAGTTCAAGACCATCCTGGCCAACATGGTGAAATCCCTTCTTTACTAAAAATACAAAAATTAGCCGGGCGTGGTAGTGCATGCCTGTAATCCCAAGTACTCAGGAGGCTGAGACAGGATAATTGCTTGAACCGCAGAGGCAGAAGTTGCAGTGAGCTGAGATTGCACCACTGCACCCCAGCCTGGGTGACAGAGCAAGAGTCTGCCTCAAAAAAAAAAAAAAGAAAAAAGAAAAAAGAAGAAGAAGAGACACCAGAGCTTTTTCTCTCTGCCATGTGACAATACATCAGGAAGACAGCAAAAGTTGGGAAGAGGGCTCTCACCAAGAATGGTATCTGTAGGCACCTTGATTTTGGACTTCCCAGCCTCCAGAACTGTGAGAAGTAAATGTCTGTAATTTAAGTCACCTAGTCTTTGGTATTTTGTTACAGCAGCCTGAGCTAAGTAGGAAAATAAAGTATAACTTACCTGGAGGCATTAGTTCAATTTCTAATTTGTGTATATTTAGTAATATGGTATGTATGCAGACCTTCATTTTTATTCTTGCTCCAGGTCATGAAAATAATGGAGTCACGCCCGCTATTTTGAAATGTTATTTTATCTTTTTTGTCAAAATTTACTGTTATTTCACTGTATCCTCTGTGTCAGTTAGGGTTCAATCATAGGAGCAAGTTCACTATGAATACTATGGAATTAAAAAATTATTATACAAAATAAGCCCTATACCATTGTTGAAGGATCTAAAAAATAAAGGTCTGAAAAGAATCAGAAGGAAAATCTCTAATCCTATTGTTGATGAATGACTTGCAGCTTGCAGGAAGCTAGGAAGCTAGGCTGTCTGGGTGCTGGAGTAGAACTGGTGCAGAAGTCCATGAGAGTTGCTGGCTCTGCACAACTCAGTAAAGCAACTTTTGTTGGCCTGAGTGTGCTTATGTGTATATTCAGTAGGATTGACAGTCAGGAAGGAGAGATGCACATGGAGAAACGAAGTGAAGACATGCTCTCATCTGCCAAGCAATCTGAAACCATGTCATCTCTTATAGTGCAGTGGCTGCTTTTTTACATCTGCTTCCCATATCACATGCAAATTTTTGTGTGTGGCTGATCTTAACCCAAATTTTTCAGGTAAAGAAACTCTAGGCTATTTAGTTTGTTTAGTTAGGGTAACACATTCTAGTCTATCACCCTATAGGGTGGGTTAAAAAATTAGAATTGGGAACACTGAGGTGCAGAAAGATTATGTGATTTTTATCAAGTACATCATGCAAAAGCTATGTGGTTTTTTAAGAACTTTTGTCGTCTGCTTCTTAGATCAGTTTGCTCAGCGTCTTGCTGGCTGATGTGCTTATTTCCTACTCTACTCTGTGTTTTTCCTTTGAATTTGGGACCATATTTGGACAAAGAAGGATATTTGTCCAGTGGAAATGTCTGAACTTTCATAGAAATTACACAGCATGGGATGTTGAAGAATTGGAGCAGCCAACTTAAATTGAGGATAACCATTCACTGAGGAAGTTATGGTGCTGCCACTGCCATCATTAACCACAGCAAGCATTTCCTGAGCTCTGTAAGACAAGAACATAGAGGAGAAATGACTTTTCCATCAGCCAGGATTGTCCCTTGCTTTTTAATTTATAACTTCATGCTCTGTCCTCTTCTCATCAAGTGTCTCTGCATTTGCTGAAAATGTCAGGAAGATGTGATCCAGAGTTTTATATTTTATAGAGCAGAAATATTAATGTTTTATGTCTTGAGTCCTGTATCTGCCAAGTAACTTCTCTACTGCAGTGCTTGCTTAGCTCCTGTCATCAGCTGAAGTATTGTTGTGGTATTTACTGTTATTTTCTATGACAAGGTAATACTAAACAGGAATCTATTTCTACATTGTTTTGTTCTGCAATCTTCCTGCACAAGCCAAATAACTACCTTATTAGAACTCATGGGATTTCCAGACTAAAATGTCTCTTAACTGGCAGTCAAATCAGAGTGATGGGAGATGGTGTTTGCATGGTGGAGCACACTCTGACGTCCTAAGCACACCTAAAAATGCAAAATGCAAATAGTGGTGCAGGAAGAATTCTTGGGAATATTCCAGCATCAAGTCAAATTTATGTTTCATAGACAAAGTGCCAGGACAGCAAGAAAATATAGACATTGTCTTAAGTGTGTATGAAAAACTTAAAGTTTTCTAAAGTTCTAAAGAGAGTAGAATTTCAAATACTTTCTTCACTGTACTTCACTGTGTCTCTTTAGTTTGGTAAGCTGCATTTATCTTGTAATTTTATAAAGTGTTTTATTTACAAAGCACTTTCCTGTAAAAATTATATTTACTTTTTATAACAACCCTATAAGGTCAATATTAATATTTTCATTTTCAAATAGGAGAAATAGAGGCTCAAAAGATCAATGAGTTGTCCAAAATCACACAGTGTGAGTGGACAAGGTGGGTCCCTCAAATGTTTTTTGCAATGTTATGAACCTACTCCTACACATAGCACAAAACAGATGAACAATATGCTATTCACTGGCAATATTCTTTTTAAAAAAATATTAAAGACTTTCATGTGAATTTAACTCACACTCAAGTCTCTCTCTTAAAACCTTCACATTCAGTGACTCTTGACTTATCCTTTTTTTTTTTTTTTTTGAGACGGAGTCTTGTTCTGTCTCCCAGGCTGGAGTGCAGTGGTGTGATCTCAGCTGACTGCAACCTCTGCATCTCGCATTCAAGCGATTCTCATGCCTCAGCCTCCCTGAGTAGCTGAGATTACAGGCACACGCCACCACGCCTGGCTAATTTTTGTATTGTTAATAGAGACAGGGTTTTGCCATGTTGGCCAGGCTGGTTTCAAACTCCTGACCTCAGGTGATCCCCCCAGCCTCCGAAATTGCTGGGATTACAGGCATGAGCCACTGCGCTCTGCGCGACTCTTGATTTATCTTTTTTCTTTCTTATCTAAGTTCAACACAGAGCCCACACTCCCTGTTCCTATTCACCTTCATTCATTTCTAAATACTTAGCAACCTGGTTCCTGTAGCCATCATATCTCATAAAATCAACATGTACCTCCTAGTTATTAAATAAAATGCATTTAGGGATTTTTTTTCTGGGATTTTAATATTTCTATTGAATTAGCTCTTTTATTATAAAATGCTATTCTCTATCTTAAGTAATATTTTTTGCCTTTAAAGTTTAATGTGTCTGATGTTAATATAATAGCCTTTCTTTCTTTTTTTTTTTTTTTTGAGACGGAGTTTCTCTTCGCTCTTGTTCCCAGGCTGGAGTGCAATGGCGCGATCTCTGCTCACTGCAACCTCTGCCTCCCGGGTTCAAGTGATTCTCCTGCCTCAGCCTCCCATGTAGCTGGGGTTGCAGGTGCCTGACACCATGCCCAGCTAATTTTTTGTATTTTTATTAAAGACGGGGTTTCACTATGTTGGCCAGGCTGGTCTTGAACTCCTGACCTCAGGCGATCCACCCACCTCGGCCTCCCAAAGTGCTGGGATTACAGGCATAAGCCACCACGCCCAGCCACTTTCAAACTTTCTATGTTCTTAATATTCAGATGTAATCTCATGTAAACAGCATATACTTGGGACTTTGTTTTAGGTTTAAAGATACTTTATTACTGAACCAATATGTACAAACTCTAACATGAAAATAAGCTACAGAATATCAGACTACTTACAATACTTTTTTGTATTTTATAAAACATTTTTTGCAAGATTAATTCTCTCTAACATGACAGGCATTCACAAAAATCAAACTTTTTATTAAATGCATAAATAAATATTGACTTCAGTTGACCACTGTAAGGGACATGAATTCTACAGACCATTTGGATGAGGAGGTAGCAGTTCTGTTTTCTGTATGCTACAATATAATTACATTACCAGAAAAAAGACAAACGAACTTTATATATACCTTTGTTAAACATTCTGCATATTACGTAACTTGCCAAAATATTCAGTAGAGGCAAGACAGCCATGAGAGTCCATTCGGCACCTGACACTGAGTCTGGGCATGCAAAAACCATAGATGAGTTGACATCTTTATGGACTCATTTATATTTTATAATGAACTTTAAAGTACATGGAATAGATATTTAGCCATTGTGTTCTGGTTATAATGTGAATGTTTGTATAGTAAGATTTAGAGTTATTTGCCCTCATGGAAATGACTGAATTTGAGGAATTCATGGTTAAAGAAAATTTTTGATATTAAATAAGTTAATATCAAAAATGACATTTAGGGATACATAGGGCAAAAATTAGTATTTATGCTTATATGATACAGACACAAGTAAAAAATTAATCACACTTTTAATCAGGTTTTTAGTGGACATAAAAGACACAGTTTAGGCCTTTGTAGTCAAATATAACTTCTAGGCTGTCTGTTGGATGTTTATTAATCCAGTCTGAAATTATTTTTCTTTTAATTGAAGTCTTTGGCTGGTTTATATTTAATATGCTTTGGCCTATACCTATCATTTTCTTGTTTGATTGTTATCTTTTATTTTATTTTATTTCTATCTGTTTTTTGTTCTTTTATTCTTCTCATCTTTTTTGGATTAATCATGCATTTTAAATATCCTATTTTTCTGTAGTAATTTTGAAATTTATTTTAAACATTTATTTATACATTTTATTTTAAACATATTTACATGCTAATTTACTCTTTGTTTTGCCTTCCGTTTTTTTTTTTTCTGATATTTTGTGGTTACCGCTAGGAAAGCTTTTCCCTCTACTTAAAATCTCCATTTAGTAACTATTGGATACTAGGCTTAGTACCTCGGTGATGAAATAATCTGTACAACAACCCCCGGTGACACAAGTTTACTTATATACCAAACCTGCACATGTACCGCTGAACCTAAAATAAAAGTTTGGGAAAAAATTTCCATTTACTATTCCTACTAAGGTAGCTTTTGTTTGTCAAAAAATCTCCTATTTTGCCTTTATTTCTAAGGGATATATTCAGAATCAGCATAGAATGCTACATTAGCAGGTTTTTTCTTTTCATACTTTAATGATGTCATTTCACTGCCTTCTGGTTTGACCATGTCTGCTGAGAAGTCAGCTGTCTTTGTGTACTCTTGCTCCTTTAGATGTAATATGACTTATTTTCCCTCTGATTGTCTTTTTTGCTAGCATTTTAATTATGCTATACCTGTGTGTGTGTGTTCTTTATACTTTTCTTTCATGGGGTTTGCAGAGCTTTTTGTAAGTGTGGATTAAAGTCTTTTCCAGTTTTGAAAAATTTTCACCAGTTCTCTTTTCAAATATTCCTTCTGCCTTGTTTGTTATCTTTATTGTACTTCTCTCTTTCTGTGTTATATATATATAGATATATATATATAACTATATATACTTATATAGTTATATATAAGTATATGTAGTTATACATAGGTATAACATACATAGTTATACATGTGTGTAACATATACATAGTTATACATATACTTATATATAAGTTATATAAAAGTATATGTAGTTATACATTAAATATATAATATATAGTTATATATGTCTATATATAGAGAGACTTTAATATATATAGAGAATTTAATATACACTTGCCCTTTTGACTATGTCTCATTTATCCATTTTATTCTTTTGTTTTATTTTGTCTTTTTTTCTCTTTACATATATATGTAAATATTTTATGTGTAAATATATATGTATATATTTTCTATTAACCTGCCTCTGTGTTTGCTAATCCTCTCTTCTCCCATGTCCAGTATGCTATTAATTTCCCATAATGAGCTAACTTTGGATATATATTTCAGTTCTAGAATATACACTTGATTTGTTATATAGAGTCCAATTCTTTATTGAAATCCTCCACCTTTTTATTCATCTTGCTCAGCTTTACTATGTTTTCTAAAAAATATATTTACAGTTGTTTAAAAATCCCTATATACTAAGCCCAAATGGATCATTTGTAGGTCTGCTTCGCTCTCTATTTTTTTTTGTAGTTGCATTTCCCCATTGCTTCATGTTTCTATCATTTTTTTATTTGCATACCCAGCATAGTATAAAAGATGATTTCTTATAGCAGTAAAGTGCTCCCCAAATTCTTTTTCGTTTTTCCTTTCCTTCAGTCAGGCAGACAGATGGAAGGATGAGAACCTCAATTAAATTAGAAAATGAGTTGAGTCAGGGCTAAGTTTCAGTTTTAGAAAGACTCAATCCATCTGTTCAATGTGCAAAGGCTGAGACCACTGAGAACATGTCAGATTTCTGTCTCTGGTGCTCTAAAAAATACAGAAAATGTGGTTCTGCCCTTCAAAGCAAAATTCCAATTTATGCAGTCCACATTGTTTCTAAAGCTCTCTAATTTTTTAAAATATGATTTTGTAATTTTCCAGATTTTATCTAGCTGTAACAGCAAGAGCATTGAGCTGTGATGGCCTAATAATTCTACCCAGAAGTAGAAGCACCTCTCCTCCCTTTTTGGGATTCATATTAGCATCAAATTATCCAGCAGGGCTCCGCTAATTTTCTGCATTGCATGAAGTTACTATCTTTATTTTTTTCTTCATCATATTCTATGAATTTTTTAAATTTTTGCAATCACCATCACGCATTATAATTCTGATTCTATGCTTCTGTGTTTCAAAAAATACTCTCAGGAACCAGACCTACTGTACAGTATGCATTCTTAAGCAGATTAGCATATACATGTAGCATAGGGGTAACAAATGCTTCCCGTACAGGCAATCTCAAAATAATATGCTAATCACTTTTATATGTAACTTTGGTTGTCTTTCTTTTTATTAAAAATTGTCCTCTCTATTTGAGATGTTTGTCACTCATTACACTCATTCATCAATCATTACAGAAATAATATTAAGGATTTTCTAAAAGATAGAAACAGGGTTGATAATGAACAAATCAATTATTCAAGTTCCGGTGTTGTTTTAATCTGATTGGCAGAAATGTAACATATTAAGCCTGATGTAAAGTGGTACTAAATTCATTGCAGAGCCCATGGCTTTGGATGTGAATGTATCCAATCACGTCCAAGTGCAAATTGCCAACAGAATCAATTATTTCATAAATCTAAACTACACCTACATTGCAGAACTAGAATGTGATATGGGTAACTGCAAATTCTTCTAAAGTTTGACAAAAGATTTACACCCTCTGCTAGCTGCTATGCTAGGGAATACAGATGTGACTACTAAGGACAAGGTAAATTGAGGGAGGCAGGAATTCCATGTTCTGGATAACAATGGCCTCATTGCAGTCAGATAGAAAAAAAAAGAATAAACACACACGTGCATGACACACACATAGCTTTTCCTGGGGGTGATACTTTCATCTTATTATTCTCCCTTAATGCCCTCCTTTTCTTCCCTTAACCATTCCTAGATTGTAGTCTACTACATTGAGACATTATGTTTCATCTACACAATTATATTGCTTTCCAGATACTAAAATTCTGATTCAGTGTCAAGTTACATTATCATACTGCTGCAAATTCTTTGATTGAAAGAAGAAGCTGTAGCAATTACTTCACTTTATAAGTAGAGGAGTCTTTGCTTATGGCGCATGACTTGAGAGGCACCAGTCCTGCATGCTGGGGAGTAGTTCTCTCCAACATGCCTCTAGAAAGACCCATTCCTTTGGCTTAATTCATGCTCTTTAGGAGAACCAGGGTAAGGTCATAGTGATTCTCATATTCCCCAAGGGTTGCCTGTGTACTGGGCCCGGTACTGAGCATTTTGCATGTATTAACTCACTAAATCCTCAAAATTATTCTGATAGGTAGAGCCTACTATCATTTACATTTTATGGAAAAGAAAAACAGAGGTAGCAAAACTTGTGCAAAGCAAGACCCCCAGTCAATGGCAGGGTAGAATTTTGAAGCCAGGGAGTATGGTGCTGCAGCCTGAACCCTTACCCATGGCCTCACGCCAACTTTTGAATAAGTTGAAGTTACTTAGTCAAGGAAGGAGAAGTCAAGCTATTCAGTGCTTGCCCCTTAAGAGGGGCTGTTAGTTAAGAGGCAAATCAGTGGTAAGAACGGAGGGGTGGAGTCATGCTGTTCAGAAAGACAAGGACATTGAAACACCTTAGGGTGAGACTGAGTGCAATGGCAGGTGGCAAAGCAACCTTGTAGTCTATTCTCTGGTAGCCATGAATAAGAGAATGTAATCTGAACATCAGCGTGGAAGAAGTGGTAGTCAAATATACTGTGCATAAGAGTCACCTTCAGTGCTTGTTAAAATGCAGATTCCTGGCAGTACGCTCAGTTTCTTATTCACCTTGAGCATCTGAAGGATGCTGTGGACTGTTCATTTTTAACAAGCATAGCAGAGGATGCAATTAACTTTCCGACATACTTCAGGAAGAATGCCGTAATAATATAGTCATGTGTCACTTTAACAATGGGGATACATTTTGAGAAATGCGTCGTTAGGTGATTTCTTCATTGTGTGAACATTGTACAGTGTACTTACACAAACATAGAGGGTATAGCCAACTATACCCCTAGGCTATATGGTATAGCCTATTGCTTCTAGGCTATGAACCTGTAAAACATGTTAATGTACTGAATACTATAGCCAACTGTAACACAATGCTAAATGTTTATGTATCTAAACTTATAAAAGGTACAGTACAAATATGGTATAAAAGATTTAAAAAATGGTAGACCTGCATAGGGCATTTGCCATGAATGAAGTTTACGGGACTGGTAGTTGCCCTGGGTGAGTGAATGAGTGAGTGGAGAGTGAATACAAAGGCCTAGGACATTACTGTACATGGCTATAGGCCTTATAAACACTGTACACTTAGGCTACATTACATTTATAAAAAATTTTTCTTCAATAATATACTAGTTTTAGCTTACTCTAACTTTTTTACTTTATAACCTTTTTTTAAAAAATGTTTTGACTCTTGTAATAACACTGAGCTTAAAACAAACACATCATACAGCCGTTGTGCAAAAAATATTTCCTTTTTTATATTCTTATCCTCTCAGCTATTTTGTTTTTAAAATTTTTTATTGTTTTTTTTTTTTACTTTTAAAAGTTTAAATTTTTGTTAAAAACCAACACAAACACACACATTAGCTGAGGCCTACATCAGAATCATCAATATCACTGTCTTCCACCTCTATGTCTTGTCCGACCAGAAGGTCTTCAGGGGCAGTAATATGCACGGAGCTGTCGTCTGCTATGATAACAATGCCTTCTTCTGGAATCTCTCTTGAAGGACCTGCCAGAGGCTATTTTATAGTTAACTTTTTGAATAAGTAAAAAAGTATATGCTAATGGAACAATAAAAAGTATTTATAGTAAAAACATAAACTAATTATATAGTCATTTATTGTTATTACCATGTATTATTTAATGCACAAAATTGTATGTGCTGTATTTTATATGACTGGCAGTGCAGTAGGTTTGTTTATGCCATCATCATCACAAACACCTGAGTAATGTGTTGTGCTCTGTAAGCTGATGTTATGACAGCTACAATGTCACTAGGCAATAGGATTTTTTCAGCTCCATTATAATCTTTTGGGACCACAGTTGTATATGCCATCTGTTGACTGAAATGTTTGTGCAGTGCATGACTATATAATATAACCATGCATTTTTATATTTTCAAAGTTTTTCATAACTTTAGCCTGGTATGCAACTTTAAATGATAAATTAAAGACCTAAGGAAAGGGTTAAATATTGTGTCTACGTTCTCACTAATAACCAGTTTTTCTACCCTAGTTCCATGTATACTAAAGTCTATTCCTTTTTTTTAAAAAAAAAAGTGAAAAAGAGTTGCCCAGCCTAATCACATATGCAGTATTCCAAATATTTTTCTGCATACTTATTTCAGTGGAATAATGGGAAACAATACACAATTCACAATTGCAAAGAGGATGGAATCAACCTAAGTGCCTGCCAACCAATGACTGGATAAAGAAAATGTAGTGTATATATATATATACACACAACATGGGATAGTACTCAGCCATGAAAAATAATGAAATAATGTCTTTTGCAGCAACTTGGTGGTAACTGGAGGCTATTATCCAAAGTTAAGTTATTCAGGAAAGGGAAACCAAATACCACATGTTCTCACCTATATGTGGGAGCTAAGCTATGGTATGCAGGGGCATACTGAGCGGTATAATGGACATTGGAGTCTCAGAAGTGGGGAGGATGGAAAGAGGGGTGAGGGATGAAAAATTACCTATCAAATACAACGTGCACTATTTGGGTGATGGGTATAGTAAAAGTTTTTGTTTCTAGGCATGTGTTCCTGTTTGGGGTGGAGGTGAGTTTGGCATGGTGATCAGAGACACCTAAATGTGTTTTGCAACAAGTAGGTACAATAAAATGGTAACTGGCAAACAACAGAGACCCCAGGCTGGAATGACAGAAAGTCTGCTGCAACCTCTCAGTAGGCATGTGTAGCAGGTAACCCCAATGTGAGCATACAGAGACGTCATCTGAGGAAAAAGCTAATCAATTCAGTTTGGATGCCTGATAAGAAAATATGTACATACAGATTAAAAATTGGCTGGGCATGGTGGCTTATGCCTGTAATCTTAGCACTCTGGGAGGCTGAAGTGGGTGGCTTACCTCAGGAATTTGAGGCAAGCCTGGGCAACATGGCAAAACCCCATCTCTACAAAATATACAAAAATTAGCCGAGTGTGGGTGTGTGCACCTGTAGTCCCAGCTACTCGGGAGGTGAAGGTGGGAGGATGGCTTGAGCCAGGGAGGTGGAGGCTGTAGTGAGCCATGATCCATGATCATGCCACTGCACTCTAGCCTGGGTGACAGAGCAGGACCCTATCTTAAAAAAATAAAAATAAAAATTTACAGTGTTCCTTGAAGAGTCATTTTGGGGCTAATTTTTGGAAAGCATTAATGTCAGATAATGTGTTCCTTCCCTGTGAACTGAGTGGGTCATTGTTAGAGAAAGGAAATTAGAATGTTCTGTCTTAAACTGGATTGATTATTGGGTCTCATAAGTTACATATTTTACAGATATCCTTTTGTATGCAACAAGGAGAATGTAATAAAAAGTTTAAAAACTAATTAGCACTAAAATTCCACTATAATAAACTTTTAGAAAAAACTAGTTTTAGAGGCAAACTCCTCCTTTGTTATGATGATAGTAGGCATTTTTATTGAATTAGACATAGCTTTTCAAGCTGAAAGCATACTCTTGGCAGTTCATGAAAATAACTTTCCTTTAAAACAAGTTATACTGCTTGCATTTGAGAATCCTTATATGCCAGGATGGTGACTATGGGAGCTGAATCCTTGAAAGTTGAAATCAGATGTGGAACATGGAGCGCAGGCATGGGGAGTATAAGATTGGGTAGCGTGAAACTCATACTCTGTTCACATTCATGGGCATCCCTGACAGAATAGCAATCCCTGGTTTCTTACAAATGGGAAGTTTTTCACCATTTCTCTTGGGAAGCCAGTTGCCTGACAGATGGAACACATTTTCTCACAGAAACAATTCTTTAAATAGTAAATAGTTGCTATGGTTTGAATGTGTTCCCAAAAAGCATGTGTTGGAAATGTAAACCCCAATGCCACAATTTTGGGAAGTGGTGCCTAACAGAAGGTGTTTAGGTCACAAGGGCTCCACCTTTGTGAATGGATTTATGCCCATTCACAGAACGGCTTGAGGCTGCCAGTTCAAGCTCTTGCTCTCTGTCTTGCCTTCTCTTGCCTTTCTGCCTTCCACCACTGGATGATGTGGCAAGAAGACCCTTGCAATATGCTGGCCCCTTGATCATGGACTCCCCAGCCTCCAAAACCATGATTCAATAAATTCATGTCCATTATAAATTAATCAGTCTCAGGTTCTATGTCATAGTAGCACAAATGGACCAAGTTTGGGCAAATTTCAAAAACCATTTAACCAATGTGATACCAAACAAGAACAATAATGAAAATTGCTGGTTTCTTAACATTTTGAGGGGCAGAGATCCATTAGAAAATATGATGAAAGCTATGGGCTATTGCTACACACATATACACGCACACACACACACTCCTCAAAACATCTGGTTAATAACAAACAAACATAGGTGTAACCTGTGACAAAATAAAGAAGAACTTGTTCCTTTTCAGGAAGCACTAATGGATACTGCTGGCAGTATCTTCTCATTAATATCAGCAGAATTTTCATTGGGCTTTGGAGTATATCAACTGCAGGTATTCATTTACCTTTGGAATATCAGGAAATATTATTTCAACTTTGAATGTTGTACCCATCATCATTATTATCATTAAAATAAAAAATAATTGAGGTGGCTAACATTTAATGAGGTCTTACTCTGTGCCTAGGATTGTATTACTATCTACTATGTGCTATCTCATTTACTCCTCATACCAGCCCTGTGATGCAGTAATATTGTTACAACTTAACAGACAATAAATTGGGGCCTTAACAGAAATCAAATAACTTCCCAAAGGTAACACAACTATTGAGTGGCAGAACTGTGTTCAAAACTCAGCTGCTTGATTCCTGAGAATTTTTATAAAGTCAAATAATTAGTTGGGAATTCTTTTTTCAAATAAGCTACTTAGAAAGCAATCAACGTACATACATGCTATTTTTTCTGTATGTTGGCTAGTTTGAAACTACAAATAATATTTGCAGTGCTCGACATTGTTTCAAGTGATTGTCATTGCTTCAATTCCTTCATTATCCATATGAAGCTAATAAATCTCTTAATCAGGGAGGCTACCTGAAACGATTCTTATTCATTCATACATTTGTTTTGAGCTCTTATTAATTCAAACTGCTTCGCAGTACTAAGGTGTATATGTTATTAGCATTTTACAAATAAAGAAATCAAATATCAGAGAGATGTCATATCTTCTGCCAGTAAATGTTGAGATGCCAGCCCCATAAATACAAATATTGATCAAAAATTGTGCACTTAACTCTTACATTACAAAAGAAGTATTTCTCCAATGGAATCCTCTCCAAATTTTCTTTTTCTTTGACTTTTTTTTTCTGTCATTGACTGACCTTTTCAAGAATCCCACACTAATCCATATCCATCTGGTCACTTCCCTGAATCAGGACTGATAATGGATGTATTATGTTTACAATACATCAAGCATTTATCAATCTCTAGCTACTACCATATTGAACATTTATTTTAAGCACTTATTCAGATATTTTTAGATTAAACTTTTTATTTGGAGCTAATTAGAGTTGTAATTTCCATTGCAAAATATAATTCAGAGAGATTCAATGGAACTTTTACTCAGTTTTCTCTGATGGCAACAGCATGCAAAAATATAGTACAATCTTACAAAGAGGGATTGACACTTATGTAGTCAGCATACAGAACATTTCTATCACCACAATGATCCTGATGCTGCCCTTTTGTAACCACACCTAAATCTCCCCCTCGTGGTCCTGAGCTCTGGCAAAACTAATCTGTTTTCTAGTGCTATATTTTTGGTCATTTCAATGTTACATACATGCAATTGTACAGCATATAATCTTGGGTGATTGACATCTCCCTCAGCATAATTCCCTTTAGCTGTGTCTAAGTTGTTGTATGTATCAATGGTTTGTTTCTTTTTATTGTTGAGTAGTTTCCATGGTATGGATGCACCACAGTTTATTTTACCATTCGTCCACTCTACAGCATTGCTGGCTGTTTTACCTGGTGATTCTGTGTTCAAAAAAAGCACTTTCAATAAAAAAAATTAAATGTAGTTCCCAAATCACATTTTAATAAAAATTGCCTGAATTTCTTTGATTCTATTGTATGATTCCAGTGTTCATGAAATAAATCTACCATGAGCATTCATGTACAGGATTTTGGATGAACATACGTTTTCATTTCTCTGGGATAAATGCCCAAGAAGGCAATTCCTGGCAGAATTTGATTTGAGACCACAGTTGTCCTAAGCAGTAATTAGTCTCTAGCTACTACCATATTGAACTCAGTGCTGCACATTGTTTTGCAATGCCAGAATTTGGGATGCCATTTTATATACGTTTTGGAGAGTTTCCTTTTGATGTCTACAGTAGTTTCTCTGTTTGCACTGAGGGAGGAATTAGATGACACAGGCTAAAATTTGCTTCTAATGTACCTCATGCAAAAAGTAAATCATTAGAGTTTTTGAAATTCTTTTCCTTGATTGTAGCCACTTACTACACATAGATGGCATGGTGCTCACCTGGGAGTGTGAAATAGGAGGTAGAAGGAGGCAAGAGGACGATGACAAAAGAAAAAGGATGCATTTTATATTGGCCTATGTCTTAGAGGTGATCCTGAATTGAAACTTAAAACAGGCTATGGTAATCTTTGGCCTGGCTCTCCTCCCTTACTGGGTATTCCTATCGCCAGGCTCCCAGGCCAGAGCCCTCTTGCTGCTCTGAACTGTCTAGACACTCACATCTTCCACTAGGTCTTTAGTGCCTTAAACAAAAACCCAGAATTATCAACCTCCACTTGCTCAGCAACACAGCTGATTTTTGCTCCATGTCAGGCTGTAAGCATCAGTCCTGGGCACTGGGTAACTATTTAGGCTATGGTAAGAGGTAGCACACTTCAAAATCTAGCTCTGCCATTCCTAGGCTGCATGAGCTTGGAAAAGTAATTTAAGTCTTTAAGCCTCAGTTTTGAACTAGGCAAAAGGGCAATAATAGACCTACCTCATAAAGTTCTTGTGAAGAGCACATAAAATACTACATATAAATGAGAGTAGTTAGTGATGACAAATATAAACAGCCTAATAACGATATTATTATTCAAATAAATTCTTGATGACTTTTGAGAAACTTGTAGTTCTGGGGAAAGATATTTGTTTCCAAACTATTGTTCATTCATTTATTCATCCATTTGTTCAGTACCTATCTGGCAGCCATGTACTGAGGATACAAATCCGGGCAACATCTAACTCCTACTCATAGGATTAGGAGTTTATTCTGTGTAGAAGATGCTGTCATTATCCCACCATATTCTCCACTTACAGAAGGGTAGTTAATGGAAAACGGCCAATTCAAATCGATGGCTATGGCTTTTAATATTTAACACTTGTGATACTCTGAGGGTACATGTTACCTCTCACCACCCCTGACCCTAGCCTGTAGGAATCCAGCCATTGGCCAATCATAGGTGGAGACTGAGTGGATAAAGCCTCCATTTTCCTCACCCTTGGTTGGGAGAACTATAAAGTGCATTTTACATTATCTCACAGAATACACAACAATGTATTGAGTAATTGCTCCATGTCAGACTGTAAGCATCAGTCCTGGGCACTGGTTAACTACTTAGGCCATGGTAAGAGGTAGCACACTTCAAAATCTAGCT
This sequence comes from Homo sapiens, assembly GCF_000001405.40. Taxonomy (NCBI): domain Eukaryota; kingdom Metazoa; phylum Chordata; class Mammalia; order Primates; family Hominidae; genus Homo; species Homo sapiens. The sequence continues at coordinate 114,609,717 of NC_000006.12, forward strand.
CTGCCATTCCTTGGCTGCATGAGCTTGGAAAAGTAATTTAAGTCTTTAAGCCTCAGTTTTCAACTAGGGCAGTGGTCCCTAGGGGTAGCAGACCTGACAATGCACAGGTCATTGGTTTTATTCCCTTTCCCTTCTCCCTTCTCCACTTATCTACATTTCCTAGATGGCTTTCCAAATAAAGTATTTAAATTCTGATCTTGTCTATGGGTATCTTTTTGTGGGAACTCAAACTAAGGTAGTATGTATCAGATATAATTCTAGTAAGTCAATATTAATTTATTTAATCTTTGACACAGCACAATGAAATGACTTTCTTAATTTTGAAGATTAAAACAAAAAGCAAAAGCAAAATACTGTCTCACAGTGGTAAAGAAAGTAACTCAAGGGCAATATAATAGATGGTGGCACATCTGCTATTTTATTCTAGGTATATCTGGCTCCAGAGCTTACTGGTTTTAAAATTTTCTTTTTTTTTTTTTTTTGTTTTGGTTTTTTTGTTATCTTCATTGTAAACTTAATAAGTAGCAATGATAACAATAGAAAATCTGAAGAATTAGAAATAAAAATTAAAATCTGTAGTCATTCATTTAAATTGGTCATTTTCATCTGCTTTCAAAGATAATTTAGTTTTGCCTGTTTTCATATGTTTAAAAAATATCTCTTATTGACACTGATTCAAAGTTTAGTTGGTTTCCTTCCCAAGTTTGTAAGCCTCCATAAACAGGAAGGCAGACACATTTTTGGCATACTTTTTTCACGATAGGGCTCTTCTAATAAAGATGACCACATTTTTCTGCCATGGTGCTTGAAATTTTTATCAGTAACAACACTTTTTAAGAGATTTTCTGGATATTGTTGCTTTTTAGTTGGTGATACGATTTGGCTGTGTCCCCACCCAAATCTCATCTTGAATTATAGTTCCCATAATCCCCATGTGTCATGGGAGGTAATCGGTGGGAGGTAATTGAATAATGGGGGTGGTTACTCCCATGCTGTTCTTGTGATAGTGAGTGAGTTCTCATGAGATCTGATGGCTTTATAAGGGGCTTTTCCCCCTTTGCTTAGCACTTTTCCTTCCTGCCTCCATATGAAGAGGGACATGTTTGTTTCCCCTTCCACCATGATTGTAAGTTTCCTGATGCCTCCCCAGCCCTGCAGAACTATGAGTCAATTAAACCTCTTTCCTTTATAAATTACCCACTCTTGGGCAGATAGCAGCATGAGAATGGACTAATAGAGTTAGGTTTCATATACAAAATGTATCTTCTTGCCAAGGTGAGCCTCTTTGCTTGTTCTTATTTCTTTTGCCATTGTCTACTGCAGTGGTTCCCAAATTATGTTCTATGGAGAAAAATGTAAATACATGATGGTAAGAGTTTTTCTTCAGTAACTAACTTTGAATTATATATATGTAAACACCTTTAAATAGTTGTTTTGAATGATATGCAACAGCTAAGCATTCCAGGAAGCCACAAATGTGATCACATTATGCATTGTCTTTAATAAATTGCCATTAATGAATAGGCATCATTTATCACCTTTCCCTTTAAGTTGTACAATGTCTATTGTATTAAATTGGTATAAATTAATTACGCATTATGTATTTGTTCTGCAAATTCATTATGTACTTGTGATATTATTTTGGTCTTTATTCATACATTTTGCTATAATTAATTAGTTTCTGAAGGGGCTTTATATTCTCTATTTTATCCATGTCATAAATCATTATTGATTTTTCATCAATACTTTAAAAAATCTCTTACTCAAATAAGTACGAGAAATATGAATCTATAGGACTAATGTCCAAATTCTCAGCATAGCATCTAATCACTTCCCCACTGATCTCTGAGCCCCATTATCTTTTTGATAGTACTTCTGGGGTCTGCTCTTTTCTGAATACAGTATACCTTTTGAATTCTCTGTGTACTTGCTGATGATATTTTCTCTGTCTGTAATGCACTTTCTACTGTCTATTTGATGAAATTCTTAAAACCTCAATCTAGACATTACTTGCTCCTGAAAGCCTCATTTCCTGCTCAGGGGTAATTTTTGTCTCCTTAGTCATTATAATTTTACATGCCTCTGTTGCAGACCTATCACCTTGTTAATGTATTATTTATTAATATATTTGTCTCTTCTACTAGGTCAGGTGTTCCTGAGTCTAGCCTATCTTATATTTGTGTTTGTGGTTAGCATAGGATCTAAAAATACTAAAAATATCCAATAAATACTTACAGAATGACTAAGTAAATGCACATATAGTATGACCTTCATTTTTCTTCCTTCTTCTTTCTCTTTCTTCCTCCTACCACCACATATTTTTTTACATTATACATTCATGACAACTTTGTACTGACCACTATGTTTCCTGCTACAGAGGAAACAAAAATGATTAAGACATAGTTTTTGAGCTCCATGAATTTTTAGCCTGGTATTAACTATCATTGGCCATTGTAAGTTGGGTCCTGGCTGAAATATACATTATAATATTATATAATGTACAATACATATTAGAAACAATATATGTATAATATGTCTTATAATAGATGTATATCTCTTTATAGATATACATATCTTCTAAAATCTTCAGTTTTTTTTAGCTATGGCCTAGTTACATAGATTTATAAGAGGTTGTGTCACATAATTATTTTAGGTTCTTGTCATTCTAGATCTGATAGCATTTGGACATGACAGTGTTGCAATCATTATTTATTTGACCAGGAACAAGGAGAAATAGTTTGCTGATTATGAAAAACTTTAAATGAGAGTAGATATGTTTGGTCAATCTTAGGCATTTCAATAATTTAAGTTTTAAAAATTTATTCATATAAAAATTAAATGTTGGCAATTTCTTTATCCAAATATCATGAAAATTTATACTTGAAGACTTTTCAGCTTGTATTATTTATCTGAGCAACAGCATTCTCCAAAGTGGGTTCTGCAGAAGGCCTTAAATATTTTTAATATTTTTATAAATAAAAAGTGGAAACATCTTGATCAAACAGGTCTAGAGATAGTGAATAGCCTCTAGCCCCATCTCCTTTTGGAAATTCATGTGCTTATTAGCATATTATAAAGCTATGAGATAACCATTAATGAAAAATGCTTACTTCACTTTTTTTTTAACAAATTCCTTTGACTTATAAAACTTTTTCTATGTTACATCTAGAAGCATCCCTTGTGATTAATATTTTGAAATGCATGATAACATTGGTTAATACATTCGGTGACATGGTTGGTAACTTCTGATAATATGTGACATAATAGTCCATTTTATTAACCATTGTAAATACTCTGACAGGTGGAAAAAGAAGCAAGATAAAATGTCTGCTTCAGCTTGAACACGTTTTGACCACATCCAAAGAACCAAGGCAGAGAAAGAGAATGGGGTACTATGTCAAGGTTCAATATAGAATCAAGCAGAATCAGAATATATGTAGATTTTTCAGAGCTTACCATATAGTCAGAATCAATCACTGCAAATCAGAGAGAGAAATACGAAAATGTCATTAAACAAATTTCAGACATTTGGGTTGGTTCCAAAAATGTGGCACATGTACACCATGGAATACTATGCAGCCATAAAAAATGATGAGTTCATGTCCTTTGTAGGGACATGGATGAAATTGGAAATCATCATTCTCAGTAAACTATCGCAAGGACAAAAAACCAAACACCGCATGTTCTCACTCATAGGTGGGAATTGAACAATGAGAACACGTGGACACAGGAAGGGGAGCATCACACTCTGGGGACTGTTGTGGGGTGGGGGGAGGGGGAAGGGATAGCATTAGGAGATATACCTAATGCTAAATGACGAGTTAATGTGTGCAGCACACCAGCATGACACATGTATACATATGTAACTAACCTGCACATTGTGCACATGTACCCTAAAACTTAAAGTATAATTAAAAAAAAAAAAAAAAACAAGTTTCAGAGAAAAGGACTTCCTTTCCAAATGAGGGGCCCTGCTTCCACGGACAAAGCCAGCTTGGATCATGAGCTGTCAAATGTGAACCAAGAATTACAGCCCCAGGAGGAACAGCTGTCTTGCTTTCAGGACACTGAGGTCTATGCTTTGCTTAAACCTAAAATGTATTGGCCATTGAAGATAAATCCTGATTCTTTTTTTCAATTAAAACTTTGATTTTTGCATCTCAATGATTGCACATAATAGGCACTCCTAAAATATTTGTAAGACTAAAGTAAATAACTTAAGGAATAAAAGGGTGATCATATGCATAGGCAATATAAATGAAGAGTATTAATTTATCTATAGCATTTTAATAGAGTCACCTATGGGTTTTTTTTTTTTTTTGCTTCGGTTTTACTTGATTTTTAAAAGGGTTTATGTATGTATCTATTTGTTTCCTCTTGACATGTGTGGATGAAGCTGCAGAGGTGAAGGAAAAGATACTATTTATCACCTACCTCCTAATGCTGTAAGAATTTATTAAATAATGGTGACTTTTCCATGATTCCTTCTCATACTCAATGCAATCCATACTGCTTCCTGTGGAGAAACTGCTGTGTGAATAGCAAAAAATGTTTTTTGATGGCAATGATGAACCCCAAATATAAACTGCTTCTTTAGAGGAGAGAATCTCTAATGTTCTTTTATTGACAGAGCATTGGAAGAATAGAAAATTACAATCTTCTGTCTCAGTTAGCCTGGAGTTCTTCTCTAAATCAATCCCTTATTCAAACATGAAATGTACATCTTATGGCTCCCTCTTCTCTCCTCAACTTCTTGCTTAGGGCAAGACCAATGAGATTTTGAAGTGCTCCAGCTTAGCTGGTTTTTAATCTTCCTTTTAAAAACATCATTTGCAGCTAGAAATCTGATTCAGTTTAAAATGCTGAGTTTTAGTAAACTGAAAACTGAGATTTATAAATGCATAGTGAAGATGAAATGCAGTAATCGAAGTAATAAAATAGCATTATGAAGAGTAGTTGACATGCATGCTTAGAACCTATTTTTCAAGTATTAAATACTAACTCTAAATAATGTCAAAATCAAACATGCTTTAAAAATAGAAAAGAACTAAAGGTCATATTATGAAATGTCTATAAATTGTAGTCTTTTTAAAAGCCTCACTGACCAGAAGTTTATAAGAAAAAAAAATAGTGATTCCAAAAAATCAGCTGAAACCATAAACACAGAATATTATTTTTCTATTATGTTATGACTCCCCTCTACATTATTTTGTACTTAACCTAAAATTTGTTTTATTTTTGTTTTCTGTTACATACTTTAATATTTGCAAGAATTTTAAAAAAGATATTTGAAATGACTATTTCCCTAAAGATCCAGTTCTAGATGGTGTAGAAAGACCTTGAAATAAGTGAACTAGAGGCTTCTTTTAAGATATCTATAAAGAATTAATTCCTAACTGCAACACCAGAAACTCAATATTTCTAATAATAAACATAGTATATCCAATAAATTTCTGCTACTATATAGTCCATCTTAATTTGATTTTCTTAATCATAAATAAAGCCTGAAATGACATAACTATTCAAAGTCGTGACAAATTGGTGTTTTATGGTTGGATGTGGCCCACCTCATGCTCCTAGAATAGGATGTTTTTAAACTATAGGAGGACATTCTACTTTCTGAGATGCATTCTAATTGTTTACAATCAACATTGGGTCTCCCCTTTAGGCTTGTCACTAGGCGGAGACTCAAGTAGAATAATACTCCAAGACCATTTGTACTTAATGAAAGCAATTTGTTATAAGCTGAGGGGAAAGTGTCCTTTGTCTTTCTGCCAAAACAGCCTTGCTCTGTTTTTGTTGAGGTCATTCAGATTAATGGGGAGACTACAAGATGCTCTAAAACAAAAGCATTAGTGAGAAGATGCAAAGCATTTTTCTAAAACAATGCTAAATACCAGGGAACATGTGTAGTATGTTTTCAGACATCTATTATGAAAACTGCTTAAAATTAATTATTCTTAATTGCGTTTTCCTATATGGTATCCATATGGCCCCATTGTTCATTTAATAAAATGTTTTTTGACAAATGCTATTTTTAAAGAGTGATGGTAGGAATTGTATAGATATAAATAACATTTATAAGACTACACAATTTATAGTTTATGGTCAGTAGATTTTAATAAGACTATGATCAGAACACATCATTTTATTTTATTTTATTTATTTATTTTTTTTGAGATGGAGTCTCACTCTGTTGCCCACGCTGGAGTGCAGTGGTGTGATTTCAGCTCACTGCAAGCTCCGCTTCCCGGGATCATGCCATTCTCCTACCTCAGCCTCCTGAGTAGCTGGGACTACAGGGGCCCACCACCACGCCAGGCCAATTTTTTGTATTTTTTAGTAGAGACGGGGTTTCACTAATCCTTCACTTTAGGTGAACAATTAGGGGAAAAATATACCTATAATCATCCTTGAAGAGTAGCAGATAAAAAAATGAAAAGTAAAATACAAAGAAATGTAATGCATTATCTTAGAGAGGGAAATCATGGCCAGGCCATATGAGATACTTTTATAGTAAAGACTTTCAAGTGTTCTAATTACCACATAGACTGAGGAATGTATGCATTTGAAAAGAAATATCACCTGGATGTCTCTTTCAATTAGAATTCTCTATTTTTCAGTGACTTCTTCCTGACAGCTCAATCCAGAAAGATTGAATTTTATCTTTCTCACACTTCCTTCCTAAGGGCTGCATTTGTTAGATGCTTATTTCAAACACTTTGTCTTCGTTTCCTGTAAGTTTTCTAACTTTGACCATGTATCCCTTACCAAGGATTCTATGAGGGGGAGAGAATAACATATTTATCCAATTTGGAATTTGAAAACAAAAAAGAAAAACCATGTTAAACTTCAAGTAGTAAGGTTCTGGATGACAGTGACTTTATAAGAAATTAAAACAGTATTTCTCCATTGAGAAGATTTGATAGACCACATATGCACCTTAGATAAATCACACTGCCTTTATCATCCCATTCAGGAAAGTTTAATTTTTGTCCTTGAGAGATTTAAAGGCACCAGTTGTTCAGTTATTTGTGAGCAGTTCTGACCAGTTCTCGCCTTGTGGTATTCCTATTATGTTACTTAGAAGATTATATATGTGAAGATTTTGTTTTTGCTGCTTTTTGTACATAAGGCTACGTAATCTTTTATACAAGCTTGTTGGAAACTCATTTGATATGTAAGAAGAGTCCACATATGATACTTAAATAGAACTTCTAGTCCATTAATAAGTACCTATTATGTTCTCCACACTTTAAGACATTTTCAATAATTATTAATTTGTCCACTGTAAGTGGATGTAATACTGGCTAAAAGTCTTGGTTGGCTGGAACAGAAATAGATGGCTTCTGTGTTACTGTCATAGGATTTCAGGCTTCCTGTCACAATATATATTTCAGTCCTGTTCTAGATGAAGCATAGTGGGAGGTAAGGAAGGAATTCATCATTTTCAGTCTTGTGGCTTCTTAATTATAGGCCTCTTTGTTGAGGCTATTCACTTGGCTATCAATTAGGATCAAGTGTTATGCTGTACTGGCTGCTAGATACAAGTCTGCTAAGAAAAGGACTGAGATAACCAACTCAAAGTTGTCATAAACAGAAATGACATGTGGTCACCCTCAAACTGTTATTAATCAGAAATTAGCTGATACTATAGTGGATAAGATTTGGTATGATATAAATGATTAAATCTCAGGAAAACAATTTATGCATCACTTTCTTCATCTGCATTAGACATAACAAAATTCTGCCACAAGAGTTTTGTTAGGAGTAACTGAAAACTGAAAGATAATTTTAAAGGGCTTAGCAAAGTCTTCACAGTAACAAAAATAATAAGGATGTACATACCAGCTAACAAGATAATTGTACAGATAATTGGAAAATGTACTTCCTTGGGTGCAATGTTTATACCAAGAGGTAAAATAATGTTAGTAAGATTCCATCAATGTCCATAAAACACACATTAATGAATGGATTCATGCTGCATCTATGTATTAGCATACATTTGTATTCGGATTAAATTATAAGATAAGCTTGTATAAATAATGGAGAACAGGAGAGCATTTTTCACTTAAATTTGAGATGATATATTACTGAAGAGTTTTACTCTTACACTAAAAACACATATTCTTAAAACCTTAAATAGAGGAGATAAACAAATACAAAAGCCCAACAACAACAACAAACGCTGCAATTAAAGGAGTTTGAGAGACATAAAAAGGCATTTTGGTTCCATACGCCTGATACGCCTGGTACTGACAGACACTAAAAATATAATATTCTGACAACACCCTTTTGCTTGATATAGATATATTGTTCTCTATATTACACACACACACACACACACACACACACACACACACACACACATATTCTGAGATGGAGTCTCGATCTGTTACCCAGGCTGGAGTGCAGTGGCACTATCTCAGCTCACTGCAAGCTCCCCCTCCCAGGTTGAAGTGATTTTCCTGCCTCAGCCTCCCAAGTAGCTGGGATTACAGGTACCTGCCACTACACCCAGTTGATTTTTGTATTTTTAGTAGAGATGGGGTTCCACCGTGTTGGCCAGGCTGGTTAACTCCTGACCTCAAGTAATCTGCCTACCTCGGCCTCCCATGCTGGTATTCAGGCATGAGCCACCGCTCCTGGCCTATATTCAACATATTGATTAGCTGAATTAATGAGTTGCCTTGCTACTATTTAGTTGTATTTTTAAAGACAAAACAAAACATAAAGAAGCAAATAATCCAATAAATGTAATTTAATTTATAATTTCTTCTTTCTTCCCTCCATCTTCCTGTCCTCCATCTTTGGTCCTACTTTTATTTTATCTTTGCTCTACCTCATTATACAAGGGATTTTTAACTGATCTTAATATTAATTTATGGTAGACAATAATAACTCAACTAAACCTGACACTTTGAGAATATAAATACAGTCTTATTTATACTGATTATTTTAAAATCACACTTTAAAAAATTGTTGCTCATATTTCATGTATAACTGAGCATATTCTAAGATGCTGAACTCTAAATGGGGTATTGCTGAATATGGGGCTGGGCAAAACTCCATGCCCTCTACAGTTTGGTGAACCATTGTTTTGCTCTGTTGCTTGTGGCTTACCCTGTGATCCCTGCAAAGCTCTGAAGTGGTCAACAGTGGCTGGCTGGCCAGCCACTGATACTTGGCCCAATGGTTTGATGTTGGTGATCCAAATCAGATCACATTCACCAGAATCTGCCCCTTTTGCTTCCCTTGTATACTTGCGTGTACAGGAAAGGATCTCCTAACTGCATTGCCTGAAACAGTATGACAGAGAACAGGTTTTCAGATAATGTCTGTCCTATCCACTGTCTGCTCCTTTGGCTGTAGATAGAAAAATCAGAAACTGGAAGATTACCAGTATCAAGTTCTTCACAAATTTTCAGGTAGATTTGAACATTTTTTTGTTCTCAAAAGTTGACACAAAAAGGCATGGTAATGCAACAACCTGAAATAAAGAAAGGAATCAGGCCAGTTGCGGTGGCTCACCCCTGTAATCCCAGAACTTTGGGAGGCCAAGGTGGGCGGATCAGTTGAGGTCAGGAGTTCAAGGCCAGCTTTGCCAACATGGTGAAACCCTGACTCTACTAAAAATTCAAAAATTAGCCAGGTGTGGTGGTGGGCACCTGTAATCCCGCTACTCGGAAGGCTGAGGCAGAGAATTGTTTGAACCAGGGAGGCAGAGGGTGCAGTGAGCTGAGATTGCACCACTGCACTCAGCCTGCATGACAGAGCGAGACTCCACCTCAAGAAAAAAAAAAAAATTAGCCAGGCATAGTGACACATGCCTGTAACCCCAGCTACCTCAGGAGGCTGAGACACCAGAATTGCTTGAACCTGGGAGGCGGAGGTTGCAGTGAGCTAAGATCAGGTCACTGCACTCCAGCCTGGGCAACAGAGTGAGACTCTGTCTTAAAAGAAAAAAAAAGAGAGAAGTGAATCAAGCCATAAGAATATTGTTATTTCCTGATCTCACAACAAAAAGTCTACGCTATCTGGATTCAAGTTTGATTTTATTCTCCACATATTTCTGCAATGTTGAATTTACCTTAAGCATACTCATATCTTATGTTTATATTTCTACTGGCTTTCCAACTGGCTAATGACTCATATATTTTACGATAAAATTTCACTAGAGTTGGAAAGGGACATGAAAGCATATTACTGTATTCAAATCTATTTGAGTTTCTTTTAATAACCAGGTTTATTCCCTTCTTTTAAATCATCCTTATTCCCAAATGGAATTCTGCTAGAAATAGAGTCTAATCATTCTAATTCCCTTAAGAACTGAAAAGCTGAAGCAATATGGAAGGTTTTAGATACAACTCTATTATTTCTATAATAAGCATAATTTTACCAGCTTGTTATACAAGACTGTTATTGAAGAGCTATTGAGTCATTGGATTGTGAATTACTGAAAATTTCATAACAGTTGGCATATTAACAGATAAATGAAATGCTGAACTAATGGGACATTTTCTAGTAGAAAGTTAAAATTAAAAAACATTGTTAATTATAAAACAATTTGCACTTGTATGCTATCATTATTAGTAACAATGATTTTGATAAAAAATGTTATAAATAGAAGATTACTTATTCTCGCATAGGCTTTTATTGGAGAGAGTTATCTTAGCCATTTGAAAAATAATTAGCTACTTATATAATTAATAATATAAGTAAAAACTTGATTTTTCTATAAATATGTTGTCCTTTGAATGTTTTATATATGTAAATATTTTTAAATAAAATATATAACTACATGGTTGAATACAAGATATTAATTTTCTTATATAAAAGTTTAGACATATTATTAATTAAAAAGCAATAAATATAAAAGATTTGAGTCTGAATTTTATGTTTTCACAATTATAATATTATTGGTTAGGTTTACCAAATTATTAAGCTATATTAACTATGTTACTACAAAGTGCCTAGGAACTGAAATTTAGAAAACTGTACAGTATGAACATCTTCTAGCATAAAACTAAAAATGTGGTGATGAATGAAGACTCTAAAATATGTCAAATATGGACAATGTTAATTCTAATTTGCAAATTTTATATCTTTCCAGTTTTTGCCCTTCACTAGTCTGAAAAAATATACCAACATATTAGCTGTCTAATTTTCAAATTATTGTTCACTCTAAAATTTCCCACAAGTTACTCATTTCCTTAGATTACCAAAATTAATTGACCTGGAAGTGAGAAGATAACTTAACATTTTAATGAGGCTGATAATACCACTGAGCTCACAGCCTACACTTTTGACTTTAAAAGTATAGTTTTAGGTGAGTTTAAGGATACAGAAGTAATGAAATACAGAAGATTGATAGGGGGAATTGAATGGAAGAGACAGTAGATATTTTGAAGGTCTATTCTACAAAACTGGGAAACCAATTGGATAAAAGGAGTAAAGAATTAGCAAACTGAGTGATAGCTTCTCAGCTCCCTAACACATAAAAGCTCTGGTAATTATAGTAACAAACACTTAAAATATAATTTACCATGTGCTATTCATATATTAACTCATTTAATGTTCAAAACAATCTTGGGTAGTAAATTCTATTACCATCCCACTATAAAGATGAAAAAAAGAAGGCAATATAGATGTTAAATTTTTTGCCCAAAACCACCAAGCTAGTAAATGGCAGAGCTGAGCTTTAAACCTTGGAAGTTTTATTTGGGATTGTGGTCTTTAACATTACATAATAATGCTATATTACCTTTCTATATCCTTTTTTCCCAATAAAATATGCTGTGTGCTTGGATAATTGGGGAATTTTTTCAGTTATTTAATCTTTATCCTACTTTGTATCTATGCTAGAAGACCAGGAGAGTAACAGATTGAATTTGAATGCATTCCTGTGTATCCATGCTGAAGGAAACCTAGCACATTCTGGATTGGAAATTTCAGTTGAGCCCAAAGTGTCAAGTTATTTCAGAAGGCTTACATAAGTCCTTAGAGATGTGCACATTGCTATCACTTCACTGGAAGTTTCCCTCACAATGAACAGTACTGTAAGAAGTTCTCCTAAGACCTTGCTCAAGAATCCTGAACCAATTATCCCTTCTGATCTCGGATTTCTTACATAAAATGATCCATTTGTTATCCACAAGAGTTAATGACCCTTGAATATCTGATGTGAGCATAAGATTAAGAGGTTGGCTTTTGGAATCCAGAAGATTTAACTAGTTGTTAGTCATAATAAAGTGGTTAAGAGTGCACATTCTGGAGCCAGATTGCTTGAGTTCAAACTCCAGCCTCACTACTAGTTACTGATGACCTTGGAAAAATTCAATTCACTTTGTGTAACTCACTTTTCTCATTTGTAAAATGTGTAACACATTAGAATTATCTCACAACTTGTTATGAGAATTAAATGAGATAATATATGCACAAAATTTTAAATGGTTTCTGGCTTTTGGTACATCCTTGATGAATATTATCTATTCTAATACTATGGGTGCTTGAGCAAGGTGCTTACCCTTTAAAGCCTCAACTTCATCACCCATGACATGATCATGGTAATAACTGCTGCCTTGTAGAGTTGTTGCGAGGCTTATAAGATATGGTGAATGGAAAGTGTTTTGTACAGAGCCTGGCATAAATCCAGTGTCACCCTCCTGTATTTCTACTTTGCACTCCTGGACATGATTGCCCTGGTGTCTGTTCACAGCTGCAGATTCACAACAGCATGTCTACTGTTATGTGATTGTGTTATTTTGTTAAGAAATGGGCATTAGAAATGATACAGAGAGATGGGGAGGGCTAAGTTAAGCCATTTGGGTGAGATTTGGAAAAGGCTGGAGCCTCAAGAAACAGCCCCACTTTCTGGAGCAGGTCTGTGAATGGGGCTTGCTGTGCTGCATAGGGACATGCATGCTGGGCAGAAGAAACAGTGATAATTGAGAGTCCTGAGATTGGTGCAAGCAGTATTCATGTAGGGGTGGTCCTGCAGCCAGCCTGGCTGACACCAGTGGTCTCCAGGTGACTTTGTCTTTTGTTTCTCTATGAATATTCGGAAATCTTAGCTTTGGCATGGGTATGGCTGCTGGCTGTGTTTCAGATATATTTTAAAGTTTGAATATAGGTGTCAACAAAGAGGGTACATATGAGTGGGAAGGGAGCAAAGGAACATCTGTCATGTAATCTACATACTCAATATTACCAGCATAGGAAGGTGGATAAGCCTGGGCAAATTTCTCTTAATATTGAAGTATTTTGTCATATATAAGCACATGCAGATAAGTATAAATTGCAGTAGAAAACTATATTTTCAAACATATTAAACATGTTAATTTACTGAATGCTTATAATATATGTAAACCAGGGATTATGATCCTAATTTTACAGATGAGGATGGGAAACCTAGGCTCAGAGAGATTGAGAAACAAACCTGAAACCTAATAGTAAATAAAAGAACTTGGATTTGAAGCCTGATCTATTCTACACTATGTGTGTGTGTATGTGTGTGTGTGAGAGAGACTTGTGGGTAGCAGATAAAAATCTCGCTAAGACTCAGAAATGTAAAAAAATACAACAATTTTGTATAAATAAATTCAATCTCTATTTTGAGCCTACATTTCACTCAGTGGCAGAAATATAGTTTTAGTTGGTTTGTACCCCTTTTCTTAGGCTGCATCTAAGTTCCAGGAAGCTTGCCTTGGAATACAGCCAGAGAGGGACACTTCATCCTTAATATTGTATATCCCTAAATGTATTCATGTAAACAACTCTTGTTTTTATGGAGATCATATGATTTATTATCTCAAGCAGACACTTTCCAGAATAAAAGGAGATACTGGAAATAACTATGCCAAGACAATGAATACAAGGCATGACTACCTCAGGCAAACCAGATGTGTGGTTCCTATGCATATTTCTTTCTGCTGGGTCTCTTCTGGTCTGGCAACCCTCTTCAGTAATTTTGTACCAAGCCCAGGTCCACAAGGAAGTATGTGTAAAGGGAGCACATGTTGCCAAGAGTCAGTCTACAGAGGCAAGGCAAAGCATAACATGGCTGCAGCTGTGTGCCATAAGGACAGAAACCCGGTGCCTTGACTCTGTGTGCTATTTGTCCTTATTCAGCCTTTGTGTCCTGTATTGCCTGAATTGGGACTACATCAAGCTCTGGGAGTCTCTGTGAGACTGTCCATGTCTCTGTCTGTTTCAGCCCACAGGAATGTCTTCATTTGCTGGTTTCTTGCCATCTTTCCCAGGCTGTCTATGGGGAAGGTCTCTTCCATTCTCAGAGTCCACAAATCTATTGTGGGCATCAATATAGTAATAAGGGAGGTGAAAAGATGCAACAAATAAACTCAAACCCCACTGGCTTTTGTCCTGGTTACCTCCTGCTCCAATCGAGTGTTTGGTGGGCACCTTTTCAGTCACAGTATGATTCATGGTCCAGGCTCTTTCCATCTTGTGGCTCCTCCATCTTCTAAGGTCTCTTCTAGAGAAGAGACAGAGCATGGGGTTTATAGAAATTAATCTTAAAAGTGGTGTACATCACTTCTACCCACTTAAACTGAAAGAGAGCTGAGCAATGTCAGCTAGCAGGGATCAAGGCTTAGGAGGGAAAACCGGGATTTTTGTAAGCACTGGCATTCTTGACCAGGCAGCACCTCCCTGTGTCAATCTTTTTTGTGGCTTTCCTCTTCTCTGCCATCAGCCTGATTTGGGAAAGGAGGCTGGGGCTAGGCATACATGCTTTTCTTAATCATCTTCTGTCAAATACTCTGTCTATACTAAGATTCCTCTGAGTTGATTTTTTTTTTCTAAGAGTTTTATGCTTTTGAAAACAAGGCCAGAAACATACTCATTTTTCCTGTTTTCTACTCTGTCACATTACTCTTCTGAGTTATAGGTTGGGCTGTTTGGTGTGTGTGTGTGTGTGTGTGTGTGTGTGTGTGTGTGTGTGTGTGTGTGTGAGAGAGAGAGAGAGACAGAGAGAGAGAGAGAGATGCAGGCACAGTGGGGCAAAAGAACAAAGTCAGAGAGTAACAGGAAAAATTGTTAATATTCTCAAAGCATTATCTCAGGATGTAACTATGTAGCTATGGCTTAACTACTATGAACTGGTGCATTTCCACACAGCAAATATAAATGCAACACTGTTTCTCTCTTCAAGGCTGTATCACTTGTGTGTTCAGGTATTCTAAAGACATGAGAATCTAGAGGGTGGCTCATGCTATACTGATACACTGTCAGAAACAGAAGCTGGCCTCAGACAAGCCATGTTTGGAATATGAAAACTAGGCAAATCCCCCAATTTAATCAACAAGTTTTAGCAATTCAACTTCTCCAGTATAAACAATCCATTACATTTTTATATATGATGGCAGCAATTAAAATTTTCTAATACAGTAAAAATCAATTTCTCATTGAAGGTAAAAATGACTATTAATATCTACACTGAGTTTTGCTCAAGTATAGCATAAAGTAGGTTTAGAGATGAATCATCAGAACTCTCTGAGGTTGGCATCGCTTAGGAAGGCAGGTGCCTGGTGAGAATAGACGGCCCCCACTAGGAGACTCCATAACCACAAAAAAAAAGGCAAAAGGGTGGTGGATCTGAGTTACAGGCAGTGGGCACAGAATATGTCTTGACTCAGAGTTCTTGGGCTGTGCATGCACCAGGATGGGGGCTGAGGTTATAAACAAGAATGTTTTTTGACCTTGTACCACATTGAGACTTGGGAGTCTGTGAGCCCTCCAGGATACTGTGGTTACCAAGGATTCTCCATCTTCTGAAGTATTTCTATGGAATACTGCAATCAAGCATATTGGAAGCCACCAAGCAGAGCATCTGGCCCATACTTCAGTATTCCAGGCTGAAACACCCATGACTGCCTAAAGCCTGTATTTTCCTTTGGAGAATGTTCACTGCCCTGAGTCCTCCAGCCATCTGGTCACCTTCTACTACTGGGTAGACTCAGATGTCCAGCATTTCTGAGCTGCCTCACACAAGCTGAGCCACAGAGCCATGCAGCACTGGGCTTCTGCAGCCTGATCTCCAACGCTGCAAACCTTGCCAGTTGACTAAGAGCCCCTCTGCCCTGAAGTCTCATCACTTTCAGGGATACTGCTATCCTAGTACCTATAGCCACTATTGGTTCAATGGTAAAATGTGTTCTTGTCATTTTAAACCTCAGCCTTTACCCTGGTGCATGCACAGCCCAAGAACTCTGGGTCAATCAGTGTTCTGTGTCCAGTGCCTCTGACCTAGATCTACCATGCTTTTGCCTTTCATGTGGTCATGGAGTCTCCTAGTGGGGACCCTCTGTTTTTACCTTGCCCTTGAATTTCTTTAAATATAATTAAATTTAATTTAATAGTAAGTTCTGGGATATATATGTAGGATGTGCAGGTTTGTTACACAGGTAAACGTGTGCCATGGTGGTTTGTTGCACCCATCAACACATCAACTAGATAGTAAGTCCCACATGCATTAGCTATTTATCCAGATGCTCTTCTCTCTGTTCCACCCCACTGACAGGCCCCATTTTATGTTGTTCCCCTCCCTCTGTCCATGTCTTCTCCTTGTTCAGCTCCCACTTATAAGTGAGAACATGTGGTGTTTGGTTTTCTCTTCCTGTGTTAGTTTGCTGAGGATAATGGCTTCCAACTCCATCCATGTCTCTGCAAAGGATGTGATCTTATTCCTTTTCATGGCTGCATAGTATTCCATGGTGTCTATGTTCCACATTTTCTTTATCTAGTCTATCATTGATGGGCATTTGGGTTGATTCCATGTCTTTGCTATTGTGAATAGTGCTGCAATGAACATACGTATGCATGAATCTTTATAATACAATGATGTATATTGCTTTGGGTATATATCCAATAATGGGATTGCTGGGTCAAATGGTATTTCTCGTTCTAAATCTTTGAGGAATGGCAACACTGTCTTTCATAATGATTGAGCTAATTTACTTTCCCACCAACAGTGTAAAAGCATGCCTATTTCTCCACAGCCTTACCAGCATCTGTTGTTTCTTGACTTTTTAATAATCACCATTCTGATTGGCCTGAGATGGTATCTCATTGCATTTCTGTAATAATCAGTGATGCTAAGCTCTTTTTCATGTTTGTTGGCTGCATAAATGTTTTCTGTTGAAAAGTGTCTGTTTAGGTCCTTTGCCTGCTTTTTAATGGGGTTGTTTGTACTTGTAAAATTGTTTTACTTGTAAATTTGTTTAAGTTCCTTGTAGATTCTGGATGTTAGATCTTTGTCAGATGGAGAGATTGCAAAATATTCTCCCATTCTGTAGGTTGTCTGTTCACTCTGATGATAGTTTCTTTTGCTGTGCAGAAGCTCTTTAGTTTAATTATATCCCATTTGTCAATTTTTTCTTTTGTTGCAATTGCTTTTGATGTTTTTGAAATTTTTGGCTGTTCCTATGTCCTGAGTGATATTGCCTAGATTTTCTTCTCGGGTTTTAATAGTTTTGGGTTTTACATTTAAGTCTTTAATCCATCTTAATTTTTGTATACGATGTAAGGAAGGGGTCCAGTTTCAACTTTCTGCATATTGTCCCTTGTCTTTCTAAGGGATGCCCCCCACTCACAGAGTTCTGATTATATATTTCCCAGTCTACATTGTGCTATACTTGAGTAAAACCCAATGAAACTATTACTAGTTATGTTTGCCTTCAATGAGAAACTAATTTTTATTGTATTTAAAAATTTTAATTGCTGCCATTGTATAGAAAAAAAAGTAATGGGTTATTTATATTTGTAAAGTTAAATTGCTAAAACTGGTTGGTTCAACTATTTTGACTGGAATTAGTGCTATATGCTCTTGTTATTTCTAACATTTGCATAAAGCTGAGGGTAAAAACTTGCCCCAAATATCCAAGTCTATCCTCTGCTTTTCCATTCACATTCATATGCTTGTGAACTTTCTACTTCTTTGGGGTCACTTGACTTCAATGAAGACTTCCAATGCTCAGAACAATAATAGGAATAAAAGTTTTGTTGTGCTTAATTTTGAAAGTGTTCTTCATTAGAATAAAAGGGGGTGCTATTTGAGAACAGAATTTTTATTATAGCAGCACTTAAGCACATTAGCCTCATGTGTCTTGGGCTCACTGTCGTGGTTCTTACAATTTTGGCAGGCTAGTTTAAAAAAAAAAAGAAAAAAGAAAAACTGGCCAAACAGACAGGCTCCTGGTGCCTCTTGCAAAGCACCAGTAGAACTGTGGAAACAAATATTTGTTTTGAAGTTCTGAATAATTTCACACAATGAAATGTGGCTGTATTTTTTTTTATCTTTAAGTTCTAGGGTGCAAGTGCACAGTGTGCAGGTTTGATACATAGGTATACATGTGCCATGTTGGTTTGCTGCACCCATCAACTAGTCATTTAAATTAGGTATTTCTCCTAATGCTATCCCTCCCGCAGCCCCCCACCCCCCAATATGCCCCGGTGTGTGATGTTCCCTGCCCCATGCAAGTGTTCTCATTGTTCACTTCCCACCTATGAGTGAGAACATGCGATGCTTGCTTTTGTCTTTGTGATAGTTTGCTGAGAATGATGGTTTCCAGCTTCATCCATGTCCCTGCAAAGGACATGAACTCATCCTTTTTATGGCTGCATAGTATTCCATGGTGTATATGTGCCACATTTTCTTAATCCAGTCTATCACTGACGGACATTTGGTTGGTTCCAGGTCTTTGCTATTGCGAATAGTGCTGCAATAAACATATGTGTGCATGTGTCTTTATAGTAGCATGATTTATAATCCTCTGGGTATATAACCAGTAATGGGATTGCTGGGTCAAATGGTATTTCTTGTTCTAGATCCTTTAGGAATTGCCACACTGTCTTCCACAATGGTTGAACTAATTTACACTCCCACTAACAGTGTAAAAGTGTTCCTATTTCTCCACATCCTCTCCAGCATCTGTTGTTTCCTCACTTTTTAATGTTTGCCATTCAAATTGATGTGAGATAGTATCTCATTGTGGTTTTGATTTGCATTTCTCTGATGACCAGTGATGATGAGCATTGTTTCATGTGTCTCTTGGCTGCATAAATGTCTTGTTTTGAGAAGTGTCTCTTTGTATCCTTTGCCCACTTTTTGATGGGGTTGTTTATTTTTTATTGTAAATTTGTTTGAATTCTTTGTAGATCTGGATATTAGCCCTTTGTCAGATGGGTAGACTGCAAAAATTTTCTCCCATTCTGTAGGTTGCCTGTTCACTCTGATGGTAGTTCCTTTTGCTGTGCAGAAGCTCTTTAGTTTAATTAGATCCCATTTGTCTATTTTGGCTTTTGTTGCCATTGCTTTTGGTGTTTTAGTCATGAAGTCCTTGCTGATGCCTATGTCCTGAATGGTACCGCCTAGGTTTTCTTCTATTGTTTTTATGGTTTTAGGTGTAACATCTAAGTCTTTAATCCATCTTGAATTAATTTTTGTATAAGGTGTAAGGAAGGGATCCAGTTTCAGCTTTCTACATATGGCTAGCCAGTTTTCCCAGAACCATTTATTAAATAGGGAATCCTTCCCATTTCTTGTTTTTGTCAGGTTTGTTGAAGATCAGATGGTTGTAGATGTGTGGTGTTATTTCTGAGGACTCTGTTCTGTTCCAATGGTCTATATCTCTGTTTTGGTACCAGTATCATGCTTGTTTTGGTTACTGTAGCCTTGTAGTATAGTTTGAAGTCAGGTAGCATGATGCCTCCAGCTTTGTTCTTTTGGCTTAGGATTGACTTGGCAATGAGGGCTCTTTTTTGGTTCCATATGAACTTTAAAGTAGTTTTTTCCAATTCTGTGAAGAAAGTCATTGGTAGCTTCATGGGGATGGCATTGAATCTATAAATTACCTTGGGCAGTATGGCCATTTTCACAATATTTATTCTTCCTGTCCATGAGCATGGAATGTTCTTCCATTTGTTTGTGTCGTCTTTTATTTTATTGAGCAGTGGTTCATAGTTCTCCTTGAAGAGGTCCTTCACATCACTTTTAAGTTGGATTCTTAGGTATTCTATTCTCTTTGTAGCAATTGTGAATGGGAGTTCACTCATGATTAGGCTCTCTGTTTATTATTGGTGTATAGGAGTGCTTGTGATTTTTGCACATTGACTTTTTATCCTGAGACTTTGCTGAAGTTGCTTATCAGCTTAAGGAGATTTTGGGCTGAGATGATGGGGTTTTCTAAATACACAATCATGTCATCTGCAAACAGGGATAATTTGACTTCCTCTTTTCCTAATCAAATACCCTTTATTTCTTTCTCTTGCCTGATTGCCTTGGCCAGAACTTCCAACACTATGTTGAATAGGAATGGTGAGAGAGGGCTTCCTTGTCTTCTGCTGGTTTTCAAAGGGAATGCTTCCAGTTTTTGCCCATTCAGTATGATATTGGCTGTGGGATTGTCATAAATAGCTCTTATTATTTTGAGATACGTTCCACCAATATCTAGCTTATTGTGAGTTTTTAGCATAAAGGGCTGTTGAATTTTGTCAAAGGCCTTTTCTGCATATATTGAGATAATCATGTGGTTTTTGTTGTTGGTTCTGTTTATGTGATGGATTACATTTATTGATTTGCATATGTTGAACCAGCCTTGCATCCCAGGTATGAAGCTGAATTGATCGTGGTGGATAAGCTTTTTGATGTGCTGCTGGATTCAGTTTGCCAGTATTTTATTGAGGATTTCCACATCAATGTTCATCAGGGATATTGGTCTAAAATTCTCTTTTTTTTGTTGTGTCTCTGCCAGGCTTTGGTGTCAGGATGATGCTGGCCTCATAAAATGAGTTAGGGAAGAGTCCCTCTTTTTCTATTGATGGGAATAGTTTCAGAAGGAATGGTACCAACTCCTTTTTGTACCTCTGGTAGAATTCGGCTGTGAATCTGTCTGGTCCTGGACTTTTTTTGGTTGGTGGGCTGTTCATTATCGCCGCAATTTCAGAGCCTGTTATTGGTCTATTCAGAGATTCAACTTCTTCCTGGTTTAGTCTTGGGAGGGTGCATGTGTCCAGGAATTTTTCCATTTCTTCTAGGTTTTCTAGTTTATTTGCGTAGAGGTGTTTGTAGTATTCTCTGATGGTAGTTTGTATTTCTGTTGGATCGTTGGTGATATCCCCTTTATCATTTTTATTGTCTATTTGATTCTTCTCTCTTTTCTTCTTTATTAGTCTTTCTAGCAGTCTATCAATTTTGTTTATCTTTTCAAAAAACCACCTCCTGGATTCATTGATTTTTTGAAGGGTTTTTTGTGTCTCTATCTCTTTCAGTTCTGCTCTGATCTTAGTTATTTCTTGCCTTCTGCTAGCTTTTGAATGTGTTTGCTCTTGCTTCTCTAGTTCTTTCAATTGTGATGTTAGGGTGTCAATTTTAGATCTTTCCTGCTTTCTCTTGTGGGCATTTAGTGCTATAAATTTCCCTCTACACACTGCTTTAAATGTGTCCCAGAGATTCTGGTATGTTGTGTCTTTGTTCTCATTGGTTTCAAAGAACATCATTATTTCTGCCTTCATTTTGTTATTTACCCAGTAGTCATTCAGGAGCAGGTTGTTCAGTTTCCATGTAGTTGTGCAGTTTTGAGTGAGTTTCTTAATCCTGAGTTCTAATTTGATTGCACTGTGGTCTGAGAGACAGTTTGTTGTGATTTCTGTTTTTTTTACATTTGCTGAGGAGTGTTTTACTTCCAATTATGTGGTCAATTTTAGAATAAGTGTGATGTGGTGCTGAGAAGAATGTATATTCTGTTGATTTGGGGTGGAGAATTCTGTAGATGTCTATTAGGTCTGCTTGTTGCAGAGCTGAGTTCAATTCCTGGATAACCTTGTTAATCTTCTGTGTCATTAATCTGTCTAATATTGACAGTAGTGTGTTAAAGTCTCCCATTATTGTGTGGGAGTCTAAGTCTCTTTGTAGGTCTCTAAGGACTTGTTTTATGAGTCTGGGTGCTCCTGTATTGGGTGCATATATATTTAGGATAGTTAGCTCTTCTTGTTGAATTGATCTCTTTACCATTATGTAATGGCCTTCATTGTCTCTTTTGATCTTCGTTGGTTTAAAGTCTATTTTATCAGAGACTAGGATTGCAACCCCTGCTTTTTTGTGCTTTCCATTTGCTTGGTAGATCTTCCTCCATCCCTTTATTTTGAGCCTATGTGTTTCTCTGCACATGATATGGGTCCTCTGAATACAGCACACTCATGGATCTTGACTCTTTATCCAATTTGCCAGTCTTTGTCTTTCAATTGGGGCATTTAGCCTGTTTACATTTAAGGTTAATATTGTTATGTGTGAATTTGATCCTGCTCATTTTGATGTTCGCTGATTATTTTGCCCGTTAATTGATGCAATTTCTTCATAGCATTGATGGTCATTCCAATTTGGCATGTTTTTGCAGTGGCTGGTACTGGTCATTTCTTTCCATGTTTAGTGCTTCCTTCAGAAGCTCTTGAAAGGCAGGCCTGGTGGTGACAAAATCTCTCAGCATTTGCTTGTCTGTAAAGGATTTTATTTCTCCTTCACTTATGAAGCTTAGCTTGGCAGAATATGAAATTCTGGATTGAAAATTCTTTTCTTTAAGAATGTTGAATATTGGTCCCCACTCTCTTCTGGCTTGTAGGGTTCTTGCTGAGAGATCTGCTGTTAGTCTGATGGGCTTCCCTTTGTGGGTAAGCCGACCTTTCTTTCTAACTGCCCTTAACATTTTTTCTTTCATTTCAATGTTGGTGAATCTGACAATTATTTTTCTTGGAGTTGCTCTTCTCAGGGAGACTCTTTGTGGTGTTCTCTGTATTTCCTGAACTTGAATGGTGGCCTGCCTTGCTAGATTGGGGAAGTTCTCCTGGTTAATATCCTGAAGAGTGTTTTCTAACTTGGTTCCATTCTCCCCATCACTTTCAGGTACATCTATCAAACGTAGATTTGGTCTTTTCATATACTCCCATATTTCATGGAGGCTTTGTTCATTTCTTTTTACTCTTTCTTCTCTAACCTTGTTTTCTTGCTTCATTTCATTAATTTGATCTTCAATCACTGATACCCTTTCTTCCACTTGATCGAATAAAGTATTGAAGCTTTTGCATGCATCACGAAGTTCTTGTGCCATGGTTTTCAGCTCCATCACGTCATTTAAGGTCTTCTCTACACTGTTTATTCTAGTTAGTCATTCATCTAACATTTTTTCGAGGTTTTTAGCTTCCTTGCAATGCGTTTGAGAAAGTTTGTTATTACTGACCTTCTGAAGCCTCCTTCTGTCAACTAATCAAAGTCATTATCCATCCAGCTTTGTTCTATTGCTGGCGAGGATCTGCGATCTTTTGGAGGAGAAGATATGCTCTGGTTTTTAGAATTTACAGCTTTTCTGCTCTTGTTTCTCCCCATGTTTGTGGTTTTATCTACCTTTGGTCTTTGATGTTGGTGACCTATAGATGGGGTTTTGGTGTAGATGTCCTTTTTGTTGAAGTTGTTGTTATTCCTTTCTGTTTGTTAGTTTTCCTTCTAACAGTCAGTTCTCTTAGCTGCAGGTCTGTTGGAGTTTGCTGGAGGTCCACTCCAGACCCTGTTTTCTTGGGTATCACCAGTAGAGGCTGCAGAACAGCAAACATTGCTGCCTGATGCTTCCTCTGGAAACTTTGTCCCAGAGGGGGATCCGCCTATATGAGGTGTCAGTCAGCCCCTACTGGGAGGTGTCTCCTGATTAGGCTACACGGGGGTCAGGGACCCACTTGAGGAGGAAGTCTGTCCATTCTCAGAGCTCAACCGCCGTGCTGGGAGAATCACTGCTCTCTTCAGAGCTATCAGACAGGGACGTTTAAGTCTGCAGAAGCTGTCTGCTGCCTTTTGTTCATCAATGCCCTGCCCACTGAGATGGAGTCTATAGAGGCAGTAGGCCATGCTGAGCTGTGGTGGGCTCTGCCCAGTTCGAGCTTCCTGAACCTACTCAAGCCTCAGCAATGGCGGACATTCCTCCCCCAGCCAGGCTGCCGCCTCACAGTTTGATCTCAGACTGCTGTGCTAGCAGTGAGCAAGCCTCCATGGTCATGGGACTGTGGGGCCAGGCACAGGAGAGAATCTCCTTGTCTGCCAGTTGCTAAAACCTTGGGAAAAGTGCAGTATTCAGGCAGAAGTGTCCCATTTTTTCCAGGTACAGTCTGTCTCAGCTTCCCTTGGCTAGGAAAGGGAAATCGCCCAACCCCTTGCACTTCCCGGGTGAGGCAACACCCTGCCCTGCTTCAGCTCATCCTCCATGGGCTGCACCCACTGTCCAACCAGTCCCACTGAGATGAACCAGGTACCTCAGTTGGAAATGCAGAAATCACCCATCTTCTGCATTGATCACTCTAGGAGCTGCCAACTGGACCTGCTCCTATTCAGCCATCTTGGAAGGGATCTTGTGGCTGTATTTTTTTAAAACTAATTCACTGGAAAGGAAGTTTATGATTCAGAAGTTTATGACTCAGAAGTTCAGATGATTATTAATAAAGTGTCTCAGTACTGAAGCTGTTGCAGTGGGGTTCCCTCACCTCTCCAGAAAAGAACACACTCCTGGGAGCAGCTCCTCTCACCAGTGATTATGCTTATAATCCTTTAATATGAGTCATGATATAGAACACTTTTTGATCCTCACCCTCTCCACTGCCCCACTGCTACTCTCAACCCTGCTATTTTGGCTGCAGCATAAGGCTTCAAAGACCAGACAATTGATTTTTGAAAATTTGATAGAAACTGGAAAAAATAAAAGTAGTTCTCTTCATATGTATGCCTATATAAAGGTAGATATTTCGATTCATCATCGGCGCAGACTGTTTTTGTTTATTTGCTTCTTTTGGAAAGACCATCTGGATTGTTTCTTTAATATCACAAATATGGTCTTAAGGAAAACTGTAGAAATATGGTCATTTTTAGACAGAGCAGCTAAGAGTTCTCTTGAATAATTCAATTTTTATTTGTATAAATTTAAGAGGTACAAGTGAATTTTGTTAGATATACCATGGAGTGGTAAAGTCTAGGCTTTTAATATACTCATCACCCAAGTAATGTATGTTGTACCCATGAAGTAATTTCTCATCACCCACCCCTCTCCCACTCTCATCACCCTTTTGAGTCTCAAGTTTCTATCTGTCCACACTCTATGCCCATGGGTGCACATTATTTAGCTCCCAGTTGTAAGTGACATGTGGTATTTGTCTTTCTATTTTGGAGTTTGTTCACTTAAGATAATTGCCTCCAATTCTATTCATGTTACTGTAAAAGAAACAATTTCATTTTTATGGCTAAATAGTATTATGTTGCATGCATATACCATATTTTCTTTATCCAGTCATGTATCAATGGATGTTTAGGTTAATTCCATATCTTTGTTACTGTGAATAGTGCTGCAACTTGTTATGTGTGTTCAGTTCAAGCTATGTTGTTTTTTGTGTTTTCCTCCTCTGGGTGGATTTGGATTGTTCTTTGTATGGTAAAACATAGTTTGTACTTGTATAATTGTATTTTGGCAGAGCAGTAGCTTACAGGAGATGGTGACTTAAGATGAAGAGAACTGCAAAAAGAATTTTGACCTTGACAGTAAGAGGGATTTAAAAAAGATGGTGAGCTGTTCTTTGTGTACCTCAGTTTAGATGATTTTCCTGATATCATATTGTGATATTAATGGTAAAACTCATGAAGTCTTGATTTGAGATTTAACATATTCAGCATCATACCTGCTTGCAAATTTCCCAACACTTTGGGGTTTATTCATTTTTTTTGTATGTCAAATGAAATCAAATACAATAGTCCCCCTACCCACCCTTATCTGTGGTTTTTCTTTCTGCAGCTTCAGTTACCCATGGTCAACCATGGTCCAAAAATATGAAATGGGAAAATTACAGAAATAAACAATTAATAAGTTTTGACCTTTGTGTTGTTGTGAGTAGCGAGATGAAATCTCACTTCCTGCTCCATCCTTCCTGGGATGTGAATCATCCTTTTCTCCAGCATATCCATGCTGTAGAAGCCACCTGCCCTTAGTCACTTCCTAGCTGTCTCCATGATCAGATCCACTGTCATGGCTTCACCGCGTTTGTGTTCAAGTAATCCTTATTTCACTTAAAAATGGCCCTGAAGTTCAAGAGTAGTGATGCTGGCATATTGTTATAATTGTTTGATGTTATTATTATTGTTGTTAATCTCTTACTGTGCCTAAATTATAAAACTTATCATCAGTATGTGTGTAAAGGAGACAACAGTATATATAGAGTCCAGTACTATCCACAGTTTCAAGCATCCTCTGGAGGACTTTGAATAAATCCTCTGAGGA
The DNA here is from genome assembly GCF_000001405.40 of Homo sapiens. Lineage (NCBI taxonomy): Eukaryota > Metazoa > Chordata > Mammalia > Primates > Hominidae > Homo > Homo sapiens. Next base: position 114,636,032 of record NC_000006.12, read on the forward strand.
TAAGGGGGGACTATGATATACTAATAATTCTATTTTTAATCTGTTTCTCTAAGGCAAGATTTTTGAATTTTTACACTACTTACATTTTAGGATCAGTAATTCTTTCTTGTGGGAATCTATCTTATGCTTTGTAAGATGTTTAACAGTACCTTGGCCTCTACCTATTAGATGTTGGTAATACTCCCTCTCCAAGTTGTGACAACCAAATATGTCTCCAGACATTATCAAATTTTGCTTGAGAGCCAAAATTGTTTCTGGCAGAGAACCATACTGGTCTAAAGCCACCATTTCATTCCTTTCATTCCTTTAATGCTTGCTAAATTATCATGAGGGATCGTAGTCTTGCTATCTCTGGCATTGAATCTCTAATGTTACATATTTTAGTTTTTAAATATGTCAGCACCACACTCCTGATAGCAATTTCAGTATTAGTCATCTATCACTATTATGCTGAGTAACAAATAGCACAGAAATGAAAAGTCACAGTTGCTTGTAACACCTAAGTTTATTTATCACTCATGTTATGTGTTAGCTGAGGCAGCTGTGACTTGGCTGTTTGTCATGTGTCTTCTTCATGCCAAGATGAAGACTTTATTAGTAGTCATCATTTGGAATATGATCTTCTCAAAGCAAAAGGAAAAGTGGAAATACTTAACCATGTGATGGCTCATAAAGTTTCTGCTAGGATATAGAATACTTCAGATCTACTATGCCAGCGCAAGTCATATGGTCAAGCCTGAAGTCAATTGCTTGGGAAAACTTATTCCCATGGGAAGACACTGAAGCTAAGACAGCAAATAATTGAGAACAATGATACAGTCTACAATGAGTACAATAACTCTTTAGGGTTATAGGGCAGGGCTTTATCCCTCTGGGCAGGAGATTTCCCTTTAGGATGTGGATATTCCCACTACCAATTTATCATCCTGAAAAAGGATAGATCCTGAGCAGAAACAAGGGACTGAGGGTTCAGGATCTACAGAGGAGAAAGAGAGAAAACTTTTCTTTAATATGGGCAACTTAATATCTGGATCTGGACTCTGAGGCATACTACATTAATGTACATAAGCTTCCCTCTGCTCCAAATAGATTAATGAGGAAATAAGTAGAGCTTCTTGGATAGGGAAATCGTGACCAAATTTGGCCTGGGTACCCTGAGAGTGGTCTCATCAAACAGCAGTAATAAGTAACTTTCTCTCTCATACTGCATTCTCCATACCTTTGTATGGTACTATGGTACTATGTAGGCTGTGCTGTGGCTGTGTGGATTCAGGGTAAAAGTTGGCAAATGTTTTCTATACGAGGCAAGATAGTAAATATTTTCACCATTCTGGGTAACATGGTCTCTGGCTCAAGTCTTCAATTTTGCCATTGTAGCATGAATGCAACCAGAAACAATTTGCAAATGAACATGTGTGTCTATGTTCCAATAAAACTATAAAAATAGGTGGTTGGGCTAGAAGGCTATAGTTTGTCATTCCCTGGTTTAACATAAAAGCTGGTTCTGTGCTTCAGATAAAGTGATAAAAAACACTTGACTCTCACTCCAATGCATTATCCTCTCTCTAAGGCCAACAGAACTGCAGGAGTTGGCCAGTGGAGGTGCAATACAGTGGTCAGTCTAGGGAGGCTACAGCAGGTTGAATGACACACTTAACCTCTGAGGACCTGCCGAGAGACACCACAGAGAGTGGAAAGCAAAACCTGACACAGTGATATTATTTAGAATTTTTAAAATGCACTCCCTTTCTAGTGTATGTAATATACCACAATCCTTTTTGAGACAGAGTCTCACTCTTTCGCCCAGGCTGGAGTGTAGTGGCATGATCTTGGCTCACTGCAACCTCTGGCTCCCAGGTTGAAGCGATTCTCCTGCCTCAGCCTCCCATATATCTGGGATTACGGGTGTGTGCCACCATGCCCGGCTAATTATTTTTGTAATTTTTCAGTAGAGACAGGGTTTCACCATGTTGGTCAGGCTGGTCTTGAACTCCTGACCTCAGGTGATCCACCTTGTCCTCCCAAAGTGCTGGGATTACAGGTGTGAGTCACCGTGCCCATCCCAGTCCTTTTTCTATGTAGCTCCATCAGAACTAAAATGTTCTGATGGAACTATATAGAAAATATTTTCACATCCCCCTAAAGGCTTTACATTATATATGTATGATAATCTGATTGGTATATTTCATCTGGAATTATTAACAATCATCACCATGATCCATGGTGATGGTAATAAAATGATCTACAAGTATCTACATTGCTGCTCCCATGTGCTTAGCATAATGCAAAAAACTGTAGGACAGTTCAAGGCAAAAGTCCCAAATTTGACTGAGCCAGTTGGGAGTGAAAGAGAGGAGGTATCAAGTTGATGTATACGTTATTGGAGAAATTCCCATGAGTTGGCTAGACCCCAGCTACCACTGTCATGAGGAAAAGGCTGCTCGGGCATTCCTGTCATGCTCAAGGCATCACATTGTGGGAGGAGACGAGGAGTCAGACCTCAGTGATTCCTGCAGAAACAGGCAGGGGCAGCAGTGGTCGACTTTGGCCTTGTCTTTTTCCCAGTTTGCTAAAGTCCTGCCTGTTAAAATGCCACATTCCTTTGGCAAGGGAACTTGACTTTTTCCCCAAAAGACTAAATGTTCCTCCTCCTGACTGAGAGTCACTGTCTGGGTCATGAATTTTGCTTTTGAGCTTCCTTGAGTCTAATGCATGCAACTGACCAGTGAATGAACTTTGGGAATACAACCTATTGCTAGGAAGGGGACTACTTGTTCCTAGATAATTGACTCTCTTCCTTATTTTGTTGTATAGAAAAAAAATAGATCAGTAAGATGAAGGGCTGTGTTGTGAGATTCCTGTTTCTGCTTTCCTCCAAAAGAAAATAATTTAAAGTGATTGAACTGCAGAATCACATTTTTGAGATAGAAAGGCTCTTAAAGATGTTCAAGTCCTTCTTTTAGAATTGAATTAATAACAATAATGATTTCAGATGTTTAAAATAACCAAACTAAAAGGACATAATAATTTTGTTTGTTATGTGCCCTCTCACAGCCCTTGCAATTTTTCATTGAAGGACCAGAGAACCCGTTAATATATAGTCAGGATATTAAAGGTCATCAAGCACATTAAGAAAACTCAATATATGCTCAATGAAGAGTTTATAAATGGTAGTGGCAGAGATTCTAAGCTTTTAATATTATTTCATAAACCATGAAGATAAAAACAGAACAAGATCATGTATCCTCAATTTTAGTGCACATTAATGACAGTAGCCTGCAAAAGCTTATGTACACTGATAAAAGGAAATAAAATTTCCAAGTATTGGAAATTCAGGACTATATTATTGAGTATTTTTTACACCTTAAGTTATCATTTTATAAAACTGAAATATGCACTTGGTGATTTTTATTTTTTTTACCTTCTATATGTTATCATGTTTAATAAAGCCAATTTGAAGTTATATATTCACAAGGATTTTCATATAAGCCGTCATGATCCAAGTTCTTTTAACCAATATTTTTTTTCCTAAAGAGAAAAGCTACATGACTTTTCATTATGTTAAAAGTTCGAGGCAGATCACTTCCTATGGTCTCTACCTTCATAACTTCTGCATCTTGATTTAAACCACACAATATCAATCCCAATAGGCAGCTAACCTCATGTTACCAAAATTTCCATTAAAATTACTTTCTTCCTATTCATTCATAGCAATCCCAAGTTATAGCAAAATCAAATGGGTAACTAAAAATAAATATCTCATTCTGATACCATTATTTTTTGCACACATTGTAAATTAATTAATTCAGCTAAGAAAGAAATGTATCTGCTGATCTTTTAGAACTCCTTGTTTATTACCAGAGACTGTGTTTGCTAACAGATACAATAACTGTAAGGTCATGCTATTAAGGACCTCTATAGTATGTTATTGAGAGTAAGATTTTTTTCTTAAAGATACAGTAAAGTAATTTTGAGGTTATGAGGCATTTTCTTTTCTTCAGCTCTATAAAGGTAAAATGGACATGAGCACTCTAAATATTTTGTGTTAAGCAATAGAAGAATCTCTATAAACATATTAGAAAATAATGTTGAAAAAATAATCATTTTGTCTCCTAGATTGTTGTTTTCTTTAATTTTTTCCCTACTGCTATAATGTGCAGTAGGGAAAAAGATGTCCACAGTCTAACTGCAGGAACTTGTGAATACGTTAGTTTACATGGCAAAATGTACTTTGCAGGTGCAATTAATTAAGACTTTGAGATGAATTGGTTTTCCTGGATTGGCCAAGTAGGACTAATGTAATCACATGGGTTCTTAAAAAGTTTAGAACCATCAAACCCCCTCTGGGCTATTGTCAGAGGGGCATGTAACCGTGGAAGGATAGTTGGACAGATGTAACGTTAGTAGTTTTGAAGATGGAGGAGGGACCACAAATCAAAGAATGTGGGCAGCCTTTTGAAGATAGAGCAAGAAAGAAAACAGATTTTTCCCTTTAGCCTAATAAAAGAAATGCAGCCCTACTGACACCTTGATTTTTAACCCAGTATTGAACCTTTGACTTACAGAAGTATAAAATAATAAATTCATGATATTTTGAGCCTCTAAATTTGGGTCAACTTGTTAGAGAAGCAAAACAAAACTAACTAGCCTCTAAATTTGGGTCAACTTGTTAGAGAAGCAAAACAACCCATGGTTGTTTTCTTAATTATCCAGTTATCCATTTGACCTCAGAATGTATTCAGTCTAACATCTTACAGTATCTCATCTTTTACTGCTTCCTCTGGTTTCATATGTGATAGTTCTTATTAGTACTCAATTTTTCAGATTTCAACAAGAACATAACTTATGCCAAATAGCCTCAACCATATCATATGAACTATGTACTTCTAAAACTTTAATAAGCCTCCATATATGCTTTTAATTTTAAAGTAATTTAACTTCATTTGACCCAATATAAAAAATGCATTTATTTCATTTGGAACTCAGTAACTTTTGTTCATTTCAGGTTTTATTTTCCCCTTCCTATATCCCTTTTAGCTTTTCCTGCATCAGCAACCAGAAGAACAAATAATGGAAAAATTTCCATTGCTAGTAGGTATTACACAATTATCTCTGCTCTCCTTCTTCTCTAATTTATGCAGCAAACATCATTTGGCAATAATCCTAATGGTGAAATAAAAACTAGGAACTTTCAAAGAAACCATTATATTCCCATATAGATAGCCTCCTAAAATTGTCCTGGTCTTGTCCACTAAAACAACCTTCTCTCAAATAAACATCATTAGTAAAATAGATGATGCTTCTTCAGAGATTTTTTTTTCAAACAACAACAACAACAAAACCTCAGTAATTTTCTTCAGAAAAAAATACCCTTACAAAAACATGAGAATTATGGTTTTCTTCTTTAAATAATGTCAAAAATACAAATGTAGATCCTCAAAATAATTCACTATCAACTTAATTGCATCTTGATTTAAGACCAGTATCTCTAGAGTCAGAGAATATTTTTTTCTTCTTTTTATTTAGTTGGAGTATAATTCATATATGATGAAATTCACATATCTTAAAGGTTTATGTCTATGAGTTTTGTAAACTATGTCCCTAATGTTTCCACCAACCATAGAATCCTCTCATCAACCCAGGAAGTGTCTTTGTTCTTGTATCAGTCCATTTTCATGATGCAGTTAAAGACATACCTGAGACTGGGAAGAAAAAGAGGTTTAATAGACTTACAGTTCCACATGGCTAGGAAGGCCTCACGATGATGGCAGAAGGCAAGGTGGAACAAGTCACATCTTACATGGATGGTCAGGCAAAGAAAGAGAAGTTGTGCAGGGGACCTCTCTTTATAAAAATATCAAATCTCAGCTGGGCATGGTGGCTCACACCTGTAATCCCAGAACTTTGGGAGGCCGAGGTGGGTGGATCACGAGGTCAGGAGATCAAGACCATCCTGTGAACACAGTGAAACCCTGTCTCTACTAAAAATACAAAAAATTAGCCAGGCATGATGGCGGGCGCCTGTAGTTCTGGCTACCTGGGAGGCTGAGGCAGGAGAATGGTGTGAACCTGGGAGGCAGAGCTGGCAGTGAGCCAAGATCGTGTCACTGCACTCCTGCCTGGGTGACAGAGAGAGACTCCATCTCAAAAAAAAGAATATCTTGAGACTTATTCACCATCATGAGAACAGCACACGAAAGACCTGCCCCCATGATTCAATTACCTCCTACTGGGTTCCTCCCATGACACATGAGAATTGTACCAGTTACAATTCAAGCTGAGATTTGGGTAGGGACACAGCAAAACCATATCAGTTCCCTTTCCAGTCACTTCCCATGCCCTAGAGGCAAGGGCTTTCTGATTTCTATCACCATAGATTTCTTGTGTCTGATTTTAAACTACGAATTGTACAGTACACTCTCTTTTGTGTCTCTATGTCATTTAACACAATTGTATAATCACTTAACATGTGTGTATGTGTGTGTGCATGTGTGTGTATATCTCTCATGATTCTGTGTCTCTGGAGAACCCTGAGGAATACAATCACATCCATGGATTCACTCAATCTTGGGTAGAAATATTCAAAAAATAATGTGCCTGAACATGTACAGAATTTTTTCCTTGTCCTTATTTCCAAACAATATAGTAAGACAACTACTTATATAACATTTCTATTATATTAGATATTATAAGTAAGATGACTTAAAGTATACGGGAGAATGTGTATGGATTATAGACAAATATATACCATTTTATATCAGGGACTGACCATCTATAAATTTTGGTGTATGTGGGAGGATACCAAAGGAAAATTATAGATAGATAGATAGATAGATAGATAGATATGGGGAGAGAGAGAGAGAGAGAGAAACTTATTATGGGAATTGACTCATGCAATTATGGAGGCTGAGTTCTACCATCTGCTGTCTGTGAGCTGGAGACCCAGAAAAGCCAGTGACATAATTCATGTGTAAAGAATCAGGGGAGCCAAAGTTCTAAGCCCTGGAGTCTGCAGACTCCAGAACCAGAAGCTCCAGTGTCCAAGGGCAGAAGGTGGATGTTTCAGCTCAAGGAGACAGAGAACAAATTTGTCTTTCCTCCACATTTTTGTTCTATTTGGGCCCTCAGAGAATTAGATGATGCCTGCTCATGTTGGTGAGGGTAGATCTTCTTCACTAGATCTATTGATTTAAGTGCTAATCACTGTTGGAAACACCCTCACAGACACACCCAGAAAGAATGTTTTACCAGCTACCTGAGTATCCCTTGGTCCATTCAAATTAATACATAAAATTAACTGTCACATTAACTATAACATGTATGAACTGAACCGTATTACTTATATGACTATATCACAATTCATTTGCCCATTGCCCTGTTGATGGACATTTCTGCTGCTTTTAGGCTTTGGCTACGATAGATAAGGCTACTGTGAACCTTCTTATGTAATATTTTTGTTAACATATGCCCTCAAACCTAGGAGTAGAACTACTGGGTTACATGGGGGAAGAAACTGCCAAACAGTTCTCCAAAGTGATCATGCATTGTCAGTTAGAGTATAATGTAATACAAGGTTCTAGTTGTTTCATAATTTTGGGCCCCATTTGCACTGTCAATTGTTTTTATTTTATACAATTTATGTTAAATAGCATATTATTGTGGTTTTGACTTGTATTTTTACATGACAAATGATGTTAGCTACCTTTTTATGTGCTTATTAAATGTTTGTGTATCTTTATTTGTGATGTACTTTTGGGAGCCATTTTTATATGGGTTTTTTGCTGCAGTTTTAGGAATTTTTTAAATATATGCTGAATATAATTCCTTTGTTAGACATATGTGTGACAAATTTTTTTCCTTTCTGTGGTCCACTTATTTATCTCATTAAGAATGTCTGTTGATGAGTGGATATTTTTATTTTGATGAAGTCTAAATTATTATTTTGTTTCTTTTGTGGTTAGGGCTTTTTAGGTCATGTCTAATAAAAGGTTAATTTTATATGTCAACTTGACAGGTCCAAAGGGTAACACTATTCTGGATGCTGAAATTGGCTGACTGAGTAGAACAGATTACCCTTCCTAATGTGGTTGGGCCTCATCCCATTAGTCAAAAGTTCCCATAAAAGCAAAAGGCTGACCTTCTCCTAAGTGAGAGAGAATGCTTCCTGCCTCCACACTGGAACTAAACCATTGGCCTTCCAGGATCTCCAGCTTGCTGACTCACCCTGAAGATCTTGGAACCTGAGAGCCTCCATAATCATGTAAGCCAATTTCTCATAATAAATCTTTACACACACACACACACACACACACACACACACACACACACACACACAATTGGTTCTTTCTGGAGAACTGTAACATACCTAGTCTAAGGTCATGAAGGTCTTCTCTTGTTTCCTTGTATAAGCTTTAGAATTCTAGCTTTTTTTTTTTTTTTTTTTTTTTTTTTTTTTGAGAAAGGGTTTTACTCTGTCACTCAGGCTGGAGTGCAGTGGCATGAACACAATTTACTGCAGCCTGGACTCCCTAGGCTCCAGTGATCCTCCTGCATCAGCTTCCTGAGTAGCTGGGACAACAGGAGCATGCCAGCATGCCTAGCTAATTTATTTGTTTATTTATTTATTTATATATTTTTTGAGACAGAGTCTCACTCTGTCGCCCAGGCTGGAGTGCCGTGGTGAGATCTTGGCTCACTGCAAGCTCCACCTCCCGGGTTCACACTATTCTCCCGCCTCAGCCTCCCTAGTAGCTGGGACTACAGGCAGCCACCACCACACCCGGCTAATTTTTTGTATTTTTAGTAGAGACGGGGTTTCACTGTGTTACCAGGATGGTCTCAATCTCCTGACCTCGCGATCCGCCCACCTCGGCCTCCCAAAGTGCTGGGATTACAGGCGTGAGCCACCGTGCCTGGTCGTTAATTTCTTAATTTTTTGTAGAGATAGGGTATTGCCATGTTGCCCAGGCTGGTCTCAAACTCTGGGGATTAAGTGATCCTCCTGCCTCAGCCTCCCGAAGTGCTGGGATTATAGGTGTGAGCTACCATGCTGGGCCATTGTCTTAAATGAATTTTTGAGTACGGAGCAAAGTAGGAGTTGAGATGATTTTTTATTCCTCCCTGAATATTTTCCATTGTTCCAGCATAATTTCTTTAAAAGCTTTTCTTTCCCCATTGAAATGACTTTGTAAATTGATCAAAAATCAGTTGTCCATATAGATGCGCAAATATTTCTGTACTCTATATTTTCCTAATGTTTATTTTTCCAGGTGCTATTACCATAGTGTCTTAAATATTGTAACTTTACAGTAAGGCTTGTAATTAGATATAGAAGGTCCTCCAAATTTGTTCAAGATTGTTTTGATATTTGTATTTCCATATAAATTCCAAAATGAATGTGTCAGTACCCTCCAAAAAATGTCTGGAACATTTTGGGTATTGCATTGAGCCTGAAGATGTGAAATAAACATATTAGCATTATTGAATCTTATACTTCATTTGCATGTAATATCTATTTAAGTTTTCATTAATTACTCCTCACAATATTTTAAGTTTTTAATATAAACATTTTTCACACCTTCTGTTAGATTTGCTTCTAGGTATTTGGTATTTTCTAATGTTATTGTTTCTTAATTTTGATCTTCTCTGAATATAAATTAGGTATTATAGATAATTTATAATAAAAAGAAATATATATATTTTTAAGAAAACTCTATAACTTCTGCGTCTGGGACCATTTCTATGTCTGCTCTTCTTGAGTATCTCCTCTCTTTACTGTGAATCAGATTTTTATACTTATTGTGAGTTACATACTTTTTATTATATGCTGGATATTATGTATAAAATAGAGGCTGAAATAAATATTTATACCTAGAAAAGCTTATGTTCTGAGAAAAAAAGGCAGCTCAGTGTAGTTTTAAGAATATTAGGCATGGAAATTTATCAGGTCCAAAAAGACAAGAGCAGAGACTTTGGTCGCTCTCCTAAACCACTCCTACCCCAACACACCCATCATGTTCTGGTTTAATTGTAGAAAGGCATTTTGTTTTTTCTTTCCTTCTAAGTAGTTTCCAGACTAGCTGATAAATTACCTAAAATGTTACCACAAGTTGCACAATGTGACCTTCACACATTATCTTCACGTTCCTGGAATTTGTGATACAAAAAATGATGTATAGCCAACCAATAACTTATGTCAACTTAAGAACTGCCCTTTCTTTTTTCCTTTAAAAACTGACTTGTAACTGCTGCTAATCAAAGCATACATTCAGGGCAAGTTGAACCCATAGCTTCTGGGTTTATGGTCTTCAAACTTGGCCTAAAGAAACTCTCTGCTTATACTAATTTTGTCGCAGTTTCTTTCCTTAGGTTGACAGTTTCTTCTTTTGTCAGGCTGTTAAGCGTGGGGAGCTGAGTTCATCTAAAAGGTATTTGATTTGGGTAGACTTTGATGCAGCTCCAGTTAGTTTTAGTTTACAATTGGTTTCAGACTTTGGAGAATCAGGACTTTTCCTTAATCAGGGATTGAGATTCTAGCATGTCAAGACTCTTTATGCTTTACGACTTAGGTGCCAGTTTTCTGAATGATGTGAAATTTTCTCTCTCTCTCTCTCTCTCTCCCTCTCTCTCTTTCTCTCTCTCCCTCTCTCTTTCTTCTTTAAAGTCTGTAAGCCCACTTTATAGAGGCTAGGGCATTCTTGTCCTCCATCTCCATCTCTGACTTTCCAAACATTAGAAGATCTTCTGTCCTACTGACATTTCCTCGGCTTTCTGAAGGCCTTTACAAGTGTGTTGCATGACAGCTTGGAGTGCTTCATGACTTCTAGCAATCCTGCATTACTACCCTCAGTCTTCAGCAAGATGTAGCCTTACTTGTGGAAGAAGGCCTATTTGCCTTAGGGGATGGGGGCACGCTCTCAACTCTCTCAGATTTCGTTGCATTAAAACTATTCATGCATTCACTAAAGACTCAAAAAAAGTTAATAAGTGAGTGTAAACTCCAAATGGCTTGGGCTCCTTAGGATTTCCATTAATCGATACAGGCCACATATAGCCATTGAAAGTTCATTAAAATTTAGCTGGTTGCTCCTTGCCCCAGTGCAGGTGATTTTGATGATAGCAGTGCAAGTTTCTTCTCTTCTAGAAGAGTTCATCATTTTCTGGAGTTTAATTCATTCAGGTTCTCTTTGACCTCGGCTATCTGGTGGGTGTAAAAAATAGTATAATGAAGTTTTTCTGGCTTGTTCTCATTACTGTTTTGTATGAGAATCAGAAGTCCAAAATCAATGTGTTCCTTTGAAGTCGATGGTGTTGCCAAGAGCCAATGGTCTGGAATTGTTCTTACATCTGAAAGCAACTTCTTTAATTTTATATTTTTCTTCTGTTTTTGATTTATCTGTCATTGATTTATGGTGATGATAAAGTCACCTAATTTTGAAAAGACGAATTCTTTGGGAACCCAACATAAACTTTTAAGTCAAGAAAAAATGTTTGCTATTTCATATGCCTGAATAAAAGAAATGTGAAGTTTTTTAAAATCAGATGGCTCTGCCTTTGCTAGTCCAACGATATGGTTTGGCTGTGTCCCCACCCAAATCTCATGTTGAATTATAGCTCCCATAATTCTCATGTGTTGTGAGAGCAATTCTGTGGGAGATAATTGAACCATGGAGTTGGTTTCCCCCATACTGTTCTCAGGGTAGTGAATAAGTCTCAGGAGATCTGATGGTTTTATAAGGGGTTTCCCTTTTCACTTGGCTCTCCTTTTCTCTCTTGTCTGCCACCATGTAAGACATGCCTTTTACCTTCTGCCATGATTGTGAGGCCTCCCCACCCACATAGAACTGAGTCAATTAAGCCTGTTTTTCTTATAAGTTACACAGTTTTGGGTATGTCTTTATCAGCAGCAGGAAAACAGACTAATATTCCCAGTAAGCTATGTCTTTCAGAGATGTACATTAAGCCATAACTTAGTGTTTCTATATAATAATAATTTCTATGGGTTCACATTTTTGTGTGAGTGGAAACTTGTCTTTTGATTAGGAAGGCTGGTGTGATTATGAGTACATTTCCATCCTTTGAGGTCCCTACTTCCTACTTCTCAAGGGTAGATATTTAAGAGTCTTTCCCTTACCTTCTTACCTTTCTGTGCTCTACTATCTGGACACTCTAACAACAGTGTGGTGGTTAATAGCTTGGGCTCAGGAGCCTGATGGTTTTTATTTTTTATTTTTACTTTTTGTGGGAATATAGTAGGTGTATATATTTATAGGATATGCAAGCTATTTTGATACAGGCATGTAACGCATAATAGTCACATTGAGGGTAAATGGGTATCCATCAACTCATGCATTTATCTTTTCTTTGTGATACAAGCAATCCAATTATACTATTTTAGTTATTTAAAAATACAATAAATTATTGTTGACTGTAGTCCCCCTGCTGTGCTATCAAGTACTAGATCATATTCATTCTATCTAACTATATTTTTGATGGTTTTGATTGGTACCTTAATCACAGTCCATCTGTTGGGCAACTAGGTCATGGTACTTAATCTCTCTAGTCTTCAGTTTTCAAATTTATCACATGCAGAAAGTAGCACTATCTATCTCACATAGTAATTTTTAATATTAAATTGGTTGATACATAAAAACCTTTAAAATAGTGTACAGCACATAATGAGTACTTAATAAATGTTAGCTTATATTATTTCATAGTGTTTAAAGAACAATTTCAATGGCTAGGTGGTGTGGAAAGCAATTTGCAAGCACCATCTCACTAAGAATCCCTAAAATCCTGGGAGACCAGTATGAACACAGCCACTATGCTGATGAGGAAGCTCAGACTCAGGTGGCACGATTTATAAGGTAAAACCAGAGACAAACCCAGTTCTGTTTGATTCCAGAGCCACGGTCTTAACCACTACCTTGATAACTTTCATTTCCAGTGGCATTTCCCATGAAAATTTTTCCAGCATTCACTTGCATAAAATGTTCCAAGGATTTAATTTCTCAGTAGAATAATTGCAAAGGAATGCAGAAGTTCTTGATTCTAAGACCACATATCACTATGGTTATCAGTAAGCTTACAATGTTCCCTTTTAATCAACACCATCAAAGGCTATAGGAACATACCAGAGACATGCTCAATGCCAAGTAACTCAACCCTAACAATCACAATAGCTGATATTTATTGATAACTTACAATGTGCCTAAAAAAACTACGCTAAATAATTTAAATTTATCGTCTCAGTCACTATTTGGAAAAATTCTGTTGTAAAAAAGGTATTTGTGCCCTTAACTACAGCTGAGGACACTGAGGCTTAATTGAGGTTTAATTACTTGTCCGGTGTTATGGTTTGCATGTGTTGGAAACTTAATCCCCAAAGCAACAGGAAGGTGGGGCCTAATAAGAGGTGATTAAATCATGATGGTGGAGTCCTCGTGAATGAATTGATGTTCTTATCTTGGGAGCAGGTTAGTTATTGACAGACTGGGTTGATATAAAGCAAACTTGGCCTCTGGTGCCTCTCTGACTGGTGCACCTGCTTCTACCTTACATCTTCTGCCTTGAGATGATTCTTTCCAGACACCAGCATTATGCCTTTGGATGTTCCAGCCTCCAGTATTGTGAGAAATAAATTTTTCTTCTTTATAAATTACCCAGCCTCTAGTATTCTGTTATACCAGCAAAAAATGGACTAAGACACCCAGGGTGATACAATTTGTAAGAAATAGAGCTAAGAATTTCTTCCTGGTCTTCTTGACTCCAGGGTCCATATTTCTAATGACTTCATGCAGAGAGACTGACTGCTCTAGTTTGCTTGGGACCAAAGGTTTTCCCAGGATGTGAGACTTTTAGTGCTAAAACTGGAACAGATTTAGGGAAACCACCATGCTGGGTGTCTTAGTCCATTTTGCATTGCTATAACAGAATATCTGAAATTGTATAAAGAACTGAGATTTATTTCTTACAGTCCTGGAGACTGGGAAGTCTAAGGTTGAGGAGCGCACATCTGGCAAGGGCATTCTTGCTGCATCATCCCATGGCAGAAGGCAGAAGGGCAAGAGGGCACACAAGAGAGAGTGTGTGGAAGAGAGCCAAACTTATCCATTTATCGGGAATCTGCTTTTGTGGTAACTAATCTACTTCCACGATAAAGTCATTAATCTATTAGTGAGGGCAGAGCCCTCTGAAGATTAATTTCCAACACACAAATTGTGAGGGACACATTCAAACAGTAGCAGTGGGCCACCTTACAATTCTGGCTGTTGTTTCCTGTGAATGCTGTTCAAAATTACTTGTATAAGGACCTTGGGGTTGGAAGGGTAATAGTATAGGAAATGGGGATGATCCTGTTTTAGAATACAATAGCATTCAGGACATCCTTAAGGTCTTCATGATCTTCTGGACTCTTAACACCTTCATTACCTTTCTTAACACCTTCCTTCTTGAGGCTGTTAAAGAAACTAGCATACCTCAAGAGATTAAAAAAGCCTGTGGACTCTGGAAAATCTAGAAAAAAACTGTAGGATGTACTACATTCCATTAGTTTCTGAATTTTTCATGGCATAAAGACTTTTCTATATTACAGACATTTGTACTTCAATATTAGAATAGAAAACCAAGTTATATTAAGGGGAATTTTACCTTTTTTCAGGCAGAAGAAACAAGAAGTTAAGAGTCAGGTGTGCCTCAGCAGTAGGTGTACAAGGAAAGACAGAGTAATCTATGGGAGTCAGTAAGTAGATAGATTTTAAGAGATTGCTCTACAAGAGGCTTTTATTTGCTATTCTGAAAAATATAAAAGAAAACTTACCAGATCAATGACTTAGTGAGGCCATTAGGGAATCAGCAATTGCCAATTCTGCTGAATAAAAGCTGTTTAAGTAGACAGACAGGTGGGCGCCCTTACGGGGTCTTAGGACAAAGAGTGTGAGGATGGAAAATTAATGAAGCCTCTCAATGCTCAGAAATAGAGTTCTAAGTAGAGCTCTGCTCTCAAGGCCAGAGGAGAAAGAACTGTGAATTCTTACAGCTGATTTGCAATCATAATCTGATCAGATAATGCATGAAAGGAATTCCAAGGGGATGATGAAGCAAAATTTTTTCCTTTCTAGATGGCTTCACCTCCCTCCTTCCTATAATTTTTTAAAGTAACTATTTACCAAAAGGGTATTACATTTTAGGGGGAGGAATTTTTGGAATACTTTTGTGTTCTGTTAATGCTGATTTTAGGGAAGAGTGCTTTGTTTCTTTTAATTTTTGTTTTGTTTTGATGAGTGAGCAAAACTCCTAAATTTCTAGATATTTTGAGAAGGCTGACATAATAATCATAATCAAAGCATTTTATTGGGTGCTTGTTCTGTGGCAGAAACAGTATTAATCCATTTTTAATGGTATTTTAGGTAATCCTCATAATTACCTTCAAGTTTTCTCACATTTTATTGATGGCAAAGCAGTTACACAGCACTTATGTCACTTGTTCATGATCTCACACCTAATAGGTGTCACAGAAAGGATATGAATATTTATGTGCCTGTTTCCAAAAAAAATCTCTGACACTTCCTGAATGAATATCTGGGTCATAACACTAACTAAACCACCAAGAAATAGAGATAATACACGAGGAAGAAGGGAATTTGGAATTGTTATTAGAGGAAAAAAATGATGAATACCAGTTGTGATTTTGAAAACAACTGTAGTTTGTCCTAACATCCCTTTTCTGAATATCCCCTTAGGAGTAAAGGCCTCCAAAGTCTGAACGAAGAGCTCATGAATATGGGGAAGTGGGTCTGCATGATGCAAAGAGGACTGTGGCTGCCAGAAAGATGCTCTGCTAGGATCTTCTATCCAGAAAGAATTTACTATTTAGCTCCAAGGACTGCAGTTAGCTGACAACTTTTAGCTGTGAGTGCTTTAAAGATCTACTTTAGTTTTTAAGCTGAAGTTAGGCTTCTCCTTCACAATGCCCCCAGCCAGTTATTGACTGTGAAAAGATACTAGGGTATGGATAAATATCAAAAGAATAGACTCCTCTCTGGGTGATCTTTATTCTGGAGCTCCATTAGATTGGCCAGACTTTGTCAAATTTCTACTGTGGTCTGAAGCTCTCCTTGAAAAATCCTGCTTCCTCTTCTTTTTCCTTCCATAGGTATCAAATCTGTATTATTTTCTGTGGCCTTTCCCTGCCCAATTCTGCTTCTCCCTCAGTTTACATTTCAGTCATTATCCCTTCCTCAATTTATATTTCATAGTCATTATCCCCTTCCTTCCACACAATAATCTTCTTGTACTCCTATCATTGCCTCAGCCTCTGCTTCCCAGAACACCCAAGTGACACAAACTCCCTACCCCAGTTATTACCACAGTTGAGCATTCAATCTGACAGCCACAGAAATCAATATTCAACACTGGATATAGTTCTATCCCTTGTGGAGATCAAGCAGCCATTTGGTCTGAAGTTGATTATGTTAGCCATCTTCTGTCTTCGAAGATGCAGTGATTCATCTTGACTGGAATTGATTCACATTTTCAATACGGATTTGGCTTTCCTGCCTGCAAGGACTTAGCCAGTGCCAATATTCAAGGGATTTCATAGTGCTTGATTCACCAATATGTGATCCCACATAGCATCTCCCTGAATCAAGGGACCCACATTACAGCAAAGTTGCTATGTCAATATGTACATAATCATGAGGGTCACTGGGCCAGATGATAGTGCATCATTCAGAAGCTGCTGGAATAAGAGAGAAATTGATTAGTCTGTTGGAGGTGCAGATGAAGAACCAGCTTGGACATTAGATTCTGCAAAACTGGGGTAACACTTTTTGGGATGTAGAAATATCAGTATATCGTTCTGTGTCTCTAATAATAGAATAAATGGGTCTCCAAAAAGGGGACAGAAGTTGGCATAACCTTGCTTATCATCACCTTAGTGACCCACTTAGGTAATTTGTGCTTCTTCTTCCCATAATTCTAGACTCTCTAGTCTATAAATTCTTGTTTATAGAGGGGAAATGCATCTAATTTGGGACATAGTGAGACTCCCATTAAACTTTAAGCGATGACTCCTGCTCCTTCAGATTTCTTCTTCCAATAGACAATCAGGCAAGGAAAGGAGTTAACCTGGCAGGGGTAATTGATTCTGATCATCAAGATATGCTAGGGATGCTATTACACAATTTGGGCAGGGAGGAATATGCTTGGTATCCAGGTGATCTCTTGGAGCTTTTCTGGGTACTTCTTTGTCCGATATTGATAATCAATGAACAAGTGCAGCAGCCAGTGCATGAGAATGGCAAGATGACCAGGGATAAAGGTCTATATCATCTTACTCCAGTGCATCATAATCACGATGCCTAGACCAGTAGAGATGCTGGCTGAGGGTGACTGTAATCTGGAATGGGTGGAAAATTGAAGAGATGATAAGCATTAGTTGTGACCTCGAGACTAGCTACAGCAATGTTTCTTTTTATTAACCTTCCACTTCTAATTTTCCCCATGAAAAGAGATCAATCAGAATCCCAGAACAGCTGTGTTCTAGATGAAGCAAATTTGATATCACATTGTTTAACTTAATAACACATCGTTCCAAGCAGGTCAAATGGTGAACTGTATTGCGTATTGTAGTGTGTTAGAACCATATATTCCCCTAGCCCAGCTTCTAAGAGTTTTGACTGCTGAGGGCTGGGAGCTGAGGTCTTCCTTAGGAACTTGGTTTGGCCAAAGGAAGCTGCTTTGCCCATAGTTACTTCTCCTATAATGAAAAAGGGGAAAAGTGCAACAAAAAGCTGTATTATTCGCACTGCTTTGCCTCATCCTCAAGTTTGGTGGAACTCTGCCAGCCACCAACACCTGGTAAATTACATCTCTTGAGCTTATTTGAGCTACATTCATCTTCTGAAATGAATTGTGTTTCCATAGGCATGATTGTTTTAATAAAAGGAAATAACAGAATAATGTTAGGGATTCACTTAGCAAATACAATTAGCTAGAAACATAACAGAAATTATCATTGAGAGCTGAAACTAGGGTGAGGTGAGTGAGGCACTTCCCTCAGGTGTAAGATTCAAGAGAATCTCAGAAAACTCAAGGTGGGTAATATTTAATGCAATTTCACTAAGAGTAGATTCTAAGTGTCTTCACAACAGAAAATAAGTATGCATATGTTGATTAGGTAAATTTAGCTATTATACAATGTATACATATTTTACTATATTTGAAATATGTATATATTATTCCTCATGTTATACATAATAAATATAAAATGTGTCAAAAATAAGTTGAAAATTAAAAACAATGCAAAACAACCATGATAAATGAAATATCAAAAATTTTTTTAAAAGATCACTACTCATGCTTTTTTGTTTAGCATTTAACTCTAGCATGTCTTGGCACAGCACTGTTGCCATGCCAAGACAATATTAGGTTGTCTTGTTCACATTTTGGAGGGGCTTATTTTGTAAGGTCATTAGGATGATATTTAGAGGCTGGGAAGGGGAGTAATTTGTGAAATGAATCCCGTGATTGGAAAGACATAACATGCCACCTAAAGGTTCATTACTTATCACCTCATTGGGGTTGGAGAAACAGTTTTTGAGAATATTTTAGACACAACTTTTATTTTAGCAGAACATTGGACTACATGAATTCTTCCTACTTTCAAAGTGCATGACTTTTTAAAGCATGTATCATTTATTCTGTTATATTCAAAATTAAAAAAAATTTAAATAAAATGTTTTAATCAGATTGTTGTTTTAGTATACAGACACTTTTCCTCAGGGAAAAGACATTGTTAGGTTATTATTATCCAAAATGATAAAGGCAGCAAGTCATTTTTTATTCAAATACTAATCTGATGAAGGTTTAGAAGGTTCAGAGCAATAGAAAACAGAATATTCAAAATAAATACATTCTGGGGTCATAATGTAAGTGTTTTATTTGTGGTATCTATCTTATTAATAAATTAAAACTGATTCTTACATGAATCAAATAATTTAAAAGGATGCAAGTAATTCACTGAGCAAAACTCTGCTTCAGGTCAGATTTTCAGTCTTTGCAAAATCCCGAAAATGTGATTTCTATGTTCATTACACTAAAACAAAGAAAACCCATTAAAATAATGTTGCACTGACAAATTAAAGTTTGTATTTTAATTTTCCCTGATACCGTTAACATTGTAGATTATTAAAACTAAAATACTTTTAGAAATCCAATTTATTTTCATTCTTTAAGGTCATTTTATTTTTTTGTATTCTTCTCAGGTTGGGAACTGAATGAAGGCTGGTTTTTCTTTTTTGTTTTAAGCCTATTTATTTTCTGGTCTTCATGCAGTATAATTGTTTTATAAACAAAGTTGGAAAAGAGTTTAAATGAACATTTCCATAATAATGTTTAAAAATGTTCAGGAACATTTTTTTTCAAATTGTTCTAAAAAATATTCACTGAGTTCTTCCATTAATTTGCCTAAAAATTACAATAAAATAACAATAAATAATATTTATGACTATGAGCCACCTGAAGTTTGAAATATAATAAACTCTCACTGTCAAAGAGAAATGTCAGCTTTAAAATAGTAATGACTTGTAAAGTGAGAGGCCATGCATGTAATGGTATTTAAAGATCTTAGGTGACTCATATTTCTAATTATTCATAAAAACATTCATGTTGTGATGTGGAATATTTTTGGGGGCATTAAAAGTAATATTAAAGCAAATTACATAATATAGAAAAGTATAGGCCAGGCGCAGTGCTCATGCCTGTAATCCCAGCACTTTGGGAGGCCGAGACGGGCAGATCACGCGGTCAGGAGGTTGAGACCATCCTGGCTAACACGGTGAAACTCCGTCTCTACTAAAAATACAAAAAAATTAGCCGGGCTTGGTGGCAGGTGACTGTAGTCCCAGTTACTTGGGAGGCTGAGGTAGGAGAATGGCGTGAACCCGGGAGGCAGAGCTTGCAGTGAGCCGAGATTGTACCACTGCACTCCATCCTGGGTGACAGAGCGAGACTGTCTCAAAAAAAAAAAAAAGAATATATATATATATATATATATATATATATATATATATATAGAGAGAGAGAGAGAGAGAGAGAGAGAGAGAGAGAGAGAGAGAATAAATAATACATAACAAATTTACTTATATATATTTCCATATATGAAAACTGCAAACATTTTGTTGTGTTTTCTCCAGGATATATTTCTATTTTTCTCAGTACTCGAAATATAGTTACTAATCAGCCGTTTTTTACTTAACATTATATGCCATTAACATTTTCCAATATCATTAAGAATTCTTCCAAAATGTTTTTATTAATTGCATGTTATTGTGAAGCATAAACAAAATACAAAATAGTATTTTCCCCTCATTCCTGTGCTTACAGCATTTCTATTGTCTTGCTTCACATTTTTGTTATTAATATAAACATTGAAATGAACATCATCAATTTGAAACTTTTCATGTATTCATCATTAATTTATTCATATACTTTTCTAGAAGTTGAACTGCTGAGTAAAGAGGATTAAATATTTTCCAGATTTAACATACATTGGTAAACTGTTTTCTAGGAATGATGGACCAATTCACATTCCAAATAACAATAAAAAGCAATGATCAATTTAGACTTGAGACCATTGCACTTGGTCTTTTGAGTATTCATTAAAAATTCTATAGGTGAAAAATTGCAACTTCTTGTTTTAAATTACATTTATGTAATTACTAGTTAGCTTAAGTTTAAAACAAATGTATTCATTAAATCATTTCTTTTTCAGTGAGTTTTACACTAATGTTCTTTCTCCATTTTTTGTATATTGTATTGTTTTTCTTTGTAAATTAAAAATATTAACTATCTGTTGTATTAATTGAAAATATTTTTCTTAGTTTTTTAATTAGCTTTTAAACATTTTATGTGTGTGTATTGTAGTTTTTACGTATTTATGTGCTTTTCTCTCTTTTTTAGAAGGTTTATTTTTAATAATTAGGAAATGTTTTCTAGTTCAGAGATGAGATAATTATTTTACTAACCTAGTATCTTCTAATTTCTCCTTGCTTTTCCTTTATGATTTCTCTCTCTAAACTTAGTCCAACTTTCTGGAGTTTATTTCAGTGTTTGGATCGAGAAAGAAACTTTTAGTTAAAAAATACAATTTTAAAAAAATTAAAATAAGAAATGAAAAGTTTAATCTCCCTTTTCACTACTTCCTGCCTCCAGTTTCCATGCAAAGAAGTAACCTTAATATATATTTATTCATTTACTATTTCATGTATTCATTTTAGATTACTCATCCATTTGGCAAAGATTTTAGAGGTCCTACTATGTATCAGCCACTATTGCAAATACCAGAGATAAAGGTGAACTGCCTTCACAGAACCCTCCTTGTAACAGAGTGAAGCAGAGAAGATTAAGAGTTAAATACACGAATAAATGCAATAATTTCAGAGAGTGATCAATGTTATGAAGAGGGGGAAAACACATTAATGGTATAAAGAGCAATGTGGAGGGGCACTGAGGGAAAATTTCATTTCTCATCTCTTGCATTTTACTTCTTATTTTATATAGGTGATTAAAAAATCTTTCTGAGGAGGCGACATTTAACTTAAGATGTAGAGGAAGAGGCATCAGCTATGGAAAATTTGGGTAAAGTAGTTCCAAGCAGAGGGAGGAGTAAATATAAAGGCGCTGAGGTAGAACCAGATTGATATATTTGAAGAACAGAAAAAGAAGGGCCAGAAGCACTGAGGTTTAAGGGGGGAAAAAGGCACCCCAGTAAGGGCAGAGGTAATTTCCCTAGAGATTGCCTCATGGACTATTTCTACAATCCATTTCTCAGATTTTGAATCAATTCTCTACATGTGTATTTGGGGCTAATGTTTTAATTCCTGCAGCATTTGAATGCTTGGGGAGTGTATGTAGCATGGATTACTGCTAGAGGTATTTGAGGGCTGACAGACTTGGGTCCAAACGTCTATACTGTCACTTACTAAATGTGTAATCTTGGGCAAGATACACAGCCCCTTTAAGACCTGAAGCTTCCTCAGCTGTAAAAGGAGAAATAAAAATTCCAACCTTACAGAATTGTTTGAAAAATTAAGTAAGATAGCATTTGTAATAGATTAGCTTGGCAGCAATAGTAAGCCAAAAAAGTTACAATTTGGTAGGAAAATACCTTTTATTATTATTCTACAATTATTCTTTCAGATCTGCTTTAGAATGTCTAAGATATCCTAAAATAATTCTTTGGGGATTTAAAATATTTAGATTTTTTTCACACCTGTAGGTTAACTAAAGGAGTATTGACATCTTATTATTCCCACCTGGAAACATTCAGTCATTTAAATGGAAGAAAAGTTTTGCAATCTACCCATCTGACAAAGGTCTAATATCCAGAATCTACAAGGAACTTAAACAAATTTACAAGAAAAAGACAAATAACCCCATCAAAAAGTGGGCAAAGGATATGAACAGATACTTCTCAAAAGAAGACATTTATGTGGCCAACAAACGTGAAAAAAATCTCAACATCACTGACCATTAGGGAAATGCAAATCAAAACCACAATGAGATAGCACCTCACTCCAGTAAGAATGGCGATTATTAAAAAGTCAAGAAACAATAGATACTGGCAAGACTGTGGAGAAATAGGCATGATTTTACACTGTTGGTGGGAATGTAAAAAAATCTACAACCAGAGATAACATTTGACCCAGTAATCCCATTACTGGGCATATACCCAAAGAACTCTAAATCATTCTACTGTAAAGACACATGCACATGTATGTTTATGCAACACTCTTTACAGTAGCAAAGACATGGAATCAACCCAAATGCCCATCAATAATAGACTGGATAAAGAAAATGTGGTACATATACACCATGGATACACCATGGAATACTATACAGCCAAAAAAAGGAATGAGATCATGTCCTTTGCAGGGACATGGATGAAGCTGGAAGTCATCATAACCAGCAAACTAACACAGGAACAGAAAACCAAACACCACATGTTATCACTCATAAGTGGGAGCTGAACAATGAGAAGACATGGACACTGTGTGGGGAAAACACATACCAGGGCCTGTTGGGGGTTGGAGACAAGGGGAGGGAGAGCATTAGGACAAATACCTAATGTATGCATGGCTTAAAACTTAGATGACAGGTTGATAGGTGCAGCAAACCACCATGGCACATGTATATCTAGGTAACAAACCTGCATATTCTGCACATGTATCCTGGAACTGAAAATAAAATAAAAATAAAAATAATAAAATAAAATAAAATAAAATAAATATCTGATATGGTTTGGCTGTGTCCCCATTCAAACCTCAACTTGAATTGTATCTCCCAGAATTCTCACATGTTGTGGGAGGGAGCCAGAGGGAGGTAACTGAATCATGGAGGCTGGTCTTTTGCATGCTATTCTCATAATAGTGAATAAGTCTCATGAGATCTGATGGGTTCATTAGGAGTTTCCACTTTTGCTTCTTCCTCATTTTCTCTTGCGGCTCCAATGTAAGAAGTGCCTTTTGCCTTCTGCCATGATTCTGAGGCCTCCCCAGCCATGTGGATCTGTAAGTCCAATGAAACCTCTTTTTCTTCCCAGTCTCATGTACATCTTTATCAGCAGCATGAAAACAGACTAATACATTAAATTGGTACCAGGAGTGGGGTCTTGCTGAAAAGATACCTGAAAATGTGGAAGTGACTTTGGAACAGGGTAACAAGCAGAGGTTGGAACAGTTAGAGGGCTCAGAGGAAGACAGGAAAATGTGGGAAAGTTTGGAACTTCCTAGAGATTTGTTGAATGGCTTTAACAAAAATGCTGATAACGATATGAACAATAAGGTCTAGGCTGAGGTGCTCTCAGATGGAGATGAGGAACTTGGGAAGTAGAGCAAAGGTTACTCTTTTTTTTTTTTTTTGAGACAGAGTCTTGCTTTCATTATGTTTTAGCAAAGAGACTAGTGGCATTTTGCCCCTGTCCTAGAGATTTGTGGAACTTTGAACATGAGAGAGATGCTTTAGTGTATCTAGCGGAAGAAATTTCTAAGCAGAAAAGCATTCAAGAGGTGACTTGGATACCGTTAAAAACATGCTGTTTTAAAAGGGAAACAAAGCATAAAATTTCAGAAAATTTGCAGCCTGATGATGCAGTGAAAAAGAAAACCCCATTTTTTTGAGGGGAAATTCAAGCCAGCGGCAGAAATTTGCAAAAGTAGCAAGAAGCCTAATGTTATTCCCTAAAACCATGGGGAAAATGTCTTAGGCTATGTCAGAGACCTTCACGGCAGTGTCTCCCATCACAGGCCCAAAGGCCCAGAAGGAAAAAGTGGTTTCAGGGGCCAGGCCCAGGGTCCCCGTGTTGTGTGCAACCTAGGGACTTGGTGCCCTGCATCTCAGATGCTCCAGCAGTGGCTGAAAGGAGCCAATGTAGACCTCAGGCCATGGCTTCAGAGGGTGCAAGCCTCAAGCCTTGGCAGCTTCCATGTGGTGTTGAGCCTGTAGGTACACAGAAGTCAAGAACTGAGGTTTGGGAACCTCCGCCTACATTTCAGAAGATGTATAGAAATGCCTGAATGCCCAGGCAAAAGTTTGCTGCAGGGGCAGGGCCCTCATGGAGAACCTCTGCTAGGGCAGTGTGGAAGGGAAATGTGGGATGGGAGCCCCCACACAGAGTCCCTATTGGGGCACTGCCTAGTGGAGCTGTGAGAACAGGACCACCGTCCTCCAGACCCCAGAATGGTAGATCCACTGACAGCTTGCACCCTGCACCTGGAACAGCCACAGACACTCAATGCCAGCTGGTGAAAGCAGCTGAGAGGGAGGTTGTACCCTATGAAGCCACAGGGGTGGAGCTCCCCAAGACCATGAGAACCCACTTCTTGCATCAGTGTTACCCGGATGTGAGACCTGGAGTCAAAGGAGATAATTTTAGAGTTTAAAATTTGACTGCCCTCTGGATTTCGGACTTGCATGCACCCTGTAAACCCTTTGTTTTGGCCAATTTCTCCCATTTGTAATGACTGTATTTACCCAATGCCTGTATCCCCATTGTGTCTGGAAAGTAACTAACTTGCTTTTGATTTTACAGGCTCATAGGCAGAAGGGACTTACCTTGTCTCAGATGAGACTTTGCACTGTGGACTTTTGGGTTAATGCTGAAGTGAGTTAAAACTGTGGGGGACTGTTGGGAAGGCATGATTGGTTTTGAAATGTGAGGACATGAGATTTGGAGGGGCCGGGGTGGAATGATATGGTTTGGCTGTGTCCCCATTCAAATCTCAACTTGAATTCTATCTCCCAGAATTCTATCTCCTGGAAGGGACCGAGGAGGAGATAATTGAATCATGGGGTCAAGTCTTTCCTGCGCTATTCTCGTGATAGTGAATAAGTCTCGTGAGATCTGATGGGTTTATCAGGGGTTTCTGCTTTTGCTTCTTCCTCATTTTCTCTTGCTGCCACGATGTAAAAAGTTCCTTTCACCCCCTGCCATGATTCTGAAGCCTCCCCAGCCATGTGGAACTGTAAGTCCAATTAAAGCTCTTTTTCTTCCCAGTGTCGGGTATGTCTTTGTCAGTAGTGTGAAAATGGAGTAATACAATTCTCCCGTATCATTCAAAAAATTTATAGATATTTTTCCCACATAAATTCTATATGTTTTTTGTGAAGGTTGAGTTTTACATGCATATTTATAGGAGTACTTAATAAATATATTAACAGATTTTAGTATCAATGTTATACAATAAACCTAGTAATTACTTGATTGGCAGCTGATTTTTTTATAAACGGAATTACATGTTTCTTGAGAGATTAATGCAATTTATGGTTAAAACAATCTAGCTCTGAAGCCTCTTAAACAGGAAGTATTTTGATTATTTTAAAGATCTGTAGTAACTATTTGTCTTTTAATTTTGCCTATTTCTAAATATTTTTACAGAAGTTATCAATTTTTAATCACCAAATTTATTAACACAGAAATATAGCGTGTACTGTAGAAAAAGTATATTTACTTTTTCCCCCTTAGTCTAATTTTGCATTTGTGTTTTTCTCTCATTTTTCTTGATTCGATTTGTATTGATTTGCTAGGGGTGCCATAATATAGATAGCACAAACTAGGTGGTTTAAGCAAAATAAATATATTGTCTCACAGTTTTGTAGGGAAAGAATCTGAAGGGAAAGTGCTGACTCCTTCTGAAGGCTGTGAGGGAAGGATTTGTTCCATACCTTTCTCCTTGATTTGGAGATGGCCATATTCATGTTCCTATAATGTTCTTTCTATATACATATCTGTATCCAAATTTTCACTTTGTATAAGCACACCAGCCATGTTGTATCAGGGCCTACCCTACTCCAGTGTGACTTCAACTTAACTAATTACATCTGCTACAACCCTATTTTCAAATAAGGTCACATTCTGAGGTCCTGGGAAATAGGGCATCCATATAAAAAATCTGCTGGGGGAAAGTAGACACAATCCAAGCCATAACACAATTTATCACTTCAATTTTATTGAAATTCAAAAAGGTATGCCTGGGTTTTATCATTTTTAGAGATTTCCCCACTGTATAATTTCATCATTTTCTTTCTTCCACTTTTTTTTCTAACTTCATTTTGTTTGCCTTTGAAATGTTTATTTTCTCTTATTTAATAAGAAGGAAATACATTGCCTTCAAGTGATTTTTTTCTCTATGTACAGCTCTTGCTGTATCTTATACATTTTGATTTGTTTTTGTTAAATAATTTATTATTGCACATTTGCTTTTCACTTTGAAAAATCATTACTAAAGAAAAGTATTTTTAAATTTCCAAGTGTAGAATTTTTTTAAAAATGTGACAGAAAATCAGTATCAGGAGACAGTTTAGGAAGCTGATTTCCAGTTATCTAAGTGAGTGATAATCATTACATTGACCACTTACCATGGTCCATGTTTTGGTCATCAACCTCACAGAGAGAAAATATATTTTAAGTTTTATACTCAAGTGTGCATTCATGTCTAAGATGTGAATCCACATTAAACTCATTAGGATATTTTGTTAACAAAACCAGACACCCAAGATGTGAACTAATAAGAAACATATCTGTTGTGGGAAAACTCCCATATTAGTGACCACTTCATTCTTTCCAAAGGAACACCTATAAGAGGTATTAATCAACTTCAGAAGTTAGCTCTTTGAACAAATAGAGTGAGTTAAATAGATTAAATATCTTGGGTACAAGGATAAGATCAATGCAAAAATATAGCAGCAGGAGGTTCTTTCTAGTAAGAATGGGATATTCTGGTGATCTCTGGTTGAGTTTCCTACTCCTCTTGAAGGGCACTACCAGCAGCTTTAGCTCAGTGCTTGGGCATTCAGGACTGAGGAATGCACTGTTATTGACTTGTGATCTCCTTAGCTACACTAATGTTTTCATTTAGGTTATAAGGAGAACTTGCTGATCTAGGCAGACTGGGCCTCTTTAAGGTGAGTTTTCCTACATAAGCAAACACTCTTAAAAATGAGACTAGTTCAAAAGAAAACCAACTATTCTATCAAAAAGACATGTGCACTCGCAAGTTCATCACAGTACTGTTCATAACAGCAAAGATATGGAATCAACCTAGGTGCCCATCAGTGGTGGATTGGATAAAGAAAATGTGGTACATATACACCATGGAATACTATGCAGCCATAAAAAGGAATGAAAACTAACTGTTTGTGCTTTGCTCAGTACATGGGTGTTGAGATTGTTTGTACCCCAAACCTCAGTGTCAAGCAATATAACCAGGTAAGAAAGCTGCACATGTATCCCCTGAATCCAAAATTAAAGTTGAAAAAAAATGAGCATAGCAACATTCTTTTCACTTATTCAAGAAATAATTATTGAATGCTAATGTAAACTTGCCTCTGTGCTCTGTCCTGAAAATATAGTTGTAAACCTAGCAACAGGGTCTCTACCCACCCGAGGCTTTCAAAGCGGAAGAAGAGATAGCATATGATCATATAAACAAATTTATAAATAAAGAAATGTTTGATTTACCATTGTAATAGCTGCTAGAATGGAGAAAT
Organism: Homo sapiens; assembly: GCF_000001405.40. Lineage (NCBI taxonomy): Eukaryota > Metazoa > Chordata > Mammalia > Primates > Hominidae > Homo > Homo sapiens. Next base: position 114,664,079 of record NC_000006.12, read on the forward strand.
ATATGAGTAACTTGTGAACTAAGAAGGTTCACTCTTAGGAAGTGATATATAAGTTGACTCTCTTAGAATAAGAATTTCAATAATGTAAGATAGATGGGTCGAGCATTTCAGAGAAAGGAAATTGTAATGGAGAAGAACAGAAGTCTGGACCTCCAAGCTGGAGCACGGAGAAAATAAAGTAAAATAGAAAACAAACAAACAAAACACAGAAAGAGTATAACACAAAAAACAAAGGGAAGAATTGCAGAAAAGGAGATTCCTAGAGACTCTGCAGGATCTTGTAGATCGTGTGAAGCATGTATCCTTTTCTCAAGATAGGGTGGCCACTGAAGTGTCTAAGTAGAGAAATATTTTAAGATTAATTTGGCTGCTGTGCTGAGAGTGATGGAAGCTAAGAGAAGATGTGGGAAGCTCTGTTATTATAGTGATTTAGGCCAAAAGTTGGAAGGCTTCATGTAGGGTGGCAGCAATGACAATGTTGAGAAGTAAGTGGACTGGAGATATGTTTAGTATTATTGGTAGAATTCACAGGACTTGGTACTTGTTTAGATATTCAGTGTAAATGAGAGCGCTATTAAAGATAACTCAGAGATGTTTGACTTGAGAAACCTAGTGGATGGCCTTCTCATTTCCTGACACTTAGTAGAAGCTCAATAAATCTTATCTATTTTTAGCTACTTGTGTAATAGTTACAAGAAAAATATGGACATGTGACAAACTTACCCCATCCCCAATGTATCACATCATACATACATGCATATAGAAAAGTCACTTGAAAGAAAAATCCTAACACAAACACACAAACAAACACAAACTAGACATAAACCAAACTAACCTAGAAATTGCCATTTAGTCTAAATCATTAAATAAATCATACTATTAAAGGCTATTTAGTTGAAGATCTGGATTCCAGTCTCACACTGCCTCTGACTTTGGGGTGAATTTAGACAAGATGACATGGCTTTGGTTCACTGAACTTTAGTTTTCTCAACCATAAGAAAAAAAGGCAAGGGCTTTTGGCTATTTATTATTACAAAACCTATAATCCTCTAGTAGAGAGTCAGATCCATAGAATACTATGGAAATATCTGCAGTGGTCATAACTGTGGTTATGTAGTAGCCACTACCTTTGCTTCATTATTCACACATTTATAATATGTTTTATTGCCTAGAAGGAGATAAGAGTGGGATGGTGGTAGAAAAGCAAGCCTAATTTTAGAACATGTTTGAACTATTCTTTTCAATTAGCCTTTTACATTTTCTATGGAAAACACAATGCTAAGTTGTTTCTTTTTAGTATAACTCTCTATATTTTTACTGCACCCTCCCATCTGCTTTTGGCCCTCAGTTAAATGTCCATTCCTTTACTAGTATTAATTTGCAACAGCTATTTATTAAGCAGAGAAATAATTATAGCTAGTAGGTCATCAGCTTTAATATTTCTTCTTAAAAATTCATCAATGGTTTCCAGTCCCTTTAGAATCAAATATCAACTTGCTACTATGGCTTAACAGAAAATACTATGAGCTGACCTTGATTGATATCTCTATTATCATCTCATATCCTCCTTTCCTTTGCTTACCATTTGTGAAAACACCTTTGCCCCAGCCTTGTATGCCTTTTTTTTTTTCGGTTCTTAAAACATTGCAAGCTGTCTCCTGGCTCAAGACTGTATATAAGCCAGTCTCCCATTCTGGTAAAGCTCTACCCCTGGTCTTTCTTGCCGGCTTCATCCTTGATATCTCAACCTGAATGACATCTCCTCCAGGACGCTCCTTGAATTTTCTGCCTGCCTTGGTCTCTGTTGTTAACTTCTTTTACAGAATCCTGTTTGTTTATTGCATTCATCTTTACTGATTGTTTAGGAATGTTTGCTTTTTCAATTTTTTCTTCCGGGGATCACAGCTGTCTATTAATTATTATACTCCTAGTGCCTACCATACTGCCTGACACAATATTTGGTGTCTTTTAGACACTAAAAAATATTTGTTGAATGAATTAACCAACAATAGAGTTACAATATCTGGTATATAAACTATAGAATCTGAGTTCTGAACTTTATCTACTTATACAGAATATGGTATTTGCATTCCATCAGCTTACCTTCAACTGATCTTGAGGCTCACAATGAGATAATTCAAAAGCATTTTTAAAAACTTAGAAATAGTGCAATGAAGATAGTGTCCCTGAGGCAAAGTTAAGAAGAAATACGAACCTCTTCTTCAAGTAACTCATCCCTTTTTAAATATTTTCTGATTTTTTCAAATGATGAAGAAAATATCACCATGTTATTCATACATATGACTGAAACATGTTTTTTCAAGGTGTAAATTTAATTTAAAAGTCAGAAATAGCCAAGAGAGTCATTTTGTTGTTTTTATAGATTTAATCTGAAGAAAGAATGTAAAAGTTTATTTTCCATATTAATTTAAGTTCAAATTGAAGGTAAAATTTAAGTTCAAATTTTAAGTCCAAAGCCTGTCTTATGTCACAAAATAGAGTGCAGTTATCATCATTTCATTAGATACATTTCATTAGTATCATCATCTACTCAGAATTTCAAAGAAAAAAAGAGAGTGAAATGGGTGCATAGATGGAGGATTAGAAATCATTTTAAGTGATGTACTCATGCTTTAATTATACAATAAGTGTCATGCAATAATATATCTTGGACAGGAAGGATTAAATGATGTGGTATTTCTCAATTGGGGGAGTTCAGAATAGCCTTTCAGATAACTCACTTGACAATCTTTGGTAGGGTGAGAGAAACTATATTTTGAGCCTAAGGGAAACTTTTATGGCTTTTCATATAATTCTTTTCATGATGTCCACTATTATATAATTTTCCTTTAGCCAAACTGGTACAGTTACAGAGGAAAATTTTTCTTATTATTTTTTCCATTCTATATCCATTTAACCAAGCGTCTTCTAAGCAATGGGCTAAAAAATCCATTTTTTCCTTCCTTTCTGTTTTCTCTAACAATGGGCTTAGTTTGAGAAAATTTTGTATACTTTATAGGTATTAATCATTATGTAGTATAAATAGAAAGTCCTAGGATTTTTTATACAATGATTCTAAATATACATTATTTTCTCAATCCAATTTTGGGAATTGAACCTCTGCATTTCCATTTAGAGGGGAAAAAGATGCAATGCATTGTATTAATCATAGACAACATCAAGCGTATACATGTATGCTCTGCAAACTTATTCTCAGGTTATACAGAATGGCTTGCATATTTTCACCTTTTTATAATTTATTCTAAGGTACCTATGAAAACAGTACTATAACCTTTGAAGTAGGAAATTTATCTCTAGGTAATATTCCCATCCTGTCAGAGCCATCTAGCTAAGTGATATTGATGGGACTTTAATGATATAAATTCATTACAGGGTTGAGTTGTTTCTCACCATTGTGTGCCACCGTGTTGTCACACTGCTTTCAGCTTCAGTGCTCCCTGCCACTTGTCTCTCAAGAAAGTTTTGCTTGTAACTGAAGCATGTGCATGTTTATCTCAGTTTGATCATATGTGTGAGTGTAGGAGAGAGGATTTCCATTTTGCTGATCCAGCTTGTGATGACTGTTTAGCTCTTCAAATCACTTTTATTTTTCTTTGTCTATTTATTCCTTCCAGGACAAATTTCATTAAAAAGGACATTAAAATCTCCAAAAGCAGCCACTCTAGAGCTGTTGCTGGACATTCGTTAAACACAATAAAGTTGACATCAAATATGTTAACTTTTAAAATATTATATTTATAGTATAATACATGCAAGTTAATCTACATTCAAGTAAAAAAAATTACAATTAATCTGTGGTCAGAGAAGGAATATTATTATAACATGGTGATCCTTTAAAATCACAGAATGTTGAAGTATTTATGAGCAGGGATGAGTGGGGGAGTAAGAATGAAAAAGAAAAAAATAAGGAAATAGAATATGTATCAAGATCTCATGGAAATGTTTAAGCTAATAGACAAAGTATGGAAATAATTGAAATCTAGGTGATGCTTTTTTAATTCTAAAACCAGAGAAGGTTTAATAAAATCAATGGAGAAGAAGAGTTAGGAAAAATCTTAGAAGACACCGAAAAAAGAAAGAAAAAAGAAAGGGAAGGGAAGGGAAAGGGAAGGATAAGGGAAGCAAAAGGGAAGGCAAAAGAAAGTGGCTTTGACTATGAATTATGACTATGAAATGTAAGAAGTACATTTTACATTGTGACCCAATGTGTGCATGTAAACATACACATATAGTACTGAACATTTCAAGAAGGGAAAATTATACTTACTATATGCTATGTTATCTTACCTATTTTGTAATTAGTAAAGTTTATTTTTATAGCAGTTTCAGGTTCCAGACAAATTGAACAGAAAGAATAGAGAGTTTCTACATACTCTCTCCCTTCACACAGGCACAACCTCTCCCACTATCAACATTCTGCACATTTCTTACAACTGATGAACTCACATTGACATATCATTATCACACGAAGTACACAATTTCCATTAGCATTCGCTCTTGGTGTTGTACATTCTATAGGTTTTGGTAAACATACAAATGACATGAATCCACCATTGTAGTATTGCACAGAATAGTTTCATTGACCTAAAAATCCTCAGTGCTCTGCCTATACATCCCTCCTTCACCACTAACTCCTGACAAGCACTAATATATTTACTTCAGTTTTTGCCTTTGCTGGAATGTTATATAGTAGAAATCACACAGAACGCAATATTTTTTGATTGGCTTCTTTTTCTTAGTAAAATGCATTTAAGTTTCCTCCGTGTCTTCTTGTGACTTGATGGCTCATTTCTTTTTAGCAGTAAATAATATTCAATTTTCTGGAAGTACTATAGTTTATCCACTCACCTACTAAAGCACATCTTGGTTACCTCTAGGAACTGGCAATTATGAAGAAAGCTGCTACAAATATCTGTATGCAGGTTTTTGTGTGGACAAAAGTTTTCAATTTATTTGGGTAAATACTAAGGAGCACAGTTGCTAGATCATATGGAAAAAAATATCTTTAGCTTTGTAAGAAACTGTCAAAATATCTTCCAAAGTGGCTACACCATTTTGCATTCCCATCATCAATGAATCAGAGTTCCTGTTGCTCTATATCCTTACCAGAATTCGGTGGTGTCAACATTTAGAATTTTTGTCATTCTAATAGATATGTAGTAGTATCTGATTGCTGTTGTAACACGGAATTCCCTAAATACATATGATATTGAACATATTTTAATATACTTATTTGCCATCTGTGTATCTTCTTTGGTGAGGTGTCTGCTCGGGTCTTTTTTCCATTTTTTAATTGGGTTGTTCACTTTGCTATTTTTGAATTTCAAGAGTTCTTTGTATATTTGGGACTACAGTCCTTTATCAGATATTTCTATTGCAGGCATTTCCTCCTAGTCTGTGGCCTGTCTTCTCATTCACTTGACATTATCTTTCACAGAGCAGAAGTTTTTAATTTTAATAAAGTCCAGCTTATCTATTCTGTCTTTCACCAACTCTGCCTTTGGTATTGTATCTCAAAGGTCATTATCATATGCATTAGTACATTCTTGGAGTGCTATAAAGAACTACCTGAGACTAAGTAATTTATAAAGAAAAGGCATTTAACTGGCTCATGTTTCTGCAGGACACACAGAAAGCAAGACTGAAGAAGCCTCAGGAAACTTGCAATCATGTTGGAGGTGAAGGGAAAGCAGACACATCCTACATGGCTGAAGCAGGACAAAGAGAGAGTGAAGGGAGAAGTGCTATACACTTTTATAGACAACCAGATCTCATGAGAACTCAGTCACTATTACGAGAAAAGCAAGGGGAAGTCCATCTCTGTGATCCAATCACTTCCCACAAGGCCCCTCCTCCGACAATGGGATTAAGTTGAATATATAGATTGAATTGGAGGAACTGACATCTTGACAATATTGAATCTTCCTATCTGTCTCTCCATTTATTTAGTACTTCTTTGATATCTTTTGTCAGTTTTATAGTTTTCTCATATAGATCTTATACATATTTTGTTAGATTTATATCTAAATATTTCATTTTCAAAAGTAAATGGTAATGTGTTCTTAATTATACATTGCTGATATATCAAAAAGTGATTGATTTTTGTATTTAACCTTCTATCCCACAACCTTACTCTAATCATTTGTTAGTTTCAGGAATCTTTTTGTTTATTCTTTTAAACTTTCAACATAGATAATCATGTCATCTTTGAAAAAGGCACTTTCATTTCTTCCTTCCCAATCTGTATATTTTTTATTTCATTTTCTTGTCTTATTGCATTAGCTGGGACTTCATGAATAATGTTGAAAATGAACAGTGAGAAGAAACATCCTTGCCTTGCTCTTGATCTTAACAGAAAAGTTCTTATTTTCTCATCACTAAGTACGATGTTAATTGTAGGGTTTTTTGGTAGGCATTTTTTTTTTAAATTAAGGAAGTTCCCCTCTATTTCTAATTTGCTTAGAGTTCTTAGTATTAATAAGTGTGGGATTTTGTCAAATGCTTTTTCTGCATCTATTGTTAGAATCATGTGAATTTTTTCTTTAGCCTGTTGGAATTACATTAATTGGTTTTCAAAGTTTAACCAGCCTTGCATATCCCACCTGGTCATGGTATAAAATTCTCCTTATACATTGTCAGATTTGATTTGCTAATATTTTGTTGAGAATTTTTGCATCTATGTCTATCAGATATGTATGTCTGTAGCTATGTTTTTTTTGGTAATGTCTTTGGTTTGGGCTTTAGGGTAATGCTAGCCTCATAGGATTAATTAGGAAGAAGTCACTGTTTCTGTCTTCTGAAAGAGACTAGAGAATTAGTATAATTTATTTCTTTAATGCTTGGTAGAATTCACCAGTGAAGCCAGATGGGCCTGCTGCTTTCTGTTTTTGAAGGTTACTCAATATTGATTCAACTAGGTTTATTCAAACTATTTCTTCTTGTGTGAATTTTCATATAGGTTATCAAATTTGTGGGCATAGAGATGTTCATAATCCTTTACTATCTTTTAATGTCCATGAGATCTGAGGACCTATTCCCTCTTTCACTTTTAATGTTAATAATTGGTGTCTCACTTTTTTTTTAGTTAGCCTGACCAAAGACTTATTACTTTTATTGATGTTCTCAAAAAGTCAGCTTTTGGTTTTGTTTTCTTTGTTGGTTTCCTGTTTTCAATTCTCTTAGTTTTCCTTCTAATTTTTACTTTTTCTTTTTTTCTGCTTACTTTGTATTTAATAGGCTTTTCCTTTTCTAGTATCCTAAGGTTGAAACTTAGAACACTGGTTATTTTACCTTTCTTCTTTTCTAATATATGCTTTTAGCGCTACAAATTTCCATTTGACATTTAAGATTACTGAAATGAGTGGATGAATATCCACTGTATTTGTTACCATTTTCTATTTGTTGCTCTTGTTCTTTATTCCTATTTTTGTCTTCCACACTTTTACTATCTTTTATGGTTTTAAAAACCATATATATACATGTATACATATATATACACACCTATACATATATACATATACATCTATATACACATATACATATATATAATACACACACACATACATATATATTTTTTACTTTAGTAGTGATTACCCTAGCGTTTGCAATATATAGTTATGACTAATCCAAGTCCATTTTTAAACAACATTATACTACTTAATGGGTCATGCAAGGTACCTTACAATAACAATATATTTCTAATTCCTTCCTTCTGTCCCGAGTATCATTGCTGATATTCATTTCACTGACACATAAATATACATAGTCACATCTATACATATAAGCACACATAAGCAAATACATTTTTACTATTATTTTTTGAACAAAATGTCTTCAAGTAGATCAATTAAGAATGAGAAAAATAACAATTTTTATTTTATCGTTGTTTATTAATTCTCTGAGGCTATTCTTTATGTACTTACAAGTTTCTGACCCATATCATTTTACTTCCCTCTGAACTTGTTTTAAAACTTCTTGCAAGGCAAGTCTACTGGCAACAAATTCCCTCTATTTTTTGTTCATCTGAAAAGTATTTATTTCTCTTTTACTTTTGAAGAATAATTTTGCAGGATACAGAATCCCAGTTCAGTGGGATTTTTTTTCTCAAATCTTTACATATTTCACTTGTCTCTTTTCTTGCTTGCATGGTTTCTGAGAATTACGATATAATTCTTATCTTTGTTCCCCTTCTTCATGCCCAGCTTCTTTCAATATTTTTCTTTATCATTAGTTTTATGAAGTTTGAATATGATATGCTTAAGTGTATGGTTATTTTTTTGTTTTTTGGTATTTATCCAACTTGGTGTTCGCCGAGCTTCCTGGATCTGTGGCATGTTTGATATTAATTTGGATAAATTCTCATTCATTTTTGCTTTAAATATTGCTTCTGTTTCTTTTTCTCTTTCATCTTATTCTGGTGTCTATTACATGTATGTTACACCATTTATAGTTGTTCTGCAGTTCTTGGATACTCTGTTTTTTTTTAAAAGTATTTTTTCTCCTTGCTTTTCAGTTTTGGAAGTTTCTATTGTCATATCCTCAAGCTCAGAGATTCTTTGTTTGGCTTTGTTCAATCTACTAATGAGGGCATCAAAAGCATTCTTCATCTGTGTTACAGTGTCTTTGATTGCTAGCATTTCTTTTTTATTCTTTCTTAGAATATTCACCTGTCTACTCTCTGCTTCCATTACCTATCTGCTCTTGCAGAGACTACATTCTCTGTTAAAGTTCATAGCATATCAATCATAGTTATTACAAATTCCTTGTCTGATAATTCCAACATTCCTGCCATATCTGACCCTGATTAGATGTTTATTTAATCTCTTCAAACTGTATTTTTTTGCCTTTTAATATACCTTATAATTTTTTTATTGAGTAGGCATGATATACTGGGTAAAACAAATGGCAGTAAATAGGCCCTTAATAATGTAGTGGTTGAATTTCAGAGGGAAGAGGAAGCATCCTATAGGCCTATAATTAGGTCTTTTGGTGAGTCTTTGCCCCTGGACTTTGAATTTCCCCAGTGCTTCTCAATTTGTCCCTTTTTAGATGGTTGGAGGGGGCTGGAGTTGTTTATATCCTTTCCTTCAAGTGGAAGGCTAGAAGGGGCTGGAGCTAGGTTTTCCCTTCCTCCAGGAGGAAGGTTACAGCTGCTTAGAAGTTGGAAATTTCCTTACCCTGATAAGGAAACTGATAAAATAGTTTCTCTTGCAGACAGGCCATGTTAAGAACAGAATGCTTTGATGTATTTCAAATGGTTTATTTTCCCCTCACATTGCTGGAAGCATGGGGGGACTTTCCTCAAATATTTACTGTGAATACCTGGTAGAGCCCCTGGAGACAAAACTCACAAAAGTGTGCGGGTCTCCCTATGACTGGGTTTTCCCGGAGTTTTTATCCCTCAGACTTGTGCACATTGAGCCTCCAGTTCAAGTTTTTCTGCCTCAGCACTGATTCCTAAAGTGGTTTATGCTTAGGACTTTCTGCTCCACTAAGTTGTGAATCTCTGTATCTGTCTGTCACTCCAATTTTAGGGGCAGTAATTTGCCCTGTGATCTTCCTTCTCTGATAGATCTTAGAGGAGGACTTGGTTTTCAGTCTGTTTAGCTCTTTAGTTGTTGCCATGGAGTGGTGACATCTAAGTTCCTTATGTATTGGACTGGCCTATTTTTTTTTTAATTTATTCTACTTCACCTAATAGTTTAAAAAACACAAAATAACACTCTTTTTTTTTTTTTTTTTTTTTTTTTTTTTTTTTTTTTTTTTTACAAATGAGGACACTTTCCCAGACAGGTTGTGTGATTTTCCCAAGGACAAGCAGGCTGCTACTTGCAGATCTCTGAGCGCCCAAGACAGAATATTTTCTATTATGATTCAAGGAAAAGAACCCAGGGTTAAATTTTTAACTACCAGGTTCAGGGCTGGCTCTTCTACATTCAGTTTTGTAAGATATCTTACATTTTTACTGCAAGTAAGCAAGAGCACAGATTTTTATAAAGATAATTCTGTATGGCCTTGAACAAATTATTTAACCTGCTTCCTACTTTACAGGTTTCCACACACCCACTTTTCAGTGCTTCAACCACCGATGACTACTTTATTTAGTGGTTCTAAGTTTTATGATGCCATAGTTTATGCTTTTGCTAACTACATAAAGTGCTATGAATTCAAGGCATCTGCTGCACTAACATCTTTGGTTGCTATAATTCATTTTTTTGTATCAATAGATTGATGCCCCATCATTAAATTTGATAGGAAGAACTACTGTTGTTATCAAATAGAATATTTTATATGTGTGAGAAAACTTTTCAAGGTCATTGTCTCATTGATTGAACAAGTCATGTAAACTGTGCAGGTTAGTTCTTATTGCTCTTTGTTTACTGGTTACCTTTGAAATGTTTTGTCATTATCCAAATTCTCATATCTAATAAACAACAGAACATAGACTGAAACAGGACTTCTAAGTTCTAAAATAGTGCTCTTTCCATAATATAGATAAAACACAGCAGAATAGCAGAGTGAGAAGCTTGGAGCTCAGTTCTATATTACAGTGAATCTCTCCTAACTGGTGCTATAGTATAGCTGATGCTTCTCTTACACAGTTATGGTACCTTCTCAATGAATAAAAGGTATTCACTCATCTGTGATGTAAACTGAAAAACAAGCAAATAGCTTTTGCTGTGGCCTTCAAACATCAAGTATCAAATTATTCTTTGCAGAACAGCATACCACTTCTTATAAATTAGAATGTATTTTCAATAAAATGTGCTTATTTATTATAGGATGACATATACATATGTGTTGATTTTCAGAGACTCATTATCTTACAGTTTAGGTTGCATTGTTAATTTGAGTGAATTATCCCAAGTGAGCATCCAAGGTAGGTAATCAAAGTTCCCAATTTCCAGGGGAGCTGGAGCTATACTTACGGCCCACGTCCCCACCATCAGAGCCAGCATTTCCACTACCTTGACAGCTGCTGTGCAAAGCTCTGCAGCTTTAAAAGAATGGAAGTAGAGGGAGGAGATAAGCTGGGACAACTTAAGAGACCTGAGCCCAGGGACATATTCCCAGGCTGGAAACTTTGCCTATATGTTGAGGTAATTTCACAGTGAACAACTGTCTCAGTTTGCCTGGGACTGAGAAGTTTCCCCATATGTGGGACTTTCGGGGCTAAAATGAAGACATTCTTAGGCAAACTGTGATAAGTTGGTTATCCTAGGTTCTGTCCCCAAAGGTAGATCTCTAAAAGTGTCCAGAATATTTCATTTGACTGTGTTACACTCCTAATATTTCAAAAATTCAAGGTTAGTTTGAGTTAAGAAAAATAAATAGGCTAACAGAACCTGAGGAAATTAAGGGGTTAAAATAACTTTGCTTAAAATTATGGCTCTATTCTTAAAAGTTATCTACTATAAGCTCAAAAGAAATGGTAGTTTTGGGTAAGATGTGGGGAAGGATCAAAATAGAAATAATTGGGATCATGGGGAACTTTATATTTTAAGAGAGAGGAGACTTTCCTTACTTACCTTTCTAAAGTAGAAGTATGGGAGCTCTATAGAGGAATGGGGTGGGGAAAATCACTCAGAGTTTGGGGGGCGAACAAGCAAGGGCTTAGAAAAGACATAGAAAGAATTAAAGTAAAAAATAAACCTAGACTGTTTTGAAAAATTTCCTTTGATCAATAATCCCCCCAGAATCAGTAAGGAAACCTTCTATAGAGAGCACATGTACATATCTATTGTGTTTCTAGCCTACTTTCCTGCTCTCTTATTCATTCCATGAATCCTAGCTGTTAGGATGCTGATCCAAGGTTAGTAGCTCATGTACCAGTCAGTTTAAGCCTCTGGGAATTTAAACGTGAGCAAAACAGACACAAAGTCCTTCCCACATGGAGATTATAATCTGGAGTGAGAGAGAGACAGGCAATCCGTAAAGCCAAACTGGCAGTTGACAGTACATTAGACAGTTGTAAATGCTTTCGAGAAAAATAAAGTCAGGGGAGAGGGTAGGAAATAAGAGTATTGCATGCTCATAAAGATCTCACCAACAAGGTAAAATTTAGAAGCAAACACATAAAATAAAATGCTTTAGATATCAGAAATTCCAGCTGGCTATTATTCTGGAGATTTACTTTTCGTAGAGCCAGTAGACATGTGCAAAGGAAAGCTTTGCCTCTTAATAAATAAATAATAAAGGAAGAACACTAAACACAGTTGGAAAAAGCTAAAGAGGCTGACAGAAGAATCAAGCTTCTATATGCTTGTAAGACTATATTACTGACATTTTATTTCATTTTCATTTGTTTGCTTGGAATTGACCAGAGAAATACTGGAATCTGCACCTTGCCTGCAGCCTCAGGCACTGTATGTTACAAAGAAACCTCCATAAGGGAGCTGGAGCACAGCACATAAACCAGGGTTTCTCTTGACACAATTCGTCTCGTACTTTTGTTTCAACAGAAACTAGACATCCTTCAAGCCAAGTTATAGGAGCTTGCAGCCTGAGGCACTGAATTGCATTGAACATAAAAGCCCTTATTCAAAAATAACTTATTTAAACATTCTGTTATAGCTGCATGGAATTTATCTATCAGAGAGGTGAGTAAGTCTTACATCAGTAACTCTTGGTTTTTCTACACACTCCATAAATCACTGACAAATACATTATTTTGAAAGCAAAAGCTAGCATCTTTTGTTTTTCAGCAATGCGATACTATAATAATACCATTCTTACAGATTATAAAAGTGTCCTTTTTGAGTACGAAAGGCACTCCAAATACTTCTTGGCACTTAAGCTAGATGTTTATCTTATTAAATTTAGTAGATATTGATATTTGCACAGTTACTGTAAAATAGAACAATTGCTTTTCCTGAATTGTTTTGACTATTGATCCTCTTGAGTGGATGACAAAGGTAAGAAAACAGATCTGGTCTTGCATCACAGATATTCATGTGCTATAAATGACCAGAAAAATTTAAATTAGCATGTTATATTTGATAACATCAATAATTAATTATTTTGTAATCACCAATTGAAGTATACAGACCATGGAATTTTCTAATTTCTATAAAACAACTGTGGCCTCTCAAGGAACAGATAATTATGCCTCCTTCTTCATGGGAACGAATCCAGAGAGTCTGTCTATTGGAGTCTCTACATCAGAGTTTGCTATAAATTTGAATGCTAAAACATACTTTGGGGCAAAAGTCTGTAGGTTGACCATTTTGCATTAATTTATTTGGTGGTTCTATTGTCATTCAGGGGTGACTGAATTGTGGCACTTGAAAGGACCCCTCTGGGGTTGCCTAGTTTAGGTTTTTATTGCCAAACTCAGCTAGTTAATAAAACTATTATATTGGCAAGATAATTAATTATATTTATAAAGTGTTGACCTGGTGGGCTTGACTTGCCCAGTTTTCAGTCTCAACCCTCAGTCAATAAGATAACAAAAAGTCTAAGCTCCAGGGAGCTAAATAACTGAAATTAAGTTAATTTATACTAGATAGTTTCATCCAGTGAATACTTGATTTCTTAATGCCTTTTTTTTTCATTCAAAAACAGGGAAGGGATACTTTGTTAAAATTCATGAATACTGATTGTTTTCAACTATTGGTAGCCCTTTACTGTGTTTATTTCAAAGTAGATACATATCCCTAAAAATAGTGCCATGAACTCATACGGCAAAAGGTATATTTAACTTTATATGTCAATGTAGATAATGCAGTTGTGTACCTTTTTTTTCTGGAGTAAAAACTGGGTTTCTGTGAACCACTACTAGCTTTTCAATTACCCAGAATAATTTTAAAAACTAAGAAGAGAAACAAAAAACAGACATAGGAAAAAAAAATAGAACATCTTTGACTGGAAGGCAATAACTCTTCAGCAGGAAGTTGTAATTAAACACACATGCCAACTCAAAGTTTTAAATATGATGTCTGCTTCACTGTGAGTTCTTGGTTTGAGGTCAATAAGAGAAGAAAGAGTTCAATGTTCATCACCCATTCATCCTTCAAATACTTACTGATTGCCTAGCATGTGCCTACAAATTGGATAAAATTCAGTCTTTTTCTTAGAGTTCATAATCAAGTCAGAAACTACTATAAAAATATGTCTGTATGTGTATGTGTATAGATGTACAGTATATACACATATACAAATATACATTATATATAGGTAAATATATAATTATATACTATGCAGCCATAAGAAAGAATGAGATCATGTCTTTTGCAGGAACATGGATGGAGCTGGAGGTGATTATCTTTAGGAAACTGATGCAGGAACAGAAAACTAAATACCACATGTTTTCACTTATAAGTGGGAGCCAGATGATAAGAACTTATGAACACAAAGAAGGAAACAACATACACTGGGGTCTACTTGATGGGGGAGGGTGGGAGGAGGGAGAGGAGTAGAAAAGATAACTATTGGGTACTGGGCTTAATACCTGGGTGATAAAATAATGTGTATAATAAACCCCTGTGACATGACATGTGTTTACCTACGTAACAAACCTTCACTTGTACCCCTAAACCTAAAACTTAAAAAAAGAAAAATTAAAACCAAAAGGAAGAAAATACCAAACAAAAAAATAAAATATATTAAATGTTACAATAGAAAATAACACCACATATAAATACCACAAAGGCAATTATATTCCATATAATTTGTGACACAAATTACACAAATTCAGAATATGAATACAATTAGAGTAGGGTGTATGCTATAGCAGATATATCTATATAATAAGATATTTGTACTTTCTCAGTATATGGGTTGCAGGAAAGGTTCGAAAAGAAGAGTTTCTTCAAAAAGTTTTCTGAATGCTTTTCAAGAGAAATTCAAGAAAAGGGGAGCAATTAGAGAGATAAAAGATTAAAAATCAAAACAAGGGGAGAAGATAAAAGTGGAATTGAGAAGTGACAGTAGCCCACAGGGCAGCATCTGCATGGTGAGAACCTTTTGCATTAACAATGGAGGGTAAAAAGCATCTGCATGGTGAGAACCTTTTGCATTAACAATGGAGGTTAAAGGCTGGATTTGGGTAAGTGAGAAGGCACATGGATAGTTGGGAGAGCTCATGATAAAGAGATAATAAGTGGGACACCCCCACCCATCAACCAGAACCCTTGGCATATAGAAACCTCTACCTAAGTCTCCTTAGAAAGCACAGGTATTTGATTATTTCTGTGTTTGTACATGCATGCATGAGTGTGTGTGTGTGTGTGTGTGTGATTTGTTATGTCCCCATTTAAGGATGGAATAAAAGTAAAGAGTAAACATGTTAAAGAGCATACCATTAGTTATAAATTAGCTTTTAAAGTTTTTTTTTTTTTTTTTGATGGAGTCTCACTCTGTTGCCCAGGCTGGAATGCAGTGGCATGATCTGAGCTCACTGCAAGCTTCACCTCCTGGGTTCAACTGATTCTCCTGCCTCAGCCTCCCAAGTAGCTGGGACTCCAGGCATGTGCCATGACACCTGGCTAATTTTTGTATTTTTAGTAGAAATGGTGTTTCACCATATTGGCCAGGCTGGTCTTAGACTCCTGACTTCAGGCAATCCACCCACCTCAGCCTCCCAAACTGCTGTGATTACAGGCATGAGCCACTGGGTCTGGCATAAAGTTTTAATGTTTAAAGTAATGTTCAGTTCTGTAGAAAACCCTCTTGACAGAGTACACAACCCTACTGGTGGTGATGCTAGCCAATGTTTGATGAAATTATGCCAACATTTCTTTTCATGGTGGCTAGTGTGATTAAACATCTTTCATCTCACAGCTTTATATGATATATGCATTCAATCACTCTGCTTCTTTTTGCTATTCATAACTCTTACTTGGTGAAATAAATTGTAGACATACTGTTGCAGCTTTTTAACTCCTGTTGTTGGTACATGGGCAGGAATGTTACAGCTATTTTACCACTGCTGCCTACAGCTCAGAGAGCATTACAGCTTTTTCACTTCCACAGCTTGGTGAGTTCTGGGTTCTTGTCCCACGACCAAGCAAAATAATGTACATGGACTCCTGAGAGAGGGTAAGGCAGAGTAGAATTTATTGAGTAAAAGTAAAGCTCTCGACAGTGAGCAGGGACCCAAAAGTGGGTAGCCTTTTGTGAGGCTGAGTCCAGGGTTTTTATGGGCTTAGAATGGGGGAATGCATGCTGATTGGTTTATGGGTGGGCTTGGAAAAGGCACTCTGCAATTGGTTA
Organism: Homo sapiens; assembly: GCF_000001405.40. NCBI lineage: Eukaryota > Metazoa > Chordata > Mammalia > Primates > Hominidae > Homo > Homo sapiens. Next base: position 114,680,312 of record NC_000006.12, read on the forward strand.
AAAGGCACCATTCAGAAAGGACCAATTGAGAGAGAGTGGGTAAGACAGGGATGGAACTTGTCTCTCTGGTCCATGGATCTTATCTGGAAATGGTAGCTCAGTTTTCAGGCTTTAGACTGTCCGTGGCTTGAAGGTCAAGTTTCACTAGGGATCCATCCCTGTCTACCTAGGAATTTGTCTATCTCCTGTTACTAGCAATACATTTTGTGAATTGCTGTTATCCCAGATGACTGATCTGTATTTTTGTTAAACTTGTATGCTGTAAAAACAGGTATCAAAATCAAAGTCAGCCTCTACAGGTAAAATTGCTGAACTTTAGTAATGGTTTTAAAATGTGAAGGAATAACCATTATTAAAATAGAAAACCTAATTGGAACCTGGCTTACTTTCCTTTTTTTCCATGTTATTTATTTGTCCACACAAATCTCTGCTTCATTTTTACTAACCTCCTCAGTTTTTAGAAATTTCAGCAATACTTACACTTTTACAAGGCCTTATTCATTATACATTAAAAGGCTTTCTTCTTATTTCTTTAGTTTGTATAATGTCTTTGTGAGATAGGCATTTGTCTTAACTGTTCTACAGAATGAAACATTATGTGATGCATTTGTCTAGAGGTCAAGATAAATCATAGTAGAGCTAAGTTTTAATCAAATGCTTTTCTAAACTAGTTCTCTTCTCTCTTTTTCTTGGTTTCTCTCTCTCTCTCTATTTCTGGCTCTCTTTTCTTCTTTTTATTTATCAAATTCCACTGTTCTATATTATATGAAAATCACTTTTCATAATTTTTATTTGCACATGACAATTTTTTGTTTAAGTCTTCAACATGGTTGGCAATTGGTTGTACATGCTATTCTCTTAGAAGTGGGTAAGGGGTCAGCTGCTAGGGTATGGGAAGTGGTGAGGAAAAGGATTTTGGTTACGGACTATCCAAATACAAGGAATATTTACAAATAGCAGAAACTTCATGACTCTCATTGCAGTTACAAGAATAAATATTCTTCTTTTGTGTAGCCTGACAGCTCAATATTCTGAGATAAATTTTGAGAGAGTCTTCTTTCAGCACTTCCACTCAAACTGTCCATATACCTGTTCTTTTCTCTCATTGTACATTTTCCCTTTTGCTAAACAATCAAGTAAATGACATTAATAATTCTGATCTAGTTTTGGAATTTTCTTACAAAGGCAGACTACTGAAGTAGAAATAAAATATATAAATTGGATATTATTTGTTTCATAAAAATAGTAACTAGATGTGAGTTCTTGGCCAAATTGGTATCTTTGTCACTCTAACTATGTATTATTACTATCTCAAATTTTTGGAGGATGAGTTTATAATCGTAATTTTTTACAAATCCCAAGTGAATATTTATACAAAAGTAATTACCATCTATAACTATTAAATCCTACTTAAACCAAATTCAAAATCTGTCATTGACTAGCAGAGATAACTTGAATAAGTCAGTTAATCAGTTATTGTTTCTCCAACTGTTGAATGAAGGTGTTAGTGAAAAGATTGAGGACAATGCTAACATTATAAAACCCTATTTGGAACTTATAGAAAAAATGCTTTAAGCATGAATAATTACCTGCAGTGTATTGTCAAATGTTAGATTGGAATGCCATTTTTTTTTCATTTAAGCCCTGACTTAACCCCACAGTTCAGCTATATTTAGTAAAAAATAAATAATGATGGGTGTGGTATTTTTAGTTAGAGGATGTTATAGAAGTGGTTACAGTCTCTAATTTTGTGAGCTATGAACAATGAGATTTCTAAAGAATAAGGTACAGGTAAACCAGAGATGGAAGAAATGCATCAAAAATGGGTTGAAAGAGACAGCAAAAACTAAAGTCCAATGTGTGATATAAAATAAATAAGGAACACAAGCAGGAGCTCATGGATGGAGAGCAAACAAGTTTAGTAAATAAAGGTGATTAACAGTGAAGAATTTAAGTTTGGGATATGGCATATTGTGACATTTGGCTCTCCATAAGCAATATAATAACATCTGACAGCTATAATCTCTAGAAAATTCGTATCAATGAGGTTCTTTCCAATAATTAAAAATAAATGAAAAGTTGACTTATTTCTTTCTTTCTTTATGACTATTTGAGCTCCTGAAATACAGTTTTTAAATCTAAGGAAAGGAAGATGTCCAGAGAAAATATACAGTAAAAAGTATTTGATGAATTTTTTTCCCTTAAGTTATTGGGGTACAGGTGGTATTTGGTTACATGAGTAAGTTCCTTCCTTATTTATTTTTCTCCCTGTGCAGTTTTACCCCCTGCTTCTCTCCTGTTGGATCCCTGTGGTGGAACCAGCAAGCTCTCAGGGCCTTTCTGCTGTTTTCTCTACTCCTGTATTTCGCTCAACTCTCCAAATTGACTCAGCTCCAGGTAACGCCGGAAACTTCTCTGGCAAACAGACCTTCAGCTTCGCCATAGGGGGGTGTGTGTTAGGGAGAGAAGGTTCTCCTTTTCCCACTTCCCCAGTTGGGGCACTCACAGTTTTGGGGGGACTGCTGAGTCCTGCAGGAGTAGTCCGCTTCCGTTAGAGGGTCTGTGGGTCCTCTCAGGATTGCTGGTTTGTTGTTGCAGTAGATCTGGAGCTAAAATTCACAACGCGAGCCACTGCCCGCTGCTCTGTCCGGAGCTGCTGCTGTCTAGTCCTGCCTCCCGCCCGCCATCTTTCTGGTATCTCAGGTTTTTAATGATTTAATTGATAATATAATAATAGTTAAGTATATTAAAATTCAGGTATTAATATTCATGTAATTGTTTAAATATACTCTATGATAATATTATGTTGGCTAATAGAACTTAAATGTCACTGAGCAGAACCTTTGAATTACTATGAAGAAAGACAATATTTATGTACCTTGAACTAGACTGTAGCCAAATAGGATGTCCAGAAGTCATTTGATTATATGACACCCATATGAGAGTACCTGATGAAGGATAGAATAATTTTTACATGATAAAATTGAATAACGTATCTTTTTTTGGGAGACATATTCACACTAACTATTATCTAGGATTTTGGCATTTTAAAATTTAAATTTGAGAAGTAGGTGAAGAAGAAATAGTTTAGAAATAGAATGTACCTTTACATTTAGTATATTCTTTGAATCAAACAATTTTTGGCTTAGAGTACAGAAGGGAAATAAAATTATACAAAGCATGCTAGCATGACAGAAATGAATTACCAAGATAGACATTAAGACTAACTAGAAAAAAAATCTTAAATAAATGGATGGATGGAAGCCATAGAGAAAAGTGCCTTATTCATTCTATTGTCAAAGGTCACAATTGCATACAATTATTTATTGAGAACCTGCTATGTGCTCAACATTGTGCTACATTGTTTATTAAATAAACAGTAAATATAAACCATAAATTGTTTATTAGTAAATAGTATTAGGTCAATACTATTTACTAATAGTAAATTAGTCTAACAGACTTTGGGGTTGATGAATCAACTTCAACACAAAGATTGTAATTAGAGAACATTATAGGACTTTATATAATAAAGTAATGAAATGATAAAGCTGAAGGAGCACTTGACCTGGGATATCAGAAATTTCTGTTTCATTCTCCAGTGCACATTCCATCACTTAACATTTGTCAGTCTCTAAGGAAAGGAAATAAGCAGAAACTTCATGTGCTTTTTTGCTAATAAGATTTATCATAATAATAAAAGCTAATTTTATAGTGTTTACTTCATGTCTGATACCATTTGACGTGCTTTGTAATATTTGAGTTAATCCTCACTAAAAAGAGTTAAGTGCTGTAGATTTAAGACATGGGAAACCAAAAACTTTTTTGGGGTCACACAGTTGGTAAATGGTGGCTTTGAGATTAAACCATGTGGTTAATTATGGAGCCTGTAATTTTAATTATGACTCCTTCATCCCAGTACTCTTCTGATTTTATAAATCTTTAAAATATATCCTGCAAAAGTAACAGACATGTAATGGGGCATGAAAGAATTAAAAAGCAATTGAATGGATGCTTGATGTTATTATTACACAGGATACATCATGGTACAAGCCAAATGGAGACGCGTTATAAACTCTTACCGAATGAATTAAGAATCCTCACGCAAAGACATTTTTCTCACTGGATTCCTCTTCCACCTCCATTAACACCCACTATTATCCTTAATGCCAACACAGCACACACATACCATATAGATGTTTTCTTAGTCTGTTTTTATGCTGCTATAACAGAATAGTTTAGACTGGGTAATTTATAATAAACAGAAATTTACTTGGTTCTGGAGGCTGCAAAGTCCAAGAGCATGGGGTTGGTATGTGAAGAGGGCTTTCTTATTTTGTCATCCTATGATGGAAAGCGGAAAGGTAAAAGACCACTTGTGGGAGAGAGCATCAGATTAAACTTGCAGCCTTTAGCCTTTTTATAAGGGCAGAGCCCTTACAACCTACACACCTTACATTAGGCCCTACTTCCCAACACTCTTGCACTGGGGGTTATTTCCAATGCATGCTTTTTGGGGGACACATGCAAATCGCAGAAATGCATATCAAGATAATTTGTCATAACACTGAGTTGGCCATCTCTAGAGTACACAAAAAGAGACCAGCAGCATTGTGTGATCAGCCTTAAGGATTTTGAAGCGAAAGTGACTACATGAACTACTGACTTGGGGCACCAAGAGAAGTATTGCAACTGGATGAGGATATAGCCTCAGTCACCCTTATATGCTTTCACTGGTCCTAAATTGTGCAGCTGATGAATTTTATTTGGCATGTATAGCTATTAATATACCTAAAATAAAGCTATTTTGCTTTGGCACTTTTGCCAACCTTGAAAAACTCAAAGATGCACAAAGTCAGATCCATGAGGAATAACATGAAGTTCTAACAATCAGAAAAATGCAGATCTAGAGAGCCATTTGTGACTTAGTAAAATACAGTGACTATCTTTCAACCACTTCTTTAACTTCTATAATTACATTTGTACACAAGGATGCCTGCTCCTTGTGTGTAATTTTATACATTTGTTAGATGCAACAGAAACTCAGAGGTTGTCATCTTATATTGGAGCATTATAAATTCATGATAGACTTTTAATAATTGTTATCCTTTAAATAAAAGCTAAAAACAACCAATGAGAAGCCAATACAGTAAAATACATTTATTTGTGAATAATTCTATCTTTAAAGATTGCTCAAGTGATATATTTGGAAAATTGCAATCATTTTATCTTAGGCTGAAATTTTATCATCAATTCTTAAACATATGCAATTAAATGGTGGGAAGGGGTGAGAATTTATTTGCTTATGCTTTATCAATACATAGCAGGATACATTAGTTATGCATATCTGAAAGCACATTTCTCATGATAAGTGATTTCTGAATGGAATTTCATGAAGTTTTATAGCTTTACTATGACTAAAATATGTAATTTGAATAAAATCTTTGCAAAGCACAAATGAACAGTATTCACACATCCAAAGTGAGAGGGGGATGTGGCTTAATGTGGCGTGTGGCCTGTGAATCAAGTAGAAGGCTAATAATTCACACTTCGTGGTTTTAAACAAAATAGAAATGTAACTTGGGACTCCTGGAAATGATCGAAATCACAAACAAAAAAAGTGATGTGTTCTTCACTTTTCATGTAAGTCATACTTGACATAAAACACATGTATTAAAAAATGAATAATTACCTAGAATAGTGTTTTACCAGCCAATATCTCAACATGTAGCAGTCAGTGATGAGTAATCCTATGCATTTATAGTGAGAATTATCCTCACTATCAAAAATACTTCAGGGTCCAACTTAATTATAGAAACAAATTTAGTTGAGACTCTTAGACAAATGGATCTTTGATTTATTTCCCTGTCACACTGTTCTTCTTTATGTACCCCAAACTAAAAAAGCCATATTATCTGAACTTTTAAAAGATTGTAGGGTAGCAGTTTTTTAAAGGTTATTCATAATCAGCATTTGAAAATAGCACTTCATCTCTCATATTGGCTTAACATGCCAGCTTTAGTTGTTATTTATTACCTATTAAATCTGATTGAAACAAAGCAATAAGAGAGTAATATACTGTAGCACAATTTGTTTCTTACCTGTGCTGTTGCTGAATTTTTGTATATTTGTCTAACATTATATTATCTCATCATATTGCAATTATTTATTTATCTATCTCCTTCACTGGTCTATAAGATCCTCAAGAGCAGATAAACTGAGTGGGGTTGTAAAAATGCTGTGTCTTTGGTATCCACAAATATGTGGGGCTGGGGAAGACAGGGACTACTGTTATGTGACCAGATCAAAAGATTTGTCTAAATTAAGCCTCAAAGTATTTTTTAAAAATCGAAGTGGCCAGTCCAAAAGTAGCTCTTTTATTCTTACAATACTTTAAATGAGATAGATAGGCCCTTAAATGGATATCTTATTCATTCATTCATTTGTTTGAAAGTACTAGTGATATATTTCCGTGAGGTATTCAATGATTCAAGCAAACTTTCCTAAATTATTTCAGACTTGTGAGGTTTTACTACATAATTTTCTATTAGAGTGAATTTATACAAAAATTTCCCTCATGTCATGTTTTTTTTCTCCCTTATAGATTACAAATAGTTCACGTTACCTAGGTGTTTGTAGGTCTCATCAGTACCTGTTTACAGTTAAGAATTTTTCAACCGTTATTCAATTATGTCATCATCAGATGACTTTTTAAAGGTGATAGCAGTGATACATGATTATTTAAATATTACAAAGGATCATTTCAAAGTGATAAATATCTGTATGTGGGGTTATCCTAGAATTGGTAAAACCAATCTAAATTTATAGAATAGAAGCTTGTGGTCCTTTTTGGGAAGAATCAAAGGTAAAAATCATGGGAATGGGGAAATAGACGTGTAAGTAAAGTCTTCCTAACTGCAATATTAGAAAGGCTGTAATTTTACATGGCATTTATGAGTAAAGTGTCATAAGAAGTATTTAATGAATACATTGCCTTGTAACATTCCACAGGGTACATTTTATGTGCTCTCTAGTATTGCTTTTCTCTGTATGGGTATTTCAGTTTGCTAATGGTTAAGGAAACAGAACTGCTTCTGATCATGTATGTTTGTTAGAAACAATTGGTCATGTAAAACACCAATGACTTGGATGATTCAAACTTGTCTAGCTATTTCAGGTAATTAAACACAGATGAGAATTTATGACTGCTTGGGTTTTCAGAACTTTTCCTAATGCTCTTGATAGTGATACATAGATGTGAGGGAACATGGTACTTATAGCCTATACACACACCAGTAGAAAAAGTTCTTTTTGTTTCCAAACACTTCTGCAACTCAATTATTATATGGTAATTTATGTTAATGAATTTTCTTTCACTCTGAGGATTCATCAACTACCTAATGGCTCAATTTTAGCTCAGACTGGTTGTGTGATATGGTTACAGAGTATTTGCTTCAGGTTTGTCTTAATCTTATGTTACTGTATAAGCATTATTGCCTTAATTTTATTCTCTCAAGTCGTTAGTATAATGACAGTTGAACTTTTCATGAAGTAAGCCCAAAAGTTAAGAGGAGACTGTAGTCCATAATCCTTGTGGTATCGTGACCCATGTTGACCATGGGTGTGTGATTTCTGAAGAAGTAAGAAGAAATTTTTAGAATTCTTCTCCAGGTGCTGCTTAATTTGCCATAATTGAGACACTTACTAGAATCAGGATAATTCATCTTAAACTATGCATATAACATTTTAGCGTGGGATCAATGAGATTAAGTGTTTTCATCAAAAGATTATCTTATTGTTTTGAGAATTTATTTCCCTTTTCTAAACATTTTGCAAATACAATTCTAAATCTGTAGAATCTCTTTGATTAGAATTCTGATTTAAATATACTTTTATATTAACTCCAAAGATGGCCTTTAACAATACCAATATATTGGTATTTATGCCTTTGTGTGATCCCTTACCCTTGAGTTAACTGAATTTAATGATGTATTATCAGGCAAAATTCACCCCTGATATTTCACGTAGGTTCTTTTCTATTTTCCCTAAGTGTCAGCCAGTCTGAGAAATAAAGGGAAAGAGTACAAAAGAGAGAAATTTTAAAGCTGGGTGTCCGGGGGAGACATCACATGTTGGCAGGTTCTGTGATGCCCCTGAGCCATAAAACCAGCAAGTTTTTATTAGTGACTTTCAAAAGGAGTGGGAGTGTATGAATAGGGTGTGGGTCACAGAGATCACATGCTTCACAAGGTAATAAGATATCACAAGGCAAATGGAGGCAGGGCGAGATCACAGGACCACAGGACCAGGGCTAAATTAAAATTGCTAATGAAGTTTTGGGCATGCATTGTCATTGACAACATCTTATCAGGAAAGGGGGTTTGAGAGCAGACAACTGGTCTGACCAAAATTTATTAGGCGGGGATTTCCTCATCCTAATAAGCCTAGGAGCGCTATGGGAGACTAGGGCTTATTTCATCCCTACAGCGGCGACCGTAAAAGACAGCCACCCCTAAAGCGGCCATTTCAGAGGCCTACTCTCAGGGACGCATTCTCTTTCTCAGGGATGTTCCTTGCTGAGAAAAAGAATTCGGCGATATTTCTCCCATTTGCTTTTGAAAGAAGAGAAATATGGCTCTGTTCTGCCCGGCTCACCGGCGGTCAGAGTTTAAGGTTATCTCTCTTGTTCCCTGAACATTGCTGTTATCCTGTTCTTTTTCCAAGGTGCCCAGATTTCATATTGTTCAAACACACATGCTCTACAAACAATTTGTGCAGTTAACACAATCATCACAGGGTCCTGAGGTGACACACATCCTCCTCAGCTTATGAAGATGACAGGTTTAAGAGATTAAAGTAAAGACAGGCATAGGAAATCACAAGGGTATTGATTGGGGAAGTGATAAGTGTCCATGAAATCTTCACAATTTATGTTCAGAGATTGCAGTAAAGACAGGTATAAGAAATTATAAAAGTATTAATTTGGGGAACTAATAAATTTCCATGAAATCTTCACAATTTATGTTCTTCTGCCATGGCTTCAGCTGGTCCCCCCGTTCAGGGTCCCTGACTTCCCACAACAATGTATTTTTAGTGAATTGAATGAGGCAGAGGTGAGGGAGATTCAGAACTTGTGCTAATGCTCTTGATAGTGATATATAGATGTGAGGGAACGTGGTACTTTCACAAGTGTCTGAGATTATGTTTTAGAAGATTGTGGTTTCTCTCTTGAATGTTTTCTCTCCTTCTCCTGCTTGCTTGATCTGAGGGAAGACAGCTTCCATGAGCTACCTTGTGGAGAAGTCCACATGGCAAGAAACTGAGAGAAGGTTCTGGCCAACAACCTGTGAGGAACTGTGGCCTACAGTCTGACAACGTGTAAGGAAATGAATCCTGCCAAAAACCACATGAGGGAGCTTGGAATAGGATCCTCCCAGTTGAGTCTTCAGATAAGACTGTAGCCCTAATTGGTGGCTTAACTGCAACCTTATGGGATGTCTTGAAATAGAGATAGTCAGACAAACTTCAACAGAATGCCCAATACCCAGAAACCATGAGTTGATGATGCTTGTTTTTTTTTTAACTGGGTAAGTTTTAGAGTAACTTGTTATACAGAAATAGGTAACCAATACAACTGCGTATACACTAAACTTTTGAAAATTAAAAACAAAAGTCAAACTGGTTTCTGAGGGTCAAGTAGACTTTTAATGAAGCAACTGTTAAAATTTAATTGTTTAGTTTATGTGCTAGTTTACCATGGCTGCCATAACAAAGTACCATAGACTGGGTGTTTTAAACAACAGAGCTATTTTTCCTCACAATTTTGAAGCCCCAAGGTTTAAGATCAAGGTTTTGGCATGTTTGTTTCTTCTGGGGCCCTCTCTCCTTGGCTTGCAGATGGCCATCTTCTTCCTATGTCTTCATATGGTTTTCTCTCTTTATCTCTGTAAAGACCCTATCTCAAAATAGTCTGACATCCTGAGGTACTGGGGATTAGGACTTCAACATAATAGTTTCTAATAATAATGGTTAATGTTTAGTGGGCATTAATGTATTATCTCATTTATCACAATAGCTCCATATGATACATGCAATTATTACTTTGGTTATAAGAAGAAGAAAACTAAGGCTTAAAGAGGCTAATTAATATGCTTGAGGTTATACATCTAATGTAGTCAGTTTTCATGCTGCTGGTAAAGACATACCTGAGACTGAGTGACTTATACAGGAAAAAGGGTTTAATGGATTTACAGTTCCATGTGGTTGGGGAGGCCTCACAATCATGGCAGAAGGCAAGGAGGAAAAAGTCACATCTTACATGGATGGCAGCAGGCAAAGAGAGAGTTAGTGCAGGGAAACTCCCCATTATAGAACCATCTGATCTCGTGAAATTTATTCACTATCACTGCTTTCATGGGCTAGCATTAAGCGTCTGTGTCTCTTCCAGGTGCAAAGTACAAGCTGCCAGTGGATTGCTATCATTCTGATGTCTGGAGGATGATGGCCCTCTTCTCACAGCTCCACTAGGTGGTGCCCTAATAGGGACTCTGTTGGGGGGCTCCAACCCTACATTTCCCTTCTGCACTGCCTTAACAGAGGTTATCCATGAGGGCCCCGCTCCTGCAGCAAACTTCTACGTAGGCATCCAGACATTTCCATACATCTTCTGAAATCTAGGCAGAAGTTTCCAAACTCCAATTCTTGGCTTCTCTGCACCTGCAGGCTCAACACCACAAGGAAGCTGCCAAGGCTTGAGGCTTGCACCCCCTGATGCCATGGCCCAAGCTCTTCATTACTTATGCAAATTCCTGCAGCTGGCTTGGATTTCTCCTCAGAAAATGGGATTTTCTTTTTTATTACATTGTCAGGCTTCAAATTTTCTGAACTTTTATGTTCTGCTTCCTTTATAAAACTGAATGCCTTTAACAGCACCTAAGCCACATCTTGAATGCTTTGCTGCTTAGAAATTTCTTCTGCCAGTTACCCTAAATCATCTCTCTCTCAAAGTTCCACAAATCTCTAGGGCAGGGGCAAAATGCTGCCAGTCTCATTGCTAAAACATAACAACAGTCACCTTTGCTCCAATTCCCAACAAATTCCTCATTTCCATCTGAGACCACCTCGGCCTAGACCTTATTGTCCATATCGCTATTCGCATTTTGGGCAAAGCCATTCAAGTTTCTACGAAGTTCCAAACTTTCCCACATTTTCCTTTCTTCTTCTCAGCCCTCCAAATAGCTTTTGGATTATTTATAACCCAAAGGATAACTGCTTGAGGTGATAGATAACCCATTTTTCGTGATGTGATTAATTCACAATGCATGCCTGTATGAAAACATGTTGTGCTCCATAAATATATGCATCTATGTACCCACAAGAATTAAAAAAAATATGGAGTAGCATTGGCATGAGCCCTTGCACAATCTGGTTCTAGGAGAAAAAGTTGGGTTTCCCTGCAGCCCTCTTTTCCACAGTACTACTGTTCTTTTGATTTATCTCAAACTATTTTATTCTCTTTTCCTACAAAACCCCCAGTTCAGGCTGAAATCTTGTTACAGTCTGGTGAGCCACTGCTTTTTTATTTAAAGAAATAACTCCTGGTTTTAGTGATCTACATCTGTTCAGAAATAGTGGAAGACTGTAGATACCTACTTTTACCAATTGCTCAAGTGATTTTCTATTTAATGCTTTTAATGCTGTTAATTTTTTGATAGAAATTTCATTTTTTACTTAATCAACTTCATTTATACAGCCTTTAGTCTCACATTCTCAGCTGGGTCATTCTTCCTTTTCTTCATAATTTTGTTTTCAGCCTATCAATCAGAAATTATTTGTTTGCTTACAGCCTATTAGAAATTATTCTGAAGATTTACAATTTCTTATTAAATGTCACAAAGCAGGGAAAAAGAGTAAGAACAAGAAAAGCCATTCTGCTCTATAACATCAAGCTTATATAACCTTTGTAATTGGATTTTAAAAAGTGAGATATTTCAGCCTGTGAATAGGAACTTTATGGTTTATTCCCTTTTAAAAATAAGAGGATTTAAAGTATACACGTCCATATTTCATTAATAAGTTTGTTTTGGAATTAAATCATGAGTGCTATGGGCTGAATGTTTATGAGACCCCAATATTCATGTGGAAACCCAAGGCCCCATGTGATGTTATTAGGAGGTAAGGCCTGTAGAAGGTAATTAGGTCATGAGGTTGGAGCCATCATGATTGAAATTAGTGCCATTATAAAAAGACATGATTTATGTCAAAAAATCAACAGCATTAAAATCATTAAGTAAAAAATCACTGGAGCAATTGGTAAAATGTGTTCTCTCTCTCTGCTCTATGCCATGTATAGATACAGTGAGATGGCTGTCTGCAATCTAGGTCGTGAGCCCTTACCAGAGAGTGGGTTTCTTAACACCTTGATCTTGGACTTTCTAGCTTCCAGAACTGTGAGAAATAAATTTCTGTTGTTTAAGTCAGCCAGTCTATGGTATTTTTTTGTAGAAGCCTGAACTAACTAAGACAGCAATTTGTATAGAAGTACCCCTTTATCTGTGGGGGACATGTTCTAAGACACCCAGTCGATGCCTAAAACTATGGAGAGTTCCAAACCATATATGTATGTTTAATTTATAAATTAAGCATAGTAAAAAATTAACAACTAACAATAAAATAGAATGATTACAACATTATGTCTGCATCACTACTTTTGCACTTTGGGGCCATTATTAAGTTAAATAAGAGTCACCTGAACACAAGCACTGTGCTACCATGACAGTTGATTTGAGAACTGAGATTACTAAGTGACTAAGGGTTGGAAGCATCTACAGCATGAATATGCTAGAGAAATAGATGATTTATGTCCCAACCAGGATAAGCTGGGTTGGTGCGAAATTTTATCACACTACTCAAATAATGTGCAATTTAAAATTTATGGATTGTTTATTTCTGGAATTTTCCATTTAACAAGTTTTGACCATGGTTGACTGTGAGTACCTGAAACCATGGAAAGCAAAACCATGGATAATAGCAGGGGACAGGGGCTACCATGCTAAGAAGTAAGGGTGCTGCTATAACAAATACATAAAAATATATGGCTTTGGAACTGGGTAATGGGTATAGGTTGGAAGAATTTTGAGGGGCATGTTAGAAAAATGCTGATATTGGCATGAAGGGACTTTTAGAGGTCATTTTCTTAGAGGGAACAAAATTAATCAGGAATAGTATGTTGCTAGAAATATGGACAGTAAAAAACTCAGTCTGTTCCTGCTGCTATAACAACATACCTTAAACTGGATAACTTATAAATAACATGCATTTATTGCTCACAGTTCTGGAAGCTGGCAAGCCCAAGATTAAGAAACCAGAAGATTTTGTTTGTGGTAAGAGGTCTGTGCTTCATAGATGTTGCCTTGTTGATGCATTCTGACATGGCAGAATGGGGACACAGGCTCTTTCAAGCCTCTTTTATAAGGACACAAACTTCATTCATAAGGGTTAAGCCCTCATGACTTAATCTTCTCCCAAAAGTCCTACCTGAATATCATCAAAATGGGGATTAGGCTTACATACATTTGGTGGGACACAAACATTCAGACCATAACAGTGCCATTCTGATGAGACGTCGGATAGAAATGAACATGCTATTGAAAATTGGAGGAAAGGCAAATTTTGTTATATTTTGTCAAAGAACTTAGCTGAATTATCTTCATATTCTAGTGTTTTGTGGAAATTAGAAATTGTGGAACAATGAAATTGAATATTTAACTGAGGAGATTTCTAAGCAAAGTGTTGAAAGAGTAGCTTGGTTCCTCCTGATTGCTTAGGGTAAAATGTGAAGAAGGAAATGAATTGAAGATGGAATTGTTAAACAAAAAGGAGTCAGAACTTAAAGATTTAGAAAATTCTCATCAGGCTTTTTATATTTTAAAATATGTGAAAGAGTGTTAGGAAGATAATGCTAAGGATATGGTAGATGGCATATTTGGTAAGAAGATTAGTGTGGCTGTGAACCACAGGCTTAAATGACCATCACAACAGAAGCCAGGAATAGATATGGGATTATGGTAGCAGAAACACTGCTACCTGGGACATAATTAAGCAGGGAAAATGGGCCCAAATGAGGAAAGACTGTTGAACTTCTTAGACTTTATAGGAACATACCATACAACTATTTATCTCTGAACATGCTATTGTTTAAGACAAGGAAAGAAGGACCTAGAAGGTGATGCAGAGGCTATCAAGCCTGCCACTCCCACCACAGAACCAGAGTAAATAGGTGTAGGGATAGGGCTGTTGCTACCTCAATTTCAAGGGGTGGGACCATCACTCAGTGGAGCCATGAGAGTGACATGGACCAACACTCAATGGAGCCATGAGGGTGACACTGCACAGAGCCATTGGCTTCAGACCTCTACCAGGCAGAACTGCAGAGGAAAAGCTGCAGCCCCAGTGGGTCCTGTAGGCAGGACCACTGCCCCAGTGGGTCTGGAAGGCAGAAAATCAAGCCAGAGAGGATTATTATTAAGCCTTAAGGTGTAATACAATTTTGCTTGCTAAGTTTTAGACTTGCTTGGGACCCGGCACTCTGTTTCTTTCCCATCTCTCCCTTTTGGAGTGAAAATATTCTATGAGTGTTCCACTCATATTTTGGGAGCATATAACTTGTTTTGTTTCAAAGGTTCACAGGTGGGGAGGAATTTTGCCTCGGGATAAATGATACCTTGAGTCTCACCCATATATGATTCATATGACATTTAGAAGAGGCTTTGTACTTTAGGCTTTCAAGTTGATGCTAGAATGAGTTAAGAGTTTTGGGGCTGTTGGGATGAAATAAATGTATTTAGTTTGTGAGTAGGATGTGAAGTTTGGAAGGCCAGAATCAGAATGCTATAAACTGAACATTTTTGTCACTGCCTCCAAATTCATATGGTGAAATCCTAACCCTCAATGTAATGGTTTTAGGAGGTGGGACCTTTGGGGTGTAATTAGATCATGAGGGTGGAGCTTTCATGAATGATATTAGTGCCCTTATAAAAAGATAAGATACAGCTTTTTTCCTCTCTCTTATACACCATATGAGGATACTAGGAGAAAATACCATCTGTACCCCGGAAAGGTGCCCTTACCAGACACTAGATCTGTTGGCATCGTGATCTTAGAATTCTCAGCCTCCAGAACTACAAGAAAAAAAATTCTGTTGTTTAGCTACCCAGTCTGTGGTATTCTGTTATAGCAGTGTGAACTGACTAATCCAATGGGTCAAAAGATAAATATATAATGATCAAGAAGACCTAACCACAAAAATATCTGAGGTAGTTAATTTATCTCCTGAGATAAAACAAAGCAGGACTCTTTGCCTATCAATGTGCCTAAAAATAAAGAAGTCAGTGAGAGATTACTGGTCTCCATTTCTGCTGCTCAACTCTAAATAACTTTGGAAGAAATGCAATCAGGAAAAGAGAGTTTTAGTCTGATTGTCAGGTCTAAAGGATAGGTGTATAGGGTGGAGAAACTGACAGTATAAAAATTCTAAGCCTTCTTCTGGGGCTTGATAGAGTGAGTGCTGTATCTAGACCATCATTATCATTGCCCCAGATTCAAAGCACTCGGTTTATCCAAGACTGGTAAGGTTGGGGACATTTAGAGCTCAGCCATGGGCCAGTAGAAGCCATCATCTGGAATTTATCACAAGCTATTTTCATCCATGGGGAAATGTACTCAGACTCAAAAGAGGCTTTTAGACTGATTCCAACTTGGAGGATGAGTATATACATATATATATATATATATATGTATATATATATATATATGTATATATATATATATATGTATATATATATATATATACTCTCGTGTGTGTGTATAATATATGAAATTAATGTGTGAAAAATACATATGTACACCTCTTCTCTGCTATTCTTGTTTTGTACTTTTCAAATTCTAATTCACAGTTATCTCCTTTTATTGTTTTTTCAATAAGAATGATTGACTGTTTTTTTTCTAATTCCAGAATCAAAATTCTCTTCAATTCTTATAGGATAAATGAAACATTTATTTGCTTATACTTTTCTGGCAAGAGGAGATGGTATTCAAGATTTCTGTATGTTCCCTTTACAGACCATGGAATATCTAAATCAAGAACTATATCTTTTTAACATTGATTTTTGAATAACTGGAACAATCCTAAAAATTCTCAAAATATATGAGTGGGTAATATATTTGATTTTGTTTAGTGAACATGAAGTTTTAAACCAGAGTTATAATATGAAATCTCAGGGCAGTGTGCTAGAAATCAGGAGGATTGGGTGGGGGCATTCCTTGATCTTTTCATCTCCTAGAGTCCATCTCTACATTGCAGTCATGTTCTATGATGAACCATTGGTCTCATAGTAGGGGCTCAGTGAGTATTTGACAAAGTGGAAAGGAAAGCCAGGTCTACTGGGAACCCTGAGAAGCTTCCAGAGTGTCATCCAGAGTTTGGCCAGCTCTCTGTCCTTTTTCTGCTTTGACTTCCAATGCAGAGTGATTCTCTAGTAGAAGACAATATGGAAAAGGTAATACAGAACCACACAGGAAAAAGAGTAACTGATTATGCTTAATTTAACCTTCATAGAAGCAAGGCCCTACTATCTTCTTCTACAATTTAACATCTACTAATCCAGTGATAGATCTCAGTTCTCTCCTTTCTCGTCTAGATATATGAGGGTCTCCTTCATATTATTTCACTCTCAGTAAGAAAATGAAGCCTGGATCAACATTCTCAGTGCTTTCCCTACTTAGAAGTTCATTCAACAGTTTGCTAAGTCTAACTTTCTTGACAGCAATAGTTAATTCTGATTTAATTCCACCGCCCACATGTGTGCCCAGCACCAAATAGGTGCCAAATACAATTTAGAATAAATAAACTATTTATTCAATCAGTCACTTATGAGCTTGAGGACTATTTTCTTCATGTTGAAAATTTCCTTTAACTTTTTACAGTTTAGTTTTTATTGTTTTTTTTTTTTTCTTTTGAGACAGAATCTCACTCTGTCGCCCAGGCTGGAGTGCAGTGACATGATCTCAGCTTACTGCAAGTTCCACCTCCCGGGTTCACGCCATTCTCCTGCCTCAGCCTCCTGAGTAGTTGGGACTACAGGTGCCTGCCACCACGCCTGGCTAATTTTTTTGTATTTTTACTAGAGACATGGTTTCACCGTGTTAGCCAGGATGGTCTCGATCTCCTGACCTCATGATCCGCCTGCCTCGGCCTCCCAAAGTGCTGGGATTACAGGCGTGAGCCACCGCACCCGGCCGTTTTTATTGTTTTTTGTAAAGCTTATTTACTCTTTAAAATTTTCCTCCCAATTTTTCAATAGTAAAGAAGTACAAGACTGGGCATCATGCTCTACTAAGAGCACAAACATTCAGTATTAAATGGAAAGATTACTTTATAATTTCAAATTGTGAGAAAGCTTTTAGTTTTAAATACCATGTTTCCTTAAAGAAAATAATGTTTTACTGCTGACTCAGGATCAGCCTAATATCCATTCTCAAACCCTCCCCTTCCCTGCCAGGGTCTATTTCTCCTGTATTAGCACTTAGGCAGTCATCCATTATAATAACATCCCAAGACAGAAAGATAATTATCTTTCTAAATGAGCTTGTCCCCAATTAGTGAAAAAAATAAAATGCCTAATCTACAAATGTGTATTTTCTTTGCATTTCAATATACACGAATACTATTGTTTAAGCTTTCAACCAGGATTATGAGTATGATCCCCTTTTCTCCTTTAGGACTGGGATCTATATGTAGGCCGTAAAGACACATTAAAGAGTGAAAACCAAGAAGAGGCCTGTTGAGATGAGCTAATAATAGAAATTGGTGTCAGACTGGAGGGCAACAGTAGACTGGCCAATCTAATGAAAGACACACGTAAGCGTTGAGGTCAGGGTAAGGCAGGAAAGAAAGCCAAATAGACAGATGAGAGTCTGATAAATGTAGAATCAGGAGGTCAGATAGGTAGCTGGAACTAAAAATTAAGCTAAAAGCTATTAGCCAGGGGGTTTTCGACTTTGGGGAAAGAAGGACAAGAGCAAAAAGGAAATGGCTGATAAAAGACTTCCTGTTGGCTCAACTCTTTCTATTTCTCTATTTCCCTGAAGGAGAGTGGCCAGAATGCAGAAGGCCACTGAGCAAAGTCAGCTGTGGAAAAAAATGAAGAATCAGGGTGTAATCACTGTTTGAAGAGAAAGCTCTTACAAGATCTATTGTTCCTAGACTGGAAAAGCAAAACTTGGCTTAGATAGGGCCTTGATCATTATAATAATACTTTAATCAATCTCAGTTATATTGGATTGTTTATTAATGAAGACATGCATTAACATTAAGAAGGACCTTAATATTGGCCTTTAGATCTCATATCATTTCTAGGAAAAGTAGGCAAGGTGAGAAATTGTGTGTATTGCTGCAACCCTGTGGATTTTGCTTATATTTATTGGGCTTAGAGTCAAACCACATTCTCTGTGCTCTAAAGTATGGGTGATCTTGTGTGACAGACAAAAATATTTTGTCTTAAAAACTAATTTATTAACAGGAGCCAGTGATCCACAATAATTTGTTTTGAATTGAGACATAGAAAGAACATGGGAGTTGGCATTAGTCGACAAAGGTTCTCATTCCAGGAATGGTACAAACCTGTGTATTGCATTTGGCAATGACATTTATTCCCCTCTTTGTCTCACTTCTCTCAACTGTAAAATCTGGGAGAAATCTATGAGATCCTTTCCAATTCTGTAATTGCAATCCCTTTCATGATGGTGTCTGAAGACAAAAGGTAGTA
Organism: Homo sapiens; assembly: GCF_000001405.40. NCBI lineage: Eukaryota > Metazoa > Chordata > Mammalia > Primates > Hominidae > Homo > Homo sapiens. The sequence goes on from NC_000006.12 coordinate 114,699,133, forward strand.
TTTGTTATTGTTTATTTTTTCCTTTCAAATGTGAAGCACTACAAAAATAAAATGTTAGATTAGTCCCAAATAAATGGATATTTTTAAATTTCCTTAAAGTGATTTAGTGATATAGAATATAGCTGGATAGAAAATGATATGAAATTATAATCTTCTACCTCAATATCAAATGCCTCTTCCCTACCCCCAAGTTGTTTCTAAGTATAGGATTGTTTTAAATGATAAGAAGAGAGCAGCCATTATATGCTAGCACATTATAGAGTTTTCAGGCACAACTAGTTTTGCAAGAGAAGAGAAGTAAAAATGTATTAATTATTTTTACTGTATAAATACACTTTTACATCCTCTGTAGATTCTTATCTCTTTGGGAAAAAGAGAGGGTGTGACCGTGGGTCTGGCAGATGGTAACAATTCTATCAGATCAGTTCCCACATATAAGCCACCATGGTTTGTGATAAGTCATTTTCAGTTTATTGCTAATTTACCTCTAAATTATTTAGTAGTTTTGATTTTGATTCTGCAACACCTAGAGGCAGTGATCTGCTACAAACTAACAGCCCATAAAAATTTGATTTTAGTAACAGTCATTTGCTCTTAGAAGTTAAATAATAAAAATGCTATCAATATAAATGTCAGTGAGGAGGGAAAACACTCAAAACACTAAGGACATCTGAGTATAGAATTTGCTAAAAGTGAATTGATTCTAGAAGAGATTTGTGTATTTTAATTGCAAATTTCCCTACCAATTAAGAAAAATAATATTAAAAAATAAAAACCGAGGAGAGTTATTTTATAATTAGAAAAATGGCATAAACACAATTTAAATGAAAATAAATGATAAATTAAAAATTAATTAATTAATTGCCTTCTACTAAGCTTAGTACAAATTTCTGACAGTGACCTCCACACATAGATTGATATTGGGTTCCAGATAAAATGATAGAATTCAAATTAGTAACATCATGTATGCAAAATAATTATAGGGGCTAATAATAGGTGTTTATTATGTCCCAGAATCTGTTCTTATTACTTTATAAGTAAAGTTATTTAATCCTCACACAAACTTATGAGGTAGGTACTATTATAATTTTTATTTAATAGTAGAGGCAATTGAGGCATAAAGTCACCTTTTGCCAAAGCTCACAAGCCCACCCATGGTCTATTTTCTCTAGGTATAGATACACATATGTACCCATTAAGAAAATAATGTTAAAGGTTAATTATATATAAATACTGCTAGTCAAAACATTTAATATCAAGTAAGAGTAGTAAGTTATTGGAATAAAAATATTTATAATGTTATGTCTAAAACAGGTACTGCAAAATTAGAGCTCTGTAATCACCTACAATGTTTACTTTTATCTTCTTTTGTTTCCCTTGAATATTTTAATTCACTACTTGGTTTTGAGGTTCAATAAAGGGAATGCACATGAAATCATTCCTCCTTCCTGTTTCTTGGTATGCATACTACTGTCTTACACACATGGCAATTTTTATGATATTGTTATGTCTTTTCATATCCTTAACCCTTAACATGTTCCTAATGTTATGAGTGCATTATTTTCTGTTTGGAGGTATTCCTTTTATCAACGTTTGTATTGTTTCATTGATTCACTAGATAAATATTTATTGAGCTATTGTCATTTGTCAGATGCTGCTCAGTAGTAGGGTAAAATGGTGAACAAAGTACAGTGACTATCTTTAGGAAGACTGGTCAAATAACTAGGAGATTATTTTACGATATGTTAAGCCTAATATTAAGTAGTATTTTTCTGGGGGGAAAGGAAGTTAATATTGTAAACAGAGAAATAAGATACACCTTAGGAAGACACTCCTTTCACAATGTAGAGAGTGAACTGCAATGGAGGCAGTGATGGAGATCCTAAAGCCAGTTAAGAGACTGTTAGTAGTAATACAGGAGGGAGGTCTTGGTGACTAGCACAAGAGCAGTGGTAAAGGGGATATACAAACTTTTAGAATTTCATGAGATCTATTCATTAGAATTTAAAGATTAATTGAATATAGTTGAATAATAATACTCTCCAATTTTATGGGATGAATGATAGATGACCAGGATTTTCCTAGTATAATCTTTGGCATGTGGTTCAAACTAGCTTAGTAATGATCAAATGTAGGCATTTTCTTCTCTGACCAGTATTTTCAAAATAAATATTTACATATGAAATACTAAATGGATATTTCTTAAAAGTAGTAATTTGGCTTAAATAAATAAATCACTGGGACATATCCTCTGAGAAAATTAGGAAGAATCTCAGGATAAGTAAATCAGTGAGGAATATAATCCGCTGTGTGTGGGAACAATCCAAGAGATGTCTGAGAGTAACCTACATGCAACCAAGTTCTTAGAGAATGCAAACTTACTGAGACACACAAAGGGTGTTACTAAGAATGTCTTTATAGTCAGCTTGTTCTTCTTCTGAAGAAGGAGTGTATTAATGTGTTCAAAGATGGATTAATCTTAGCCAGGCATCCGTAAGAGTTCCAAGAGAATATATGCATATAGATTCTACTAATTTACTAGGTTTCAGCACAGGAGTTGTTCTGTCCCACAAACATGTAGAGGTCTGTTTCCTAGAGACTTTGGCTACTTGTTAGATAAGTTGACATTCTAGATTTTATATATGGATCTTTCTGAGTTTGGTTAATGTAAATCTGCCTTCCTAAGACATAAGGTTGCTGATGGGGTTTTGACAAAAATTATTGCCATGAGGGACAGATATGGGACTAGGATGTATATTCAAGATAAAGCCTTCCTAAAAAGGGCCACGTCTTGATGGCCAGCAAGCCAGCTTTCCTCTGCTGTCCCATAGCTTTCATATGGACTTTTCTCTCTAAAACTACACAACTATCTCAAAGAGTAAATTTTATCTTCTATTGGAAAATTATTTTACTAAATATTTTAAGAACCAGCATTTTAATACATAATTTGAATAGCACAAACTTTTTATTTTACTGTTTGGGGAAAATAGGTACAATTTATTTCATTAAAATAATACAAAATATTTTTCAGCTGAAAGTAGGCTTGAAGTTAGATGGTCTGTTCTAATTATTTTAAGACCGACCTTTTATCTTTCTGGAACCATAGCTTTCTCTCTCTCTCTCTGTCTCTCTCTCTCTAATCTATCTCCCTCCTGCCTTTCCTCCCTCCCTCCCTCTCTCCTACTCTACATCTCTATTATCTGTCTCTTTTATTTATTTCCTCACAGCCACTAACAGCTAACCCTGACCATTTACCTTGAGTGTTTGAACCACTCGTTGCAAGAGGGATTCAGAAAGGGGCTATGGTATGGAATGAAGAAGGACAAACCCATCTCTTTTAGTAGAAAAATTATTCATATATCCTGAGTCCTCCTAAAGGTAAGGGTAGGTAAGATGACTTTTGAAAGAAGACCTATGTGCCTCACAGTAGTAACAGTCATTACTGCAGGATAGAATTCCTGATAAAGGTTCTTCTTGTCATCTCTTCAGTTCAATTTTATAACCAGAATTTGCAGAAAGTTTTAATGTAAGGTAGCATTGAAACATAACCCGTAAGATTAAAATCAGGTTCCAAACACCATCCATTTAAACATTTTCTGTTTTCCCTAATGAAACACTTAGTCTCAAACCACACTCAAATATCACTGAAGAACCTAAGATATTTAAGCTTGCCAGGGTACCTGGATCTTGGGAAATTATCTTGGAGTCACTTTGGAATGAGAAAGCAGCGGCATTAGGCTAGCATTCAAGTAAAGTGAATCTGCTAGAATTTTGTTTGACTTCGTTTTTAAATCATTTGTCTTTTCTGTCAATCAAAGTTATTCCACAGGACTCTTTGAAGTCTTCATTTGGGTTTATAGTGTTCAGATGATACCCTGCAGGAAAAGTTAATCAAACAGATGAGCTAAGTTTCTTTCTTTACAGAAAGAAGTAAAAGCACGTCCTCATCCCTACTCTTGATGTATTAAACTTTCAGTCTAATGAAACATTAGAATTTACATGGATAGGCTCTGCAGCATAGGTGGGTATTTCAAATTCCAAGTCTTGTTATTATACAAAATGTTTGAATATTATATTCCTCATTTTCTTGTTCGTTAACTTTAAATATATTTTGGGAAAGAATGGAGAGATTTATTGAGATGGATTATGTAAACTGAAGTTTAGATGATCTTGATTTTTAAATTTATTTTTTCTAAATGGAGGTGATAGTATGATTTTAAAAGAAAAAGACCTGCGAATCTAAAATACTATTAAAGATATTTATATTACGTGTATACAACCACAAAATAACTCTATAATATACCTAATTAAAGAGGCAATTAGATAAAGGCTTCCTGTAATAAAAATATAGTACCCTGTCACAGCATCATACTTTCCCCTTAATTATATTATGTAGATGCTGTGATATTCACAGATTAGCTATTAATAGAAATTCTTTGATTTATTTTGAGTACATCTATATGTTTCTCAACAGCACTCTCAGCAAAGCACCATTATTACTTTATTAAATACTACTTTTGTCTACTTGAGCTTAACAAACAAATCTAATGGTACGAAAGAATTTAATTTCAGAGCTGAAAGATAATTTGTTAGGCACTGTTAATTCACACAATTCAAAGTTAATTATGTTTGGCAAAATTAGGAGTATGGTAATTTTGTTCTGTTGAGCTATAGCTTTTATGAAATTTTATATTCTGATTAAACCCGATAGACAAAAATATGTAACAAATTGTAATATTTACAGGAGATGTTTTGTGTGTACATGTGTTTGCTGAGTCATATCATATTTTAGACTCTAAGTCACACTTGGTAGATTTTGTATACTTCATGAAGAACTTGTGTTTCATTTTTTCATTTTTTCTTCCTTGTTATAATTGAAGGTGAAATTCTCAATCATCATTTCCTATTTTTTTCCTATTGTTGTTTCTTTTCTCATAGTATAAAAATATAGTGATTTTTTTAGCTTAAATTCACCAGACCAGCAAAAATGTGTAATAAATCACACTTCTAAAGAACATTAAAATCAGCTTCCCAAGATGTGAATGTGTGATACATCTCTTCCATGATGTTGTCTCTCCTAGTCAAGCTTTAAATAACAATGGAAACTCTTACTTTTGTTATGCCATAAATAGAGTCATAATGAAACCATTTCAGCTTTCAGAAAACACAGGAGACAGCATATTACATCCATAACTTTTTCAAAGGACCCATGACAAGAGTTTGAATATTTGTTGACATATTCCTGTATTTTAAATGAGCAAAGCCACCCTGGGATGTAAGTATAAAACATAAGAGAAACAAAAAGAATATATTCTAGAGAGTATGCTTATCATGGGCCCACAACCTTGCATATGACTTCCTTGAGTCTTTAGTAGAATTCAGAGAATGGCTTATACATTCCATGTTAATTCTTCAGATCTTTTTGTTCACCCTGAACATCATTTATCCCTATGATCAGAACTACCAATTTTTGAAGCAGCTGGGTCCCTTCATTAATATTCTTTCAATTATTAAAGCTTCTCTACATACTTATCTACTCCATTTCAGAGCTTCCATAATTAACAGCAGCTTTTTATAATGGTACTTTTAGCCGAATAATGAAAACAGTCGTTTTTACTTAAAGTAGCCTCATCAACAAAATAGAATAAAATTCATAATGTTATGTACTTTCTTTGAAAACTATAAGCTGACTAATATTATTTACAATTTAATGTGTTTATTAAAATTTGTTTAATCGCCTTTGTCTTCTTTATTTATGCACTTTTTTTTTCTGTTTGTCTTTACAACAAAGAGACCAAACCCATTTCATCAAAGAAACTTACAACTTTTTGATGAAATGCTTGTTATTTATTTTGGTTTATTATTTAAAGACTTGTCTGCTTTCCACTAGATCTTCTGGTTAATTATGTTTGAGATTTTAATTTGCATGCTTTTCACTTCAGTTAAATAGTTTTGAAGATAGAGAAAGATAATGAAATAAATCTCTGGCAATTGGAAAATCTCTACATAAGAACACAATCATTTTTGATTCCTAAGTTCTGTAACCGTGGGTTCTGGAGCTTGGCGAGGCATCCTCTAATACTTATAATGCTTACTGTCTTCCCTTGCTTGTCTTAGTGGTAACCCATCATCCTTCAGTGCTACACAGAGCATCCAGCAGACACAAGTGTTCAGGTCACAAAGCTGAGTTCTTGTACCTGGTTTCACTAATGGGACTTATATTTTGCTGTAAGCATGCTGGGAGGGTCTAATCTTTTATTCAAAAGATAAACTTCTTCAGTTTAAGATTAAATATTATTGCTCATAAAATACCATAAATCTCCTCTTTGTCTTTTAAAATAGAAATGAAGGTTCTGTTAAACATTTAAAAGATACACAAGAATGGCTGCTGATAAAAAAGAAGGTTGAAGCAATAAGGGTAATAAAAATTCAAATATAAATTAGTAGAATAAAGTTATTTCAGATAAAATAATAATTGTCTGAATTATAGGATGAGGGATGTGGGATGGATCTTATTATTTAATACCATATACTCTTTTAGAGATGTGGGAACCAAGATATCCTTGACTGTTGAACTTCAAAACTCCTAGCTAGGTAGAGCAGTGTCTTGCATTTTGAGGATTCTCAATTCATAAACTTGCCTTCCATTAGTGTTGGGGTCCTTTGTTTCTTTCCATGAAACTCTGTCCCTCAGTGTAACAGTACTACCTTCAACATACAAGCAGCATCATGGACTCTGGGCCTCCAAGGCCAACATCTTAAATCTAGCTCAGCTTTATAAAAATCAAAAGGCAATCTGAAGGACTGGGTCCATCTCAGTCATCAGTCTGATGATTATGACCAGGTTCTCTGGTCATTATATGACCTGATTCTCTGTGTACACATCAGAAAATGATTAGAACATGATCACCAAATTTTTCTAGGAGCCTTACTTGTAAAAAAAAAAAATTGTATTTTTCAATGGTTTCCTTGGAGTTAAACATCTTGGGGTGAAGGGCAAAAATTACTTAATTAAAAAATAACTTTAAAAACAACAACAATAACAAGCCAAAGCATCATCTGGGCATTTAGGAAAAGAAAAGGAGATTCATGAATCCCAAAAATGTGGCTTTCATAAAGTAATAGATCACTGTTATCTATTCCCAATATTGCTATATCAGAAAGAGGTTTAAACTGTATTATAGTGTCATGCATATGATATAGACATTATACGGACACACATTTTTTCCCTTTAAATAAGATTATATGAATTAACCCAAGTATGATTTGGAAAGTTCTACTAAAATTAACACATCCTTTGAAAATGGCTGCTGGAAGGTAAACTATTAAATCTTATTCACTTAATTTGTTTGCCTTATTTAGATCTTGTTTTGGGTCTTCACTAAGCAAGTCTAACCTGATCAACCAGCTGGTGATAATTAAGTTCTACTTCACCATTGGCATTGCAGATGGCAGCTGTTATCCTAGTCATCCATCCAAACAAAAAGGATGGCAAAAAGCCCTCCCAGATCAATTATAAAATAAATTCATTTTCCTCTCTTTTTCTTCTGGGAAAAAGAAATTCAGCCTAAAAGGCCGACAACTTTTATTTCTAAAATTAAATATTTAGAGCAAATTCACCCCAGAAACGTGGAAAAGAGAAAGATTATTGGCATGTCCCTGAAATTAGAATTTATCTTGTTTATCAAGAGAGCAAGATAAACTGAAAAATTTGCTTTTAATCATACTTTCTTGATTAAAAAAAGATAAATTCTAACTTTAGGAATATGTGTATGTATATATACAGATAGATGAGTATTTCTTTGAAGATTTTACACACCGTGCAATGGACTTTGCTATAAGTATTTATTGCTACTGCTCAACTATTATTATTTATTTAATATTATTAAATTTTCTAACTGCAATGTATGGTATCCCACCAAGGCCTGTTAAGATTTCACTTGTCAGAGACTTCAGTGATAGAGATTGTATAACAGGCCACAGGCATCCAGAAATCTAAGAATAAAACACTAGATAAGAGCATTTTCTTTCCAGGCAGCCTTAGTTAGCATTGGGATTATGCAGAGTGAATTGCTTGTTTACTCTGGTGATACAAATGCAATACATTTAGGGGTGATACGCAGTCATGGGCCAATTAGGCAGCAGCTGGAATCAATGGAGGTTGTTCAGACAGAAGCTCGGAGGGTCTATTGAAGCCATGCTGTTCCAGGAACTCTAGAAAGGCTGCTTTCTCAGAGAAAATCCTTCTCTCCTTATCCGCCCTGTTTTTTAAAACTCAAGTGCAGTTTCTGTGGAATTTCCCCCTGCAGTACAATTATAGAGTCTCATTCTGAAAGCATTTGACTCTATAATAACAGCAACAGCAGCCTCAGCCGTTAGATAATGGCCTGAAATTTGAGATCGGGAAATGTTTTTCTAGCAATGGCTGATAATGGATAATAAATAGTGGCTTTAGATTATATGAGACTGCTAGGGATCAATGTTCTAAAATGCTTCTTAGCATTGATGCTGTTTTTAGTGACAGAATGAGCATTGCTGTTCATGTTAGTAGCAGCATGAACAGCAGACTGCAGATGTGGAAAATTAAGGAAATTTGAGGGTCCCAAATCCCCCCAAAATTCATACTTCAACATGTAGTAGAAATGAGTAAAAGACACAGAAGGCATAAATTTTATTAAAATACCTTAAATGGGTAATTCTATAGTCAATGACAAATTAGAAACAGTGAATTAACTTGTGCTAGACTGCAGTAGAATATTTTACTGAACTTTGATCTCTGCTTTTTTGTTTTGCTACTATACCTAGCATATATGTGTTTCAGTTGTGTCTAAATTTCAGCAACCTATGATTTGTGTATGCTTTCTTTTAATATTTATAAAATTGTTGGAGTAGGTAGCTAGGCACAAGTGTGCAGAACAGGAGAGGGCCCCCTACCAAGAATGTCAGGCAATGATCAGTTAGTTGATGGTCAGGCGGTTGTTAAACTGTCTCTGTAAAATAATAATTGGTCACAGCCAGTGCTAGGGAAAAATAGTCTCCCAATACAAAGAAAACACCTGAAGCTGGTGATTAGCAGTTCCTGATAGAATCTCAGGATGAGCAGTCCCAAGCATGCACACTAAGAGGCAAAGTGGCCGAGTTTAACTGGCCTATGACCTTCCTCTAGAACACTCGACTGGTAAGGGAAAAACACCTCAAGTGAACATGTGCACAACTTCAGTAAACACACTGGGCATGTGGCCCCTCCCAGGCCACTGCACGTGCAGATAGCCCACTCCAAGAGAAGAATCAAGGGAGAAAAAATGCAAACCCCAGGACCAGGCCAATGTACAAAACTGCAAGTCAAGGGCCGAATGGCACAATTGGATCTTTCAAGTTGCCAGCTTGGCTTCTTCCAAGTGTACTTTACATCCTTTCATTCCTGCTCTAAAACTTTTTAACAAACTCATTCCTGGTCTAAAACTTGCCTTGATTTCTTCCTCTGCCTTAAATCTCCTCCTGCTCCTCAGCCAAATTCTTTCCTCTGAGGAGGCAAGGATCAAGTTTGCTGCAGACCCATTGGATTTGCTGCTGATAGCAAAGTCATGCTAGAAGTCGTATAAAATTCATAAATGACAGACAAATTCTTTAAGTGTAAAAAAGTGCTGATGGATCAAATGCTTAAAAATTTGATACAGTTACTCTATTATCTTACATAATACAGTTGAATGCAACATAGTTCCTGGCCACTTAAAGTATTTTTCCCCCTGGTATTAAATCACTTATTATTAGATCACTAGATTGACCATTGTATGCCTTGTATTAGGTAGCTTCTTTTTTTAGTACTATGACACCTATTATTTTAAAGTATTTATTTAGACAGGCATTGAGAAATAGGAGCATACAATCTTCTGCAAAATAATGATTTTGATAAGCAGAATTACATAAAATAATACTGGAAAATATTGGAAATCAAGTCTTAGACTATTGACTATTACAATTTCTTTTCACTTTTTTTAACTTTTGTCTCTTCTTTACCTTCTATCTTCTATTGTTTAATTCACCTTGCCTTCATCCCCTGATTCTTTCTCCATGTACTTGCATGTGTGTTTTAATTCTTCTGAAATAAAGTGTGTAGTGAAGACGATTTAAAGGATCAGATTCCAGTTGCATAAAACCTCTCCAAGAGAATTACTGGGTATCAGAACCCAGAAGCATACTTTGGTGATCCTAGAGACCCCACCTTGATAATGCTCTTCCGGCAGAGCCCTGCCGGGCACTTGCTAGGTAACAGCCAAACGGCCCTTACCTGGCTTCAATCAGACCAAATAGTGCAGCACCATCCAATGCTTTGCAGAAACCTGAGAGAGCTGTTTCAACATTGGACTTGCTTATTGTTTATTTTTCTTCTGTATGGAACTCTAACTAGTGAAGAGAAGAGAATTAATAAAACAGCCAAGTGCGTTTCAGCACACCAGATAGGCTGGAGAGACCATAGTCAACCTCTTACTTGGAGATGTGTCCTACATGTAGCCGCTTACCGTAGAGTACTGTACCTTAGAGAAGCAACATTTTAGAGATGATCTTGGAGATTCTGGTATTATTCCTGCTAACAATTTAAAGATCAACCCCTTTATTTACTATAAAATAGAAAATAACCCCTTGTTAAATGTAGAAATGAGGTTTCAAAGAAACTGTATGCTTAATGCTCCATAGAAACATGAAACTTTGGAAACTATTGAATAGATGGCCTGTTTCTATTCTACATATAATTTCAAAACTTAAAAAAATTCAAACCAGATTAGTTGTGAACCACGGCATTTTCCAAATACTAATTCATTCTCTGTCTCACAGTTTACTAGCATCCACCTCGTAAGGCTTTTGAGGATTTAATAAGTTAATACATTTATAATCGCTCAGAACATTGTCACAGAGTGTTCAAAAGTATGACCTGTTGCAATTTTATGACCTGTGTGCTCATAATGTTAACTACAGAGGAACTTACATAATTGATATATTTATTAAATAACTTTTAATATAAATAACATGTATAAAATACAATAAAATCAGCTAACAAGAGAATGGGAGTAAATTATTTTTTCTTGGGTTGGAGGCAAGTGCCGGAAAGCCTTCATGTGAGGTAATGTTTGAGTAGGGTTTTCAAGGATAGATAGAAGCTTGCTAAGTAGACAAAGACAAGATTAACTTTCAATGCCGGCCAAATAACATTACTCTGTGTTTAGAGACAGCCAGTATTTCCCTCATATTTGCTAGATAAATGTTTCTATTTTAATGTGTACCTACATCACCTGAAGACCTTGTTAAAGTTTCAGATTCTGATTTAGTAGGTCTGAATCAGGACCTAATATTTTGTACTTCTCAGGCTCTGAGTATGAAGACACTAGATTATTATAAAATCTTCCCTTGGTACCATATACCCCCCCAATTATATGGGGACCTCCGCATATACCAAAATCTGAGCATACTTAAGTCCCACAGTCAGTTCTGTGAAACCCACAAATGGAAAAACTTGACCCATCATCTAATTGGGTTTTACATCCTATGAATACTTTATTTTCAATTTGTCGAAAAAGTCCATGTGTAAGTGGACCCACACAGTTCAAACCTGTGTTGTCCAAGAGTCAAATGTAGTCTTGTCTTAACATTGTCTTTAGATACTGTTAACTTATTTTATAAAAAAACGTGTATCCTTAAAGCATAAAAGAAAATAATGCAGAACTGTCATTACTCACTCAAATCTTTACATGAGCTGATTAACAATCTCTGGTGGATCTTATTTTAGCAGTTGTTAACCTGAGGTCCATGAATGAGTTTTAGGTGTCTGCGAGTCCCTCAAATTGTAGACATACTTTTGTGTGTCTGTAAGCTTAATGGTTTTTCATGGAAGAGGGGTCATATTTTTCAACTGTTTTTCATGATGTTCCTCCTCTGCCTGATTCATGAGTGGAGCTTCTGGTATTCTATTTTCAGTCATTTAAATACACATCTCTTGGAGCTGTTTTGAGCTGCGGTCAGCTGCCTTTACCGACTTATGTATAGTTTTCTAAATAGAGACCTAGAAGTCACTTCGCTAAAGTTGCTTTGGACAGATTCAGTGGGATATACAAACAACAAATCTAGGAGTTTAGTCAGTAATTTGTTCTCATAAGATCTGCTAGATCTAGTCCCACTGGGCTATGAAGGCTAGCTGAGACTTAGCCCTATCACATCAATGAGACAGTAGGGGTGTATTCAGGAACCTGGGAGCTAGACTAGATAAAAGTGGGCTTCTTTAAGGCCTCAGAAGTGAGAGAGACGGGCTTATAACTTGGGAAGACAAGGATTTAAGAAAGGTTTTAAATTAAGAATTTCTTAATAGGAGTTTTCTTCCACTGAGACCCAAAATGCCTACATGGAATTGGCAAGAAGTGCTCAGAATACCAGTGGTGTTTGAGGGGCACATTTATAATCCAAAGCCCTCACAGCCTACCAGAACCTGATGGAATTTTTGAGAGACACCATAATCAGAGGACAGGTGCGACAAGAGCCAGGGCCCTCTCCTGGTTCCAGGTCTCATTTCTGAGGACTGAAAGCTTACAATCCAAACCACAAAGCTGAATGTCTCTGGCATCCTTGGCCTGACCTGAGCCAATGCATGCACATGGGCTCTGCTGAGGTGAAGGGTGAGCAGCAACAGGCAGTGCCAGGATTGTCAGGTGGCAGTGGCATTGTGGGTTATGTTCGGAGCCTGCAGCTATAGGGAGAAGTATGGTCTTGCTCCTGCAGATGAGTTCTGGAAAGAACTGGATGGCTTGTCAGGGTTCTAGTCAAGTCAAATGACCCAAGGTTTAGTGAAATGCTTTAGTTTCAACTGAGAAAACTCGAGGATACATCAGAAATCAAGATGAATATCTGGTTATATATATTTTATACACAGGAAGTCAGAAAGAAAGGCTACAGCCAAGTAAGCATACAAATTAATATTGGCTTGTCCTAGATCTACTAGATGCCACAATGAGGGTAGCAGTGGGTAAATCTAGACCTCAAGCACTGAGGAACTAGAGCTGCTGATATATGGCCAGCCTTAGTTAGTAATGAGTTGAAGTATTAATTAGTATTGAGTATATGCTGGCTGAAGAGCTTCAGTGCATGCATTTAGTCAGACCAAGGACAGGACAGCTGCTGGTGTGTGATAGGAACATGATGCTACCTAAGCACATTCTCTATTTGAGTTGTATCTTGGTAACAATTACAGAATCTGTAATGCGTAAAATTGACTTCTGATTCTGTAATCATGTGTTCACTTGAGAAGAGATAGTGAGATTTTATAGCAGGTGCTCAGGACAGGTGCTAGAATCAGAGAAGTGAGAATCATTTGCAATGTCTGGGTTCATGTTAGACTAGGTTCCTATTGAGACTCTCAGTAAGAATGAGGATGATTTGCTAGTTTTGAGGAGGGCAGCACAGATCATGGCATGAAAATATTTAGCCTATCAGTTATAGTCCCTTTTTTCATTTAATTAACATTTATTCAGTGCTTCAGTATATGTTCACAACACTGTCTTAGATTTTGATAATGAAATATCTAAATTTCAGTCAGATAAAGGGACAGGCAGTCCATGAAGACAAGACAAAATCCACATTTCAGGACAAACAAATATCATGACTCTAAGTGTTACAAGTGTTATAAGGAAAAACATACATACACACACACTCACATACAGTATTAGTCCATTCTCATACTGCTATGAACAAATACCTGAGACTGGGTAATTTATAAAGAAAAAGAGGTTTAATGGACTCACAGTTACACATGGTTTGGGAGGCCTCACAATCATGGAAGAAGGCAAAAGAGGAGCAAAGGCATGTCTAACATGGCAGCAGGCAAGAGAGCATGTGCAGGGGAACTACCCTTTATAAAACCATTAGATCTCATGAGACGTATTCACCACGAGAAAAGCATGGGAAAAACCCACCCCCGTGATTCAATTACCTCCTATCAGGTCCCTCTCATGACAAGTGGGGATTATGGGAGCTACAATTCAAGATGAGATTTGAGTAGGGACACATCTAAACCATATCTCATATACACACACACACTCACACACACACACACACACAATTCTGGGCTAGTATATCAGTACTGAAGGGGCTCTTTTAGGGTAGTCAAGGGAGGCTTGCTAAGGAGGTGACAAAAGCCAAATTATATTTCCTCCCTTTAGTTTTCACTGTTCCTTTATGGCAGAGCCCTTGCTGGTAGACAGATGTGGGGTACAAGACAATCAGGAGGGCAGAGTGTCAGTCCTACAAAGAAGCTGCAGTGCTGAGAGGGCAATAAGATGGATACTGAGGTCGGACACCTGGGTAATAGGCCAGACCTTTGTATGGGCCCTTTCTATGGCTGGGGATAGGGAGAATTTCCCTTTAGGAGTTGAGGGGCCAGCAACTTAGTCTCTCAGTCAGTGGAGACAGGGTGGGAGGGTGAGTAGCAGGTAAGAGCCTACCTGGCAATTATGGAGGGATAAAAATATCCAGATCAAGGGAGTGTCCCCAGCATGCATTCAGCTTCCCTTCTTGGATGATACCCCTGAAAAATCTGAGAAGCTGTAGGATAGTCAAATGTGACCTTCCAAAAGTTGCTGATACCAGTCAAATTGATACCAAACACTAATCTAAAGACTCATAAATGTGTGTCGCTGAATTCATTCAAAGGTCCTGGTCAGTTATTTAAAACCTTCCTGTGATTAATAGACTTAAACCTTACCAACGAGAGTGAGAGAGAGAGAGACAGAGAGAGAGAGAGAGAGAGAGAGAGAGACTGTGTGTGTGAGAGAGAAAACCATGCAAAAATTGTCTTTGATGACTAAAATTAACAGAATAAACTCATAGGATAAGTCAAATCATCTTCTCAGACTATGGTTTTTTTTTTTTTTGAAGTGAAAAAAAAAACTCTTCAAAAACTTCTCCTAGAGCAAGAAAAACTTCCAAAATCTGAGAGAAATGACAGGTATTTTAAGACTAAAGTTTGATTAGAAATGTGATAAGATAAAGGTAGTTCTCAGGAACAATGGAGGAAATTTGAAAATACTCCCTCTGAACTCCAGAAATAGAAATGCAAATCTGAAACTGTCGCTGAATGATTTAAAGAAGTTGAACAAACTTAACATAATCATATTGCAGATCAGGCGATTCTGAGGTGAAATTAAGGATGAAAATCATATGAAAGAGGAAAAGGTCAGAGAAAAGAAGCAAGAGTAGGGAAATAAAAGGCAAAAGAAAATCACAGAAAGAGGCAGAACAAAGGCCATCTTCACTTTGCACTTAACTCAGGTATGTCCTCCTGGTCTGTCTTCTAGGGTAGGGGCAAGAAGCTGATCTAGAAGCCAGATAAATTTGATGTTTCTGTTTATCCATTTCACCTAAAATGCTGATTTCCTCTCTCTTCATCCAGTTTTCTTCTGCTTCTAGTTTTTATTTTCTGGTTATCCTGATCAATTTTGATTTTCCTTTTCCTGGAGTGTTCATAGAGAAGATACAGCTTAGACTGACAGACAATTGGGTCATCAGAATAAAATCTAGGATAGTTTCATATGTATAAGATATGCTATATTTTAAAGTAAACTTTGAAGTTGATTCAATTTCACACTTCCAATCAAATGGCACTATTGTAATAGAGAGCCATTATAAAGAAGCTACAGAACTTCAAGCTTAGATTTCCTCAGCTTTGATAAATTGAGGTCTGCAATACACTGCCCTTAAAAAGTCTCCTTCACTAAAATACCTTACTCATTCTGACCAGAGTGAGGGCTATATAGCATACTCATCCTCAACTGTGGAGAAGCTAGAATAAATGGTGTAGGGTCTTCTGTGTCTTGGGGAAGCTCTATGTGTGCATCTCACATGCCACCCTTCTTGACACTGTATTAGTCAAGTCCTCTTGCCTATACTTCTGTTTTGGTTTCTGATGAGAACTTTACTTTTCTCTGATAAGGTTGACACATTGTTGAGAAGTTCAGCAAGCTTACAGAGGCTCTGACTTTCAGCCTATCTCTCGTCTTTTGTGGGTCCTTCCTCTTAGGAGAATACACAAGACATTATTCCCTGACATGCTTTTTGAGGCTCTGTAAGAAATGAACACTTTACCAAAAACCCCTTTGTAGCCTGCTGCGTGAAAGTGAGAATTACCACTGTGGGGAAATTCCAGCTCAGTGGTTCTCCACTCTGGCTTCACATTAAAAACACCTGGGGCATTTAAAAACCAATGCAGATACCTCAGCCCCCAGTCCAGGAAAGTTAATCAGAATCACTTGGATATAGGTAGTTTCGAAAGCTCCCCAGGTGATCCTCATGTATTGCCACAGCTGAGAATCATTGCCTCTGTTAGTTGCTCTGCCCATCTAATTGAAATAGATTCTCTCAGGTGTCGCTGAATAAGGACCAGGTTTACTTAAGCTCACCATTTCTGTAGAAATTTAGATTCTGGTAACCACTATCAGGAGATCTGTATTAGGTCAGTTCACTCAACCCTGGCTTTCCTATTTCAGCTTCCTTTGCAACTCTGTCAGTGGAAGACAAGTTGGGGTAGACAGGGTACAAGGACAGCATGGAAGAAAGAAAAAAATGCATCCCATTTTTTGTTATTTTCTCAACAGTCTCTGAAAGAAAAGAAAAAGAAGGTGAGTGTGAATAAAACCTTTGCAGCTTTATTCAAAGTGTTAGAATCTATACCCTATATTTCTTGTTGGATATAAACTAGGGCAAATAACATCCTCAGAAAAGTGTTTCTTTTCTTGTTGCCAAAAATGTAAAACTAGGATAAAAGATAAAAAGTTTTCTACGTGAGGGTTAGAGACAACTCATCTGTTAATTTCCTGCTCCTGTTGGCTTACTTGCCTAGCCTTCTGACTTCTGCTGCCTATAAAAAAGTCATATATGGGCATTTGCAGTTTTGATGAGGTAAAATTTTAGAATACTCTGGATGAGATACCGTCACAGAGTAAAATGGTGGGGTTCATCATATTTCATTAGGATAAGCTGAAGGGAAATATTTGTAGGTAATTTAATTTCCAGAAATAAGAGTTCAAGTGTGATCGTTAGGTCAGTGGAGAAATTAAACTTATTCTTTATAACTTATTAAGTCCAGTGAGAAATGTCTAGGAGTGGATGTAGAGAAGTACAGTGACTTTTAGTAAAAAGGTTATTCCAAGTAACACTCTTTGGAGCCTTCAGGAATGAAAACGTAGGTATGAGGCATTCTCACTTGGATTTTAATGGTTCTGATAAAATGGCATGGAGGAGTAGTGATTTGAAAAAGAGCAAATACCACCCAGTTGCTTTTTATTAGGGTTATAGAATTGTACCTGGTAAAAGGAATAACCAAGAACCCGTGATGAAGCTCTGGGAAGTCACTTGAGTGAAGCCGAGAAAACTACCTTATTTGAAAAAAAGCACACATCCTAAAAGAAAATCAGATGAAAGATTATGTTCTCTCTCAAATGGTATCTGGTTAGCAGGGCCTGAGGCAGAAACTCAACATTGAAAACTAACACAGACAGATACCCTGCCACCCTTATCCTGGAGGAATTTCTAATTTTAACAACAGCAGACCCAGAGTGAAATCAGCTTCTGTATCTCCTCAGTGAGCAGCAGTTACTCTTATTCAACAAATGTTTGTAGAATACATGAATTATGTATAAGAATATATATAATTATATAAGAGAATGAATAATGAGATAAAAAGAAATCAAGAAGGCACTTTAACCCTGCCACATTGGTAATATCAATCAAATGTCTTCAATTAATTCCTACCCTTTGATCTAGCAATTATACCTTAGGAATCTGTTCTAAGGATATAAAAAATGCAAATTTATGTGAAGTATCTTCATAAAAGCATTATTCATAATATTAAAACATTACAATATTGGATTAAATCGAAATGTTCAATAATGTGAAAATAATTAGATGATTGCATATTATGTTTCTGAAGGCTGTATATTATAAAAACCCGCATTTTCTACTAAGTGGGAAAAATAAATGTATATACACATTTTTCTTATAATTAAAGAAATAAGTGACTTTTCTGTCTGTCTACAAAAGACTAAAAAGAAATATATCACCATGTTGACGGTAGATATCTGGGTATTTGGGTAATAGATTGTTATTGTCTACATCTTGTACAATAAGTTTTGTGTTACTTTTTTATTTGAAAAAAACCAGAGATATTAATTTTAGGAAGCTTTTTTATATCTTGAGATTGTAGATAAAGATACTGTACAAAGATTCCTCTGATATGGTTCAATCAAAGAGTATTTACCATGTGGTAAGCACTGCATATGGTTGTAGATGGTATTGAAGTTTCTTCAGAAGGTGTCTGGGGGCAGAGAGCTAGCTATCTGGTTGAAATAGTACAAAAGTCCATTTAATGTATGCTAAATTGAAAGGCCTGATTGAAGTACTGGGGAGGGACAGAGTAGATTGAGGTATACGAGCTGCTGTAGGCAGAATGACTTCAAGAGTATTGAGGCTGATGAAATTTCAAGTTGTCCCTAAAGAACAAGGTGTTACAGGCAGGGCAAGTGGTAGAAGTAGAAACAAACACTGAGTGAGCTATGAAAAAAAGACAAGGCAAATCTGAATGGAGATTGCATGTTGGGGAATAGTGGAAAATAAACTTAGATAATTTGGGGGAAGTTGGATTTTGAGCAGGGTTATGAATTGGCAAGAGAACTGATAGGGCTATGTGTGTTCAATGTAAGAATGAAATAAGTAAAGCAACTAAGTCAGTTGTTGCAATTTTTAAAGGACTAGGGGAAATGAAAGAACTAGACTGAGTGGGATCTACGCAATTGATGATACAGAAGCTATAAATAGTCACCATCAAATGGTTGTTGGGAGAAAACACAATCTGCAAGATAAAAATGGGGGAGGTAAGGCCAGGCTTTTGCCTGTAATCTCAGCACTTTGGAAGGCCAAGGTAGGAAGATAACTTCAGGCCAGGAGTTCAAAACCAGCCTGGGCAACATAACAAGACCCTGTCTTTACAAGAAAAAAAAAATAAATTGGGCAGAATAAAAAGAATAAGCCTTTTAGGTTGTGAGTTACAGGAAAAAGAGGTAAAGAACATAAATGAACAAGGCAAACACATGAGGAAGTGTGCTCTTGGCTAAGGAGTACAAAAATTCAAAATAGCAGAGTGATTCAACTCATTCGTCTGAGTGCCTCCCAGAAACCATATTGCTGCTTTGAACGTGGAAACTGTAACTGAATGAAACGTTGTGTTGTTTGCATTCTGTTGCCATCTGCTGTGAAAGCAAGGCCCTGAAGGTTTTACCTACAAAGAAAAACTTAAATTCTTAAGATGTTTTGGAAATTTTTCTCAAAAAAAAGAAAAAAAAACCCACAAAATTTTCTCAAGAGCTCCAAAGAATGCATAATGACAAGTAAACAAGGCAGAATTTAAAAAGAAAGAAAGAAAAATCTTGCAAAGAGTTACAGGGATATGTTACTGGCATCGAGAAGGAAGAAGGCAGATTTGTAATGATGAGTGAATTAAATAGAAATATAATTTGTCTTGATTCATA
Source organism: Homo sapiens (assembly GCF_000001405.40). Lineage (NCBI taxonomy): Eukaryota > Metazoa > Chordata > Mammalia > Primates > Hominidae > Homo > Homo sapiens. Next base: position 114,718,692 of record NC_000006.12, read on the forward strand.
GTATCCCAGATAAAACAGAATTTTTAATTAAACGTATAATTATTACAGAAAAGGCAAGAAACTCTGTGCCTTGAGGTGAGAGAGAAAGTAAATGGGATGCCACAGGGTCAGTGATCTGCTGTGGGCAGCCCCTGATGCTTTTGTGACTGTTGGTCCAGCTTTTGCACTAGATAGTTCCAGGGGTCTTGAAAAATGGAAATCTGGATCAATGTTGCCATCTGCCCAGGCTTAGTTTTGGCAAGCTGTTAACTTATTGCCTCGGGTCATACATTGATTCCTAGATTAAAGGATTAAAGTACTAATGTAAATACTCTAATCCAGCTACCAGAACCACAAAATGGAGGAATAGGCCTCCAACTTTTAATTTAATTATGCTGTCTATTCAGGATATTTAACAAGGGGGCTATTATGTCATGTGTAGTAAGCATTTCTAAAGGCTCTGATGAAGGAAGTCAAGTCTTGTGAAAAGATCTGCCTTATAAAGAAGGTTACTGAATGGTTTTAATTTTTTAAAAATCTTGTTGAGACCAACTGAGATTAAGTTAATAAAGGGTTAGAAAGATAATTCTGGAAGATAAATGAACAACAAAAAATTCTGAGTAAAAACTAATTGAACAAATGACATAACATTTTAAAATGCAACCAGCAAAATTAAATGCAAAGATTAAGGCACCCCACTTTTAAATACTCTTAATAAAAATAAATAAAGCATAGAAATTATATAAAGAGCTACTTTATTTGTCTTGTTTTTATTTTTTTGAAAGATACATGATATCTGGATATCCTAAAAAACATGTGAGTCTGTTGTGATCACCAATAATAGTAGTTGATGAGGCTTGTGATGGCCATTGATGTCAGGATTAACTGTGTGGTATCTGCAAAGCTAGGGAGTATGCCTAAAGAAATATTGTTATTGAACTCCTGGGAATCACTCGTTAATGAATGTGTGGGTTAAACTACAAGTTTATTACCTGGTACATTTTTAAGGAGAGCATTTCTACTAACAGCATTTGTCCAAAATGATCTGAAGAACATCAATAAAGAACTGTAACACCTCTGCAAAATGATGCATTTATAAACTTTGACCATAGGTGACCTTATTAGCTATGGCAGTAAGATGCTGCTGAGAGTGACAGGCACTAATCATAGTCCTTGTAGAACTGGAAGGAGCTTTAGAAAAGGATCTTTGCCAATCCTTTCATTTTATAAATAAGGGAGCTAAGGCCAGATAGGTTGTCGCTTGCCCAAGGTCATATCATTAACTGGTAGTAGAGCTAGGACTGGAATACCAATCTCCAGAGAAATCTTGGATTGACAGTTCTGACATTGGGCATCTTTCCTGGATATCACCTTGCCCTATCCTACCCTGAATCAAGAATAATGTAGACTCTTCCAAAGAAACAACAACAACAAAAGAGGCTACTGATGAGAGAAAAACAGGTGCAAGAGAATGATAATTTCAAAAGCTATTAGAGGGTAGTATATGTATATGTTTTCCTACCAAATTTAATATTAAAGACTGAGGGGTGTGTTTATAACACATTTCTTTTCCTTTTTTTTTTTTGAGATGGAGTCTTGCTCTGTCGCCCAGGCTGGAGTGTGGTGGTACGATCTCGGCTCACTGCAACCCCCACCTCCCGGATTCAAGCAATTCTCCTGCCTCAGCCTCCCTAGTAGCTGGGATTACAGGTGCCTGCCACCATGCCCAGCTAATTTCTGTATTTTTGGTAGAGACAGGGTTTCACCATGTTGACCAGGCTGGTCTTGAACTCCTGCCCTCGTAATCTGCTGGCCTTGGCCTCCCAGAGTGCTGGGATTACAGGCATGAGCCCCTGCGCCCAGCCTCATAACACATTTCTTCAAGATACAAGATTTCTTTAAGATATACAGAATATGGAGGTGACTTAAATACTTGTTATTATCACCAGTATCACCATCGTCATGCCATTATCATTACTTGAGAACTAATAATGTGCCCGACACTTTTAGATATTTTACAAACATTATATCCTTGGTTCTTTTTTTTTTTATTTTTTTATTTTTTATTATACTTTAAGTTTTAGGGTACATGTGCACATTGTGCAGGTTAGTTACATATGTATACATGTGCCATGCTGGTGCACTGCACCCACTAACTCATCATCTATCATTAGGTATATCTCCCGATGCTATCCCTCCCCCCGCCCCCCACCCCACAACAGTCCCCAGAGTGTGATATTCCCCTTCCTGTGTCCATGTGATCTCATTGTTCAATTCCCACTTATGAGTGAGAATATGCGGTGTTTGGTTTTTTGTCCTTGCGATACTTTGCTGAGAATGATGGTTTCCAGCTTCATCCATGTCCCTACAAAGGACATGAACTCATCATTTTTTATGGCTGCATAGTATTCCATGGTGTATATGTGCCACATTTTCTTAATCCAGTCTATCACTGTTGGACATTTGGGTTGGTTCCAAGTCTTTGCTATTGTGAATAGTGCCGCAATAAACATACATGTGCATGTGTCTTTATAGCAGCATGATTTATAATCCTTTGGGTATATACCTAGTAATGGGATGGCTGGGTCAAATGGTATTTCTAGTTCTAGATCCCTGAGGAATTGCCACACTGACTTCCACAATGGTTGAACTAGTTTACAGTCCCACCAACAGTGTAGAAGTGTTCCTATTTCTCCACATCCTCTCCAGCACCTGTTGTTTCCTGACTTTTTAATGATCGCCATTCTAAATGGGGTGAGATGGTATCTCATTGTGGTTTTGATTTCAATTTCTTTGATGGCCAGTGATGATGAGCATTTTTTCATGTGTCTTTTGGCAGCATAAATGTCTTCTTTTGAGAAGTGTCTGTTCATATCCTTCACCCACTTTTTGATGGGGTTGTTTGTTTTTTTCTTGTAAATTTGTTTGAGTTCATTGTAGATTCTGGATATTAGACCTTTATCAGATGAGTAGATTGCAAAAATTTTCTCCCATTCTGTAGGTTGCCTGTTCACTCTGATGGTAGTTTCTTTTGCTGTACAGAAGCTCTTTAGTTTAAATTAGATCGCATTTATCAATTTTGGCTTTTGTTGCCATTGCTTTTGGTGTTTTAGACATGAAGACCTTGCCCATGCCTATGTCCTGAATGGTATTGCCTAGGTTTTCTTCTAGGGTTTTTATGGTTTTAGTTCTAACGTTTAAGTCTTTAATCCATCTTGAATTAATTTTTGTATAAGGTTGTAAGGAAGGGATCCAGTTTCAGCTTTCTACATATGGCTAGCCAGTTTTCACAGAACCATTTATGAAATAGGGAATCCTTTCCCCATTGCTTGTTTTTGTCAGGTTTGTCAAAGATCAGATAGTTGTAGATATGTGGCATTATTTCTGAGGGCTCTGTTCTGTTCCTTTGGTCTATATCTCTGTTTTGGTACCAGTACCATGCTGTTTTGGTTACTGTAGCCTTGTAGTATAGTTTGAAGTCAGGTAGCGTGATGCCTCCAGCTTTGTTCTTTTGGCTTAGGATTGACTTGACAATGCGGGCTCATTTTTGTTCCATATGAACTTTAAAGTTTTTTTTCCAATTCTGTGAAGAAAGTCATTGGTAGCTTGATGGGGGTGGCATTGAATCTATAAATTACCTTGGGCAGTATGGCCATTTTCACGATATTGATTCTTCCTATCCATGAGCATGGAATGTTCTTCCATTTGTTTGTATCCTCTTTTATTTCCTTGAGCAGTGGTTTGTAGTTCTCCTTGAAGAGGTCCTTCACGTCCCTTGTAAGTTGGATTCCTAGGTATTTTTTTCTCTTTGAAGCGATTGTGAATGGAAGTTCACTCATGATTTGACTCTCTGTTTGTCTGTTATTGGTGTATAAGAATGCCTGTGATTTTTGTACATTGATTTTGTATCCTGAGACTTTGCTGAAGTTGCCTATCAGCTTAAGGAGATTTTGGGCTGAGATGATGGTGTTTTCTAGATATACAATCATGTCATCTGCAAACAGGGACAATTTGACTTCCTCTTTTCCTAATTGGATACCCTTTATTTCCTTCTCCTGCCTGATTGCCCTGGCCAGAACTTCCAACACTATGTTGAATGGGAATGGTGAGAGAGGGCATCCCTGTCTTGTGCCAGTTTTCAAAGGGAATGCTTCCAGTTTTTGCCCATTCAGTATGATATTGGCTGTGGGTTTGTCATAGATAGCTCTTATTATTTTGAGATACGTCCCATCAATACCTAATTTATTGAGTTTTTAGCATGAAGCGTTGTTGAATTTTGTCAAAGGCCTTTTCTGCATCTATTGAGATAATCATGTGGTTTTTGTCATTGGTTCTCTTTATGTGCCGGATTACGTTTATTGATTTGTGTATGTTGAACCAGCCTTGCATCCCAGAGATGAAGCCCACTTGATCATGGTGGATAAGCTTTTTGATGTGCTGCTGGATTTGGTTTGCCAGTATTTTATTGAGGATTTTTGCATCGATGTTCTTCAGGGATATTGGTCCAAAATTCTCTTTTTTTCGTTGTGTCTCTGCCAGGCTTTGGTATCAGGATGATGCCAGCCTCATAAAATGAGTTAGGGAGGATTCCCTGTTTTTCTATTGATTGGAATAGTTTCAGAAGGAATGATACCAGCTCCTCCTGTACCTCTGGTAGAATTCGGCTGTGAATCCATCTGGTCCTCGACTTTTTTTGGTTGGTAAGCTGTTAATTATTGCCTCAATTTCAGATCCTGTTATTGGTCTATTCAGAGATTCAACTTCTTCCTGGTTTAGTCTTGGGAGGGTGTATGTGTCGAGGAATTTATCCATTTCTTCTAGATTTTGTAGTTTATTTGAGTAGAGGTGTTTATAGTATTCTCTGATGGTAGTTTGTATTTCTGTGGGATCGGTGGTGATATCCCCTTTATCATTTTTTATTGCGTCTATTTGATTCTTCTCTGTTTTCTTCTTTATTAGTCTTGTTAGCGGTCTATCAATTTTGTTGATCTTTTCAAAAAACCACATCCTGGATTCATTAATTTTTTGAAGGGTTTTTTGTGTCTCTATTTCCTTCAGTTCTGCTCTGACCTTAGTTATTTCTTGCCTTCTGCTAGCTTTTGAATGTGTTTGCTCTTGCTTCTCTAGTTCTTTTAATTGTGATGTTAGGGTGTCAATTTTAGATCTTTCCTGCTTTCTCTTGTGGGCATTTAGTGCTATAAATTTCCCTCTACACACTGCTTTGAATGTGTCCCAGAGATTCTGGTATATTGTATCTTTGTTCTCGTTGGTTTCAAAGAACATCTTTATTTCTGCCTTCATTTTGTTATGTACCCAGTAGTCATTCAGGAGCAGGTTGTTCAGTTTCCATGTAGTTGAGCAGTTTTGAGTGAGATTCTTAATCCTGAGTTCTAGTTTGATTGCACTGTGGTCTGAGAGACAGTTTGTTATAATTTCTGTTCTTTTACATTTGCTGAGGAGAGCTTTACTTCCAAGTATGTGGTCAATTTTGGAATAGGTGTGGTGTGGTGCTGAAAAAAATGTATATTCTGTTGATTTGGGGTGGAGAGTTCTGTAGATGTCAATTAGGTCCGCTTGGTGCAGAGCTGAGTTCAATTCCTGGGTATCCTTGTTGACTTTCTGTCTCGTTGATCTGTCTAATGTTGACAGTGGGGTGTTAAAGTCTCCCATTATTAATGTGTGGGAGTCTAAGTCTCTTTGTAGGTCACTCAGGACTTGCTTTATGAATCTTGGTGCTTCTGTATTGGGTGCATATTTATTTAGGATAGTTAGCTCTTCTTGTTGAATTGATCCCTTTACCATTATGTAATGGCCTTCTTTGTCTCTTTTGATCTTTGTTGGTTTAAAGTCTGTTTTATCAGAGACTAGGATTGCAACCCCTGCCTTTTTTTGTTTTCCATTTGCTTGGTAGATCTTCCTCCATCCTTTTATTTTGAGCCTATGTGTGTCTCTGCATGTGAGATGGGTTTCCTGAATACAGCACACTGATGGGTCTTGACTCTTTATCCAATTTGCCAGTCTGTGTCTTTTAATTGGAGCATTTAGTCCATTTACATTTAAAGTTAATATTGTTGTGTGTGAATTTGATCCTGTCATTATGCTGTTAGCTGGTTATTTTACTCGTTAGTTGATGCAGTTTCTTCCTAGTCTCGATGGTCTTTACATTTTGGCATGATTTTGCAGCAGCTGGTACTGGTTGTTCCTTTCCATGTTTAGTGCTTCCTTCAGGAGCTCTTGTAAGGCAGGCATGGTGGTGACAAAATCTCTCAGCATTTGCTTGTGTGTAAAGGATTTTATTTCTCCTTCACTTATGAAGCTTAGTTTGGCTGGATATGAAATTCTAGGTTGAAAATTCTTTTCTTTAAGAATGTTGAATATTGGCCCCCACTCTCTTCTGGCTTGTAGGGTTTCTGCCAAGAGATCCGCTGTTAGTCTGATGGGCTTCCCTTTGAGGGTAACCCGACCTTTCTCTCTGGCTGCCCTTAACATTTTTTCCTTCATTTCAACTTTGGTGAATCTGAGAATTATGTGTCTTGGAGTTGCTCTTCTCGAGGAGTATCTTTGTGGTGTTCTCTGTATTTCCTGAATCTGAACGTTGGCCTACCTTGGTAGATTGGGGAAGTTCTCCTGGATAATATCCTGCAGAGTGTTTTCCAACTTGGTTCCATTCTCCCCATCACTTTCAGGTACACCAATCAGATGTAGATTTGGTCTTTTCACATAGTCCCATATTTCTTGGAGGCTTTGCTCATTTCTTTTTATTCTTTTTTCTCTAAACTTCCCTTCTCACTTCATTTCATTCATTTCATCTTCCATTGCTGATACCCTTTCTTCCAGTTGATTGCATTGGCTCCTGAGGCTTCTGCATTCTTCACGTAGTTCTCGAGCCTTGGTTTTCAGCTCCATCAGCTCCTTTAAGCACTTCTCTGTATTGGTTATTCTAGTTATACATTCTTCTAATTTTTTTTCAAAGTTTTCAACTTCTTTGCCTTTGGTTTGAATGTCCTCCCGTAGCTCAGAGTAATTTGATCATCTGAAGCCTTCTTCTCTCAGCTCGTCAAAGTCATTCTCCATCCAGCTTTGTTCCGTTGCTGGTGAGGAACTGCGTTCCTTTGGAGGAGGAGAGGCACTCTGCTTTTTAGAGTTTCCAGTTTTTCTGTTCTGTTTTTTCCCCATCTTTGTGGTTTTATCTACTTTTGGTCTTTGATGATGGTGATGTACAGATGGGTTTTTGGTGTGGATGTCCTTTCTGTTTGTTAGTTTTCCTTCTAACATAGAGGACCCTCAGCTGCAGGTCTGTTGGAATACCCTGCCGTGTGAGGTGTCAGTGTGCCCCTGCTGGTGGGTGCCTCCCAGTTAGGCTGCCCAGGGGTCAGGGGTCAGGGACCCACTTGAGGAGGCAGTCTGCCCGTTCTCAGATCTCCAGCTGCGTGCTGGGAGAACCACTGCTCTCTTCAAAGCTGTCAGACAGGGACATTTAAGTCTGCAGAGGTTACTGCTGTCTTTTTGTTTGTCTGTGCCCTGCCCCCAGAGGTGGAGCCTACAGAGGCAGGCAGGCCTCCTTGAGCTGTGGTGGGCTCCACCCAGTTCGAGCTTCCGGGCTGCTTTGTTTACCTAATCAAGCCTGGGCAATGGCGGGCTCCCTTCCCCCAACCTCGCTGCTGCCTTGCAGTTTGATCTCAGACTGCTGTGCTAGCAATCAGTGAGACTCCGTGGGCGTAGGACCCTCCGAGCCAGGTGCGGGATATAATCTCGTGGTGCGCCGTTTTTTAAGCCTGTCGGAAAAGCACAGTATTCGGGTGGGAGTGACCCGATTTTCCAGGTGCCGTTGGTCACCCCTTTCTTTGACTCAGAAAGGGAACTCCCTGACCCCTTGTACTTCCCAAGTGAGGCAATGCCTCTCCCTGCTTCGGCTCGCGCAGGGTGCACGCACCCACTGACCTGCGCCCACTGTCTGGGACTCCCTAGTGAAATGAACCCGGTACCTCAGATGGAAATGCAGAAATCACCCGTCTTCTGCGTCGCTCACGCTGGAAGCTGTAGACAGGAGCTGTTCCTATTCGGCCATCTTGGCTCCTCCCCTCCTTGGTTCTTAAAAAAAGAAATATGCATTATTTTAACAAAAACTGTTCTTAAAAAGCATAAGAAACTTGCTTAAGTGGTATACAATTACTAAATAATGGAGCTAAGCTACAAATCCAGGCATCTTTGGTCTCTAAACCTGTGTTCTAATGACTATTTACATCAGCCCACAGCTCACCACTGTTAAAATACAAATATTAACAGAATGACATAATTTGTCTTTTATACCATCATGGAAAGATTTTATTATCAGGTAGCATTCCAGAATACCTCGTATTTTCCCAACTCCCCTTGCAATACCTCATGCAAAATGTGTATCATGTGTCAAGAAGATGCAAAGTGGTGAGTGGCAGAGGAGAACCCGGAGGTAATTATGGGTAGGGTGAGCAGAGGAGAAGGATCCCAGTATGGAAAATGAACCTTCAGCTGGCCTCCTGCGAAATCTGCTCCCCTGTGTCTAGACCCAGATAGTTTCTGAGTAAATGTTTGTTGATTATTAGAAGGTAAATTTTCTGAAAATTATTTTAGAACAATTGTAAAAACTGTTGCTCAAATGTTTCGCTTTGTAAAGTTATCAAGATATTATAGATGCCTCATAGATTCCCATTTAAAAATGTACTACAATCCTAAATTTCAACTATACATTTTTCAAGTATTTTAATGAACTGATACGGACAGCTAACCTTATATGAACTCTCCACCCGAGGCTGTGAGCTGCCTCTCTCAGTTGTGGCTTGGCTCCTTAGAGATTGCCTTTTTTTTTTTTTTTTTCGGTCAGGTGTTTTTTCAAATATCTATCATGTTTTATAATGTAGAAGTGTGCAAAAGGCATGGTCTATGATCACAGATTTTTTTAGTCTAGTGGCAAAGACAGACATTGAGCAAATAAACATGAATAAAGACACAATTGCAAATTGTGCTAAGTGTTATAAAGGAAACACTAAAACAGCAAGTGGTAAAGAAGCATCAGAAGGCTAAGTTCCAGATGAGGTGGGCAGAAGAGAAGGGTCCCTTGGCTGGCTTATGTTAGGCCTATTAACCTTCAAGTTAAGGGACCTGTATTTCATGAAGGAAGGTCGTGAGAATGCACATATCCTACAGAGAGAAGTTGAACTTTGACAAAAATAGGGTTGGTTCGGTCTGAAAGAACGAATATGTCTTGGAAGCCAGACATAATTACACACACTCTACATATTGGCTGGCTATATACAATGGTGAAAAACTGAGGAAATAAAGCAAGTATGATACAAAAGCAAAAGCAAATTCCGAGACCTTGTAACTAGTGATGATAAAGGAAAGCTGCATTATCATGGTGTGTCATAGTGAGTACTCTAATGATCCATCTTTCATTAATAAAGAGTCCAGTTACATTGCCATTAGCAGAAGACAGCTTTTAAAAGGAAGAGTCTGGAGAAAGCATTGATATTTTTTTAATTGATTCTTTTTCTAAACTATGTGCTTGCCTCTTCAACTAATAGCAAAAACGTCTTTGTGGTCTTCTGATGTCTGAGGAAAGGTGAATGTTGGTAGGTGGGAAAAAACTCTCTCATTGAAACAAAGGCTACTGTATTTCTGGGCCATCTACCAATGACACACTCATTTATTATTCTTGAGACCCAGGCCTGTTAGTACTATTCCAAGTAGCAATCCATGAAAAAATGGAGGATGGATTTAAATTAGAAGGATGCCATCTTCCCCTCAACAATATCTGGGCCCTTTAGAGGGGGTACCTCTGAGGTACCAGTCACTTTTTAATTTTCCATCTCTGCATTGGTAAAGGGTTAGCACTTCCAAATGTTATAACATTTTTTGAAAAATTAGGTGAGCTGCATCTATACCAAGAACAAGGACTCTAGACCCAGAGTTACTTACCTGCAGCCCATTCATTCATTCATTCAGATATATCTCATATATTCAATCAACATTTATACCTCATATGTTTAGGCACTTTTGTTAAGCCTTGGGGATTCAACACAGAACTAAAATCTAGTACAGTAAAATCTAGCGTAGCCCTTAAGAACTTCAGAAAGCAGAGAGGAAGGCTGCTAAATAAATAGAAACATTTTAAGGGTAGAAAAGAAAAATTGCACCTGATAGAGTTTGACAAAGAAGACTTTATTTAAGACTATTGCCATAGGGAAGAGAGATTGAACTTAATTCTACTGAAACAGGCAGGAGAGTTTCTAAGCTCTGGGACAAACCAGTGAAAAAGTACTGGAGGATATTAGTGGCAAAGTTGGTCAATGTAATTAGGTGGTGGGTGTTTGGAATTGGTGCTCAGGGAAATTAGGCTCCTCCCCTCCCACAGAGATAGCAATGGAGTGCTATCTTTCTTGGTGAGTACATTCAAAGGGTGGCTCCCAGCTCCTTAAAAATACATTTCTGGGTTGTAAACTGGCAAGAGGCTGGGAGAAAATTCATATCTCCAGGGGGCAGAGAAAGAATGACAATTTCAAGTATTCTCAAATAAATGCTCCAAGAAAAGGGAAGTCAGGGGCCAATAGGCAGGAAGAAACCTGCCTGTTCAAAATGTATTCAAGCTGATGGAAAGGAACATGAAGGCTGTCTTGATTAGTACAGAGTAATCAATGGAATGTTGGAATATTTATCTCAAGGAACATACAGGAAGATAATAGTTCAGTTATATAGGCAGTATAAGTTAAGATGATTCACAGTGCCATTTAAAAGTTAAGAGGCAAGGTGGTATGGTCAAAAGATTTTGAGGTTTTAAGCCTGACTGTTGTTTGTTGCTTGTTATAACAGTGTGTGATATTGGATGAGTAACAGTGTGTTTGAGCTACTGTTTTTATTTTTGATGGAGAAATGATTGTCTGCTCTACCTAATTCATAGTGTTATGAATAGCAAATTCAATAATATTTTCCTCTTCACCTGGAACCCCATTTAAGTAGTACAGCAGCAAATAAATGCAATATAGAATTATTAATTGTCAAAAGGTTCTAAACCTAGTCAGTTTAAAAATATACTGTTTTTAGTTTTCAACTAACTAGAAATTCTCTTTTTATATAAACCATCTCCCCCCAAAATTTTCATTTGGAAATGTATTGCTTTATTTCATTAAACCATCATAATTAGCATACCAAAACTTTTAAAAATAGTATAAAAGAGAAAACATTTTCATATTTCAGATTTCTCTATTAAGAGATTACTACAACATGCCCAAATGGGGTTTATTTTAGAAAACAAATGGGTTTATGTTAGGGAACCTACTAATATAATTAATAGGTCAGAGAAAAATACTATTTTCAAAAGATTCAGAAAGGTAATTTTATAATATATAACAACCAGTTCTTATTTTTAAATTATGAAGAAATAGGAATGGACAGTTACCTTTATAATGAAAGGCTATCTATTGAAGTCAACAGAACTTCATATTTAACCTTGAAGCATCAGAGGCATTTCCATTAAAATCAGAAACAAGACTTAGAGGCACTAACACTACTATTAGCATTGTTCTGGGAGTAGGAACCAATCAACTGAAACAATCAGCAGTTATAAGAGATCGTACCATTAAAAAAAGAGGGAAAATATGACTCACAGAATTCTTGAACAAATAAGTGTAAATTAGAGATTCTGCTGAAGATAAATTAGAAATATTAAAAGCTTATTAAAGAAACTTATTATAAATAAATGTATAAACAATATAGTTTTATATTGTAGCCAAAAAAAGTAGCAAAAATAATTTTAAAATGTCATATTCCAAATGACCTAACAATTGAATTATAAAAAGAAGCACAGAGAGACTTTGTGAAAATAACTACAAATCGGTAATGAGGATGAAATTAAATGACTAAACAAAGAGACATAATGTGTTCTTAAATGAGAAACTAAATATTACAAAAATAAATACATTAATTATTTTCATATTAATTCATCAAGGTAATGTGATTCTAAACAGAATGAAGAGAATATTGAACTTGAAAAAGTACTTACAAAGTAATAAAGCAGTCATAAAATTATAAAATACATCTATGTTATTAAAAATATAACCATACACAACTGAATGAAGAAAATTTTTAAAGATTTTCTCCTTTCTTTCTCCTTTCTAGCCCCACACATTTTCCCAAAGCGTCCAAATGTACAGAGTAGCTTGAGATATCTGAAGAAGCCACCCCATTGCATGTTACATGTGCTATAAGTAGACAGTTCTTAAAGTAATATATTACTGGCCAAGAAGTGATACAGCGCAGTTTAAAAAGATTGACTATGACCAATGTGGTAAAAGGAAGATGACTGAATTTGTTAGGCTTAGGGGAGTGTCTGGCTCTCTGTGAGCAGAGTGCTGATTGAATCAGAGTGGATTCATTATATGGTGCTGGAACAATGGATTCAGAACAAAAATAAACTTAGAGTCTTTTCATACACCATGCCCCCAACTTATTTCACCGACTTATTTCACTATGCAGCCAACTTATTTTAAATAACTAAAAACAAGAAAACATGACAACCACATGGAAATATAGGTAAATACAATTTCAGAATGGAGATCTTTCTAGCATAAACTTGGCAGAAGAAATGATATGGAAAAAGTGATTGCTTTGACTGAATAAAGACTACTAATATTTTAAAAGTCAAAGAATTAGAAATAATAAACTAAGGGATATATTCAGAACATATATATTAAATGTAGAAGTATTATTTTTCTATGTAAAGAGATATATTACTAAAATCAGTTTGAAAATTATCACATCAGTATAAAATTCAGAAAATAGAGTAAACTAAAAAATTATCTATAAAAGCTAACATGTAAAAATAGGTTTCTTAGTGGTTTATAAGGAAAGTAATAAAATTAAAACAAAATACTCTTTCATCTTCCACATTATGACAAGTAAGCAACATAACATCTAGTGCTAGACAGTCGTAAAATGGGAGTTTCTCTTGTACACTATTAGCTTGGATATAAGAACCTACAGCCTTTCTGGAAGCTTAGTTGGCAAATTGAATTAGGAGTTTTAAATAACCTTTGGACTAGAAATTTCATAAATAGGAATTTTTCAAAATAAGTACATTTAGATTAGATATAATCTAAATATCCACAGATATGAGAAAGACTGTATAAATCACAGTACACCCATAGAATAGAATATTATAAAAATGTTTAGTTATGTTTTTAGAGAGTTTTAATGAATGGAGGAATGTTTATAAAAGGGAACTGAACAAACAAAACAATTAGAATGAAATTACATATGGTAGGAATACAATTTCATATGTTACATATGTAAATGCATAAGCAAAGACATGCCTGAAATCCACTGAAATACTAATCTTCAATTGTGGGTAAACTTTCATTCTTTTTACCCTAAAGTGTACTAATTTTCAAAAGTTACTATTAAGTAGTCAGAAAAAAGTGCTAGCAAAACATAAATGTATTGAGGACTGCTCATGGTTTGTTTATAAAATGTTTGTTGTCACATTATTCCAACAATTGCAAACATCCCAAAAACATTGGGTAGATATTATATAGATTATGAATAATTTTTCTCTAAACTCAGCCCAACTATAACCCTAATACTAGCCATTCTGCTTCATAAGTAGCAAAGCAAGCCACATGTTTTCAAAATTAAAAAAATTTCCCATTGTTCTGAGATTATGAAAAATTATGTATAGTATAATCTTAATGCATCAGATAATAAAACAGATAATGTAAATTTATTCTGGGCACTGGAAAACAGTGGAATTATGCACTTTGTGTCAGGTATCCATCTTTTTCTAATTTATATATTTTTTATTTAATAAATATTAAGCATTAAGTAAAACTTACATTCTGAAAAAGATTACATTGTCAGGAGTTATAAATTAAAATATTAGAAAAATAATCAAGATGATAGTTTTTCTGGGACTACCTAAGTTCTAAACTCCAGAACTTAACTGATAAAGGGAACAAATCTTATTTATTCACTGCAATATTTTCAGTGAAACTTCCTATCCCCATTACTTTTATATATTTATTTCCCCTCATTTTTGTATTAGTGCCTCGCCTCATCATCATTTCCTTTGAGCATTAGTCTTTCAGTCAACTTGATAGTTCCCTACAGGATCCACTAACCTGTTCTAAACATAGTAAGCACTCATTAAATAAATGGATTTAATTCCATGTTTCATGCACATGCAAAATTATTGCTAAGCTTGCATGTTCAATTTTAGATTATTTTTCTCTACTAATGGATAATGCCTTTACAGGTATTGTCCATTTAATACCCTGCATGCCTAAGACTCAGTGACTTTCTCTAAATATCTAGCTATGAAATTAAACTATTGAATATTTAATAATGCTTAAATATTCATGTTCTTGGAGGGCAGGAATATATAAAAATGGGATTCATATTTTATTCCCTTAGATAATGGTAGTGAAACAATAATCATTGCATCTCTTGAGCATATAGTTTGCTATAGAGCACAAAACTAAGTAAATGTCCATCATATAGAGATAGCCAGAGGCCTGAATTATTGGGTGTGAGATGTCAGTACCATTTGTATATTAATAGTTGTTTGCTGGATTTCCTAAATTAGATAACTTACCTTCATTTACTTACTGAAGTAATTAGAGGCTGTTATAGGATAAAGTTAAAATTATAAATTATTTTTTCTTATTAATGAAAGAGTTGTGGAATCTACGAAGGTATTAATGAAGTGTCAAGAAATATGTGGACTAAGAAAAAGTAGAGATATATAATTTAGCTTAATTGTGTTAAAAATAAATATGTATTACCAGGGTGGATGAAATCTTGCATGTTCTGCTAAAATAGGAGAAAATAGAAGCAGCAGGAATGATGACTGAAGAACTCATTGTATAAATCAGTGGTTTCTGAACTGGTGCAACTGCAACATCAGATACAAATGATAGTCCACTGAAGCATGGGAAGAAAATAGTAGCACTAGCATTTACAAATTTGCTGAAAAAAAATTAAAGTTAAGCTTTGCCTATATTTTAAATATGAATTGGTACTGGAGTCTTCACTAGTTCATTATGTCATATTTCTTATTTTGTGAAGAACCCTGAGGGAAGAGTGGAGGTTGCACAACCTTAAGAAAATGTTTGCTTTCAGCATTTTGCAATGCATTATAATGTGCAGGCATCTCATTAGGTGGTTTATGGATTATATTATCTAATTTTAACTACACTAAACTTCTGCAAATGGATAAATGATCAAAATGAATTTCGTGAATAACTCTGGATTGTAGATAATATTTGTAAGTACAAGCAAAAAAACAACTCTCCTCCCTACTCCATAAAAAAAAGAGCTGAAATTCTGCTTCATGTATAGGTTTTTCACTAGCTACATTCCAAAGCAAGATTAATGAAGATCCAATCAGGTCAGGTAAAAAGGTCAGCTAAATTCTTTGCAATTATGAAATTATTAAGAAACTTGGCTGAGTGTGGTGGCTCATGCCTGTATTCCCAGCACTTTGGGGGGCCCAGCGGGGTGGATCAGTTGAGGTCAGGAGTTTGAGACCAGCCTGACCAACATGATGAAACCCTGTCTTTACTAAATATACAAAAATTAGCCAGGCTTGGTGATGTGCGCCCATAATCCCAGCTACTCCAGAGGCTGAGGCAGGAGAATTGCTTGAACCCGGGAAGGGGAGGTTGTAGCAAGCCGAGATTGTGCCACTGAACTCCAGCCTGGGTGACAGAGTGAGACTCCATCTCAGAAAAAAAAAAAAAAAAAAAGATTTGAACAATATGAATGATATACTTCAATACTCTATTTTTAACAATAAACACCCTATACATTTTGTAAATGATAAACATATCATATCTTGAAATATTGGCTAATAATAGTATATTTATACATCTGTATAATTTTTAAAGAAATCAAGTAAATATACAGGTTATGATCATGTGTAACTGTTTATTTCATTATTTATATTTTCTTTTTTTAAAATTAATTAATTAATAATTGCTGATACGGGTACTTCTCAAAGAAGTTTGAAGACCACTGTTAGAGATTGTGAGTTTAACATTATCCTGGACAAGGTGGACCAGGACTGGGTTAGGCAAAATGGTAGGAGCTAATATAAAGTGAATATTTATCAATATGCACATCGAAAAGTAAATCTAAGCATTAGATGAGAGTTAGGAAAAGCCTGACAGTGATCTTCAATTAATGACTAATCAATACTCCAGTACTGACCAAAATTTTCATAATGTTACTGAATCCCATTTGGAAAGCGTAGGAGTGGTGTTATACACTGTTCAAGGCAAGATTCCCTAGGACACTTTTGATTAGGAACCTATCTGACAGCTAAGTTCCATGCTCACTTTCTAAATGTAAGTTTTTTCCTGTTGAGGCGGATCATCCAAGAATATAATCAAGAGCATGTGTAGACTACCCTTCTAACTGTAAATTAATACCATCTCCTTTCCTTTAGCCCTGACTAGTGCTATGCTGGATGTTGCAAAGTATTTCAGAATGGCTACTGTAGGAGTCTGTATTCCAAGTTTTATTTTAGATCAGAGTAAAGCAAAAAAGATGCATTTGCTCTGTCCCATAGGTTGTACTCTCAGAATACAAATACACTATTTAACAGGAGGAGCAGAACCTCTAGGGGCAGCAAACAGGCTGTTTTATTCCAAAATGTTAGGCAAAGCTAATGTCTGGGGCTATCTCTGGACTCCCTACTGCAGTAATGATGAACTTTAGAGATTTGGAGTTTTAGAAATCCATCCTAAGAGGGAGAAACTGGGTCCTTCTTGTGGGAGACCTTAGACGTTCTCCAAAGACAGGAAATTGCTGCTGTAGGAATGATGTCACTACTTAATGAAGGCACTCCCTAGCATACTACAGCACTCTGAAATAAGTTGTGGTAACTTTGGAATGCCAGAAAGAAAATAGACACAGAGCTAATTCCGTCTTTGTTCTTCTCACATAAGCTGGGAAAAAGTGATCAGACAAAACGTGAAGCCTATGCCTGATGCATTCACCAGATATAAACAAACGAAAAACACTAAAGCAGATTCATACCAGGCTTATATCTGAAAAGTCATAACTAGATTCATACCTGAAAAGTTATTGAAGTTACTTTTATTGAATTTTGTCTCTAGGAACAAATTGTGCACATCTGGGCAATAAATACCTGGTGATAGATGATTTAACTCATCATGGTTAGTGTGTCTCACAGGAGAAAAGAAAGTAGCAAGAGTCCACCATAACTAGAGTGTCATGGGAACAAGTTTTCTTTCTTTTTTTTTTTTTTTTTTGAGAGGGAGTTTGGTTCTTGTTGCCCAGGCTGGAGTGCAATAGCACGATCTCGGCTCACCGCAATCTTTGCCTCCTGGGTTCAAGTGATTCTCCTGCCTCAGCCTCCCGAGTAGCTGGGATTAGAAGCATGTGCCACCATACCTGGCTAATTTTGTATTTTTAGTAGAGATGGTGTTTCTCCATGTTGGTTGGACTGGTCTCGAACTCCCGACCTTAGGTGATCCGCCTGCCTCGGCCTCCCAAAGTGCTGGGATTACAGACATGAGCCACCGCGCCCAGCCAAGTTTTCTCTTTTTATAGATTTTCTGGTAAGATTCATTCAAATTAAGGAGTGTATTTTTTAAAAGAGCTTATTTCTAATAAATTTCTCATATTTAAAGTTATAATTTGATAAGCTTTAGTTTGGTGTATACATCCATGTAAACATCACCATAAGAGAGGGAACATAGTTGTCACTCCTTTGAGGTAAGTATAAGACCCAGGGGGAAGACTTTTTATAATGAGAAGAACATTATGCTGATAATAGATTTTTGAGGAATATTAACTTATATAAGGGATAGAAAAAGTGTAAGAGATGAGAAAATAGAAGTCAAAAGAAAGGTAGGAGGAATAACAGTAGGAAGAAACAAATGATGAGGACAGGTTTTAAAAGGCACAGGGTATAAAAGTAATAAAATCAAGTGAATGAAAATGGTAAATATCCACCAGTTTGGCACAGGAAAGCAATTGTGGGAGAGATTTTAATCAAAATGATGAGGGTAAAAATCGTAGTGCCAGTGATTTTGTGGCAATGGGAGGTGAGGAGATGGTAACCTTGAATATAGACTACCCTTTTCAGAAACATGGCTCTAAAGTTCCAGGGAATTATGGTAGTGAGAAAGAATGTAGGGTCCCTGGAGGGTTAAGGGTTCGCTTGTTTGGTCTGTTTTCTATTTTTGTTAATGGTTAATAGTTGTTTACATCTATTGACTTTCAGAGAGATTAAGTAAGAAGATGGTGAAGATAAAATAGAAACAGGGATAATTAAGAGTGTGAGCAAATGAAAAAGAAAAGAAAGAAGACCCAGATAACAAGTGAAATAATTGTTCAGGTTAAGTTAGAAGGGTCCTTCTTCTAACAAATGATGAAGAAAAGAGGTGAATATCTATTTTGGGCAATTTTATCTTTTGATTTTTCTTATATCTCTTTTGTTCTGACTTCTAAGTCAATTGGCTAGGCTTCTGTTTTTCTACCCAAATCTCCTTCTCTTTCTTTCTCTCTCTCTGTCTCTTTCTCTCTCTCTCTCTTTCTCTATTTTTTTTCTTTCTTTCTCTCTTTCTTTTCTCTCTCTTTTTTTAGATGTTCTTAGTAAATGGTACCACCATCAATTCAGGACAACAATCTAAAAGTCATCCTCAATTTGTGCCTTTCCTCTACCTTGTATATGCAATCCGTCAATATATCCTTCAGTGCAACTTTCAAGATACGTTTTGAATGTAATCATTCCTTACTCTCTCTACCACCAACAACCAACTCAAACCATCACTATCTATCTACTGTACTTCTGCTAAAGTTCCTTAATGGGTAGGTTGACCGTAGACAACTTCCTAACCTAAAGAGAGCATTTTCTTTGAAATGGATTAAAAAGATATTTATACTTAAAAGGAGTATTAGAAAAGACCCAAAGGGCCTAAGAGGAATGATCATCCCACTAATGAATTCCCCTGTTTCCATTCTTGTTCCTGTGCAGTCTGTTCTTCATATGACTGCAAGAGTAAAGGGTAATCAAATGGTGCCAGCATTCCTCCTCACCTATTCCCACCTTCAAACTTTTTGGAGACTTCTATTAGACATACAGTTAAAAGCAACTCCCCTCAATAATCTGCAAGGCCTTGCATGAGCTGAGGCCTGATCACCTTTTCCAACTTGTTTCAGATCCTAGGCCCACTGCCCATCTTTCTTTTTTAGAATCCATCAGCCAAATAGTTCTCTTGCCTACTTTATATAGCTAAAAAACAAACAAACAAACAACAACAACAAAAAACAAATTCTGTCATACCTCAGGGCTTTTTCATTTGTTCTTCTTTCAGCTAGGGTGCACTTTTCCTGACTCATCCTATGGGTGGCTGTTTCTGAAGAGTTAAGTCCAAGTTCAAATGTCATCACCTCAGAACATTCCTTCCTCACCACACAAGTAGCACACTTCTAACCTCCCAGACACTATCTACCCTACTACGTGTTTATATTCTTCATAGAGTTTGTCACAACCTATAATTATTATGTATTTTTTGTTTACTTCTGTGTTATTTGTTTTCTTTCACTGATAGGTAATTCCATGAGGTCGAAGTCCATGTCTATCTCAGTCATTATTATGCTCTAGTCAGTGTCTGTATATAGTAACCACCCCTCAAAAACACTTTTTTGAGTGAATATATGGGTAACAAATAATTATATTAGCAATGGGGAAATCAGTGAAAGAATTCTTAGCTAATGGCCTCTACTTTTTCTGAAAGGTAAAAGAAAAATTAATCTACAAAAAAACATGAAGCGTAGTTCAAGAATAGACTAGATTTCAAAAATAGATATGTACACATTACATATGTACATATCTATTACATGTACACATTACATATGTACACATATATGTACACATTACATATGTATGTATTTATTAAGTGATAAAAGTAACACTACTGTATAGTGGGGTTGGGGGAAGAATGATCCTTTTGCTAAATTATGCTGGGTCAATTATATCCATATGAAAAACTACATCTAGACCTCTACTTCACAACACATACAAAATCAGTATCAGATGGATTGAAGACATAAATTTGAAGGGAAAAATATAGCTATTAGAGGAAAATGTATGATAACGTCTTCATGACCTTGAAGAAGGCACAAATTTGAGATATAGTCACATAAAAATTATAACTTGGACTATATTAAAATTAAGAACTTGTGTACCTCAAAAGATTACATTAATAAAATGGAAAAGTATTCACTATATGTAAGTCCAAATCATATGTAGAAGTCCCTAAGATCAATAAGAAAAAGATGATTAAGTAGTAATAGAAAGAAAGTGTCTTGAATAGACTCATCACAAAAGAAGATATCCTAATAAAACCAGGAAAAGGTGCTCAATTACCATCATTCAAGAAACCAAGTAAAATATTCTGAGTTTTTAACACAAAGTAAAAATTAAATGTGATGATACTACACATTCTCCAGCATAGCTAAAATGAAAAAGACAAAAAATGCCAAGAGTGGAGCAACCAGAACCCTTACACACTGTGTGCTGTGGTCTGAATGTGTTTTCCCAAATTCATGTGTTGGAAACTTAATCTACAATGGAATAGTATTGGAAGGTGGGGCCTTTTGGGAGGTGTGTAGGTCATTAGGGCTCTGCCCTCATGAATGGATTAATGCTGTTATTAAAAGGGCTTGTAGGAGTGGGTTTGCCCTGTTTGGCTCTCCTGCCTTTGAGGACAAAGCAATAAGGCCCTCACCAGATGCTGGTGCCATGATTTTGGACTTCTCAGCCTCTAGAACTGTGAGAAATAAATTTCCATTTTTTATAAATTACCCAGCATCAGATATGTTGTTACAGCAGCACAAAATGGATTGAGACACTATGTGATATAGTTTGGATATTTGTCCCCACCCAAAGCTCATGTTGAAATGTAATCCCCAGTGTTGGAAGTGGGGCCTTATGGAAGGTGTGTGGATCATGGGGGTGGACCCCTCAGGACTTGGTGCCATCCTCATGGTAGTGAGTGAGTTTTCATGAGATCTGATTATTTGAAGCGTATGGCACTTCCCTCCCACACTCTCTCTCTTGCTTTCTTGCTTTCACCATGTGAAGTGCCTGCTTCTGTTTTGCCTGCTGCAATGAGTAAAAGCTCCCTGGCACCCCTCCAGAAGGTGAGCAGATGCTGGCACCATGCTTCCTGTACAACCTACATAACTGTGAGCCAATTAAACCTCTCTTCTTTATAAATTAGCCAGTCTTATATATTTCTTTATACCAACCCAAGAATGGCCTAGTACTTTGTGCAAAACTGTAAAATGTTACACCTGCTCTGGAAGGTGGGTGTTTTTTTAACAACTAGTATAGCTGAGCATATGCAGGAAATATGATCTAACAATTAGATACCTAAGTATAATTTTACTCCTAAGTATACATCTGTCAGAAATGTACAAGTATTGCAACAAAAGACATGTACTAAAATTTTTATAGCAGCACTATTTTTAATACCTCCAAACTGGACACATACCAAATGTCTGTCTATAGTATAATAGATGAATATACTATGGTGTATTCATAAAATGGAATTCTACATAGCTTTGATAATTTCAAACTATACTCAACAACATTGAAGAACCTCAGGAACATAATGTTGAACTAAAAAAGCCATAGACAAAAGAGTACACACTATATGATTAAAAAAGAAGAGGAGAAAAGGAAAAAGAGAAAATGCAAAATAACCTGTACTCTTTGAAGCAGCAGCTTGGGAGCACGGCAGAGCTCTGGGTTGCTGATAATGTTTGGTTTTCTGGTTAGGGTGCAGGCTTACACAGCATATTAAGTTTTTGAGAACCCATAAAGCTATATATACCTTTATGCGCTTTTCATTATGTCATGTTGTACTTTAATAAAAAATAACCTTAAAGCTTATGTAGTTGTGGCAGGATATAAGGATTGAGCATACCTGAAGTAGTTGATATTTAAGGGAACTAACTAGAGGGCTTGCCAAGCAGTGTATGGTGCCAGGCTGAGGTCAGAGGCTTGGAATCTATTGTACATAGCTATGCAATGACCTCCAATCTCATTTCGGCAGTTGTATTAGTGTAGAGAAGGTAGACTGTTACAGATCTAGGTTGAAGTTTTTTCAGGGTAGAGGTGGCAGAAGGTTAAAGGAGAAAGTAAGTTCATGTTGTTAACAAGGGATGCATTCATGTTAACAAGGGATGCATTTATGTTAGTGAGTCTAGACTGGATAAGAAGGAAAAATGAGTTTATTTGCACATTGAGGAAAGGTAGGGAGATACAGAACTAGAAATTTTATGGCTTTTAATTGTAGTAGGAGTAAATAAGTGAGAAAATGAAAGGGTAAGTGGTAGTACAAATGGGAGTTTACAGCTGAAAACTTCAGAAATGGAACAGTTCTAGGTAATTACAAGGTCCAATGCAGAGTTATGGGTTTGAGGGGCTGGGGAAAAGTGGATATGAAGGTCATCAGCGTTGAAAAGCTCAATAAACTATAAAGCAAACAAGTGAATTGGTCTTCCGCATAGGCATTGAACTAATCAGAATATTGAAAAGATTTTGAGTGGAGGGGAAAGTCGTGCACATGGTATTGAATTATTTGATAAATGTGAAGAAAGGACTTGGAGGCTCATGCATGTCTCTGATTGTAGAGCCAAATGGCATCTTTTGAAAGGAGGTCAGATGCACACAATGAGGTGGAAGAGTAAAAGTTGTAAGGAGCTAGATCTGAGGATGGGCTAGAGTTGGGGACTAGCAGCTGACACCTTTCCTGGGGCATGAATTCCCTGTTCTGGTGACTAGCATTCTCCAATTCAGACAGCTGGGAAGTTAGTGGAGGAGAAAGAAACAATTTTCAGCAAAAACAAGGACTGGGAAAAATAACTGATAAAGAAATGCGTATGTAAAAGAGGGTTGTTTTGTTTTGCTTTGTTTGCTTTATTATGAAACAGTCATTTTAGAAGGAATCAATATTAAGATTTTGGAGGAGAATATCAGTAAAAGCTAAGTGGGGTAAGTAAGTCACATAGCTATGCTGAAATGAGAGTGATGAGATACATTCTATGTTCTGATTAAGGGTGAAAAGAATGTTACGCATGGTGATATTGCTGAGTTTCAAGTATTTCTATTGTTTAGTTCAACAGTCCCCAACCTTGGCACCAGGGACTGGTTTTATGGAAGACAGTTTTTCCATGGATTGGAGTGGGGATGGTTTTGGGATGATTCAAGCACATGGCATTTATTGTGCTCTTTATTTCTGTTATTATTACATTATAATATATAATAAAATAATTATACGACTCGCCATAATGTAGAATCAGTGGGAGCCCTGAGCTTGTTTTCCTGCAACTAGATGGTCGCATCTGGGGATGATGGGAGACAGTGACAGAACATCAGGCTTTGGATTCTCATAAGAAGCCTGCAACCTAGATCCCTCGCATGCGCGTTTCACAATAGGGTTTGTGCTTCTATGAGACTCTAATGTCACCGCTGATCTGAGAGGAGGCAGAACGCAGGTGGTAATGCGAGCGAAGGGGAGTAGCTGTAAATACAGATGAAGCTTCACTTACTCACCCTCCGCTCACTTCCTGCTGTGTAGTCAGTCCAGTTCCTTTCGGGCCATGGACCAGTCTGTGGCCCAGAGGTTGGGGACACTTGGTTTAGTTACTTCAGTATTTATACAGGGCTGGGGTCCAGGTGGAGTCAGATAAACTATGATGTAGGTAGATGGGCTGTCTTTAGGGTTCCGACAGAATGTTACTGATGCAGAATGCTACATCAACATGTACAATGCCTCTGCAGAAATTCCAGGCTAAGGTTAGAGAGGACGATAATGCAGTTCCTAGGACATATGTCTTCTTTGTAAATTGTAGCAGTTTCTGGTGGTTGGGAAAACTTGGACTTCTCCAGAAGGAACCATAGAATACTAAACTAGTTCTTAGCATAATGATCCATGGTATTGATTCTTCATTTCCAAATGAGATGTTGATGGCTAACCAAGGAAAATAAACTTCCTTAAGGCTGGAGCAAAATGTAAATGGGACTCTTCCCTGAGGTGAGGCTGAAAGAAGGTCTAAGAAAGAGAAATAAACGATTTTTGAGGATAGGCTATGCAGTAATGAAGAAGAAAATAAATGAGGTAGAAGCCAGGCTAGCTCTGTGGTGACAGTCGCTTCTCTATTTTTCCCAAAGGGGTGGTTTGCTTGTTTCCTGGGCTGGTGGAATTTCCCTTGGCAACACTCATGTGTTGCTGCTCATGGTCTTCTTTTTTTTTTTTTCGAATTAAGTATTACTAAGTCTTTTTTTATTATTATACTTTAAGTTCTAGGGTACGTGTGCACAACGTGCAGGTTTGTTATATATGTATACATATGCCATGTTGATGTGCTACATCCATTAACTCGTCATTTACATTAGGTATATCTCCTAATGCTATCCCTCCCCACTCCCCCTCCACACAACAGGCCCCGGTGTGTGATGTCCCCCTCCCTGTGTCCAAGTGTTCTCATTGTTCAGTTCCCACCTATGAGTGAGAACATGCGGTGTTTGGTTTTTTGTCCTTGTGATAGTTTGCTGAGAATGATGGTTTCCAGCTTCATCCATGTCCCTACAAAGGACATGAACTCATCATTTTTTATGGCTGCATAGTATTCCATGGTGTATATGTGCCACATTTTCTTAATCCAGTCTATCACTGATGGACATTTGTGTTGGTTCCAAGTCTTTACTATTGTGAATAGTGCCACAATAAACATACGTGTGCATGTGTCTTTATAGCAGCATGACTTATAATCCTTTGGGTATATACCCAGTAATGGGATGGCTGGGTCAAATGGTATTTCTAGTTCTAGATCCTTAAGGAATCGCCACACTGACTTCCACGATGGTTGAACTAGCAGATGACATGATTGCATATTTAGAAAACCCCATCGTCTCAGCCCAAAATCTCCTTAAGCTGATAAACAACTTCAGCAAAGTCTCAGGATACAAAATCAATGTGCAAAAATCACAAGCATTCTTATACACCAATTACAGACAAACAGAGAGGCAAATCAAGAGTGAACTCCCATTCACAATTGCTTCAAAGAGAATAAAATACCTAGGAATCCAACTTACAAGGGATGTGAAGGACTTCTTCAAGGAGAACTACAAACCACTGCTCAACAAAATAAAAGAGGACACAAACAAATGGAAGAACATTCCATGCTCATGGATAGGAAGAATCAATATCGTGAAAATGGCCATACTGCCCAAGGTAATTTATAGATTCAAGGCCATCCCTATCAAGCTACCAATGACTTTCTTCACAGAATTGGAAAAAACTACTTTAAAGTTCATATGGAACCAAAAAAGAGCCCGCATTGCCAAGTCAATCCTAAGCCAAAAGAACAAAGCTGGAGGCATCATGCTACCTGACTTCAAACTATACTACAAGGCTACAGTAACCAAAACAGCATGGTACTGGTACCAAAACAGAGATATAGAGCAATAGAACAGAACAGAGCCCTCAGAAATAATACCACACATCTACAACCATCTGATCTTTGAGAAACCTGACAAAAACAAGCAATGGGGAAAGGATTCCTATTTAATAAATGGTTCTGTGAAAACTGGCTAGCCATATGTAGAAAGCTGAAACTGGATCCCCTCCTTACACCTTATACAAAAATTAATTCAAGATGGATTAAAGACTTAAATATTAGACCTAAAACCATGGTCTTCTTTAAAGGGTTTGACCAACAGCTGGGGAATGAAAGGGTGTGTGGTAGCCCCAGGGGCACAATTACTGTCTCTGCTGCAGTTTAAGAGTGCTCTGAATTTGGCTTGTGAGTTCTTGTTGTGTCTCTGAATGGATAAAGGGCTGAATTTCCTAGATACTCAGAGTCATTGCCCTTCTATCAGTTCACCATGCTAGAAGGCCTAGAGTAAGACATTTGGCCGTATCTGGAAGTTCTGTAGCAAATGCCTTCTGGAACCTCATGACTAAAATTATGAGGAAAAAGATTCAAAGCAAGGTTTTAAGGAGCTTTACAAAAACAGAAAACCAATAACCACATACTTGAGAGTAAAGACTCTTGGGATGCTTAAAAATGTTTATAAGGCTCAGGAGAATCTTTTTTCAGAAAGTAAAACATGAAGAAATGTGTGTGTGTGTGTGTGTGTGTGTGTGTGTATGCAAAACAGATAACAAAAAAACCAAGAAAATGACTAACATGCAGAGTGTATAATAAAAATGTTAAGAAAGCAACATCTTTGGGAAATTCATTTGTTAATTTCTAAGTGAAAAGCATACACATTTCATTAGGTTGGGATTTAAAATATCTAATTCAAATTGTAGAATAAAGTTACAGGAAATTAAATACTTTTTTTTTTAATTTTGGTTTGGTTTTCTTCGAATGAGGATGAAGCGGTAAATGTCTAGATGAGGGAAAAAATCTATTGTCTTAGTTTTCTCTTGAGAAAAGCTGTGCCCTAAAAGTCTACTGAAGCAACTTGCATGAGAAACAAATATATTCTGAAACATCCACGAAAAATGCTTTTTACCTCTTAGCTCTGTTTTAGGCCTTAGCCTGTAGTCTGTCTCTTTTTCTTCTTTGTAGGACTGAATTTAAATCAGTAAATAAAAACATAAGGATGTTAAAACACTTCATCAATTTGAAGTATTTAATGAGATGTTCCAGGGTGCTATATCATGTTATGGATGCTGGTTCAACTCCTACTCTCAATTTCTAATGACCTAATTTATATTGTGGCAATAGTTTTACTTTCAAGGTAGCTATGATGACCTTTTCTAACCCCAATGTTAATTATATCCCATGCCCCAAATTTTCAATTTGGTGTTATGTTTCAGTTCTTAAAATAATTATTATATGTGATCTGTGATATCTAGAAATATTTTATTTCTCATGTCATAAATATCATGTAATTGTTTCTTTATCTTTGCTGCTTTTAACATCTACACAGTATCCATCTTTCTAATGGCTAAAAATTAAATGTGACATTGTGCAAGGAGTTCAGCTATGATTAAGTGGCAACAACTAGAAAATTCTCCCTTGCAAAAACCACTAAGAAATCATTATTTGCCTTTTCAGTGCGAAAAATAAATGTTGTATTTTATTCCCTTCCATCATCACCCTTAGAATTGCATCTTCCTGCAGTAGCATCAAGAATAATGCAAGGTCATTTCTAAAGTGTTTGCTTTTCTGTGCTTTGTTCACCTCTCCTCTTAGGGAGGGAGGTTATGTGGCCCCAATGTCTCCAATGTGTCTAGAAGTTCCCCTTTAATTACTCAGGTAGATAGATAAAAATAAAGTAAATGCACAAAACTTATGGTTTCCATAAATGCATTCATTGTAGCAATTTTCATTATTATCCATACCATTTGAAGGCTATTTGCTTTTAAAGCTAGCAATTTCTAAGTTAGAAGCAAAATTGAACAATAAAAAATTAATTTCAAAAAGAAACTAGTGAATCTCTTCCTCCTTATCATCACTTTAAAAAGTACATTTAATAATCGTATTTTGTTTTTTACTCTCTGGGACTTTCTTTCCTTGCTTTGACAAGTAGATAATGGATCTTTCTATTATGTAGAACTCAGGTCCAGAATTCATATTCTACCACATAAGTAGGCTCTTTGAAAACCATACTTGACTGAAAAACTGAGTCTAGGTAAGTTTTTGTCTTAATTAACCTGTATAAACTGTTGTTAGAGACAAAATTTATTGCTTCATTTACATTTTAATTACAGAAGGGTCCAAAATGTTAAGTTTTAATTGGCTGAAGAGAATTATGTGCAACGAAGTCTCATGGCAAATGGAACAGAGTGCTTTGCAGGGACTTGCTGGCTCTCTGTTAAGATTAGGGGTCCCATAAGTGGAAAAGGTTTAACTCCCTTCCTGAATCTCCAATATCTCAAAATCAGTAAAGAAGACCTTCACAGATGCCCTGATCTTACAAGAGAATGTCATAGATGATTTCTCCAGAGTGTTTTTAATGCACTGCAATTACTAGTTACTGTTTGGGCATAGTTACGGTACCTGCTAGACCATAAATAGTTAATGTCGATGGGATAAATCCAGTAGCATTATTATAAATCTGTGCTGAATGGTTGAGTGAAATGTCCCTAAAATCTCCTAACTCCTTAGATTCCAAACCATTCCAAATCTTATTAAGCATTTATTATGTAAACAATATTTTTAAGCCAAAAACATTCTGAAAGTCTTTTTATTTCTGATGTAAATGTTCAACTCTCTCCCTTGTTCCCAGTTCTCTTTCCATTTTCTCTTTTTATTCATTAGTCTTAAAAGCCAGTCACTTTTTTAAAACTTACTGGAGTGAATCCATCTTTTCACTGGGCTCTGACAGATAGAAAGGCTTAAAAAATGCAAAGTCCTCATGATAGGACATCTGAGGAAAATATATTGTAGATTTCCTTCTGAATGCCTTCTTCAGTATGAAGAGTCCCAAGTAAAACATTTCAAGTACGCATTGGGAGCATATATACATTCAGCTGAAGACAGCTTCCCTCCCCTTTGCTCTGAGAGCATTTCACTAAAGTCTTCTTAAGTTGGATGCCAGTATGATGTTCTGACACAAATATATGATTTTAGCATTTGACTTAGAATTAAGCTTGTATACTGCCAGCATTAAATATATGAAGTATTTACTTGATGTCAAATTAGAAAAGATCATTTATTTTTAATGATCTTCAGAGATGTGGCCATTTATTTTTAATATTCCACCTTACTTCAGATGACTAGGTTCAAGTAAGTGCTATTTCCCTTAATCTAATTCTTTTTCAACCTGTATCTCTTTTATGCCAGAAGCACTCAGTGATTTCAAAAGGAACTCCTTAAGTTATAGTAATAGTCAGTAAAATGGGAAACAATGTTGCTGTCAAGATGCAAGATTTTTCCCAAACAGGACATTTTGGCCTCCCCACAGCCACATTCTTGAATATTAGTCCATTTTCTCAGACTTTTATGATAAACATTTAATTATTGGCTGCTCTGACTATGGAGTAGCCATTCTTTTATTCCTTTACTTTCCCAAGAAACTTGCTTTTACTTTACAAAAAGCAGAACACTCAATTATTATCTGTCACTGTGCTTCTTAATAGTAACCCTTATATTAGCATATAAAATGGTTTGATTTAGAAAATATAATAATGAATTTTTTGAAATAGAGATATCACTGGGATGATCTCTCCAAATCAATGGACAGTACTTTTTAACCATAAGTTCAGTGACAACTCATGACAATTTATATCCCCCTAGAAATATGGTATCGAGATGTCAGTCTTCAAATTAAGAAAAAGAAAAATCCGAATCATAAAATTAAATATCTATATCTGATGACTGTTTGAGCTTGGCAAGACCACCACCAGGGGGAGCAAGTTACTGGACAAAGGAAGTGATGTACAGTTTCAGAATTTTAATAGAAAATCCGGCTTTTAAGAACAAAATGATAGCACAATTGGTAAGAATAAAAGAAAAACAAGATGACTCAAAGTCACATGAACTGCTAACTCTCTAGTATCTTATTAAAATAACATTGCTTCACTTTAGTTTCTGGAGTGAGTTGCTGTGACACTACCACAGTTATGTTTTCTTTGTAATGTGTTTTTCCCAGTGAAGTATCCTATCTTCTACAGCCGTTATGACCTACGTGCTGACAGCACTTTGTAAAATGCAAATGACCTTACAAATTTAATGACGTAATACATATCAGGTTCATGTAATTATGGATAGAAAAAATCTGGAAGTTGAGAGGGTCTGCCTGCTTGACAGGCAGTATATGCAATATATTTTACATGTGGGAGGGTTAATTCATACATTTTTTAAGACACAGTCTTCAAATATTTTACATCTGAATTAAGGGAAACTAACTTACTAAAGGAAACAAATAGAGTGTCTTCTAAGCAAGCTGTGAGCAAGTACTTTTAAATCCCATGACGGAAATTATTTGAGAAATCCTTTGTGATGTAAGAAAGATTATTCATAAAGAAGTTTAGCAACTGTTTACAAATTCACAAGTCATGTTAAGCTATATAACTTGAAAAGAAAACCTTTTGAAGGAAACAACTTGTGTCAGTGTCATTATGAATATTTTACATTGATATCAAACAGAATAAAACCCATATTTTATTTAA
The DNA here is from genome assembly GCF_000001405.40 of Homo sapiens. Taxonomy (NCBI): domain Eukaryota; kingdom Metazoa; phylum Chordata; class Mammalia; order Primates; family Hominidae; genus Homo; species Homo sapiens. Next base: position 114,748,871 of record NC_000006.12, read on the forward strand.
CATGATCTATTTATTGATTACATCTGGGTAAACAATTCTAAACAAAACAAATATGACCACATTATCCCATGTCTAAGAAGAAAGGAGAGCATTCAACACATAATTATTCTAATATAGGATTACATAACATAAAGTGTTATGAGAAAGCACTGTTTGCAATGGGAAAGTATGATGGAATTATAACTTTGGTTAAGTATTTAGGGAAGTCTTCTCAGAGGAAGTTTTAATGTGGTGGATACTAAGAATTATCTAAGTGAATCATGAGAAGGGAAACTGGGAAGAAGAAAGAATAGTCCAGTTAGAACTGTATCTTTGGGAACTGTACAGACAGGAGATCTTGACATATTTGAGGAACTGAGAGATTCCTATTGAGTCTGGAGTTGAGTGATCAAAGGGATGCAGGTCAGGGTAGGTGAAAGCAGGAGAACTAAGGCAACTTACAATTCTATAGGAGCCTTATAAGATACACATTTAAAATTTTAGATATTAATCAGAATGTAATGGGGCTTGGAAGAGTTTTGTACTGGAAAGTGACATGATCTACATTATGTTTTGAGAAGGTTATATTGGCATATGTGTGAAAAAAATTAGAGTGGAAATAGAAGGGATACAGGTAAACTTATTAGAAGGCCTTTGTGGCCATCCTGGTAAGAGATAATGGTGGATGAAATTGTGGTGGTGACACTAGAGAAGAAAATAACACACACACACACACACACACACACACACACACACACACACACGAAGTAGAGTCAAGAGGACTTGTTGATGAATCTATAGAATGATGGAGAGGGAAATGACAAGGCTAAGACATGCCCTTTTTGGTTAAAACAAAGACTGGGAAAAAGCAAGTTTTGCAGAAAAAGATTAACAATTCATGTTTCTAAATATGTGAATGTTGAAAAGTTTGTAATAGTTGTAAGTCATCCACATTGACATCCAAGATGCCAAGTTACTCATATATTATGGCCTCTGCTCTTATATACATGCATATGCAAGAAATAGGCAATGTAATTGGACTGCATACATGGGAGTTATTGGCCATGAAATGGTCATTAAAGGCAAGAGAGTTGACAATGACAAGACTAATCAAGGATAGAATGTAGAGTGAGAAGAGGGCCTATTACCCAATGTTGAGAAACTTGACTATTAAATATTTAGAATAAGTAAGAAGCTGGCTACAGAAGTTGAAAAGGAGGAGACATCAAGAAAAGGGGAAAGCTAGAACTGTGATTATTTCACAGCTAAGCAAAATTATTTCTTAAATGTTAAACTTTTGTTGCATGTTTTGGGATGTTTTGTTTTTAATGAGAAAACTGTATCCAAGAGGGTTGAAAATTATGGTAGACCACAGTGACTTTATTTAGATTTATTCTTTCCAATCAAGGATATTGGTTGTGTATTTTCTCTGGGAAATAAGAATTTTATCAGTATTGTTCATTGATCAATGATGAAAATGTGGACTATACAGATACTCAAAGCCAACATTCTAATACTCATCATTTTGCTAGTTAGAAAATAAATTAAATACATGTACCTTAGATTAATGTTTTTTGGTTTCATACTTCTTGAAGAACAGTAAAGATTTGAAGAGCTATAATGGCTTTGAGTCCTGTGCAACTTTTTTTTTTTTTTCCAGGTCTTCTACTTTATTGGCAAGCACTTAGAATCATAGCATCACTGTTCATTAGAACTAGAAAAGATAATTTTTCTTTTTATTTATTTAAATATTTTACTTCTAATTTTAGGTTCAGGGCTACATGTGCACTCATGACTTGTGCAACTTTTTTTTTTTTTTTTTTTGACGGAGTCTCGCTCTGTTGACAGGCTGGAGTGCAGTGGCGCCATCTCGGCTCACTGCAATCTCCACCTCCTGGGTTCAAGCAATTCTTCTGCCTCAGCCTCCCGAGTAGCTGGGACTATAGGCACATGCCATCATGCCCAGCTAATTTTTGTATTTTTAGTAGTGACGGGGTTTCACCATGTTGGCCAGGATGGTCTTGATCTCTTGACCTCAGGTAATCCACCCACTTCAGCCTCCCAAAGTGCTGGGATTACAGGTGTGAGCCACTGTGCCCAGCCTCCAGTGCAACTTTTTAATGTAAATGTTGGAAGTGCAAGGTACCAGCAGTTCCTTTTATCACGGCTCATTTGTGGTTCATACTCTCACATAGTCAGCCATAGACATTTCTTCCTATTGTTTATATGATGTTCCAGTTTTCACTTTGTATACTACTTTAGTTAAGAGCAGATTCTTGACTTCATTTACAAGCACTCTTGAGTTTGGGTAATTCCTCCAACTTCCCACAAATTCCTTCTGTGAAGCAAGTTTCATAGAAGTTAGATCTTAAGACATTTGAAATGACTTTCCCTGTTACACTCTAGAACACTGTTTACTTCAGCTGATACGTCCCTGCTTAGGCATATCACACTCTTTCATAAGGTTTCTATATCCATCCACCTAACTTTCAAACTCACATCATTTTTTTTCTCCTTTTCAGTTGGCTACCTTAATCTCTGTTTCTCAGGGCACAAATTTCTTCCCCAAAGTTTTTTCTGTATTTTTACCTAGTAGCTTGGGGGAGTCTGGTGTACAGTCTTAAGACATGAAGTTCAGAACAGATACATGCAAACAATTCCATCACATGTCTCAGAATAAGCTCTACAATGTAGTGAGTAGATCACAAATCTCTTTTAATGTGGCATGTTTACTGTTTGTGTTCTTTGTTCTTAACACTGCATCATGGTGAACTGCAGCTGCAAGTGAAAACAACAGAACTGGCAAGCATTATCAATCTAATATTTTGTTTCAAATTAATAGCGGATAAGTCCAAATTTGACTCAACTAATAAAATTATTAGTAAATGTGCAGTTAAATCTTGATCTCATTTTGGTATATCAGATAGACATGGTGATTTTGATTGGATTTTTCCATTTTAAAGTAGTACCTTTTATGATGCAGATAAGAGGTATAAATAAAGACTTTTTGTAAAAACATTTTCTTGGATTGGTGCAAGTTTTTTTGATTAAATGTAAAATTATTTAAGAGGCCAGATTTTCCATCAGACAAACCAATAGGAAAACAATGTTATGCTGGTCTTAACATAGCCATTTGGATTGACCAATGTGTCTTAAAAAAGTAGATTGAAGGATAATTCCTTCACCTTGAAAATATTGTTAACAAAATAAGCATCCACTTCTATAATATACCTAGACTGTAATTAAACTTCCAAATATTATAATGACTTGTTTTCTTAAAAATTTCTCTGTAAAACCTTGGTTACTTATGGTTTTATTGCTATGACAATCATTCCTAGGCCATAATATCCAAGATGTCTTATTATTGGCCAAGTATCTGAAAAGGGTGGATGGGTAAGACACCTGGATGAGGAGTCCAGACCTCGCTCACTATCTGAGTTACAAGAGAATTTCCTATGAATGTTATAATATGGCTAATTATTTTACATTCCATAAGCAACTCTACATAACTATGATATACTTAGAGAAGGCCAGTCCATTTGGTATTGAGAAGAGCCAATGTATTGAATTGTCAAAATAAGATGATGTGCTAGTCAAGTTACTCCAGAGAAATAAAGAGAGAAACAGTGTGTGGAGAGAAAGAGAGAGACACAGATTTTTAAAGGAATTGGCTTATGAAATGATGGAGGTTGACAAGCCCAAAATAAGCCAGGAAGGCCAGCAGGAGAGAGACCTAAGGAAGAGTTGCAGTTCAAGTGCACAGACAATCTGCTGGAAGAATTCCCTCTATTCCCTCTCTCTCCAGGGAGGTTAGTCTTTTTCTTAGACTTTCAACTGATTGGATGAAGCCCACACAGATTTTGGAGAGCAATCTGCTTTACTAAAAGTCTACTGATTTAAGGTTAATTCCATCTAAAAAAATAGCCTCACAGAAACATGTAGAATAGTATTTGACCAAATATCTGGGCGCTGTGGTCTAGCCAAGTTGACAAATGAAATTAACCATCATAGATGGTCTCCATAGCTTCTAAGACACAAGGAAAATCTTTAGCAGAAAACATACCTTTTTGATTACATCAGTATCCTTTCTCTTATCATTGTCTTGTGGCCAGAAAATTCAGATATATTCTATAAAATGTTTAGAGTCCTCCTGAGAGGGATTTATTTAACTAGATGGGAATTTCACTTGGTTTAGTATCAGTGCAGCCAGCCAATAAGTCAACCTCTATTTTTTTTTTTATTTTGGACATAAAAATTAATATCAGTTGAAAAGGTTTTTCTGTAGGCTAAACTAGCTTTCTACTTGCGCTGCCACTGACATTACAAGCAAGAATCCAAAAAACAACATTGAGATGCATTGTGAGAAATGCCTTGGGTTTAGATCCAATTTACTAATACCCTCTTAATCATCTGTTATACAGTACAATTTCAAAGACTAGGAGCCCTCTGGCCTGGGTATCATTGATATTGAAATGGAAAATAACCAGAGTAGACAAACTGTTATGCATAAAGAGAATAGAGAACTGAAGAAGACATTGTATTTTTTCAGTATGTAGAAAAGCTTCAAAAGGTGTTTTAATTCTTTTATCACTAATTTTGCTAAGCCATGTTTTTCAAACTTTACCTATTTCTTACATTTTAAAATTGCCTTTGTAAAAATCAGTATATAAATTATAAACATACTGAAAAGTGGAACATAAACATTAGTTTGACATAGTTGCCAATTTTCCCTCTGATCTTTTTATATCTATAGTTTTTGTTGTTGTAGTACTAAAACAGTTTCAATGATATGTTATTTATAATTTTGCATGCTGCTTTTTAAAACCTATTTTTATATAAATATTTTTTAAATTATACAGTACCTGGCATATGCTACAGACGTTTGTTTAATGCATGAATTATTTAGTGAATACAGTTGTTGTAGACCATGCTTGTTGAAATTCTCCATAAGCACTATTTTTAAGTTTTGGCTTATTTAACAAGCAAATTTGCCATAATTATGTAACCATTCCCATATTATCTGACACTTAGGTTGTTTTCAGTTTTTTTTAAAAAAATAGGTAATTATATGATGAACATCTTCAAATGTGAAGTGTTTTCTGCTTCTGAAACTCTCAGATATATTTGTAGAAGTGATAACACTAGGTCAAAGATATAAACTTTTTCCTAGAAAAAAACCTAAAATATACCTGTTAAGGTAATTAGACAGAGAAATAGAAAATTCCTTGTATTGTAAAATTTTAGGTTTTCAGATCAAAAATGTTTTATTGTTCTATAAAATGGGCTATGATTTTTATGAGAAAATATATACTTGCAGGGATGCAAAAAGTATGAAAAAATAGAAATACTAATATGCCTTTCTTTCTGATATTTCTCAGAAACCTCTGATAGACCCATGATCATTCTCTGGACTAAACTTCTGGGGTTTCAAAGCCCAAGTGAACAAAAATGACAGAATTTTATAAAGCATTTCAAAACCAAATATCCCACATTTAACTATTGTTTTGGATTAACCAAACCACAGCTTTATTTCATACAAATGGAAATTCAGTAGTTGGTAGTATTGAAAAATAGAAGGAGATGAATAAGGGAGTGTGCTAAGTACATGTTTAATAAAATTGATTGGCTTGGATTAAAATGATACATAATGTGAATTGACTTCACCAAGAGTTCACAATAAAGATAACAGTGTTCTGGACATCTATATATTTTTTTTCTTTATCTATATTCACAACAGAATATTGGTCAGGAGAAACTAAATGCTAATATAAACTAGTAATGCTTTCTTCCAACCCGAAATAGATACACATAATACTAGAAAAGTGCTGTTTAAAGATTTTATGTTATATGACACGTGGAAAATATCTTCTGAAAGCATGAGCTAGTCCAACCACTAATAAGGTCAGTGTATTAGTCCATTCTCACACTGCTAATAAAGACATACCTGAGATTGGGTAATTAATTTATAAAGAAAAGAGGTTTAATTGACTCATGTTTCGCATGGCTGGGGAGGCCTCAGGAAACTTACAATCATGGCAGGAGAGGAAGGAAACCCATTCTTTTTCACATGGTGGCAGGAGAGAGAATGAGTGCCCAGTGACGGGGAAAGCCCCTTATAAAACCATCAGATCTCGTGAGAACTAACTCACCATCACAAAAACAGGATGGGGGAGGCTGTCCGCATGATTCAATTATCTTTACCTGTTTCCTCCCTTGATGTGTGGGGATTATGGGAACTACAATTCAAGATGAAATTTGGGTGGGGACACGGCCAAACCATATCAGCTGGAGAAGCATTTTAAGCGCAGGCACTAAAAATAAACTTGTCAAGAGAGGATGCCTATAAGTAAAATACCTTTTGTCACTTGTTTTTTCTATCAAGAGTAAGAAACAGCTGGGTCCTACCTCAGTCCATGCTAAGCCACCTGTATATTTTTTTCCATAGGCCCCAGGAAATTATTTGGCTTTATTTTCCTGTTATATGTTTTTCTTCTCTATTTCCTGAGAGTCTTATCTTCATGATGCTGGCTCTTTATTTTCCTGTGAACCAAGATAATCCTCATGTTTTATGACTAACCTCTTTCTAGACAATAAAAGACAGTATAAATACAACAATTAAGTTCAGGGTAGTTGCAAAGGTTTCACGTACTTACTAAAGTTTTCAGTTATTGTTATTTGATAATGCTGTACGTTTTCTGTTATCTTCTAATAAACAAGTGATAAATGTAAGATAGGAACACAAGAACAAAAGTTCTTTTTTTTTTTTTCTTTTCTGAGACAGAGGCTCGCCTGTCACCCAAGCTAGAGTGCAGTGGTGTCATCTCGGCTCACTGCAGCGTTTGACCTTCCAGGCTCAAGCGATCCTTCTGCCTCAGGCCCCTGAGTAGCTGGGACTATAGGCATGTGCCACTATGCCTAGCTAATATGTTCATTGTTAAAAACTGAAAAAGTAAAGAAAGGCATGCAGCAATGGTTCTCAAGATTTTCCATGTATAAGAATCAGAAGCATCCTGGGGAAGCTCCTGGAAAGGTGGTCTATGGACCAGTGGCATCAGTATCGTCTTAGAGCATGTTAGAACTGCAGATTTTAAGGTCTTATCCTGGACCCACTGAATCTGCATTTTAACAAAATGCCCAGGTGATTCCTATGAATGTTAAAGTTCACGACATGTGGTATGATTTCATTTGTATGAAATGTACAGAAAAGGCAAATCAATAGAGATAGATAATAGATTAATGATGCCCTGTGGGTGGAGAATGGAGATTAACAGTAAAAATACATGAGGGATTTTATTGGGGCAATGGAAATGCTTTAAAACTGATTTATGATGATTATAGCACAGGTTGGTAAAATCTGTAAAATAACTGAATTGTATACTTGAAATAGATGATATATATAATATGTAAAATATGTCTCAACAAAGTTAGAAAAAGTATATGTTTGCCAAAATGCAGATTGCCGAGTCCTATCTTAGATCCCATGTTATTTCATTTAGTTTGTGGACCTCCAACTGAGGAACAGTGATACAAAGTAAATAGTAACAACCTAAAACCAAAACCCACCCCAACCATCACTTGAACCACTCTTCTCTTCTTCATATGCCTTGAAGAATTCCAGTGTCAGTGCATGTAGCTCTACACTTTAATTGCTAGGTAATAAATATCCCAAAGTATTCTGGCACCTTTTCACTATATTGATTGTGATAAAGATTTTTTTCAGTATTACAATGTTGCAATTGCAATTTTAATTCTTGCTTCTATGTACATGTGCAAGTATTTGTTCAGAATAAGCATGTAGAGGTGGAAATTTAATATAACTGTATGAACATTTACAATTTTAATAAATCCTTTAAAATAATCTTCAAAAAAGCCCCCAATTTACTCTCCACCAATATGGAGTAAGAATGGCCATTTCCTCTAGATGAATGATTAATAAAGGCTATCAGTCTTTTTCATGTTACCCATGTATTGGGCAGAAAAACATTATTCATTATTTCAATTTGTATTTCTTTGGATAAGCATACTTTCCATATTTTTCTTCATTTTAATTTTCTTCATTCTTCAAACTTATTGTTTTTTTTTTTGCCCATTGTCTTTTGAAGATATATATCGTTTTCTTATTTATTTCTATAAACTTTATTTGTTGTGGTAAACTAATCCCGTTTCTTTTAAGAACTAATGCTTATAGTGTGTTATATGCATTTTCACTAGCTTATGGTTTCTTTTATTATCCTAATTTAAAATGTTTATGTAATTATATTTGTCAGCCTTTGTATATTAGTTGAGGATATAACTTTTCTAAATAGATACATGTTAATCCCAATGGCATTTATTAATTACCCTTTTTTTCTACTGAGAGATATTTAATAATTTTCTAAAACTATATTACTACACACACACACACACACACACACACACACACACACACCTAGCTTCATTTCTAGGCTCTTCATTATGTCCTTCTGTTTCTTCTCTAGTACAAATAGTTTCAATTACTGCCATTTCAAAATATATTTATTATAAAGCTAGTTCTCCTTCACAGGTTTTTCCTGGCTAGTATAAAAACAGTCAACATTGCTGTTCAAGAATAAACAAATGATTATCTCTCGATTCCAGGCCTTTCTCATTTTTATTTCCTCTTCTTTTTAGAAAAATTTGCTGCTAATGGGATACAGGGTGTCATTACACACATTTGCATTACCAATTTTGTGCAAAATAAATTATGGTATATGAAGAGAAGACCAAACATGTTTCTGCGAACTTCTATATGTCAGGCATCTTAACTGTAGAGATTCTCAAAATAAAAGAAGGAAGTAGGGAACAAGCAAAATCAAGGAGAGCTACTCTAAATTCTTGGTATGTCAAATATTTTTATCCTATGACTTCCCCAAACAACATCGAGTCTTCAGTGAAAAAATGTGGTACTATTTTTGCTTAGTCAATTAAATCTTTATCTATACCTAAATCTCACCCCCCCACCCCCATATATCTTATGTATCTTTCTGAAGAGAATTAGAAACAGTGATTGGGAAGGAAATCAATTGAAGAATCCAATACAAGCAGATGTATTCTGAATTTCCTTTTCTTCCTCTTTACTAGTGTGATTCACATGATTACCTTCCTCTGCCTGAGACTTACACGCTGATGTTTTCCAGAGTTTAATCCTTTCCTCCTTATATCTCCTTATAGATCTTAGAATCAAGTGCCTTTAGGAGAAGGCCAGTAACAAAAGGAGTGGAGCAGGATTTAATAGGATAGTGCCTGGTGAGAACTGAGACAAACCAGAAGGGGCATGCCCTATTAAATGATGTTCATATTCAAACATTTAATAAATGCCTTACTGGTTCAAAAAATCTACCTGGCAACCTTTGATCCTTGACTCTCCTGGGCACCTGTTCCATGCCTGAACTTATTGTTTAATGTGATAATTACTCCTAAGTCTATGTATTAGCCTGTTTTCACACTGCTATCAAGAAATACCTGAGACTGGGTAGTTTATAAACAAATGAGGTGTAATTGACTCACAGTTCCGCATGACTGGGGAGGCCTCAGGAAACCTCCAATCAAGGCGAGGGGCAAAGGGGAAGCAGGCACCTTCATTAGGCGGCAGGAGGGAGTGAGACCCCAGGAAAAGCTTCCACTTTTAAAACCATCAGATCTTGTGGGACTCACTCACTATCAGAACAGCATGGGGGAAACTGCTCCCATAATACAGTCACCTCCCATCAGGTTCCTACCTTGACACATGGAAATTACAATTCAAGATGAGATTTAGGTGGGATACAGAGCCAAACGATATCAGTCTATATCATTAATTCAGTTTTCTCTTCTTAGTTTTAGATCAACATGTCCAATCCTGTAAGGAACATTTCCAAGTACACATCAGATATACACCAGATAAATATATATATAAACTAAACTCATGTTCTAAACTTCCTCCTCTTCATTTATGTCACATTTACTTTCAGTGCTAAAGCCAGAATCTTGGAAAACAACCATGACTGTCTACTCTGCTCTTTACCTCCAAATGAACAGCAAGTCAAACACAAATCGCCTCCATGATTTTGCTGACGTCTATGTGTTATCCCTATTCCCACTTCACTCTCTTAGTTTGGCTTTTCATACTATTTTTGTTCTAGATGATTGCAACAGCTTAATTATGTCCCCAACTTTCTCGTGTCACATTTTAGCTTGTTTAAAACTACTTTAACCTTCATAATCTTTCTTTAATAAAAGTTTATTGGAGACATTTCTCTGCTTCAAAGCGTCAGTGGCTCACTGGACTTCAGGCACACATGGCTCTTGGTCTTATCTCTACATCTTTTCAGCTTCCTTTCTCATCACTTCCATTGTCCCATCTTCGTATTCTACCTTCTCTAGCCATGTTCATTAGCCTGCCTGAAATGTGGTGTGCACTTCAAAATCTTTGCTCATGGTATTCATTCTATTTCATGATAATTTCCCCCACCTCCCTCATCACATTCCACGAAGCTAACCTTTATTATAAAACACTTCAGGGCTCAACACAGTGTAATTATTCCAGGAAATTCAGCGTTTCTTGTTTTTATACCCACTTTAACATGTATAATATGCTCTTTAATCTTTTTGTTTCTCTCTTCATTACCCCCAGTGCATCTTGAAATAGTGACTCAATTTTGCTTATTTTTTACATCTACAATATATATCTGTTACAGAGGAGATATTAAATATATGATTGTTTAAATATATGGATGAATAAATGAATGAGTGACTGGGTAGAATAGGCAGTAACCTAGAACTTGAGAATGCAAGCATGATTTGGGAAGAAGGGTAACATTGCGAGTGCCAAGTTTTCATGATTATTTAACAAAAGAAATATCAGACACATTCAATATAAAGAAATATGAAATAGTAAAAATAATGCTCCAGAAAAACCCAAATAAAATCTGAATTTTAGTAAATAAACTACATGAGTAATATAGCTTGAAATATGTATAGAAATAATATATTTTTAATTTTTGTCCAAATACTAGAATAAAATTAAATCAAACCTAAGCTTTATTTCAGAAAAAAGTCTAATTTTTGTGGGCACACATTTTCTAATGAATAGTACACTCAATATTTTGTTATAAAATTAATAAGTTTAAGATAAAAGTCTCTATTGGTGTGAGGAGCTGCCAAAATTTGCTGTATATCATATGAAGAATCACTGAACACTTTAATATTGCCAGCACTGGAATGTTATATCGATTTCTTTTTTCTGTTTTTCATGTCATGCCAGGTTTAATAGTTAACTATTTTTAATGGGATGATTTAATCAAATGAATTATGACAAACTGCATTATAATGGCATTCTATTGTTTTTAATTTAATTGAATGTGATTTCATATATCTCTTAGGTTTGTCATATTAGTACAAGTCTTTTTTTTTTTTTTTTTTTTTTGAGACAGAGTCTCGCTTTGACGCCCAGGCTGGAGTGCAATGGTGTGATCTCGGCTCACTTCAAGCTCTGCCTCCTGGGTTCATGCCATTCTCCTGCCTCAGCCTCCCGAGTAGCTGGGACTGCAGGTGTGTGCCACCACGCCAGGCTAATTTTTTTGTATTTTCAGTAGAGACGGGGTTTCACTGTGTTAGCCAGGATGGTCTCAATCTCCTGACCTCGTGATCCACCTGCCTCAGCCTCCCAAAGTGCTGGGATTACAGGGGTGAGCCACCATGCCCGGCCTATATTAATAAAAGTCTTAACACAGAAATAGAGACATTGACTGCTTTCAAACCAAAATCTCTGCATTCAACCTAAACTGATGAGCATAGCACTATGATAATCCTTGAATTAATTGACTGAAAATAATAATGTTAGTAAAATAAAATGATTTACCGTAAGCCAAGAAAATTAATGTAAAATTCTGAATTCTGAAATTATTTAAAAATTCTAAAATTATCAATAAAAAAGTTCTTTGAAGTTCTTTAGGCAAATATTTGAATATGACCAAAGTAGAATATGGAGATAATTTGAAAAGTAAAAATGTGAAATAAGATCCTAAACTTAGTAGATATAAATTAAATAAAACTTAGGAGGCTGGCAAGGTAAAATATTGTTTTTAAGAAGAAAATTTCTGTTGGAAATACAATTTACATTAAGGACGCATAAAAAATTATAGTGTTACTATGCTACAGCCATGAGTTTATTATTAGGCTATTTGATAGTATAATTTAACCTACTCTAATATGAGGGAGTAAAAGTCCAAGCCAGCTATAATCATGGGCTATAGAGGGGAACAAAACACCCAGAGAATGCCTGCACCTGCAATGTTACCTACACACCTAATACGTGCGTTGAAAATCTCCCAGTAATGACTGGAGAAGAGAATGAGAATAATTCTCTTTGCTTGATGTTTGGTAAAGAAAAGAAAGACTAAATGGAAGGTACATCTGGCAGCCTCTCACACCAAGTACCATGCAATTACTTCTTTCACTCCAAATATCAAGGAACTATGGGAGAAAATAACATAATTCTTAGGTTAGAAAACACTAAGATCTAAACATAAAATTGCGGAGTTTTTTTTTTTAACATTCTTCCTGTCTGCTTAGATAATTTGAGAATGATAGATCTCTGATTTTTCTGTTATATCTTTAATTGTACAGATGTCAATATAAAAACATTGAAAAATATTAGTAGTTTAACTATTCCAAATTAAATATATATAATTATAATAAAACAAATATAATTATAACTAATTTATTATAATTAAATATAAAAACAATGTTTTCTACTTTTGATTACTATGCTACATAGTAATCAAATATAGATCACCCATATAATAATCAAAACTATAGCTCTGCTTTAAATGTCACTTAAAAGGATAAAATATTAAAACACTTAGGCTTAAATAAGGTTTGAAAATTATTTTAGTCAAAAGACTATAGGTATAATTGAAAGTAAGAAATATTTCACACCTGTATTCAAATACAGTAAATAAGATGAAAAGATACTGAAGTAGAATATCACTAACACATGAAACCATGTAAAATATAGGACAGAAACAAAAAACTGAATGATTTTATGCCAAATCCTTAAAAATAAGTATTTATGAAACAGAAAGAATTGAAAGACTTTGAACCTTATATAAATCTTTGTACTATTTCCTTCTGTAAATAAAATGTTTAGAGTACAAAATTATACAAATGAAGAGATCCTGGCCATTCTGAAGTTAAATATCCTTAAAGTTTTGGTTCTATTGTTATGTTCCTTATATACAGAGAAGCATATTAACTAGTATGTCATTTATAATGGTGATATAAAATAAAATCAGCTTTCTTAAATTATTCTCCAAGAAAGCTTAAGAAATAGCCATATGTTTTCCCCTAACACAATGAATAAAGGCTGTTTAAGAGAACTGCATTGTATTTGTGATCCAGGGTTTAGCATGGTACAAGAACAGATGTATTGTAAAGCTGACTGCGTAAGTGTCTTTTTCTCTGAGGCTTATGAATGCTGGAGCTGCTCTGTCATGCGGCCTATTTTCTGTTTACCATACAGATCCATCAGTTTCCCTGCCACTTCAGCTGTGTCAGTTCAAATGACTTCCCAAACAGCCTCTGGAACGCCAACTGTAAAAGATGGATTTATTTGCTCAGTCTCCTTCCTGAAGCATGTATCTTAGATGGGTATGCAGTCAGACCTTTTTTTTTTTTTTTGTTAAACGTACAACTTTTAAGATACAGTCAGCTCTGCTATGATAACTCAGATTTGTTGCAAAGTGATAGGTAAGAGATAATTGAAGCATAACATTAATTTTGCATTTGACTATATGCAATTTTCTCCACTAGAAACACAAGGTGTATGCAAAAAAATGCACCCAGTTGAATGAAGCTATGTGGGTGTAAACTAAACACATATATGCACATCTCAAATATGTATCAGTTACCTCTATTCACCGCTTATCTGTGAGACACTCATCTACATCTGTTCTTACGATTTTCCCTCCTATTTCAGATAACGCTGCTTCCACCATTTCATAATAACTCACTAGCTAAAAACTGTCTTATGCTCATTCCTACAAGTAAAATTCAGGTCACTTTCATGGTAAAGTGACATATTTATTGTAGTATTTATGTACTTTTTAATGATTAACCTATTTAAAAATGTACTACTTCATGTTACAGTAGCACTGACCATGTTACCAAGAGTAAAATAAACTCTAAAACTATTGCATGCTACAATATATTCTCAGTTTTCACAGAGTAAAAGGTGTTGGAAACCATGCATGGGAAACTTAGAAAAAAATGACAGTGCTTCTCTTACAGAAAAATTCCGCTAGTTATTGTACTTTATAAAATTATTGTCGTTACTTTCTAATTGTTCACGTGTTTTCACATCAGTACAACTTATTGTTATCAAAGTATAATAAGAATTGAAAATAGTACACAAGGATTCTCTCCAAAAATATTTTTGTGGTTTCTTCAATCTTATTGAAGCAGAGCCCATTTCCACTGAGATTTCGTTGTGCTAAATCCTGAGAAAATCTATGAATACCCACAAATAAAAATAAATATCTGTTCGAGAGATGTATTGTATAAAATAGTGGTGATAGGTAATAACAATATACTGTATTTTTGAAAAATCCTGAGAGTGGATGTTAAATGTTCTCATGACAAAAATGATTATGTGAGGAAGTGCATATACTAATTAGCTATATTTAGTAATTCTATACTGCATGTGTACTTCAAAACACAATTAATACATATAATTTTATCTGTCAATTAAAAAATAAGTAAATAAAAAATCTATAATCAAAATTCTGGGATATTTTGCATAAATATTTAAGCCCTTATTTCTACTTATTTATAATTTAAAAGTGAACCATAATACTTGTCAGTTTCAGGGATTTTTTTCCCCCTTTAAAAAATAATTTTAGCTTTTATTTTAGATTCTGGGGTACCTGTGTAGGTTTTTTACATGGGTATATTGCATGACGCTGAGGTTTGGGGTATGATTGATCCCATCACACCAGTACTGAACATAGTACACAGTAGTTTTCCAACACTTGTCTGCCTCTTTCCCCTTCTCCTCTATTAGTCCCCAGTTTCTAATATTACCATCTTTATGTCCATGAGTACCGATTGTTTAGCTCCCACTTATAACTGGGAACATGTGGTATTTGATTTTCTGTTCCTGCATTAATTCCTTTAGGATAATGGCCTCTGTCTGCACTCGTATTGTACAAAGAATATAATTTTATTCTTTTTTATGGCTGTGTAGTCTTCTATGTTTTATACATACCATGATTTTTTTTATCCAATCCACCATTGATGGGCACCTACAGTGATTTCATGTCTTTGCTATTGTGAATAGTGCTGTGATGAACATATGCGTGCATGTATCTTTTTGGTAGAACAATTTATTTTTCTTGGAGTATACATTCAGTAATGGGATTGCTGGGTCAAATGGTAGCTCTGTTTTTAGATCTTTGAGAAATCTCTAAACTGTTTTCCACAGTAACTGAACTAATTTACATTCGCACCAACAGTTTATAAGCATTCCCTTTTCTCTGCAGCCTCACCACAACCTGTTGGTTTTTGACTTTTTAATAATAGCCATTTTGACTGGTGTGACACAGTATCTCATTGTGGATTTGGTTTGCATTTCTCTGATGATTAACATTGTGGAGCATTTTTTCATTTGTTTGTTGTCTGCTTGTATGTCATTTTTTGAGAAGTGTATGTTCATGTCTTTTGTCCATTTTTAATGAAGTTATTTATTTCTTGCTTATTAAATTGTTTAATTTCCTTATAGATTTTGAGTATTAGACCATTGTCAGATGTATAGTTTGCAAATATTTTTTTCTGATTCTGTATAGGTTTTCTGTTTACACTGTTGTGTTTTGTATTAGTCCATTTTCACAGTGCTATACAGAATACCTGAGACTAGGTAAAAGAGGTTTAACTGACTCCTAGTTCTGCATGGCTGGGGAGGCCTCAGGAAACTTACAATCATGGTGGAAGTCGAAGGAGAAGCAAGTACTTTCTTCATAAGGCAGCAGGAAAGGGAGAGAGAGCAGCAGAAACTACTATTCATAAAATCATCAGATCTCCTGAGAAAAACCACCCCCATGATCCAATCACCTCCCACCGGGTCCCTCCCTCAACATGTAGGGATTACGGTTCCAGATGTGATCTGGGTGTGGACACAGAGCCAAACCATATCAAGTTTATTTTGCTGTGCAGAAACTCATTAGTTTAATTAGGTTCCACTTGTCAATGTTTGTTTTTGTTGCAATTGCTTTTGAGGACTTAGTCATAAATTCTTTGCCAAGGCTGATATGTAGAATGGTGTTGCCTAAGTTTTTTTCTGGGATTCTTATAGTTTAAGGTCTTGCATTTATATTTTTAGCTTATCTTCAGTTAACTTTTGTATGTGGTGAAAGGTAGGGGTCTAGTTTTATTCTTCTGTGTATGGCTATCCAACTATCAAGCAACATTTATTGAATAGGGAGTCCTTTCTCCATTGCTTGTTTTTGTAAACTTTGTTGAAGATTAGATGGCTGTAGGTTTGTGGCTTTAATTCTGAGTTCTCTATTCTGTTTCATTGGTCTATGTGTCTGTTTTTGTACCATTACCATGTTTTTTTGGTTACTGTGGGCTTATTGTGTAGTCTGAAGTAGGGTAATATGATGCTTTTAGCTTTGTTCTTTTTATTTGGAATTCCTTTGGCTATTTGGGCCCTTTATTGGTTCCATATAAATTTTAAAATAGTTTTTTCAAGTTATGTGAAAAACGACATAGGGAGCTTGATAGAAATAGCATTGAACCTGTAGATTGCTTTGGGTTGTATGACTATTTAATGATACTGATTCTTCCAATTATTGAGCATGAAATGTTTTCTGTTTGTTTATGTCAGCTATGATTTCTTTTAGCAATGTTTTGCAGTTTTCCTTGTAAAGATTTTTAACCTCCTTGGTTAGATGTATTCCTAGGTATTGTTTTTTGTTTGGCTATTGAAAAAGAAATTTGATGTTTTTATTTGGCTCTCAGCTTGAGTGCTATTGGTGTATAGAAATGCTACTAATTTTTTACATTGATTTTGTAGCCTAAAACTTTACTGAAGTTGTTTATCAGTTCTAAGAGCCTCTTGACAGACTCTTTCGGATTTTCAAGGTATAGAATCATACTGTCAATGAATAGACAGCTTGCCTTCTTCTTTTCCTATTTGAATGGCTTTTATTTATTTATCTTGCCTAATTGCTCTGGCTAGGACTTCCAGTACTATTATATGTTGAATAGGAGTGGTGAGAGTGGGCATCCTTGTCTTGTTCTAGCTCTCAAGCATTTAAATTGATGAAAATATGCAAGGCTAGTCTCAATTATTTTAAGAGGTTTATTTGCCAAAGTTAAGATCATGTGCTTGGATGGCAGGTCTATGCCTTTCTCAAAAGATGATTTTGAGGGCTTCAGTATTTAAAGGGAAAGGGGCAGATATTGGCAAAAGAGGAAGAAATGTTTTTTTAAAAATGTATCAGTAGATAAGAGACAAAAGTTTTATCATTTTGGGTCTTTGATCAGTCTTTCACTGAATATATAATTTTTGTGTGAGAAGGATGGTAGAAAAAATAGTCACTTACGCCTTTGTGTGTCTCAGTGAATCTGCATATTTACATTAGATAACATGAACAATAAGGCAGAGGAAGCAATCAGATATGCATTTGTCTCAGGTGAGCAGAGGGATGATGGAGTTCTGTCCTTTGTTCTGCACCTGTGAAGATAAACTTCAATTTACATTGCCAGAGTGAAATTCAGCAGAATTATTTTAGGTTAAAGATCTTGGGTCCCACAAGGAGTTTCCTTAGGGGCAAATCATGAGGAAGGTATTTAGCTTTTTGTCTTTGGAGCTATCTTATTTAGGAACCAAATGGGAAGCAGATTTGTGTGACCCAGTTCCTAGCTTGACTTTTCCCTTTGGCTTAGTGAGTTTGGGGATCTGAGATTTATTTTCTTTCTGCAAGGGTAATCCTTCCAGTTTTTGCCCATTCAGTATGAGGTTCGTTGTGGGTTTGTCACAGATGGCTTATTATTTTGAGATATGTTTCTTCCATGTCTAATTTCTTGAGCGTTTTTATCATGAAGGGATGTTGGATTTTATTGAAAGTATGTTCTGCAATTATTGAAATGATCATATTTCAAAAACATTCTGCTTATGTGGTGAATTACATTTATTGATTTACATGTTGAACAACCTTGTATCTCAGGAAGGAAGCCTACTTGACCACAATAAATAACCTTTTTGATGTGCCATTAGATTCAGTTTGCTAGTATTTTGTTGAGGATATTTACATCTATGTTAATCAGAAATATTGGTCTGTACTTTTCTTCTTTCATTGTGGTTTTGCCAAGTTTTGGTATCAGGGTGATGCTGGCTTCATAGAATGGGTTAGGGAAGAGTCACTCCTCAATTTTTGGAATAGTTTCAGTAAAATTGGTACCAGTACTTTCTGTACCTCTGGGAGAATTTGGCTGTGAATCCATGTGGTACAGAACTTTACTTGATTAGTAGAGTTTTTACTACTGATTCAATTTCAGAACTTGATATTGGTCTGATCATGGTTTATTTCTCCTCATTCAATCTTGAGAGATTGTGTGTTTCCAGGAAAGTATCTGTTTCCTCTAGATTTTCTAGTTTGTGTGCATAAAGGTGTTCATAATACTTTCTGATAATCTTTTATATTTATGTAGGATAAGTTGTCATATCACCATTGTTGTTTCTGATTGTCCTTATTTGGATATTCTCCCTTTTTTCCTTTTGAATATAGCTAGCAGTCTATTGATCTTGTTTATCCTTTCAAAAATCCAACTTTTGTTTTTATTAAATCTTTGTATGGATTTTTGAGTATCAATTTTGTTCAATTCTGCCCCAATTTTAGTTATTTATTTTCTTCTTATAGCTTTTGGGTTAGGTTGTTCTTGTTTTTCTAGTTTTTCTAAATGTGCTGTTAGATCATTATTTTGAGGTCTTTCTTTTTGAGGTAGCTGTTTAGTGCTATAAGCTTTCCTTTTAACATTGCTTTTGTGGCATCCAAGAGATTCTGGTATGTTGTGTCTCTGTTTCAATTAATTGCAATTTTTAAAAAATTTCTTTCTTAATGTTATATTTTACCTAAAAGTCATTCAGGAGCAAGTTGTTTAGTTTCTATGTAATTTGTGGTTTTCAGAGGTCTTTTTGGTATTGATTTCTGTTTTTATTTTACTGTGGTCTGTAATATGGTTGGTATAATTTTGATTTTTTTGAATTTATTCAGACTTGCTTTATGGCTGACGATATGGTCAATATTGGAGTTTGTTCCATGTGCAGATGAGAAGAATGTATGTTATGTGGTTGATGGGTAGAGTTTTCTGTACATTTCTATTAGGTCCAATGAACCAAGTGTAAAATTTAAGTCCAGAGTTTTGTTGTTAGTTTTCTACCTCAATGATCTGTCTAATGCTGTCAGTGGGGTGTTAAAGTTCCCCACTATTATTATTGGCTGTCTGAGTCTTTTTGTAGGTCTAGAAGTACTTGTTTTATGAATTTTGGTGCTCCAATGTTGTGTGCATGTATGTTTAGCACAGTTAAGTCTTCTTGTTGAATTAAAACTTTCATCATTATGTAATGCTCTTCTTTGTTCGTTTTTTAACCACTGCTGGCTTAAAGTCTTTTTCATTTGATATAATAATAGTTACTCCTACTCTTTTTTGCATTTTGTTTGCATGGTAGATCTTTCTCCAACCCTTTACTTTGAGCATATGGATGTGTTTATGTATGAGATGGGTCTCTTGAAGAGAGCAAACAGATGTATCTCTCTTTTTTTTTTTTTTTTTCTTTTGTGACAGAGTCTCACTCTGTCACACCAGTACACCGAGCTAATTTTTGTATTTTTAGCAGAGATGGGGTTTCACCATGTTGGCTAGGATGGTCTCAATCTCTTGACCTCATGATCTGCCCGCCTCGGCCTCCCAAAGTGCTGGTATTACAGGCATGAGCCACCACACCTGGCCCAGGTGCATCTAATTTTTAAAGAAATTTTTAACTTAATATTTAAAAAGTGATTGAGTAATCACTTTTGAAGTGGTATAGTAAAGACTTCCAATCTGTTCACAACTATAATAGCTGTGAAAACCAGCATAATGGTAGTTGCTGGAGGGTGCAGAGCAGGTTTGAACCGCCTCAGAATTCCCATTCTCATAGAATTGTCCATATTTACCCATCTGACAGTTGGTTAAAAAGCTCCATTCTCAAGGCTTGTCTTTATTTAATTTGATTCAGAACTTGTTCTATGAAAAAAGCCCTATACCAAAAACATTGTCAAAAAATCAGTGGTCATTGTTTAAGAGCTGCCCACAGTCCCATTACCTTTTGAGACTAACATGAGGCTGACAAAAATGTCAAAAGAAAAATGAAGGAATATAATGTCCATATGGGCTTTGGAAGTCTTCAATATCTCTCTGAGAATCTAGTCATGTCTATGTGCAGGGCTGTGTGCATGCCCTGGAAAGACCTGTGAAGGCTCTAATCTCTCGTCGGGGCTGGTCTTGAGGCTCTGTGCCAGCAGTAAGTGACTGTTTTAAAGTTGTAAACTGCTTGCTAGAGAATTCACATACACAGGAAGACCCTCAGCAAGGCT
The DNA here is from genome assembly GCF_000001405.40 of Homo sapiens. Taxonomy (NCBI): domain Eukaryota; kingdom Metazoa; phylum Chordata; class Mammalia; order Primates; family Hominidae; genus Homo; species Homo sapiens. Next base: position 114,769,483 of record NC_000006.12, read on the forward strand.
GGGAGACTTAATGATGCACATCACTTTAAAAAATCTGTGTCTAATCATTAGCAGACAACAGAGCTAACATAATAGAAATAATTTACTGAACGTACATGGAAATGAATACAAACTATGCAGAAGTAAGCCAGAAAAATTCCTAAAGAAGAAATCCTCACCAGTAATGACAACAATAGCAAATAATAACAACAAACCCCAGGAAAGGAGCTCTAATTACATTGTTTGAGATGTCCAGGTTACAACAAAAAAATTTAAGGTGTGAAAAAGAAAACCAAAAAATGAAACCAGGAAAGTATTAACCATACATAAAGAAAAACTTACCGTCAATAGAAACTATTTCTGAGGAGGCCCAGACATTTGACTTACTAGATTTTACTTGACTATTTTAAATATGCTTAAATAACCAAAGAACAACATATCTAAAGGACTCAAAGAAGCTGTTAGAATATTCTCACCAAATAAATTTGAACAATAGCAAATTTAAATTATTTAAAAATAATCAAATAGAAATTCTGGAGTTTTAAAGTAAATTACTTAGACAAAAAATTGACTAGAGGGCACAACAGTAGATTTAACGGAAAGAAAAAAGAATAAACAAATATGAATATAGAGTAATAGAGATTATTTAATCTGAGAAACAGAAATAAAAATAAATGATGGCTCACTTATTTTATATAGGTGGGACCTCTGGATACTACCAACTATGCAATATAAGCATGATGGAAACCTCAGAAGCAGAAGAGAAAGAGAGGAAGTAGAAAGAATACTGGAAGAAATCATGGCTGAAAAATTTCCAAATTTTATTTTAATAATTTATTTGCATATTCGAGAAGCTCAATAACCTCAAAGTAGGATTATATTAAAGAGATCCACACCTAGGTACATCATAGGCAAACTACTGAAAGAATAGGACAAAGAATCTTGAAAGCAGTGGGGGAAAAGCAAATCATTACATACAAGCTTTCTTCAGTGAGCTAAACAGCCAGAAATTCAAGGTACTGGAAGAAAAGGATTATCACCTAATAATTTTATATGCGGCAAAAGTAGCTTCAGGAAACAAACTACCTCCCATCCCTAAAACAGAGAATTTTTTGCTACTAAACCTGCCTTACAAGAAATACTAAAGTGAGTCCTTCAGGCTGAAATGAAAGGACACTCGATAGTAACACAAACTTATATGACAAAGTAAAGAGCTCCAGGAGGGTAACTACATAGGGAAATATAAAAGATAGTATAAATCCATTTTTGTTTGTAACTCTTTTGTTATCCTATTTTTAAAGGAAAAGTACATAAAGCAATAATTATAAAACTGTGTTGATTATCTTACACTACCTAAAGATATAATTTGTATGATAATAACACTTAAAAGGGGAGGAAAGAAAAACTTTTGTTAAAGCAAAGTTTTGTACATTTTGAAATTAAGTTAGTATTTATTTCAAATAGATTTTTTAAAAATTAAGCTATTGTAACCCAAGTGCAACTATTAAGAGAATAACTAAAAATAAAGTAAAAGAAATAGCTATACTTTAAAATGGTATAATAGAAAATATTTAAATACAAAACTAATAGATGATTACAGAAAAAAGACATAAAACATAGAGGAAACGAACAGCAAAATGATAAACAAAAATTATACTTTATCAGTAAATATATCAAATGTAAAAGTCCTTCAGTCAAATGTCAGGGATTTGCAGACTATTAAAAAGTAATCCAACTACTTGCTATCTATAAGTGACAAACCTTAGATTGAAAACAAATAATAGGTTTAAATTAAAAAGAAAGAAAATAATATACCATTCAAACAGTGCCCAGAGGACAGCTAGTATGGCTATATTATCAAACAAAATAGGCTTTAAGACAAAATTGTTACTAGTGACAAAGAAGGACATTTTGTAATGATAAACAATCGATCAGGCATACAGTAATTATAAACATATATGTACCTAACAACAGAGCAGCAAAATATATGAAGCTGACAGAATTGTAGCTGGAGACTTCAATATTCTCCTTTTAAGAATAGGTAAAGACAACTAGGCAAAAATATCAATAACTTAGTAGAAGACTAATCAACCAGACCAGACAGATGTCTATAAAACACTCTATGCAACCAGAGCAGAATATACATTCTTCTCAATTACACATGGAATATTCTTCAGGATGGAGGAGAATGTTAGATCATAATAACAGAATATTTATGTTAGGCCATGAAACAAGTGCTGAAAGAAAAAGACTTCCTTTTCAGATTGGAATGGAAGAAATAAAATTATCCTATTCACAGACAGCATGGTATTGTATACTGAAAATCTTAAGGAATCAACAAAAAATTATAACTAATTAATAAGTTCAGCAAGGTTGCAAGATACAAGACCAATATATAAATATCAATTGTATTTATACTATAGAAGCAATGAAAATAAAACAGAAAATTTTATTTTAAAACTTCAAAAAAAACCTAGGAATAAATTTATAAAAGGAAGTTCAAACCTTGTCACATTGAAAACTACAAATTTCAAAATAAAAGGAAGTTCTAAATAAGTAAGAAGGTATACAATGTTGTAATTAGATTCCTAGTACTGCAATAACGAATTACCATAAACTTAGTGGCTTAAAACAACACAAATTTAGTATTTTACTGTTCTGGAAGTTAGATGTCTAAAATAGGTCTGCAAATTTGTATTCCGTTTGGAGGCTTTTTTGTTTTTGCTTTTTCCTGCATCTTTTTCATCTCTTCTTTGAGTCTCTTGCCTTCTTTCCTTTATAAATACCCTTGTGATTATAATGGGTCTACCTGCATAGTCCAGAATAATATGCCCATTTCAATATTCTTAATTTAATCATATCTGCAGAGTTTCTATTGTCCTGAAAGGTAACATAGTCACAGGTTCCAGGAATTAGAATACTAGTAATTTTGAAGTGTTATTCTCTGCCTACCATTTTAAGGGATTAGAAGACTTAATATTGCTAAAATGGCAATATTTCTCAAATTTTTTAATACAAATTAATCCCTATTCTTATATGAACTTAATTCCTACCAAGTTCTCAGAGGACTTTTTGAAGAAATTGACAAGTGAATCCTAAAATTTGTATGGAAATAAAAGCGACATAGACTAGCCAAAACAATCTTGAAAAGAAAGAACAAAGTTGGAGGACAGAGTTCTCAATTTTGAAATTTACTACAAAGCTGCAGCAAAGAAGATAGTATGCTTCTGGCATAGGCTACACATATGGATCAATGGAATAGAATCGGCTTCCAGAAATAAACCCTTATATTTATGGTCAATGGATCAACAATTTTTTGTAGCGTAGGAGGAGTATGTTCTATATATTATTTGGGACATACTTATACCCAAAAAAGGATTTGTTGTTGATTCAATACTAAACTTTTTCTGGATGTCCCATATTTTATCTGAAAACACTACCTATTGTTATATGATGATAAAAGAAAGCTTGACAACCAGTTGTAAAAAGTTGTGTGCTGGCATGGTATATGTCAAATCATTGCTTTGCAACTAACTTTTAAGAGATCTCTGTTACCATAATTTTTGAAAAAAAAATACAAATTACAGGTATTTATAAGATAAATTTCAATTCACAAAAGAAGAGAAATACCATACTGTGAATTTTCAAATGCCTATTTCTATCATGACCTAAACATACAAGAATATAATGGGAACAGAGCAAAGTTTTAAATGAAACCCATTTTTTTACTCTTACGTGATCTACACCAGTGATAGAAAATATGTCTTCAATCCTCCCTTCAAATCTTCCAGAATTTTTTAAATACAATTTTGAATAAAATGCATATAGTTGGACATTTAGGGGTAGAAAAATTTATAGATATATTTTTCCATTATATGCAACACCAATGCATGTTGGACAATACTTCTCATCCCAAGACCTTTTTTGAAACATTTTCTATAATTGCAAATGTCTCATCTTTCTTTTAGCTCATTGTATACAATGATAGGTACTGCCTTACTCAGTAATAGAATTATTTACCATGGACAATGTAAAATTATATTTTTTGGCTGTATCTTGGGAATACTGGGAAATGACGATTATAGTAAGGTTCACATTTGCCTATTGACTCTATACCCTCTGATTTTTTCCTACTTAAAAATTACTCACAATCCAAATAATTTGTATTTACCTAGGCAAAAGGGAAGCTGTTTGAACATTATTGAATTAATAATAAAATAATGGCTTTCAGCTATTTTCACTTTGGGATTTAATTTTATTAAGGGAATATAGGGAGAGATGTACGAATCCATTTCACAAAGCAAGTGTCTTATGTTTTTTACACATTTTAAGTTGGGTGGTAAAGATAATTATAACTTTTTAGAGCATCATTATATCATTTAAACTGTTGTTGGAGATTCATGGTTTAATTTGTGTTCTTCATATATTATTTCCATCTACATGACAGAAACTAAATTTATTATAGGTTTGAAATAATGAAAATTGATACAGGGATTATCAAGTCTATCACATATCAAAATGTGTTTGCCTGAGTTCTGCTACTTACATATTTTGACCAAGAAATCTATTTATGAGCAATGACTATTAATATATTTTTGAACTACTATATTAAGGAACGCTGTTTGGGGAACCTGAATCTAATCCAATTTTTTCTTCAATTTAAAATTGGTTGTAATATTAACTATTTTATTTATGTTAGTAATACCACAATTCTTCCATTTTCTCAAAGTAGAATCTTAATGTTATTGTACTTATTAGGCCAAAAGACTAGTTCTTCCCATAGAATTGTCCATTTACTACATTTACCAATTCTTGTGAGTCACTTAATACACACATACAAAAAGTCATAAAGCCTTTTTTTTTTCAGTAAGAGAAGAATGCGTATCACACACACTACATGGTGCTAATTCTAGGGGCAAAATTACCCATTATTAGTGTTTGAGATTGATTACTAGGATGAAGACATACAGTATATCATCAAGAAACAACCAATATAAAAGGAAACTGATGTAAATAAACTGTATGTTGTGGGGTATGTCAACTAGGAAATTCACAAGCAAGATTATATATGTTTATTCAATGCTGTCTATGAAGACAGCCTTCTAGCCTTACCAATGCTACAGCAATAATTTGAGTTTCTTTTTTTTTCTTAGCTCAAAATAGTCAAACTGTCATATAGTGCATATATTTACATTTTCCTTTAAAAGTAAAAAATAATAAAGAAATTAGAAACCAAACCAGATAACATCAAAAACCAATCAATTTATTGTTAGCTTTTTTAGCTCTTCATTCTCTTTTTGGTTTCTATTATTGTGTAAGAAATTACCCTAAAACAGAGTAGCCTAAGAGAACAAACGTTTGTCTCACACAATTTCCAGTGTCAGGAACCCTGGAGTGGCTCAGTTAGTTGGTTCTGTTTCAGAATCATTTATGAAGTTGCAGTCAGGATACTGGCAGAGGGTGTAGTCATCTGAAAGCTTAACTGGGGAGGGAAGAAAATTCTTCAAGAGTGCTCACTCACATGACTGTTGCGTAGAGGCTTAACTTTCTAGCTGCCTGTTGGCCGGCCTCAACTCCTTCCTATGTAAGCTCCTCCAAAGTGCTCCTCATGACATGACAGCTATCTCCAGGGCAAATGAGTTACAGAGAGGGAAATTAAGCTCTACTTCATGAAGGAAGGAGTATTAAAGAATTTGGGAGCGTATTTTAAAACCACTACAACCTTAAAACTTAGAATGCTAAAACAAATTCCTCATAGGTCTCTCTGACCCTAAGCTTTTCATTTTAAAATCCACTTGGCACAGAGTAACAAAATTATCTTCTAATAATTCTCTTTTTAAATATTGCTTTTCTGCTTAAAAACTGAACAAAAATTTCCTGTAGCTGTTGCATCAAGTTGATGCCAGTGTCTAATTTCCAGTGTTGCCCATAATCTAAAGTATAAAGGCTAAATTATAGCATGAATTGATTCTTGTTATAAAATCCCATTTTACGTTAAAAGATTCTGCAATTCAGATAAGACATTTCCACAGGGCACTGCAAAAATCAGACTCCTTGCCTTTTGTCTTAAAACCACACCCCGACTTCCTTTCCCTTTTACTCACAGAAATCTTCCTGTTCTTCCAGGACTAGCTCAAGTCATATCCTCCATAAGACCATATTTACCATTCTCTCCCTGACCTCATTCATTACCTCTCTTCTCTGAATTCACATTGCAGTTAGCACAAGTGCCATTTTTTTTCTAGCACAGATTTGCTCTCAAATTGTTTCACTTACAATTGTGTTATTCCTTCCAGGTGGAGACAGAAGTCATTTTTTATCATTTTAGTTTCCATAGATGCTTACACATTTTAGGAAATAGAGGAGGTACTGAACAAATTTTCGCTGTTTTATTTCTCTTGAATGTAAGATTGAGGAATGCTTTTGATACCATTTGTTCACTTAAAAACGTAAGAATAAAAAAAAAAACTACCGTTTTCCACATCTATATCTAATCTCTATCTATCTATCTATCTATCTATCTATCTATCTATCTATCTATCTATGTATCTATCTATGTATCTATCTATGTATCCATCTATCTGTCTGTCTGTCTGTCTGTCTGTCTGTCTGTCTGTCTGTCTGTCTGTCTATTTTTTAAGATAGAGCCTTGCTCTGTCAGCCAGGCTGGAGTGCCATGGTGCTATCTCAGCTCACTGCAGCCTCCGCCTCCCAGGTTCAAGTGATTCTCCTGCTGCAGCCTCCTGAGTAGCTGGGATTACAGGCGCATGCCACCATGCCCAGCTAATTTTTATATTTTTAGTAGAGACCGTCTTTTACCATGTTGGCCAGTCTGGTCTTGAACTCCTGACCTCAGATGATCTGCCTGCCTCAGCCTCCCAAAGTGCTGGGATTACAGGCCTGAGCCACTGCACCCAGCTGTATTTCTTTTATTTCTTCGTTTAATATGGAAATTCAAGCTGTCTAGCTAAAGGTTGTCTTGTGATTCCAGATGCAGATTAATATTGGAAAATAACTCATGGTAGAAAAAAACTATATTCCCAAGCATGAAATTTATAAAATTAAAATTTATCTTGCTTGTGATTGAAACAATATAACTTTTCTGTTCTCATTGTTCTTAAAACTATGGTTAACATAAAGAAAATAAGGAATATATTATTTCTATTTCCTCTGGACACTGAAATATAGAATGATTTGATTCCTAAAAGGCATAAATTTTACATAGATCACAGTTTTGTCTTAGTTCAAAAGGGAGTTCTGTGCAAAATGTCTATTTCTCTAGAGGCTTTTTGAGAAAATCTTTGAAAGTATTTGTTGCCTGTAGTGCTATTTCTTAGAAAATAAGTTATATTAAATACTGTATTTTACATTTTTACTTATTCCTTTTCAAATTGCTTAAATCTCCTTCCTCTATGTAAGTGGTTATTATAGAGAAATACCACTTTTTTGAAATAATATTGGTTTTAAATTACTTTTTATAATGAAACATTTCAAAAATAAACAAAAATGATGAGAAGAATATAACGAGCTTCCATTTACCCATAACCCAGATTCAACAGTTATCAACATTTTGGTAAACTTGTTTCATCTTCATATGCTCCCTACACATTAAAGACACTGATTATTCCTACAATGAACTTCTATTATAGATCCAAATGGTTTTCAGAGTTATAGAATTTTAAAAATACTAATCTTGTCTGTCCTATGACTGTATAAAATGGAATGTGAGGACTGATAGCATCATTCCTTAATCCTCTTACCTTCATGTGAGGATAGAGAATCCTGGAGAGGTTCAATTTCTAACTTACCTATGGTCAAATAAATGGTTTTCAAAGTTGGAAGGAAAGTCTCTATTTCCTGCCCTCTCATTTTTTATTTCATGTTTGCTCTGGTCACTAGTTTTAGAAAACTTCCCCAGGAGAAAGTATCCTTAGAAACAGAGATAAACATCATTGAGGTCACTTTGCTACAGTTGCCTAAGCACCCCACCCAAGTCAGGTCCTTCAATCAAAGGCTTATGCAAAAGTTAAGACAAGTACATGTCGTCTTCTGTCCTATGTTTATGACTGTTTTTATTTTTTTGGTAGTATTTTTTAAGTTCTTTTTTTTGGGTTATACAGTTGCATCATTTCTAAAAAATAATTATGTATATCCATTTTAAAATTGTATACTTATTATTTTTTTTCAATTCTGATTCCATCAACTGGTATCTCCAGAACAATATCTTTCTTTTGTTTCCAACTTTACTTTTATTGTTTGGCAATTAAAAGTAGTGCAAGATTCATAAATACATATCCAAAGCAGTGTATAGTCTTCATATTTTATTTGACGTTTTCAGTTGGAATAAATATCATATTTTTATTAACTGCTTTTTCAATATCCATGGAAATTACTATATGATTTAATATTTAAATTTAATATTACTAGACTATTATGACATTCTTGGCATATGACCTGTTTTTTTACTGTGTATTATTTGTTCATTGCATTGATGAAATAGTTCTGTGACTGTTTATTTGTAATGTTTCCATTAATATTTATAAGTTAGATTTATCTGTGGTTTTAAAATATATGTGCTTGTTAAATATTTTATTATTTAATAAAAACATATATAGCATTATGTATCTGGCACTGTTCTAAAAGCTTCATCAATATTAACTGCTTTAATCCTCATGATAGACCTATGAAGAAAATACTATTACCATTCTCATTTTGCAAATTGTAAGATAGAAGCAGAGGGAGATTAAATATTGCCATTACCTTTTTTGTTTTGTTTTGTTTTGTTTTTTGAGATGGAGTGTTGCTGTGTCTCCCAGGCTGGAGTGCAGTGGCATGATCTCTACTCACTGCAACCTCCACCTCCTGGGTTCAAGCAATTTTCCTGCAGCAGCCTCCCAAGTAGCTGGGATTACAGGTGTGCACCACCAATCACAGCTAATTTTTGTATTTTTAGTAGAGACAGGGTTTCACCATGTTGGCCAGGCTGGTCTCAAACTCCTGACCTCCGGTGATCTGCTGGCCTCAGCCTCCCAAAGTCCTGGGATTAGAGGATTGAGCCACCATGACTGGCCAAGTATTGCCATTACTTTTAATGGCAGAAACCTCAATTACTTTTGCACCAATCTAATAACTCCAGTAAAAAGCTAGTTGAAGACAGGTTTTGAATCCAGGCAGTTCACAAATGAAGCAATAACAACAACAGAGATTTTCCTCTTCCTTTCCACATTAATTTGGCAGACTTATTCTGTAAATTGATTGGTATATGTTTGAAGGTAATAGTTCCTTGAAACTTTATGAAGGTAATGAGCATATTTAACATTTTCACAAGGGGAAAAAACCTATTTTACTCAGATTTCCAAATACACTTCTAAATATACAAACAAATTAATCTCACAATTATTTTAATGTCCTATGCCTTTGGTCATTCACACATTCTCATTTTTATATATTGTGTTGGAGTTTTCATTTTTATTTTTGAGTAGGTTAGCTAATGATTTATCCAGCAGGTAATTTCTCTGCAAAGAACCACCTCATGGTTTATTAGTCTGCTCTTCTCTATTGGTAAATTCATTCATTTTAGCAACAAAATTTTAATTTATCCTTGGAGAAAGTCCTGATTCTTCTCCTAGTTATATACTTAAAAAAATCTATCTCCTTAGTTTAGGTCAGCTTTATGCAACCTTCTCTTGTATCTTCCTCTATGATGCATATATGACTATTACATAACTAACTGCCTAAAATCTCTTGGCCACATTTCCCTAAATAATATATCCTACCTCTTGAACAATCCAAAGAGCCCTTGATCTGCCTTTAATGAACTGCATGTGTGTACCAATAACTAATAAGAAAATTATAGCAGTGGCTTGGACCATTTTCCTTGTCCTAGTGCGTCTAGAATATGATCAACCAAAAATTAAGTGCATTGTTATCCATAGTTAACAAAATCCCAAACATCCAATATACATATTCCTAAAACTTATCAGTATTCACAAATTTTGGGGTGATCCTCAGATAAACTCTTGTCCACAAAAGCAGTAATCATCATGTTGTCCTGAGACTTTCTTTTGTTTGCTTATGGTGTCCCTGGATTAACATGGTGAACTTGAGTCATAAGACTTCTAAAATAAACATTTAATACTAAGAAAGTTTTGAGTCTGAGTGATTGTTAATAAATGCCAATGGACGCTAGCTGATATGTTTTCAGAGTTGGTGTTTACCATATATATCTGGCATTCTTCAAGAAAGTCTAGTATATTCTATTTTTATCAAATAATTACTTCAAGCTCACATTTCTCAAAATTTCTAGATCAGTATCATAATGAGTTGATGGTCAAGTTTGTCCATAACCCTGGTGAAAACAATTATACTGTCGAATTATTGAAATCCTTTACATGTTGTATCTTTAATCACCTGAAATTAGGGGAGAATCATTTCAAATTAGTTAAGCTCTAAAGAGTATGTGAAGGTAGTGTTTACTTTGCATCAGTAAGTGACAATCATGCTCATTCAAGTTTAATATTAAAAATAATGACTCTCCAGCAGATGGTTTAATTTGTCCCGAATATAGTTTTCTGATCCATTTTAGGGCAGTTATTCAGTGTAAAACAGAGCCTGTATGTGTATTTTTCCTGATTTTGTACACACCATTGTGAAGTGACAGAGGATGATGACAATTATTTTGTTAATAAGAACTCTCTAATATTCTGTCTTTGATTTGAGAAAATGTAATTTCTTTCTAAGCATTTTTTACAGAGTTGAGTTTATATACCTTTTATTTTGAAGGGTCTTAATACCTCTCACATCAAAGCCAATGGAAATATTAACCTTGCCTTGGGAATTCATTTTCAATGTCTTCTTCCACGATTTAGATATTAGAAAGTCTGTAAGTCCAAAGTTCTTAAGATTTATTCTGAAGGATGCTGGGGAACCCAACAACAGGAGAAAGTGGAATTGGATTCTGTCAGTTCTCTCTTTCTGTAGGCTCTCTCATATGGAGTGGGATATGAATGGGCTCTACTAATTTGAATCTACATGCTATTGAATAAACACAGCCAGCAATTTTTAAAATATGCAGTTTGTTGAAATTATAGCCTCTATTTTCTGCATATGTAACAAGTCGGTCAGACTGAATTGCTGTCTGACCAGTCTTTGCCTTAGGTTACAATAAATCATCAATCACACGGTCAAAGTAAGGGTAGGCTTCTTTATTCAGGCACGTAATATTAGAACCACTTAACCTTTGTTGTAAGAGGTAGTCCAGATATTTTCATGAGATAATTATGATCATGTGCAACTCACTGACAGGGCCTATCAACTCAAAATTTAACTTAACTACCACTTCCTATGGCAGGAGGAACCTGTCATATGTGTTTTCTGGTAAGACTTGGGAATAGGTTGTATCCTAGACCTGTAACCTTTTCCTGATCTCTCTTTAGTGACCTCATCTGCTGAGATATGAAGGCAAGATTCTCTTCTAATCCTAAGCCCTCTACCTGTATGCCAGGCCACCAAAAGATAGTAATGTTATAAAAATATCTAACATTTATGGCACTTACTCTGTGCCGTGCCCAAGTGTAATAATTCATTTAATCCTTTCAACTATCTTATGAGATTGATACATTTATTTTCATCTTATTTGCAAGTGAGGAAACTGACTCAGAGTTTTAACTGACCAAAAGTTGCACAGCTAGAAAGTAGTAGTTCTGGAGTCCTGCATAGACATCAGTCTCCTGAGTCTGTGCTTGCAACAATTGTATTGTCGGACATCCTGCAATAACAGATCAAGGTATGTTCCTTTAGGCAGAACATAATTGGACCTTATTTCATATCCATTCTTCAAAGCTCTACCTTTTAATTGGATTGATTATTCTAGTCACATTTACTGTTATCATAGATATAGTTAGATTTGCATCTGCCACTTTTTATTTTCTGTGTCTCACATCTTTTTCCTCCCTCTATTCCTCTGCTACTTTCTTTCTCATTAAGTAAATATTTTCTGTGTAACACTTTAACTGTTTATTTTTCACTTAAAATTTTTAAGAGTTTCCCTATAGTGTGCCATTCACATCTTATCCAAATTTACTTTAGATTTATACAAAATTAATTTCAATGGGATATAAAATATTATTCCTATATACAGTTGACTCCTGAACATCACAAATTTGAACTGCATGTCTACTGACACAGTTTCTTCCACCTCTGCTACCTCTGAGACAGCAGAACCAACACTTTCTCCTCTTCCTCCTCCTCAGCCTAGTCAACTTGGGGATGATGAGAATGAGGACTTTTATGATGATCCAATTCCACTTATTGAATTGTAAATGTATTTCCTCTTCCTTGTGATTTTCTTAATAACATTTTTTTCTTTTCTAACTTACTTTATTGTAAGAATACAGTATATAATATATGTGGTATATAATATATGTGATTTACAAGATATGTGTTAATACATTTTCTATATCATTAATAAGGCTTCTGGTCAACAATATGCTATTAGTTGTTAAGTTTTTGGGGAGTCAAAAGTTATACACACATTTTTGACTGTGCTGGAGTTGGCACCCCTAACTCTCCCATTGTTCAAGAGTCAACTGTAGTTCTATTCCCTCTTTTTCCTGCTATTATTGTGCCATCTTTGTTATCGTTATCATTATTATGAATATTACATATGTGAAATGGTCCCCACTTATTTGTAGTTTGTTTTTCATGGTTTCACTTACTTGCATTCTACTGTGGCTTGAAACAGTAAATGAAAAATTCTAGAAACAAACAATTCATAAATTTTACATTGCATTGGGTTCTGAGTAGTATGATAGAATCTTGCTCCATCCTTCTCCTTCCTGAGTGGAACATGAAGCATTCCTTTTTGCACAAGCTGTCTATGCTACCTGCCCATTAGTCACTTAGTAGTTGCCTGGGTTATGAGACTGACTGTTGTGATGTTGCAGTGCTTGTGTTCAAGTAACACTTATTTGACTTAAAAATAGGTAGTGAAGCTGTCACAGTTATAATTGTTTTATTATTAGTTATTGTTGTTAACCTCTTACTATGTCTAATTTATAAGCTAAGCTTTATCATAAGTGTATACATATAGGAAAAGACGTGGTATGTATAGGGTTCGATATTATCCACAGTTTCAGGCGTCCACTAGGGGTCCTGGAGTATATCCTTCATGGATCAGGGGGATACTGTAGATTAAAAACCCCCAAATACATGTTATGATTATTAGTTTAGATATTTCCATGACTACTAAAGAAATTAAGGAAAGAATAAAGAGCAATTGTATGTTTATAGAGTTTGTTATGTTCTGTTTATTTGTTCCTCTGGATTCTAGTTACTATATGGCATCATTTTTTACTTCAAGCAAACTTAGCTTCCTTTCACTTTTTTAATAATGTTATTGTCAAATGTATTAGATTTTTATATGTTAGAGGTTCAAAAACATAATTATTTATATATTATTTTAACTTTTAAATAGCAATTAAGCAACAAAGGTGAAAATATGCATTTAAATTGTCTTTTGTAATCATGTAATTATTTTAACTGTTCTTTTTGTGTGTATGTGTGGGTTCACATTACTATCTGGGGTCACTTGCTTTTAGCTTAAAGAAATTTCTTAGTATTTCTGCATTTCTTGTTTCTTAGAATTTCTTGTTTCTTCCAGCAACAAATTCTTTCAGTTTTTAACCTGTGAATGTTTACATTTTGGCTTCATTGAGATAGTTTTGCTAGATATAGAGTTGCCAGATGACACACCCTTTTCTTTCAGCACTTCAGGTATGTCATTCCATTGCATTCTGGCCTTTATTGTTTCTGATGAGAAGTCAGCCATTAACCTCATAGGAATTGCATTGTGATGAGTCATTTTTCTCTTACTGCTTTCAAAATTTTATCTTTGCATTTAGCTTTCAACATTTTGACTGTAATGCTTCTGGGTGTGGATCTCTGTGTTAATCCTACTTGGAGTTTGTTGAACTTTACTTTGTTTGTTTGTTTGTTTTTGAGACAGGGTCTCACTTTGTCACCCAGGCTGGAGTGCAGTAGTACAATCATGGCTTACTGCAGCTTTGACCTTCCAAAGTCAAGCAATCCTCTGGCCTCAGATTCCAAAGTAGCTGAGACTACAGGTGTGTGCTACCATGCTGTGCTAATTTTTTTTTTTAATTTTTGTTAGAGATGGGGGTCTCACTGTGTTGCTCAGGCTGGTCTCCAACTCCTGGACTCAAGCAATCCTCCCACCTCAGCCTATCAGAGTGTTGAGATTACAGGTGTGAGCCACTGTGCCTGGCCCTGAGCTTTGGATGTATAAAGGAATGTGCTAGTTCATGATAAATTAATAATTTTGTCACATTTGGAAAATTATTAGGTATTATAATTTAAAATATATTTTATGCTTCTTTCTTACCTCTCCTCCTGGTACTTTAAAGTACATGTATATCGCTGCATTTATGATGTCCCACATTTTTTTTCTGCTTCTTTGTTCACCTTTCTTCATTCTTTTTTTCTCTGTGCTTCCGATTGCACAATATCTATTGATCTATCGTCAAGTTTGCTCTTTCTTTCTTCTTCCATTTCAGATTTCCTGTTGAGTCCTTCTAGTGAATTTTCATTTTAGTTATTATACTTGTCACTCTAGAAGTTAAAAGTAATTTTTATTTATTATTTGTTTATATTTGATAAGATATTGCCAAAATTACTTTAATTCTTTAAGCATAGATTTCTTTAGTTCTTTAAAGATTTCTGTAGTAGCTGTTTTGAAGTCTTTGGCTGTTAAATCAGACATCTGGGCCCTCTCACAGATCATTTGTATTGCTTGCTTTTGTTTTTTTCCTATTCATGGGTTACATTTTTTTCTGGTTTTTTTGCATGTATTATATTTTTGTTGTTGTTAAAAAACTTGACGCTTTATTATAGTTAATGTATTTTAGCAACTTGAATACTGAGTTTCTTCCTGCTCTCAGGGGCTTAGATTTTGTTGTTGTTGTTGTTTGCTTGTGTATTAATTTGGCTAGACTATTTTCATAAAATCTGTTTTCCCTATAGTGTGAAGCCTTTGGTGTTGCTTATTAAGAATGCAGCCTTGGGCATGCACACATTGGATAGCATTGGTTATAGCAGAGTTTTCTTTGACTGCCTTATTTCCTAATCATTCTGTTAAGTAGTCTGCCTCATTTGGTAATACACCCAGCTTTTGTCAAAATTATAAAGATTAAAAATGGCAATAAGCAAAGTAATGGTAAAAGCCTTACATGAGGTATTCAAAAATTTAAAAAAAAATTAGCAGTGAATTAAAAAATTTTATCCAGCTCAGTAGTCTATGCTCTGCACAAGGGACATTCTCATCCTCTTTGAATTGTCACAAAATTTTATCTCTTTCTTTCTTTTGTCACTTATGCCATTTTCATCAGTTTCTATGGATGTATAAATTGCTGCTTAAATAAAAGATGCATAAATAGATGAACAATAGCTTATCTAGTTGTAACTTAGAGTCTTGATATATAAGTGCTCCTGCATAAGTGTAGCAGGCCAATGACCAAACTGCTACCTGACTGAGAAAGTAACTCACATATTCACTTGTAAGACTATGTGTATGTATAGAACCCTGTCCATATAGTAAACATAATGGATTACATAAAACTTGTAGAAAGTTTGTACATGAAACTTCATAATTATATGAAATTTTATAAATTGTATAAAACTCATACTTTCTGAAAAATTTAAGAACAAAAGTGGATAGAAGTCCCTTGGTTCAAAGTTACATTCCATCTAGCCTCGTCAAGTTCCTTTTTACTTTGACTAAGAGGATTTGAATTGATTGGGGCTTTAGAGCTCAAAAACAAAAGATAATATATGCTCTGAATGAGTCAATGAGTTTATAGCCTAGAGCATATCACTGCTCCAAATTGGAATCTGCTTTGCACCTAAATTTAAAAATAAATACTGTCTGACATTTGAAATACAGGCTGCCTGCATTTGTGGAATTCAGTCTGGTCCTGACTCTCTGCCTCTATCAACTGTTCCGGTCTGATTCATCTTGAATCAGGCATCATCAGAGAATGCCATGCCTGTGCTCATTGTTAATCCTTGCTGTGAGAATTTTGTATGAGGCCTTAGTTGGGTAAATCTCCTTCTACCTTGTTCCTTTTTTCTATGACCTAGTTGTTACATTTGTACTTCTCTTGTGGTAACCTGCTTAGTATGCAGGACAATTTCTATTTATGGACTCTGACCTGTTCTTATTATTTTCACACCTGACTTGAGTGTTCTGACCCTGAACTCTGGCCATTAGATGGAACTCTGCCACCCCTGATAGCTACCTTTGCTGTTGACTGTGTCTTCTGGAACTTCAGTGATCCTGCCATGTCCAGCTTCTACATTTGATCTTGAATTGCCTTTGGTCTTAGAGCCCCACTTGCTGGAGATTTGCATAGACTATGATCAGAGATTAGACTCTGCTTGCCTGTCCTATTTAATCTCCTGTCAGAACTTGCAGCTGAGTCAGCATCTGGTACTTTTTCTGACCTGGTGAGTAGGTGTAAAACCAGATTAATATTCTCTTCATGTTCAGGTCTCCTATTGAAAATAATCAAATATACCAGATTATTGAACTATGGGAAAGTTTATTCACTACATGTTGATTTGTCAACTACTTATGCTGTCAGACTTGCAAAAGATGGTGAAAAAAAAACCTATTATTCTTACATACTTCTAAAAATATTCAAAAGAGATGGTAGATTAAACAAACTAAATACAAAAAATATGAAAAATATTTCATGGAGTCTGCTGCAGACTATGGATATGTGGAATCTGCGAAAAGCTCTTCCTACTTTTCAGGATGATGCTGTTAGGTTCATTTCAGCAGAGATTATTTCCTACAAAGAGAATGATCTGGAAGAACAAGATTGTTTGGGTTAGATATAAGTTGACCATGAGATATAAAGGAAGACATTGGAAATATTTTGAATAATTTATGTGAGGGAGTGTATTAAATATAAGTGTACAACAAAGAAAAACACCTACATCAGTTTAGGAAGTAGCCAGGACCACTGTCTCTGGGAATCAGACTAACATGAACCTTAGCTCTGCCATTTTATTAGCTGTAAGATTTGGGGTATTTTACTTCAACTTTTTAAGTCTCCTTTTCTATATCTGTGTGAAGGAAATAGCAACTGTATCTCATGGAGCTGAAAGAAGGTCATATGAGGAAGCAACCGTTATGCTCATAGATATGCACTGCATGTGCTAGAAACTCTTTATAACTTTACATTTAGAAAATCGTATTAGGATGCTTAGTACTGTTGTTTTGCCTTCTAGATATATTACCACCTTTCTCCATTTGGTGCTTGGCCTCAAGAAGCTGACATTTGTGGGTTACATGAATGAATTCTGTTGCCCTCTGGCTTCCAATTTTCTTTATACAAAGAAAGGATCCAGGAGGGAAATTGCCAGATGGAGCAGAGAAAGATCTGGGGTATTTATTTTTCTGGATCTCTCTCTCTTACAGGTTATTTCTTTAGTTTCTTTTTTCTTTCCCCTTTCAGTTCAGGAATGATAAAGTCATTTCTCTCCCCCTACACCCTATCTCTTTCTCTGTGTGTGTGTGTGTATATAAATGTGTATTATATATGTAGTATGTACATATGTGTGTATGTATGTATATATATATGAATACTTATATAAATATATATAGATATCTATATATAGATATATAAGTATAGCTGTAGATAGAATTAAGTATATATATGCATAATACATATGTATGTGTATATATATATATGTATATATATGGAGAGAGAGAGAGAACAGAGAGAGATTTATTTTTATTTTTTAGAAGTCAATTTTTGGTTTTATTTTAAGAAATTTATTCACAAGATTTTAAGTACTGCCATGTCTAAAATCTGCAGAGTACATAGGCAGGCTGGAGACCCAGGGAAGAGTTAACCTTGCAGTCTTGAATTGAAAGGCAGTCTGTATGAAGCAGAATTCCTTCTGGTGCTCCGACACTTCCTATTGACAGGGCTGGCTGAATAATTTGTGGGGCCTAGTGTAAATAAAAATGTGGGGATCCTTATTAAAAATATTATTTAGAATTTCAAGATGGCAACAGTAGAGCATTAAACCAAGTGCAGGGCACTTAAACACAAAAATCGTGCAGCTGTAGAGATCAGAAGCCCATGAAGCTAGCTCTGCCTGTCAGTTTCCCTGAAACTTGCCTACACATATAAACCTCTCCTTATTAAACATTATTCATTTAACCTATATATGTGTTTCATATGCTTACTGCCAGAATCCTGATGTGGACAATTAGAATGAAACCAAATAATAGGATTTGAGTTCAAAGCTCCATGACCCTAGAATTTTTTCATTTAACCTATATTTTTGGTGACTTTCATTATCAGAAGAATAGTCATTAAAACATTTTGAAAAATGAAAGTTTCTAATTCATGTAACCTGGGAAAATTTATATAGAGAAGGAAGATTTATATCTACTGAT
This sequence comes from Homo sapiens, assembly GCF_000001405.40. Classification (NCBI taxonomy): domain Eukaryota; kingdom Metazoa; phylum Chordata; class Mammalia; order Primates; family Hominidae; genus Homo; species Homo sapiens. The sequence continues at coordinate 114,787,952 of NC_000006.12, forward strand.
GCCTAGGGCCATAATTATACTAAGTGAGCATGCATTTATTTTATACTTACATTTATTTACAACATATAAATGTTCTTTGAGCTACCAAATATTTATATATACAATTAGAATAGTTACTAATGTTTTAAACAAAATTTTCTGTATGAACAGTGACTGCCATGATTATTGCTTCCTGTGAGTGTGATGCTTGTGTGCATTTTTTACTTTTAGAAAACCAGAATCCTGACAATGCCTGAGTCTTCGGTGTTGGTTGTCTTAGATGATGAGGTGGTAAGAACACATGAGAACAGGTTTCATTTGCTCTGGTCTAAGCTGTATAATCTAGCATCAATGGTATTTGTAAAGCAACTTTCTTTCAGATTTGTGACATCAAACAAAGAGGATGGGGCTACTGAGGAGCTGCTAAGGCTGCTGGGAAATGGCTTAGTCGGGGATCATCCATGTCACTCAAGGACCAGGTGGTAGGAATTCCCTTATTGGAATCTCTGGGTTAAGGATGTGTTTAAGAGGCACAGATGAGTCTACAAAGGCCTTATAGGTCACGTTAAGGATTTTACATATTAATCAGGATACATGAGGCCTGGAAGGGTTTTGTGCTGTAAAGTGACATGATCCACATGATGTTTTGAGAAGATCACATTGGTATATGTATGGAAAGAAACAGAAAATTTTTGCCCACACCAATGTCAGGAAGTGTTTCCCCTATGATTTCTTTTAGTAATTTTATAGTTTCCATTCTTACATTTAAATCTTTAATCCATTTTGAGTTAGTATTTTGCCAATTACTCTGTTTTGATCATTACAGAATATATGCATGTACGTATGGAAATATTACATTGCACTGCATAAATATGTACAATTATCATGTGCAAATTAAAAATAAAATCAAACTTAAAAAAGAATAGAAAATGTTATGTACATGAAGAATGAGTGATTCTGGTGTTTTTACAATATAGAAAATGCTGATTGCTTGCTGTGAAACAGTGAGAGAGCTAGAGAGAGAAAGCGAATTTACTATTGATCATTTTAAACACTTCTCCATATTTTGCCAATGTTAGAATAAACTTGAGTCTGTCATTTGTCAAGGAGCTTTGTTTGGGTGAGTTAATGAATGCCACTTGCCTTAATCACTGTTGGGTGCAGTTTGGTTCTCACTGCATTCTGGCAGGCTTCAAGAGGAAAGATTAGACACAAACTGCGTATCATTCCAAGTGTCTCATAAGAGGTCACATCTTTGAATTTGTAGTTTGTCTCCAAGATATAATAGAAGTGTTTGCAGGCCAAAAAGTGTTTTGTTTTCTTTTCTTTAGTGTCTTGGATGTCACCTTATGCACTCATTATGCACAGTGGTAATTTTTATCTAACTAGTTTCTATTATGGTATTTTTTACAGGTAGAAATAAAGGCAAAAAGGTAAGTTCTTGTCAAAAGGGAAGACAAACCCAAAGTTTCTGGCTGTCACTCATATTATTAAAATGACACAATAAGTTTCCAGGAATACATTCAGAAAATGGTTTTCAAGCCTCAGTGGTCTGTATTAATTAAGGTGTAAACTTGGAAAAGCACCTTTAAGCACATTCTTTTTCCTGGACTTGGAAGACAGAGCAAGAAGTAGAAAACTCATTTTAGGTTTGAAAAATGTGTTCTGATCTCTGGTACCTCAAGATGATATTTAGCTTTTTCAAACCTAATTCATTTGTTTAATGGGTTTCCAACATTCTCTGGTTCTCATGCTGCATAGTACCCGATACAATCTTAAAACAGCTTATGTACAAATTTTGGAACTCCATGTTGCGTGGATTTCTGCTGTGCCAAAATGTGACACTGATTGGAGTGAATTGATGGCAATTCTCTCCTGCTTGAGTGCCTTTGAGATTGAAAGCATGCAATACACAGTCTCTTCAAAATTCAGTGCCCATCCTGGTGTGGTATTTGTTTCCTTTGATGCTGCCTGTGCAGGTGGAGTCTTCCTGGTCCATCTGTTCTGAATGGAAAATGTCATGACTGCTCTTCTTCCAGTCCATCCTCTTGTCTTTCAGGACACGTAAAGATTTCTGCTCTTTGGTCACCGTTTCTGCTTGTTTCATTTTCATTTTTTTCTCCATTTTTCCTTAATTGATACATCTACTTTCCTTAACAGTATTTAATTTAATTTTTAAAGAAAAACCCCATAATCAATTTTAAATGAATTATTCCTGTTAAAAGAAAAACAAACTAGTATAAAAAATCCTTTCCTCCAAGTTTTTTTGGTTTCGTTAATATGTCTAAATTATATACAATCATTTGAAAGTTCTTTGAACATTCAGTTTTACTTTTAAGAGGCTGGATGCTATTATAATATTAATTACTGGAATGATAACACAAAGCTAAAATAGGCAGAACCATGCCATGTACTTTACATATCTTATAATTGCATATCTTGCATATCTTATAATTCTCCTACAGTGATCAAAGGTAGGTCAAGTGTTCCAAGAAATAAAATATATTCATAATTATAATTATGGTCTATATTAACTGTTATAACTTTCTTTTCCTTCTGGTCAAGTTTGCCTATTTCTGTTGAACCTTTCCTTTGAGACCCAAATTATTCTTTGATTTGTAGAGATTATAAATATTCTAATAAATAGAGGTTTAGTTAGCACTGCATAGGGTTGACTGCTTTCTCGCTATTTTTTTCAGTCTGAACCCCTAAATGCTTATAATTTTTGTTTATTCTCTGTAATTTTATTTTTACTAACTCAGATCATAAATCTTAAAATGTTGTTCTATCCTCAGCGTGAAGAGACAGACAACTGATTCTATCAGGTCACAATAAAGTCCAATTTATTATGCTTTTGTAAGATCATAAGTGTTTCAGATTACAAATACTCTGCTATCAAGTAAAAACTATGCTTTCTTACCTAGGGCTTTTGAGGTGACATTGTTCTTTGAAGATTTTGTGTTTTAGCCAATGACTAGTGAACTTACCAATAATAGAACACTTTTTGTTTGCCTTTATGCCAGCAAAAATGTAGAACTGACTCTAAAAAACATGAGATATGAGAAATAATTAATAGAAAAGTATTCACTAAGAGAATGGGAAAATAAGAGTTTTCTCCAGTGCTTTATTACCTATACTAGAAATGGAACATATATTTTAATATAAGGGATTTAAAGATCCCATACTGGTCCATAATTTTTTATTCATAACCTTTGAGGTCAGATGGATTTTGAAATTCAGCATATTTTGGATTTTAGGAAGATAGTAGGGAATATATATCTTATATACTGTAATACCCTAAGTGAAGTTGAGGGCCTGTAATCAAACATATTAATATCTTTATGGTGAAAGTATTTTGTCTACATATGATGACTAAGAATTGTAAATTGCCTTCATTAATTCAGGTTAAGTTTTGCCTCCAAGTGATTTATCAAGCAAAACAAAACAAAATGTTACAAGAAACAATAACCTTTCAGTGTTTAAGATTTTTTAAAAAAGATTTTGTAATTATAAATAAACTATATGGATCTGTGTTATAATAAAACGACATGCACAATTAGGTCTTTCTGTCTCATTGCAGTAATGTGTAAATTGCCTGCCTTGTAGTTTATTTCATAAAGATATTGTTCTTCTTTCTACATTTATATCCAAAGTTATCTGATTCATGCTGGAAGAAGATTGATTTTGAATTTATTGGTATGTGAATATCATTCCCAAAACTTTGGGAAATTGCATAATTAAATCTAGGGTGAGTTCAACAATTCAGTGCAATATGAGAATTTTTATGGTACATGTGCAATGAAATATCACTGAGACTAACACTCCATGTGACTTATTTCAGTGAAGCCCTCTTATACAAATTAATTCCCTTTGGTTGATATCTAAGGAGTAGTATACCTTTTTATATTGATTTCTTCTGCTCCATACAAAGATATTTTGAAAGAAGTATCTCTTTTCTTGCATCTTAAAGATTTGTCAAAAAGGAGTATCTCCTTGAGGGAATAGAGAGATTATTTCAAGTATAGCTTGCAGTGTGTAAGACTCATCACTTCCCTCCCTTATCCCTGATGGTGCTGTCTGAATCCAGGAGATTCCAAGAAAACTGCATGAGCTTTGGGAAAACTTTGGGGGGCCTGCTATTAATGACTTCTGAATCATGAAGACAGTATCTGGTATTTTCCTATATATTATTACATTCCAAGAAGGTTTCATATATAGTTGAGTCAAGACCCAAAGAAGGGATTTGGCACCCTGAACTAGCCAGCAACTCAAATGCCAGAGAGACTACGTTTGGCCAATCACAAGCCCATGCTATGTTATTTCACAATCCTGGGATTATCATCAGCTTTGAAGATAAGAAAAAAGTTTGTTTCTGGTAGCTGTAAACCCAGGTGGACAAGGCTTTCACACTATAAAGTAAGCTCAAAGTCTAACCTGGCACAGCATCTGGCATTTGGAAAGCACTAATTAGTATGCAACAAATGAATAGCTTATAAAGACAAGTTACAAGTGCATATAAGTTAAATCATTCAGGCTACTTTCTGTGTGAAAAATTCCCTTTTCTATTGTCTAGGCTCAATTAGCATTTGAAAGTAACAATTCTATTGAATAGAATAAGCACTATTCTTTTGGTACAAGTATAAGGTAATTTTATCATTCTATCCCTGGGTCCAATCATGTTCCTTTTATTTGTAAATGATAAGAAGGACTGATCCCATAGCTCTCTAAGTGTGTTCAAGTATACAAATCTTGTGCAGTCCAAGTTGATTCAAGTTAAATTCAATTTCACATCCAATGTAGAGCTCTTTATCTCTCCCTAGCTTTGTCTTGCACTTGGCCCTAGGAATCAGTCTTGAGAAGGGATGCTTTTCCACTGAGTTTTTCATTTCTCTCCTAGTTTCTTTCTCATCTTTGATGGATTAAAGATGATCATAAAGCATTTGTCACCCCTGAATCATGAGAAGGGGCTTATTTCCTCCTTCTTTGAATCAGGGAAGGCCATGTAACTGCTTTAACCATTATGCTGTGGGAGAAGTAACTCTACACCAGTTCTGGGCCTGGTCTTCAAGAGGACTGAGGTTTCTGATTTCTTCCTCAGGGAACATTTGCTCATGCTGGATAGACCATGTGGAGAGGTGAGGTCCTGAGACTATAAGAAAAGGAGAGAGGTTCAGTGTCCCAGTTGAGCCTCCAAGAGACTCCAGCTCCAAATCCCAGACTGTAATCTCAAAGGAGGCCCCAAGTGAGACCAGAAGGACTGCCCGGATTAGCCCAGTAAACTCACAGAAAAACAAGAGAGAGAGAGTAAAACAGTTATTCTTTTAAGCCTCACAAGTTTATAATGGCTTGTTTCTCAGCATTGATAGCCATTTATTCAACAGACCATTCTGTATCTCCATTTCTCCTTCACAGTATTAGAGCCTGGGATGATGGATAGGAAAAAAAGCAAAATTCCCTCACTGAACTGCTACTGTGGTAATCCTCTTCCAGCTAATTAACATGAGTCCCTCAGAAGTCCTCACCTGGGAATGTCTTCTGAGTTTCAGCATGTCCTCATCTTTCAGTAAGAAATCCTGATAATACACCATGTAACATGCTTTGATATTGGGATCTTTGCCTGGGAAGCAGCTCAAGCTTCTCTGGTTTTTCATAGAGTTCACTTGAACAATGGGGACTCATCCACTGTTACCATGCCAAAGAGGAGGAACCCAGACAGATCAGCAGCTACTTTCTTTCTCCTTCTTGTCATCTCTGCAGTTCCTTTGTTCCTGTTTGTATGGGCAAGGGGAGAAAGAAGCAAAGCCATTGTGTAAATATATATCCAACTGAAAAAATGAGATTCTCTTTTCCCCTTCTTGTAAACATCTGTGTTTTCTGTGAGGGATTATTTTGCAGAACGATTTGCTTGATTTAGACAAAAGGAGAAAGTCACAGCAGTAAGCCCCTGAGTGGACAAATCTAAAATGCTGAACGATTGTTCTAGTGAACTTTATAATCTGGGTTAGGGTGGTGGTGGTGCTGTATGATGGCGATGTTTTGGGTAACAGAGCTGTTCTGCTGGTTCTGAGCAAGTCCTTAAGAAACGCCTGGTAATCTCTTTATTTGGAAGAGCATGTATGGTCCCAGCATCTGTGGTCTTTAGCTTTGGGGATGCAAGAATAATTTTGAGGCCAAAACCAAAAAAGTCCTATTCCACCTCTTATTAGTCATGATTTTTCAAACTTGTTACATATAGTCATTTTTCTTCTGATAGCAAAACACATGATTCTTGAAGAAAACTTTAGAAAATACAAGAAAGTATATATAAACAGGAAAAATCCCTTACTGTTACACCTCTCTTTAGCCAGAGACAATCATTCTTCTACATTAATTGAATTCTTTTTCATCTTTCTTTCATGTTTATGCAGTTTAAATCACTTGTATGTGTATTTTTGAACATTCTGTTTTATACTCACCATTACATCATAAATTCCCTATGAATAATTTTTAGACATGTTTATACCAAATATTGTATCTTCTTACAATAAAGGATAAAATGAAATAACAAAACATTTGTTAATAATAATTTGTGCAAATCAGATTCACCTGGATACCTACAACAAAAAAATTATTCTCAGTTTGATCCTGGCTTGACACAAACAAATCTTTTATGCTTCTTAATTTTGTCATAAGAATATAGGGCACTGTGCTCCTTTTGTTACAATAATGATCACAATATTCAGTGCCTACCGTGTGTTATTTGTACTATAAAACATAGAGAAATAGCCCCCTGTGGGATGATTATTCAGCCAATATAACACGATCCAAGAGCTGACAGATAGTCAATATTTCGGCAGGAAGCAGTGAGAAAAATGTCAATGTTCTCAATGTCTTCTTTGACTGGGGAAACTATCTAGAGGGCATTGGAAGAGCTGAATTTAAGGATTGATACAGCTTATGAGGAAAAGAATAAATGCTCCTTGCTAATGTCTGCTTCAGAATGAGAAGGGAACAGAGTAGAAGAATAGAATTAAAGTAGTGACTAATTATGCATTAATTCATTCATTCTTCATTTAGCATGGGGGGAAAGCTTCTGCTCTCAAGAGTTTAATAACAGAGTTTGAAAGGATGACAAAAAATAACATTATAACATATAATACTGACTTAAAATGTGAGCTGTATTTTTTTCTATAGATGATAATTGACTGACTGCCATGTGCTAGGCAGCATGCCCCATAACACCTGTTCATGAAATTGAGAAAGCCTGTGGTTATTGTGGAATGGAATGGTCAGAGAAGGTTTCTAGAGGAAGATGCATTTGATCTGGATCTTAAAGAATAAGATTTTAAACAGGCGTAGAGGTAAGCTGTTGACATGGGAACATCACGAAGAAGGATAAGATGGTGCAAATAGGTGCAACTAAGTGCAGCCTGGTCAGCCCATGGGCTCGTGTAAGGAAATAGGAGACATCAGACTGGAATGGTATAATAGACTTTGTTCTTTTTGCCCTCCAGTACATATTACCCTTTCATCAGGAAATAGGACCTCATTTGGCCCTGAAGAAGGAAGAGTGGCTGTAACTGAAGAATAGAGAGTCTAGAATGGGGTGGATGGTAGAGGAAAAGGTAGAATGGTGAGGAAGGGGGACTGGGAAGGCATCGGAGAGAAAGTGAAGATGATAAGCTGCTGACCATATCAAGCCATTATACTGAAATTTGGATTCTTAAAATTAGGAAGATGCAATGGGCCTAAATATATAAAGATATAACATATTAAAAATCAGTATGGCACCCACAGAAGGTGATGGGTGAAAATATTTTTCATCTGATCCTATATGTTTCCAGCAAGGCTTTCTAAGTGGAGCTCCTAATGCCATCTGATCTTCCTTTACTGCCATCTCCACAAAACCTTCAAAGTCCAAGTGATAGCTCCCAAGACACTTACAATGTTGGAAAAAATTACTAGATGTAGTTCTGTCCCAGAGTAAATAAAAGATGAATAAAGTAGTAACTGGCCTCTATATCTTTGAAGAACATTAAGTATATCCTTTGAGCCTGTCTCCTAAACACTCCTGCTTGAATGAGACCCCTGTTTCTGGCTTCAGGTGGGAGACGGCTTGGTAAGGAGTTAGCCTGAGCACAAAAAGACTCATCTTTTGATGCCTTTCATTTCTTTAACTGGTAACTGCCGAATGATTATCATAAAGTTAATTTTACATCTTGGAATCTTTGTCTTCTATCTAGTCAGTAAGGGACTATTTGAAGTGCATGGGTATTAGCCTGTGTTTGTGTAGATGGACATTAATCTAGGGCACTGGTTCTGAACTAGGGACAATTTCTCCGCCGGGGACTCTGGGCAATGTTCCTAGACATGGCTGTCACACAGGGCAGGTATCTAGTGAGTAAAGACTAAGGATGCCACTAAACGTCCTGCATTGCACAGGACAGCATCCCGTACCCCCCGAAAAAAAATTCTCTGGTCCAAAATGCTAATATCACTGAGATTGAGAAACCCTAGTCACAAGTACAGGGCTGACCTCTTATAAGTATGGGCAACGTAGTATATTCCTTAGCAGTGTGAACAGTGCAGTCACACAGGGCCAATGAGGCACACACACTCAGAAGGGCTTGGGGTTTAATGTTGGTTGTCACTATCTCAACATGTTGAAACATTTTATCTTTGGAATTATGTTTTGTACTTGAAGTCCCATGGGACAATCGAGACCTGGAATCTCAGCTCATACAGAGTCCCTTGCCTCCCACTCCCTCTCCCTGAGATGAGTTCTCAGCCGCCTGCTCTCTGCCCCTGCCCAGAGACTTCTGCCACTCTCCAACCCTTGAGGGGCCTGGGCACAGGCATAGAGAGGGCAGTGATTGTGCCCGTGTACACTGAGTACTGAGTCACTGGGAGGGGTCCTGGGTGCCTGTGAGGGTCTGCACTTGCACCAGGAATACCATCATGCTTGAGGGAATGCAACTTTAAAAAGCAAATAAAAGAGACCCAAGACAGGTAGAGAAATAGCAGAAAAGATAAAGCCTTTTTTCCCCCCGATGTTTGAACAGAGGTCTTCAAACTTTTGTTTTACACTGAGTCCCACAAATTATGTAGCTGGCCTGGCTAGGCACAAACTATTTTAAAGTTTTTGATTTTTAAGCAAGTTCTCCTTGTGAAAGGATTATCCCTTGAGTCTGGTACTTCTTTTGGAGATCCTAGATGGTCCTAGTTGTGTTCTTTAAGACAGTCTTTGAAAATCTCATATCTGGCTCCTATTTAGTAACCTGTTAGCAGTGTCTTGTTTTATTATACAGTATTTTTTTAATATCAAAAGTTTGGTTCATGTTAACACCTTCTCCTCATACAAAAGTCAGTAATTGAGTTTTGGGTTACTTATTTTTTTAAAGCAGAGTACGCTTTTAAAGTGAATGTTATTATCTTTTATTTCTCATTTTGAAGTCAAAAAGCATGGAAAAGAAAAACCAATATTTCAAAGTAACTAAAAAAACTCAACATTAGCCTTTTTTAAGTGAATTGATCAGAAAGATGCAAAGTGTATAATAGTCATGATTTAATGTTAGTGATCTTCCTACATTTTTATTTGTATAAATGTAAGAGGTACAAGGGCAATGTTGTTACATGGATATACTGTGTAGTGGTGAAGGCTGGGCTTTTAGTGTATCTGTCACCTGAATAATGTGCATCATACCCATAAAGTAATTTCTCATCACTCACTGGCCTCTCACCCCACTGCCCTTCCAAGTCTCCAAGGTCTATCATTCCACACTCTGTGTACATGTGTACACACTGGTTAGCTCCGACTTATAAGTGAGAAAATCAAATGACTTTCTGTTTCTGGGTGTTTCACTTAAGATAATGGCTATTTTTTAATGTGCTTGTTTGATTAGTTTTGCTTTCTTCTTGTTTGCTTGTTTTGCTATAAAACTTTTGTTTTAGAAGCTAATATAGTTAAAAATATTTTTGATCTGGATGGAAAACAAGTGAACAATTATTTGAGATTGCTTAAAAAAACACTTAAAATTTAACATTTTTAAAAACAACATACTATAGAAAATTATTAATTTGCTTTTTATGTGGAACTTTCATTCCTGGGAGATGTTAGTCCCCGAGGGGAAAATAAAATTAAACTTCTATGCAAACAATTGGGTTAATATGTTTTTCTAAGCCGGGTATATTCTTCATGAAATTGCTAATTGGAGCTTATTTCTATGGGCGCTGTATATTTCATCGCAGTTCATCTTTCATATCCTGGGAAGTATGTCAAAATCTGCATGATATGTGTCGTGTTATAAGGACTTTAAAGCCTCACAACTATATATCTTTGTCTTTCAGCAATTTTCTGCATGTCCAGTAGATTATTCAGATGTAGGTTAGAGACACTAAGATCTGATTTAAGATCATGAGGTTTTGGTGAAAGCTCTAGAAGCTCATTATCCTCTCTGATATGTTGTGGTTTATATCATTATCTGGCAAAATAAAATTGAAGCCACTGTTTAAGTACCTTTTCCCCCAAGCCTATATAAATGCCTTTCTCCTAATTGAAGACTCAAACTCATTTGAGGAATTGTTTGAATATTCTGGAAAAAAAATACATCTTCAAGAAGATCTACCTTGTCATAACATTAAAAAAAAGCAGACAGTAAACTTCTATTTCAAATGGGTTACTGCTGCTATAATTAAATGTTCTGTATCATGAACGCTAAGTTCATTGTGAGGAAATAAGAGTGGTTTCTTCCCAGAATAAGATAAGCTTTAAAATATTTTGCAATTTTGAGATAATATTCTATTATTATAACATGGGAAGGCAAAATGGCCTCTTGGCCCCTGATGTAACTGGAAGAGTATGGCATCCCTAGATGTAGATGTTAAAGATGGTGAAAAGTTTGAGTTAGATATTTGGTGCCAATTTCATCCTACAGATAAACTATATCATCCATGTTTATTTTTACGACGTTGCTTTTCATAGTGCAGCTGCTTGCCTGGTTAGGAAGACAGATTGGTGACCCGCAGTCATACACATTGATTAGGTGACAGCCTGTATTCTGAACAGTAGCTAGGGCCAAGGCCTGGAGAATTTTCCACTGTTGGCAGTTGTTTTGCCTTTGCAATGTGGACAGTGTAATGGTTTTCTACAAATTAAACTACTTTGTCTTCAGCGGTTGCAGGCCAGTGGGTTCTGTTGACCCTGGGCACTTTTGAGCAATCAGCATCTTTGTATTGTAACTTTTCAAGCTCTGTTTCCTTTCACACTTTTCTTTTGTTTGGGTGAAAACTGCCTTGTGTCTTCATGGTTGGGGTGGTGGATTCTGAGCCAAAAATGGCATCTTTTTTTAAAAATAGAATATATGAAAATATTTGTCATTATTACTTACCTCATCAATATAATTATTTGGAAAATCTCTCCTTCAGTTTTCTTACAGGAGAAAAGTTTCAGGGAGAAATCTCCTATGTGTATTTTTTCTTTGGGCTTAGTTGTTTAGTAAAAAAGGATGTTATTCTGGGTTATGAGCATCTCTTACGAGGAGGTCTGTAAGAAACTGATGGGAATGGTTTTTGGAATTAGACAGATTTACAAGACAATGTTCAAATCTTGAGTATGGAAAAAATAAAAATCTTGGATACCTAGGTAAGTTTTGGAAATCAAAACATGCTAAGATCCAACATTCTAATGATCCTTTAATCAGCTGGTTAATAGTATGTTCATATTTACTTCTAAATTATCCCATTCTTAAGAACTGCCTTTTATCTCTATCCAAATTCCTCCAAATATTCTACAATTGCCTTCCTTCCTTCCTTCCTTCCTTCCTTCCTTCCTTCCTTCCTTCCTTCCTTCCTTCCTCCCTCCCTCCCTCCCTCTCTCCCTCCCTCCCTCCCTCCCTCATATGGTGATCTTTTGGTATTTACTTTTTATTCTGGTGCCTAACCTCACAAAAGTAGCATTGTAAAAAGCACAAGTTTTTTTTTTTTTTTTGGTTTCTTTTTCTTTTTTTTTAAATTATACTTTAAGTTTTAGGGTACATGTGCAAAACATGCAGGTTTGTTACATATGTATACATGCGCCATGTTGGTGTGCTGCACCCATTAACTCATCATTTAACATTAGGTATACCTCCTAATGCTATCCCTCCACCCTCCCCCCAACCCACAACAGGCCCTGTTGTGTGATGTTCCCCTTCCTGTGTCCATGTGTTCTCATTGTTCAGTTCCCACCTATGAGTGAGAACATGTGGTGTTTGGTTTTTTATCCTTGCGATACTTTGCTGAGAATGATGGTTTCCAGCTTCATCCATGTCCCTACAAAGGACATGAACTCATCATTTTTTATGGCTGCATAGTATTCCATGGTGTATATGTGCCACATTTTCTTAATCCAGTCTATCACTGTTGGACATTTGGGTTGGTTCCAAGTCTTTGCTATTGTGAATAGTGCCACAATAAACATACGTGTGCATGTGTCTTTATAGCAGCATGATTTATAATCCTTTGGGTATATACCTAGTAATGGGATGGCTGGGTCAAATGGTATTTCTAGTTCTAGATCCCTGAGGAATCGCCACACTGACTTCCACAATGGTTGAACTAGTTTACAGTCCCAACAACAGTGTAGAAGTGTTCCTATTTCTCCACATCCTCTCCAGCACCTGTTGTTTCCTGACTTTTTAATGATCGCCATTCTAAATGGGGTGAGATGGTATCTCATTGTGGTTTTGATTTCAATTTCTTTGATGGCCAGTGATGACGAGCATTTTTTCATGTGTCTTTTGGCAGCATAAATGTCTTCTTTTGAGAAGTGTCTGTTCATATCCTTCACCCACTTTTTGATGGGGTTGTTTGTTTTTTTCTTGTAAATTTCTTTGAGTTCATTGTAGATTCTGGATATTAGACCTTTATCAGATAAGTAGATTGCAAAAATTTTCTCCCATTCTGTAGGTTGCCTGTTCACTCTGATGGTAGTTTCTTTTGCTGTACAGAAGCTCTTTAGTTTAAATTAGATCGCATTTATCAATTTTGGCTTTTGTTGCCATTGCTTTTGGTGTTTTAGACATGAAGACCTTGCCCATGCCTATGTCCTGAATGGTATTGCCTAGGTTTTCTTCTAGGGTTTTTATGGTTTTAGGTCTAACGTTTAAGTCTTTAATCCATCTTGAATTAATTTTTGTATAAGGTTGTAAGGAAGGGATCCAGTTTCAGCTTTCTACATATGGCTAGCCAGTTTTCACAGAACCATTTATGAAATAGGGAATCCTTTCCCCATTGCTTGCTTTTGTCAGGTTTGTCAAAGATCAGATAGTTGTAGATATGTGGCATTATTTCTGAGGGCTCTGTTCTGTTCCTTTGGTCTATATCTCTGTTTTGGTACCAGTACCATGCTGTTTTGGTTACTGTAGCCTTGTAGTATAGTTTGAAGTCAGGTAGCATGATGTCTCCAGCTTTGTTCTTTTGGCTTAGGATTGACTTGACAATGCGGGCTCATTTTTGTTCCATATGAACTTTAAAGTAGTTTTTTTCCAATTCTGTGAAGAAAGTCATTGGTAGCTTGATGGGGGTGGCATTGAATCTATAAATTACCTTGGGCAGTATGGCCATTTTCACGATATTGATTCTTCCTATCCATGAGCATGGAATGTTCTTCCATTTGTTTGTATCCTCTTTTATTTCCTTGAGCAGTGGTTTGTAGTTCTCCTTGAAGAGGTCCTTCACGTCCCTTGTAAGTTGGATTCCTAGGTATTTTTTTCTCTTTGAAGCGATTGTGAATGGAAGTTCACTCATGATTTGACTCTCTGTTTGTCTGTTATTGGTGTATAAGAATGCCTGTGATTTTTGTACATTGATTTTGTATCCTGAGACTTTGCTGAAGTTGCCTATCAGCTTAAGGAGATTTTGGGCTGAGATGATGGTGTTTTCTAGATATACAATCATGTCATCTGCAAACAGGGACAATTTGACTTCCTCTTTTCCTAATTGGATACCCTTTATTTCCTTCTCCTGCCTGATTGCCCTGGCCAGAACTTCCAACACTATGTTGAATGGGAATGGTGAGAGAGGGCATCCCTGTCTTGTGCCAGTTTTCAAAGGGAATGCTTCCAGTTTTTGCCCATTCAGTATGATATTGGCTGTGGGTTTGTCATAGATAGCTCTTATTATTTTGAGATACGTCCCATCAATACCTAATTTATTGAGTTTTTAGCATGAAGCGTTGTTGAATTTTGTCAAAGGCCTTTTCTGCATCTATTGAGATAATCATGTGGTTTTTGTCATTGGTTCTCTTTATGTGCCGGATTACGTTTATTGATTTGTGTATGTTGAACCAGCCTTGCATCCCAGGGATGAAGCCCACTTGATCATGGTGGATAAGCTTTTTGATGTGCTGCTGGATTCGGTTTGCCAGTATTTTATTGAGGATTTTTGCATCGATGTTCTTCAGGGATATTGGTCCAAAATTCTCTTTTTTTCATTGTGTCTCTGCCAGGCTTTGGTATCAGGATGATGCCAGCCTCATAAAATGAGTTAGGGAGGATTCCCTGTTTTTCTTTTGATTGGAATAGTTTCAGAAGGAATGATACCAGCTCCTCCTGTACCTCTGGTAGAATTCGGCTGTGAATCCATCTGGTCCTTGGCTTTTTTTGGTTGGTAAGCTGTTAATTATTGCCTCAATTTCAGATCCTGTTATTGGTCTATTCAGAGATTCAACTTCTTCCTGGTTTAGTCTTGGGAGGGTGTATGTGTCGAGGAATTTATCCATTTCTTCTAGATTTTGTAGTTTATTTGAGTAGAGGTGTTTATAGTATTCTCTGATGGTAGTTTGTATTTCTGTGGGATCGGTGGTGATATCCCCTTTATCATTTTTTATTGCGTCTATTTGATTCTTCTCTGTTTTCTTCTTTATTAGTCTTGTTAGCGGTCTATCAATTTTGTTGATCTTTTCAAAAAACCACGTCCTGGATTCATTAATTTTTTGAAGGGTTTTTTGTGTCTCTATTTCCTTCAGTTCTGCTCTGACCTTAGTTATTTCTTGCCTTCTGCTAGCTTTTGAATGTGTTTGCTCTTGCTTCTCTAGTTCTTTTAATTGTGATGTTAGGGTGTCAATTTTAGATCTTTCCTGCTTTCTCTTGTGGGCATTTAGTGCTATAAATTTCCCTCTACACACTGCTTTGAATGTGTCCCAGAGATTCTGGTATATTGTATCTTTGTTCTCGTTGGTTTCAAAGAACATCTTTATTTCTGCCTTCATTTCGTTATGTACTCAGTAGTCATTCAGGAGCAGGTTGTTCAGTTTCCATGTAGTTGAGCGGTTTTGAGTGAGTTTCTTAATCCTGAGTTCTAGTTTGTTTGCACTGTGGTCTGAGAGACAGTTTGTTATAATTTCTGTTCTTTTACATTTGTTGAGGAGAGCTTTACTTCCAACTATGTGGTCAGTTTTGGAATAGGTGTCATGGGGTGCTGAAAAGAATGTATGTTCTGTTGATTTGGGGTGCAAAGTTCTGTAGATGTCTATTAAGTCTGCTTGGTGCAGAGCTGAATTCAATTCCTGGGTATCCTTGTCAGCTTTCTGTCTCGTTGATCTGTCTAATGTTGACAGTGGGGTGTTAAAGTCTCCCATTATTAATGTGTGGGAGTCTAAGTCTCTTTGTAGGTCTCTAATGACTTGCTTTATGAATCTGGGTGCTCCTTTATTGGGTGCATATATATTTAGGATAGTTAGCTCTTCTTGTTGAATTGATCCCTTTACCATTATGTAATGGCTTTCTTTGCCTCTTTTGATCTTTGTTGGTTTAAACTCTGTTTTATCAGAGACTAGGATTGCAACCCCTGCCTTTTTTTCTTCCATTTGCTTGGTAGATCTTCCTCCATCCCTTTATTTTGAGCCTATGTGTGTGTCTGCAGGTGAGATGGGTTTCCTGAATACAGCACACTGATGGGTCTTGACTCTTTATCCAATTTGCCAGTCTGTGTCTTTTAATTGGAGCATTTAGCCCATTTACATTTAAGGTTAATATTGTTGTGTGTGAATTTGATCCTGTCATTATGATGTTAGCTGGTTATTTTGCTCGTTAGTTGATGCAGTTTCTTCCTAACCTCGATGGTCTTTCCAATTTGGCATGTTTTTGCAGTGGCTGGTACCCGTTGTTCCTTTCCATGTTTAGTGCTTCCTTCAGGAGCTCTTTTAGGACAGGCCTGGTGGTGACAAAATCTCTCAGCATTTGCTTGTCTGTAAAGTATTTTGTTTCTCCTTCACTTATGAAGCTTAGTTTGGCTGGATATGAAATTCTGGGTTGAAAATTCTTTTCTTGAAGAATGTTGAATATTGGCCCCCACTCTCTTCTGGCTTGTAGAGTTTCTGCCGAGAGATCTGCTGTTAGTCTGATGGGCTTCCCTTTGTGGGTAACCTGACCTTTCTCTCTGGCTGCCCTTAACATTTTTTCCTTCATTTCAACTTTGGTCAATCTGACAATTACATGTCTTGGAGTTGCTCTTCTCGAGGAGTATCTTTGTGGCGTTCTCTGTATTTCCTGAATGTGAATGTTGGCCTGCCTTGCTAGTTTGGGGAAGTTGTCCTGGATAATATCTTGCAGAGTATTTTCCAACTTGGTTCCATTCTCCCTGTCACTTTCAGGTACACCAATCAGATGTAGATTTGGTCTTTTCACATAGTCCCATATTTCTTGTAGGCTTTGTTTGTATCTTTTTGTTCTTTTTTCTCTAAACTTCTCTTCTCGCTTCATTTCATTAATTTGATCTTCCATCACTGATATCCTTTCTTCCAGCTGATCGAATCAGCTACTGAGGCTTGTGCATTCGTCACCTAGTTCTTGTGCTGTGGTTTTCAGCTCCATCAGGTCCTTTAATGACTTTTCTGCATTGGTTATTCTAGTTAGCCATTTGTCTAATTTTTTTTCAAGGTTTTTAACTTCTTTGCCATGGGTTTGAACTTCCTCCTTTAGCTCAGAGTAGTTTGATCATCTGAAGCCTTCTTCTCTCAACTCGTCAAAGTCATTTTCCATCCACCTTTGTTCCATTACTGGTGAGGAGCTGTGTTCCTTTGGAGGAGGAGAGGCGCTCTGATTTTTAGAGTTTCCAATTTTTCTGCTCTGTTTTTTTCCCATCTTTGTGGTTTTATCTACCTTTGGTCTTTGGTGATGGTGACCTACAGATGGGGTTTTGGTGTGGATGTCCTTTCTGTTTGTTAGTTTTCCTTCTAACAGTCAGGACCCTCAGCTGCAGGTCTGTTGGAGTTTGCCAGAGGTCCACTCCAGACCCTGTTTGCCTGGGTATCAGCAGTGGAGGCTGCAGAACAGCGGATATTGGTGAACAGCAAATGTTGCTGTCAGATCGTTCCTCTGGAAGTTTTGTCTCAGACGAGTACCCGGCCGTGTAAGGTGTCAGTCCGTCCCTACTGAGGGTTGCCTCCCAGTTAGGCTACTCGGGGGTCAGGGACCCACTTGAGGAGACAGTCTGTCCATTCTCAGATCTCAAGCTGCGTGCTGGGAGAACCAGTACTCTCTTCAAAGCTGTCAGACAGGGACATTCAAGTCTTCAGAGGTTTCTGCTCCCTTTTATTTGGCTATGCCCTGCCCCCAGAGGTGGAGTCTACAGAGGCAGGCAGGCCTCCTTGAGCTGCGGCGGGCTCCACCCAGTTCGAGCTTCCAGGCCGCTTTGTTTACCTACTCAAGCCTCGGCAATGGCAGACGCCCCTCCCCCAGGCTCACTGCCACCTTGCAGTTTGATCTCAGACTACTGTTCTAGCAAGGAGCGAGGCTCCGTGGTCACATGACCCTCCGAGCTAGGCATGGCATATAATCTCCTGGTGTGCTATTTGCTAAGTCCGTTGGAAAAGCGCAGTATTAGGGTGAGAGTGACCCGATTTTCCAGGTGCCATCTGTCACCCCTTTCTTTGACTAGGAAAGGGAATTCCCTGACCCCTTGCACTTCCCGGGTGAGGCGATGCCTCACCCTGCTTCGGCTCACACTTGGTGCGCTGCACCCACTGTCCTGCACCCAGTGTCTGACACTCCCCAGTGAGATGAACCTGGTACCTCAGTTGGAAATGCAGAAATCACTTGTCTTCTGCATCACTCACACTGGGAGCTGTAGACTGAAGCTGTTCCTATTTGGCCATCTTGGCTTGACCTGAAAGCACAAGTTTTGAATTATTGAGAGTGTCCATTGAAACCTTACTGTTGGTAATGATGAGATTGAACGTTTCCATTTCCAACATCTCATAAGTTTTAGTAGCCAATTTTCTTTGATTAGTCTGTTTATTTAAGTATTCTTATTTTTCTACACAGGTTATTTAAGTATTCTTATATTTCTATACAATATTTTTTATTTAGATCATATCTTTTAAAACCCAGATATGAAAGCCCCTCCTCCCCTCCTCCCACACCTCCATTCTTTCCTTCCTTCTTCTTTTTTTATTTTCAAGATATTCAACCCACTTTATTGATGGCTGCTCACTTCTGCATTTTAGAGCTTTTAGAGTACATAACATCTGAAAAATCTGTTTTGAAGTTTCCAACTGCAATATTCTTACCATTAATAGTTTCATATCTTTGTTCAAATTATTTCTTCCACCTGAAATGTCTAAGCTATATTTAAGGGGTTTCTAACACAGAAACATTTTTATTTTTATATAATAGCTATCAAGATTTAACATTGTGATATCGTGATATATTTTATGAAATCTGTGAAATACACGGGTTCAATAAATATTGAGTTATATATTTTTAAGATGTAAAACTTATTTCGTTTTATGTTTATCTCTAATACAATAAGCCTAAAATTAATTTTAGTGAATACATGAAAATAGAATCTAATTTTTGCTCATTGAATGTAAGCAGTTATACAAATGTTGAATAACATTTTGTTTTTGTTGATAAAACTGTGAGGGGCCGGGAGCAGTGGTTCATGCCTGTAATCCCAGCACTTTGGGAGGCCAAGGCAGGAGAATCATGTGAGGTCAGGAGTTCGAGACCAGCCTAGACAACATACTGAGACCCTGTCTCTACAAAAAATTTTAAAAATTAGCCCAATGTGGTGGCTCATGCCTGTAGTCCCAGCTATTCTGGAGGCTGAAGGCTGAGGTGGGAGGATCTCTTGAGCCTGGGAAGTTGAGGCTGCAGTGAGCTGTGATTGTGCCACTACACTCTAGCTTGGGTAATAGAACAAGACTCTGTCTCAAAAAATAAATAAATAAACTGAAAAACCACACTGAAGTCTGTGAGGGAATGACATTTAAATAGGAAATGACAAAACAAAACAAAACCTTTTGCTAAAGAAATAGTGCTAAGCAGTGAACCCATTTAATTATTAAAACTAAAATAAATCTGACAAATTTTGCTATGGGATAGAATATATGTTATACAGTCTGATAATATGAATGTAAGTATATGTATATATGCTACATAAACTATAACTATATTACATATATATTTATAGTTAGGAGGGAAAAAGGAAAGAGTGTGGAAGGAGTATAAATATACTGCTTTCAGCTTTCATACTTGGGGTTTAAAAGATATGATCAAAATAAAAACTATTGTAAAGAAATATAAGAATACTTAAACAAAAATAATACTTAAGAATACTTAAACAAAGAAAAAATAAGAAAAATAGAATACTTAAATAAACAGAGAGACCAATCAAAGAAAATTGGCTACTAAATATTATGAGAAGTTGGAAATGAAAATGTTCAATCTCATCATTACCAACATTAAGGTTTCAATGGACACTCAATAACTAAATCTTGTGCTTTATATAATGCTGCTTTTGTGAGGTTAGGCACCAGAATAAAAAGTAAATACCATAAAATCACCATATGAAATACCAAAATGAAACAAAGTAAAAAAATATATGGACCATACATTTAAAGATTGTAGACAATATGATAGAATTAGGGCTAGACACATCTGTCATATTAATAAATTCTAATGTGTTAAGTGCACCTATAAAATGAAAAATGCGTGGTTTTCAAAGCCAAATAAAATTTTATATTATATTCAAGATATACCTAAAAATTTTTGGAAAATTTGAAAGCACATCTACAGACAAATGAATATCAGGTAAATGCAACTGAACAAAAAGGAGTAGTTGTAAAATTACATAAGACAAAATCTGATTCAGCAAGAAGACAACAAATGAGATGAAGAGTACCACATAAAATGATAGTGAATGCAATAAACAGGGATAATATCATGAGTTTATCATAGTACCAACACTTACTAAGCAAAGGGCTACAAAAATATAAGAAAAATAGAAACACATTGGAGATAGAGGCTTTATTTCAACTCACTCAGACCTTGACATTTCAAATGGCCCAAGAGTAGGTAAGAGTTTGAGAAACAAAAATATAAGTAACTAGAATAACTACAATTGATTACACTAAACACTATGCCCCCACAAAAGGGACTATAGTTTATTTCTAAAGTAAGTGCTCATGGAACACTATAAAAGCAGAACATATGTGAGTCCTAGCACATCTCCAATTAATGTAGTATATTTTAAAATTCCTAATTTTAAAATCATAAAATTCCTAATTAAAGAAAGAAAAATGATTATGAAAGATGATCACTTTCATAATTATTTAACTGTTATTAGAACTTATAAACCTTAAAACATTATTAAATTATCTTGAGTAAAAAAGTACATTACTGAGATTTAAAGGCTAACTATCCATGCTCCTGATACTTTTTTTGGCTGGAGTCATTGTGATATATCCACCTCTATTTATTTTGTCTGCCTGTCTCTTAAGTGAATTCAATTCTGGATAGTTTGCCCATTTCCTAACTATATCTTCCTCTTTATTCATTTTGGAGCTTATACTTGTACAGCTATCTTCCTATAATTAACATATTTATTAAGTTAATTTTTAGTATTGAGTTTTTTGATGATGTGAAAAAGATTTTATTGTTGATGTTGTTTTGCTTTGTTTTTTGAGTTGGAGTCTCACTCGTCGCCAGGCTGGAGTGCAGTGGCATGATATCAGCTCTCTGCAACCTCTGCCTCCGGGTTTCAAGCAATTCTCCTGCCTCAGCTTCCCAAGTAGCTGGATTTACAAGTGCACACCACCAAGCCCAGCTAATTTTTGTATTTTTAGTAGAGATGGGGTTTCATCATGTTGGCCAGGATAGTCTCCATCTCCTGACCTAGTGATCTGCCTGCCTCACCCTCCCAAAGTGCTGGGATCACAGGCATGAGCCACCATGCCCAGCCAAGATGTTTTGATTTACATATTCTAAGTGAATATTAGAAAAATTAGAGGTAAATATAAATGCTGTTATTTTTATACAGTGTGAGAGAGCAATATTCATTCACTTTGTTAAATTTATTAAATATAATTTAATGTATTTTTTCATTTTAGGTTAACCATTTTATCTAAAATAATAAAAAATTGTCTCATTAAAAAATTTATGCCACATTTGTTATTGTTTCTCATTTCAATGACTAGCAATTTCAAAACAATTTTAAAGAATAGGGTTCATAGTGAACCTCTCAACTTATTTCTTAATTTAATAAAAATATTTTTACTTTTTTATTAATATGTTGCTATGTATTGAAATGTTTAGCATTAAAAATTTTTGTTTTTATTTTATCAGTTTACAAAGAGCTTAATGTTCTTTGTAAACTGGTAAAATCAAAAAGTACCATTATAAAAATTATATTATTCTTTGAATATGAATATGCTGTAGGTTTTATTTGCTAACATTTAATTAGGATATCTGAATTTATATTTAATTATCTCAAACACTATTATTTTCATAATTGTAGGTAAAAGAAATGCATTAGCAATTTCATAGAGCTTAACCAAGTATAATTAAGGTTACATTATAATTAATCTGTGTGTTTATTAACTTTGTCAAGCTTTTAAGTTTTGGGTAGTATTTAAAACATAGATTTTACTTATGTATTTGGCAAGTAAAAGTTGTATATATTTATGATGTAGAACACTATGCTTTGGAACAGTATTAGCACCTAAATAGTAATTTATAATTTCATTCTTAGAAATTATGCCAGTATCAGGGTCAGATGCTGTTTTTGGATGCAGAAGATTTAAAAAGCATTTAAAAACATGCTCATTACCCTACAACTATTCATGTTTTCTATTTTTTTCTTGAGTCAGTTTGGACTCTTTAACCATTTCATAGAGATTTGTCAATGTTATTAACATTTGTCACATATTAAATTCTCATAGTTTTGAAAATATATGCAATGTCTGTATATGTAGTTATTTATATGTTCTTAGTATCATTTATTTGTATTTTTATGTCTTTTTTAACTAGATTTCCCCCAAATTGGTATATTTTATAATTTTAATAAAATCTGACCTCAGATTTAATCATTGATAAGATATATTCTAATTTATTGATTACTGCTTTTGTATCCTAATTATTTCTGTTTATTTGTTTTATTTTTTCCTTTCTAATTTAAATTGAATGTTCAGTTGATTTATTTTTACTCTTTTCTATTAAAATATTCAAAACTTCAAATTTTCTTTGGCCATATCTCATAAATAATGATGACTACTGTTTTAAAAATCATCTTCCCTAAAAACTTTGTGTATGGCAATTTTGTGGTTTAAAGGAATATGATTTCACCTCTTATCATTCAACAATAAAAATATAAAATTCTATCGTAAAATTCCAATTTAAATATTTTGCATTAAAGTAATGTGGCCAGCAAAATTGATTTATTTGTTCTTCAAAATTTTATTTTACACCTTTAATTGACAAATTACGTCATATATGGTGATTTGATATACACATATATTTTGAAATGACTACCACAATCAAGTCAATTAACATCTATCTCCTCGCTTAGATACCACTTTTGTTTTGTTTTGTTTCCCTTTTTTTCTGGTGAAAACATATCCAATAGGGTAGTGTTGAATATAGTCCTCATGCAGTATATTACCTTTCCAAAACTTGTCTTACTAAAGTTGATGTCCTTTGACAAACATTTCTCCATTTTCTCCACACCTCAATCCCTGCTACCATTATACTCTTAGCTTCTGGAGTTTGACCTTTATAGCTTCAACATGTAAGTGAGAAAGTACAGAATTTCCCTTTGTACATCTGACATTTCACTTAGCATAATGCCTTCAGGTTTCATCCATATTGTCACAAATGGTAGAATTTTCATTTTTATCACTGAATCGTATTCTATGTGTGTGTACTGCAAATTCTTTATCCATTTATTCATTGATGGTACAAAACTGAGTTTTTTGGTGTTCACTGACGTTTTATGTATTGTCTGAAAACTTATGTATTATTGACTGCTACAAAAAATGTTAGCAGTCAATGGGAGCTTATACAGAAAGTATATTTACTTTTATTAGGGAACAAAACAATGCAAAACTTTGAATTTAACTTGTTAAAAATATCAATAATGCTTTCTGTGTCTTAAATTTTTTTATTTATCTCTTTCATGATGCTTTTATTTTCATCTTGCTGTTTTTATCTTTATCTTTATCTTTATCACTTACCACTTGTTCCTATCAAACATTTAATGAACAAACATGTCTTCCCAGCCTGAGACACTAAGGAGAATGAGGGCAGAGCTCTGTGGGCCTCTCTTCAGACTTTCTGCTTAGACATTGTACTGTGATACTAACTAGCATCAACAGCACCAACTGGAATCCAAGACTTCTCTAATGAGCTGAAATTGTCCATAGCTGCATCTTTGGAAGTGAGAGAAATATTAATTTTTCATAAATTAGTATACAAATGAAAGAAAAAAAAACAGGATTGGCAATGTACATTTCAGGTGAAACATTCCTATTCAACCTGTCTGCTTTTATACACTCCTCAATCTGGGATTTTGACACAGTGAAAAATGCAGGTGAGAGTATGGAGATGGGTAAGGGGTGATAACTCAGACCCTGTGGCTTACTACCTGATATGGTTTGGATTTGCATCCCCACCCAAATCTCATGTTGAGGAGGGGCCTGGTAGTAGGTGTTTGAATCATGGGGGCAGATTTTCCCTTGTTGTTCTGATAGTGAGTGAGTTCTCAAGAGATCTAATGGTTTAAAAGTGTGTGGCACTTCCCCCCTTGCTCTCTCTTCCTCCTGCTCTGCCATGGTAAGACATGCTTGTTTCTCCTTGGCCTTCTCCCATGATTATAAGTTTCCTGCAGCCTCGCAGTCATGCTTCCTGTTAAGGCATTGCAACCATGAGTCAGTTAAACCTCTTTTCTTAATAAATTACCCAGTTTCAGGTAGTTCTTTATAGAAGTGTGAAAATGGACTAATACACTACCTGAACATTTCTCATTCTCTCTTTCTGCTCCCCCTAATTGGAAAGAATGTATATTTTATTTTCATTCTTAATGGGAACTTCTCAATTGTCATTTCTTCTTCTTTAGAAGGGGTGACAATTTCACTTAAATTTTACCTTTCTGCTTGGAAGGACTGCTGGGAAAAATAACTAAAAATCTCTAGATTTCTAAAAGGGCAGACTAGATGCTGAGTTATTTATAAAACATATCCCTATTACATTGTTTTTCAACTTTTAGGGTCAAGCTATTGAAAAGGTGAGAAACACTTTATTGTGATTACTGGACAAAATGTAAATTATTAACTTTGAGCGTATAAAGATAAAAGTGTGGTGGATAGATGTTAGTTAGCTAGAGGAGGCAGGAATGGTGTAGGTTAACGTTTTCCTTTCATAAAGTTGGAGTCAAAGATTCTACCTTTGTTAAATGGAACAAGGAATGAAGATTTAAGTTGATCATTTATAATTGCACAGATCAGTGGGAAAACTAGAATATTGATATAGTTTTATTTGAAGAAGGAATGGATGAGTAGACAGAAATTAAGCGATAACTTCTAAAGCTGGTAGGTCATGAATTAGGGGTTAAATCATGTTAGAGTAATGGAAGATCACTAAAAGGACTAAAATTTTCTTTTAAATTTTTTTTTTTTTTTTTTTTTTTTTTTTGAGACGGAGTCTCGCTCTGTTGCCCAGGCTGGAGAGCAGTGGCGCGATCTCGGCTCACTGCAAGCTCCGCCTCCCAGGTTCACGCCATTCTCCTGCCTCAGCCTCCCGAGTAGCTGGGACTACAGGCGCCCGCCACCACGCCCGGCTAATTTTTTTTGTATTTTTAGTAGAGACGGGGTTTCACCGTGTTAGCCAGGATGGTCTCGATCTCCTGACCTCGTGATCCACCCGCCTCGGCCTCCCAAAGTGCTGGGATTACAGGCGTGAGCCACCGCGCCCGGCCTTAAATTTTTTTAAGTGGTTGCTTTCTGGGGAGTTAAGAGATGGGGTAACGAATTATTGAACTTATCTCTTCTGTATTTTTAATTTTTTTTAAAAAAGGATATTTATATTGTCCTTTATATGTATATAAAATATTACATATGCCCTTGGTATTGATTCTTGTGATAGACTAAAAATATTAAATAAAAATCAAACAAATACAAAATCAACAGGAACAATAAAAATAAAATAACAGTGCA
The DNA here is from genome assembly GCF_000001405.40 of Homo sapiens. Classification (NCBI taxonomy): domain Eukaryota; kingdom Metazoa; phylum Chordata; class Mammalia; order Primates; family Hominidae; genus Homo; species Homo sapiens. The sequence continues at coordinate 114,813,378 of NC_000006.12, forward strand.
GCTATCCCAACGAGAGATAATCACTACTGTGGGTGCTACCAAGAATTCTTATACCTGTTTTCCCTTTTTAGCCCTTCTGACTACCCTTTGTCTATATTTATAAACAAGTACCTCCCCACCAAACTTCATGTAGCAGCTCAAACTTACTCATTCTTCAGATCTTACCTTCCTGTGAAAAGACTTTAGGACATTAATTTGGTCCCTAACAAAACTCAAAATGATTTTTAAAGGTCTCTACCATAAGTAATTGAATTTTATTTTTAATTCAGAGAGAAATGAAGATTTTCAACTATTAAACCCTCAATTCTACCTCTTAGTATCAATTCTATTTCACTTGGGGCATGTGTGTATGTATGTATAAATATATATACACCATTTATCATTAATATAACAAATGCTTATTAAGTATCTTTATGTACTATCATGCTTCTCATCACAGAGTTTATAATTTGGTTGAGAAAACAATAAATAGGCAAATAAGTAAACATGTAAAATATTGGGAAGGATGCTTTGAGATGAGCTGGGTCTACTTTATATTGCCTTGTCACTGAAGTCCTCTCTGTGAGAATGATTTTTGTGTTGAGACCTAAAAGATGAGAAGATGCCAGTTATGTGTAGAATATCATGAAGTGTTCTCATGTATAGGGAATAGCATCTACAAGGGCCTTACCTATGAAAAGAAGTATTTGTGTTCAAGAAACTGAAGGAAAACCAATTTCATTAGACCATAGTGAGCAAAGGGAGCAATAATGGAACCCAAATCCCTCACTTACCTCTTATACTTTTGCATAAGGAATAATTTCTCAAAGCTTAATTCCCTCCTTCCTTTTCACAAAATTAGGTGAAATTGACGTAACATAAAATTAATTATTTTAAAGTGAACAGTGATGTGGAATTTAGTATCTTCACAATGTTGTGTAGCCATCACATTTATCTCATTCTAAAACATTTTTATCACCCCAAAAGAAAGTCCTGGGCCCTTTAAGCAGTTATTTTCCATTACCCTATAGTGAATATTTTATACAAATGGAATCATATAATATGTGATGTTTTGTGTCTGCCTTCTTTCACTCAGAATAATGTTCTCCAGATTTATCCATATTATAGTACATGTCAGCTCTTTATTATTTTTTATGGATGAATAATATTTCATTATATGTATATATCAAAATTTGTTTCTCCATTTATCCATTGATGAACATTTGTGCTGTTTCCACCCTTTGGTTACTATGAATAATTCTGTTTTGACCACGCATGTACATGTAGTTATTGAATACCTGTTTTTAATTCTTCTGGACATATACCTAGAAATGGAATTGGTGGACATATGGTAATTCTATGTTCAGCTTTTTGAAGAACTGCCAAAATGTTTTCTACAGTTGGCTGAACCACTTTACATTAGCACCGCAATGTATGAAGTTTCCAATTTTTCCATTTCCTCACCAACACTTTTTATTTTCCACTTTTATTTTTATGTTAACCATCTCAGAGAGTTTAAAGTGGTATCTCATTGTGGTTCTGATTTGTATTTCTCTGATAAATAATGGTGTTGTGGCTCTTTTAATTTGCTTATTGGCTATTTGTATATCTTTGGAGAAATTTGTACATTTAAGTCTTGTGCCATTTTAAACTTAGATTGTTTTATCTTTGTCGTTGGGATATAGTTGTTCCTTTTGTATTCTGGATATTAGAACTATATCAGATATATGATTTGCAAATATTCTTTTTTTCTAGTATAGATTGCCTTTTCACCTTCTTGATAATATCCTTTAGTGAACAATATTTTTAAATTCTGGTGAAGTCCAATGTATTTTTCTTGTGCTTTTGGTGTCATATCTAAGAATTCATCGACAAACTCACTGTCATGAAGATTTGTCTCTTCTGAGTTTTGTATTTTTATCTCTTATGTATAGCTCATTGATTCATTGTGACTTAATTTTCATATATAGGGTGTGAGTAGTGGTCTGATATGATTTGGATGTTTTGTCTTCTACAAATCTCACATTGAAATGTGACCTCTGATGTTGGAGGTGACCCTAGTGGGATATGTTTGGGTCATGGTGGTAGATCCCTCATGAATGGCTTGGTGTTGCCCTCATGGTAATGAGTGAGTTCTCACTCTGTGAGTTCATGTGAGATCTGGTTGTTTGAAAGAGCCTAGCACATTCTCCCTCTTTCTCTTTCTCTCCCTCTCTCCATGTGATATATCAGCTCCCCCTTTGCATTTTGCCATAATTGTAAGCTCCTTGAGCCTCACCAGAAGATGAGCAAATGCTGATTCTGTCCTTCCTATACAGCTTGCAGAACTGTGAGCCAATTCTCTTTAAAAAAAACAACAACCCAGTTTTAGCTACTTAGCTATTACTTTATAGCAACAAAAATGAACTAATACATGGTCCAACGTTATTTTTATTTTTTATTTGGCTATCCAGTTATGGCAGCACCATTTCTTGAGAAGACTGTCCTTTCCCCATTGAATGATCTTGGCACCCTTATTGAGAATTAAGTGACCGTAGCCATATGGGTTTATTTCCAGACTAAATAATATTCTGTTGGTCTATGTGTCAGTCTTCATGACAGTACTGTACTATTTTGATCATGGTAGCTTTGTAGTAAGTTTTGAAATTGGGAAGTGTTAATCCTCCAATACTTTGGGATAAATTATGTTCCTGCCAAATTCATATGTTGAAGCCCTAACCCACGATGTGATAGTATTTGGAAATGGGGCTTTTGTAAGGTAATTAAATTAGGATAAGATCATGAGGGTAGGTTCCTCATGATGGGCATAGTGCCCTTACAAGAAGAGATGCTAGAGGACTTGCTCTTCCCCTTCACCTGCAATGTGAGGATACAGTGAGATGGCAGCAAGAAGAGAGCCCTCATCAAAACTTGACGATACTGCACCTTGAAGTTGGACTTCCAACTTCTGGAACTATGAGAAAATAAATTACTGTATCTTGTTGTGGCAGCCTGAGCTAAAACATCCAATTTTTCTCTTCCTTATCAAGACTGTAATTTGCTATACAGGACCCTTTGTAATTCTATGAGAATGTGAGGATTAACATTTCAATTTTTACATAAAAAGATCATTGGAATTTTGATAAGGATTGTGTTGAATCTGTAAATTGCTTTGTCATTGAAACAATATTATGTCTCTAACCCATAGACACATCCATGAATATCTTTCTATTTACTTAGGTCTATTTACTTAATTTATTTCTAACAATGATTTGTAGTTTTCAGCATTCAAGTCTTTTAACTCTTTGGTTAAATTCACTCCTAGGTATTTTATTTTTTGAATGCTATTATAAATGGAGATTTTTTTACTTACTTTTTGGATTGTTCATTGCTGGTATGTAGGAACATGACTGATATTAGTATGTTTACCTTTTACCTTGAAGTTTTGTTGAATTAGTTTATTAACTCTAGTAGGTTTTTTTGTGTAGATTATTTGGGACTTTCTGTACCAAGGATTATGTAATCTGTGAAAGAGAGTTTTACTTCCTTATTTCTATTTTGAATGTATTTCTTTTTAATAAGTAGAAGATGATTCACTCTTTCTCATGAGATATTTGTGAGAAATGTAACACAACATTTACTTAGGTACTGGGAGACACTTTTCATCTTCCAGAACCTAAGTAAGGCTTGTGTGACATTGCAAAGACATATAACAAGCAAATACTGGTCAAGAGTACTGTAAATGTGGAGAATGTGGAGCTATGAAGAATGTAAATTAATAAAACTTTCCAAAAGACTAATATATAAGCATAGTACTGACCAGTAGTTCTATTATCAGGACATACACTAAGGAAATAATTGAAATTTTGAGATGGTTTATATATTGTATATAATGCTCATTTCAGCATTGTTTCTAATGATAGATATTAAAGCAACAACCAAGAAGTTTAACAGATGATTGTTAAATAGGTTGTTAATTGATCTTAAGACATTATACTGTATAATCATGAAAATGTTTGTTGTGGGTGTAGCATCCTATTTATATAAAAATGTTTGAAAGAGCTATTTCTTCTCCATTCTTCCCCTTCTCCTCCTCTTCTCTATATTCACGAATGGATGAATAATTAATTATATATGCCAAAATACTGTTAGTGGTTATCTCTGAGTAGTGGAATTAGTTACAACTTAATTTGCGACTTTTATAAGTCCTCACATCATCTGTACCTTATTATGCATGATTTTTAATAAGGAAAGAAACAGACATGTTATCTGAGAATATTTCACTAAAGAAAGCCATTTTCTCAAAATCTACACATTATCATTTTAAAACCATCAACTTTAAAAACTTTCTTACCAGTGCACTTTATTTTATGTGCAGAAAAATTTTCTCTGTGGCCTTTATTGTGTTGAGTTAATTATGAAAGAGGTGAAAAAAAAGCGGGGGAGGGGAGAGAAAGGCTCCAGTCATTTATCTTGTATGTTTTATTTTTTGCTGGAGCTAAATCTGCTCTGAATGGTGCACTTAATGAAGGTTTTTGAAAAAAAGAATAATGGAAATAACCACAGCATTTAGCTTTAGGAACTCAAAAGGGACAAGGCTGACAGAAATGTCAGTGAACAAAATTCTTATATTTAACAATAGAAAACTGAGTCTATTTTAGCTTAAACGAATTACAATTGCAATTTAAAATTTGTTCAGTTTCTAAGAACAGAAGGTATTGAGGTAAGAAAACACTTCCTGGTTATAATGTCACATTTTGAATTTGGAAATTTATAACTACTGAGAAAAGTAAATCTTCCTAGCATTTGTTTATAAATTTTTGGTTTAGACTTCTGGTTAAAAAAATTTACAATTCTAGGTATTCTATTAAGAATGAGAATCCCTTTGAGTATTACTATTCTTAATTTTATCATTCTAATTTATCCTTAAAAATATTACAATTTCTTCTTATCTTAAAAATGTGAAACATTAATATACTTATGTAATTTATCTACTTTATTTGTTCTGAAGTTTAAGCATCTATGTTTCCTACATTTCTACAACCATTTCTATAGTAACTTGTCAATATAGACATTAAGTAGTACTTAAATGAGAGGTATAAAATCTACAATATGTTTAACATGGCTGAGTTAACATTACTGGAAATCTTTGCATTTTTATAATCTCCAGTATTCTATACTTAGCAATTTTTTGGCTATTTGAAATATAATTTATTCTGCCAAAAGTATATTAGAATGTAAATTAGTTAATACTTTATCTTGTGTTAATGTGATATGTCAAAAATGAACAGTTTGAATCTATAAGACTGAAAAAATTACAGTGTGGCATAGTTTTTTTTTGCTTTGGTTTTCTAACTTTGAACTGACATGCAACAACTGTACCAACAGTAATGCTGGACCTATCTAAAACATCTGCATGCCAAAGTATGAATTTTCTCAAGTTCAAATTAGGAACTATCCTCAGAGAATGGAGGCCTGCCAGGAGTGAAGCTTCTGCACTCTGGGAGCCAATAATGGAGCAATAAATGAAATAGAGAAAAAAACATAATATGTTGGGCTAATATTTTTCTTAATTGAACAAACACATGCTATTGAGTATTTGCTATTGCTAATAAAAGACTGTTATACATACACATTAATAAACTGCATTCAAGCATCATTCTGAAGAGGTTTATGCTCTGCAATTCTCAGTCTGATTTTCAGGATGGTGACTGGAAATATTGGTGAATCTCTCTCTTCTTAGAAATGTATAAAATGTTTACTATTGTTGTTATTGGTAAAGAATATATAATTATTGCTTAAAAATAATTAACTTTACATGAATAACATATACATTATGTTATACTTAAATATATACACTATATATTCATTCCAAAAAAATATTTCTCAATCATGTAACTGTGTGTTAGACACCCCACGGTACTGAAAAGCTAATGTTACCTCATGAGTATGCAGTTTGGTGGGAAAAAACACCCAAACATAAATAAATAAAGTAATTGAAATTGCTACAAATGAGTTTTTAATCTGGTGTACATTCTTGAGGAAACATCTGAGGGACAGAGCTAAAGAGAATAACAAAAAAAATTTATTTTTTTTTATTTTTCTAAGAAAAATAGCTAGGCACGGTGACTCATGCCTGTAATCCCAGCACTTTGGGAGGCCGAGGCGGGCGGATCACCTGAGATCAGGAGTTTTAGACCAGCCTGACTAACATGGAGAAACCCCATCTCTCCCAAAAATACAAAATTAGCTGGGCGTGGTGGCGCATGCCTGTAATCCCAGCTACTCAGGAGGCTGAGGCAGGATAATTGCTTGAACCCGGGAGGCGGAGGTTGTGGTGAGCAGAGATCGCGCCATTGCACTCCAGCCTGGGCAACAACAGCGAAACTCCATCTCAAAAAAAAAAAAAAAAAAAAAAAAAATAATAATAATAATAATAATAATATACTTTGAAATAATTTCAATCTCACAGAAAAACTGCCAAACAGTGCAAAAAAATTCCTTTATTTCCATCATCCAGATTCCCCCCTTGAAAATATGGCATTTGCTCTGTTTCCCTGCATTCTTCTCCTACCCATCTCAAAAGAGGACCTATTTAAGCACCTTGATTAGAAATGGCCTCTGTGAGGAGCAGGTGCTACATGAACTAAGACCTCAAAATACTGAGAAGTAGCAGTCAAGCAAGTGTGGAGGGTTGTAAATATAGGGGACAGACATACAAATTCCAGAGATGGGAAAGAGATCAGCACTTGAAAAGAACAGAGTTTCCAGGACCTAGTATATGGTAGGAAGAGTGGAAACAAGGAAGAAAGGGAATGTGCCTTTTACAGTAAGAAATAGCGGTTTTATTCTATGTGCGATAAAAATCCAGTAAAAATCTCATGTGGAAATGATATAGTTTGATATACATTTTTAAAAGTTGTTATGTGGAAACAGATTGACAGGTTCATGAGAGCGAGTTTGATCCAGATTGGCTTAATTCTGTATTTAGGATTTGTATTTCAGTGCGGAATCTCTTTGGGGTTTTCAGTCCAATCAACTTATGTAGACTTCCTTCCAGTATTCTTTGCATTGACAAATTAGGAGACTAGGCAATGGTGTAAGCAAGGGTTGCTAATAGCCAGGTTTTGAATAGTAACAATGAAGATGGAGATGAACAGATAAATTTTAGTTTTATTTTGAAGAAAAAATTGACGGGATTTTCTGATGTATTATATATGAGGTGTTATGTGTGAGGTTCAGCAAATGAAATAGTTCAAGAATGGTACATAATTTCTAGATCTAGTAACATGAAGGATACTCATACCATTTTCTGAGATAGGAGAAAATTGGGGGTAACTGAACTGAATCAATAATTTATATTTTATACTTGTTAAGTATAAAAGTCTGTAACTTTTAAGGAATAAGCCATTTTTAAGCCTAGAGTGCAGACAGAGATCAGATTTTGAAAAATACATTTGGTGAACATCAAAATAAAGGCAATATTTAAATCCGTGGGAATAGATTAATATCACTGTACAATGATACTCACATATACAGTGAGCATCTTTTATGGAATAAATATTATTATAGGTATGGGGTATATCCTAGTGAATATGATAGATTTGTGGAGACTTTATTAGAGTGGGAGGTAGATAACATTGTAGAGAAAGGCCAGAAAATGAATTCTGAATATATAGATGTAGAAGTCTGGGTGAGGAAGAGTACCCAGAATAGTAGACTAAGAAAATCCAAGAGTGATCTAAAAGAGGGGGCTTTTAAGAAAAAGGAAATTGTTTAACCGTGGGGAGTATTGCTAAGTAGTCAAGCAAGCTAAACACAAGAATGAGTCCACCAGCTTGGCAATACAGAGATTGTTCGTGCTCTGAGAATACTCTATTGGTCATACTGGTGGGGACGTCAGAGTGAGCAGGCGTGGAGTGAATAAGCGGTGAGGATCAGAGACAGAGTGCAGACATTTAATTTTTTTTTTTTTTGAGATGGAGTCTCACTCCACCACCCAGGCTGGAGTACAATGGCATGATCTCGGCTCACTGCAACCTCTGCCTCCCAGGTTCAAGTGAGTCTCATGCCTCAGCCTCCTGAGTAGATGGGACTACAGGTGCACACCGCCACACCCGGCTACTTTTTTGTATTTTTAGTAGAGACAGAGTTTCACCATGTTGGCCAGGCTGGTCTCGAACTCCTGACCTCGGGTGATCTGCTCACCTCAACCTCCCAAAGTGCTGGGATTACAGGCGCGAGCCACCACACCAGGCCTTAAATCTTTATTAAAAACTAAAGAATTGTTGAAAGCAGCATCTCCAATTTCCGGCAAGTGGTCTGACCATCCTGCCTAAAATATCATTTAGGAAATTTTCAGATTTACTTTACTATTGAGAAAGGACAAATGAAAAATGTAGGGACCCCTTTTTAAAAAGGAGATCCATTAAATGTTTACCATAACATCCACAGAATTTTGGAGGCTTTCCAGATAAAGAAGGTTAGGATTTGCTCACATTTCACTAGATAGTCTTTAGGGTGTTGCAAAAATTATGATCAAATTAATCATATTTCTCTAAACTTAGTAATTTATTCACATTTATTAAATAGTCCATGATTATTAAGACAGACTTAACAGATTTACATTTATAAACACTCAGCATCTAATAGTGGTGTATCCATGTTTTAGATAATTTCAGTGTTCTGTATAGCATTTTCTCTGTGAGGAACTTCAGATTACTGCTAAGGTGTTTAAAACTTCCTTTGCTTAACGGTAACATGTAATGTTAGATTGCCAAGTAGCATTTGATGTATACTCAACCAATCCATAATCTTCCACAATGCTCCAAAATTACAGTAAACTTGCCCCACTACTGTAGCACTATGCAAGCCACCACAGTTTTCTTAATTTTAATAATTTTTGTTGAATAATATACATCTTTGGAATAGTGAAAACATTGCTTAAATTGGGGTGACAATAGGTAGCTTGTTCTTATATTAATATGTGGCTTAATATAACAAAATTGGAATGTAGGTAATATAGTAGACAAAGAAAAATCATTTTTTTTTAGAGGAAAGTAGATACAGAGCTAAAAAATGTCACAGGTTAAAATCAAAGCTCTAATAGTTTATATTGGACCTGTACTTAGGTTGAGTATTTTAAAAATATTATGATATTCATGTTGTTCACATACTCATTTTTCCCTTGAGTGAAAAGCTGCAAATTGCATATTGTATTTTTTTCTAGGAGAGGTAGGATCACACATATTATGTGTGTTGGGATAACCTAGGGTTGCTTTGTCTAGGGAGTTGATAAAAATAAATTTTTAGAATTCTTGATCAGAGTGCTAACTGCATATTTGCAGGATAAGTGGGACTATAATGAACCAGAAAACCGACTTCCTATTTAATTTTAACTTTAAAAATAAGCATTTGAGTTTTAGATTCAAAACGTGTTTTTATGAATGGAGAAAATACATACAATTCCTAATCTACATATTCACTATGCTCCCTAAATTCATTTATATGGTATTATTGGGAGCTGAGAATGGTTTTGTCTGAAAGAATAGCTTAGCCAGAGTAGCTTAGATTCTAGACCAGATCTAAAAGTAATCTTACTTTTACAGATAATGAGTTCTTTTCATTGTTCATTTGCTTGTTTTCAGTGTAGCTCTCTGTATCCGACAAAATGGCGCATAATCATCTGTGAAAATTGGAGGTAAGTACAGTAGTTTAAATTTAACCTATTAGAGGATGTTGTTCAAGGCACTAGGAGAAGACTGTGAACTTTAATTTGTCCTTGCTTTAACTAACAATCTCACTTGTGTTAAGATACATAGCAGCATTCATAGTTGCACCACTCTGTTATGTATTTGGGGAATCGGAGCTGCTCTGCCTTAGTAACCATTAGCTTACTGCAGTAGCTTTTTTAAATGACACTGAGATATCCTTCTGCTAAAAGTCAGTGCAGCCCTTCTATGAATGCATGTGACAATTTGTCTTCTCAGGAACATTTTCTCCATTTCTTTTCATACTTGAATTCTTAATAATTCCAACCAGAGGGACATCTGCCTCCTTCTCTAAATAGCAATGCTCTAGAGTTTGCCTGTCTTGAGGTTTTTTTGTTTGTTTTTTTTTTTTTTTTTTTTTTTTTTTTATCATTTGTGATGAACTCTTTAATGAGCAGTAGCAAAGGGATCCTGGAGTTCAGCTTGTTAATTAGCAGTACAGCTTCTGGCTAGTGTAAGGTCGAAAATAATTGATTTATATTTCAGTGTTATACCATATACATGTTCTCACACAAAAGTATTTAGTAATCTTACTGCAAAGAGGATTTTCAAAAAAAAATCTCTAAATTGCGTCTGCTTAGAAAGCAAGTCAGGAAGGTAGGTGTTTATATTTTATTCATGTGAAAGATTAAGAGGAGTGTTCTTATCCTATCATGCTTTCTTGTTATAGAATTTGAAAATGTAATAACATACAAGATTTTCTCCATGATTCTGGCTATATCTAGAGTAGTAATTTAAATAAAACTGGATTATAAATGATATAGGTATACTATATATTAGGACATTTCTAAACATTAACAAATAAATGCTTGTTTATAAATTTAAATTTATCACTGAGGTTAGTTATAGTCATAGACCCAATAAGATATGCTTGGCAACTTAGTGCAGTAAGAGGATATTGACTAGGAGTCAGAAGACCTAGATTCTATTATTAATTCTGCCACTATTTAGCTATGCAACCTTTGGCAAGTCATTTCTTCACTTCTCCCATCTGTAAAATTATGTAATTGATCTCTAATCTCTAAGGCAATTTGCACCTCTAAAATTCCATGAATTGAAGTTTCTTCTTCTCATTACCTTTCCCTTATACTGACATTTCTAGTAACTCAGGCAAGTGACATGCTCTAGCCTTCTTATTTCAATCTATCATACCAGAACATATTTAATATTATTATTTATGGCTTGAAATGCTCTTTATACCAGAATATAGGTCTTTGTTCATTTCCATATCAATATCTTTTAACTCTATTTGAAGAATAGCAGCCTTTGTCAAACTTTACAAGAATTTCTGGCTATATTTGAACAAATATCCATTTGGACTTTTACATTCACCTCTGTAAATAAACTATACTTAAATTCTGAAGAAGACATTTTTTGGTTGTTTTAGGCCCTCAGAGATGCTGGAAGGAGTTGTCAGATACTGCGTCTTCTCTTTCTATGTACTCTGTCCTTTATTTTGACTAAACATGATTACCAGCAATTTTGATGAAGAAATAAATGATGTGCTCATCAAATTTTCCCATGATATGCTGGATGAGAGGGCAGAAACAATATGTTTGAGAATTGTGATTCATCTCCAGAGCACCTCCAGGAACTAACAATGGGATATACAATAGGAAAGAAAATGTCAAAGCCTGCATTTTGGCAAAACAATAAAATCAACAGGACAAACCCAGAATTATAGAAACTTCACTTAAAAATCATATTCATCAAAGAAAAGACATTGTTAATTATCCAGAAAAATATGCTGCATTAACATAAGTAGAATATTTTGATGTCAGAAGGGGATATTCTTGTGTCACATCTGGACAGCTGCATTGAATAAGCTGCATTGAATTCTGTGTTTAATTATTTAGCTTAGTAAATACAGAGTTAAGCTTTAGTATAATATGATAGCTAGAAAGAGAAGCTCCCAACCCTGGCTGCCTTTCAAAATTACCTCTGAAACTTTCCAAAATTAATATGATAGAGCTCTGCCCTAAGAGATTTTACTAGTAGGTCTGGGATATATACTAAACAGCTGTATTGTTTTTATGTGGGTGCATAGCCAAGACTAAGAACCACTGGTAGAGTGGGAAGAGTTTGCTGTCCAAGAAACCTAGATAGAAATACAAAATTAATTACCTTGGCCTTTCACAATAATACTAATTATAAGAAGTACCAAATATTGCATAATTTCAATGACTTAAGTGGTTTACATATATTATTGCATTAATCCTTATAATAATCCTCTTTTATAATGATAGACTGTCAGTGATGTAAAGTTATTTTGCCCAAATAGCATATGTAATAAGTGGCTTCCTTGGTTTCAAAGATACTTCTCTCATTTCAATCATTATATTATATTATTAAAAAGTTACTTGTTGATGAACTGGGATGATGAAGGGAATCACAGTTTTAAGACACATTGCTAGCAGGCTTGGAGTAGAAACAGCCAGCCAGTGGGTTGGAAAGGACACTGGAGTCTTGCAGGGCACTGGTAGTCAGTAGTCACACTGCAGCCACAGAGCTGTGGTGGGAGTAGCATGTGAGCACAGAGCTGAGGAGGACCTCCCAGCTGCAAAATGGCACCAGCTTCTCCTTGAGGCAGAAGTCTCCTTAGAAAAAAGAAAAATGTAAAGGAAAACCCTTTTCTCATTTTGTCTATTCTGGGCACCAGAATATAAACAGAAATCACCAGCTAGAATTATATGTTGGGGTATCCAGTTCTTTCTAAGGGTCTAGTCTTTACAACTAAAGAAGGTGAGTGGTTTCAGCCTGGGGTTTTCTTTTGTGTGTCTCAAGTTGATCTGGCCCTATGTCACTTGTGCTGGTATATCTGTTTCTTACTTTATGGTCCATGCTGTTAATTAAAAGAATTTCTTCTGCTTAGTAACACTGGGTGTGTGTGTGCACCCACACACGTGCATGTATGCATGGCCAATACTGCATGCCCTCATCTAAACTGAGGGCTTACTCTACTATTTCTTTGTAAACGGTTATAACCATGAAAACAATTTTTTACAAAGCATTTTGTGTGAAAGGATTTGTCCTGAGCTGAAGACAGTTCCCTCTATGGCAGCACAGCATTCTTCAAATCATGGAAACAAGAACTCAATTTACCTTTGTGAAAACTAGACTGGCCTGATAGTAATTGCATTGCTCTCAGAGCCAGAATGAGACTGGAAGTGATGGTGGGTTGACAGCAGTTCTAAACAACATTTTTAGTCACTACAAGACAGACTCAGAAACATGTTGTTGCAGTGGGGATGGCTCATTGGCTCATTTCAATTTGTTATCACAGGACTAGTAAAGAAGGAAGAACCTGTAGGGGTTTCTTATATACTTATTTAATATTCAAATAGATATTCACTCCATAAAGACATAGTCTAACTTGCCAGGACCAAGAAATTATAAGCTTCAATTTGAGCCAATAAATTTTGGAATCTTGATTATAACTAGAATCTTGATTTTTCTGCTTTATATATGACCCAGGAAATAAAAGTTACATAAATAAGCCATAAAAAGCACACCAAAAACATATTCCTTTTCTTCAAAGAGCTTTTATTCTAGATATATTTCATTTTGGAAAAGCTTTGTTCACTTGAAGAATTTTGTATTATTACACTTTTAAATTTAGTCATTAATAAGTTAATTACATCTTGGAGAAAATACTTAAAATATACTTTAAGAAAGTGAAACATTTTACTTGTTCTGCCAGTGTTGCCAGAGTGGTAGAAAGTTATTTCAGAGTAAGAATGACTGGAAACAAATAAATAAACAACAACAAAAAACCACATAAAAAAATGAAGAATGGGCACAAATGACTATACATGTATTTCCCTGCAAGTACCTGAAATAATCTTGGGAGCCTGTTATTATACTAGAGCTATTTTACCGAAAAACCGATAAAAGTAAAACCAGTGTATGAAGACACACAAGATGGAAGTGTCCATTATCATGGCATTTGAAATATAAGATTTATAGGTCTCCAATGCTGCTGAAGCCGGCTGAATATGCTGGTTCACTGAGTTCAGGTTGTTATGCCTAGGTTGGGGCTCACTAAAAGATTCTAATGCAGTAGCCTTGATTATGCCTTTGATGAGCTTAGTGACTTTTGTGGCATACTCAATTCATATTTGAAGGCAATGTTTTCCTCAATAAATTCATGTCATTATGAATATCGAGGCCATAGAAATAATGATTGATTCTTCTTTTGTGCACAATGTGCTATTGATTTTTCTTTGTCAGCATAAATTAATGTACCCTTTTAACTTCCCAGGACAAAACAAGCTAACTCACCTTCTTTTTTCAGTGGTGCCATATTAGAATGATGTATATGTACTGACAGCTTTGTTTCCTTTAGATATTGCTACAATAATTATATTAAATTCCCACAAATTACTACTAAAAGTACTTAAATCACTAAGTTTAGTGGTCAGTGCAATTTTATGTATTGAAAATTCTGGAGAAGATACATGGTAAGAATGATAGTCTGTGTCTAACGTGTGTGTATGTGTGTTTAAATATAAGGATACAAAATATATTAGGCCAAGTGAAGTTCTGAATACTTCATAATATGAAAGTTGTGCTTTAGTGGGTTTGGAAATTGGTTTAGAGAGTTTTAAGGCAAAAAATCAGTGGAGATGAATTATTTTGCATAGAGAGCAAGCATCTTAATTGTTTAAAGGTTTACTCATATTTTGTTTCTAACTTTTAAACAATGTATTCTGGTATCATTGAATTAGGAAGTGTATTCTTAAAATTCACAATCATATAATTGAAAAGTCTTGTTATTCTTAGACTTTTAACAAGAAAAATTATTTGAGTTGTTAGGTATATTAAGCTTTTCTTTTACAAAGGTATACCTTTCATGTATTTATTACCCAAGGGGGTGGTTTTTATGTGTTTCCTAATGGTCTTTCATCATTCTAACATTAAACACAAGGTACTAGGGATTCTAGAATAAGAATGAAAACAACAGAGTTTTTAGGACCACCTCATTGCTGACTACTTGGAGCAGGATTAACAGTGTGGTCTATGTGACTGGTTACTCCTGGAGTGTCTAGTGTACAACTCACATAAGTATTTTATATCCCTGATTGATTTTTCATGGAAGATAATAATTTTTATTTGTTTTTAAATTATTTATAAAGTATTAGTTCACTTTAGAGTATGAAAGATATATCATGACATATATTTCTCTTCTCCCTCTCAACTTTTGTTTTTTGAGGCACTTATTTGTCAAGTATAGGATGTAAAAATATCCAGAATAAATTTCAGTTGATGTCTTGCATCTGAAGATTCATATTTTCTCTCCATCTTCCCCACCTTCTTTGCATTCCCAATACAGTGTCTCTCTTTAGGACACACATATTATTACAAGGTTTATTACCACTGTGGAGTTCCTCCCCTTTGACCTCTCTCCAGCACTTGACCCATTCTCAACTGCTTTCTGGTGAATTATTTTCATATATAATTTACACTTACTCCCAACAAGCCAAACAGATCAAATGGATGGTATCCATTCACTTTTTAAACAATTTCTCTGGTAAATGTAACTTCTAACACCCATGTAAATGTTGCAATATTTCTGTAAAGAGACACTGAAAGTTCAAGAGAGTAAACCTGGAAGTGCAGCATATTAAATTCAGTTTGATTACTGGCATTTCTCTTGATTAGATATATGCTGGACTCATAGAGGGTTTGGGGGTGCTTATGCTACAAATATTAAGTATTCCTTCCATGAAGAATTGTGAAAAAAATCTTATAGCTTCTACATCTGATGTCTGAGAAATAATACATTATCTATTCACTGTAAGCATCTGAGTAGAATTCCATTAGTTATTCTTTTATGAAATAGCTTTGCGTTTTCTCTTTGAGATACTTAACAAGCCTAACATCAATATTTTATTTGTTCCCTATTCTTTTGAGATATTTTGTATCAAATTCATTGCAATATTTCTAAACATCAAAAGCAAAATGTTAGCATAATAGAAGAGAAACAGAGAACACTAAGTAACCACTAATAAAAAGAAAATTAATTCATAAGCTCTCTGTAGTAGGCTTCAAATATTTTTGTCAAGAACTGTAGGCAATTTTAATAATTCTTAAATATTCTTAATATTTAATCATAATTATATCAAGTATATAGATCTGCATGTGCATATATGATAATTGTTATAAAATCATGTTTGTTTAGCTTGACTTCTCTCAGATTAATTATCATCTCAATTTCTTTTAGTCCTCCCCGTTTTCTTATACATATGAAGCCTCAGCCGTGATGGCCCATCTATCTTTTTTGTTAATTTACCACTGCTGAAACCTTTATATCCTAATCTAACACCATTTTCCTTAGTTCCTGATGAGGTAAGTTCCTCAGGCTGAGTTTCAGAACTTTCACCACACCAGTTTTTCTGAATTCTCATACTTTATCTGAAGTTTTCTTCCAGTTCATTTGCCTCTTTTCTGGGGTAAAGAGGACAGGGTAAATATATTTCTGTCCTCTAGACATCATTTTTAAACTCCTCTCACTATACACTCTCTGGTGAAGCTTAGCAGCTCCCATGATTTGATCCAAATTTTTCCCAAATCTGAACTTCAGCACAAATTTCTCCTTGGTTGTAGATGCACGTATCCCAGTGCTCCTGGGCTTCCTTATGTCTCACACCAAATCAGCCATGTAGTCCTGTACATTCTGTCTTCTTAAAATCTCTCCCCTCATTCTCATCTTCAACCTCATTCCCTGTGCTTCAGTAAATGACTTGATTATCGTGTCTGTACTATGGCAGCGGTTCACCAGCTGCTGTCCAACTCTCCAGTCTTGTATTCCCCTGCATCACCCTATATACATTGAAAAATCTTTTACCAACACAAAAATGATCTTATTGGTGTTTCCTTAAGTCCCTTGGTCAGTGTTCTCATGCAGCTTAAAATCCAAATTGCTTTAAGGACACCACATTTTCATCCTCAAATATCTCTCCATCCTTGCCTGTTTTTTTGACATGGTTTATAACCCCCACTCCAAGTATACTGGATCCAAATCGTTCTGACATATGTAGACACTGAAATCTTCTCCGCTGTTGATAAAACTGGTCTATCTCTTTTTTTTTTTCTGAAGAGAGTTCTTGCTTTTTTTCCTTCTGATGATAGAAATAAACATTTTAAAGATTTTTGCTCTCCTAATTAGAGCTATAGCACAATATGTCAATATAATCATTATATTATCTCATATAAAGATTATAATGATCTTCATTTTTACTACTAAAGACTAAGGCATAGAGAGGTTAAGCAACCTGTCCAAGGTCAAAGGCTGGGAGTGTGTCAGAGCTGATATCTGTAATAAAAGCAATGTAACTGTTATTGCTGAAAGGCTTGTCTACATTAATTTGGTGCAAAGATGTGAAGAATTTAAAATGAACAGCTTAACCCCCAATGAAATTAATAAAGTGAATACAAGTCAAATGCAAGGAATTACTGAAAGAAATGTTTGTTATTGTTTATGTGGTTGTTTGGGTCTTAACTCTAGACTTACAGACTCAAAAACAACCTCGTGGCTTAATTTAAAATAAGTAAAGTAATAGACTTTGTCAGATTAGCAGTACATAACACAGAAGTATTTGACAGAGTGCAGAGACACAACTCTGATAAGGAAACAATGAAGAGTTATTGTCTCAATCATCTTCTTTATCAGAACATAAGCTCCAAACAGAGGATATTGCAGACCATACATCACTCTCCTAGAGGGGAGTCTCCAACTAAAATAGCCACATGGTATTTCTGGAACAATTTCAGAAATGAGAAGAGTTCTTTTGTCATATGGAAAAGGTAATAGTCTGTCTTTTATAGAAAGAATGATGCTGTGGCAGGCAGCACTTATGTTTTGCCAAGCAAATAATGAAATCGTGAGAGTTCACTTTTGCCTCAGTTGTACTGGTTGTCATTTCACCTTTCCTTTTGAGAAAGAAAAGTGGCAAAATGGTGTTTTTTTATTTCTATTAAGTAGTTTTGTAGAGTACAGTGAAAGAAATCCTGAGCAAAAGATACTTGTAAAAGAACTTTCCATATTTCATATACATATAATATTCCACTAGAATTCATGATGTTTTCCTAGACCCTATTATAGTAGAAAAAGATTTCTTTTTTACTTTTGGAAGAACATGAAATTGTAACTTTTGTGGCTTGTAAACCTCAAAAAGAAAACAAAAACAAGTAGTGCCTTTATCCAGTAGAAAAATTATTTTTGTTATATTTGTGTAGTTCATAGGATGTAAAGGATCACCATAATATATTTGACAGAAATACATGGCTAGAACTATGAGTGTGATTTTTAAAAATTATTGATTACTTCTAAGCACAGGCATTGCAGCCTTCTGGCTAGACTTGCAATGCCCTCCTTTCAAGTCAATACATAACTCTCCAGATCTACTTTCTCCTATAAAATGGTCAATGTACTGTTGAGTAGATTCAGTTTTGAAGAGAGAGAGGCAGTACAGCATTTCAATTGGAATTCTTTTGACTGGAGGGTTGGGTGATTAAGCTGGTCACTTGTGGAAATATATTGATTTCATGATATATTTTCAGGAACCTATTTTTCTTTTCTGAAACTCTGTGTCATGATGTGCTATTTAGAATTTCTTCTCTTCCCAGAGGGACATGGTATAGCTTTCATCAGCTGCAATGAAGGTACCACAATGAAAAAAAGGAATATGGTGTCATTGTAAATGCACAAATATGAATTTGTGTTTTCCTTGGTTGTTTAAGGGGTATAAAGTAAACATTTTATCTTATGCATTTACATACTACGAAGAAAAGAATACTATGATGTATTAAATTTTTAACTTACAGATAACATAATAAAATGTATAAAATACTTAGCTTTGTACCTAGCGTAGAATGTTGCTTACATTATAGATTAGATTTTTTCCTTTTATGCTAGATTTCTTTGCTACACAGAAGACAACTTAGGAATTGTTCTTTAAAATTGATTATTTTGCATGAATAGTCTCATGGCCTCTGTTTCAAATCTTACTTGGAAAGAAATTAACATTTGTTGAGCATATATTATATGCCAGGCACTTTCAAATATTACATTTCATATAATGGTCACAAGAATTTTTTGAAGCAGAAATTTTTACGCTTTTCTAGATGAGAAAAATGAGACTCAGAAATGTTATGTATAATGAATCATCCAAGTAATAAGTAATGTAATCAAATGAAACCCAGTACTTTAAACTCAAAGACCAGTTTTCACTTCAGATGTCATAATATGTCATACTAAACAGTCATCTCCAAGCCACTGCCAATGTTTTAGAAAATATGCAAACTTAAACTAGAAATAAATTATTTGGATAAAGATATATATAAATAAAATCCGATTGCTTGCAGGAATATAATATACATTCTTATGTTTTCAATTTTTCTTCCTTGTTGACTTTTTTCGTGTGTACTGCATTTTTAGATAGTCCCTGTGAGATTTTCCTCAGGTAAACAACATAGTAACAAAATTTGGTGCATAATTTTGGGGCCCATTTTCTACCCTGTCTAACCCCCTTTCTATTTATCTTCATTTAATGGAGAGTAGACATTTAAAATGACTTGATTTCCCAGCCTCCTCTGCAGTTAGGGGCGGCCTAGTGATACAGTTTGGGCCAATGAGGTATAGAAAGAAGTCCCTATAGAAAACTACCCTTTTATCTTTGTCTTTTCTCTTACATGTGTCTGAAAAATAGACCACATAAAAAACATTGCTTACGAAGACAGACAGAGCCTACACCAGCTCTGGGTTACTAAACCCTGGACATGATATTGCATAAGAAAATAAACCGTTTACTTTTTGAAAGACTATGTTTTTATGGCTTTTTGTTACTTTCAGCTTATCACATCTCTGATGTAAAATTATATTCTAATTCTGTAAAATCAGTTTAAAATTGATTAGAATAAAGATAAGGCTTAAACACTGAGAACATGATTAGGCCAGTATCATTTAGCTAAAATACTTATTTCTCACCTACACCCTCTGCTTTCACCAAACGATACCTTCCTTGCCTCCCATTTACATTCCACTAAGTTGTATAACAGATTTGGCAACCATGAAAATTAATTCCATATTGAATTATCATTGAAGCCAGAAGTAAGATTGTTATCCCAAATATTTGCTCTTTGGATGATATAAATTTGGTCCAGTGTTTGTAGCAGCCAAAATAAATTGGGAAATACAAAGTGCTACATGATTCTTGGAATCCAGAAGATGAAAACAAAAATCATTATTTTGGAAAAGTGAAACTATTCCTGTTGCACATACCAGAGAACACTTCCCCCCGCTCCCCTTCATGGGCCATAATAAAGAGTAAAGAATTTATATTAAGTCATTGAACTCTTTCCCCAACAATGTTTCTTTATACATTGAGTTATCTAGGAATTTTTTTGTAACCCTCTTAAGTGTTTGATGTCATTAAACTGCTATTAAGCTATTATATGCCTAATAAGCACAATCAATAAAAACCAAGCAATGGAAACCAAAACAATGCAGAGATGGGTTATCTGCAAGTCCTTGAGAACATCCATCACATATTGTTTCATTCAGCAGTCTTTGCCAAGTGTGAAGCACACTTCCATTGTTGCTTTCTGATTGAGGGTAGGGAGACGGCATGAATATACTCCAAAGTAGAAAGTTTAGTCTGTATTTAAAGAACATTTAAGGAGATTAGATATTAGTTTGAATGAATCAAATCAACAAATTACCAAGCTCCTACCAAGTGGGCTGGTCACTTAAGATTGTGAACCACAGGATGTGTTTGTGTAAATGTTTCTTAGTTGTTTAAATATCCTATCTTAGCTCTAGTGAGGTTGAAGATATGAGGTCTGATTTCTGACTGACCCTAGGTAGCTACATCTGGCTTAGAGAAGGAAGTACACTATGCCTTGCTTTTTTTTTCTGTGTATTCCTTTCACTGCTATCTCTACATTTTCTCTCCCCCATGACCCTCCCCCTGTCTTCTCTCTCCTCTCCCTTCCTGTTCTTCTCCCTTTCATCATTATCCAAATTTGTTTATTCTATCTTATTTTTTTTAAACTGTTCTTTCCTTTGTCCTAACCATGCATGAAATTCAGGTTTGAATTCATGATTTTCTGGCAATTAATCTCTGTATTTGGTGTTATTTAGGATTATTTTTAAAATATGTGAAAGATGGAGCCAACTCCTTTGGGTAAACTCACTGATTACTAGGAGATACAGCATCGTGGATCTGGTTACACTTGCCTGTGAATTTCTGAGTGTACTTTTTTCCTGAGAATCATCCTGTTTGGTAATATGTGAACATTAGAGTAAGTAGATAACCGAGAAGGACTGATAAGATAATTAACTCTTCAGAAAGATGGAACGTAGCAGCTCTAACGTGTATAAACATAGTCCTCTGTCTTGACAAAAACTAGGTTAGTCATTCAGTACTTTCTAGGATGGAAGTAATTTTTTACATCACTTTCATCTCTCCCTTATAAATTGCAAAAAGATGGGAGTGTCATGGTTCATCTAATAGTTTTCCTTTTGCCTATAGAAATTTTAAGGCAAATCGAAGAGGATAAGACAAGCTGATCAAGCCCTTTAAAATCTCCTCTTTACTTTTTAAATATAATTGAAGATTCCAAAACACAAAGCCTGAGCTTTTCAAAAACAATTGGGTCAGGTGTATGGAGACATTTTTAAGACTAAATTAGATGAGAATGCTTATTAATTTTGGACTTATGGTTTGGGGTTTGAGTACGATTTCATTACATGAAGGTAGGGTGAGTTATGGAGAAAAAAGAGAACTAAAATGTTACGCTTGTAAATTTACTTGAGTGGATTAATATCTGAACAAAAGAATATAGTTGGCATTTTGCTAGGCATCTAAACAAATAATAAACTCCACGTAGGTTTTCTTTTTTTCTCCCTAAGAGTCATGTGGAGAGGTGTGCAGGAGTGCAGAGCAAGTGGGGAGAACATTTATGGAAAGTAAAAGTTGAAATTGTCATCTATATTCAGTATTGTGAAGTTATAAGAGGATTTATTGTTTGATTGGGAATATTAGAAAAATTACAGTGAATTACTTTTATGTTTTATAAATATTAAGTGAAATTGAGGTATTTTGGGGGGAATGATAAAACAATTTAAAAACAAAAAGAGAAAAATAAATTCAACAAATACATTTTGTAGTGTGAAGATTCTTTCCTCAAAATGTTATGGATGACTCTATTATAATGGAGGATTGAGGTTAATAATCCTAGAATCCTACAGTTCTTTACTGTAACTGTGTCAAATAAAGATACTTATCTTTATTTCTCCCATGTGCCTACTGATTTTTTATGCCTTCTAATTCACTGCAGTCATGGAACTGAGATTACTTTTTAATCTCTATCGTTCCTATTACAATTTAATAATGTGTATAGAGCTTTGAAAAATACTTTTTGTAAAACCAAATTTTTAGAAGATGATATTAGAGAGTTAAAATGTAGGGTAATTTAGTAGAATGTCCAAAAATAAGGTCCATGGAGGAAAATATAAATTAGAAGATTAAACTTTTCAAATTGATACTCAATTATTAACCTAGTGGATACATGGACAGTAATTATAGTAATTATTACATTTTTATTCATCAAACAGCACATTTACTTTATAAATATGTTTCCTGAGAAAACTCAATAATATAATAATGTTCATGAAGAACAATTGATTAGATAGCTGTAAAGGATAATACAAATGAAAAAGACAAGAAAAGTATATTACTGCATACAATATGTGAAAAGCTAGTCATGGAATGAGCACATAACACCATTATTCTTCTCAAAGCTAGGTGTCCATCTGGCCATGAAAGGCAAGTATATACAAAATCTTTTTGCTAGTTCAAATAAGATAAAGAAAATACAGCTTGGGAAAAAATGTTAAGAATTCCTTTCATGTATGATAATTTGCTGAGGACTCAATCATACAGATAAATCATGATTATTTTATGATGCTTTCATTAGTACTATAAGCAACACTTATTTATGTATTTATATCTTCTAGATCTCATACTGTCCAACTCTAAAGTAGAGATAACACTACCCTACTTCTCTTCTGACTTGGAATCATGACATTAGAGTTGTATCTGGATAAGAAGTGACTTTTTGTAGTCAGTTTATTTCTTGATCTGATGCTAATATTCTCTTTATTATGATCTTAGGAAGGCGACTCACAACTGAATTTTGTCTACTGGTGGGGAGGTCTGTCCTATCTTTGACTTTATGACTGACATGCGAAGAACTTCTTTATTTTAATCTAACATATAATTTCACATAATTCTTTCTCTTACAGAACCTAGTTTCATATCTTAGAAACATGGAGAACATATTTGGCCCCTCTTCCAGACAATAATCCTACAAATATTTGGAAAATATAAATTTTCACCAAATTCTCTCATCTAGATTTTTTCCAATTTCTTTCTTGTTTTAATTATACTTTAAGTTCTAGGGTACATGTGCACAACATGCAGATTTGTTACACGGGTATACATGTGCCATGTTGGTTTGCTGCACCCATCAACTCGTCATTTACATTATGTATTTCTCCTGATGCTATCCCTCCTCCAGCCCCCCACCCCCCAACAGGCTCCGGTGTGTGATGTTTCCCAACCTGTGTCCAAGTGTTCTCATTGTTCAGTTCCCACCTATGAGTGAGAACATGCGGTGTTTGGTTTTCTGTCCTTGTGATAATTTGCTTAGAATGATGGTTTCCAGCTTCATCCATGATCAGAGAAATGCAAATCAAAACCATAATGAGATAGCATCTCACACCAGTTAGAATGGTGATCATTAAAAAGTCAGGAAACAACAGATGCTGGAGAGGATGTGGAGAAATAGGAATGCTTTTACACTGTTGGTGGGAGTGTAAATTAGTTCAACCATTGTGGAAGACAGTGTGGTGACTCCTCAAGGATCTAGAATTAGAAATACCATTTGACCCAGCGATCCCATTACTGGGTATATACCCAAAGGATTATAAATCATGCTACTATAAAGGCATATGCACACGTATGTTTACTGTGGCACTATTCACAATAGCAAAGACTTGGAACCAACCCAAATGTCCAACACTGATAGACTGGATTAAGAAAATGTGGCACATATACACCATCGGATTTTCTCCAATTTCTTAACTGTTTATATTTTAGAATAATCTTGTCTATATCTATAAAAAATCTTGCTAAAACTTTGATAGGAATTCCATAAACCTACCCATCGATTTGAGAAAATGACATCTTTACTATGTTGAGTCTTTCAATCATGAACATGTATCCCTATTTAGCTCTTTGATTTCTTTGTCACTGTTTTGCAATTTTCAGCATACAAGTCCTTTAAATGTATTGTTAGATTTATACCTAAGTGTTTCACTTTTGAATGATTGTGAATGGCATTGTATTTTTTATTTTAGTGTCCGTGTACTCATTGCCAATATATAAAAATGTAGCTAACTTTTATGTGTCTTCAGCTTTATTGAAGTATAATTGACATATATATATATATTTAAGGTGAACAACATGATGTTTTGATATTTGTATACACTATGAGGTGATTATCACAATCAGGCTAATTAACAAGTCCATCAACTCACATTTATATTTTGTGTGTTCAGTTAGAATTTATAAGATCTACTCTCTTAGCAATTTTCAAATATACAATATATAATTATTAACTTTAGTTACCATGCTATACATTAGATTTCCAGAACTTATTTATTCTGCATAATTGAAATGTTGAACCTTTTGACCAGCATCTCCCCATTTTTCCCAGCCCACAGCCTTTAGCAACCACCATGAATTTTCTGTGTTATCAGGTCATCTGCAAATAGTAAGAGTTTTACTTCTTTCTGATCTGTATGCCTTTTATTTCCTCTTCTTGCTTTATTGCCCTAACTAGAATTTCCAGCCCTACATTGAATGAGAGTGGTGAGAATGAACATACTTGCCTTATTCCTAATCTTAGTGGGTCACCATTCACTCCCCCTCAATTAAAAATAATGTTAGCAGCAGGTTTTTCATAGATCATTTTATTGATTGATGAAGTTCCCCTGTATTCCTATTTTTCTGGGAGTTTTTGTGAATGGGTGTCGAATTTTGTCATTTGTTTTTTCTGATCAATAAATATAATAATGCAATTTTTCTTTTTAGCCAGCTCCATAAAGAATTATAATACATTTTTCAATATTGAACCTTCAAAAAACTCCTTGGTGTATAATATTTTTATAAATTGTCATATTCTATTTTTAAAAATATTCTGCGAAGGATTTTTGTGTCCATGTTAATCAAAATTCTGTTTGAAGGGAAACATTATATTCTATTTTAGGAGTATATTTTGGAATACAAAGTATTTTAGTTCTTTATTCTTCTTATATCAATGTTAAAGCAAGTGTGGTAAAATAAGTATGGATTTATAGGAAAGCTATCCATTAGTAGGTAAATATTAGTTATGAATATATGAATGAAAACAATTTTCCCAAATTACTTGATAGGTAGAAAAACCTCAATTGTATGTATATGGCATGCTTATGTGTGTATGCTATTTTTGTTTAATTTTATTATTTATAACATATAGTGCTTATAATACACAGAGTACTATTTGTAAATATTAATTTATTTAATTAGACTTATAGTCCATAAGGTAGTAGTATTATCCCTGCATTGTATGTTACTAAGCAAATCAGTAAATAGAGAAGAAAAAAATTGAACACTAACTGTCAACTCATCTTTTTTCTTTGCGGCCAGAAACATATTTACATATTTATGCTAATAGATAACCAAAATGTTGTCCTTTATTGGTTACAAGTAAAGTTTTATTATTTTCAAAAACATCATGTTGTTAATGTTATAGCCAAGAAAAAATTTCAAATAAACTTGGATTTTCTGACAATAAAAGAGCTATATGAAGAAAGGCATGCTTAGTTCATTAAATAAATATTTATTGCCCCTTCTGTCATGTGAAGACACTGAGGAAAAGCTGTCTACAAACACAGAAGTGGACCTTCACCAGATACTGAATCTCCCAGTGCTTTGATCTTCAACTTCAAGGGCTGCAGAACTGGTCTCACTTTGTCCCCTAGGCGGGATTGCAGTGGTGTGATCATAGTTTACTACAGCCTCAAACTTCTGGGATCAAGTAATCCTCCTGCCGTGGCCTCCCAAAGTGCTGGGATTGCAAGCATGAGCCACTACACCTGGCCAAGGATGATCAATTCATTATTCTGCCCCATGTATTACAAAGATGGTGTGGTATGTGAAAAAAAATAAACTCAACATGGAGAGAAGGATCAGAACTTGATAGAACATGAAATAGGCTGAATGCCTTGTTAAAAGGTGCCAGAGAAATTGTATCTCACCAAAATTTGTGAAGACCTCATCCATGATCTGAAACTGTCTCAGAGTCACTCAAAACATCAATACCAACATCTCCAGATAAGAAGGAATCAGCACAAGAATTCTATCATCATGAAAAATTTGAATGTAGTGACACCTCCTGCACTAGTTCTCCAATGATTCCTAACCAAAATGAAAACTCAAAAATGACAGATAAAGAATTCAAAGCATGAATTGCTAGGAAGCTTAATGAGATCCAAGAAAAGGTTCGAAAGCAACACAAAGAAACTTCTAAAGTACTTCAGAAAATGAAGAGATAAACATCTTTAAATCAATCAGAACTTCTGGACTTGAAAAACTCACTTAAGGAATTTCAACATATGATCAAAAACCTTATCAATAGAGGAAGCAGAAGAAAGAATTTCAGAGCTTGAAGACAAGTCTTTTGAACTAACCCAGTCAGACAAAAATTTAAAAATATATAATTTAGAAAAATGAAGAAAGTATTTGAGCAATACAGGATTGTGTAAGGTGACCAAACCTATGAATTATTACCATTCCTGAAAGATAAGGAGAAAGTTAACAACCTGGAAAATATATTTGAGGGACTAATTCAAGTAAACTTTCCTAATCTTGTTAGAGGAGTAGATATCCAGATACAAAAAAATCTAGAGAACACCTGTGAGATATTGTACAAAATGAACGTCATCAAGGGATATAGTCATTAGACTGTCCAAGGTCAATGCTAAAGAAAAAATCTTAAAGAAAGCTAGAGAAAAAGGTCGGATCACTTACAAAGGGAAGCCCACCAGGCTAATGGTGGACATCTCAGCAGAAACCTTACAAGTTAGTAGAGATTGGGGGTCTTTTACAGCATATATATATATATATATATTTTTTTTTTTTTTTTTTTTGAGATGGAGTCTCAGTCTTTTGCCCAGGCTGGAGTGCAGTGGCATGATCTCGGCTCACTGCAACCTCCGCCTCTTAGGTTCAAGTGATTCTCCTGCCTCAGCCTCCCTAGTAGCTGGGGTTACAAGAGTGCACCACCACGCCTGGCTAATTTTTGTATTTTGAATAGAGACGGGGTTTCACCATGTTGGCCAGGCTGGTCTTGAACTCCTGACTCAAGTGATTTGCCCACCTCTGCCTCCCAAAAGAAAAGAAATTCCAACCAAGAATTTTATATCCTGCCAATGTAAGCCTCATAAATGAAGGAGAAATAAAATCTTTACCAGACAATAAAGCACAAAGGGAATTAATTAACACTAGATTAGCCTTACAAGAGATCTTTAGGGGAGTTGTAAGCATGGAAACAAAAGGACAATACCTGCTACCACAAACACACACTTAAGTATGTAGCCTGAAGATGCTATAAAACAATCACGTAACAAAAATTACAAAGTAACCAGTTAACAACTTCAAGATAGGATAAAACCTCATACATCAATGTTAACCTTGAATATAAATGGTCTAAACACCCCCATTTAAAAGGCATAGAGTGGCAGGATGTATAAAAAAATAAGACCCATCCATCTGCTGTCTTTAGGAGACCCATCTCACATGTATTGACACACACAGGTTCAAAGTAAAGTGCTGGAGAAAGATCTACCACGCAAACGGAATACAAAGAAGAGCAGAGGTCACTATTCTTCTATCACATAAAATAGACTTTAAGCCAAAAACAATAAAAAAGCACAAACAAGGACTTTTTACATAATTATAAAAGGTTCAATCTGACAAGAAGACAACTATCATAAATATATATGCTCCTAACATTGGAGGATCCAATTCATAAAACAAGTACTTGTAGATATACAAAGAGACTTAGCCCCACAATGATAGTGGGGGACTTCAACAGACCACTGACAGCATTAGACACATCATTGAGATAGAAAACTTACAAAAAAATTCCGTACTTACACTTCACATTTGAAGAATTGGACCTAATAGACATCTACAGAATACACCCATCACCTGCAGTACATACATTGATCTTATCTGCACATGGAACATACTCCAAGATTGTCCACATGCTTTGTCATAAAGCAAGTTTTAATACATTCTAAAACATAGAAATCATGCCAACCTTAGTCTTTGGTGACAATGGAGTAAAAATAGAAATCAATACCAAGAAGATCTCTCAAAACCACACAACTATATGGAAATTAACTTGCTGCTGAATAACTTTAGGTTAAACAATGAAATTCATCCAGAAATTTAAAAAAAAAACTTTGAAATAAAAGAAAATAGAGAAACAACACACCAAAATATTTTGGATACAGCAAAAGCAGTGTTAAGAGGAAATTTTATAGTGCTAAACACCTACCTCTAAAAGGTAGAAATATCTCAAATTAATGATCTAACATTAAACCAGCAGAACTAGTAAAACATGAACAAACTAACCCCAAAGCTGGCAGAAGAAAAGAAATAACTGAAATCAGAGTGAAACTGAACAAAATTGAGACCCCAAAACCCATACAAAAAATCAATGAAACCAAAAGTTGTTTTTTTAAAGGATAAACAAAAATCAATAGATTGCTAGCTAGATCAACCAGGAAAAAGAGAAGACCCAAATAAACACAGTTAGAAACAACAAAGATGACATTACTGATTCTGCAGATATACAAAAGTTCCTCAGAAACTATTATGCACATAAACTAGGAAATCTAGAGGAAATGGATTAATTTCTGGAAACACACAGTCTCCCAAGATTGAATCAGGAAGAAACTGAAACACTGAACAGACCAGTATCAAGTTCTGAAATTGAATCAATAATAAAAAAAAAACTACCAACAAAAAAAACAAAGCTCTGGATCAGATAGATTTTACCAGATGTACAAAGAAGAGCTGGCATTAATTCTACAAAACTATTTCAAAAAATTGAGGAGGAAGGACTTTTCCCTAACTCATTCTACAAAGTCAACATCACCCTGATATCAAAGTCAAAGACACAACAAAAGGAAAACTACAGATCAATATCCTGGATGAACATAGACACAAAAGCCCTCAAGAAAATACTAGCAAACTGAATACAACAACACATCAAAAAGTTAATTCACCAAGATTAAGTAGGCTGCATTCCTGAGATACAAGGTTTGTCCAACAAATACAAATAAAAAATGATTCACCACATAAACAGGACTGGAAACAACAACAACAAAAATCATCACAATAGATGCAAAAAAAAAGCTCTTAATCAAATCTAACATCCCTTCATGATAAAAACCCTCAAGAAATTAGGCATTGAAGGAACATACCTTAAAATAATAAGAGCCGTCTATGTCAAACCCACAATCAACATCATACTGAATGGGCAAAAACTAGAAGCATTCCCCTTGAGAACTGGAAGAAGACAAGTATGCCAACTTCTGCCAGTCCTATTCAACGGAGTAATAGAAGTGCTTGCCAAAGCAATCGGTTAGAATAAAGAAATAAAACGTTTCCAAATAGGAGAAGAAGGCACACTGTCTAATTTGATACCTAGAAAACCCTAAACAGTCCACCAAAAGGCTCCTAGAACTGATAAACAACGCCAGTGAAGTTTCAGAATACAAAATCAATGCACAAAAATCAGTAGCATTTCTGCATACAAATAACATTCAAGCTGAGAGCCAGATCAACAATGTAATCTCATTTATAATAGCTGCAAAAAAGTAAAATACATAGGAATACATCTAATTAAGGAGGTGACAGATCACTAAAAGGAGAACTACAAAACACTGCTGAAGGAAATCATAGATGACAGAAACAAGTGGAAAAACATTCCATGCTGATGGATTTGGAATAATCAATATTGTTAAAATGGCAATACTGCCCTAAGCAATCTACAGATTCAGTGCTATTTCTATCAAACTACCAATGTCATTTTCATAGAGTTGGAAAAAATTATTCTGAAATTCATATGGAACCAAAAGAGAGCCTGAATAGCCAAAGCAATCCTCAGCAAAAAGAGCAAAGCTGGATGCATCACATTATTTGACTTCAAACTATATTGTAAGGCTAAAGTAACTAAAAGAGCATGACACAGGTATAAAAGCAGACACATAGAGCAATAGAAGAGAACAGAACAGAACAGAACAGAACAGAACAGAACAGAACAGAACAGAACAGAACAGAACAGAATAACCCATAAATAAAGCTACACACCTCCAACCACCTGATCTTTTACAAAAACAAGCAATGAGGAAAGGAGTCCTTATTCAATAAATGGTGCTTGAATAGCTGGATAGCCATGTGCAAAAGAATGAAACTATATGCATATCTTTCACCATGTACCAAAATTAACTCAAGATGGATTAAAGATTTAAATGTATGACATATAACTATAAGAATCCTAGAAGAAAGCTGGGCGTGGTGGCACACGCCTTAATCCCAGCACTTTAGGAGGTGGAGGCGGCTGGATCATTTGAGGTCAGGAATTCAGGACTGGCCTGGCCAACATGGTGAAACCCTGTCTCTACGAAAAATATAAAAACATGAGCCAGGCGTGGTCGTGTGCACCTGTAATCTCAGCTGCTCAGGAGGCTGAGGCATAAGAATTGCTTGAACCCAGAAGGCAGAGGTTGTAGTGAGCTGTGATTGTGCCACAGCACTCCAGCCTGGGTGATAGAGTGAGACCCTGTCTCAAAAAAAAAAAAAAAAGAAAAAGAAAAAAAAAAAAGAAAGAAAGAAATCCTGGAATCCTAGAAGAAAGCCTAGGAAACACCATTCTGGGCATTGGCCTTGGGAAATAATTTATGGCTAAGGACTCAAAAGCAATTGCAACGAAAACAACAACTGACAAGTGTGACCTAATTAAATGAAAGAGCTTCTGCACAGCAAAAGAAACTGTCAATAGAATAAACAGAAAACCTACAGAATGGGAGAAAAAATTTGCAAACTATGCATCTGTCAAAGGTCTAATACCCAGAATCTAGAAGTAACTTAAACAAATGAACAAGCAAAAATTAAACAATCCCATTAAGAAATGGGCAAAAGACATGAACAGTATACATATGTAACAAACCTGCATGTTGTGCACATGTACCCTAAAACTTAAAGTATAATAAAAAATAAAATTAAAAAAAAAAAAACTTCACTTTGGACATCGCCCAATTGCTGATTCAGCAAATATTTAGAGTACCTACTATAGCACAGGTACTGTTCTAGGTACTCATAATACTGCAAGAAAAAAAAAACAAATTCCTGTTCTCATGGAGCTTACAGTCTAATGGGAAAGACAAACAATAAGCAATAAACATAATAAATTATGAAAAAAGACATGCAAGCAGTGAACAAGTATATGAAAAAATGCTTCACATCACTAATAGAGAAATGCAAATCAAAACTACAATGAGATGCCTTCTCACACCTGTCAGATGACTATTATTAAACAGTCAAAAAAGAACAGATGCTGGCAAATTTGCAGAGAAAGGGAATGCTTATACACTATTAGTGGAAATGTAAATTATTTAATAGTTCAGCCATTGTGGAAAGCAGTCTGAAGATTTCTCAAAGAACTTGAAAAAGAACTACTATTCGACCCAGCAATCCCACCACTGAGTATATACCCAAAGTTATATAAATCATTCTACCAAAAGACATGCACATCTGTATGTTTATTGCAGCACTGTTCACAATAACAGAGACATGGGATCAACCTAAATGCCCAGCAACAGTGGATTGGATAAAGAAAATGTGGTACATATATATCATAGAATACTATAGAGCCATAAAGAAAATGAAATTATGTCTTTTGCAGGAATGTGGATGTATCTGAAGGCCATTATACTAAGCGAATTAATGCAGGAACAGAAAACCAAATACCACATGTTGTCACTCATAAATGGGTACTCAGGGACATAAAGATGTCAACATTGGGTACACAGGGACATAAAGATGGCAACAATAGAAACTGGGGACTATTAAAAGCGGAGGTGGAGAAGGGATAAAAGACTGAAAAACTAACTTTTGAGCACTATGCTCAGTACCTGGGTGAGAGGATCATTCGTACCTCAAGCCTCAGCATTATGCAATATACCCAGGTTACAAACCTGCACATTTACCCCCTGAATCAAAAATAAAAGTTGAAAATAAGTAAATAAAACAAATATTTATTTCTTTTTTTTTTGTTATACTTTAAGTTTTAGGGTACCTGTGCACATTGTGCAGGTTAGTTACATATGTATACATGTGCCATGCTGGTGTGCTGCACCCACTAACTCGTCGTCTAGCATTAGTTATATCTCCCGATGCTATCCCTCCCCCCTCCCCCCACCCCACAACAGTCCCCAGAGTGTGATATTCCCCTTCCTGTGTCCATGTGATCTCACTGTTCAATTCCCACCTATGAGTGAGAATATGCGGTGTTTGGTTTTTGTTCTTGTGATAGTTTACTGAGAATGATGATTTCCAATTTCATCCATGT
The DNA here is from genome assembly GCF_000001405.40 of Homo sapiens. Lineage (NCBI taxonomy): Eukaryota > Metazoa > Chordata > Mammalia > Primates > Hominidae > Homo > Homo sapiens. Next base: position 114,845,858 of record NC_000006.12, read on the forward strand.
CCCTACAAAGGACATGAACTCATCATTTTTTATGGCTGCATAGTATTCCATGGTGTATATGTGCCACATTTTCTTAATCCAGTCTATCATTGTTGGACATTTGGGTTGGTTCCAAGTCTTTGCTATTGTGAATAATGCCGCAATAAACATACGTGTGCATGTGTCTTTATAGCAGCATGATTTATAGTCCTTTGGGTATATACCTAGTAATGGGATGGCTGGGTCAAATGGTATTTCCAGTTCTAGATCCCTGAGGAATCGCCACACTAACTTCCACAATGGTTGAACTAGTTTACAGTCCCACCAACAGTGTAAAAGTGTTCCTATTTCTCCACATCCTCTCCAGCACCTGTTGTTTCCTGACTCTTTAATGATTGCCATTCTAACTGGTGTGAGATGGTATCTCATTGTGGTTTTGATTTGCATTTCTCTGATGGCCAGTGATGATGAGCATTTTTTCATGTGTTTTTTGGCTGCATAGATGTCTTCTTTTGAGAAGTGTCTGTTCATGTCCTTCGCCCACTTTTTGATGGGGTTGTTTGTTTTTATCTTGTAAATTTGTTTGAGTTCATTGTAGATTCTGAATATTAGCCCTTTGTCACATGAGTAGGTTGCGAAAATTTTCTCCCATTTTGTAGGTTGCCTGTTCACTCTGATGGTAGTTTCTTTTGCTGTGCAGAAGCTCTTTAGTTTAATTAGATCCCATTTGTCAATTTTGTCTTTTGTTGCCATTGCTTTTGGTGTTTTAGACATGAAGTCCTTGCCCATGCGTATGTTCTTTATTTCAATTAAGGCTTTCTGTTGTCACTCAAAAAAAGAAGTTTGGATAATAAAAGTAAGTCATATGAGATGAATAATAGTTGACATAGGCTTTGGAGTCATACATTAAAAGCAGTTGAAAATTAATATTTTAAGAGAGAAACAGTGGAATTGGTATTAGATTTTTGATGTCCGTCATGCAAAACAAGGTGTAAACTCTTATATGTGGCTTTAGAACAAAGAATCCTTTGTTCAGCTATTCAATAACATTATTAAACAGCTATTGCATGTCAGAAATCTTATGTGGTTTGTGAACAAAATTGAAGCTATCATTTGGTTCTTGCCTTCAAAATGCTCCAAGTCTACTGCATAAGAAATACATGCAAAAAGAAGATGCAAGATGCAATGTGGTAAATCCCATAATAGAAAAATGCAAATCGTGATATATTTTGGTGAAAGGGAAGTAGATATGAAGAGTTATAATATTGCCAAATATATTAATAATCTTTCAGAAATGGAACTGTATTCCTGAAAAAGGAACAGATGGAAAAGTAATAGTTTACACTTATCAAAACATTCAACCAGAGGTTTGCTAATCATAAGTTAGATACATTGGAGGTTGGTTTCCTGTACTGGCTGAAATTCAAGACAAGAAGACTTCAATCCCTAAGGGGTAGATTATGAGGTGTTGTGCATATTTGTCAGATCTTAGAGAAAAGATTTAGGTAAACAGTATTTTAACAAGTGTTTGTCAAAACCTTTTATGGATGTCTCCCTGTGGTCTTTGCTGAGGGGAATGTTTTTTAACGTAAAATGCATAGATCACAATATTCACTAGCTTAAAATTTTATTGTATTTGTGTTGAAAAATACCCATATGCATTTAACAAATAAGTATATTGTATTTTCACTGGAGACTGGATGATTTGCCATTGTTAGTAGTAGTATTAATAGTTTTTACTTATTGAATCCCCAAGGCATGTCATCAACACTGTACCCTACTGTTACTTAATGCTCACAGTGTTGCTGTATAATCTCTATTTTAGAATGAACATATTAATAATCAGAAATTTTATTTAAGTTGCCCAAGTTTATTCAGCTAATAAATGCAGCTAATAAACTCAACTGAATTTCAAAACTCATGGTGCTTGTTGAGAAGCCAAATAGTCCATTAGAAAACAATCTAAACCACACTAAACATTTATGTGTAATTACAGCAGAGAATACATACATTGGTTATTGATATTAGATAATGTATTTTTTCATAATGAACATTAAATTATAATTTCATATATTGTAATACTTTCTAACATTTCTTGTGACCTAAACATGCTCCAGGCATTATTCAAGGGTACTTTACATGTACTAGATCACTTAGTCATCACCATAAATCTATGATGAATTACCTTGCTAAGCACTTGCATTTTAGAGATGTTACCTTAATCTCATAGTGTTATTCCAAACATAAAAACTGACATCTGTTTCTGTGAACACCCCAGACACACAAACACGTGCACATACACACACACACACACACACACACAGAAATACACTGCAGTGTTGTGTATATTTTCCCAAATATTTTATCAGGATTTGGTATTCATTTGCTCTATTTTTGAAGTCATGGAGCACGTAGAATACATCACATTATGATACACAATTAAATAGTATTTTGTTCCTTAGAAATTATATTAAGAAAAATAAACCTTTGTGTTATTGCCTTAACTTACCATACTAAACCCAAATAATTTAGATTATGATTCTGAAGACCAATAATGAACTTTAATTTTCAGCCTTATATTTGCTTATTACCAGAATAATTATTTAGTAATTATCCTGAAATTGTCCAATGATAATTTATTACAACAAAGCTATTTTCCCACTGAACCAACACAAATACCTATGGCTATTCTGTAACTTAATATTAGACCCACCACTTTGATGACTGAATCTATCCAAGTCTTGAAAACGGGTTTGATATTTTTTTATGGAAGTCGAACCATAGTATTTCTAGAATTTTAATAACTATTATATTTTATGTTTTGTTTACATTGTATTTGTATTCTAATTGCAGTCTGTGGCATTTTATAATGGTAATAATTTGAATATCAATAAACACAGAGATATCTAGTTAAATTAAGTAAATGTAAATAGTTTGTCATCTGTAAAATAGGGATAATAGTATCTAGATTGAAGGTTTGGATTAGAATTAGAACATAATGCATGCAAAAAGCCCGTGGCAAAGTAAGCAACCAAAAAGTACCCGTTGCTATATTATTATCAGTAAGGCAGGTCAAGCATTTCAGACCTAGGGAATGGCATAAGCAATCAGGCTTTGAGCCCTCCTGGTTACTCTTGAATGATGCGGTCCATGTTTCACACAAATAAGGTGTAGGCTTCTTCCCCAGCATCATTAACTGATTCTCACTGGACTGCAAGTTCTGGCAGGAAAGGAGTGGTTTATATTTGGTACAACATTGTAGCCCTGGGCATAACATAACATCCAGTTCATAACAGGTGCTCAGTAAGTCTCAGAAAAGAATGTAATTCATTATTGGTTATATTTGGTTATTGCGTTTGTTTCCTAGATCTGCTGGTACAAATTACCACAAACCAGAAGGCTTAAAACAAACAACAGAAATCTACTCTCTGACAGGTATGGAAGTTAGAAATCCAGATCAGTTTTACTAGGATAAAATCAGTGTGTACAGGGCTGTGCTCCCTACAGAGGATCTAGGAAAAAATTAATGCCTTGCCTCTTCCAGCTTTTTGTGGCTTGTGTTTCCATTGCTCTGATCTTTGCCTCACGCTCATATTGCCTTCTCCTCTTCTGTCTGTTTCAAATTTTCCTCTGCCTCCCTTATAAGTACCCATGTAGTTGCATTTAGGACCCACCCTGATAATCCAGAATAATCTATTAGTCTCAAAATCCTTAACTTTACCACATCTTCAAAGTTCCTTTTTGCCACATAAAGTAACATTATAGGTTCCAGCAATTCGATATTAGATACCTTTGGTGATCATTATTTATCCTACCACAGTTTTGATTTTCATATTTTTGTTCTTCCTCTCTGGCAGTTTATGTATAACGGTTTATGGTGTTATAAGTATATATTATGTTATTTACTAAAGAATTCTAACTCCTTAAGGTTCACAGATATGTTGACTAAAGTGAGCCTTTTTCCTTTTCAGAATTTCCAGTACTTATTGAATAAAGTCCATTTCTTCATTTGGAGGGACAGGACTGTGATAACTTACTTTGTGTTGTTTTTCTTTGATTATTTATGTGATATACTTTTAGTTTAAAAGTATTCAAAATTCAGAAAACTTTTTTTTAAAAAAGGAAATATGTAAATCACTATTACATCACTCCCTCAAACCAAGTTTTACTTAGAAATGTGCTGAGCACCATTTAGTTGACATGGTAGCATATGTCATATTCTTTACTAAGCCGCTTCTCACCAAAGCAAATCACTAAAAATAAGACAACTGATAAAAGTAAAAATCTACCATAACACACTCTGACGATGGTATGGTATATATGGACAAGACTAACTAGAAGTTAATAGACACATAAAAATTATAATAGTTATGGAAGTGATTTTGATTTCAGGCACTAATGTTACAAGGTGGGAAAATGTTTTCTCCCTTACAAGAATGCGGTCAGGCCACTGGAAGAATTCCTAATGCTGGAAAACAATCAGGATCCTGGACACTTAATCCATGTTCTGTTCTGTGCATCTGCTTCATTATTTTCTTCCTGTAGTCTGATTTGCTCTGTCCCACAAAGCACAAAGAAGAAAATGAACTTGATCTCACTGTTTACATGCTCTCTCAGTCCAAATTAAAATTCCTTGAAAGGGACCCTAATTGCCCCTTCCTAGGTCAGATTCCAGTGTCATAAGTCCAGTAGGTTGGGTAATATTATGGCATGTTCCCTGCTGTTATTGTTATGGGTGATAGTAAAAGAAAATTCATTTGAAGTGATGAGACCTGGCAATCAATATCTGCTTACATTTCAGTGGACCTCTGGAAGCCCAGCCTCCATCTATCTTCTAACTAAATCTAGACATGTCTAAAACCTAGGGGGTTGGGGTTTAGCCTTTATGGTCTTTCCATAGCATATGCCTAGTTATATAAACTATTAAGGCAAGTTTGACTTGTGTTGAATATTGCTGTTTTAAAGAACTTGGTTACTGTTTCTTTCAGCCCGTCTTTCCTTCTGGTATCAATCTCATCTGTTTCTCTATGAAATATTTGTTTGTTCTCTTATTTGAACAATGTTCTCTACGCTGCAAATACACATGAGGGATCACTCTTTTGCTTTGGAGGTATACTATTGTTCTGTGTATTACCATATTCTTTCTTCATGTCTCTGACTTTCTACATACAAATTGGACTTATTAAGAACCATAGCGTCTCAGAACTTTGGTCAGTGTGCTCATTTATCATGTCAGGTATAATTATGAATAATCCATTTCTCAGTATTTTCAAAATATCCTAGTTTCATTTAGCTCAAAGATCTTGGAGAAAATAATAAATTTACTGCATTAAATGTGAATCAAAGGTAAAACAACTGAGTAAAATGTCTAGAGGAAAAAGTTAAACCTGTGGCATTTTCCGTATGTGGAGTCCAGCAGCATCCTTTTTCTGGCTGCTAGATGGTAGTTGGCCAAATGAGACAAATGTTTAGTTCTCTGGGTTGAGCTATTTCTTCTTGATGATACTGTGTTCTGGGTCTAATCAAATATAGAGCTTAAATATTTTCACCATAAAGATATTAACAAATGCTCTGACTCAGTGATGTGCAGTGTTGTGTCTGCTGAGAGCGTAGGCTTCTCGGTAGACCTTAGGGATGACAATGAAAAAGCCGAAAACTATAAGGAGCAACCAGGGGAGGTCATTTATGTTTTCAATTTCTAATAAACTCCACTGTTTTTAAATTTTAGATTGGCTTCTTTAGCACCACAAGCAGCCCACTAGAGCTCCAAGCTTTGCCTGCTACCACATGCGACAATAAGGGAAAATGACCAGAGTCAACAATTAGTGCATATTTGTGTGTCCAGGGACTTGTGATTATCAAATTAGAAATCTGTCCCTTAATTGTTAAATTGCCAATACAACCTTTTCACATTTCCAAGTTTATCTTAATGCTGCTGGAATTGTACTTTAAAATCACAGTAGTAAATTTATGTAGGACTAGCGAAAAAGAAAAAATGGCATACATGGATTCCCATGTGTTTCCTATGTGTGCATGTTACAAGGATGGAATTACAGTGACTTCTAAGAAAGTGATAAAATATCTGCTTGATACATGAATCATGTTCTAAACATTCAGGTCCAGACATATGGTGAGACTTTGTGTCAGGGACAGCAGTATTACAGGCTCAGTTTGTTGAGTCCTATATATTCTTGCCAGTTTTGCTCCATAGGATCTAAATAATTTTTAGTGTCAGTCTTTAAAAGACTTCTGTTTCATTGCAAATTTAGAATTGAAAACTAAATATAATTTGAGAAATTTTTTTGAAGATGGAATATTCTGTTATTCCCAGGAATCTTATGAACTTGAGTGTCATTATACATTGTTATTTCTGGGAGGATTTATTTAGTATTTAATAATTTAGCACTAGACTTCAGTTGTTTTTGCATACGCTATAAAGGTAGAACAAATTCTCTTTGTTTTCAATTTTATTAGTAGTATTAATAATTAAAATAATCTTGGGATTGGATTTTAGTAGCCAATGTCCAATATGATATAAATATTGAGATTTTAGCAAAAATAGATCATTATTTTCAATGCTAAGCATTTAATTTTAAGTCCAGGATGTTTTATTCAGGTTTTACAAGTTAGTACCAATTTAGTAATTATCTACAAATCAATTTAATTAAGAAGTCAGGTTCATATTTTTATGTACTTAATATAATTATAAAATAAAAGAAGTTGGCAAACCCATATGTCATCATAACTGCATATTAGACACGGTTACATAAAATATTGTTTCGTAGACATAATTTACTGTGTAAGATCAATGACGAGAGTAGGAAAGCTTAGCAAATATATGGCTTTAATTAATAATCAATAATAATGATAGCAACAATAATAAATTTTCTTCTACAGTAGTCAATCCCAAAGGTATGTGAAAGCCTAAGTAAAAAATAAGTTAAGAATAGATTTTCTTTAGAGAAGATAATTCTCCCTGTCTGTCTATATACGATTTGAAAGAAATAAAAGCACATATCATCACTGTATATATAGGAAGAACAGCATGTTTACTTAGCAGAAAATTTAAAGTATCTATACTTGCATTTATAGTAATCTGTTCATGCATTAATAATATCAGGATGGTTAAAATAGACTTAATTAGTGTTCAAGACGACAGTGAATTTACCTTTTGTGGTGCTATAAAAAAGAAAAAGAGCAGATACATTGTGTTTTAAATAATATATGTTAGATAATGTTTTATTTTCTCTTGATTTATAGTAAACTGATTTTAACAATGATGATTTTGCTTGCACTTTTCAACTGTTCATTATGTTAATGGTTTTGCTTTCATTCACAGAATTATATAGATTTGTAGTGACACAGAAGCAACTGTTTTTCTAATTTAAAATATTTTAAAATTTTATTTAAAAATAATTCATAATTATTCTGCAAAATTAGGAATTACAGATAATACAGAAGAAAGGATATTTGCTATCTTGTCATCTAAAGATGTATCTATTAAGATTGTTTTGCATATCATTCTAGATTATTTTCAAATAAGTTTATCATTTTTTCAACCAAAAATGTAGGTATACTATACACATTATTTATAATTTGAGTTAGCATCATATTGAAGGCATCTCATTAAAATATTTTGAAATTCTTATGTATAGAAATTACCTCTTCAATAATATAATTTAATATAACAGATATTTCACTGTATGACCATTTTTTATTTCTGTTTTGTGGAAAATTTAAGATTAGTGTTATTTTAGCCACCATTTTGTATTTTATGTATAGAACCTAAATTAAATTTATTTATAGTTATCTGTAGCTTTTCACAGATTACAAAATCACAAGTAAAATGTTATTTTAATAGTTAGTAATATATAAGACACCAGCATGTGTCTTTTAAAGGTAATTGATAAGAGAATATTTCTTTGGATTTGCCTATTGTTTTTTTTTTCCAATTTTTAGATTTTTTAAAGGCTTTTTAATGATCCTACCACTATCTGGAATTTTAAGAGAATGAAAATATCCAAAGCTTCTTTTCAATATAGTATCTGAAAATACAAATAGGATCTTTGAAATGGGTACTGAGCCTTTATCATTTCAGTTTCGAATATGTTGAAATAAAATGGAGAAATCTTAAATTAAAAAAAACACTGTAAAATGTGGCAGTGGGTTCAAATGCAATGCTTCCTTTATTGTACATTGATTCATTTATTAAGCAACAATTACGAATATCCCCATAACATGCCAAAAGCTGGAAATAAACCTGTCAACAAGATAGACATATTTTCTGTCTAGACAGAGCCTAAGAGAAGGCATACAGATGTGCGAACTGAACACTTTAACAGTGTGTGAGAGAGAAGGGTGGGATCTTTTAAACCAGATCCAAGTAAGATTAAGAGAAGGAGTCCTAGAGAATGAGATTCTTAAGATGAGTTGGAGTAGTATGCCAGGCAAACAAAAAGAGCAACGGAAAACATGTGTTAGGGAGAGAACTTCAAGTGTGGAAACCCAAACAACAAAGAATTGCCTGGAGAGGAATGTTAAGATGTGTAGAATGACTGGAACACTGAGTGTAAGATGTTGGTTCTTATTGTTGTAGTGGAATTCCAAAGAGGGGCCAGATCATATGAGACCCCTGTGCAAAGGGTGTTGACTTTATCAAAGAAGTAATAAATGACCATCAGAGGTCTCGAAAAGAGGTGACATGACATAGAGGTTTGCATGCAATAACAATGACACAGGATTCAAATTGGAGAATAGTTTGGAAGGAGACAATATTAGATGAAAAAATTACATTGATTTAATAATACAGTATAGAAATAATGGTAACTCACAATGTTGTTGTGGCATTAAAATTAGAGAGAAGTGGATCAATTGAATTCTGGGGAAGGTGAATAAGAATAATTCAAGATGGTACCCACGTTTTCCACCTGATGTCTTGCAGAGGTAGTGATGTCTTTCACATAAAATTCTCAAAGGAGATAAGACCATAAATTTGCATAAAGTTCATAAGTGTATTTGTGGCACCATATTTGAAGTAGCTTTTTAATTTCTGCAAAACATTTGTCATAGCAAATGCTATTGATTTGAATTTTTTAATTGGTTGGTAAAAAACTACCAATATTGTTTAATTAGTAGATCATTTTGTTGTATTTTTAAGTTATTTGTAGCTTATTTAATGTTTGAATATGTTTAAGTGATAGTGGCGGATACACAAGAATATTTTCTTTTTCCTTTAAAAATAATTTATTGAGAGTATACACATCATTGTGGATGGGAGGCAGGACTAGATTGCAGCTCTGACTTGGACAGGCAGAGCAGTGTGTGGAGGCTCACATTGTGAATTTTAGCTCCAGAACAACTGCAAGAACAAAACAAGCATCCTAAGAGGACTCACAGACCCTCTAAAGGAAGCGGCCTGCTCCTGCAGGACCAGGGAGACACCTCAAATACTGTGAGTGCCCAAACTGTGGAAGTGGGAATGGGAGACCCTCTTCACCAGAACATACACCACCACTGGGGAAACTGAAGGTCTACTTTGCGGGAGAAGTTTCTGATCTTACCTGGAGCTGAGTCAATTTAGAGAGCCGAGCGAAATACAGGGGTAGAGGAAGCAGCTGGAAAGGCCCTTGGGACCTTGCTGGGTCCCTAAGCAGGCCGTTCCTGCCAGGCACCACAGGGATCCTTTGGCAGGGTGGCCAGATGCTGGGGGGAAATCACCACAGAAAGAGAGAAGGAAGTCTTCAGCTGAACTTTGTACCAATTTGAATTCGGCGAGAAGCCTCCTGGCCAGAACTCGGGGGAGGGCATGAACTCAGGAGAGGTCGTGAATCGGGCGTGCAGACTCCACAGGTGGGAGAACCAAAACCCTTTTCTTTCGCAGCTGGGAGGCAGGTAGCCTGGAGCAAGTTCTCAAGCCCAGCTCGCCCACAAGATTAATGTACACAAATCAGTAGCTCCACTATACACCAACAGCGACAAAACAGAGAATCAAATCAAGAACTCAACCCTTTCTACAATAGCTTTAAAGAAAAAATAAAATACTGGCTGGGCACGGTGGCTCATGCTCGTAATCCCAGCACTTTGGGAGGCGGAGGCAGGTGGATCGCCTGAGGTCAGGAGCTTGACACCAGCCTGGCCGAGATGATGAAACCCCATCTCTACTAAAAAAATGCAAAAAAAAAAAAAAAAAATTAGCTGAGCATGGTGGCAGGCACCTGTAATCCCAGCTACTAGGGAGGCTGAAGCAGGAGAATGGCTTGAACCTAGGAGGCGGAGGTTGCAGCGAGCCGATATTGTGCCATTGCACTCCAGCCTGGGCAACAAGAGTGAAACTCCATCTCAATAAATAAATAAATAAATAAAATAAAGCATAAAATACTTAGGAATATATCTAACCAAGGGGGCAAAAGACCACTACAAGGAAAACTAAAAAACACTGCTGAAAGAAATCAGACAACACAAACAGAACCACATCCCATGCTCATGAATGGGTAGAATCAATATTGTGAAAATGACCATACTGCCAAAAGCAATCTACAAATTCAATGCAATTCCCATTGAAATGCCACCATCATTCTTCAAATAATTAGAAAAGCAATTATAAAACTCATATGGAACCAAAAAAGAGCCCACATGCCCAAACCAAGACTAAGCAAAAAGGAAAAATCTGGAGGCATCACACTACCTGATTTCAAATTATACTATAAGGCCATAGTGACCCAAACAGTGTGGTACTTGTATAAAAATAGGCACATAGATCAACAGAACAGAATAGAGAACCTAGAAATAAACCTAAATACTTACAGCCAACTAATCTTCCACAAAGCAAACAAAAATCTAAAGTGGAGAACGGACACCCTTTTCAACAAATGGTGCTGGTATAATTGGCTAGCCACATGTAGGAGAACAAAACTGGATCCTCATCTCTTACCTTATACAAAAATCAACTCGAGATGGATTAAGGACTTAAATCTAAGACCTGAAACTATAAAAATTCTAGAAAATAAGATTGGAAAAACCCTTCTAGACATTGGCGTAGCAAGAATTTCATGACCATAAACCCAACAGCAAATCCAATAAAAACAAAGATAAACAGTTGGGACTTAATTAAACTAAAGAGCTTCTGCATGGAAAAAAGAACAGTCAGCAGAGTAAACAGACAACCCACAGAGTAGGACAAAATCTTCACAATCTATACATCTGACAAAAGACTAATATCCAGAATCTACAATGAACTCAAACAAATCAGGAAGAAAAAAAAACAATCGCATCAAAAAGTCAGGTAAGGACATGAATAGACAGTTCTCAAAAGATGATATACAAATGACCAACAAACATGAAAACATGCTCAACATCACTAATGATCAGGGAAGTCCAAATCAAAACCACAATGCGATACCACCTTACTCCTACAAGAATGGCCATAATCGAAAAATCAAAAAACAGAAGATGTTGGCATGGATGCGGTGATCAGGGAGCACTTCTAACTGCTGATAGGAATGTTAACTAATACAGCCACTATGGAAAAGAGTGTGGAGACTCCTTAAAGAACTAGAACTACCATTTGATCCAGCAGTCCCACTACTGGGTATCTACCCAGAAGAAAATAAGTCATTATTCGAAAAAGATACTTGCACACACATGTTTATAGCAGTACAGTTCACAATTGCAAAATCATAGAATCAACCCAAGTGCCCATCAGTCAACGAGTGGATAAAGAAACTGTTTTATATATATATACATACTCAGAACAACAGGAAAACCATTGCTACTCTAAGGCAGAAGGGGCAATGGCTGAAGCCTCGGAGGAGGGACTGCTCAATAGGAGCTGTGCCTATAAAGGAACACAGAGTCTACCAGGTTTTCAGCCAGGGAGGTGCCACAGGGAAATCTGGGGGTGGGGTTAGTGTGAAGAAATATTTTGATCTCTCCATTTCTCTGCCTTCTGCTCTTCTCTGGCACCTAGCATTGGCTGAACCCTGTGGGAAGCTATATGGCAAAAGGGCCTGGGTGATGCAGCTCATATAAATCAGTTTCCTGTGGCTCAGAGATCACAAGAAATAGAAATGGGTAAAGGGTCATAGGATAAACCAGTGTGCAAGGAAAGAAGTATCTACAAAACACCAACTAAATACTCACTTTTTTCCTAGCGTATTGAAAATGGTTTTAGTTACTGTGAATGGAAAGCAATTTCATGACTTTAAGCAATTTATAGTTAAGTTGCAAAGTAACCACACTAATATTTTAAATACAATCATGGCTACAGAATGTTTTTGAAAACATATACAGAAGTACTGATGGGGGTGTGCAAAATATTTCAGAATGGGGATGAGCATGGAACATGATTTGCCTTTGGTCTTGCACATCATATAATAGGAAAAGTGCTATACATGTAGACAAAAATTATTTTACCAGTAGTATAAAAATGGCATTTTCCTGTGCCTGTTGTCCCAGAAGAGCAGAAATATACTGAATACACTTTCATGGCAACTGGCCACCATCTTTTCTCCCTACACTTGAAGTTGTCATTGTTAGGATGGAGCCTATTTGCACGGCAATGTGCAAAAATAATATCCCCTCTGCCTCTCTGAGTCTTGCCCTCTATTCAAAGTGCTTAATATTTCTGGCTCATCCATGTTAGATGCTTTGTCAGATGCAAATTCTTAAGTTCTACAGAGGAAGAAGGGGGTGGGAAATAAATGGTTTGGTCTCTGCCAAGTTTAAAATCAATGTTCACAAATGTATATTTTTCAATTAATAATGTCCCATTTCTCACAAAATTGTTGAGTAATAACCACCTAGTCCTACACATGTTCAAGTTGATAGAAGCTGTACATTTATATTGTAACCTAACATATATGACCTTCAGTGAGCCACTCATGCTGATAAGTCTGCCCTATTGTAAAGAAACATAATCAGCATATAGAAAGTATTTAGACAAAAATAATTTTTGAGACTTTAAAAAAAATTTCTGATACCTTTACTTCTCTTAGGAATCTAGGATTTCATGTGCAGATTTGGAGTTATGAAATTTGACATGCAGAACATAACAATATAAAATATTGGCTGATTTGTAAACACTCGCTTCATTGCTACTTTGTGAAAACAAAATTTCCTAGCTGAGAATTTGCAGTACATTTTCAATCTAGTCTTAAAACAACAATGAATATCTTACATGTGAACATTATTTTATAGGGAAGAAAATCCTATACCAGCTACTTTATCATGTAGTCTTCAAAACTCTGAGAAACAGATACGTGGATTCTATTTTAGAGATGAAGATAATAGATAGTGACATCAAGTGACTTACCCCAAATCACGTAGGCTTGAATTTTCAAGGTTATTTTTTTAGCTACTCCCAATGACTGTAACACATGTTTTCACATCAAGAGTTAACTGATAATAAAATTGATATTGTTAAAAACAAGGAAATGAGATATGAGTAATTTCAAAATGTGCTTCAGTTATGGCTAGAGTTCACAGGCCTTTGTTATATTTGAAAGCATGGGATTGTAGTTAGAAAATAATCTGTGTTCAAAGCATAGGTCTGCCATTTTGTGGCCTTGTAGACATTGAACAAGTACCTTAACCTCTATCAGCCAGGTTTTCTTATCTCAGTAACAAGCAATAATTCCTGGTTTTTAGAGTTATTTTGAAGATAAAATGAGATAATACATGAAAAAGCCTTTAAAAACCTGCTCAATACTTATTAAATATCTTATATGTCCTTTCTCATTGCAAATATTTGCAAAATTGCTTACTGAAGACTTATGTGTGGTAGGCTTTACAAATTATCAAATTAGGCTAATTATGGACAAGGATAGTTAGCAAAATTGATCCTGGTTATTGAGTTTTTAACACCCTAGAGCCATTTTCTCTTTTCTTGAAGATGGAACAAGTACTTTCAAGGCCAATGGAATCCAAATTATGATGCTGGTATTTGGAAATATAGATAAATTTAAAAACTAAATTAGAGAATTTTTTGAAGTCCGTGGAACAGAAATTGTTTCCTAAAGTGGCTGATGTAACAGTTGCGACTCACTCAGACTCCATGAGGAAGAGTGTAAAATGGTATTGTAATATTAATGCCTCAGTGCCAATAATTGCATATTGCTTTTATTTCTATGGACTAATGTTTTAATCAGTCTTATTATAGTAGAACAAGGGAGCAGAGATGCCGATTACAGTAAGTATCAAAAAGAATTATACTACATGCAAGGGTATCATAAAGAAGAGATTTTACATTACCTTTTTCTTTGGCTTCTATTCATTAATTTTCCACACTATTTGCATTGAGATCAATATTCACAGAGCTTGTAATTAGAAGAATCATTAGGTATTAGAATTAGCTTTAGTTACAAAAAAGGAATAGGAGACTAATGAATGATCTGACTTGTCACTAAACACCTATAATGCTTCTGAATTCTTTAACACAAAATCCAAAATGTAAGAAAGAAATAAGCCAAACACACATATATTTTGTTTTTTAAGAAAGTTTTTTTTGGCAGCCCTTTCATATGTGTGTAGCAAATGAGTGTTGCCACTTCTTAGCAGCATCTTAATTATCTCTATGTTTGGAAACAAAATATAGAAAGAGGACTGAGTTTCGCTTAACTGGATGCAGTTGTGTTATTTTCAGGTTAAGTCTAGTAGTTTGTATATGAATGAATCTTAAGTAATCAAATGGAAACATTATTTTCTAAGGCGTCAATGAGGAGCAATGCCCTAGTCTAGCCAGTGTGGAGGATACAAAATGGACTGAAAATGCGTGTGTGTGTGTGGTGGGGGTGTGGAGGGTAGGGGGTGAGTGGGAGAGGGGGAATAACTTATCAGAAAGGAAAGAGAAATGTCTAGGACAAATGGTCATGTGAGAAAAAGAGCTTGTCTAAGATCAGTGAGGAACTCTTCTTGGAGGAGGCAAAATTTCTGGGGTTATGGAAAGAAGGACCACACATCCCAATTTGCTGGCACAGATTCAGCATACTTACGAATAGCACCCTCTTTGCCTCTCAAAACTATCCTTGTTTGCACCAAAAAATTTACACAAGCAATAGAGAAGTTTTAATTATTCCTTCTCCATGTTTAAACTGTGTTTTTTGAACAAAGAAGAGTTTCCTTTCTGTTTTGGGGCCAATATTATTTATTACAATAGCTAAAAATTTTTAAATGGAATCATGGCAAGTGTTAGTAATTTTCACTGCAGTTTGCTGCATATATGAATTTTTAAATATTTTCTTTCTTCCTCTGAAGATAAACAGAAAAATCAATTTTCAGTTTGTGGAGCTTAGAACGTTAAATAAGAGCTCTATGTAAAGCAATGATCACATTTTTGTGAATAGAATTATAGCTAAAATGAAGAGTCCAGAAATGTAATGCATTCCAGCTCACTTATTATCTGTAAAATTAGAAAGGCACCCTTGTGTAAAGATTAAATATCTGACTAAGATTCAAAAGACAAGGGATGGCTCTGTGTGACCTTGGGCCATAACTTTTCTTATCTAAATTTAAGTTTCCTCATCTTTGAAATGACAGGGTTAAAATATATGATCATTAAGGTCTCACCCAGCTCTAATAGACTATTATTTGAAATTCAAATAGGTTAATACAAATTTTACTCTTGGTAGTGAAACTTTCCTGAAGTGATTGCTTAAAATAATTGAGAAAAAAAGGGTAAAAGTCTTCAAAAGAAAGCACAGAAATGTGTCTGAAGAAAGCATAATAGAGACTGAAACCAATGAGCAACTATGAAAGGCTTTCTTTATAAATGCATGTTTAATATTAATTAATATATACTTCTTGTTACTTTATTCTTAAACTTGAAATTGCATCAAATTACTTCAGCTGCTTGTTGAAGCAGATTCTAAAACCCACTTTCAGGTGTCCTGAAGGCAATTATCATGCTGTATAGCAATATTTCCAATTATTTTTCTCAAGTGAAAGGTCCAAAATATTACACTGCTTTAGACTGTGTTCTCCCAGAAAGAGATCCTGAGGCAAAGATTTAGGAACAAGTGACTTACTAAGAAGAAACTGCTGAGAAGTGCAAATGTGGGGAAGCAGAGCAGGGAAGGCGATCTCCAGGGAAGATTGTATTAATAACTTCAAGTGATGTCCTGCACTCGCCCTGATCCATTAGGAGTTCTAGATTATGGACGAGAGTTTTCTCAGCAAAAGGGCTGGGCTTTTGTACCCTGACACCAGTCACTGGCTGTGGGTCAACAGTTGGAAGTGGGTAGAAGTGGGATTGAATGGGGATGTAAATTTCCATGCATTTCTAGCTCTTCCAACTGAAAAGATAGTTCTAATGCTTCAGAGAGATCCCCAGAAGTCATTTTCAGGTGAGAACTTTTAGCAGAAAAATGAGCGGAAGCTGGGAGACAGAGCACAGTGTCCAAAAAGGGGATGTGAAGGTTTCTCAGCAGAACTCAGAGTGCTCACTGCAGCTACTCACTCACCTCTCACAGTTTTTGTGGTCCAACTAACATGAGAAGTGTTATATGCTACACCTTCTTCTGAGATTGATAATGCACAATAGCATATTATAGGTCTTATGTAGTAACAGAATAAATAAATTATTCATTTTTGCTCCAATCCAGTATTACTCAAATAAATTTGACTAATTTATCTCATAACTACCATATGGAAAAAAAACCCACTGGAAATGCGGCAATATGACATCAAGAATTTTTAAAGAAGAAAATTTCATTAAAATATAGCTTTTTGTTTCAAAATAGTATCTAACAGCCACCCTGTGAAGTAGAACAGGTATCCACAAATATACTTATTAAGGAATGGGTATACACGTACTACAAATTCACACTAACAATAAGAGATGACTGTCAAAGTATTATGATAAACTTGAGGGATTTACTATGGCCAAAGAGCCTGAGGAAATGGGATTGAAAAATAAAAGTCATAGACTAAACAGCCTTATGTTTGCAATTCATTAGGAGACATATTCTGCTTTTGGTTCCTAAATTCAAGATCTATATCCACAGGAAAGGCAATTGACTGTCTCTCTCCTGGGAATATGACACTTACTGAGGCAACATACCGACCTTAGCCCCTCCCCATTACATCCATCAGTATAAATTTGATTTTTATATTTAGCTGAAATCTGCCACATCAAAGAGGAGAACCTAGACAAAAAGAAAGATTAACTGGCGGTGACTCATCACTCCTGGGAATGTAATAATAACTAAGCTTATTTTCTTCTATGTGGTCTAGGCAGTGTCATGAGCTTTACATGTGCCACTTCATATAATTCACATGACCATCTTGAGAAGTAGGTGATTATAAAACTAATTTAATGAGATTGGGAAATTTGTTAAAAGCTATAAAACTAGAAAGTGATTGAGTGGAGATTCAAAACTAGGTCTTTCTGAATTCTCATTAGACCATGCTAACTGTAGTTAGGGCAGTCAAGATTAGGTTTTTCTACCTAATCAGAGAAATATTAAGCTAGAGGTAGGAGGCAAGCTCTTCTGAAAGAGCTGCCTGATAGAAAAGTATTTTTTAACAAAGCAAATCTGTTTTAAAATCTAGATCCTCAATTATGTTTTCAGTTTGTCATTTAAAAGAGTTGACTGGCACTGGAATGAACAGATAGCAAGATCAAAGATATTCTTACACATTGCCTGTTGGCAAATACAGACTGGATATAGCTCTCACCTTCCTAGGAGATTCATATAGATAAGCTGGGGTTATGAATTAATGTTGTGAAACAATGGTAAGAGAACATCTTGAAGATTCAGACATTCTGAAAATCATTTCCTCTAAGAACTGGAAGGAAATTATAGAACCCCGTTTGACATCTTTAATAAGAAATAGAGTCTATGAAACAGAAACAAACCCCACAGAATTTTGAAAAAGAAAAAAAAAAGAGAGATAATAATGTTTTCAGGGAAAGTGAAAGTGCAACAGCTGAATTGACACTGAGAAATTGGATCAATGTTGTGGAATACCTGAATCACTCCTTCAGAGTCACTCTTCCACAATGTACAAGGGGAAAAAAGATTAAAACAGTGACAGGGAATGCAACACATATGGAGCTGAAAAGTAAAGATTTAATCTATCAGTTGTCACTGTCAGTGTCAATGAAGATAATACCAAAATAATCAGAAGCAGTAATATAAAACTGATTTGTGATTTATTGTAAAACTCGAGATATAGATAAAAATACTGTTGTTGCAAGAAAAAAAGCATAAAAAGATACCTACATCTAGAAAACAAACCATTTTCAATTTTAATGATATATTAAAGCAAACTTTTATATGCATCCAGGTAGAAAATTCTGCTCATCTCCAGAAGAACACAAATTATTCTGAATTCAGTCTTCTTTACAACAAATGCCAAAATTGGATAGGCTAAGATTCAGAGTTTTGACAGAGAAAAGTTTGTAATTCAATAAGTTTTATATCCAGCTAAGATGTATTTTAAATGTGAAGGCAATAATAAACTACTTTCACTTACATTAAGATTCAGATTAAATGCCTTTGCATACTTCATAAAGTTATTTGGAATCATATTCCAGTTGACAGTGAAAACTCCAAATTAACAATTCAAGACTTTGGACATTTGGAGATTAAAGAGCTGAATTGATCTTTCATAATAACAAACATATCGCTGACTTGCATCACAAGATTTGAAGAAATCACCATCTTACTGCACCACATCTGTTTGAACTGGCCATTTGATTAAACCTGTAAGAAGATTGACTTGCTTTCTCTTCTACCCATGCATACAATTTTCAACAGGAAAGCCAGTGAATTATTATCACTAATGATAGGTATAAACATCCTATTTTGAATTCCCAAAAATTCTCCAGGGAACAACTCTCCCAGAGATAGTTTTCCACCATTTAGAAATACAAACACATGTGATTACAATTTTGCTTAGGCATACGATATTATGAAGCAGGCACACAAAACTTTCTAAGTGTGTGAAAAGAAGCACACTAAATGTCAAGGCTATTATTATCTTTGAATGTTGAGACCATCGGTGACATTTTCATATTTTTATTCTATTTTTTCAAATTTTCTTTCTTTTTTTAATTTTTTTATTATACTTTTAAGTTTTAGGGTACATGTGCACAACGTGCAGGTTAGTTACATATGTATACATGTGCCATGTTGGTGTGCTGCACCCATTAACTCGTCATTTAACATTAGGTGTATCTCCTAATGCTATCCCACCCCCTCCCGCTACCCCACAACAGGCCCCGGTGTGTGATGTTCCCCTTCCTGTGTTTATGTGTTCTCATTGTTCAATTCCCACCTATGAGTGAGAATGTGCAGTGTTTGGTTTTTTGTCCTTGCGATAGTTTGCTGAGAATGATGGTTTCCAGCTTCATCCATGTCCCTACAAAGGACATGAACTCATCATTTTTTATGGCTGCATAGTATTCCATGGTGTATATGTGCCACATTTTCTTAATCCAGTTGATCATTGTTGGACATTTGGAGCCAAGATGGCCAAATAGGAACAGCTCGTCTATAGCTCCCAGCGTGAGCGACGCAAAAGACAGGTGATTTCTGCATTTTCAACTGAGGAACCGGGTTCATCTCACTGGGGAGCATCGGAAATTGGGTGCAGGACAGTGGGTGCAATGCACTGAGCGTGAGCCGAAGCAGGGTGAGGCATTGTCTCAGCCGGGAAGCGCAAGGGGTCAGGGAATTCCCTTTCCTAGTCAAAGAAAGGGGTGACAGACGGCACCTGGAAAATCGGGTCACTCCCACCCTAATACTGCGCTTTTCCAATGGCCTTAGCAAATGGCACACCAGGAGATTATATCCCACGCATGGCTGGGAGAGTCCTACACCCACGGAGCCTCGCTCATTGCTAGCACAGCAGCCTGAGATCAAACTGCAAGGCGGCAGCGAGGCTGGTGGAGGGGCGCCCGCCATTGTCGAGGCTTGAGTAGGTAAACAGAGCGGCTGGGAAGCTCGAACTGGGTGGAGCCCACCGCAGCTCAAGGAGGCCTGCCTGCCTCAATTTTTCAAATTTTCTATAATGATGAAGTTTAAATTATAAAACAAATCTCAGATTGAAAAGAAAAAAAAACTACAAAACATCCAAACTCAAAAAGTCCAAAATTCTTTTAAAAAGTAGTTTGGGGTTAAGGCTGCTTCCATAAATAATTCTGATAAAGCTGGTTTTCCTGTCCCCAGTTTTCACCCAGTGAAATAGATATGCTTCTGAAGTTCTGTGGCAGGCAATAATCTAAAGATGATGCTTCAAGTTTCTTATATATAGTTATTCAAATATTAGCCTAGCTACTTCTGAGAAGGGATTTCAAAGATATAAGCAAGACTACTGATCAATTGACTTTAAAAGAGGGAGGTTTTATGGATTATCTGGGTAGGCCCAATTTAATCACTTGAGTCCTTTAAGAACAGAAGAGAGTGGCAGAAGAGGAAGGAAAAATTGATTCAAAGCAGGAAGAAGCAGGAGAAGCAGATGAAGATTCTATACATCTTTTGCCTTTAAGATGGAGGAGACTCAAACTCCAGTAGTCCAAAAGCTGGGGATTATAGGTGGTCTCTACAACATGAGGACAACCCCTGGCTTACAATCAGAAAGAAAACAGGGACCCCAGTCCTACAGCTGCTCAAAACTGATTTTCACAAAACAACTTGTTTGAATCTGGAAAGAGGTTGTCCCCCAGAGCATCCAGACAAAAGCCAGGCTGCTTGATAGCTGGACTTTGGCATTGTAAGACCCTAAGCAGAGAACCCAGTTATACTCAGACTTTTGGCCTACAGAAATATAATGAATGTTTTTTTAAAGCCTCTTAATTTGTGATAACTTGTTATAGCAGCAGCAGAATATTAATACAGGTCCAAATCCTTACTTGTAGGCTTGGTAGGAGCCTATAGTCTTAGGCTTTATTTAGTCCTTCTAAATCTTATATCTATGGCTGCTTTTTATGAGCCTTGCTAAAGAATTTAAGGGCAATCTGATAAAATCACTAAAGGCAAAAAAACACATTTAAATATGAGTGTTTGCACCTTGATCTAAAGTGGTGACTTTTACTGGGAAAATCAGGTGTATTATAGATTTTAGGAACATTTTGCACAGGGGTTATGCTAATCTTCTCTGTATCATTCCAATTTTAGCATATGTGGTGCCAAAGCAAGCACTACTTTAGGAACATTTTGGATGAACAAGTGTCTTACCATCTCTTTAGTAATAATACATAAGCACTACCATGGACCTACTTTGAAGGACCAACATTGGTTATTACATTTGTGCAACTTGGACTTAGAGCCTGGATTACATGGGCTTTTATATCTGAAATTCTCTGATTCTCTGGAAAGTGACATTTTAATTGTTATCAGATGATTAATATGTAGTGCAGATTCATAAGTTTACTGAAAAGCAAAAATTATTAACATTTTAACAGTTATTTCCATTGCTAATATCTTTGTTTTCTAAAACTCATATCAAGGTTGCTCAAAACTATTTTCTCCCCAGTATGTATAGAATGTTGTTTTATATAGAGACAAATTTATGGCCTGGTGTGACAGCTCATGCCCTGCAATCCCAGCACTTTTGGAGGCTGAGACGGGCGGATCGATTGAGCCCAGGAGGTCGAGGCTGCAGTGAGCTGTGATTGCACCACTGCCCTCCAGCCTGGGCGACAGAGCGAGACCCTGTCTAAAACTAAAAAATAAATTTGTGTATTATGAATATAGATGTATGGCTAGAAAAAATGCAATAAATAGGTCCCATGTGAAAATGTTTATTTTCTTGGATTTATGAACACTATATTTTCCAGTCATTCAAACTAATTCCCTGATTAGTGTTGCCAGTTACATTCTTTTAATCTGTTAAAATGCAGCTGCCCATAAAAACAGAGTAACTAGATTCAGACTAAAGTAATTATTCCATTCCTTTGACATTTGTTGAGAAAGTTAGCTTACCATATCAGAGTTAAAGTTATCCCTCGTTTCACCAGCTTTTCACAATTTTACGCAAAATGTAAATTGTCTCTGTGTTAACATTAACTAGACCAAACTTACTCCAAGCTTCTATATTAAAGTCTATGCTTCCAGTGAATAATTTGACTCTGGATGCAACGATCAGGTTTATTATCTAAAGCACAATAACTCAGGCAAACTTTTAATTAGTTCTTCAAATTACTTGAAAACTTTAAGCCAGCTGAATGGTTAGGGCAAGACTTCAATTGCTTCCTCTGTTTTGTAATGTTATCACTTGGCTGAGAAACGGGATGGAGCCACCATAGAGAACTCAGAAACCGGGAACCGTCCTCAAGAGGAGAAAGTCACACTTCACTCTTTAGCTCATCTTAGCTGACTTTCTCCACATACCTCACTAGATATGACCCTGGTCCTGAGTCAGATTTGAAGATCTGTGTCCGAAGGTGATTTTAAAGGACCAAGATAACACAACACAACTAAAACAGGAAGTATTTGATGCCGCCTTGAGTCAAGCAATGATAGGGAGATGCATATTTAATTCAAATTTCAACTAGGTTTGAAGAGGCAATTAGAAAATATTTTTCAAGAGTGGGCAATAGCAATATAGTACCTCTCCTGTGGAAGAAAGAACTGAAGACAAGTATTTTCAAGCTCCATGTAGGGACAGTGAGCAGATTTGCAGCTGTGAAGTATGGTCCCAGGTGGACGATAATTGGATCATGAGATTTATGTTCATCAGATCCTTATTGTTCCTGCCTCATTTCATGCTTGACTATGAAGAAATAAGGACCAGGATAACCCAAATATATGCCATGGTTTTTAGAACCTTACCCACTAAAACAATGGGCAGTGGCTTTTTTAAAAGAACTATTTTTATAAGGTTAGAACATGAAGGAAAACACTGTACTGAGGATGAGAAACCTTCCACTATTAAAAATATATATGGATCCTGCCTATGGCAATATTTGGTGAAAACAGAACAAAGAGAGAGTAAAGATTAGACATACATGCTGTTAGGAATATTTTCTAGGTACTCTGACAATGATGTACTTAATGAAACTTCAGACTTCTGATTTGCATTGTTTATAAGGAAGTCAACACCTTCAGAAGCTGTTTGTTAAAATAGATTAAAACAATTCTGCAGTTTTACCATCATTTCTTGGATTTGTTTTGTAAATCTCATGACAACTACTTTTTGTGTGTTGTTTCCTGACAACAGTGGTTGTCAAAGCCTCAAGTACCTAAGTTCTAAATGATAAAACTCAAAGATAAATTGGTCTTCCTATTACTGTGCTGAGTTAACATTAAACAACTACCTAACTTAGGTATTTGTTGCACTTCATTGGGTCACCAGATACAATTGTAGGTTGTTTTCATTATTACCAATGTTCTATTCAGAGATAAATGATTTTTTTTCCTAAGATGTATGTAACCCAGCTCTTTTCAATTATGAAGAGAACTGCTTCCCTTAAGGGTACTTGACTTGTCCAGATATTAATCTTTTTTGCACAGAATGCTGCAACGCACATAATTATATTCTTCCTACTGAGGTCTTGCTCAGGCTCAGTAGACTTACAGTAGAATTCATTAAAAAGTTGAAATCCAGTTTTGCAGGTTTTCTTTTTACTTGTAAGAAGTTAGTATTATTACTACACTAATTTAAAGATGACAGTACATAAGGCTCATTGATGCATCATATATAGAAGTAAATAAACCAACAGTAGAAATGAACAGATGACAATGGTTGTCTCCCAAATTAGTATCTCTGGAGTATATGAAGTTACACTGAACTATGTCTATGTAGTGGCAGAAAAAAACCGATTACCTGATTTCATGGAATGTTTTCTGTTCTTTGTCTAATGATCGCCTAATCCATTTTTTTTTACTTTTTTAAAACTAATATATTTGGAGGTTTATAATTATAGCTTATGTTTTTAAATTAAATTTTAATATTAAGATCATCATAGATTCACATGTAATTGTAAGAAGTAATAAGAGGAGATCTGTGTATCCTTTACCCAGTTCCTTCTGCCCCTATAGTAACATCTTGCAATACTATTATACAACTCCACAGTCAAGATTTCTATCACCACAAGGATCCCTCATGTTTTCTTTTACAGCAACACCCACTTTCCTCTGGCTCCCACCTCCTTCTTAATCCCTAGAAAACCACTAATCTATTCTTCAGTTCTACAAATTTGTCATTTCAATAATGTTATATATGTGAAATAATATAAAAATATAACCTTTGGGGATTGCCTTTTTTCATTAAGTATAATTTCCTGGAGTTTCATCCAAGTTGTGTGTATTAATACTGTATTCCCTTTTTTATTGCTGAGTAGTATTCCATGGTATGGATGTATCACAATTTGTTTAACTATTCACCCATTAAAGGGCATCAGGGTTGTTTCCAGTTTGGGCCTATTACAGATAAAGCTGTTATAAATATTTATGTACAGGTTTCTTTGTATGAATATAAGTCTTCATTTCTCCGGTATAAATGCCCAGGAATGCAGTCAGTGGGTTTTATGGTAGTTGCATGTTTGGACTTTAAGTCAGCAGCCAACCAGTTTTTCATGGTGTCTGTATCACTTTTTATTCTCACCAGCATTGTATGAATGATTCCATTTATCCAAACCCTTACCAGCACTTGTAATTGTCACTATTTTTTATTTTAGCCATTCTGCTAAGTTGGTGGTGATAGGTTATTGTACTTATTTGCATTTCCCTAAAGGCTAGTTATGTTGATCATTTTATTCACATGCTTATTTTCCATCTGTACATCATTTTTAGATAAATGTCTCTTTATATATTTTGCTCATGACCCAGTTGGGTTGTTTGCTTTTTTTAATCATTAAGTTTAAGAGCACAGTCAGAGGTTTGAAATTTAAATCTATGAATTTTTGAGCCACTCTCAACATGTCTGGAAAAATCAAATATTAGAAGTAAAAACCAGCAAATAAATAATGTACAGATCTATTAAAATACTGCAAAATAACCAACTTGTGTCAGGCAAGTCATACTTATCATGCTTATCATTTGGGAAGCACACTTTGCCATGACTGGATGGTATAAATGATTTTATGTAGATGTACATGAGATGAAAAACATCAGTTGAGTTATGAACTATTTGGGGCAATTTAAAAAAACAACAACTTTTTTCCAGGTTAAAAAAATGTATACACATTGTATAAAGTTTAAAAACACATACAAAAAAGATTGAGAAGGCAAACATTATCAATATTTCTACCACCCAAAGATAACTGCCCTTAATGTTATTTTGGTTTATTCCCAGTTTTACATCCATATTATACATGAGTTGGAATCATGCTCTATATACAATTTAGCACACTATTTTCTTCCATGTTTTAAGTTTTGACATTTTGTAAGCCTTTAAATATTTTTCAAAAATAAATTTAATGGTAATGATTTATTTAGCCATTAACTTATTTTTGAATTTATTTGGACATTTGGGATTTTGATGAGTAGATCATTTCATCTTTCATCTTTAGATTTACAATCCATCTAAAATTGTCTTATTTTTATATGAAATTGAGTAAGAACCAAAATTTAATTTTTTATCATGTGGTTATTCAATTGACCATTTTCTCCCAACATAGTCTTAAATCAGGAGAGCATAAGAGTGTTGGTTTATTTCTAGACTCTACAATTTCATTGATCTCTGTCTTTGTGCCAGTATTACACTACCCTCATTACTACTGTGTTAAAATCAGTCTTCCCATTTTGTGGTTTAAATCCTCCAACTTTGTTTTCTTCTTCAAGATTGGCTTATTTATACATTTTAGAATCAACTTGTCAATTTCTACCAAAGATGGGAGATTTTGACTTGGATTGGATTAAATCTGTAGATAAATTTGGAGAGATTAGCTTAATTACAACTTTGAGGTTTCAAATGACTAACACGATATATACCCCTATTTACTTAGGTATGCCTTAACTGTTCTTAAAAATATTTTAGTTTTTAATATATAAATCCTTCCCATTTTAAAATTAGATTTGTTTCTAGGTATTTGAGTTTTTGTGCTTTTACAATTTATTATTTGTTATGTTTTCTTCTGTTTGTTGAAGACATATGGAAATATAATTTTCATATTATTTTTGTATTCAGCAACTATGTTAAATGCTTCTTAATTATTATTTGAAGTAATTTTTTTCAGGCTTTATACTTTAACAGTCATGTCATCTGTGCATAATAACAGTTTTAATTTTTCTTTCCTGTCCTTATATCTTTTCTTAACAGGCTATGACCACAAATACAATGTTGAAATAAAAAAAAGATTTCAGGCAATATTGTCTCATTCCTAGCCTTGGGGGAAAGTGTTCATATTCCATGAATATGATATGTATGGTGTTTCTGGTGTTTTTTGTTGGATATTCTTTTTAAGATTAAAGAGATTTTCTTTTATTTGGAGTTTGCTAAAAGTTTGTAATGGCAGATGGTTGTAGATTGTTATTATTTTATTTTGAAACCAGGTATTGCTGTGTCACCCAGCCTGGGGCACAGTGGCATGACCTTGGCTCACTGCAGCCTGGACCAGCCTGGGCCTCCCAGGCACCAGCAATCCTCCTGTCTCAGTCTTCCAAGTAGCTAGGTCTGTAGGCGTGTGCTACCATGCTCAGAATTATAATCCTTTCTTTCTTCTTTCTTCTTTCTTCTTTCTTCTTCCTCCTTCTTCTTCTTCCTCTTCCTCTTCCTCTTCTTCCTGTTCTTCCTCTTCCTCTTCTCCTCCTCCTCCTTCTTCTTTTTTTCTTTTTGTAAAGATGGGATCTCAATATCTTGCCCATGCTGGCCTCAAACTTCTGACTTCAAGAGATCCTCCCACCTCAGCCTCCCAAAGTGCCGAGACTACACGTGCGAGCCACCGTACCTGGCTGGTTGTAGAATTTTATCAACTACTTTTTCGGCATCTATTGAGATAATCATTTGATTTTTATACCTTTTGCAGTCAATGTGACACTATATCTACATTGATTTACAAAAGTTGAGACCACTTTAAATTGTAATCAACACTATGATGTATAATCATTTTTAAGATCACTGGAATCAATTTGCTGACATTTATAATTTGTTACATCCATGTTTTTGAGAGAAAATGGACTGTGGTTTTCCTTGCTTGTAATGTTTTTGTCAGATTTTGGTGTCAACATTATCCTGGTCTCATGAAATAAGTTATGAAACAGCCTTTTTCTCTGTTTTTTAAAGGAAATTGTGTAGAATTTATAGAATTAGTGTTTTTTTCTTAATTGATAGAAGAGCATTTTTGTAGGAATAATTTTTATGAAATATATAATTTCTAACATATACAGGAATATACATTTTTTCTCCTTGTATCAGTTTTGATATATTGTGTTTCTAAAGAATTTGTTCATTTCACTTAAGTTGCTGAATTAATGCTTTTAATATCTGTAGAGTTGTCATCCTTTTCAAACCTGATATTGGCAGCATCTCTCTCTTTTCTCTTTCATATTCAGTCTTGAGCCTTTAGATTTTCTTACTCAGTCTTGAACTTTTAGATTCTCTTTATTGTACATTCGTTTTCTATTTCATTTGTTTCTGAGCTTAACTTTATTATTTTAGTCGACTTATGTTTTTGGGTTAGATTTGCTGTAGTTTATTTGTGCAGCAAGGTTAGATACTGATTTTTGACTTTTCTGATTAAATATATCTTTAAAGCTATATATTACCCTCTAAGTCCTATTTTAGCTACATCCCATGCATTTAGATATGTTGCTTATATTATCATTAAATTTAAAATATTTTTAGTTCCAATTTTGATTTCTTCATTGTTCAATTGATTTTCTAAAAATATATTACTGTTTAAGCAGTTTGTACTTATTAATTAAGTTTCAGTTGGTATTCAAATTAATTCCATGTGGTTGGAGAACATACTCAAAATATTTCAGTTTTTGAAATTTGTTAGATTTGTGTCTTGAGCTAACATTTTGTTAAATTTTGAGTCTGAAATGTATATGAATTCTTTCATTTGTTGGGTATAGTATTTTAATTAAAGTTTTATAAGTTGCTTTATGGATAATGACATGTTTATTTTCAAACAGGATTCTATGGGGCACTATTTTATGAAAATAATTTATGTTCTTGCTTTAGTTATATGAAGTCGAATGTTAAAAAGGTAATATTTATTCAAAAACTACCTTTTTAAAATATAAGGTTATCGTTCAATTTCTTAGAATAAATTATTTCTTCTACATCCTAATATCTTTTTTCTAGTAATTTAGTACAAATCTTAACATCATTTGCCAAGCTAGTGTTAGATCTGAGAAAATAGGGTCATAGTTTGGACTTCTTTTAGAACATACTATTTTGAGAATAAATCCAAAAGTGTCATTCTTAAAAGATAGAACAAAAATAGAAATTAATAAAGTAAAAACTAAAAATCTACCTTCAATTTTACTGTCACTTTTTATGATGCACAAATCTAGATGATGGAGTACAGAGTTGAGAAAGAAGTGTACATATTTACCCTTTGTTTATGGAATTGCACAGAAAAGTGGAAATAAACATTGTCAGCTCCTCATTGTAGAAACGTCACCTTGCTTTTCTCTACTTGATTCATGGCTAAGTTCTAAAATCACATCAGTAATGATTTTAGAGTTTTCCGTTATTTTCTGTTAAGTGTTCTGCACGTGTCGGTAGCTCAGAAGTCTCATGTGATCACTTTCACTTGACAATTCTGAATGTGTCATGACTGATTATGCCATTGTTTGCTGGCCTCTTTTTTTCCCCTAACTTATTTTCCTTCTTGCCACATTACCCTCTCACATATCTGACACTTTTCCTTTTCTTTGTTACTCAGTGAAATGAAGCATGCTTCTGTTTCCCTATGGAAGCCCCTCTCCTGCCACCCCACAGTCAACTATAATCTATTGCTACATTATATGAATTCCATTATTTTTCCACTGTGTTAACTTCAAGCGCCTTAAGCTGAGTTTTTGTACCATGGGACCAAAAAAGCTAGAGTTTGTGAAAGTGAACTTATCATCCAAGCTATATATCTATAATTTAATAGATTGCTTATTCATTCAGGTGTCTGTAAGATTTCCCAGGGTATTTCACAAGTTATGCCATTTTAATGAAACCCATCACATCTAATGTTCAATGGAGAGTAAACTAGATTCTATTTGGAACAATCAGTGATGACAAACACTGGAAAGATGAGACACTCTAAAATGAATAAGAATTTAATGAAATTTTTAAAGACATCACTTTCCAACTTGCTTCATTCTCATCTCTTTGGATTCTCTTTATTGTGTTTATTTGAGTTTTAACAATGCTTCATATTCATGAAATTGATGATATTTTAAATGCCTTTTGGTTTGAAGTTTATTATTTGGCCTTATAATTGAATTTAAGATAAGGCAAATAATAGTCAACTAAAACCCTGGTGTAAGATATAAAATCAAGCTCCAGATATTTTTCTTTAAAAAAATCAAAATAATGCTGTGAGAATGCATAGAATATGATACGAAAGGCTCACAGTTTCATTCTTGGTGACATCTCCTTTCCATGCTTGCAACCATATCCCAAATACTAAGCATTGGAGGGCTTTCCAGATCATCATGATTCACAATGTGAAGGTGCATTCCTTAGGGTATTTCTATTAAGTATATTGGCTTTTTTAAATGTGGATAATTAAATCAGGACTCAGCCATGACAGCTGCTGGTTTCTTTGGTGTTAAAGGATGAATGCTACCTTACTTAAGTAAAGAACAGCCTTTAGGTTTCCCTTTCAAAAATGAATGTGTATCACTAAAAAAGTACTGAGAAAATTCAAACCTTGGTCTTACCAGAACATGGAGAGAATTTGGCTTCATTCACGTAATAGTGCTTAATTTCAAGGTCAAGCATTACCTTTAAACTCTGTTACGGTAATGCTTATCACTGCTTTTCTGCCTATTAATATTGTAGCAAAAGTATTTGCAATTCTTTAAAGGAAGGCCTCTATTTCATTCCCTGTTTCTTTCCCAGTCTCCTCTTCTTTTTCTGCTTTCCTTTCTTATTTTCTCTTCTCCTCTACTCTAGTTAGATCAATTAGATTGTTTATCAAAGTTGGCACAAATTCACTTCCCATGATTATGTGGCAGAGATAAAAATTCTAGGCATAATAAACCACTTCCCTTCATAGATGAGTTTTTGCAGGCAATCTATTTGTTCATGGTGTCAGAACAAAATGTGGAGAAGCACAATACTGAGTGAACTGGCTTTGATCCAGTCTCTGATGTTATTTAGCTGAGTAAAAATATCTGAGTCTATGAAATACCTTTTCATGTCTTCTAAGGCAGAGATAATCCCTATTTCATTGGATTTGCTTGAAATAACAAAGGGATTATTACATGAAAAATTTTTTAAAACTGTTATTATTATTATGTTAGTCCATTTGTGCTTCTAAAGCAGAGTACCTGAGATTGGGTAACTTACAAGAACAGAAATATACTTTTTCTCACAGTTCTGGAGCCTGGTATTTCCAAGATCAAGGTGCTAGGAGGTTCAGTTGTCTGGTGTGAGCTGCAGCCTCAGGAAGGGAGGAATATTGTGTCCTCACGTGGTCAAAGAGCAAAAGAGCAATCTTTCTGAAAGCTATGTGAAGCCCCTTTAGTAAGGGCCTTAATCTCTTTCACAAGAGAGAAGCTGGAGAAGCTGCCATGGCCTAACCACCTCTTAATACATTAGTAACACCTGAATTTTGGAGGGGACATATTCTAATACTAGCAATTATCATCACTCATAAGTGATTAAGGCAAAGGTGGAGCATCAGCAGAGAGGAAGGGAATTAATTGGATATTTGTTTATTAATTTGTAAATAGCCAGATGATATAATGAGAAAGCTTGTGTATTAGTGATTACAAGTTTAATGCTGTTGGCAAATTGTATATATGTGTGTGTATACCTACATGTATATCTGTCTATATATATTGACATATATATATATATATGTATATATTGGTTTATAACTGTGTTCAACTATAATCATTTCAGATAGAAAAAGAGATGTTTCCAAAATAAAAGTTTCTGTAATGTGGCATTCTGCTTTGAGCTTCTTTTCTTTGGTGCTGTGATCTATTTTAGTAAATGCACATAGGTGACTAAATTGAATTTACAACAAATCTTATGTGGAAATAGGGCAGGCAATTTTCATCTGAAAGTTAGTAAGGGGCTGTATTCCCCAGGTGAGGTGTCAGATTGCCACAAGCTCTATCAGTTACTAGTTGTGTGAATTTGACAAGTGATTGAAACTTTATGAGTCCCAGTTTCTGCATCTGTAGAATGGGGATAAAAATAGTATCTATTTCTTAGAATTCTTATATAGATTGAATAAGATAATAAATGTACAGCATTTAGAACAATCTCTGTCAAGCAGTAAATGGTCATGTTACTTATTACCATTCTCACAATTTTCAGCATAGATCTTCAATAATGCTTTAGAATATAAGACTCTCTTTGCCAGATTTTCTGTCCTTTTGCCTCTTTCCTACCCAACGCTATTATCCCTTTATTATCCTGTCTTCATCTCTTCCACCGCTGGAAACAGATAATATCTTGACTATAGTAGCTGAAAAACATGACTCCCTCACGTCACCGGGTCACCAGTGGGAGCTGAATTGTTTAAATATGAATGATGGAACTGAAGGAGCATGAGCAAACTTCAGGGTATTTCATTGTTAGCTGTGGTGTTTGACAGATGTTTGTAGAGTCCTTCCATTTGAAATGTCTTTCTAGGTTGAATTAAAGATTACAGGTGATGTTCACAGATCTCTACCTCATAAAGAGTTTGGCAGATAAATAGGCACCTTACAAATATTGCAACTTCTAAGACAGCTTATCTGAGTATTGTATGGCAAGCTTCATTTGTGGGGCATACTGTTTTCATAATAGCACCCATCCCCACCTTGCTGATACTCCCAATATTCTCTACCCTTTATCACATTATATATTTAACTTATTTGATTTCTAAAATTTCTATCTCTTCCTTCTCTTACTCAATCTTCATGAAGACAATGACTTTTGACTGCTTTCCTAACTAGTTTATTCTCAGAACTTATGAAAGTGTTTGGCACCTAATGGGTATATGAAGTTAGAAATGCTTCTAAAAATTAATAACACAAATACCAGTTTATTTTTTACAAAGACTTTACACTTTCTTTGACTCATCTAAGAGTACTATTCATTCATTCACTCAACACTTACTACTTGGTGTGTTATTGGTACCTCAAATTCAACATGCCCCAAACTGAACTCAATGTTTCCTCTGAAATTTATTCATTCACATCTTCCCATCTGAGCTAATGTCAAACTATTTTTCCTGTTGCTTAGATCAGAAACCCTGGAGCCATTCTTGATTTCTTTCTTCTCTCATAATTATATATCCCTTCCCAAAGCAATGCTATTCTCAAAATATTTCCAGATTTTAAACAACTGTCATCACCTCCAATGCTATCATAATGAAGGCCAGCATCTTCTCCTGCCTGGATTGTTGCAAAACATTAACTGGCCTCCCTGCTTCCACCCTTTTCCCTGGACAAATTAAGCTGTGAAATGAATGCATTTCATTCAGAACAAAACCCAGGCCCTTACAAAGATTTGCAAGCTCCGTCACCTCATTTTATCTTAAACTGCTTAACTACTCACTTACTCCGCTCCCAGCTATATTGGACTCTACTATTTTGGGATCTTACCAAACATACTTATTACAGGGCTATTTTGTTGTTTTTACATATTGACATGGAAAGCTCTTTCTCCAAATTTTTGCAGGGGATTTCTTCTAAAAGCAAATAGATTTAAAATAAAATTTTACCTGTGGCTTTTAGAAATACAGTCTTTTTATTTACAAAATGAAACAGATATTTCCTTTATTTTTCATAGTCTTGCAGAAATAATATACACGGATGTTAGGTTAGATATTATTCAGATCCTAAAATTACACTAGTAATTAGGCTGTAAGTAATTACGCTGGAAAAGGCTAAAAGGGCCAGATATGTCATTTATAAAATAAACCGACTGTAAGGGAAATCTGTATTGATTTAGCATTACTCACTGGACCTGTGTTTCTCACATTTAAAGCATCTCTCTCTGCTACCTTGTAAAAGAATACACTAGATCCTTTGGGTTAGTTTTCTATTTTTAAAATCAATTATTGGACAATTGGCTGCCAAAAAGTAGAAGTTAAAAACTGTTTCTGAAGTTTTGCAAATGAAAATCTATATCTACAAATAATATCGTTTCATTGTTGATGTTGATATGGACAGATTTACAGTCTCAATGTTTATGAGAGCTTTATGACTGACATTACAATGTATTGCTGAGTGTACTTTCTAGGGCCACACACCTGTATTTGCATCCTCTTGGCTATGTATGAGCTGTGGAGTCCATAGAAGTAGTTTTAACTCTCACTTTCCTTGTCTGTTAAATAGAGATGATAATAGTAAATTCCTCATAGGATCTTTAGGAATATTAGGAGGGAGTTAACAAATGCAATACTCTTACAAGTGTGCTGGCTTACACAGTTATGTGCTCAGAAAATGATATTTTTTATTATATCAATGACCCTTTCTTCTTTTCCTAAGGGAAACATGTCACAAATGCCTATGAGAGTTTGAAAAAACCTGTGGTTTTTCCCCGCAAATAATTTCATTCAAACACTCACACAATATTTTATATACAATTTCCACAGATATGCAGAGGCCCCTGAAGCTTCCTCCTGGATCACCAAGTGTCCATATATCCCTTATTAAAAAGTCTTGCTTAAGATGGCAAATTTTAACCCAAACATATCAACAACCATATTAAATGTGAATGGTATAACCATAGCAGTTAGAAGACAGAGATTACCATATCATATAAAAAGCAAGGTCCAATTAAATGTCATCTACAAGAAACCCACTTTAAGAAATCTAAACACATACTAATTAAAATAAAAAGGTTGAAAAAGTTATACCATGTGTATGGAAATGGCTTAACTCAGCAGGCCTGGGTTATTCAAACCCTACATATTTCCAAGAAATTTGCATTTATGACTGGCCCTTGGTCAATTCCTAGAAACCAAGTTCTTGGAATGATATGTCTAATATGGATATTTTTGCAAGACTGAGACCTTGGGCTATGCTGTATCAGTTTTCAAGATAGTTTATGCAAACAATGTGACATATGGTGAACACCTGCTTTTCCTCTGAGGATCTGGATCTTGAGAAACTGAGGCTAGTTACACAGGTGCTGTATGCCCACAAAAAAAAAAAAAAAAAAAAAAAAAAAAAAAAGACTTTCCAATGAAACCTGGACTACCAAGTTTGGGTTAGCTTTTCTGGTTGACATCTCTTTAAACCTGTTGTCAGATACCATTTCTGAAGGAATTAAATGTGTTCTGTGTGAATCTACTGATAAAGGGCAATTAGAAGTTTTACCTGGTTTCCTTTGAATTTCAACTTGTGTGCCTTTTCACTTCACTGATTTTACTCTGAATATTTTAATTGTAATAAACTGTAACTATGATTATAAGAACTTCTGAGACCTGTGGGTCTTTCTAATGAATCATTGTGGCTGAGGGATGTCTTGTGTACCCTTAACACACTGTCTAAACTCTAACAAAAAGAAGGTTGGATTTGCCATATAGTATCAAAATAAACTCCAGAACAATGACTTTATTAGAGGTGCAACAGGATTATATAATTAACAAGGGATAATTATTTAAGAAGACGTATGTTATGTGCATACCTAACATCTGAGTTTAAAAATAAGTAAAGTAAAAGCTGACTTAAGTAGATAAATAGATAAATTTATAATTTAAGCAGATAAATAGATACATTTATAATTATTGTTGAAGATGTCAGTACTCCTAGTTGAAGGACACAAAGTTCATAAACACAAATCTATTTTATTTCTATATAAATGGGAATTTAGCACAATGGGAATTTAGCACAATGGAATCTTTAACAATGTGGTATCTATATGCTGAATACTGCAAAATATTGAAGAAATAAATATTAAAGGACCAAAATAAACCAAGATTTATATCATGTTACTGAATTAGAAGACTCAGTATATTCAAGGTGTCAATTTACCTCAATGTGTTCTATGGAATCAATATAATTCCAATGAAAATTAGAGCAGATTTATTCTTTTTGAAAAATAAACAAGCTTATCCTAAAATTTATACAGGAAAACAAGTGACTAAAATAGCCAGAACAACTTAGACAAAGAAAAAGAATTTGAAGGACTCACATTATTCAATACTGATGGCTTACTATAAAGCTGTTCTATTTAAGATACTGTAGCATTGGTGAAAGTATGGTTACATACATCAATGAAATGGAATAGAGGGCTCATAAATAGACCCGCACAAATAAATCCAATTGTGATTTGGACAAAAGTGCAACAGTAGTACAAGAAAAAGTAGTATATTTAAAAAATGGTACTGAAAATATTGGATAACCATTTATCAAAAATTGAACTTCAACATGTCACACCTGTACAAAATTAAAGT
The DNA here is from genome assembly GCF_000001405.40 of Homo sapiens. NCBI lineage: Eukaryota > Metazoa > Chordata > Mammalia > Primates > Hominidae > Homo > Homo sapiens. Next base: position 114,881,292 of record NC_000006.12, read on the forward strand.
TCAAATAGATTATATGTCTAAATATAAATCATAAAAATATAAAACTTCTAGGATCAAAGGTGGGTGAAAATCTGTGTAAGTTTGCATAAGGCAGATGTTTTAAAATATAACATCCAAAGCAGGATTCATTTTCAAAAATGGTAACCGAGACTTCATCTGAATACAGAAATTCTGCCAGGTGAAAGACACTGTTCAGAGAATGAAAAGGTTAGGCACAGACTGGAGAAAATATTTTCAAGTGATATATCTGAGAAAGGATTATAACCAAAATATCTAAAGAACTCTTAAAAATCAACAATTAGAAAACATAGAAAACAAACAACACAGCTAAAAATAAATAGGATAGCGTTCTGAGCAGAAACATTACCAAAGAAGGTATGTGGATGGACAATAAGCATACAGGAAATGCTCAATTTTATTTGCCTTAGGGAAATGGAAATCAAACCCACAATAAGCTACCACAACACAACTATTGGAATGGCAAAACCAAAACAAAACAATCAATTAAATAAGCAAACAAAACTCTGACATTATCAAATTCTGGCAAGAATTCCAAACAACCAGAACTCTTATTCATTTGTGGCAAGAATAAAAAATGATACAGCTACTTTGTAAAATACGGTGAGGAGTTTATCATGAAGTTAAACAAAACTTTACTATACAACACAAAAATTCTATTTCTGGAGCTTGACCCTAAATAAAAAGTCTGCATTCTCAAAAATATTCATACATGAATTTTTAGAGCAGCATTATTTGTTGTCACCAAAAGCTACAAACAGCCAATATATTCTTTAACAGGTGAAGGGATAATAAACTATGAAACACCTACACACTGAAAGACACTGTAGCAGTAAAAATAAATATACTGTCAATTTGCACAATAACATGGATGCATGTTGAATGTATTTTTCTAAGTGAAATAAATCAGACCTAACAGGCTACATTATATGATTCAATTTTTTGTCATTTTGGAAAAGGCAAAATTGTAAAAACAGGAGATATTAGTTGTTGCCACTGGTTGTAATGGTAGAAGACTTTACTATAAAAGGGCAGCACAAAAAAAATTTGAGGTGATAAAATAGTTCTATGTGGTACTGTGAGGGTAATTATAGAACCATAAGTGGTGTAAAACCTCATAAATCTGGACATAAAGGAGAGTAAATTTTAATGTCTGCAAATTTTAGAAAGTTAACCAGGATTTGGGGAAAATCAAAGATGAAATGCAGATTGCAACAATGATTCTAACTGCATTATAAATAAATGACATAACACATTGAAGAAGGTGGGAAAGAAAAGGAGTGGATCTAGAAACTTTGGAAAACTGTTTTCACTGAATACTATAAGGCTAATGATGAAGAGAATAATCTAAAAAAACTGAAGTCTAGGTGGTAAGTTCTGAAACTACTTTACCACACCATAACAAATGTAGACACCTATAATGAGAAACAGGTGTACCACTGTTGGGAAAATAAGTTACAAATAAGGAGAGACCTTTGCACAGGAAAGGCATTAAAGCTGAGAGTTAAATGAAGAACATAATCCCATTTACAATAGCAACAAAAAATAGAATACCTAGGAATACAGCTACCTAAGAAGGTGGAACATTCTACAAGGAAAACTACAAAACACTGCTGAAGGAAATCATAGGTGACACAAAAAAATTAATCATTCCATGCTTATGGATTGGAAGGGTCAATATTATTATAATGGTCAAACTGCCTAAAGCAATTTACAGATTCAATGCTATTCCTATTAAACTACATATGTCATTTTTCAAAGACTTAGAAAAAATTATTCTAAAATTCATATGAAACCAAAAAAGAGCCTGAATAGAGAAAAAATTATTCTAAAATTCATATGGAACCAAAAAAGACCCTGAATAGAGAAAAAATTATTCTAAAATTCATATGAAACCAAAAAAGAGCCTGAATAGTCAAAGCAAATTCTAAGCTAAAGGAATAAAGCTGGAGGCATCACATTACCTGACTTCAAACTATACTAAAAGGCTACAGTAACTGAAACAACCTAGTAGAGGTCCAAAAACAGACACATAGACCAGTGGAACAGAATACAGAATGCAGAAATAAAGCTTCACACCTACAGCTTTCTGATCTTCCCCAAAGTTGATAAAAATAAGCAGTGAGGAAAGAACTCTCTATTCAATAAGTGGTGCTGGGAGAGCTAGCTAGCCATATGCGAAAGAATGAAACTGGACTGCTACCTAGCACCGTATACAAAAATTAACTCTAAATGAATTAAAGATTTAAATGTAAGATTTCAAACTATAAGAATCCTATGAGAAAACCTAGGAAATTGCCTTCTCAATATTGGCCTTGGCAGATAATTTTTGGCTAAGTCCCCAAAACGAATTGCAACAAAAACAAAAATTGACAAGTTGGACCTAATTAAACTAAAAAGCTTCTGCACAGCAAAATAAACTATCAACAGAGTAAACAGAAACCCTACAGAATGGAAGAAAATACTTGCAAACTATGCATCTGACAAAGGTCTAATATCTGGAACCCATAAGGAATTTAAACAATTCAACCAGCAAAAAGCAAATAACCCTATTAAAAAGGGACAAATGACACAAGCAGATACTTCCCAAAAGAAGATATACAAGCAGTCAACAAACAAATGAAAAAATGTTCCATGTCACTTATCATCAGAGACATGCAATGAAATACCATCTCACATCAGTCAGAATAGCTATTATTTGAAAAAAAAAAAAACTAATGCTGGGCCAGGCTGCAGAGAACAGGGAATGCTTATACACTATTGGTGGAAATGTAAATCATTTCACCCACTGTGGAAAACAGTTTGGAAATTTCTCAAACCTAAAACAGAATGGTCATTCAACCCAGCAACTTCATTACTGGGTACCTATCCAAAAGAAAATAAATCATTATACTAAAATGACACATGCACTCATACATTCATCACGGCACTATTCACAATAGTAAAGACATGGAATCCACTTAGGTGCCCATCAGTGGTGATTGGATAAAGAAAGTGTGGTCCATATGCACCATGAAATACTATGTAGCATTATAAAGAATGAAACTATGTCTTTGCAGGAACTTGGATGGAGCTGGAGGCCATTATCCCAGGCAAACTTAATGCAGAAACAGAAAACCAAATACTGCATGTTCTCATAAGTGTGAGCTAAACATTGGGTAAATACAGACATAACGATGGCAACAATAAACACTAGGGACTACTAGATAGGAGCGGTGGGGAAGGGTTGAAAAATGAACTGTTGGGTACTTTGCTTACTATCTGGGTAGCAGAATGAATCATACTCCAACCTCAGCATCACGCAATATATCCATGTAACCAGCATGCACATGTAGCCCATAAATCTAAAATAAAGGTTGAAATTATAAAGAAAAATAAACAGACAAGAAATACTATGTGAACTTATTTTATATATGCATATATGTTCATACATATGCTTATATACACATATATTTGCATAGAAATACACACAGATATAGAAAAAATATATGCTTGTGCGTGCGTGATTACCATATATATACAACGTTTGTGTATGCACAAAGGAAGAGATAGACGTATATACATGGTTAGTACAAGCACACACATGTGTATAAATATATCTCCTAGTTCTATTTACTAAAAGGGTCTAGAAGCAATAATATTTCAGTAGCAATGAATGCATTAATCTATTTAGATCTTGGTTTCTATAATCCATTTTCCAATTTTTTATAAAGTGGGCCCCTTGGAGAAATAGTTGATTTTAAGACTGTGGCAGACAAATTACCAGATGCTCCTGGAGTATCTTATAATTCTAGTTAGTAAGAAAGTGCTGCAAAACCAAAAATATGAGGGCATGTCAAAGGGATATAGGAGTAGATATGAAAGAGCTCCCATTGGCCAAAGCTAAAACAATTAGAAAAATTAAATAAATAACCCAATTCTTAAATTATTACCCAGATAAACATCTATGAGTCCCTGTTGAGATAAATGAATATTGATTAAATAAATGGACTGGGGTGAAGATACGACTCTTTAATATCATTGTACAATATAAATGTAGAGGGAATAAAGGAAATAGAAAAATCACCATTAAAACATTATTGTAATAACTGATTCAAGCAAGTTTCAAAGATGTATGATAAAATTAGTGGACAAAGTTTAATGAGAAACTGGATATTTTCATAATCTCAAAGTATCTTCCCCTCTGCCAATATTTATTAAATACAAAAAAGTTAGCTTACAGTAGAGTGATCAAGTAGATATCACCTTAACCAAGTGATCAAAGTTAACATCCCAGGAGTAAGACATATGAACATCATGTGCCCCTGGTAAGATACAGTGCAAAGGGTACATGACCTCTGTGACATGCTTGCCAAAAATCCATAAATTCAATCACATCGTGAGATAGCCTCACACAAACCCAAACTGGGGGACATTCTGCAAAATACCTGACCTGTATTCTTCCAAAAGTGCCAAGAACATGAAAGACAAGGAAGTACTCAGGGAATCATCACAGATTAAAGGAGACAAAGGAAACATGACAACTAAGTGCAATGACATTCTGGGTTAGATCCTTAACAGAAAACAGACACTAGTGAAAAGTCTCATAAAATTCAAATAAAGTTGGTAATAGTTAATAGGATGATACCAATATTAAGTTCTTGGTTTTCATAATTTTATGATAGTTACATAAGGTGTTAACATTGCAGGAAACCTGGATAAGGTTTTACGTAAACTCTCTATACCATCTTTGCAACTCTTCTGTAAATCTAAAATTATTTAGAAATAAAAAATGTTTTCAAAAGCCTTCTTAGATCCTGTCATTTTTTGTGTCTTTACAATTTTGTGACATGTTTAAGAGCTAGAGGTTTATCCATGTGACAAAAGTTCTCATCTATAGATGAAAGGGCAAGTTATTCTCAAGTTGGCCATACCTTTCTCTTTCTAATATTTCTTTTATTTCTCATCAGTTTATAATCTCTGAAAAAAATCCAGTTGTAGGTAAATCAAACAAAATTATTCTTATCATTATGTATTGTATTTATTCTATTTTTAAAATTTTGTATTACTGTATATTTTTTCTAGTGCTATACTTGGAACCTGTGGCACTTGATGGATACATTTTTCTAACCAAGGTTATAAGGGTATTTAAAAAAGAGGAAAAAGACAGCTACAGTTGCTCATTTACTAATTTTTAATGTAATTAAGTTAGTCAGATTTATATTACTATGTGCTGAATTTAGGTTGTGTGTTGAATCAGTTTGCTCATCTGTAAAATGAGAGAGTGGGATTAGATAAACTCTGTGGTGACTTCAGTCTTTAACCATCTGCGAAACATTACATGTGAATGCTATTGGAAGAGGTTACACTGATTTATGTTGTTTAATTTATTTGGATTTAAGGCCTCTTAAACTTGACATGTAATTTTGAACATTTGCAAATTATTTTGAGTCAAGAGCTTTGGAGACATCTTCATCAGATGGTTGAACCTATTATTCATAGCCTTCCTGTTTAAGTTATTGGCCCCATGGGTCCAGACATATTTTGTTTATCATCAATGATGACACTACCATTTTCCTACAATTCTGTTGCCATGCAGCTATTTCAAGGACATATTCTGGAGCCAGCCTGTCTTTGGCTTACTGTTTTACACACCATCTGGAAACTTCAGCTGGTACAGAAGTTTAACCCTTGCTATTTAAAAATAAGTCTCCATTTAGGCTATATGACTACCTCCACTATCAAGCAAATATCCTTATTACAAATTCCCCTCCTAGAAGAAGAAGGGATATAGAATGGATACTTAAACAGCCCTATGTGATCCTTTATCTAAAATATTCTTCTAGAGGCAAAAAATATACATTTTTAACAATAATGAAGAATTGGTTTTTGAAGGACTCCTGTAATGCTCCAGCTGAAAAGTTCATTTTGAATGTGAAAAAGTAACTAGTCAGCAAAAATAAAAAAAAATATATAAATGGTTTTCTTTTTGAATTGGCTAGAAGAGGAGCATAAAAAAGAAGAAGAAAAAGAACCTGGTACTACATGTAAACTCTATGATTAAAAATAATAAAATCACAAGTATTGGACACTGATGAAAGGTTCTCTAGGCAGTGCCTAAATTTGCATTCACATACTTCCTTTTCCAAGCTGTGTGGTATTGGACAATTTGGTCAATATCTCTAAAACATACACTTCCTCATCTGTAAAGTGAGGAAAAGTAAAATACTTGGCTCAATGGCTGTTATAAAAATTAAGTAAGTTCTTTCACCTTAAGCCTTTAACACAATTGTAGGAAACTAAATGTTAACTCTCATTATAGTTGTGATAACAATTCTGATGGTAAATAATGAGAATGCTATCAAGCCATTTGTAGGCTGGTTAGTCACTGGCTTGGTAGCATCCATTTATTAATATATAGTCTTTGAGGTAGTTACTGTCTTGCTTTTGTAGAGGTAGTATACTGTCACTTTGTCACCTTCTTCACAATTTGAATAGCAACTATTTCAAGTAATTTATCTGCTTAAGAAAATTACTAAAGCAATTCAAATCATACCTCTAAGAGACAACAATAAATGGACACAAATGAGACATAAGTCTTTCTGTGTGTGTGTGTGTGTGTGTGTGTGTGTGTGCCATTCTGAATGTAGTAGAGTAAGAAAAGTGTATTAACTTTGGTAGTAAGATAAGATATCTGTATTATTATTTTTATGCAAAATATAGCTTCTAAAACCAGAGGTACCTAATTATTTAGCTGATACATTGTTTATCAAAGCTAGTGATCCAATAAAAGGAGAGTGCACTTCCTACTTCCTTGGTATACTTGGACATCTTTTCATATCTCACTCACTCAGGACAGCCCTGCAGTGGACATACGGCATTTAATAGGCCCTGGTTACCTCTATGCTAGAGGCAAAACTTCTAAATCATGCATTCATTGTTTAGATTGCTGGAATTGTGCCTTGCTCTTGCTTTTTGGTCATATTGATAGCTCTGCTTTTGCATTTGAGATTTGATTCTGTCTCCATGGGCTTATTGTTTGTGGTAAAAAGAAGGCAGCTCCCTTGCTTAGAAACTTCAGGGATCAATCTTGATTGTTTGAAATGTTTGCTTAAACCTTACTTGCTTAATCAGGCTTTTAGCTGATTGCTCTACAGTTTAATGTTTGCTTTATGCAGTTCTAGAGGGTACTGTAATAAAGCACTCTATGAATTGCTACTGAAATGTACATTACTATCCAGGGGACTTATTTTATTTGGTCATATTCTCATATCTGCATTGGAGCACAGTAGAAAGCATTTAAGGCATTTCTTTTCAAATCACCAAGAAGTTAAGAAAAATATGAGGTTCCAAGTGGATTTTCTGAAGGAATTCATTAGAGGTGCTTGGAAATTATAGTTTATTTTCTCTCGTAGCTCCACTTAGGTCATAATTTTAAAATCCATTAACAATCATCTTGAGGGATATGCTGATATATCTATGAAAAAGAATCAAAAAATGGCAAAACAACCAACAAACCAACCACAGGTTAATATCTGTGATATTCACTTATGAGAGAAGTACTCTAAAATTTAATTTAAAAATGTGATTGTCACTCTCAGTCCTCATCTGTAACAATGAGCAAAATAATTGATCCAGGAATATACTATATAATTGCTTGAAGTCATCTATTCGTATATAAGGGGTTAAAGTTGTTTAATCAAATATTTAAATTAACAAATTCAATTATATGTAATTTGCATATGTCCAAAGTACATGCAATATTATATCACTTAAATTTAGTGAATAATTTTTTCTTGTTGTTCCATGAAGTCAGGGGTTTTGTCTAATGTATTCATTGCTGTTATCTACAGTATCCAGAACAATCCCTGGCACATAGAAGTTACACAATAAAGATCTCTTTTATACATAAATGATCTAGTATTTAAGGTCTATAAAGGTTTGCTTCTCGCTGTAAACCTACAGTTACCACAAAATCTGGCCACAGTAGGTGCTCAACAAACCTGGGCCACCTTTAAGTCAGCCCACCTGGATACTCCTGCACAGTACAGATCTCCAAGTGGTAGTTGACTTGACACAGCTAATTAGTTCCCATGTAGATTTGTCAGACTTTATACAATTAGTTTTTTAAAAAATATATTTTTATTTTCAAGGTGATGATACATCTAACAGACAAAATAAATTACTGTGACAAGAAAAAGCCCAGGTTTACTGAAGAATCAAGCAAACTCTTATCCAATAACACTCAGGTACTATTAAAAGAAAAAATATGCTCGATCATAGTATATACTATGAGTCCTCAAATAATTTTATTTTCTCTTTGAAAAATGTTACAATAATGTTTAACTTTATATTCTATCCATACTCTTCTCATGACAGTTTGGTATCTTTTATTTTAAATATACACTGAAAGTATTTGCCATGTGAATGCTGCCCCATTGGATCTCACCATATATAATTATTATTTTTTTTATATTTCTGTCTACAAAGCATTCCTCAAATCCATATTTTTCTTTGTATTTCACTTTTTATTGACCAGTTTATGCCCTGCTTCCCTAGACTAATAAATGACAGAATAGGGACTCAATTTAGGTCTGTTTGACCCTAGAGCACACACTCTTATCCAGTGGTACAAAACTGTAATTTCCTCTTCTGTGGACCCTTCTCTAATACTTTAATTTGCACTACGGAAACATTTTGTAACTCTACTAGCAATTATAACGTAAGTTTGTTAGTTATCATTTATCTTTCTCTGCAAATTATAGTCATCACAGTATAACTTTTGATACAACACCTAGTTCATGATAAGAAATAGCTATCTTTTTTGATAAATTAATTAGTTCATTATTTAAGGCTACATTCAATTAATAGAAATCAGAAAACATTATAGGTATGTTTCACAAAGATTTAAATAAAATAAATTTTTCTGAATAGTGATAACTAATCATAATGAAAAACTGAGGAGCACAATTAGCTTTCTATATGTTTCCCATTTTCTAAAAATTGGCCTTATAATTTTAGCATGTTCACTCAAAAGAAAAATAAAACAAAATTCTATAAAAACCCCGTTAGTTCTAGAACAGAAATATAACTCAGATGATCGATATTCATTTAATGCAGTGAATTCAATGTTATGAACGATTTTAATAAATTGAAAGATCATAGATTCTGATGGTGTTTTGACTTACTTGTTACTCAAATTGGTTAAAAAATATGGATATATGACAACTACATAAGAACCATAATTTTACTGATACACCCACAATATCTTGAGGATTCAAGGAAGTAGGAAGAAGGAATTTCATAGAATTTATTAGAGTCTAATGTGCTGTGAAAAAAAGTCTTCATGTAAAAGTTTTATTTTTCAACAGAGATTTGATAGAAGAAAAAATGATCTTTGAGTGATGACTATTCTAGGTGAAAGACGGACATATTAATATCTGACTCCAAGATAAATTTTAAATATGTATGCATAAATAGGAATCACTTATTTATTTATTTTAAAAGCAATGATCTTCAGCTAGATGCTGAGAGCAGGAACATTTATGAGGGAGCGTATTTGAGACAGCTACACCCAGGTAAAAATCCTTACCATCTCTTTACTGCAGAGTCTTAATTTGATGAGAGGCAAATGGGAGCTCCGAAAAATCAGACGGCAGTGGTTCTCTGTTCATTACATTGTTGGCTAAGGAGTCTCTTCCAGTATTTACTTTCCTCACCAACAATTCATTCCTCTCTTCACTTGGAATTTACTCCAGGCATTTTTTACCAAATCTAAGAGTTCAGTAAAAATTTCTCCTCTTCCTCTCTCCTCAGTGTACAGGAGGCAAACAGCCCAGAAATTTCCAGTCTCCCATATTCAGGAAGCAGCTTTACAAGCAGTCTAGTATACCTGGTGACCTCCACTGTGACACAGTAGTCAGTCTCCGGCCCAGAATAGATTAGAATACCAAAATTCTGTCCCTTGCCTTTTGAGGAAGACCTTTATATTCAACAGGGGGCCAAGATCTTCTCCATATCAAGAATAAAGGTATCTCAGTATATTTATACTATAAATGCTTGAAAAATATTATTACATAATAATGCCAATTTAGATGACATTTTGACTTGTCTTAATTGAGCATTATATATACTTCATCAGTGCACTCAGTTAATTTAAGGTGACCAATTCAGTTTATTTGTGGCAACCAATATGGCTGTCTACTAAATATAAATGAGTCACAAGTTCTGCAGGTTAGTCTGAATCCTCTAATATTTTACCTCTTAAATTACGTCCTCTGTGCAGCATCAGCCTCACCTGGAGTTTGTTGAAAATGTATAATCTCATTTTCACCCTAGTATAGGTGATTTGTGTGAGCGTTAAAAGTTGAAGATGCTCTGTTCTAGGTAGGGCTTCTCTAATTATTCTTGCTGAATGACCAGTTTGCTTTCTCCATGAGACCCTGACCCAACGATTAGCAACTGATATTTTTGCGAAATAGCATAAAAATAAATTTCTAGAGAAATTAATTGACAGAAGTATTTTTTAAATTTTATTATTATTATACTTTAAGTTGTAGGGTACATGTGCACAATGTGCAGGTTAATTACTTATGTATACATGTGCCATGCTGGTGTGCTGCACCCATTAACTCATCATTTAGCATTAGGTATATCTCCTAATGCTATCCCTCCCCCCTCCCCACAATAGTCCCCAGAGTGTGATGTTCCTCTTCCTGTGTCCATGTGTTCTCATTGTTCAATTCCCACCTATGAGCGAGAGCATGCGGTGTTTGGTTTCTGACGGGCTTAAAAAATGGTGCACCAGGAGATTATATCCCGCACATGGCTCGGAGGGTCCTACGCCCACAGAGTCTCGCTGATTCCTAGCACAGCAGTCTGAGACAAAAGAATTAAAATCATATTTTAAAGTGCCAAGCCATTTCATGTATTTGTGTACTACATTTAGTTATCTTTCTTTCCTTCATAGTTAAGTGTGACTAAATATGAAAAAGAATAATCATCTGACAAAATAAACTCACAAATAATGAATAATATAATAAATAAAAGAAACATAAATAACATTAAACATAACACACCATCCATCCATGAAGTGTTTCCATATGCCAAGTATTCACTGTGCTATATACTTTTACATATTATGTCATTTGAACCTCACAATTCTTTAAGACTAGATTTAATTCACCCATCCATTTTATACATAAGCAGCCTGAAGTTTAGGTTAAACAATTTACCCAAAGTCACACAACTAGAAAGTTATGGATCCTACATTTTAATCAAAATTCTAACTGGCTTGAGAGCCTAAAACTTTTGCCTTTCCTGTTGCCTCAATATAATCTTTCCAAAGAAGAGACATTCAGATAAAACATTTATGTCGTATTGTTCCTAAAAATCTCAAGTGTTAACAAGAAAGTCAGCAGAATTTTGCCACATCAATTCTTTCAGTACAGACTCTGTGCTCATTTTAGTTATTGTCACTGTAATGCAGCTGATTGCAGGGAACTTCTTAGGCAGAAATAAAACCACTGATTTGGTGGGGGTGGGAGAGAGGGAGGGTGTGTGGTGGAGAGATGATGGTCCATTAATTTTGTGGATAAACACTACAATTTATTATTCAAAGCAATAAAAATCTTATCTTGAGCTTTTATAATAATGTTATTGCCAAAAATAGTTCCCTAGAGAGGAGAAATATGTAAAAACAGAATTTGGGGCGATAATAAACAATTTGGGAGGGAGCTATTTGACTAAATATGCATGCTTTCAGCCAAAAATTACACAAAAGTTATTAACAGATCCCACACAAAATATTTCTGCCTTAACATTGGGATGAAATAGGCTTCTGATATCTTTAAGATGAGAACTGGTTTGAATTATTGTAACTTATATTCTGATATCATTTGAGAAGAGGTGCTCTCTAGTGAGGGTTATATAGGCAGCTCTTCCATTGCTGCTCTTTCCTTAGTGGCCTGGCTCATGAACACCTTCACCCAGACCCAAGAATTGGACTAATTTCTATAATGGACCAATTCCACTCTCAGCAACAGCCCTGGTCAGAGGTGTAATCGGAAGCTGAGGCAGTCTGAAACACAATCGTTTTGTATGACCTTGATTCTGGTCATACAATACAATTGCTGCCTCACAATAGCATGTATAACTATCACTAAGGTCTATTTTTACATATAACTCACTTTATTTTTCTTCCACACTGCTTTCTCTTGTAGGGAAGAAAACATTACACAGCATTCAATATGTTTTATATACATTACTCAGACTTGGCAATAATTAAATTAGAAATGCAACACATTAATCCAGCATTATATTATGATCAATTCAAAGATGTTCTGGTTCAAAGAATATTGTGCTACTTTGACCAATGAGTACAGAATATGGATGAGATGCTGCAATTTTTAACATAAACTTTCTAGGTAATGAAACTTTATATGCTGGTGTTAGTCAACAAAGGAAGGATGAAAGGTGAGGATAATGGGTTAAATGCCTTAAAATTTATAAAAGTTTTAACAGAAGGTAATTTAGAAGAAATTTAGTTTTAACCCCTCTCAGTTTACAGGTTTGGAAACAAATGCAGAAAGACGAAATCATCAGTGATCAAGTTAGACCAGTATTATTTCTTCTTGATGGATTTTCAATATTTATATTGACAATTACAAAAGTTTAATTAGAACCACATTGTACTCAATTAGGAAGCTTTGCTGTAGTTGGGGAGAAATAGAATTTATTCTGGCCCTGTGAAGTATCCAGGGTTTTGTTTCTTCTTTTTTGTTTAATTCTCTGTCTTAATCATTTGGGCTACTATAACAAAAATACCATGGACGAGGTGGCTTAAACAACAGAAATTTATTTCTCAGAGTTGTGGAAGTTGGGAGGTCCAAGAATATGGTGCGATGAAGGTGCTGACAGATCCAGTGCCTGGTGAGGGTCCATGTCCTGGCTTGCCATCTTCTTCCTTTATCCTTACATGGCAGAGAGCAGAATGAGAGAAAACATGCTCCCTGTATCTTTTTATAAGAGCACCAATCCCATTCATAAGGGCTCTACCCTCATGATCTCACAAAGGCCCCACCTCCTAATATCATCAAATTGTGAGTTAGAATTGCAACATACAAATTTTGGGAGGACATAAGCAATTGGTCAATAGCATTCTCTTTTGTTTTAAAAACTCCTCTTTCAATATTATCTCAGAGGCAGACTGTTTGTTTCTCTATACAGAGACATCACTATTTTGAGGTCTTTTTTGTTTCTTTTATGCACATGTCTGCTACAGCCAGTACTTGAGGCTATTTCTTAATGGAAACACCCTACTATAAATCATCTCAAAGCAGAAAATTCATGAGACACTGCAAAATCCCCAAAATTTGAGATGTATTTTTAAAAATGGTCCTGAATTCATCACAAGAAGCTGTGGTTTATGGTTAGGAAACAACTGTTTCAGAATAGAAGAAATTAGCAATTGAGAACACTAAAGAATATATATAGACACTGCATGGAGCCATGGGAATAGTTCTGACCCAGCCTTGAGTCCTTTATTCACTAGTGATATTAACAAATATCACTTGAAATCACTGGTCCTTAGGTTTCTCACCTCCACAAAGAAGAGACTGAATTGGAAAGTATCTAAGATCCCTTGCTCTCAAATTCAGGTTTTCTCTTCTGCAATTTTATGCATTGAAGAGGACTTGGAAGCAAATTAATTATTTTTAGGTCACTGGCTCCCATCAGATGCTTGGAACAGTTAAAAAAAAAAACTGGTGCTAGATAGGTAAGCATACAGTTTTTTTTTTTCCTCAAAATATAACCAAATACAATCATGAGTAAAAATATGTTTTAAACCATGTTTGGGAGGAAAAGTAAGACAGCTGCCTTGTTCTGTGAAACTTTTTTACAGGGATATCTCAAAGGATGGCTAGATTGTTGTTTTCAATCTAGAATTTAAGAGCAAAAAAATACTGGAGTCTACACAAATACTGTCCCAAAACTTTAAAAAGAAACAAACGTGGTTTGAAAAATGGAACTTGGTTTATTCAGTACCAAAAATAATACAAAGAATGATGGAAGCAATTAACACTTCTTCTCTTCCAATTAGAGTTGGCCTTAATGTCACATCAAGGACAGCTGTGGTCACACGGCTTCATTGTGTAAGATCTATAATTCAACCAGAGACAATGATTACCTGCATTTAGTGTTTGGCCATCTACAACTCCTTCATCACTATAACACTGAGTGGAGGTTATTATTATTTTTTTATTTTTATTTTTATTTTTTTGAGACAAAGTCTCTGTCACTCAGGCTGGAATTTAGTGGCGCAATCTCGGCTAACTGCAAGCTCCACCTCCCAGGTTCATGCCATTCTGCTGCCTCAGCCTCCCGAGTAGCTAGGATTACAGGCACCCTCCACCACACCTGGCTAATTTGTTTGTAATTTTAGTAGAGACGGGGTTTCACCGTGTTAGCCAAGATGGTCTCGATTTCCTGACCTTGTGATCTGCCCGCCTCAGCCTCCCAAAGTGCTGGGATTACAGGCGTGAGCCTCTGCGCCTGGCCAAGTGGAGGTTATTATTAACCCTATTTAACAGATATAAAAAGAAGAGATTAGAGAATTTTATCAATGTTCCCACTGTCAAATAGAATATAAGCAATGATACAAAATGTTGAGTCTTCATCCTCTAACTCCAGATCCTGGTATATTGCCCTACATTTCCTATACATTAATACTCACTTATACACTGAATAACAAGAGTAAAACCAACTGTCGGGGCTAAGTAGGGTGAAAATGTTCTTGCCCTTAGAGCACCAGGGTTGTCTGGTTTTATTCCTAGCATGTGGACTAGAAAGGCAATACATACTCTAATGGCAGGAGATAAAATAACTTGTGGCACTGTGCTTTTGGAGCAAAATGGAATTATAGAACAGAACCCAGCCATGAAGCATTTTATTACATGGTCACAAGTGTCACTATCTGTAGGGCACCATAAGTACACTCTATTTTAACCATCTTTGGCACAGGGGTATGTGCCAAAATATCTTTTAAAAATATAAAGAATATTTTTACCAATCACATTTATATTGTTCCTTATTCAAGCTTTTGTTTATGTAAGCCTATTTCTGAAACAAGAGTCTTGATGATAATTTAAGTGAATGAATTAATTAAAATTTAAGATGGCACACTTTTTTTTACTAAAGAGGAGTTTAGAATCTATTCTAAATTTATTAGATCCATTAACTCGCATTTACAGAATATATTGAAATACATTCTGATTATATATATAAAATAATTTTATATTTTGGAATGAGGAACATGAACTATAATTGGTTTAGCCTACTAGCTTAAAACTTATAAGCCCCTTTCTTCTTTGTACATAATCAATATAGAAATATATTCATTTAATTTTTATTAGAAACTGGAGTTAGCTTGCAATCAATATCAATATTCTTTCAGCGCATCCTGTTTTATAAAATAATTTTTCTAGTAGTATCAGAGAATTAGCCATATATAAACAGCGATTATGGTATTTACCACACAGGTGTGGCTCTTTATAGATTACAAAACGTCACAAACTATGTCATCTCATTGATATCCAACAACTAGCCAAGGAGTCGTTATTTTTCTTTCAAATTTGGAGTTTCAAAACAAAACAAAAAACAAACATCTACCACCAATAATACAAAACACTTGGACTCCAAGTTTCAGATAATTTGTGGCCTTCGTACAGTTGGAAAGCCTCAAAAAGAACACACGAAACCATGGCTTCTATGCCCAAAGCTAGTATTTTCTGTCTCCTTAAGAATCAGCTTCTTGGAGATTATATCTTGGTATTTGTGATACCATATCTATGATATTTTTGGAACCAAAATGATTAAATTCTTTTTATGCCTTTCAATTATTCCTAAGCTATGGTTTCTTCATGTATGAAATGAAGTTAAGGTAGTTGTATGGATTAAATGAATCAACATATCTAGAGTACTTGGTACAAAATGTGGAATATAATTTTTAATTTCAATTAGTTGTACATTACTAATGTTGCTTATAATTGCATGGCTAATTTAAGGTGAAATACTGTATAATAGAGAGACTATTGCCCCAGAAGTTAGAGATTCTGAAATGCTGTCTACATGATATCTTACAAGCTAAATTACATGAGTAAATTTTGTATAAATTACAGGTTTCAAGATAAATAAGCAAGGATAACTATACCTGTCTTATCTCTGTTAAACATAAATACATGAAGGCAAATGAATATAATTTAATGCTATTCAAAATACAACCACTTATGCTAATTTGCATGTGGTTTTTTGGTTGTCTGTAACTAAGAAATCTGGACATCATTTTTCTTGATGATTCATCAATATAAGAAGTATAAATATTTAGAAGGCATGATTGGCAAAAGTATTCCAAACCAGGAAGTATCAGAAATCAGGGCTAGAACAATTGTTTGCCCATTAGTCATCCCTCCAGAAATAACTCTGTAAATCATGAAGGAAAACATCTCATCAAATTCTCTTCTTGACACCACTATACATGGAAATTTATACAGTTAAGTTTAGGGGCAATAAAATCTAAATAGAAAATATAAATTACCTAGAAACAATAGAACCTGTAATACTGACCAACAATCTGTAATGTGTAAGATTAGACTAGCTATGCTTACCTAAGTTTATTTTAGTATGACTATATTTCCTTTGGATCTTATTTTAACTCTCAGATTTTAGAGATGAACAGGATAAGATAAAGAACAGTTAATTTTTTTTTTATTAACCTACGAAGAGTATGTTAGCATCCTATATTTAAAATATCATCTGGAAAACATTTTCCCTTTAAATATTCAGATCCATTAATTAAATAAATTTATATTTGTGTACAGAAAATTTTAAAATTTCTTCTGTTTTATTTATCAGAAAGTTGCATCATTTCAAAATGTAAACATACCAATAAGGAGTAACAAGATTGACTCAGTAATAAAAAATAACCTCCCACAAGGAAAAGCCCAGGATCAGATGGGTTCACAGTCAAATTCTACCAAACATACAAATAAAAAGTAATACCAATTCTTCTGAAACTGTTTCAAATTCAAGGGAGGGACTCCTCCCCAACTCATTCTAGAAGGCCAATATCACTCTGATATCAAAACCAAGCAATGACATTTTTAAAAAAGAAGCTTAAAACCAATATTCCTGATGAACACAGACACAAAAATCTTTAACAAAATACTAGCCAACTGAATCCAGCAGCACATAAAAAAAAAAATACACCATGATCAAGTGGGCTTTATATCAGACATGCAAGAATGGTTCCACATATGCAAATCAACAAATGTGATACATCACATAAACAGAATTAAGGAAAAAAATCATGATCATCTCAATAGATGCAGAGAAAGCATTTGATAAAGTTCAGCATCCCTTCATGATAAAAACTCAGCAAGCTAGGCATAGAAAGAATATACTCAAAATAATAAAGGGCATATGCAACAAACTCACAGTCAACATCATACTGAATGGGGAAAAGTTGAGAGCATTTTCTCTAAGAACTGGAATAAGACAATGATGCCTACTTTTACCATGTCTATTCAACATAGTACTGGAAATCATAGCCAAAGCAATCAGGCAAGAAAAAGAAATAAAAGGCATCCAAATTGGAAAAGAGTAAGTCAAACTGTCCCTGTCTGCTGGTGATGTGATCTTATATCTAGTAAAACCTAGAGAGTCTACCAAAAAATTCTTAGATTTGATAAATAAATTTAGTAAAGTTACAGGATACAAAATCAAAGCACAAAAATGAGTAGCATCTCTATACAACAATAACGATGTAAGTAAGAAGGAAATAAAAGAGACAAGTGTATGTATAATAGCTTTAAAAAACCCTAGGAATAAATTTAATCAAGGGGTTGAAAGATCTCTACATGGAAAACTACAAAACACTGATGGAAGAAACTGTAGAGGACACAAACAAATTGAAAAAAATTCCATGCTCATTATCAGAAGAATTAATATCACTAAAATGACCATAATACACAAAGCTATCTACAGATTCACTGGTATTCCTGTCAAAATACAAATATCTTTTTTTTTACAGAATTAAAAAAAGTAATCCTAAAATGTATATGGAACCAAAAAAAAAAAAAAAAAAAAAAAAAGACCTGAATAGCCAAAGCAATCCTAAGCAACAAGCACAATGTGGGAGGTGACACATTACCTGATTTCAAATTATACCACAAAGCTGTAGTAACCAAAACAGCATGCACTGGTATAAAAATAGACACATACATCAACAGGACAGGGATCTATAGAGCAGGGGTCCCAAGCCCCCAGGAAATTAGGAACTGGGCTGCACAGCTGGAGGTGAGTGACTGGTAAGGGAGCTAAACTTCATCTATATTTACAGCCACTCCCCATTATTTGCATTACTGCCTGAGCTCTGCCTCCTGTCACATCAGTGGTGGCATTAGATTCTCATAAGATTGCGAATGTTATTGTGAACTGTGCATGTGAGGGATCTAGGTTGTGTTCTCCTTATGAGAATCCAATGCCTGATGATCTGAGGTGGAGCTGAGGTCGTGATGCTAGCAATGGGGAGTGGCTGAAAATACAGATTAACATGAGCAGAGAGGTTTGACTGTACAGAGACCATGATAAATCAGTTGCTCACAGACTCATAACCCTATCAGTGACTGTCAGTGACAATTAAGCTGCATCTGGTGGCTTGCTTTATAGTGGCAAGTGAGTTGACGTACAACTGTACAGCTGCATTTGGTGGCAGGCTTTAAGTCAGAATCTTACACTTATTTTAGTCTGCGTTTGACCCATCCATTGTTTCATTTACCACTTTCATCCACGCCTCTTTCCTTCACTGCACACTTGTCTCAGTCACAATTTTGGCAAGCCCACAAGCTAACCTCATCTAAAATAAATATAAAACAAACCTCACTAGAGAGCTTCTTTGAAAATGGGGAAGAACCCAATGATGAGACAGCAGAAGACACTAAGGCTGCCAACAACAAAAAAGCTACATTTAAAATAAAATAGCAAGAGTCCTACTTAAATTACAAGTTCATTGCAACAGGTGATTCATATTCTCCAAGCTTGCTTTGTATAATATGTGGCAACTGGCTACCCAACAAAGCCATGAAACCTTCAAACTGCTTTGCCACATGGAGACCAAGCACCCTGCATTAAAAGAGAAGCCTTTGGAATTTTTCATAAGAAAAAAAATGTGAACACAAAGAACAGAAGCAATTATTGAAGACCATCACTTCATCAAATGTGTTTGCACTGAGAGCATCATTTTAGTGGCTTACCACTTTGCTAAAGCCAAGGAGCCCTTTACTATTGGTGAAGAGTTGATCCACCCTATTGCTAAGGACATTTGTTCCAAAGGTGGCATGTGTTCCTCTTTTGGCTGTTATCATAACTAGATGAATTTGTGAAATAGCAGAGGATATGAGGCCCAAATGTTAGAAAGGATTAATGAGTCACCATGGTATGAAATTCAGGTTGATAAGTCTACCAATGTTGACAATAAGGCAACAATACTTGTTTTTGTGCGATATATTATTCAGGAGGATGTGCATGAAGATATGTTATGTGAACTTTTGTGGCCAACCAGCATCACAGCTGCCGAACTAGTCAAGTCTTTGAATGATTACATATCAGGAAAACTGAATTGGTAATTTTGTGTCAGTATATGCATGGACGGAGTGGCTACATGAGTGGATAGCTTTCTGGTTTCACTAATTGGGTCAAAGAGGTTGCTTCTGAATGTGAGTCTATGTACTGTGTCCTCCATAGAGAAATGCTGCTAGCTGAAAAATGTCATCTGAACTTAAGAACATTTTGCAGGATGTGATTAAAATTATCAACCACATTGAAGTACATGTCTTTAACTCACATCAATTTGAACAGCTCTGTGAGGAGATGGACACAGAGCACATATATCTTCTCTTATACACAGAAGCAAGTTGACTTTCTAAAGGTAGATCACTGGCTAGAGTTTTTGAATTATGAGAGCCACTCCAGCATTTCTTTTTTTTTTAAACTTTTAGGTTCAGGGATACAAGTGCAGGTTTGTTACACAGGTAAATTTGTGTTGGTTTGTTGTACAGATTATTTCATCACCCAGGTATTAAGCCTAGTACCCGTTAGTTACTTTTCCTGATTCTCTCCCTCCTCCCACTCTCCAACCTTTGAACGGCCCCAGTGTGTATTGTTCCCCTCTGTGTGTCCACGTGTTCTCATCATTTAGCTCCCACTTTTAAGGGAGAATACGCAGTATTTGGTTTTCTGTTCCTGTGTTAGTTTGCTAAGGATAATGGCCTCCAGCTCTGTCCATGTCCCTGCAAAGGACATAATCTCATTTTTTATGACTGCCGAGTATTCCATGGTGTATATGTACCACATTTTCTTTATCCAGTCTCTCATTGATGGACATTTAAGTTGATTCCATGTCTTTGCTATTATGAATAGTGCTACAATGAACTTTTTATGATAGAACAATTTATATTCCTTTAGGTAAATACCCAGTCATGGGATTGCTGGGTTGAATGGTATTTCTATCTTTAGGTCTTTGAGGAATCGTCATACTGTCTTCCACAATGGCTGAACTAATTTACATTCCCACCAACAGTTTATAAGAATTCCCTTTTTTCTCTACAATCTCGCCAGCATGTTATTTTTTGACTTTTTATAGTAGTCATTCTCACTGATGTGAGATGGTATTTCATTGTAGTTTTGATGTGGATTCGTCTAATGATCAGTGATGTTGAGCCTTTTTTCATATAATTTTTGGCTGCAAGTATGTCTTCTTCTGAAAAGTGTTGGTTCATGTCCTTTGCCCACTTTTTTATGGGGTTGTTTTTGTTTTCTTGTAAATGTGTTTGAGTTCCTTATAGATGCTTCTTTGTTGGATGCATAGTTAGCAAAAATTTTCTCCCATTCTGTAGGTTGTCTGTTTACTCCACTGATAGTTTCTTTTGCTGTGCAGAAGCTCTTAGGTTTAATTAGATCCCATTTGTGAACTATTGCTTTTGTTGCAATTGCTTTTGGCATCTTCATCATGACATTTTTGCCCATGCCTGTCCTGAATGGTATTGCCTAGGTTGTCTTCCAGGGTTTTTATAATTTTGGTTTTTACATTTAAGTGTTTCATTCATCTTGAGTTAAGTTTTGTATATGGTGTAAGTAAGGGTTCCAGTTTCAATCTTCTGCATATGGCTAGCCAGTTATGTAAACACCATTTATTGAAGAGGGAATCCATTCCTCATTGCTTGTTTTTGTAAGGTTTGTTGAAGATCATATAGTTGTAGGTGTGTGGTCTTATATCTGGGTCCTCTATTCTGTTCCATTGGTCTATGTGTCTATTTTTAGATCAGTACCATGATGTTTTGGTTACTGCAGCCATGTAGTATAGTTGGAAGTCAGGTAGGGTGATGCCTCCAGCTTTTACTCCAGATACATTTAAAATAGTTTTTTCCAGTTCTGTGAAGAACGCACTCCTCAGCAAATACAAAATAACTGAAATAATAACAAACATTGATTTTCCTGAGTCTCAGACCCAGGAAAATCAAATTAGAACTCGAGACGAAGAAATTCACTTAAAACCATATGATTATATGGAAATTGAATAACCTGTTCCCAAATGACTTTTAAATAAATAATGAAATTAAGGCAGAAGTCAAGGAGTTCTTTAAAACTAATGAGAACAAAGATACAACATACCAGAATCTCTGGGACACAGCTAAAGCAGTGGTAAGAGGGAATTTATAGCACTAAATGCCCATATAAAAAGTTATAAAGATCTCAAGTTAACAACCTAACATCACAACTAAAAGAACTAGAAAACCAAGAGCAAACAAATCCCAAAGCTAGCAGAAGACAAGAAATAGCCAAAATCAAAGCTGAATTCAAGGAGATAGAGATACAAACCATCATTCAAACGATTAATGAATCCAGGTGCTGGTTTTTTGAAAAAAACAAAATAAATAGATAGACTGCTAGCTAGACTAATAAAGAAGAAAAGAGATCAGATAAACACAATCAGAAATAATAAGGGGGATATTACCATAACCACACAGAAATACAAACAACCATTAGAGAATATTATAAATATGTCTATGCACATAAACTAGAAAATCTAGAAGAAATCCGGGCGGGGTGGCTCATGCCTGTAATCCCAGCACTTTGGGAGGCCGAGGTGGGCAAATCACCTGAGGTCAGGAGTTCAAGACCAACCTGGCCAACATGGTAAAACCCTGTCTGTACTAAAAATACAAAAATTGGCCAGGCATGATGGTGGGCACCTGTAATCTCAGCTACTTGGGAGGCTGAGGCAGAAGAATCGCTTGAACCCAGGAGGCAGAGGTTGCAGTGAGCTGAGATCATGCCATTACACTCCAGCCTGAGCAACAGAATGAGACTCCAAAAAAAAAAAAAAGGCAGAAAAAAGAAAGAAAAGAAAATCTAGAAGAAACAGATTAATTTCTGGACAAACACACCCTCTTAAGACTGAATCAGGAAGAAATTGAATTTCCGAACAGATCAATAATGAGTTCTAAAATTGAGTCAGTAATAAATAGCCTACCAACCCAAAAAAGCCCAGGACCAGACAGGTTTACAGCTGAATTTTACCAGAGGTACAAAGAAGAGCTGGTACCATTCCTACTGAAACTGAAATTGAAAAGGAGGTACTCCTCCCTAACTGATTCTGTGAGGCAAGCGTCATCCTGATACAAAAAGCTGGCAGAGATACAACAACAACAACAACAACAACAAAATCTTTAGGCCAATGCAACAAAATGAAAAATAGACAAATGGACTTAGTTAAACTGAAAAGCTTCTGCACAGCAAAAGTAATAATCAACAGAGTGAACAGACAACCTGCAGTATAGGAGAAAATATTTGCAAATGATTCGTCTGACAGACAATATACAATGAACTTAACAACAACAGGAAAACAAATAATTCCATTAAAACGATGTCAAATGACATGAATGGACATTTTTCAAAAGAAGATATGCAAATGGCCAACAGATATATGAAAAAAATGCTCAACATCACTAATTACCTGAAATGCAAATTAAAACCACAATGAGATATCATCTTATACCAGTCAGAATGGCTATTACTAAAAAACAGATGTTAGTGAGGGTGAGGTAAAAGAGAACTCTTATACACTGTTGGTGGGAATTTAAATTAGTGCAACCTCTTTGGAAAACATTATGAAGATTTCTCAAAGAACTTAAAATAGTATTGCTATTCCATCCAGCAATCCCACTACTGGATATCTACTCAAAATAAAATAAAGAAATCAATATATCAGAAAGATACCTGCACTCATATGTTTATCACAGGACTATTCACAATAGCAAAGATAGAAATCAGCCTAAGCATCTATTAATGGATGATTAGATAAAGAAAATGTAGTATATACACAATACAATACTATGTATCCATAAAAATGAATGAAATCCTATCTTTCGCACTAACATGGATGAAACTGGAGGTCAATATGTTAAATGAAACACTCAGACACAGGAAGTCAAATATCACAGGTTTTCACTCATAAGTAGGAAATAAAAATATGTACACATGGACATAGAGAGTAGAATGATAGACAACAGAGACTTGGGAAGTTAAAGGGTTAGGAGGGAGGTGGAATACAAGAAACTGCTTAAAGGATACAACATATGTTATTGGGGTGATAGATATCCTAAAAGCTCTGATTTGACTGCTAGGCAATCTATGCATGTAAGAGAATTTCTCTTGTACCTCATAAATTTATACATTTTTAAAGTAAACTATTGATGGTTGATGCTACTTACATTAATATCTAATTTAAGAATCCTGTGAGAAATTGTTGAAACTGATTGTATTAAAAACATGGTCTCCCTGGATTATAGGTTCTTCATGGATAGAGAGTGCACTAACTTACTGTAGTCCAAATATTCAACATAATATTGTTAAATACATAGTTGTGAATTAAGAGTTGTGAAATTTATGTATTCTCTTGAGGTAATTACTGCTACGTGAAATGATGACTTCTTCTTAGTGATGCTAGGACTTGTCAGGTGCTTATTTCTAAAAAGCTAAATTTAAGTAGTCAAAATGGGCAAGTTTCTTTTCCCTAACAAAATACAATCTTCAAATTAGTATTCTGATCATTACTAAATATATACTAAACGGTAAACTTTAACACCTAAAGACTTAGGAAGCCATGTCCTCTGTCAGTCAGTGATCTTAGATGCGAGTAATAAAAACCTCTTGAAGTAGTTTTTAAAAAAATATTTAAGAATATTAAAGAGCTTTCCAAATAGGAAAGTCAGATGGTCAAGCCAAAGACCACACATTCAAAGATAATATTCAAATCACATTTACTGTGTCTATTTTAGCCACTGTAGATACGACACAAATGCCATACTAGTTGTTGCTGACATAAGTGGCAGAATCTCCATCCCACTGCCCTAGAAGCTTCATCACACCATCATTCTCAAATAAATTCCTCTTGGTTTATTCTTTCTTTATTAACCTCCAAAGAATATGTTAGCATCCTATACTCACACTATCATTTGGAAAATATTTTCCCTTTAAATATACATAAGGTATACATAAGTAGTACACCCTTGCTTACCTAGAAAAAGAATGTTATTAGACTTTCATCTTTTTTAGACGACTACATGATAAATCTGAGGAGTGATTTTTCAGAGACTATAATGACTATTGACTATAATGATGTCTATCTAATATGTCTGCTGAAGACATGTCACATTGTCCATGTCTGAATTAAAGTCTTATGTAGTTGAGTCTGATTGGCAGAGCCAACATGACAGGCCAGCAACCTGGGTACAAATGGAGGTTAGCAAAGTGGAATTCTTGCTTCTGCTTGAGTTAGGAGTATGTGGGATGCTTAAGACAGGAAATTTTCCCAGCACCAAAAGGAATATAAAAAGTGCTGTGGCTCCAGAAACATCACACATTTCCCTCACAGATCCCTACCCACCTCTTCATCTTCACTCCGCCCACACATTCTGGCTCTCTATGTTTTATTCACAATTGTCTTTTTTTTTTAGGTTATCCTTAACGGAAGGATTTTTATATATGCTGTGTTTAATTCTCTACAAAAATATAGAATAATACTTATTTCCTTGCTTGCCTAAAATAAATATAAAATAAGGAAGCTTACAGACAATTTGAGAAGCATAAACCCATTTAAATATAAGGTATAGCTATTAACATAGTTATCCCTTAACATCTTTGCTAAAGGACAAGAGCATATTAGATAGACATCATTACAGTCTCAGGAATATCATGCCTTAGTTATCTCATGCAGTCTCAGGCTAAAGGAGATGAGAAAGTATAATAACATTCGTGTTCTAGGTAAGTAAGAATGTACTACTTATTAACGAAAAGAAGAGTTCCTTAAAATAAGTATGAAAAAAGCTTTGACTGCAAGAGTAATGTTTAAATATTAAAGGCTTTTCATTAATTAATTTTAGGCAGTTTAGCATAGTTGTTAAGGGTATGAGCTTTGCAATGACCCAGACATGAACTGTTGGATCCTGAGTTACGCATTTTTTGACTGGGAGATTTATTCACCTCTTTAAGTTCTAGTTTCATCTTTTGAAAATTTCTTCCTCCATGAAATTATAGCAATTAGTAGAGATAAAATGTATAAATTACATATTACAGCACCTGGCGTATATTATGTGATCAAAATGCAAGTTATTGTAAATGTTTTCATAAATGTAACATTGGAGGAAAGTGGTTGAAATCACAGCATTTAATTTAGTCTCCTTTTTTGTGGCAAGTGTGTTTATTTTGAAAGTTGTCTAATGTATTGGACTGGAAGGAAATCAGTTGTTGGACTTTCGTGATTCGTATTTCTGGAAAGAAATCTCTTTTCTATTGCACATTCTAGAAGACATGACCAAAGGTGGTAATTTTTTAATAATTTTACTTTTGAACTGACATTGCTGAGTTAAATGCTCTTAATGTGTTTATACAAAATTCTTTATTTTATTTTATATATTTTTTCGAGACACAGTTTTACTCTGTTGCCCAGGCTGTAGTGCAGTGGCACCATCTTGGCTCACTGCAACCTCTGCTTCCTGGGTTCAAGCAATTCTCCTGCCTCAGCCTCTCAAGTGGCTGGGTGGTACAGGTGTGCACCACCACGCCCAGCTAATATTTTTTGCACTATTAGTAGAGATGGGGTTTCACCATGTTGGCCAGGCTGGTCTCAAACTCCTGACCTCAAGCAATCTGCCTGCTTTGACCTCCCAAAGTGCTAGATTACAGGCGTGAACCACTGTGCCTGGCCCATACAAAATTCTGAACAAGGTTGAAGGCCTATACAAATGTTTTTTATACAAATCTTACTATGCATGTTAGCTATAAAGTATAATCAGTGAATATTAATGTCTTTTCACTTTGAGTCAGGGTTAAATATTTTACTATTCATGTACTAAATCACCAGTATTCAAATATCTGCATTGCCTTATTCTTGAGTTTATTACTTAACACTAATCTCTGCTTTTGTAACCTTTAAAGACAGGTTAATTGATATTGAAGTTAGGAATTTATCATAAATACATTACTAATGTTTCAAGGTTACACTTCCACTTAGACCAATTGGTAACCATAAATTAAATGGTAAATATTTTTATAATTGAAATTTTATTTTTATTAAAATGTAAATTAATATGACATTAACCTTTTAAAAAATACCTAAATTAAGTGTGTTAATGCAGTATAATGGCAACACCTTTGCTAAAACCATTACCTGCGAAAATTCAAAGAAACCATTATGCTTACTGAGCTTATAGCTCTAGAGGAAAATGGTTAGTAATCATCTACATTGGTTTTCATTGACAGTACTTAGCAAATAATTATAAGAAAAAAATGAATACAAAAAAAATTGGCCAAATAGAAAATAGAAAGGAAAAAACTAGTGTTCAGAAACTTGGATTCTTGAAGATTTAGGAAAGACAACATCTAGACATAAATAGTAATAGATGTGATTCTAATAGACTCTCAGTGACAAAGTCCCAATATGCCTTCTCCCTTGAAAATAATGACTCTGTGACAATGAATGGATAAAAGATGTGTCATTTTCACGCAAGCTTATTAGCCACCAAGTTGCAGCAACAAGTTGGAAGAAGAAAAAATACAGAGCAAAGATTGCAGAACCATGTCTAGGAAAATAATATTTCAATGGCAAGTACTGATACAGGGCCTGCTGGAAGCAAATGGATCAGAAGCTTACTAATTCTGGGAGAGATTTGTATTGGTTTCGAGAAAATTAAAGCCTGATTTCAAAATGCCTGATACTGTTAGTTGAACATTAAAACGACCCTAGGTCACGGAGAAGGCTACAAAACAACACCTTCCCCATCAACAGATGAAAGAAAATTTCCATAGAATATTGCTAGAGAAAAATGGATGAAGAAAACCACACAGAGAGCAGAATCATGGCCTCTTCAAGGAACTGTTTAATCCTCAGAACAGAAGGATTTTATGTTGTTTATCCAGAGGAGTTTCAGAATTGCTATTGGCCAGTGACTGTCATGGGACTCTTACTCTTCCCCTTTGTTAAAAGGAATAATTGTTTTCTCAGCTTTGCCATTTTAGTTCGTAGGCTGTTTGAACCCAAGAGCCACACTCAGACCAGACAGGGGGTTGTACGTAAAACAGAGGACCTTATCTTCGAGCTGGATGTATTAACTGGACCATTGACCCAGGGAGGATTGTCTTCATTTGGAAAACTAAGAGGGACAAATGTTTGTTGATAAAAGTGGACTGAGGCAGCAATAATGTTAGGTATTTAGCAATTGAATCTCATTTTCTTCCTGTGTACACAACACAACCACGTTTTCCAATCCTTCATAGTTAGATTTGGGCCATGTGGCTGAGCTCTGGCCAATGCAACCTGAATGAAAGTTGCACAATCTCTTCACCTTACCCGTAAAAGTTCCCCACATGAAATTATCTACTTCCCATCTTTGCTGATCTCAATGAACTGTAACGTAGCAAGCAAAAACTTTTAGTGTATCAAGTCACTGAGGTTTGGGAGTTATTTATTATATTACACAGTTTTTGTACTAAGTAAGATAATCTTAAAAAGTTACCTAGCCCAAAATCCTAGCTCTTCATAAATCATTAAAACAGTTATTTATTTAATACCAAGTCTTTTAAAAATTCTAAGATTAAAGTATCACGAATGCCATTTAAAATTCATGCAAATAAAGAGGATGGGATTACTTACTGGGTATGGACATGAATCCCGTAAGAAACAGAATAGTTTTTCTAATAGTTTAAGGAATAGTGTAGAAAAAATGCCAAACATTTTTATTTTCCCAGAAATTAATACTGAAAGTAATAGGTAAAAGTCACAAGGGACCATGCTTTGATTTCACTAGGAAGAGAATTAAGATTATAGGCACAGGCTTTCTCCAATGTGGCACCCAACTGCAATGCAAATAGTACACACATCACTCAAGCATTTTCCAATCTTATTTTGGAATTCTACAGTTTCAAATGATTTATGCAATTTTTTAGAAAAAAATGGATAAATGTTGCATATATTTTATACATTTTTTCTAAAGAAAAAATATGTTAAAGGAGGAAATACTAAATTATTAGAAGTTAGTATGAGGGAGTATGTCCCAATTAGCATTCAGAAAAAAAACCACAGACATGTAAAATAGTATTTCAAATATGTTTCAAAAGATAGAAACTGAAAAAAAAAACCTTCACATTTAATTATAAGTGATAAAAGCATAAATTGTGTTATGTTGTAAGTGATATAATTTTTAAAAGGATCTCCATTACTCATTCTTAAAAATGTCAAAATACAAAATCTATCCTCAAAACTAAAACTCAAATGTAGTGATATTTTACTATTAATGTTAATGAAATTAGAGTCTCTTACGGTGTTGTTCTAACTAATAAAGGAAGTTGCATAGTCTACTATACTCTGCAAGTTTAGTTTTAATTGCAACGGAAAGTTTACATTCAAATTTTACTATTTAAAATTTCTTTTGTCCTTGCATCTCCTTAGAACGACTGAAGTACTTTGTAATTCAGTCTAATAAAGATGCACAAATTTAGAAATGTCCTTTGAAATGATAAAAATCTTTAAAACCATGATTTTCTGACCATTACCTGGCAACATTTTCTAAATATCCAATGTTTCACATCATAAGCACCATTAATACTTATATATTGAAACACATACTTCTACATTTATAAACTAATCCTGATGATGTACTGTTTCAGATAATTAATTGATTATTGACAAATTAATTTACATACTTCTGAGTTACTTTTAAAATTGCCCAGAATCACTGCACTCCCTAATTATCTTCACTTAAATTTATGATAATGTATTGTCCTCTGAATTAAATTTACCCACACACGAAGGAAAGAACTGATAGTTTCTATCTATTATGTATGCACATGAAAATACGCTTTCGCTCCTAGAATAGAATAGGTCACCAAAAGAAGGCAGCCAGCACATGGACACACTGAATACATGGGGATGTGAATTAAAGCTTTCTCAATACAGATCTTAGAAATATTATATTGAAATAGTTCTTATTGTAACAGATATGTCAAGATATTACATAATTTTTTAAATGTTGAGTATGTATCTCTAAGTGTTGACATATAAAAAAACTGAACCTGATGCTTGCCATGTTTTCAGTTTTTGAAAATTGAAAAGATAGTGAAAAGGATTTAACATATTCTGAAGAGAAAAATTAAGACAGAACACAGTGATAATTACATAAATTATACAGCAACTGAGCTCAAATGTCTAATAATTTTGCTAAGAAACAAGGAATAACTAACAAAAGATGAAGTAAACGAATGTAAATTGTAAAAGGGATAATTTGTCCTGTAGAATTTTGCAGAGCATTTATGAAAACGGTTTGCAGTGTTAGCCAACATTATTACATTGTACTGAGTATTGATTATTCTAGAGCAAAAATACTAGCTGAGAATTATGGATGTAATAGTCTGAGATGAAAATAAAGCTATACATTACTAAGTAATCTGACTTCTATCATTATTTATACTCTTCTTTTCCAGGTAATGCATTCTCTTCTAAATCTTGAACCTCCTCCATCACAAAGTTGAAAATAATCTTTGCAACTGTTTGTAAAAAAAAACTCCAATTCTTATTCTTACCTATACAAAACTGACTTCAGAGGAACTAGGAAAAAATATGGCATTTATACTTTTCTCTTTTTTTTATTTTCACCAGTGCTATGCTATCGGGAGCAAAACAAATTATTAAAATAAGCACCCAGAGACAACATAGGCAACGTTAATATGTCACTATTGTGTGTGGTTTACCAAGAAGTGATTTCATTTAGACAAGTTCAAACTAATTAAAGCACACGTTATTACTCTAAATTTATGCAGTGAATTAATTAAGTTTTTGAACTGATATGATTTTATACTTGTGAATCCCAAAACATTAACCATAAACTATGAGGCTATAAGAAAACTTAGTAAGTGGTTGATTAAATGACTAAGGAATAAAAGCTTATATATTTTCTATAAACAAAGCCAAGAAAATAATAACAGAATATAATAAGGGTAAATGTTCTATTTATAACAGCAGAAAATAGGTTAAATGATCAAAATAAGTGTATAAAGAAAGATGATAGAAGGTAGTTTATTTGAGTATGTAATTAAAGTGTTATTTAAAGTAGTGGAGGAAAAGTGCATCACTCAATAAATATAATAATTGGCTAGAATTGTTCAAGGTTAGAAAAATTGCTATCTACTTTTTTTGAAACACAGAAATAACATATAGATCAAAGATTATTGTTGAATAAAAGGAAATCATAGAATACTAGACAAAACTAATTGGTAAATTTTTCTTTAATAATAGGCAAATACTCATTTTAACTAACCTACAAAACACAAAAGTTATAAAATAAAAATGAATTTGATCATTGACTAAAGAGGCATTTCTCCAATAGGAAAAATACCACAAACAAAACAAAAAGAGAAATATCAGATGTGAAAAATATATTTACAAAATATATTACAAAGGATTAATCTCTGTATTTTGAAAAGAAAGCTTATACTCAGTAAGAAAGAAACACACAACTCAATATAAAAATAAAGAATATAAAAAGCAGTTTTCTGCCTTTAATTTTTTTTTTTTTTAGTTTTTTTCAATAGGTAAATATATTCACATGGATCAAAATAAAAATAATAGATGATAAACATTGAAATGTCATTCCTATCCTTGTGCCATGTCCACACCAAACCCCCATCCCCTGAGGGAAACAATTTCTATTATTTTTTAAATGTATCTATTTAGCATTTATTCATACAGACATAAAAAAATGAAAATACATAGTTTTATTTACTCTTACCTTACACAGAACATAGCATATATTATCTACTCTTCTAACCACACGTTTTTTGATGTAAAAACATAATGTGGAGTTTTTCCTTTTTGTACATAGAGGGCATTCTCATTCTTTAAAAGCTGTACATGTTCCGCTATATGGATATATTATAGTTTATTTTAACAACTCCCATATAGATGGGCCTTTGGCTTGTGTTCAACATTTTGCTCTTATAAACAAGAAAGCTATGAAAAATGACATATATAGGTCATTTTCTATGTTTTTTGGTATGTCTGTAAGATATATTTTCCAAAATGGAATTCCTGAGTCAAAGAGTAAATGTAATTGCAATTTTGAAAGATATTGTCAAATTTCCCTTCATTAGAGGTTGAAGTATTTTACACTCCTGCCAGCAATGTGTAAGAGTGCTTCCTTTCTCAAAGCCCTGCAAATAGTGTTAACATTTAGCTTTTTGACAGTCTGGATAGATAACACACATATATCTTTGTGTAATTCCACTTAATATGAATGAGACTGAATGTCTTTTCATATGTTCCAGTGTCATTTTGTTTTCTTATGTCTTTGTGTACATATGAATATATTTTTTGTTTGTTTTGTTTGTTTTTGCTTCTGATTCTTTCCTGAACGTGCAGATAATTTTAGTTTTGATAAAGTTAAAGACTCAATTTTTTTTTTCATGGTATCTGGACATTTTTAAAGTAGCTCCTGAGGCATAGATCAAAAGAATGTTCCAGTTCCAAAGCCATAAAAAATTCCCGATTTTCTTCAACTATTTGCAGGTTTCATTTTTTCAAACATTTCAAGTGTTGACAATCTTGTGGTTTATCCTGTGGTTTGGTAGAAGATATGAAGCCAATGTTATCCTCTTTTAAATGGCTAGCAATTTGTCTAACAAACACTGTTGATGAATACATTCACAGTTATCACCACTGATTTGAGGTACAAAGGACTTTTAAATAGTAAATTGATATGCAATCTTGATCATACAAATATATATTAAAACAACAACATCATATACTTTTGTATAAAAAATTGTGGTACTGGATGATATTACTGATTATGAGAGATAACAGGAACTTGCATACATAGTTGATGAAAGGCAAAATGGTACAACCTTGTTGGAGAGTATTTTGGCAGTATCTATCAAACAATTCATATGCATATATACTTTGATGCAGCAATGCCATTTGCAGAATAAATACATCATGTTTATATGCAAAAACAACATACATTACCATTAACAAGAAATTCATTAAATCAGTTAATTAATTCAATGTTTCACTGCTAGTTGTTGGAACATGAATGAAGTGAGCATATATGCACCAACATATAATAAGTTCTAAGAAATATTAATACATCTTCAGAATAGAATGTCTATATATTAAATGCTAAAATTTATGTAAGTGAAGAGTATGTTTACAAATATATAAGCTCTTAAATATATAAAATGTGTAGTATTACAAACATAAATATAATTAACCATGTATCTATCTACTGCACATATACACCCCTGTACATAATTATACATCTAATACTCTACAAATTACCACATATATATATATTATACATATTGCCGTAAATATGTAGATTATGAAAATTGACAAACTGGGTCTGGTACTTACCTCTGTGAAGAAGAGTTCAGAATTAGAATTTGCGTAAGACAGAAGAAAACCTTTTACTCTGATTCATACATTTTTTACTTGAAAAATTTTAAATTCACAGAAAAATTGCAAAGATAGTACAGATAAGTCCTGTATAACCCACAATCAATTTTCTCTACTATTTGCATCTTGCATTAGTATGGTACCACTATTGATACATTATGGTTAACTAAAGTCTATATTCAGATTTCATCAGTTTTCTCTAATGTTCTGTCTTTTAAAAATTTTGGTGGATACATAGTAGGTATGTATATTTATGGGCTCCTCTTGGCTGTGACACTTTTTTTTTTAGTTTTCTTATTATTACACTTTAAGTTTTAGGGTGCATGTGCACAACGTGCAGGTTTGTTACATATGTATACAAGTGCCATGTTGGTGTGCTGCACCCATTAACTTGTCATTTAGCATTAGGTATATCTCCTAATGCTATCTCTCCCCCCTCCCCCCACACCACAACAGTCCCCTGTGTGTGTTATTCCCCTTCCTGTGTCCATGTGTTCTAATTGTTCAATTTCCACCTATGAGTGAGAACATGCGGTGTTTGGTTTTTTGTCCTTGCGATAGTTTGCTGAGAATGATGGTTTCCAGTTTCATCCATGTCCCTACAAAGGATATGAACGTATCATTTTTTATGGCTGCATAGTATTCCATGATGTATATGTGCCACATTTTCTTAATCCAGTCTATCGTTGTTGGACATTTAGGTTGGTTCCAAATCTTTGCTATTGTGAATAGTGCCGCAATAAACATACGTGTGCATGTGTCTTTATAGCAGCATGATTTATAATCCTTTGGGTATATACCCAGTAATGGGATGGCTGGGTCAAATGGTATTTCTAGTTCTAGATCCCTGAGGAATCGCCACACTAACTTCCACAATGGTTGAACTAGTTTACAGTCCCACCAACAGTGTAAAAGTGTTCCTATTTCTCCACATCCTCTCCAGCACCTGTTGTTTCCTGACTTTTTAATGATCGCCATTCTAACTGGTGTGAGATGGTATCTCACTGTGGTTTTGATCTGCATTTCTCTGATGGCCAGTGATGATGAGCATTTTTTCATGTGTTTTCTGGTTGCATAAATGTCTTCTTTTGAGAAGTGTCTGTTCATATCCTTCACCCACTTTTTGATGGGGTTGTTTGTTTTTTTCTTGTAAATTTGTTTGAGTTCATTGTAGATTCTGAATATTAGCCCTTTGTCAGATGAGTAGGTTGCAAAAATTTTCTCCCATTCTGTAGGCTGCCTGTTCACTCTGATGGCAGTTTCTTTTGCATTGCAGAAGCTCTTTAGTTTAATTAGATCCCATTTGTCAATTTTGTCTTTTGTTGCCATTGCTTTTGGTGTTTTAGACATGAAGTCCTTGCCCATGCCTATGTCCTGAATGGTATTGCCTAGGTTTTCTTCTAGGGTTTTTATGGTTTCAGGTCTAACATTTAAGTCTTTAATCCATCTTGAATTAATTTTTGTATAAGGTGTAAGGAAGGGATCCAGTTTCAGCTTTCTACATATGGCTAGCCAGTTTTCTCAGCACCATTTATTAAATAGGGAATCCTTTCCCCATTGCTTGCTTTTGTCAGGTTTGTCAAAGATCAGATAGTTGTAGATATGTGGCATTATTTCTGAGGGCTCTGTTCTGTTCCATTGGTCTTTATCTCTGTTTTGGTACCAGTACCATGCTGTTTTGGTTACTGTAGCCTTGTAGTATAGTTTGAAGTCAGGTAGCATGATGCTTCTAGCTTTGTTCTTTTGGCTTAGGATTGACTTGGCGATGTGGGCTCTTTTTTGGTTCCATATGAACTTTAAAGTAGTTTTTTCCAATTCTGTGAAGAAAGGCATTGGTAGCTAGATGGGGATGGCATTGAATCTATAAATTACCTTGGGCAGTATGGTCATTTTCACGATATTGATTCTTCCTACCCATGAGCATGGAATGTTCTTCCATTTGTTTGTATCCTCTTTTATTTCATTGAGTAGTGGTTTGTAGTTCTCCTTGAAGAAGTCCTTCACATCCCTTGTAAGTTGGATTCCTAGGTATTTTATTCTCTTTGAAGTAATTGTGAATGGGAGTTCACTCATGATTTGGCTCTCTGTTTGTCTGTTATTGGTGTATAAGAATGCTTGTGATTTTTGTACATTGATTTTGTATCCTGAGACTTTGCTGAAGTTGCTTATCCACTTGAGGAGATTTTGGGCTGAGACAATGGGGTTTTCTAGATATACAATCATGTCATCTGCAAACAGGGAAAATTTGACCTCCTCTTTTCCTAATTGAATACCCTTTATTTCCTTCTCCTGCCTGATTGCCCTGGCCAGAACTTCCAACACTATGTTGAATAGGAGCGGTGAGAGAGGGCATCCATGTCTTGTGCCAGTTTTCAAAGGGAATGCTTCCAGTTTTTGCCCATTCAGTATGATATTGGCTGTGGGTTTGTCATAGATAGCTCTTATTATTTTGAAATACGTCCCATCAATACCTAATTTATTGAGAATTTTTAGCATGAAGGGTTGTTGAATATTGTCAAAGGCCTTTTTTGCATCTACTGAGATAATCATGTGGTTTTTGTCTTTGTTTCTGTTTATATGTTGGATTACATTTATTGATTTGTGTATGTTGAACCAGCCTTGCATCCCAGGGATGAAGCCCACTTGATCATGGTGGATAAGCTTTTTGATGTGCTGCTGGATTCGGTTTGCCAGTATTTTATTGAGGATTTTTGCATCGATGTTCATCAAGGTTATTGGTCTAAAATTCTCTTTTTTGGTTGTGTCTCGGCCTGGCTTTGGTATCAGGATGATGCTGGCCTCATAAAAAGAGTTGGGGAAGATTCCTTCTTTTTCTATTGATTGGAATACTTTCAGAAGGAAAGGTACCAGCTCCTCTTTGTACCTCTGGTAGAATTCGGCTGTGATTCCTTCTGGTCCTGGACTTTTTTTTATTGGTAAGCTATTGATTATTGCCTCAATTTCAGAGCCTGTTATTGGCCTATTCACAGATTCAACTTCTTCCTGGTTTAGTCTTGGGAGGATGTATGTGTCAAGGAATTTATCCATTTCTTCTAGATTTTCCGGTTTATTTGTGTAGAGGTGTTTATAGTATTCTCTGATGGTAGTTTGTATTTCTCTGGGATCAGTGGTGATATCCCCTTTATCATTTTTTATTGTGTCTATTTGATTCTTCTCTCTTTTCTTCTTTATTAGTCTTGCTAGTGTTCTATCAATTTTGTTTATCTTTTCAAAAAACCAGCTACTGGATTCATTGATTTTTTGAAGGGTTTTTTGTGTCTCTATTTCCCTCAGTTCTTCTCTGATCTTAGTTATTTCTTGCCTTCTGCTAGCTTTTGAATGTGTTTGCTCTTGCTTCTCTAGTTCTTTTAATTGTGATGTTAGGGTGTCAATTTTAGATCTTTCCTGCTTTCTCTTGTGGACATTTAGTGCTCTAAATTTCCCTCTACACACAGAAATACAGAGAACGCCACAAAGATACTGCTCAAGAAGAGCAACTCCAAGACACATAATTGTCAGATTCACCAAAGTTGAAATGAAGGAAAAAATGTTAAGGGCAGCCAGAGAGAAAGGTCGGGTTACCCACAAAGGGAAGCCCATCACACCAACAGCTGATGTCTTGGCAGAAACTCTACAAGCCAGAAGAGAGTGGGTACCAATATTCAACATTCTTAAAGAAAAGAATTTTCAACCCGGAATCTCATATCCGGCCAAACTAAGCTTCATAAGTGAAGGAGAAATAAAATACTTTACAGCTAAGCAAATACTGAGAGATTTTGTCAACACCAGGCCTGCCCTAAAAGAGCTCCTCAAGGAAGCACTAAACATGGAAAGGAACAACCGGTACTAGTCAGTGCAAAAACATGCCAAATTGTAAAGATCATCAAGGCTAGGAAGAAACTGCATCAACTAACGAGCAAAATAACCAGCTAACATCATAATGACAGGATCAAATTCACACATAACAATATTAACTTTAAATGTAAATGGACTAAATTCTCCAATTAAAAGACACAAACTGGCAAATTGGATAAAGAGTTAAGACCCATCAGTGTGCTGTATTCAGGAAACCCATCTCACGTGCAGAGACACACATAGGCTCAAAATAAAGGGATGGAGGAAGATCTACCAAGCAAATGGAAAACAAAAAAAGGCAGTGGTTGCAATCCTAGTCTCTGATAAAACAGACTTTAAACCAACAAAGATCAAAAGAGACAACGAAGGCCATTACATAATGGTAAAGGGATCAATTCAACAAGAAGAGCTAACTATCCTAAATATATATGCACCCAATACAGGAGCACCCAGATTCATAAAGCAAGTCCTTAGTGACCTACAAAGAGACTTAGACTCCCACACAATAATAATGGGAGACTTTAACACCCCACTGTCAACATTAGACAGATCAACAAGACAGAAAGTTAACAAGGATACCCAGGAATTGAACTCAGCTCTGCACCAAGCAGACCTAATAGACATCTACAGAACTCTCCACCCCAGATCAACAGAATATACATTCTTTTCAGCACCACACCACACCTACTCCAAAATTGACCACATAGTTGGAAGTAAAGCACTCCTCAGCAAATGTAAAAGAACAGAAATTATAACAAACTGTCTCTCAAACCACAGTGCAATCAAACTAGAACTCAGGATTAAGAAACTCACTCAAAACCGCTCAACTACATGGAGACTGAACAACCTGCTCCTGAATGACTACTGGGTAAATAATGAAATGAAGGCATAAATAAAGATGTTCTTTGAAACCAACAAGAACAAAGACACAACATACCAGAATCTCTGGGACACATTCACAGCAGGCTGTGACACTTTTTCAGACTCTCCTTGACTTCCAGAGTTTTCAGGAGTACTGGTCGAGTATATTATAGGATGCCACTGTATTTCAGCTTGTCTGATCATTTTCTCATGAGTAGGCTGGGACATTGGGTATTAGGGAGGAAGACCACACATGTATATTTCCAATGCCATCACATCATTTCAAGGATATATGCTATCAATGTGACTGCCACCATTGACATTAACCCTTATCACTTTGCTGAGGTAGCGTTTGTCATGTTTCACTAATGTACCTTTACTCTCCCTCCCACTACCTCACCCTCTTTTCACACTGATTTGTTTGGAAGTAAGTTACTATATTTGACATATACTTAAGGAATGGGAAATTATGCACCACTTTCTTTAGGGTAAAGTA
The DNA here is from genome assembly GCF_000001405.40 of Homo sapiens. NCBI lineage: Eukaryota > Metazoa > Chordata > Mammalia > Primates > Hominidae > Homo > Homo sapiens. The sequence goes on from NC_000006.12 coordinate 114,919,559, forward strand.
TATGCATAAATTATTTGGAATTCTTATGCATGAGAGATTTGTTACTTATTTATTCAGTTATTTGTTCAGTCATCTATTTATGTCAGTATAGACTTATTGATATTTAATTACACTTTGGGTTAAAATTTAATACTATCTTATTTCTTTGCTGCTCAAATTGTTTCAGCTTTGGGCATTGGAAATTCTATTAGTTGGCTTCCGTGGTCTTTTAAAATGCCCAATATCTTAGTTCAGGCTCCTGTAACAATGTACTATAGACTGGGTGGCTTGTAAACAACTGTAATTCATTTCTCACAGTTCTAGAGTCTGGAAGTCCAAGATTAGGGTGCTCACATAATCAGCTTCAAAAGAGGAACTTGTTTCAGGTTGCAGACTTCTGCCTTCTCACTGTATCCTTACATGGCAGAAAGAGGGTGACAGCTCTCTGAGATACATTTTATAAGGGTCCTAATCCTCATTCATGAGGGTTTCATTGTCATGACCAAACTACTTCCCAAAGGCCCCACCTAATATCATCACAATGGGGATTAAGATTTCAAAATATAAATTTTATGGGGACACAAGCATTCAGTCCATTTCACTCCAAAATGGTTTGTTTGTTTAGCACTTCCTTACTTTCTGTCTCTACAAAATGCTGCAAGCTTATCTTGTGTATTTTCTACCCCAGTCCTAGAATTAGTTATTTTTCCAAAGATCACTAAATCCTTTTGCTGGAGAATACAGTTAGAAACCAATATGTGAATAAGTGCTCCTTACTACTGGGATAGTTTTGCTTCTAGGGTCTCTCATATCTATAAATGTTTCTATATCTACACATCTGTACCCATATTAAGCTAAGTGTGAAATCTTATGGATCTCTTCAAATTTTATCCATTACAATATGAATCATTCTAGTTTCTTCCCCCTGCTTAACTCTAACTTCCTAGGACAACAATAAGAAATATTATTCCTACAACCTACCATCAGTTTCAATATACATGTATATCAGTATCAATATTGCTAACCCATATCCACATGGCAAACAATTTTATCAACTAGAGGTCAGATTTTATGTACAATTCTTTTTGCTTTTAGAGTTATAGACACCACTCACTTCCAAAGTTAATAGGTGAGCATCTTCCCCTTCTCTCGCAATTTGAATATTGTGTTGGAAGCTCTGGATCTTTTGCCTTCCATACAAACTCGTGTGTTAGTTTGTCAATATCCACAAAATAACTTGCTGAGATTTGTAATGGGAAAAATAGTCTTAATTCTATATAGTTTTGCAATGTTTTATGTTGTCACCATGAGTGTGTATTCCTTTAAGTCAACCAATTAACAATAACATCAAAAATTCTAGTTCAAGAAGATCATGCTTTAGTGCCATTTTCAAAGCAAAAGTTTATTATTAACTTTCAAAGACACTTTAGGTATAAAAAGGAAATAAAAACTCAATGAAATAATAATGACATAGTCAAATTTAATTGAAATTCTAAAATCATATTTAGTCATGTGAGTATTGTGTTCTTATCATAGATGTAGCAATAGAGAAGAATAAAATCCATTATTCCTTACTTATATAAATTGACAATCTAGAGAAGGAATTACAACGGAGGCTGCACAACAACCCAAACTTCATGAGCACAGGAATCGCACTTATATTTTTCATCCCTAGATACACAGGGCCTATTTATTTTCCTCACATATGTTTCCTAAATAGAAGATAGTATGCAAAATTCCACCTGTTCTCTTAAAGATATTTTCTTTATAACAATCCACAGCTCTGAAAAAAAGTGTATTCTGTTTTCTATTATCTTAAGAAGACAGAACTGTAAAATTTTTTATTTTTAAATTTTATTTATTTATTTATTTTAAATTTGACTTTTATTTTTGATACAGGAGGTATATATGCAGGTTTGTTACATGGGTATATTGCACACAGGCAGTTTTTCAACCCATGCCCCTATCCTTCCCTCCCCACAAGTAGTGCACAGTGTCGATTGTTCTCATATTTATGTCAATATTTGCTCAGTGTTTAGCTCACACTTATAAGTGAGAACACACGGTATTTAGTTTTCTGTTCCTGCATTAATTTGCTTAGGATTATGGCCTCCGGCTTCATCTATGTTGCTTCAAAGGTTATAATTTCATTCTGTTTATGGCTATATAGTATGCTATTATATATATGAACCACATTTCCTTTATCTAATCCACCACTAACGGGCACCTAGGTTGATTCCCTTTCTTTGCTATTGTGACTAGCACAGCTATGAACATATGTGTGCATGTGTCTTTTTGATAGATTTATTTTCCTTTGGGTATATACCCAGTAATGGGATAGCTGGTTCTGGTGGGAGTAAACATTCCCTTTTCTCTGCAGCCTCACCAGCAAATTTTGTTGACTTTTTAATAATAGCCGTTCCGACTGGTGTGAGATGGTATCTCCTTGTGATTTTGATTTGCATTTCTCTGATGATTAGTGATATGGAGCACTTTTTCATGTTTGTTAGTTGCATGTATGTCAGCTTTTGAGAAGTGCTGTTCATGTCTTTTGTTAATTTTAATGGGCTTGTTTCTTGCTTTTTAATTTACATTCCTTATAAATTCTGAATAAATCTGTCAGATGTATAGTTTATGAATATTTTCTTCCATTCTGTAGGTTGTCTATTTACTCTGTTGATAGTTTTTTTCTAAAGAGCTGTGCAGAAGCTCTTTAGTTTAACTTGCCAAAAAGTCTTAGCCAAGGCCAGTGTCGAGAAAAGTATTTCCTAGGTTTTGTTTTAGGATTCTTTAGTTTGAGGTATTGCATTGAAATCTGGAATCCACCTTGAGTTAATTTTTGTATACAGTAAAAGGCAAAGGTATAGTTTTATTCTTCCACATGTGGCTAGCCAGCTATCCCAGCATGATTTATTGAATAGGGACTCCTTTCTCAATTGCTTGCTTTTGTAGACTTTGTTAAAGGTCAGAAGGCTGTAGGTATGTGGATTTCTGGCTTCTATATTCTGTTCCATTGTTCTATGTGGTTTTGTATCAGTACCATACTGTTTTGGTCACTGTAGCTTTATAGTATAGTTTGAAGTAGAATACTATGATGCATCCTGTTTTGTTCTTTTTGCTTAGGATTGCTTTGGCTATTTGGGCTGTTTTTTGATTCCATAGGAGTTTTACAATAGTGTTTTCTACTTCCGTGAAAAATAACTTGGGAGCTTGATAGGAATGTGTTAAATCTGTAGATTACTCTGGATAGTTTGTCCATTTTTGTGATATTGATTCTTCCAATTCATGATTGCTGAATGTTATTTCATTTTATTGTGTGTCAATTATGATTTCTTTCAGCACTATTTTGTGGTTCTCCTTATATGACATTTTCACCTCCTTGGTAGATGCAGATGTATTGCTAGTTATTTTCATTGTTGTTGCAGCTATTGTAAATTGGATTACACTCTTGATTTAGCTCGCAGCTTGAATATTATTGGTGTATAGAAATGCTACTGTTTTTCATAAATTAATTTTGTATCCTGAAATTTTACTGAAGTTGTTTATTGGTTCCAGGTGCCTTTTGGTGGAGTCTGTAGAGTTTTCAAGGTATAGAAACATATCATCAATGAAGAGACATAGTTTGAATTCTTCTTTTTTTATTATTTTTTATTTTTTATTATACTTTAAGTTCTAGGGTACATGTGCACAACATGCAGGTTTGTTACATATGTATACATATGCCATGTTGGTGTGCTGCACACATTAACTCATCATTTACATTAGGTATGTCTCCTAACGCTATCCCTCCCCAATCCCCGCACCCCATGACAGGCCCCAGTGTGTGATGTTTCCCCACGCTGTGTCCAAGTGTTCTCATTGTTCTATTCCCACCAATGAGTAAGAACATGTGGTGTTTCATTTTCTGTCCTTGCAGTAGTTTGCTCAGAATGATGATTTCCAGCTTCATTCATGTCCCTACAAAGGACATTAACTCATCCTTTTTTATGGCTGCATAGTATTACATGGTGTATATGTGCCACATTTTCTTACTCCAGTCTATCACTGATGGATATTTGGGTTGGTTCCAAGTCTTTGCTATTGTGAATAGTGGTGCAATAAATATATGTGTGCATATGTCTTTAAAGCAGCGTGATTTATAATCCTTTGGTTATATACCCAATAATGGGATGGCTGGGTCAAATGGTATTTCTAGTTCTAGATCCTTGAGGAATCACCACACTATATTCCACAATGGTTGAGTTCAACCCATTCAACTCAGTTTACAGTCCCACCAACAGTGTAAAAGTGTTCCTATTTCTCCACATCCTCTCCAGCACCTCTTATTTCCTGAGTTTTTAACAATCACCATTCTAACTGATGTGAGATGGTATCCCATTGTGGTTTTGATTTGCATTTCTCTGATGGCCAGTGATGATGAGAATTTTTTCATGTGTCTGTTGGCTGCATAAACATCTTCTTTTGAGAAGTGTCTGTTCATATCCTTTGCCCACATTTTGATGGGTTTGTTTGATTTTTTCTTGTAAATTTGTTTAAGTTCTTTGTAGATTATGGATATTAGCCCTTTGTCAGATGAGTAGATTGTGCAAATTGTCTCCCATTCTGTAGGTTGCCTGTTCACTTTGATGGTAGTTTCTTTTGCTGTGCGGAAGCTCTTTAGTATAATTAGATCTCATTTGTCTATCTTGGCTTTTGTTGCCATTGCTTTTGTTGTTTTAAACATGAAGTCCTTACCCATGCCTATGTCCTGAATGGTATTGCCTATGTTTTCTTCTAGGGTTTTTATGGTTTTAGGTCTAACATTGGAGTCTTTAATCCATCTTGAATTCATTTTTATATAAGGTGTAAGGAAGGGATCCAGTTTCAGCTTTCCACATATGGCTAGCCAGTTTTCCCAGCACCATTAATTAAATAGGGAATCCTTTCCCCATTCCTTGTTTTTGTCAGGTTTGTCAAAGATCAGATGGTTGTAGATGTGTGGTATTATTTCTGAGGGCTCTGTTCTGTTCCATTGGTTTATATCTCTGTTTTGGTACCAGTGCTATGCTGTTTTGGTTACTGTAGCCTTGTAGTATAGTTTGAAGTCAGATTGTGTGATGCCTCCAGCTTTGCTCTTTTGGCTTAGGATTTTCTTGGCAATGTGGGCTCTTTTTTGATTCCATATGAACTTTAAGTAGCTTTTTCCAATTCTGTGAAGGAAGTCATTGGTAGCTAGATGGGGATGGCATTGAATCTATAAATTACCTTGGGCAGTATGGACATTTTCACGATATTGATTCCTCTTACCCATGAGCATGGAATGTTCTTCCATTTGTTTGTGTCCTCTTTTATTTTGGTGAGTAGTGGTTTGTAGTTCTCCTTGAAGAAGTCCTTCACACCCCTTGTGAGTTGGATTCCTAGGTATTTTATTCTCTTTGAAGCAATTGTTGATGGGAGTTCATTCATGATTTGGCTCTCTGTTTATCTGTTATTGGTGTATAAGAATGCTTGTGATTTTTGCACATTGATTTTGTATCCTGAGACTTTGCTGAAGTTGTTTATCAGCTTAAGAAGATTTTGGGCTGAGACGATGGGGATTTCTAAATATACAATCATGTCATCTGCAAACAGGGACAATTTGACTTCCTCTTTACCTAACTGAATACCCTTTATTTCTTTCTCCTGCCTGATTGCCCTGGCCAGAACTTCCAACACTATGTTGAATAGGAGTGGTGAGAGAGGGCATCCCTGTCTTGTGCCAGTTTTCAAAGGGAATTATTCCAGTTTTTGTCCATTCAGTATGATATTGGCTGTGAGTTTGTCATAAATAGCTCTTATTATTTTGAGATACATCCCATCAATACCTAATTTATTGAGAGTTTTTAGCATGAAGGGCTGTTGGATTTTGTTGAAGGCCTTTTCTGCATCTATTGAGATAATCATGTGGTTTTTGTCTCTGACTCTGTTTATATGATGTATTGAGTTTATTGATTTGTGTATGTCGAACCAGCCTTGCATCCCAGACATGAAGCCAACTTGATCATGGTGGATAAGCTTTTTGATGTGCTGCTGGATTTGGTTTGCCAGTATTTTATTGAGGATTTTTGCATCAATGTTCATCAGGGATATTGGTCTAAAATTCTCTTTTTTGTTGTGTCTCTGCCAGACTTTGGTATCAGGATGATGCCAGCCTCATAAAATGAGTTAGGGAGAATTCCCTCTTTTTCTATTGATTGTAATAGTTTCAGAAGGAACGGTCCCCACTCCTCTTTGTACCTCTGGTAGAATTCGGCTGTGATTCCATCTGGTCCTGGAATTTTTTGGTTGGTAGGCTATTAATTACTGCCTCAATTTCAGAGCCTGCTATTGGTCTATTCAGGGATTCAAATTCTTCCTGGTTTAGTCTTGGGAGGGTGTATTTGTGCAGGAATTTATTCATTTCTTCTAGATTTTCTAGTTTATTTGGGTAGAAGTGTTTATAGTATTCTCTGATGGTAGTTTGTATTTCTGTGGAATTGGTGGTAATATCCCCTTTATCATCTTTTGTTGTGTCTATTTGATTCTTCTGTCTTTTCTTGTTTATTAATCTTGCTAGTGGTCTATCAATTTTGTTGATCTTTTCAAAAAAATGTCTCCTGGATTCATTGATTTTTTGAAGGGTTTTTTGTGTCTCTATCTCCTTCAGTTCTTCTCTGATCTTAGTTATTTCTTGCCTTCTGCTAGCTTTTGAAAGTGTTTGCTCTTGCTTCTCTAGTTCTTTTAATTGTGATGTTAGGGTGTCAATGTTAGATCTTTCCTGCTTTCTCTTGTGGGCATTTAGTGCTATAAATTTCCCTCTACACACTGCTTTAAATGTTTCCCAGAGATTCTGGTATGTTGTGTCATTGTTCTCATTGGTTTCAAAGAACATCTTCATTTCTGCCTTCATTTTGTTATGTACTCAGTAGTCATTCAGGAGCAGGTTGTTCAGTTTCCATGTAGTTGAGTGGTTTTGAGTGAGTTCCTTAATCCTGAGTTCTAGTTTGATTGCACTGTTGTCTGAGAGATAGTTTGTTATAATATCTGTTCTTTTACATTTGCTGAGGAGTGCTTTACTTCCAACTATGTGGTTAGTTTTGGAATAAGTGTGATGCGGTGCTGAGAAGAATGCATATTCTGTTGATTTGCGGTGGAGAGTTCTGTAGATGCCTATTAGGTCTGCTTGGTGCAGAGCTGAGTTCAATTTTTGGATATCCTTGTTAACTTTCTGTTTCATTGATCTGTCTAATGTTGACAATGGGGTGTTAAAGTCTCCTATTATTATTGTGTGGGAGTCTAAGTCTCTTTGTAGGTCTCTAAGGAGTTGCTTTATGAATCTGGGTGCTCCTGTATTGGGTGCATATATATGTAGCATAGTTAGCTCTTCTTGTTGAATTGATCACTTTACCATTATGTAATGGCCTTCTTTTTCCCTTTTGATCTTTGTTGGTTTAAAGTCTGTTTTATCATCAGAGACTAGGATTGCAAACCCTGCTTTTTTGTTTTGTTTTGTTTTCCATTTGCTTGGTAGATCTTCCTCCATTCCTTTGTTTTGAGCCTATATGTCTCTCTGCATGTGAGATATGTCTCCTGAGTACAGCACACTGATGGGTCTTGATTCTTTATCCAATTTGCCAGTCTGTGTCTTTTAATTGGAGCATTTAGCCCATTTACATTTAAGGTTAATATTGTTATGTGTGAATTTGATGCTGTCATTATGATGTTAGCTGGTTATTTTGCTTGTTAGCTGCAGTTTCTTCCTAGCATCGATGGTCTTTCCAATTTGGCATGTTTTTGCATTGGCTGGTACTGGTTGTTCCTTTCCATGTTTAGTACTTCCTTCAGGAGCTCTTGTAAGGCAGGCCTGGTGTTGACAAAATCTCTCAGCATTTGCTTGTTTGTAAAGTATTTTATTTCTCCTTCACTTACAAAGCTTAGTTTGGCTGGATATGAAATTCTGGGTTGAGAATTCTTTCTTTAAGAATGTTGAATATTGGCTCCCACTCTTTTCTGGCTTGTAGAGTGTCTGCCGAGAGATCCGCTGACAGTCTGATGGGCTTCCCTTTGTGGGTAACCTCACCTTTCTCTCTGGCTGCCCTTAACAATTTTTCCTTCATTTCAACTTTGGTGAATCTGACAATTATGTGTCTTGGAGTTGCTCTTCTGGAGGAGTATCTTTGTGGCATTCTCTGTATTTCCTGAATTTGAATGTTGGCCTGCCTTGCTAGGTTGGGGAAGTTCTCCTGGATAATATCCTGCAGAGTGTTTTCCAACTTGGTTCCATTCTCCCTGTCACTTCCAGGTACACCAATCAGACATAGATTTGGTCTTTTCACATAGTCCCATATTTCTTGGAGAATTTGTTTGTTTCTTTTTACTCTTTTTTCTCTAAACTTCTCTTCTTGCTTCATTTCATTCATTTGATCTTCAATCACTGATACCCTTTCTTCCAGTTGATCGAATCAGCTACTGAAGCTTGTGCATGTGTCAAATAGTTCTCCTGTCATGGTTTTCAGCTCCATCTGGTCATTTAAGCTCTTCTCTACACTGTTTATTCTAGTTAGCCATTTGTCTAATCTTTTTTCAAGGTTTTTGGTTTCTTTGTGATGGATTCGAACTTCTTCCTTTAGCTCAGAGAAGTTTTTTATCACCGATCATCTGAAGGCTACTTCTGTCAATTCATCAAAGTCATTCTCCATCCAGCTTTGTTCCGTTGCTGGCGAGGAGCTGTGTTCCTTTGGAGGAGAAGAGGCTCTCTGATTTTTAGAATTTTCAGCTTTTCTGCTCTCATTTCTCCCCATCTTTGTGGTTTTATCTACCTTTGGTCTTTGATGATGGTGATGTACAGATGGGGTTTTGGTGTGAAGGTTCTTTCTGTTTGCCAATTTTCCTTCTAACAGTCAAGACCCTCAGCTGCAGGTCAGTTGGAGTTTGCTGGAGGTCCACTCCAGACCCTGTTTGCCTGGTCATCACCAGCAGAGGCTGCAGAAAAGCAAATATTGCAGAACGGCAAATGTTGCTGCCTGATCCTTCCTCTGGAATCTTCATCTCAGAGGGGCACCTGGCTGTATGTGGTGTCAGTCAGCCCCTACTGGGAGGTGTCTCCCAGTTAGGCTATTCGGGGGTCAAGGACCCATTGAGGATGCTGTCTGTCCATTCTCAGATCTCAAACTCTGTGCTGGGAGAACCACTACTCTCTTCAAAGCTGTCAGACAGGGACATTTAAGTCTGCAGAAGTTTCTGCTGCCTTTTGTTCAGCTATGCCCTGTCCCCAGAGGTGGAGTCTACAGAGGCAGGCAGGCCTCCTTAAGCTGCAGTGGGCTCCACCCAGTTCAAGCTTCCCGGCCACTTTGTTTACCTACTCAAGCCTGAACAATGGCAGACGCCCCTCCCTCAGCCTCACTGCTGCCTTACAGTTCGATCACAGACTGCTGCACTAGCAGTGAGTGAGGCTCCATGGGCATGGGACCCACTGAGCCATGCGTGGGATATAATCTCCTGGTGCGCTGTTTGCTAAGACCATTGGAAAAGCACAGTATTAGGGTGGGAGTGTCCCGACTTTCCACGTACCATCTGTCACGGCTTCCCTTGGATAGGAAAGGGAATTCCCAGACCACTTGCACTTCCTGGGTGAGGCGATGCCCTGCCCTGCTTCAGCTCACACTCCATGGGCTGCACCCACTGTCCAACAAGCCCCAGTGAGTTGAACCCAGTACCTCAGTTGGAAATGCAGAAATCACCTGTCTTCTGCGTCACTCACGCTGGGAGCTGTAGACTGGAGCTGCTACTATTTGGCCATCTTGGAACCCACTGAATTCTTCTTTTCCTATTTGGATGCCTTTTATTTTTTTCTCTTGCTTAGATTCTCTGGCAAGGACTTCCAACACTGTATTGAATAGGAGAGGTGAAAGTAGGCATTCTTGTCTTCTTCCAATTCTCAAGAAAAGATAGTTCTAGCTTTTACTCATTTAGTATGATATTGGCTCTGGGTTTGTCATAGATGGCTTTTACTAATTCGAGATATGTTCCTTTGATGCCTATTCTGTTTTAGGGTGTTATTATGAAAGGATGTTGGATTTTATCAAAAGTTTTTCCTGCATCTATTGAGATGGTCATAAGATTTTTACTTTTAATTCTGTTTATGTAGTGAATCCCATTTATTGATTTGCACATGTTTAAACAACCTTGCATCTCAGGAATAAAGCCTACTTCATCATGGTGTATTAACTTTTTGATGTGTTACTGAATTTGGTTTGTTATATTTTGTTGAGTAATTTTACATCCATGCTCATCAGGGATATTGGCCTAAAGTTTTCATTTTTTCATTATGCCTCTGCCAGATTTTGGTATTAGGCAGATGCTGGATTCATAGAATGTGTTAATCAGTAGTTCCTCCTCTTTTATAATTTGGGATAGTTTCTGTAGAATTAGTACCAGTTTATCTTTGTACATCTGGCAGAATTCAGTTGTGAATCTATCTGGTCTTTGGCTTTTTTTTTTTTTTTTGGTTGGTAGGTTTTGTTTTACTTATTCAATTTCAGAGCTGGATATCGGTCTATTCAGGATTTCAATGTCTTCTGAATAAATCTTGGGAGAATGTGAGTTTTCAGGAATTTATTCATTTCCTCTAGATTTTCTAATTTCTATGCCTAGAGTGGTTCATATTATTCTCTGAGGATCTTTTGTATTTCTGTGCAATCAGTTGTAATTTCATCTTTATCATTTCTGATTGTACTTATTTGAATTATCTCTCTTTTTTCCTTTGTTAATCTAGCTAGCAGTCTACTGATCTTGTTTATTTTTCCCAAGAACCAACTTTTAGTTTCACTGATCTTTTGTATGGATTTTTGCATCTCAATTTCACTCAGTTGTTATCTGGCATTAGTTATTTCTTTTCTTCTGCTAGCTTTGGGGTTGGTTTATTATTTTTTCTCAGTTCCATCAGGTACAAATTTAAGATTGTTAATTTGAGACCTTTCTAATTTCTTGATGAAGGCATGTAGCACTATAAACTTTCCTCCTAACACAGGTTTGTCTGCATCCAAGATATTTGTTAAATTGTGTCCCAATTTTTACTAATTTCAAATAATTTTTTGATTCTGCCTTTAATTTCACTGTTCACTCACGTGTTATTCATGAGCAAGTTCTTTAATTTCCATGTATTTGTGTAGTTTTGAGAGGTCTTCTTTATACTGATTTTTATTTTTATTGCACTGTGGTATGAATATATCCTTGGTATGATTTTAATTTTTTTGAATTTATTGAGACTTGATTTATGATGGAGAATTTGGTCAATCTTAGATATGTTCCATGTGCAGAAGATAATAATTTATATTTTGTGGTTATTGGGTGGAGTGTTCTTTAGATGCCTATTAGTTCCAATTTGTCAAATGTCAAGTTTAAGTCGAGAATTTCTTTGTTAGTTTTCTGCCTTGATGATCTATCTGACACTGTCAGTAAGTTGTTGAAGTCTCCCACTATTATTGTGTGGTTGTCTCATTCTTTTTGTAGGCCAAGAAGAGCTTGTTATATAAATGGGTGCTCCAATGTTGGATGTATATGTATTTACAATAGTTAATTCTTCTTTTAAATCGTACCTGTTGTCATTATGTAATACACTTCTATATGCATCTTAATTTTTATCAGTTCAAAATCTGTTTTATGTGATGTAAGAATAGCAACTCCAGCTCTTTTTTTTCTGTTTTCTCTTTGTGTGGTAGATCTTTCTCCATCCCTTTTCTTTGAGCCTATGGGTGTCATTATATGTGAGATAGGTCTCTTGAAGATAGCAGATCGTTGTTTTTGTCTCTTTATCCTGCTTGGCATTCTGCATATTTAAAATGGGGAATTTAGCACATTTATATTTAGGGTTAGTATTTACATGTGAGCACATTTATATTTAGGGTTAGTATTTACATGTGAGATTTTGATACTGTCATGGTGTTGTTAGCTGGTTGTTATGTAGACTTGACTGTGTAGTTGCTTTATAGTGCCATGGACTATGTGCTTAAGTGTGTTTTTGTGGTAGCAGTTGTCATTATTGAAATCCCATGTTTAGCATTCTCTTAAGGACCTCTTGTAACGCTGGTCTAGTTGAAACAAATTCCCTTGGTGTTTACTTGTTTGAGAAGGATTTAATTCTTCTTTAACTATGAAGCTTAGTTTGAAAGGACATGAAATTCTTGGTTGGAATTCCTCTTCTTTAGGAATGCTGAAAATAGGCCTCTAATCTCTCCTGGCTTGTAAGTTTTTTGCTGACAGATCTGCCACTAGCCTAACGGGATTCCCTCTGTACATGACTTGACTCTTCTCTGGCTGCCTTTGCAATTTTTTCTTTTACATTGACCTTAGTGAATGTGATGTCTATTTGTCTTGGGAAGGTTGTCTTGTATGGTATGTATCTGAGGTTCTCTGTATTTCTTGAATTTGCATGTCAACCTCTCTAGCAAGATAAAGAAAATTTTTATGGACTACATCTCAAATATATTTTCCAAGTTGCTTATTCTCTCTTGTTCTCTCTCAGGAATACCAATGAGTCTTAGATTTGGTGTCTGCATAATCTCATATTTCTTGGAGGTTATGTTCCGTTTTTAAAATTCTTTCTTTTTCTTCAACTTTAAGTTCCAGGGTGCATGTGAAGAAGGTGCAGGTTTGTTACATAGGTAAATGTGAGCCACGGTGGTTTGCTGCACAGATTAACGCATCACCCAGGTATTACACCCAGCATCCATTAGCTATTCTTCCTGAGGCTCTCCCTCCCCCACCCCCAAAAGACCCCCGTGTGTGTTGTTCCCCACTATGTGTCCATGTGTTCTCATCATTTAGCTCCCACTTATAAGTGAGAACAAGCAGTGTTTGGTTTTCTGTTTCTGTGTTAGTTTGCTAAGGATAACAGCTTCCAGCTCCATCCATGTCCCTGCAATGGACATGATCTCTTTCCTATTTATGGCTGCATAGTTTTCCATGGTGTAAATGTACCACATTTTCTTTATCCAGTCTATCATTGTTGGGCATTTGTGTTGATTCCCTGTCTTTGCTATTGTGATTAGTGCTGCAATTAACATATGCATGCATGTATCTTTATAATAGAATGATTTATATTCCTTTGGGTATATACCCAGTAATGAGATTGCTGGCTCAAATGGTATTTCTGCTTCTATGTCTTTGAGGAATCACTGCAATGGTGGAACTAATTTGTACTCCCACCAACAGTGTAAAAGCATTCCTTTTTATCTACAACCTCACCAGCATCTGTTGTTTGTTGACTTTTTAATAATTGCCATTCTGACTGGCATGAGATGCTATCTCTTTGTGGTTTTGATTTGCATTTCTTTTTTTTTTCTTTTTTTAAAATCTGAGTTGACTCAAAGAACTGGTCTTTGAGCTCTGAGATTCTTTTCTGAGCTTGATCTACTCTCCTCTTAATACTTCTGATTGTATTATGAAGTTTCTTTAGTGAATTTTATATCTCTAGAAGTTCAGTTTCATTCTTTCTTAAAACAGCTATTTCATCTTTCAGCTCTCATATCATTTTATTGGATTCCTTGGATTCCTTTGATTGGGTTTCGCCTTTCTCCTGAATCTCACTGAGCTTCCTTGCCATCCAGATTCTGAATTCTGTCTGTCATTTCAGCCATTTCAGCCTGGTTAAGAAGCATTGCTGGGGAACTGGTGGACTGTTTTGGAAGCAAGGGGATATGTTGGGTTTTTGAATTTCCAGAGTTCTTGCACTGACTCTTTCTCATTTGGGAGGGTTGATGTTCCTTTAACTGTGGTATTAGTTGACTATAGTCAGCTGGCTCCATTTTGGGATGTTTTCAGAGGGCCGAAGCTCATTAAAGGGTATTTTTTTGTGGCTGAATTCTTACCTTTGGTTTCACAGCAGGGTATATGAGTAAAGCATTTTTATTGTTGTAGTTTGGTCTGCAATCCAGTAGATGGTGGTTATAAGTAATGGGCAGTAGATAGGCTCTTAGCTCTCTGGCTCCTGTATATTTCCTCACATTTGCAGCCATGTTCTGTGATGTGGAAAGAAGAAGGGTGCCCCCGCCCCCACCTCACTAGGTCTGCTCCTGGACCTTGGGGGAGACCCCTTCGCAAACTGGCACTGCACCTGCATTTCTTTTGTTAGGAGTTTCATGCCATGGAGCTCCCTTGGGCAGAGACCAGAGCAGAGAGATAAGCTACACATTTTCTGGGCCAGCCCTGTGGAGAGTAGCATGTTCTACTCCCACACCAGTTCACGAACCCACATGACTCACCCACTCAGTTCTCTGAGAGTGTGGGCTCCTCTCCCAACCAAGTGCTGGACACAGATCTTGGCTTAGTATTCCTTACCTGTGCACTGCAGCCCCGGGGCTCTGGGATTGGCTTGCAGCTCTATCCTCTGGACCCTCTGAATTAGGTTCAGGTGTGCTGGGGGACCCAAGGTGCTCCCAGTGTGCCAGAAGCATATTTATGTGGAGCAAAGCACCCAGGCTGGGCAGCAGAGGCTGTACTATGCACACACTCCTCAGGGTGGCCAGGTAGGGGCCCTTGCTGGTGGGAAAGAGGGCCTATAGAACAGGTGTGCTCCAGTCCCATGGGAAAGCCAGCCCCACTTTCTTCTAGCTGGTGGGCAGCTGGAGCTAGAGCTTCTTGGAGGGAGATGGGAGGTCTTGGGGAATGGGTGGCCACACTCTGCCAGAACTGCACTAGGCACAATGGCCTCTGTTTCTATGCCAGCTGAACTTTGATCTCTGTCTAGTCTCTGGACAGATTCCCCTGTCAGCTCAAACATTCATGGGGCACATGGGGCCTCCTGTAGCCAGGATCCCAGAGGTCTGCAGCAAGCATGGGCAGTCCCGCAGCCCCTTTACTCACTTGTTCCACAGGAGCTGTTTTGGGCCAAGAACTAGCCCCAGTGTTTGTTTATCCTGCACAGGATTCCCAGCCTCCTCCCTCCTCAGCCTCAGCATCTGCATTGCATCTCCATATGCTCTTGCTAATTTCTCTCTAAAGGTCTGTCCAAATTATGTTGGTTTCCGTGAAAATTTGGTCTTTCTCAGTGGAAGTGGTGCTTACTGGATGCATCTAGTTGGCCATCATCTTGTCCTCTCTTGATAATTTGTTTTTAATGTAGATGCTGAATCTCACACCAAAGGAGTCAAAACATGATGAATTTTCATCTTGCAATATGGCATAAACAATATTGAAACAGAAAGACCTGATATTTTTAAAGGTTTTGAAGAAGACAGATGAAATTATTGACTACAAAGATTGAAGTGGTTTCTGATATATGCAGTAAATTTAAAAACTTATTGTTTGTACATTGGAGAAGAGGCCTTAGCTGTACAAAAAGTAGGATAGACTATAGAAAACTCAATGAGATATGTTAAAAGTGATTTTAATAGTTATATATGTGCACAATTGTTACTTTTTAAGCTTCACATCAAAACATCATTCTGAATTTAAAGGCATCCATCATTGTGTGAGATATGATTAGAGGCAGAATTTCCCATTATTAGAAACTCAACAATGAGTATTTTTCCCAATGGCTCTTGGGAGATAGGACACAGGTACATAATTCAAGCTTGTATGCCCTATTTGGGCTTTGAATCTTGAGAGAACAGTCCAAATATCCAAGGCCATTTGATACATTATCCGTAGAGGCGATAGTGTCAGTGGGAATCCAAGGAGGGCAGCACTGAGTGCCTGATGTTGGTTATCATCAACGCTGTGGTATGCATACACAATATTCTTGGCTTGATATTGGATGAGTTCTTTGTTGATTAACTTCTTTTGTTTCCACCCATTATGTAAGTTTGGTTTTCTAGCCTTCTTGTCAAGATTGTGAGCCTTGAAATATCATTTCAACCCATTGGTCTCTGCTTCAGTTATCTGGTTGATTACTGTTGCTTATAATCAAGAAAACTGACTAAAGACATATCACAACCTTCAAACACAAAAAAGGAAGGAAAAAGGGATCATTTTAAAAGCAACAAACCCCCCAAAAAGCCTCCCGTACACACAAATAAACAAAAACTCACGTCATTTTTGAGAAAACAAAACTCTTACCAAAAATTTCTCTATTGATAAATACATATCTATCCCAAAAGATCAAAGCATTCAGTTCATTGCTTCATCATCTAAAGTGTATCCTGTTAAAAGATATCTTTATTTGGGATATGACATTAGAGAAAAAATTAAATATGACACTAAAATTAGTTTTTTGGAGAAGAGAGAACATGGGACTGACAAAATTTAGATAAGATGCCTACTAGAAATATCAATATAGAAATTCAGTAGCAATATTGGAGAATTATACACAGCTTATACTGCTTTTGGAAAAAAATTCAAAATGCAATTCAAGGGGAAACAGGAAAAAAATAAACAATCTTTTTTTAAAATATTTAAATTCTAAAAAAATAGGTATCCTAGTGTGGTTGAAAAAAGACACAGCTTACTGAGGTTCAATGAACAACACATTTTTCTTTAAACTTATATTTCTCCATTGTATGAGTATGTGAGACCCTGCTTATGCTCATTTTTTTCATCTCCTTCTCTGTCTTAATTTATGTACTTCCTTCACATGATTGTCTTTTTTCTCCATACCTCCTTTTCAGTAATTAAATCACTCCACTGTTAGTCCTTGTGTGATCCATAGGTTCCTGTTCCTATTGTTTCTGAGTTTTTGTCTCCTTCATCTGTTTTCCAATGGGCATGTCCTGTTCTACTGAAAAGCCCCAGCTTGCAGTTCTAAAGCAGCTCTGCTGGACTCATGAACTCCTGCAGTGAGCAAAATCAGTGCATCTGGACACTACTTGGTTCTTCTAGAGACCACAGACTTTAATACAGTTAGAACACAGCTTGCTGCCCAAAGAAGCAGTTTACATTGCTGTTTGTTCCGATTGAATAGATGTCAGAAAAAGAAAAGTGTGTTAACACACAGATATATTCCATTTGAAATGTCCTACTTTTCTCTCTTCTACATCCCATTGTAGAACAAGTGAGCTATGGTCCTCAGCTTAGGACGTTCAAGTAAAGTTTAGGTTTCTTCATGAAGACCTGTGGGCCTTTTGATTTTTGTTCCAGCATAGGGGAGAGTGACATTCACAAACAAGATGTAGCACTTAACATAAATCCATTACTTATGGTGTTAACAAGGTACAAATAATTAATTAGGCAAATTTTCTATGTAGAAAAACAAGTGACCAATGGCAATTAGTCATTTTACATCCACCAGAATGTGAAAATTAAGATGCCTAGTGAAATTGTGTGGTTTAGAGGGTGGGAAAGTATAAAATATCATTTAATTATAGTTGTAATTTGCATTTATATATTTGTTTATTGAATTTGTATTAAATATCCTATGAAGTGCCTTTTAAGCTCTTTTGCTCTCATTTTACTTGTTTTTTTTTTTCTTTTTGATTGGGAGTTATTCTTCTCACAAGTTGAATATTCATAGTAATGCAATTTCTTCCTGATTGTGATTTACCATGTTCATTCTTTGTGAGATGTTATTTTGGGCTTTAAAATACATACTTTAAATTGTTTTTATTTTAATTTTTGTGGGTATATAGCATGTGTATATATTTATGGGGTACATGAAATGTTTGGATACAGGCATGCAAAGCGTAATAATCACATCATGTAATATGGGGTATCCAGTCCCTCAAGCATTTATCATTGGTGTTGTAAACAATCCAAAGATGCTCTTGTCCCTTATGTTTTGTAAATTTTGTTTCTTGCTTAAGAAATCCTTCCATATCCTAAGACATTTCTGTGTATTCTCTTCTAAATGATTTATAACTTAAACAAATTGTGAACTCAATAAATATGGAATGAATTTCTGTATCTAGTATCAGGTAGGTTTCCATATTCATTTTTCCATGTAAAAATTGTCTCAGCACCATTAAAAAGCCTATTGTTTTTCTACCAATCTTCAATACTAACTAAATAATGAAACATTAGTCTTAAAAGTGGTCTATTTCTAGGTTCCAATATCTTTACACTGCTAATACCTTATATTATTTAACAGTGTTATTTTTTATGTCTAGTAAAGCAAATCACACTACTTTGTTCTTTTTCTAGATAGGCTTGATTATTTTTGGGCCATACTCTTTTATAAACCTCCTGAGATTTGCATCTCTCACATTAATGTATGTAGCTATAGTCCATTTTCTTCGGTGTGTAATGTTTTATTTAAACACTGTTATATTTTTCTAATTGGCAAGCACCATATTATTTGTATGAATTTTCCTAATATTGACTATTAAGTAATTTTTCTTTCCAATTTCTATCTACCCAGTTGGTTTTCAAAATGCTAAGAGTTGAGCCAAATCGTGCCCCATAACCAATATTCAAAAGGCATGAAATGTAGTCTCAAATGATTATTTTCTAGCACATTAAAATACTTCTATGATGTGACAAAGATGCTAAGGTGTTTATCAAGTTTAGAGGTGAAGATAAAGATCAGATCACTTATTTTGGTTCTCATTTTATTAAGTAAAATAAGGAGAAATCTTTCGGGATAACCATAGCATTTCTTCTACTCTTGGAAGTATTTGGGGATTATATTCTCCTGACTATATTAAGCAGGACATAAAATGTATTTTCTTAAGTATTGCCTTGACTTAGAGGTTTTAGAGGACTCTGGTATGTTGACTGTGATTTCTTTGAATAAAGCAGAAACATATGGTTGGAACTTCAACAATCAGATGCTCTATGTAGAGAAGCATTTGGGAGGAATCATGCACTGGAAATCTAGGGAAGAGAACGTGGCCTTTTCGTTTTGAATGCATAGTGCTGCTTTGAAAGACATACTCAGGAGTAAAGGATGTGTACCCTTTGCCTCAGTGTAAAGAGGCCACAAAATCCTTGTAATCCCCTTGTCTCAGACAATACAGAAGGGGGGCCTGGAGGGACTGCCAAATGAAAGATTAAGTTACCAGTGTAAAAAGGAATCATTTGCCCCAAGTCTTATTCTGCCCCTTGAAATATGGTTCAGAGAGTTGCTGACCACCTCCTCTTACCTGTGGTTAAGATCTTAGGACTACCCTCTCATCCATTCTACTTTCTGTGCTTGCCCAGCCTCTGTATTAGAGCTTTCTCTCTGTCAGTGTAATCAACTTTCAGTCTAATCTTGGTATAGCTTTGTCAAAATGACTTATATTCTCTTTCCCATCTGTTTAGGATCCCAGTGTGAAGTTATCCTAATTTTTTTTCAGGCAGAATATGTATCACAGTCAGCAAAAGTAACAGTTAAAAGAGAAAGAGCTATAAAAGTTATATCTGGAACCATACAGTCAGTTGCATGTGTTGACACCATTCCGTTTATCTCCATGTCTATGTGAGGTTCAAAGTGATCTTCTAACTTCAGTTAATTTCATTTCTTCTCCATTCAACTTAACGATGGGACTTCTAATATTATTCTAGTTAACAATGTTTCTCTTTTTTTCTTTATTATTATTATTTTTTTTTTGAGATAGGGTCTCATTCTGTCACCCAGGCAGGAGTTCAGTGGCACATCCATAGTTTGTTGCAGCCTCAACCTCCTGGGCTTAAGTAATATCCCACCTCAGCCTCAGGAGTAGCTGGTACTACAGGAGTGAGCAACCATGCTTGCCTAGTTTTTGTATTTTTTAGTAGAGATGGGGTTTTTCCATGTTGCCCAGGCTGGTCTCAAACTCTTGGACTCAAGCCATCCACCCAGTGCTAGGATTACAGGTATGCACCGCCATTCCTGGCCAACAATTTTTCTTTATACAAAAATGACATATGCATCACATAACTGGGTCATTGATCTACCTTAAGCTTCACTGAATATTTCATTTTGACTACGATGGGGCATTTTCTTGTAACAGGAGAACCTACATTCAAAACAAATTACAGGACACCTTTTTTGAAGTTTTTTTCCCAGAATTTTTTTTATCTTTTTTAAATACACTTTTTTGAACCTTGTTTTCTCAACATCACTCTACTTCGTGCCTTGTTTATTATTGTAACATGTTCTGGTAACTTCTTGTATAGAATTGTGATTGAGAATTGCTTATTACTAACTCTTCCACTGTATGTCTTCACTTTAAAATAAACTCTACTTTTCCCCTTTTCTGACAATTCATTTCTTGTTTAAGAATGACAACAGAGAAAGTACTTAAATTCCCATCTGGTGAAGTTGAAAAGCATTTTCAATTGCCAAGTAAAAGCAGAACTCTTATCTGCCCGAAATTGGATCTTGAAGCTTTTTCACATTCACTCTACCATTTGTCTTCGTATGTGAGATCAAGCCTTTTCAATTTACTCAAAACAGCTGACTAGGCTAAATACAGTTAGTAGCCTCAGGTATCCCAGGGAATTTGTCCCATCTAATGCATGATTCTTCTGCCAAAAGTGAGTAACCAAATTGAATCTGGAAATGATCTGCTGTCACATTTGACACACTTCTCTTTTAGATAACAACAAAATATGTTTTGGGGGATCCTGTAGGATGTTATGTTAATAAAATAAAAATGTTTATAGAAAGAAAGGGCTTTATATACATTGAGAAGTATTTCAAGTATAAAGTTTACTTCTCTAGTTTCTTAAGTCAAATATAGTATATGTCTTTGAATTTTCAAACTCTTAAAGATTTTGGAATTAATGTTTTCATTGTTAAATAAAATTGTAAGAGGCCATTGATTTGTGCTGAGTTCCTGCCCTAGCCTCAGTGGACCAAACCAATACAGTATAGAGTCTGATCACAGTAGCCAAGGATCGGTTAACAGCAGGAGGTTCTGTAACCAATTAACCAATTACATTGTAACCAAGTAAGTTGTCTCTATACTTCACTTTCCTTATATGTTGTTGGCTAGAGTCCTATTTATATGTTGTTGGCCAGAGTCCTATGAATTTGTTTTGGTTCTGGGAACTGCTGGATTCATTCATTGTTTTATGTATTTTACTCAAATGCACTCTGCTAAATTTAAAAGTTTAAGAATTTTTCCTTTTAACACATGATTTAAAACTGATATTTACATAAATGTGGAAAAGATGAACAGACAAATCAAGCATGTGCTTCAAATTAATATTTTTGAGATTCAGAGTTACGAAAAAAAAAAGTATGAAAGCCACTATTTTGCACCTGAAAATGACAACCTTAAAGGAGATTGTTAATGTATTTAGACTGCAGAGGCTGGAATGAAAATTATTTTGCTGCTCTGTCCACTCCAATCCATTCTCTACCCTCCTTTACCTTTCTGTATCAAGCAGAAGGCTGATATATATGAGTTGCTTCACCAGGGTTATCTTGCTTTCTGGTTTCTTACTGGTGACAGTTGAGAGAAAGCACTGGCAGGAGATCCCAGGGTAGAGAAAGTTATTGGTTTTCCTGCTCTTTCCCTACTTTTGGCTGCATTTTCTGGTGTTGGCTAGATCCCCCTACAATTACTGGTGCTGGAAGAACAATGGAGCAAGATTAAATGCTGAATACAGAGAGGATGTGATATGACAGAGATGGAGGAGGGAAAAGGACCTCTAAGTGGTGGTATGGCCAAAGATGGACTTTGAGCTAAACCGTAATATCTAATCCTGTGTGCCTCTTAGCATATATGGCACTCTTCCATGAATTACATAAAGTCACTCCTTCAAGAGGATGATTTTCAGGAAGGCAGCTCTCCCAGAGAGGAGGGTACAAAGAAGCTCTTTTCCTTGTCTAGACTGATGTAGTCTCTCACCAGGGCTCATGACTTGGTGAGTGGAACAATGTTTTGATCTCATTTACCACCTCAGCAGGGAGCCTTTGTGCAGTGCACTCCTGCCCAATTACACCCTGCTGCTCTGTGTGTACTGAAGATTTTACTAAACTGATTGCTGTATGGCATGAAGTCTGTACCCTCTCCTGCATTTCCTCTATGAAATATTTAATAAATACAATGTTGCTCAAAAACATAAATATATGAGTAACTTTTTTTTTCTTTAGAAGGAGCTTGAAGAGGAGAATGAGGTGACAGCTGACATCTGAATTTAGTGATAGGTAGTTATACAAGAAATTACAGGAGTAGCTAGATAACCAGAATATGGAAAAATCTCCTATTAATCTAAATTGAAGCCTCAAAGCTGAGGCTAATCCCTAACATTGTAAGCAGAGTAGCTAGACGCACTTCTGCAAGACTCTAGTGTAGGTTGAATCTGATGCCATCCCTGATCTTAAAAGCTGTGACCAAGGATATGGTTTAATCTGGAATAAACAAGGCTACTTAGATCCACCTCTCAATTAGGAGTTAAAGGGGAGGTTTGACTCTGGTTTCACAGGAGACTACAAGCCGTCAAACAATCACAATCATCTCTACTCCAGGTTCAAAGTAAATTCCCTAATGATCTTCAAATCCTTCTTTCTTGCTTGCTTCCTGTCTTGATTCATGCTCTTATTTATTCTTTAAATTATGGTCTCAAAGCCTCACAGTCTTAATGCCTTAGAAATACCTCAGATCTCTTCTTCATTCAGATTTTGTTACTTGCAAATATATATGGAATATTTTGTAGGGCATATTTGCCTTTTCTCTCCCTTTCTTTCTGAAAATACACAAGTTCAAGTTTTCTTTTCTTTTTTTCTTATATTCAGTACCGCAATATCCTTATTGGGTCCACTTTTCCTATATATTTATCCTCCAATCTAAACCCAAACATCATTGTTCATATAAATACTGCAGGTTCTAAGGACTTTGCCAGATCTACCTAGACCTACCTACACTCAAGAGCAAGTGGGTTTCAAACAAGCTCTCTAGGTAACTCAGATGCAACGGCACACATACTGGTGATTATACAATATTAGTGAACTGTACTTCACAAATCATTGTAAGATGAGTCATCCTAAATCTCTCACTCTATTCTAAACAGGATTTTAGTGCCTTTCTCCTTGTGAGCTAATGAAGACAGCATTTTAAGACACTCCATAATCTGATTTCAGCTCATTGATAAGGAATAGTCATCTTAACACAAACTCTGTGCTTCTCTCAAACAGAAAGACTTGCCGTCACCTAAAGCATCTCCAGGAAGTTTCCACATATTTCCTTTTGTCCTTTATTTCTCATCAAATATAAAATACCATCTATTCAAAACATAGTGTTAAGTAATATTTTCTGCACAAGTTCTATCCAGCAAGCCTCAACCAAAAGCAAAGTACTTCTCTGAAATAGTTTAACACTAAATTTTAGAATGTGGCATAGCTGAAAAAAAAAATATGGGACTAAAAAGTGGAAGATCTGAATTTAAATTCTGGCTTGCCATCCAATGCTGAACAAGTCATTTTATTTCTCACCATTTTTTTCCATGGTCCATGAAATGAATAAATAACATGTACTTGGTCTACTTCATAGAACAATTGGGAAAATCAGATTAGATCTCTTTTGTGCCAAGAATCCATCTGCCTGGTTGCTGATTTCAGCTCTACCACCTCCAAGTTCTGACTTGGAGAAACTACTTAATATTTCCAGGCCTCAGTTTCTTTATTAGTACAATGTGGATTTTAATAAGTGCTATGTTACAGGATGATGTTGAAAATTAGAAGAGATGATACATAGAAAGCATGTAGAATAGTGTCTGCCACATAGCTAGTGCTCAATAAATGATACTATTTTAATGGTGATATTGAGGAGGATGATACCTTTTATTTAAATATGTGAATGAACATGATCTTCCTTTGCAGATTTTAACCTCTTTGAGGTTATTTTTTTTGCTCTTTTTTGGTATGTGGCATAGTAATGCTGACTGAATAAATATTTTCTTAAGAAAAAAATGTTGAACATATAAATGAATGATTGGATAATTCATTCAATCATGATGTGTGGCTGCATGAATAATGGACTTGGCCTGAACTGAAGGCAAAGGTGATTATTGAATGCAGTTGATAACTGAGATTGAGCAGAAAGATCAGATATGAAGACTTATGAAAGCAAAATAAACGATTTGAATCTGATGCAGTAGACAATTGCAAGTCACCATGACTAGCTGAAAGCGAAGTAAGATAAATTAAAAATGATTCAAAAAATATTTCTGCTGTAAGAAATTGGATGGATTGGAAACAGGAAGACATGCATGTAGGCAATAATCTTTCTTAGTTAATATTCCCTCTTTGTATATATATCTCACAAAATAACATGGATTTTACTACTAGAATGATTATATATAATTACAATTAAGCTAATTCATTTCAATCTAATACTGTCTTAATAAGTTGTATATAAAAACATTTTACTAAAGTGATATACAGCTTTATGAAAGAAACAGACTCTATGTTAAGAATTTATATATTGCATATGCATTGATACAGTCTTGTCATGGTGGAGTTCTCAGAAATTGTAGTGTAATACATTAAAAATCCCTTTTATTAGTACATCTCAATTATTTGAAAATATTTATCAGTAGGTCATTACTTCAAGAACAATGAAATAACTTGCCTTATAACAGAATGATCAGAATATTATTAGGCGCTTCCATAAAAAATGTGAAGAACAAAAAGTATATAATTTAAATGCTTAAAAAACTGATAACTATAAATATTTCAGGATTAATTAACCTATAGTGAAATGTACTTAACCAAAATTATTTATACTAAAAAAACTATAATTTTTAAAAAACTTACATGGTTTCGATTGAGTTATTTGAGCTCATTAATCATCCTTTATCCTAATAATACTTATGTAATGAACTGAGTGGTACTATTATTTTCAGAAAAGTTAATGAACTTTTTAAATTAAAACTTACAACTTAGGAATCATATATTTACAAGAAAATTGCGTGCCTTCAACATGAACAAACTGGTAAGCTGTTTTCCACAAATTAGTTCTATAGATTCTGACACAAAGAAAAAGAGGTCATTTTTGAGGCATTGGATATTGATAATGGTGAAACAGTTTAACCTGCAAATAATTATTTCATTGACACCTTTAAATCAAAATTATGTATCCAGAAAAAATTGATAATTTTGTCAAAAGCCATCATTAATTCTTCTAAATTTTAATGTTTGTAAAAAAAATTTTTAATACCTAAGATTCTAAGTCTTTTCAATAAATGTATTTTATGTATATATTTAATGAGAATTATTATAATGTGATATCACATGAATATTTAGATCTGTATTTAGACTTTTATCTACTGGTTTGTCTTTTGTGTCTCCTCATGTCTGTCTTTCACTCACCCTCTGCATTAGTCTGTTTTCACACTGCTGATAAAGACATACCTGAGACTGGACAATTTACAAAAGAAAGAGGTTTATTGCACTTACAGTTCCACATAGCTGGGGTGGCCAGAATTATGGCAGAAGATGAGGAGGAGCAAGTCACATATTACATAGATGGTGGCCGGCAAAGAGGGAGAGTTTGTTCGGGAAAATTCCCATTTTTAAAACCATCAGATCTCATGAGACTTATTCACTATCATGAGAACAGCACAGGAAAGACCCACCCCCATGATTCAATTACCTCCCCCCAGGTCTTTCTCACATGTGGGAATTCAAGATGAGATTTGGGTGGGGACACAGCCAAACCATATCATTCCATGCCTGGTCTCTCCAAAATCTCATGTCCTCACATTTCAGAACCAATCATGCCCTCCCAACAGTCCCCCAAAGTCTTAACTCATTTCAGCATTAACTCAAAAGTCCACAGTCCAAAGTTTCATCTGAGACAAGGCAAGTCCCTCATGCCTATGAACCTGTTAAATAAAAAGCAAGTTAGTTACTTCCTAGCTGCAATGTGGGTACAGGCATTGGGTAAATACAGCCATTCCAAATGGGATAAATTGGCCAAAACAAAGGGGCTAGAGGCCCCATGAAAGTCCAAAATCCAGTGGGGAAATCAAATCTTAAAGCTCCAAAATGATCTCCTTTGACTCCATGTCTCACATCCAGGTCATGCTGATGGGTGGGTTCCCATGGCCTTGGGCAGCTCTGATGCTGTGGCTTTACAGGGTATAGCCTCTCTCCCAGCTGCTTTCATAGGCCAACATTGAGTGCCTGCAGCTTTTCCAGGCACAAATTACAAGCTGTCAGTGGATATACCATTCTGGGATCTGGAGGACGGTGGCCCTCTCCTCACAGCTCCACTAGGCGGTGCCCCAGTAGGGACTCCGTGTGGGGGTTCCAACCCTACATTTTCCTTGCACACAGCCCTAGCAGAGGTTCTCCATGAAGGCCCCGCCCCTACAGCAAACTTCTACCTGGGCATCCAGGGGTTTCCATACATCTTCTGAAATCTAGGTGGAGGTTCCCATACCTAAATTCTTGACTTCTGCGCACTCACAGGCTCAACATCACATGGAAGCTGCCAAGGCTTGGGACTTGGACCCTCTGAAGCCACGGCCTGAGCTCTACATTGGCCCCTTTCAGCCATGGCTGAAGCAGCTGGGATACAGGGCACCAGAACCCTAAACTGCACACAGCATGAGGAACCTGGGCCTGGCCCACAAAACCATAGTTTCCTCCTAGGCTTCTGAGCCTGTGATGGAAAGGGCTGCCATGAAGACCTCTGACATGCTGTAGAGACATTTTTCCCAATTGTCTTGGGGATTAACATTTGGCTGCTCATTACTTATGGGAATTGCTGCAGCCAGCTTGAATTTCTCCTCAGAAAATGGGATCCTCTTTTCTATTGCATTGTCAACCTGCAAATTTTCCAAACTTTTATGTTCTGCTTCCCTTGTAAAACTGAATGCCTTTAATGGCACCCAAGTCATCCCTTGAATGCTTTGCTGCTTAGAAATTCCTTCCTCCAGATACCCTAAATCATCTCTCTCAAGTTCAAATTTCCACAATTCTGTAGGGCAGGGGCAAAATGCCACCAGTCTCTTTGCTAAAACATTACAAAAGTCACCTTTTCTCCCAGTTCCAAACAAGTTCCTCATCTCGGTCTGAGACCACCTCAGCCTGGATTTCATTGTCAGTATCCTTATAAGCATTTTGGTCAAAGCCATTCAACAAGTCTCTAGGGAGTTCCAAACTTTCTCACATTTTTCTGCCTTCTTCTTCTGAGCCCTCCAAACTGTTCCAACCTCTGACTATTATCCATTTCCAAAGCTGCTTCCACATTTTCACGTATCTTTTCAGCAGTGCCCCACTCCTGGTACCAATTTACTGTGTTAGTCTGTTTTCACAATGCTGATAAAGACACACCTGAGACTAGGAAATTTACAAGAGAAAGAGGTTTATTGGACTTACAGTTCTACGTGGCAGGGGAGGCCTCGCAAGCATGGCAGATGGTGAGGAGGAGCAAGTCGCATCTTACATGGATGGCAGGGAGCAAGTCGCATCTTACATGGATGGCAGCAGGCAAAGAGAGAGAGTTTGTTCAGGGAAATTCCCATTTTTAAACTCATCAGATCTCATGAGACTTATTTACTATCACAAGAGCAGTATGGGAAAGACCCACCACCATGATTCAATTCCCTCCTACTGGGTCCAACCCACATGTGGGAATTCAAGATGAGTTTTCAGTGGGGACACAACCAAACCATATCATCCTCTCTCTCCCATGCACACAGAAACACACATGCTACACAAACACAAATTTAATACATATTTTAAATGCTCATACAGAAGCTTTAAATTTTATTTTTTAATCACTTTTAATATTATCTCAGTGGAATTTTCTCTATTGTTTAGAGAATGCACTACTGCTATACATCTAAAATAATTCTATTCAGAATTAAGATGAACAAAAATTGGTAAAAATTGCTAACCATGGCAAAGCCTTTGTCCTTGACTATATCCTTAAATTCCCTCTGATTTCTCTAGTATTTTGCCAATCTCAGATAATTCTAAGATCTGTGTATCCAGTCAAACTTCCCACTCTGTGTATATGATTTATCCAGCTATCAAATAGAGAAGAGTTATGATAACTGCAACAAAATGCTAATTATTAATAATGGCTTAACCACATTTTCCTTCTTACCCTTGGCCAATGCCTTTGAACAGGACTTCTCAGAGTTTTCTAGAAATTGATATACTCTAATCCAGCAAGCCCTCTTATTTTGGAGCACCATGACCTCTGGAGAATATATGGATGAGGCTGAACCCTCTGAAATTGAATGTAAAAATGTGATTTTGTTCTTATATTAATGTATTATATAATAATTTAGAAACAGCCTTTATTAATTCCAAGAAACTGCATATGATACAAAATAAGGTGATGAACCACATTTTGGCAGGAAGAAGTGAACTAACACACCTGGAAAAAATGAAGGATGCAGCCCTCTCTAGACATAATTTCCTCAAAAATTCCTGTTTTTTTCCTCAGAATTATGTATTTTTTTGCTTCTATTCCATAATGTTTCTGTGTTTAGTTTAACATAATAAATGTTTTTAATTACAACATGAAAGTTCTTGGGTGAACCTCTGCTATTTATCTAAATTAAGCCAAACAATTTCTGTTTCCTTCTGAGTCCTATTAAAGATTGGCTTGCTATTGGTCCCTTTATAGCACTGTGGGCTCCTGCTGACCCAAGGGAAATTATGAAATTCTTCATTGTGCTCCAGGGGTCATGGGTGCATAGGATGAGGTTTGCACCGTATCAGTTCAGAGTTTCTGGCTCCCTTAATGTTTACTTTTTTGTGAATATATTACTTCCTATTATTTCTTTATTCCCACTTCTTATTAATGTGATTAAGATAATATACAGCTAATTCACTTATAGAAATGCATTTTTAAAACTTATGTAGAATCTGCAGTATTTTTTTCTAATAAATACACCTCCTTGGGAGAATATTTAATGAACTGTACACATCTTGGGGAAAATGTAAATTAGTATGTCATTCAGTTCACGTCTAAAACATTCGAAGTCAGCCTGTTACATCAGACAATGCCCACAACATGGAAAAACAAAGTTGAATAAGACACAGTTCATAATTTGAAGGAATAGGCTGTTCAAAAGAGAAACTTGTATCAGATCAAATAATGATCATACTGTGTTATGGCTAATGGTACTTTTTTGTTTACCTTGATTCTTACTTTTACCACAGTGCTAGTTTTTGTTTTGTCTATTCAGAGTGACTTTCTTTGGGAGGAATTTTTCTCTTCCCTTTATCTACAGTAGAAAGATCCCAGTAACCAAATTTGTAATATGGGATCTCATCTGTCTTAGACCAAGCTTGGACGGCTGACTCAAATAGATCATCAATTGAAAATCATTAGACCTGCAAGATTCGGAAGTGGTTGCGAGGGGCTGCTTACAATAGGCCAATATCACCTAAACTTAGAAGCATTCAGTAACACTCAAAAGAGAAGAGCTGAGAAAGAACATTCTGGTAGATTTTTCGGTTCCACTGTTTAATTCCACTCTTCAAAACACAGTAAGATTCTGGTACCAGACTGTAGGCCTTCTCATCCTGCCCTGTGAACATAGGCAAAAAACTTACCTTTTTGTACCTTGAATTCCTCCTCTATAAAAAGGAGATAATAATAGTATATAATGCCATAATAATGTATGTTATTATAAGAGTTATAGTACATTAAGCCCTCATAATAATACTATAAGGTTGGTAAGAAGATTAAACAAGCTAATGTATTTATAGCAGACCCTGGCACATAATAAATACTTGATAAATGTTAGCTGATATTATTACTCTTGCCATTGGGTTTCATGAAATAACTTGCAATCATTAAAATAAGCCTCTTTTACTTCCTTGAGTTATCATCAATTACAAAAGTTATAAATTGTCCTCTCTGTGGAGTTTTATCTTGGCATTGCTGTTTTTATTTTAAGAGGCATCATTGGGAACAGCCTGGCTTGGTGAAAAAAAATTAACCTCAGCAAAATATTTCTCTGCACTTCATTTTTCTCCTTGCTAAACACAAGTATTTATCATTACCGTGCAAGGTTATTTTAGAATTAAATGATTTAGCATGTCTATCATCTGGCATATGTGAATAAGCATTTATTATCTATACTGATAATATAGTTATTATTTGTGCAGATTTATTCTGCTTATTTATATATTAATTATCTGGCCAGCTCACTTTATTATTGCTTGATTTTCCTAAAATTTGTGTTACTATTTAGCAACTGAGGCAAGGTTTTATGTTTGGGGTTCTTTGGTAATAATTTTACCAAACATAATAAGTATGTTTGGTTTTATGTTTTATTTAGCAACTGAGGCAAGGTTTTATGTTTGGGGTTCTTTGGTAATAAGTAAGAATTGCAATAAAAGAATTAAGTAATTTTATTCATTATGGATATTAAATGTCTGATTTTTTGGCCAATTTTCCAAAAATGACAGTTAAAGTAGAACTTAATATTGATAACTATTTAATCATTTCCTTGCAGTTCCTACTCTAAATACATTTCTACTTCAATAGACCTTAGACATTAGCTATTGTTCTTAAAAACATAAAATTGTAAACTTCTAGAAGAAAATTAGGACATTATGGTAATCAGATAGACATTTAAGAAATGGTTTCCATTTTACTACATTTATTAGATTATTTATTCTATTCCTAATTGTCATACTAGTTTCATCCTTTTGTTTGCATATTTACATTCAGGAGCACATTGTTTTATTAGATACTAAATTCTTACCTGAACTAACATATACTAAACTATAATTTTATTATTTATTTAAAAAATGATCATAGGGTTTTTATTAAATGCATCACAAATACAAAAAGTCCAATTTAGTAGAGGCCCTAGCACCCACAAGGAGAAATCAGCACAGGCAGGAACTCCTTTATAAAGTTCAAAAATTAAATATTTTAATATTTACAAGTATGAAATGCTTTAAGCATAAAATGACATCAAACAAAAGCTCTTTTGATGTTAAGAAAGGTACTGGCAAAGCACCCTGTATAACTGAGGCTTTTAAAAACAAAATGACAGATCATCATGAATGCAGTGAAATAAAGAATACTCCATAGAAAAATTTGGGGATGCAATTAAAACTGTACTCAAAGCAAATTATATAATTTAAATGTGCTTATATTTAAAAAGAAAGAAAAAAAATAACTTCTCATACTAATAAATTAGAAAATTAATTTAGAGTAAAATTTATTAAGAATAAATTAAACCCAAACCTAAAATGAATTAATTAAAAACAAAATACAGTAAAAAGTATTTAAAATGCAATGCCTGCACTTTCAAAGGACTACTCTCAGTCTTCCTGTAATTTATTCCTAGAATTACGTTTTTCAGTCTTTCCATAATTTTTTAATCTAAAAAATAAAAGAGAGAGACAGTTTATTAAGAATTAACAAGTAAATGTATTCATAGTCATAGGAGAGATTAAAACTGATATAAAAGATTATCAGGTACAATGCTACATTTTTTTCAAAAAATTTAAGTCTATGCTTATTGAATCATTTCCAAAACAAAATTAATCACGCTAGAAAAAAATATAAAATAACTGAGCAGGCAAATTAAGAAGAAAAAGGTTATAAAAGTAAATATCATTCTACATATTTAAAAAGGCACAGGTCTATTGGCAAATCCTAATACATTTTTAGTTGAGGGCTATCTTTGGAAAAAACATTTTTAACTTGTGCAACCACAAAAATAATAGAATTATCACTAATTCATTTTAAGAAGCTGAGTACTTTAACATCAATAACTGATAAGGGAAGCAGAAAAATAGATTTTTTTGTCCTATAGCTCAATATCACATTAATGTGGATCAAAATATATAAATAAACATTAGTAAATAGAATCCAGGAGAGCACTAACTGAATAATTCACCATAGCAAAGAAAGGTTTATATCAAGAAAATAAGGCTGATTCATTAGTGCTCAATATATTAACACAATTTATTATGCTTAATTTTAACCTAGAAGGCTTTGTATGATGTGGTCTTTCTTTATCACCTTGCACACACCTCTAACCATGACTTCCTCATCCACTATAATCTAATCATAATGACTATTTTTAAGTTAATTAATGATGTATATAACCCTCTTCTTTTTTATGGCTGAATTGTATTATATTGTGTCTGTAACACATTTTCTTCATGTATTCATCTGTTTATGGACATTTAGGTTGATTCCATATCTTAGCTATTATGAATAGAGTTGCAATAAACATGAGGGTGCAGTTATCTCTTTGATATACTGATTTCCTTTCCTTTGGATAAATACCCAGTAGCAGGATTACTGGATGATATGATAGTTCTGTTTTTACTTTTTCAAAAAACCTTAATACTGTTTTTAATAATGGCTGTACTAAATTACATTCCCACCAGCAGTGTATAAGAATTTTCTTTTCTCTACATCCTTGCCAGCATTTGTTGTTGTTTTTTTTTTGTCTTTTTGACAATAGCCACTCTAATTGACATGAGGTGATATCTCATTGTCATTTCGATTTTTATTTCTCTGATTAGTGATGTTGAGCATTTTTTTAATGTTTTTTGGCCATGTGTATGTCTTCTTTTTGAGAAATGTCTATTTAGTTCCTTTACCCACTTTTTAATTGGATTATTTGCTTTTTATGCTGTTGAATTCTTTTCATATTCTGGATATGGGTCCTTTGTCAGATAAACATTTTCTCTTTCTACTTTTTGTCTCTTAACTCTGTTGATCATTTCTTCTGAGATCAGATGAGATCAGGCAGGTTCAGGGTGGTATGGCTGTAGACTGCTGATTATTTATTGTGCTGTGCAGAAGCTTTTCAGTTTAATATACCCTCATTGTCTGTTTTTTTTTTTTTGCCCGTGTTTTTAAAGTCTTAAGTCATAAAATTTTTTCCTAAACCAATGTCTTGAACATTACTTCTATGTTTTCTTCTAGTAGTTTTAACGTTTCAAGACTTATGTTTAAGTCCTTAATCTATTTTGAGTTTATTTTTGTATATGGTGAGAGATAGGAGTTACATTTTATTTTTCTGCATGTGAATATACTAGGTGACAGAGCAGGCACACCATCATCTTGGACAAACACCACCACTCAAAGTTCCAGTTCCCTTTCTAGCCTCATGCATTTCAAGGAAATCACTTCTAACTACAAGCAGCCAGAAAGCACACATAGTAAAACACAGATAAGACAGCTCGGGCACAGAGGGAGGTAGGGGAAAAGTCTTGGGTAACTGCCAAATTTCACCCTCATGGGCCCTAGTAATACGGTGGGCCCTAGTTTCATACATAATTTCATACAATGGGCCCTAGTAATACGGTGGGCCTTAATAAGCACATTCCTTTCCCTTCAGGTGCACTAAGGTAGGGAGGCTAAATGCAGACTTGGGGAGTATGCCTGCAGCTGCAGAAAGTTGTATGGAAACAGACACACAACTCTCCCTCCCAGTTAAGCACAACAAAGAGACACAGAAGCAGTCCAAGCCTCTGATAAACTCTCCCACCCTGAATCCTTAAAATCTCTTATTCTGTACGAGAGTGTACCTCTGACTTAACTCAGCCAGAAGCCCCTTTTAGGTTTGTTTTCTCTAAAATAAACCTGTCCTTGACTGCCAAGCCACTTTTCATGTTTCTTTCCTCTTTCTTTAATTCTTACACTAGCTTCATTTATTGAAGAGCATGTTCTTCATACCTTTGTCAAAAATAAGTTGGTTGTAATACATGGATTTGTTTCTGTTTTCTATTCTATTCCTTGGACTATGTGTCTGTTTTTATACCACTGTCATGCTGTTTTGGTTACTATAGATTTTTGTATATTTGAAGTTAGATAGTGTGATTCCTCTAGCTTCGTTCTTTTTGCTCAGTATTGCTTTGGCTATTCAAATTATTCTGTGGTTCCGTACAAATTTTAGGATTTATTTTCGATTCATGTGAAGAATGTCATTGGTATTTTGATAGGAATTGCCTTGAATCTGTAGATTGCTTTGGGTAGTATGGTCATTTTAACTACTTTAATTAATTCTTCCAGTAGTCCATGAAAATGTGTCCGTGTTCTCTTTAACTTATTTCATTAGTGTTTGTAGTTTTTATTATAGAGTTCTTTCACTTTCTGGTTAAAATTATTCCTTGGTATTTTTCATAGCTATTGTAAATGGTATTGCTTTTCTTTTACTCTTTTTTCTTTTTATTTCTTTTTCAACTAGTTTATTATTGGTGCATAAAATGCTACTGATTTTTGTATGTTTATGTTGTATCCTGCAACTTTACTGAATTTGTTTAGCACTTCTAAGAGGTATTTTTGTGGAGGAGTCTGTAGTCTTATCTATATATAAGTTCATGCTGTCTGCAAAGAAGGACAATTTTACTTCCTCTTTTCCAATTTGGATGACTTTTATTTCTTTCTCTTTCAAAATTTCTCTGGCTAGGACGTTTAATACTGTGCTGAAAATGAATGGTGATAGTGAGCATTCTTGTCTTATTCCAGTTCTTAGAGGAAAAGCTTTTCCCCCATTCATTACAATGTTATCTGTGAGTTTGCAATATATAGCTTTTGCTATTTTGAGATATGTTCCTTCTATGCCTAATTTGTTGAATTTTCTTTAGAAAGGGCTATTGAACTTTATCAAATATTTTTCTGCATCTATTGAGATGATCATAAAGTTTTTGTTATTTATTCTGTTCATGTAATGTATAACATTTATTTATTTGTATATGCTGAACAATCGTTGCATCCCTGAGATGAATCCAACCTGTTCATGGTGTGTTGTTTTTTTGATTTGTTGTTGGATTTTGTTTGCTTATATTTTGTTGAGGATTTTTGCATTTATGTTCTTCAGGGATATTGGCCTATAAGGTTTTTTTTTTTTTCTTTGTTGTTGTTGTTCTTGTGTCCTTGTCTGGTTTTAATATCAGGGTAATACTGGCCTCTTAGAATGAGTTGAAAAAAATTCCCTTCTCTTTAATTTTTTGGGAATAGTTTAAGAAGAATTGGTGTTCGTTTTTCTTTAGAAGGTTGGTAGAATTCAGCAGTGGAACAAGTCTTGGGCTTTTCTTTGTTATTGATTCAATTGTATTACTCATTTTTGATCTTTTCAGGTTTTCTATTTCTTCATGGCTCAATCTTAATGAATAATATGTATCTAGAAATTTATTTATGTCTTCTAGGTTTCCCAATTTGTTAGAGTATAGTTCATAACAATCTCTAATGATCGTTTGTATTTCTGTGTTTCCACAGAATGTAAAACAGATTTGTAATGTCTTCTTCTTCATTTCTAATTTTATTTATTTGGGCCCTCTCTTTTTTTTCTTGGTTAATTTAGCTGGAAGTTTGTCAATATTCTTTATCTTTTCAAAAAAATAAACTTTTCATTTCACTGATCCTTTGTGGGTTTTTTTTGTCTGTATTTTCATTAGGTCTGCTTTCATTTTTATTACTTATTTTCTTCTGCTTGTTCAGGGTTTGGTTTGTTCCTACTTTTCTAGTTTCTTAAGGTCCATGATGAGATTATTTATTTGAGTCTCTCTATTTTTTTGATGAAGTCATGTATTGCTGTAACCTGCCCTCTTAGAACTACTTTTGCTATATCTCATACGTTTTGGTATGTTGTGTTTTTATTTTCATTTGTTTCAAGAAATATTTTTATTTATTTCTTAATTTCTTCATTGAAAGAAAACATGTTGTTTGATTTCCATATATTTACAAAGTTTCCAAAGTTCCTGTTGTGATTGTCTTCTAGTTTTCTTCCACTGCCATTTTAGAAAATACTTGATGTAATTTCAATTCTTTTGAGTTTGTTGAGCGTTGTTTTGTGTTCTGATGTCTGGTCTATGCTACAGAATGTTTGTGTGCTAATGAGAAGGTTGTGTATTCACAGCTGTGGTGTGAAATGTTCTGTAAATGTCTAAGTCCATTCAGCCTATAGTGCAGATTAAGTGTGATGTTCCTTTGTTGATTTTTTCCATCTAGATGACATGTCTAATGCTGAAAGTGTGGCCCTGAAGTAACCAGATATTATTGTATTGGAGTTTAATGCACTCTATAACTCTGATAATGTTTGCTTTACATATATGGATGCTCCCATGTTGGGTACATATATATTTACAATTATATTCTCTTGATTATCTTTTATCATTATATAAGGACATTCGTTGTCTCTTTTTATGATTTTTGCCATGAAGTCTGTTTTGCTTAATATAAGTGTAGCCCTCCTGCATGTTTTTGGTTTCTACTTGTGTGGAATGTTTCTGTTCATCCTTTCACTTTCAGTCTATGCATGCCTTTATAGGTGAAGTCAGGCTTTTATAGGTAGCTTATATTTGGGTCTTGTGTTATTATGTTATAGCTTTTTCCATGACCATCATTTTCTTTTTAATCTATCTGTGTTATGGTATTATGGTACCTCCAAAAACCTATTTTAAATATAAAGATATATCTTTATATTTAAACAAGAACTATATTGGGGAAGCCAAGCTGTATAATCACCATACATTAGGCCATGGGGATACAAGCATTTTTCTGTACTCAACTCTTTTCTACTGTTGGTGCTATAGTTAGCCTCTCATTCAATTTCCAAAAAGAAAATATTATTTCTATTAAAATAAGCTTGTCACTTTTTATAATTTTCATATTAGCACAAGATATAATCCTTTAGTCATTTATTTGCCTTGGTGACTTTTACCATTAATTATCATAATATAAAGACACATCTTTATATTTAAAATAGGTTTTTGGAGGTGCCATAATTTGGTCTTAAAATTTTTAAATCTTTTTGACAATCTCTGTATTTTAATTATTTTATTTTTTCCATTTACATTAAAAGTGGTTATTGACATAGTTCAATTAATACCTACCATGCATGTAACAGTTTTTAATTTAATGCATTTTTTGTCTTTTTCTGCCTTTTCTGGTTTTAATAGAGAATTTTATATAATTTCATTTTATCTCCTCTATTAGCATATCAATTATGCTTCCTTAAAAAAATTATCCTAGAGTTTACAATATGCATCTACAACTAATCTAATTACACTTACAGAAAACATTACACTGCTTTCCAGATACTACAATATCTTATGATACAGTATTCCTATTTCTTCCACCTCATCTATTATAACATTGATATCATTTATTTTAGTTATCCATATAATTATACAATGCATTGTTACTATTATTATTTTGAACAGTTTTCAATTAAGAATAAAAAATAAAATATTTTAGTTTGTTTTCATTTATTCCTTCTCAAACCCTCTTTCTTTCTTTATGTAGTTCCAAGTTTCTGACATATATCATTTCTCTCTAAAGAATCGGTTTTTGGCATTTCTCAAAGGAAAGATTTTCTGATGATGAATTTCCCCAGCTTTTGTCTAAAAAAATTTTAATTTATTTCTTCACTTTTGAGGGATAATTTTACTGGATATAGAAGTCTAGGCAAGTGGGTATTTTAATACTTAATACTTTTATTACATTTTGGTTTCTGAAATTTGTTATAGTTTTTATCCTTGTTTCTCTATAAGTAAGGTTTCTCCCTCCACTCCCAACTTTTTCTTTTGGTTCAAGATCTTCTCTTTTCTTTTGGTTTTTGACAGTTTTAAATTAATTTTTCTAGGTATAGATTTTTATCATACATATCCTGGTTGGTGTTCTCAGAAATTCTTGAATCTGTGGTTTGATCTCCGCCATTAATTTTGGAATATTCTCAGCCATTATTTCTTTAAATATATCTACTACCCTTCCGTCCTTCCTTCCTTCCTTTCTTCTTCCTTTCTTTCTTCTTTTATTTTTTATTTATTTTTATTTTTTTTGACGGGGTCTCACTCTGTCACTCAGGCTAGAATGCAGTGATGCGATTACTGCTCACTGCAACCTCTGCTTCCTGGGTTCAAGCAATTCTCTTGCCTCAGCCTCCTGAGTAGCTAGGAGTACAGGTGCATGCCACTACGCCCAGCTAATTTTTTTTTTTTTTTTTGGTATTATTAGTAGAGATGGGATTTGCCATGTTGACCAGGCTGATAAATGAACGCGTTTGATCTTTTATGTATTAAAATTAGCAAGAAATATAAGTTTTTAAAAGTGCACTATATGAAAGCCAAGTATAATGTTATTAGAATAAAATCTCTCTCTCTCTCTCTCTCTCTCTCTCTCTCTCTCTCACTCTCATTCATGTGTATTAACTATGACCTGGTAGGACAATATTTTTAATGAACTAAAGAGCCCTTTGTTTTGGTAATACAAACAAAGAATTTAACTCAAATTGATACCATTTTAACAGTTAAAATGAGTTCTATGTATTAGTAATTGAGCTGAAAAAATAAACAAGAACTATATTGGGGAAGCCAATATAGTTGTATAATCACCATACATTAGGCCATGGGGATACAAGCATTTTTCTGTACTCAACTCTTTTCTACTGTTGGTGCTGTAGTTAGCCTCTCATTCAATTTCCAAAAAGAAAATATTATTTCTATTAAAATAAGCTTGTCACTTTTTATAATTTTCATATTAGCACAAGATATAATCCTTTAGTCATTTATTTGCCTTGATGACTTTTACCATTAATTTCTTTGCTTTTTTAAGTTTGGTTTCATGCTTATTGATAATGTCACTATTTTAATCACAGATTACAATCAAAATGTTCAGATCAATAGGCTCATGGGCAAAATAAGGAAAAAAGGCTGCAGTGTCAAGGCATACTCGTACATAATAGGTGACTTTCCAACTGTAATTCTCTTTGCATGGAAGAAATCAAGCATGCTTTCACCAATGCAGAAAAGTGCTAATGATTCCACAAGCTACTTCACAAGTGAAATCACTATGCCTCCAGCATATGGAAAAAATATTCAAAATATTAGACCTTTAAAAACTTGTCCAATTTAGGCCAAGCACAGTGGCTCACGCCTGTAATCTCAGCACTTTGGGAGGCTGAGGTGGGCAGATTGCCTGAGGTCAGGAGTTTGAGACCAGCCTGGCTAACATGGTGAAACCCCGTCTCTACTAAAAATACAAAATTTAGCCGTGCATGGTGGTGCACATCTGTAGTCCCAGCTACTACTCAGGAGGCTGAGGTAGGAAAATAGCTTGAACCGAGGAGGTGGAGGTTGCATCAAGATTGCGCCACTGCACTTCAGCCTGGGTGACAGAGCAAGACTCCGTCTCAAAAAAAAAAAAAAAAAAAAAAAAAAAAAACAAAAAACAAACAAAAAACTTTTCCAATTTAATCCATGGTCACATTATAGCTGGTGAGTAATTATCAGGTAAATGGAAATTTTTGAATAAACTATTATTTATACATATCATTTAAAGGAATACATTAGATTTATGTAGAGGTATGTGTGTGTGTGATGTGATTATTAATTACTGTGACTCAATATAGGTGATATAGGTCAGTATTAAGGTAGATAGGTGATATTATTTGGCTCTGTGCTCCCAACCAAATCTCACCTCAAATTTTATTTTATTATTTTTTATTTTTATTTATTTATTTATTTTTTTATGTTTTTGAGAAAGAGTTCTGCTCTGTCGCCCAGGCTGGAGTGCAGTGGCACGAACTTGGCTTGCTGCAACCTCTGCCTGCAGGTTCAAGCGATTATCCTCTCTCAGCCTCCTGAGTAGCTGGGATTACAGGCTCATGCCACCACGCCTGGCTAATTTTTGTATTTTTAGTAGAGATGGGGTTTTGCTATGTTGGCCAGGCTGGTTTTGTATTCCTGACCTCAGGTGGTCCACCTACCTCAGCCTCCCAAAGTGCTGGGATTACAGACATGAGCCACCACGCCTGGCCCTCATCTCAAATTTTAATCCCTGCATGTCAAGGGAGGGACTCAGTGGGAGGTGATTGCATCATGGGGGTGGCTTCTTCCATGCTGTTCTCATGATAGTGAGTGAGTTAGCATAAGATCTGATTGTTTAATAAGTGTTTGGCACTTCCCCCTTCTCTCTCTCTCTCTCTCTCTCTTTCTCTCTGTCTCTCTCTCTCTGCCATGTAAAACGTGTCTTGCTTCCTCTTCACTTTCTGCCATTATTGTAAGTTTCCTGAGGCCTCTCCAGCCATGCAGAACTGTGAGTCAAATAAACCTCTTTTGTTTGTAAATTATCTAGTCTCAGGTAGTATCTTTATAGCAGTGTGAAAACAGACTAATACAGTATGTCTCAAACAGGATAATTTTCATTGGGTTGAATATGGGTTTTTACGAATTAGTAAGAGTAACCTATGGGAGAGGAGCTAGGTAGGGCATTAGTAGATGTTTTTATGCGGGGAAGAGAAAATTAGTCAAAGATGATAACTATTAATTATAGCTTTCTTTATATGGCTCTGGGAACTTGCTAAGCACTTTAGAAACACAATCTGATTTCATTCCCACAACAATCCTGCAAGTTAAAAATTATCCCAATTTTACATAAAAATTAAATGATTTATTTGAGCTCACATAGTATTCTGGTAGCAGCATCAAGATTAAAATTCAGGATGATGGAATTCAGTACTCAGTGTGTCTGATAGTGCATGAGCAAATGAGACTGTGCAGTAGAGCAATGTAATTACAGAATTTACCCATTTTGTTTTCTTTACTGATATCCAGGTGATTTCTCCTTTATTTCATTTATTAAAAAAAATTCAGTTGTCTAGAAAAGACATGGAATCATTGTAAATGCCCATCAATGATAACCTGGATAAAGAAAATGTGGTACATGTATACCATGGAATACTATGCAGCCATAGGAAAGAATGACATCATGTCCTTTGCAGAGACATGGATGGAGCTGTAGACCATTATCCTTAGCAAACTAACACAAGAACAGAAAACCAATTCCACATGTCTTCATTTATAAATGGGAGCTAAATGATGAGAACACATGGACACATAGAGGGGAACAACATACACTGGGGCCTTTCAGAGAATGTAGGGTAGGAGGAGGGAAAGAATCAGGAAAAATAACTAATGGGTACTAGGCTTAATACCTGGATGATGAAATAATCTGTACAACAAAGCCCTATGACACAAGTTTACCTGTCTAATGAACCTGCACATGTACCCCTGAACTTAAAAGTTAAAAAAAAGAAAAAAATTATGGCCAGATATAATTACCAAGTAATGTACAGTATCTGAATAATAGCTTTTTTTATTGACATTTCTTTGACATTAAAATCATAAACATATGATTACAAAATTTTCAACACAAATACATGAGCTTTTTGATAAATTACTTTCTAATAGGATCTATTACTTGAATTGATAATGTTATCAATTACTACTATATCATATACTACCATATCATATACTACAATCATATACTATTGCATCAAATCTCTAGAGGTGCTTGCAAAGTAAGTCATTCAATGCCATGGGTTTGAAGTAAAAAATAAGCAGAGTGTAAAGGTCTTTTTTGTGATAAGCTTGTATATAAACCAAATAAAGCAGTAAAAATCAAATTTAAAACACCCTAAAGAAAATAAGTTTCTGTTTGAAAAGTTAAAAAGAAATATTATTATGACTTTTTCCTCAAACATTTTTCCTTTTTTAAAAATTTTGCTTGAAGTATACTTTTTAAAATTTCACTTTCAAATACAATGCCAGGCATACTTTTGGAGTCAGGGTAGCATATAGTTTCCCTAATATTTTCTAATATTTACTATGTCAAGTCACATAAATCGGTCTGCATTAAGTTTATTCTGCATGTCTGTGGGGTAGTAGATCAATTAACTTGAGAGAAATATAATCACACTCCATTTTAAAAGTAATTTCTAACCATAACACAATGTTTGGAGGTACTTGAAAACTTCGAGGGGAATGTTCAGGGAAATCAATAAGTCAAGTTATACACTCAGGAATCCCTGAATAACATGGCTGTTAATCAGCAGTACAGTGGTTTCTCCACGGGATGTGGGGAGAGAACAGAGCTAAGTGACAAGAAGTAAGAACATAATTTAAAACACCTAGTAACATATTCCAAGGAAAAATTAGAACAACCCAAAATGAAGCTCCATGATATTAAATATCTTCATTATCAGCGCTCTCCCTTTATCTCTTTCATGTGAGAAACTACCAACTGATAAAATGACATCAGAATAACTGTGAAATGTTTTTAGAACATATTCAGGGTCCATGGTAAGCTCACCACTGACTGAAACCTTGAGCCTGGGAAAGCAAAATAAACATGCTGAGCAAGATTAAATCTCAGCACAAATTAAATGCTTTGGTCTTATCATATAGATATACACAGAAAATTGAAAAAATAAGGAATTAGAATATCCAAATGAGGCATATGTTGTCATTTTGCAAATCTGGAATCTTTTTTTTCTGAACCATTTTCTGCTCTTCTCCTATTTGAAGATGATGCAATGAGAGAAATTCAATTATCTGAGAAGTGGTATAGAAAATATATCAAAAATTTTTAACATTCTGTGCATATAAATGCAATAATGTAATAGAAACAAAGATAGCCATAATGATTGACAGAAAATCATATGGCAGGAGACACAAACTATAATAATACAGAGTTATAAAATGCTAGAAATATGTTTTTCTGAGCGCCATGGCTTATTCAAAAGCATTGGGCAAACATATAGGTGGTTACAAATAAAAAGAAATATAGCAACAGTATCAATATAGTAAGACAGAAGTGTAACTATTGAAAAGATAAGGTAAAAATGAGTTTCTTTGGTTTATTTTAGAATTTTGGTGCTGTTTTCATAAATCTTTAGAATGTACATTTTTGTCTTAGTTATTAAATAGATGAATTTGAAAGCAACTAGGGTTAATTGGCTCTTATACTTTCTCTTAGAAAAAGTATGATAAATGTTACCAAAAATAATGGGAGAAGGGAAAAATATGAATGAACAGATTACATTAGTCCAGTGTTTCACACACACACGTGTGCATACATGTGGGCATATAAATGTGTGTGTGTGTGTGTGTGTGTATAAATGTTTGACAGAGAGAGAGAAAAAAAAAGAAATGTATTGATGATTTCACTATTGCTAATTTTTTGCTCTTATGTCCCTCATCAGTTATAGTTCTGGAAAGGCACTGTAATTAGATTTCTGCCTTATCGTATTTTATAGCTACTCAACAAAAGGGTATTCCACCATATTCCACTTATATCTTTTTTATGTGCTCACTTTGCATCTTTGTTCTCAGGGTTTCCTTCCTATACCAGCTAATCCCTCACCTTCAGGATAAAACACTAATACCTATGTTTATGCCTTCATGTCTATGATTCATGAGGAACATTAATTGCTTGGTTGTTTCCATGTGATTATCCTATTAGCTATTTTCTCAATTTGTTATTTTAAAGAATACATTGTTTCATTGCTTTTAGCCTTTCACAAATTTCCAACATGTTTACATATTAAGGTTTAGAATAAAAATATTCCTTCTAGATAGATTTATTTCCTCCTTGTCTTCTCATCTGTCTCCGGATATACTTCCCTGACTTCTCTGACTGCTTACCATTAAAAGGTAAACCATTAAAAGGTTTCTTTTAATGGAGCTAAAGACCATGTAGTTCACATCTTTGGCTGTGATATAGTAGAGTTCTATTGAAAAGGTATGTACTTGAGAATTCGAGCATGTACAATAAAGGGTAGAGAAGTAAAATTTTAAAAACATAGATTTTTTTCATTATTACAAAATCTTTCTGTTGAATTCACTTTTTAAATTTACATTTTAATTTTAGATCCAGCAGTTACATGTGCAGATTTTTTACAAGGATTTATTGCTTAATGCTAAGGTTTGGGCTTCTGTTGGTGCAGTCATTAAGATAGTGAACATAGTGCTCAATAGGAAGCTTTTCAGCTCTTGTGCCCCTCTCTCCCTTCCTCCTTTTGGAGTTCTCAGTGTCCACTCT
Source organism: Homo sapiens (assembly GCF_000001405.40). Classification (NCBI taxonomy): domain Eukaryota; kingdom Metazoa; phylum Chordata; class Mammalia; order Primates; family Hominidae; genus Homo; species Homo sapiens. Next base: position 114,963,151 of record NC_000006.12, read on the forward strand.
TCCCTTCTTTATGTCCATATGTAGCAAAAGTGTAGCTCTCACTTATAAGTGAGAACATGCGATATTTATTTTTTTTTTTTCTGCATTAATTTGCTTAGGATATTGGCCTCTAGTTGCATCCATGCTGCTGCAAAGGACGTGATTTTGTTCTTTTTAATGAACGTGTAGCATTCCATGGTATATATGTACCACATTTCTTTATCCAATCCATTTTCAATGGGCACCTAGGTGATTTTCATGTCTTTGCTTATCTAAGTAGTGCTGCTATGACCATGTGGGTGCATGTAACTTTTGGGTAGAACAATTTTTTTTTTTTTTGGTAAATACTCAGAAATGGGATTGCTGAGTCAATGGCAGTTTTATCTTTCAGAATATAGGTTTTAAAGTCAGAAAAGTAAAGCTCAGCTTTGCCATTCACAAGCTACATTATTTTGAGCAAGTAACTCAAACTTAATCTATTTTGGTTTCTCAATATGAGATATAGCATATACCTCACAGGATTGTAGGGAGAACTAAGTAAAATAACAGATAATAAATGGGAGCTAGTATTATTATGTAATAAATATTGACTTCAAATTCTACCAGTACTTATTAAATTTAGTAGCATTTTCATTTGTAATATGGTTAAATTTTTAAAAAATAATGCATTGAGGTGAAATTAATATACTATAAAATGAACTATTTTAAAATGAACTCAGTGACACTTAATAATCACAACATGTAGTTGTGCAACCACCACACACAAAACTATCTAGGTCCAAAATATTTCTGTCGCTTCAAAGTAAAACTGCTTATCCATTAAGGATTCTCTCCCATGCACTCCTTCCCTACCCCCGGCAACCCCCAATCTGTGTTCTATCTATCTGTATGGAATTATCTATTCCACATATTTTATATAAATGTAATCATACAATATGTGAATTTTGTGTCTGGCTTCTTTTACTTAGAATAACCTTTTTAAGGTTTATACACATTGTAGCATGTATTTGTCAACCTTTGTTAAGAGTAAAAAATATTCCATTGTGTGTATACAGCATAATTCGTTTATGCATTCATCCACTGATGAATATTTGTGCTGTTAATACATTTTAAAAACATAGATTTACAATGTTGATCCGCAAACAACTAGAATCAAACTGGAGAGAATAAGATCTGTGTCTGTTTCTTTATCTTTCTCTCCTGTGTCCACTGATGGAAAAACATGTCAGTAAATGGGCCAGGCCAGATTTCTACCCCAGAGCCAAATATAGAAAACTAGTGATTTTTCAATGGTGGGAGAAGGGTTATGCCATCTGGATAATTTATTTTTATTTTTATTTTTTTTGGTACAGATTCTCCCTCTGTCGCCCAGGCTGGAGTGCAGTGGTGCAATCTCAGCTCACTGCCACCTCCACCTCCCAGGTTCAAACGATTCTCCTGCCTCAGCTTCCTGAGCTGAGATTAGAGGTGCCAACCACCATGCCCAGCTAATTTTTGTATTTTTAGTAGAAATGGGTTTTCACCATGTTGACCAGGCAGGTCTCGAACTCCTGACCTCAGGTGAGCCACCTGCCTCGGCCTCCCAAAGTGCTGGGATTATAGGCATGAGCCACCGTACCCAGCCAGTTTATTCTTATGTGTAGTATTTTTTTAACTTACTTATTTTTTTTCTGCTTATTATATATTCCCTTTCCATTCTTGTTCATCACCAGACTCTACTTTCTTCTTTCGGTTTATCTTCCCCACTTCAAGAAATATTGCTGTAGATATAAGTCATCGTTGATCAGATTGTATGAGTCCCTCAATTGTGTCAGGCTTACAAAGAAGTTTGAGAATCACCATGAAACCTGTAATTTTACAATTTATCATTGAAAATATGAAAATCTTTCATTTACTCTTGCAGAAATCTTTGTATTGATTTATCTACTCCAAATTTTGTTGGGTTTTGTAAAGCATTTCACTTTGAATGAGATTGGGACATAATTTCAATGATTTGTTGTCAGTATGTAATCTGAAAACTATTATGACAACCGATGTTATCAATCTTTGATACTTAATTGCTTCATGGGAAGTTGAATGGTAACAAAATTAAACAGAGTGAAATAAATGTTGCGAAAGTGCTAACCCATATTTTGGGAAAAGAGTGGGAGTTTTTATTAAAACATGGGTATAACAGAGAAGCTGTCTAATCTACTGATTTATTGTGTTTGTGATATTTTTAGCTTATGCTGATAATACCAACATGAACAATGTTCAATAAAATTTAACAGATTTTGAATTTTATTCTAACTTCAAATTTTTCAATGATTTGAATTATTTGTAACAGAAAAAGTGTAATTTTCTTTAAAAATATTTATGTCAAATATTTTAAAACCTTTTTCTTTTCAAATGTGAAAATTTCTTCAAAATATTTTGAAGATATAGCATTCAAGTAAATGATCTAGAAACGTTCTGATGCAATATAGTCCCTACTATTTACAAACTACAGTATCTTTCTAAAAGCCAGATTTTTGGAATTAAGTTAAAGCACTTTTGAAGAAGAATTTTATTGTACCAAACACATTTGAAAGTAGTTGAAATAGTATGCTAGTCAAATAAAAAGGAACACATTTAACAAAAGGCAAAGTTTTTTATTTTAAATGTCAAATTGTTTTCAATCTCAGATTTGATAAGAAACTTAGAGTCCTTTTCTATTTTTTCTGTAACCCTTAGTAACAGTCATATACAAGTGAATGAATTTAGTATAAATGATACTGAAAAGAGACATATTTTTTCTTTCTATTGATTTTCTATTAAATTAGGATTTATCAAGGGATATACCCTTAGCAAGAAATGTTATTAACAATCACTCCAATTTCTTCTGTAACATGCACTAGATTATATATTGCTTTTTGCAATGATTTTTTTAAAACTTTCCACTCCCTCAAACTTCTGACAAAGCAGCCTCTGTTTCACAGAGAATGCAGAAACCACCAGAAGGCCAAATATCTCTACTGAAAAGCAAACCCATTCTATTAATCTTATCACCATCTTTTCCTTCCCTGATAATAACATAAAGGTGCCTCTTTCCCACATGTGTTTTGCAACCTAACCCCTCATATCTTCTCTCTTCACTATTGATTATCCCTTATCTCATCGTATTCAACCCACTTTTTCTTTCCGATAATCTTTAAACATAATGAAATATTTCTCATTCAAACATTTTTAAAGATATAAACAAAAGCATTAATAAAAACAATGAATACACTAGACCTTCCAACTGCTTGTTGATCTCATTTTTTTCATAGTCAAATTTTTATAAGAGAGACGTTGTCACCTATCACTAAATCATCAACCCTTCCAGTTTGATTTACATCTCTCACTCTATTATAATCTGACCTGTGAATACAATGTCACTAAGTCTAGTGGAAATCTTTTACTATTTATCTTACATGAACCTTTGGAAACATTTGACATTTTTGCCCTTTGTCTCCATCTCTAAATGCTTTATTACCTTTGCTGATTTGATGTAACATAACATTTATTGTATATTTCTTTCTATGCATTTTCTCTCTCTCTTCTGCAGGCTCATTCTCCTCTACTAAGGCATTAAATATTAAAAGTTCTTTAATATTTTTATTTTATCTTCTCACTTTTTATTTTATCTGTTATACCTAGATAAGTGTACTTCTGTGTATGGCTTAAATTTTCGCCTTTTTTCAGGGGGCTCACAACTTTTTATCTTCAGCTTATACCTCCCCTCTGAGCATCAGACCTATTTATTTATCCAACTACCTAATTTGGGGTTCTACTGTATATCTATCTTAAGAGAAATGCAAATCAAACTTTTCAAAACTGAATCTTACGTTTCTCCTACATCTTGGTTCTCAGCACCATTCCATTGCAGACAACAGTAGCGACATCTGTTTTGTTATACAAGCCAGAAATCATAGGGCTAACTTCAATACTGCTCTGTCCCTTTCTACCCATATGCATTATATAAAGTCTTACTGATTTTACCTCATAAGAAGTAAGAAGCTCTAGAGTGAACCTGCTCCTCTATCTCTCCACTACCATAACTGTAGCCTAAATTATAAAAATTTATTGTATAAAGCACAGAAATAGTCTCCTAATTTAACTTTCTAGATCATCTCAGGCCACCCTTGGATCTCCCAGTGCTGATCATAATCTGGAATGTCAAAATCCCAAAGGAGCAAAATCCCTAATATTTAAAATTCCTAATGTAAAATATCCCAAAAATCACAATCCCAAACAAACAGTTACAATCCTATATTTCAAAATTCTGGAAGTTGAATTCTGAGAAAGGGATTAGTACGTTTTCAGTTGTAAGCAGGATAGTTACATCATGTTTGTTGCAACATGATAGGTTAGACTATTACCTTGTTGTTGCCTTTATTTGCATTTGGCAAAAAATCTAGATGCCTGGATTTGCCACACAATGCAACAATGACAAAAACTTCAGTTTAAAAATATGGCATTTGTCTGAATTAGAATTCTTCCCTTTTGATGAAATTCCAATAGCTTTTAATGAATTAAAGTCACATTTGCCTGAAAAAAGTCAGCAAATTACTGACTAGCTTGCAAATAATTATTTGCACAATAGGATAAGAAGACATCTATGCACCAGTGTTACTGCTTGATCACCAGTATTGTTTACACCAAATATGTGCTTGGTGTTTAAGTGCATGAAGAACAGATTTCCCAAAGCAACATACAAGCATGGCACAGAAGATTGGAAAGTTTATTAGGAAATGTTCATGTCAGTGTATATAGAAATACAGAATAATTTTAAAAAGAGCAACATTGCACAGAAAATGTATGTGAATGTATTCTCCAAGGAAAGCCATGGCTTAAAAGAAAAAAAAAAAAAGCAGCTATCATTGCTATGAAAGACTTCAAAATATAGTTAATGATTGTGAAAATTGGCCAGCCCATATGGACTAATTCTGGGGATTCCCGGCAATACCCTTTTTTTGTGTGTGTATCAAATTTTCTTTTCTGTTTTTGGGGAAATTTTGTGGGTTTTTTCTTTCTTTTTTCTTTTTATAGTTTTCACCCACTATTTTAAAATGTCAGCATTATTTTACACAATTCACTATGCTACATATTTTATCTTTCCATCATTTCCAGTACTTTTAGAGTTGTAATTCTTTTCATGTGTTTTTTTGTGACTCTACGAAAGTGGATTATCACAACTTGACTTTGTGTGTAAGCATTGTGCATGTTGTAAAAAATGTTGAAACTTCCTTAGTAAATGGAAAGATGCCATTTTTGTACAACTGCATTTGTGAAAGACAAAATTTCTTAGAGGTTTGTCTCTTTGGGTAACTGCATATATGATGGTGAGCTGTTGTGGTTTTTGATCGATTTTGTCAGAAGGCTTAAGTTGTTTATCACAGTATTTCAGATGACCATAGTCATAAACCTATGCACACAATGATCAACCATAGTGATATGTGTTTATATACTTATCTTTTGGACATATTTCTTTTTGAACAGAATTTCTCTGCTCATAACTGTTATATTGATGTGGTTTTTGTTAGTATAGCTAGGTGTTTATGCTTGCAAACATACGTCTGCAAAAATTATTATTTTTGTAATTATATTTTCAGGATTTTTATCTTTTAGAATTGTGATTTTGGGGATTTTAGACTTCAGAAATTTTGTTCTTTTGGGATTTCCACATTTAGGATTGTGGATCTCTATAGGGTTGACAGTGTTTTCTCAAAACTTAAAGCTGGTCATATTATCCACATGCTTAAAAGAATTCTAAAAGTGTAATATAAAAAGCCACATATCTGATATGACTTTTTGTAAGCATCTTCCTACCTCTCTAATTTTAATTCACAGCTTGTTTCTTTCCTTTCCATATTTTGGTAAGTCTGGCTTATGTCTAGTTTCCAGAATGAGCTTATGTTCCTTTCTGACACAGACTGTTACCTCTTACAGCTTTCCCAACCTCTGCTTTTATGTTACTTCCATCAGTTCCTTGGATAGTAGCTTAGCTAATCATCTTCGGAGAGGGCCTTTCTTTTCTCACTAACTAGATCAGTTTTCTTTATCGTAAGTTTGGAAAGTACTTAGCAACTCCCCTTCAAAGTGCCACATCTGAAGTTTCTAATTTAAATATTTGATTCTTCCATTAATGTTTTTCCTACTAAACTATAAACTTTATGAGACCTGCTTTTGTATTTCCTTGTGCTCATCATGAAAACTCCAGTACTTAGTATAATGCCTAGCACTTGGCACTCAAGAAATATTCACTGCATAATGACATAAATGAATTGTGTGTATTATACCATGGAAAATAAAAATTCTGAAACTGAGATGCTATCTTCATTATAATTATTAACATAAAATTAATTCAAGTTAAAATTAAGAACAATTACCAACTCTAAAAGTGATAGAGTATCACTACTTCATATTGCTCAGGCTATATCTGAAACAAGTATCATTTAGGTGTAATGTATTTAAAAAATGGTATGTGATGAAGACAAAGTGGGGAAACTTTCAAGAAAGATGGTGAAAATGATTAATGAGTTACAGGGATTGATACATGTGGGAAGAATAATAATGATGAGCTAGCTCATCATTGCATGTTAAATAGCATTCTGTATAGACCCTGATATAGCTTGGTTTGAACATCATTCATCTTCATCTCTACATTTTAATCTGTGGTATATTTATCAAATTAAATTATTCTTTTCAAAATGAAATTATATTTTAAGAGCATGGGTCAGAGGTGGTTTAAAGGAAAGGCGATAATCATCTACAATTATTGAAGGCATGCAAACACTAGTTGAGGATAGAAAGTGTTTCATAGAAAGATTAGTTCCAGAGTGAAATTAGGCTTGAAAATTTTCAATCAATCAGGCATAAAATTCCAGTTCCAAACTATTCATTTTCCAAGATGAGTGCATTCTCATAATATCTATTATGCATCAATTTAAATAAATAGGCTGAACTGCTGTTAAGGGTGGGACCTAAAACTCAGAAAATAAATAAATTAATAAAATAAAACAAATAATGGAAATATAGTGCTGTTCACAAACGTTTACTTTCAAGCATCGTTTCCTATAATGTTTAAACCTGTGCTCAGTAGAAGTATTAACTCTATTTTAAATTATTAAATTTGATTCCATCTTATAAACTTCCTTACATTTAAAACTTGGAGGCATCTAATGACAAAAATAAAAGTTACTTATTTTCCTTTTTTTATCTTTAAAAAGCATAAGATTATTTATTTTTTTGTTTTGTTTTGTTTTGTTTTATTATACTTTAAGTTTTAGGGTACATGTGCACATTGTGCAGGTTAGTTACATATGTATACATGTGCCATGCTGGTGTGCTGAACCCACTAACTCGTCATCTAGCATTAGGTATATCTCCCGATGCTATCCCTCCCCTCTCCCCACACCCCACAACAGTCCCCAGAGTGTGATATTCCCCTTCCTGTGTCCATGTGATCTCATTGTTCAATTCCCACCTATGAGTGAGAACATGCGGTGTTTGGTTTTTTGTTCTTGTGATAGTTTACTGAGAATGATGATTTCCAATTTCATCCATGTCCCTACAAAGGACATGAACTCATCATTTTTTATGGCTGCATAGTATTCCATGGTGTATATGTGCCACATTTTCTTAATCCAGTCTATCATTGTTGGACATTTGGGTTGGTTCCAAGTCTTTGCTATTGTGAATAATGCCGCAATAAACATACGTGTGCGTGTGTCTTTATAGCAGCATGATTTATAGTCCTTTGGGTATATACCCAGTAATGGGATGGCTGGGTCAAATGGTATTTCCAGTTCTAGATCCCTGAGGAATCGCCACACTGACTTCCACAATGGTTGAACTAGTTTACAGTCCCAACAACAGTGTAAAGCTGATCCTATTTCTCCACATCCTCTCCAACACCTGTTGTTTCCTGACTTTTTAATGATTGCCATTCTAACTGGTGTGAGATGGTATCTCATTGTGGTTTTGATTTGCATTTCTCTGATGGCCAGTGATGATGAGCATCTTTTCATGTGTTATTTGGCTGCATAAATGTCTTCTTTTGAGAAGTGTCTATTCATGTCCTTCGCCCACTTTTTGATGGGGTTGTTTTTTTCTTGTAAATTTGTTTGAGTTCATTGTAGATTCTGGATATTAGCCCTTTGTCAGATGAGTAGGTTGCAAAAATTTTCTCCCATTTTGTAGGTTGCCTGTTCACTCTGATGGTAGTTTCTTTTGCTGTGCAGAAGCTCTTTAGTTCAATTAGATCCCATTTGTCAATTTTGTCTTTTGTTGCCATTGCTTTTGGTGTTTTAGACATGAACTCCTTGCCCATGCCTATGTCCTGAATGGTAATGCCTAGGTTTTCTTCTAGGGTTTTTATGGTTTTAGGTCTAACGTTTAAGTCTTTAATCCATCTTGAATTGATTTTTGTTTAAGGTGTAAGGAAGGGATCCAGTTTCAGCTTTCTACATATGGCTAGCCAGTTTTCCCAGCACCATTTATTAAATAGGGAATCCTTTCCCCATTGCTTGTTTTTCTCAGGTTTGTCAAAGATCAGATAGTTGTAGATATGCGGCGTTATTTCTGCGGGCTCTGTTCTGTTCCATTGATCTATATCTCTGTTTTGGTACCAGTACCATGCTGTTTTGGTTACTGTAGCCTTGTAGTATAATTTGAAGTCAGATAGTGTGATGCCTCCAGCTTTGTTCTTTTGGCTTAGGATTGACTTGGCGATGTGGGCTCTTTTTTGGTTCCATATGAACTTTAAAGTAGTTTTTTCCAATTCTGTGAAGAAAGTCATTGGTAGCTTGATGGGGATGGCTTTGAATCTGTAAATTACCTTGGGCAGTATGGCCATTTTCACGATATTGATTCTTCCTACCCATGAGCATGGAATGTTCTTCCATTTGTTTGCATCCTCTTTTATTTCCTTGAGCAGTGGTTTGTAGTTCTCCTTGAAGAAGAGGTCCTTCACATCCTTAGTAAGGTGGATTCCTAGGTATTTTATTCTCTTTGAAGCAATTGTGAATGGGAGTTCACTCATGATTTGGCTCTCTGTCTGTTGTTGGTGTGTAAGAATGCTTGTGATTTTTGTACATTGATTTTGTATCCTGAGACTTTGCTGAAGTTGCTTATGAGCTTAAGGAGATTTTGGGCTGAGACAGTGGGGTTTTCTAGATATACAATCATGTCATCTGCAAACAGGGACAATTTGACTTCCTCTTTTCCTAATTGAATACCCTTTATTTCCTTCTCCTGCCTGATTGCCCTGGCCAGAACTTCCAACACTATGTTAAATAGTAGTGGTGAGAGAGGGCATCCCTGTCTTGTGCCAGTTTTCAAAGGGAATGCTTCCAGTTTTTGCCCATTCAGTATGATATTGGCTGTGGGTTTGTCATAGATAGCTCTTCTTGTTTTGAAATACATCCCATCAATACCTAATTTATTGAGAATTTTTAGCATGAAGGGTTGTTGAATTTTGTCAAAGGCTTTTTCTGCATCTTTTGTCTTTGGCTCTGTTTATATGCTGGATTACATTTATTGATTTGCGTACATTGAACCAGCCTTGCATCCCAGGGATGAAGCCCACTTGATCATGGTGGATAAGCTTTTTGATGTGCTGCTGGATTCGGTTTGCCAGTATTTTATTGAGGATTTTTGCATCAATGTTCATCAAGGATATTGGTCTGAAATTCTCTTTTTCGGTTGTGTCTCTGCCCGGCTTTGGTATCAGAATGATGCTGGCCTCATAAAATGAGTTAGGGAGGATTCCCTCTTTTTCTATCGATTGGAATCATTTCAGAAGGAATGATACCAGTTCCTCCTTGTACCTCTGGTAGAATTCGGCTGTGAATCCATCTGGTCCTTGACTCTTTTTGGCTGGTAAGCTATTGATTATTGCCACAATTTCAGCTCCTGTTATTGGTCTATTCAGAGATTCAACTTCTTCCTGGTTTAGTCTTGGGAGAGTGTATGTGTCCAGGAATTTATCCATTTCTTCTAGATTTTCTAGTTTATTTGCGTAGAGGTGTTTGTAGTATTCTCTGTTGGTAGTTTGTATTTCTGTGAGATTGGTGGTGATATGCCCTTTACCATTTTTTATTGCGTCTATTTGATTCTTCATTCTTTTTTTCTTTATTAGTCTTGCTAGCAGTCTATTGATTTTGTTGATCCTTTCAAAAAACCAGCTCCTGGATTCATTAATTTTTTGAAGGGTTTTTTGTGTCTCTATTCCTTCAGTTCTGCTCTGATATTAGTTATTTCTTGCCTTCTGCTGGCTTTTGAATGTGTTTGCTCTTGGTTTTCTAGTTCTTTTAATTGTGATGTTAGGGTGTCAATTTTGGATCTTTCCTGCTTCCTCTTGTGGGCATTTAGTGCTATAAATTTCCCTCTACACGCTGCTTTGAATGTGTCCCAGAGATTCTGGTATGTTGTGTCTTTGTTCTCGTTGGTTTCAAAGAACATCTTTATTTCTGCCTTCATTTTGTTATGTACCCAGTAGTCATTCAGGAGCAGGTTGTTCAGTTTCCATGTAGTTGAGCGGTTTTGAGTGAGATTCTTAATCCTGAGTTATAGTTTGATTGCACTGTGGTCTGAGAGATAGATAGTTTGTTATAATTTCTGTTCTTTTACATTTGCTGAGGAGAGCTTTACTTCCAACTATGTGGTCAATTTTGGAATAGGTGTGGTGTGGTGCTGAAAAAAATGTATATTCTGTTGATTTTGGGTGGAGAGTTCTGTAGATGTCTATTAGGTCTGCTTGGTGCAGAGCTGAGTTGAATTCCTGGGTATCCTTGTTGACTTTCTGTCTCGTTGATCTGTCTAATGTTGACAGTGGGGTGTTAAAGTCTCCCATTATTAATGTGTGGGAGTCTAAGTCTCTTTGTAGGTCACTCAGGACTTGCTTTATGAATCTTGGTGCTCCTGTATTGGGTGCATATATTTAGGATAGTTAGCTCTTCTTGTTGAATTGATCCCTTTACCATTATGTAATGGCCTTCTTTGTCTCTTTTGATCTTTGTTGGTTTAAAGTCTGTTTTATCAGAGACTAGGATTGCAACCCCTGCCTTTTTTTGTTTTCCATTTGCTTGCTTGGTAGATCTTCCTCCATCCTTTTATTTTGAGCCTATGTGTGTCTCTGCACATGAGATGGGTTTCCTGAATACAGCACACTGATGGGTCTTGACTCTTTATCCAGTTTGCCCATCTGTGTCTTTTAATTGGAGCATTTAGTCCATTTACATTTAAAGTTAATATTGTTATGTGTGAATGTGATCCTGTCATTATGATGTTAGCTGGTTATTTTGCTCGTTAGTTGATGCAGTTTCTTCCTAGTCTCAATGGTCTTTACATTTTGGCATGTTTTTGCAGTGGCTGGTACCGGTTGCTCCTTTCCATGTTTAGTGCTTCCTTCAGGAGCTCTTGTAAGGCAGGCCTGGTAGTGACAAAATCTCTCAGCATTTGCTTGTCTGTAAAGTATTTTATTTCTCCTTCACTTATGAAGCTTAGTTTGGCTGGATATGCAATTCTGGGTTGAAAATTCTTTTCTTTAAGAATGTTGAATATTGGCCCCCACTCTCTTCTGGCTTGTAGGGTTTCTGCTGAGAGATCTGCTGTTAGTCTGATGGGCTTCCCTTTGAGGGTAACCCGACCTTTCTCTCTGGCTGCCCTTAACATTTTTTCCTTCATATCATTTCAACTTTGCTGAATCTGACAATTATGTGTCTTGGAGTTGCTCTTTTCGAGGAGTATCTTTGTGGCGTTCTCTGTATTTCCTGAATCTGAACGTTGGCTTGCCTTGCTAGATTGGGGACATTCTCCTGGATAATATCCTGCAGAGTGCTTTCCAACTCAGTTCCATTCTCCCCATCACTTTCAGGTACACCAATCAGATGTTGATTTGGTCTTTTCACATAGTCCCATATTTCTTGGAGGCTTTGCTCATTTCTTTTTATTCTTTTTTCTCTAAACTTCCCTTCTCGCTTCATTTCATTCATTTCATCTTCCATTGCTGATACCCTTTCTTCCAGTTGATCGCGTTGGCTCCTGAGGCTTTTGCATTGTTCACGTAGTTCTCGAGCCTTGGTTTTCAGCTCCATCAGCTCCTTTAAGCACTTCTCTATATTGGTCATTTTAGTTATACATTCTTCTAAATTTTTTTCAAAGTTTTCAACTTCTTTGCCTTTGGTTTGAATGTCCACCCATAGCTCAGAGTAATTTGATCGTCTGAAGCCTTCTTCTCTCAGCTCGTCAAAGTCATTCTCCATCCAGCTTTGTTCTGTTGCTGGTGAGGAACTGCGTTCCTTTGGAGGAGGAGAGGCGCTCTGCTTTTTAGAGTTTCCAGTTTTTCTGTTCTGTTTTTTCCCCATCTTTGTGGTTTTATGTACTTTTGGTCTTTGATGGTGGTGATGTACAGATGGGTTTTTGGTGTGGATGTCCTTTCTGTTTGTTAGTTTTCCTTCTCACAGAGAGGACCCTCAGCTGCAGGTCTGTTGGAATACCCTGCCGTGTGAGGTGTCAGTGTGCCCCTGCTGGGGGGTGCCTCCCAGTTAGGCTGCTCGGGGGTCAGGGGTCAGGGACCCAGTTGAGGAGGCAGTCTGCCCGTTCTCAGATCTCCAGCTGCATGCTGGGAGAACCACTGCTCTCTTCAAAGCTGTCAGACAGGGACATTTAAGTCTGCAGAGGTTACTGCTGTCTTTTTGTTTGTCTGTGCCCTGCCCCCAGAGGTGGAGCCTACAGAGGCAGGCAGGCCTCCTTGAGCTGTGGTGGGCTCCGCCCAGTTCTAGCTTCCGGGCTGCTTTGTTTACCTAATCAAGCCTGGGCAATGGCGGGCGCCCCTCCCCCAGCCTCGCTGCTGCCTTGCAGTTTGATCTCAGACTGCTGTGCTAGCAATCAGCGAGACTCCGTGGGCGTAGGACCCTCCGAGCCAGGTGCGGGATATAATCTCGTGGTGCGCTGTTTTTTAAGCCCGTCGGAAAAGCGCAGTATTCGGGTGGGAGTGACCCGATTTTCCAGGTGCCATCTGTCGCCCCTTTCTTTGACTCAGCAAGGGAACTCCCTGACCCCTTGCGCTTCCCAAGTGAGGCAATGCCTCGCCCTGCTTCGGCTCGCGCACGGTGCACGCACCCACTGACCTGTGCCCACTGTCTGGCACTCCCTAGTGAGGTGAACCCGGTACCTCAGATGGAAATGCAGAAATCACCCGTCTTCTGCGTCACTCACGCTGGGAGCTGTAGACAGGAGCTGTTCCTATTAGGCCATCTTGGCTCCTCCACTTATTTTCTTAAAGCAAAGGAAAATACAACAAAACTGTATTCAATAGGAAAAATTTGTGACTTAGGATGCTGACACAAATGTACCAATATTTCTTTAACTTTTTATATGTGAATTTTATGTTTATCAATATTTGAATATTCTTGACTCCTGTGCTTATATATTCTTTATCTCTTTTACCATATTCAACTCAAAATGTCATCCTTTCCCATGGGTAATGGCAAGAATGGACTCACACTACAACACATAGATGAGCAAACTTTCCATGGGGAGAAATTAATTTTCTTGCATTCTTCTTGGACATTAGACTATAACTCTCAAACTGGTGGCCAATTGTGGCCATGTGACTAAGCTCACATCAGTAGAATGCGAGAGAGATATTTGCAACTTTCGCTACACTATTCTCTTCTTTTTCTTTCTCTTTCTTCTTCTTCTTTTTTTTTTTTTGTCTTGTTCTGTCACCCAGGTAGGAGTGTAGTAGAGCAATCATGGCTCATTGCAGCCTCAACCTGCTGGGTTCAATCCTCCCACATCATTATTTTTTTTAAATTTTTTTGAAGAAATGAGTTCTCAGTATGTTGCGCAGACTGTTCTCAAACTCCTGGGCTCAAGCAATCCTCCCAACTTGGTCTCCCATAGTGCTGGGATTACAGACATGAGCCACCTCGCCTCTTCTACATTTTAAGAGGAAATCTAGGGCTCTTTCCTTTTTTCCACAGGCAAGAATGACAGCAAACCAAAAGGTCTTGGAATTCCTCTGTGCATATGTCAGACCTGCCCTCCTGGACCCTAACTATCCCATGGAGCAGAGCTTCCAATGACTTTGGATACTTACTTCTCAATGTTCCCTCACTGAGAAATAAGTTGGGTATTTTTGAAGGGCAATTTAGCCTTTTACTCTAATGAATACAAATATAAGTAGAAGAAACCAAAAATGTTTGAGATCCTATTTATTGTGTATCAACAGTTATAATCTAACCAAACTAAATTACATCAAAAGGATAGTTGCATTTTGAGCTTGACTTCAGTAGCAGGAGTTTATGAAAAGATCATGAGGTTACTGGGTAGTCTGTGGTTTTCCTGATATTTATTTCCAAACTCTACACCAGAATGATGTCCTCTGTGGTTTTAGAATTAAATATTTGATGATGAAGTAAAGATGTCACTTGAGACTTGAAGTTTCCATTTAGAGCTGAGCTCTTGGGGCAGGTATCCACAGATTGTCTAAGGATGACATCAGTTGAATTTTGTGGTAAGAACTCCATAATCTTATGTCAATATAAATTAATTCTCCAAAAATAGTACTGGGTTTAAGATCAAGAACATACAAAACAGTAAGTTACATGCCCATGTCTCACTTGGAGCTATTACATTGCCCACCTTAGTAACTTCATCAGAGGTTTACTATTTCCATTTAACTCTCATTTTATCTTGAAGGAGAGAGATGTTAAGTGTTTTTTTGTTTTGTTTTGTTTTGTTTTGTTTTTTGTCTGTGTTGAATGCTTCCTTCATGCCATTTTGTGGTATTTGCAGGCCTCCCTGACATTATCAAATGGATTGACATTTTAAATATTTGCAGTGCTCAGTGGGTACTAATTCAGCAAAGGTGAACCACAAGCTTCTTTCACCGTGGCACAGCAAGTGATGTGTGTCTGTTTAATCACAGCAGTTGAAATGAGATCAAAAGGCACTGTGTTGTTAAACTCTTAAAACTGCTGTCACAGCAGACACACCTGGAGGAGTCCTTGAAGGAAAAAGCTAAGTAGTGAAGAACCTACTTAGGCCACGGGCTTATCTGAACCTATTAACCCAGCTCTGCGGGAAAGTCTTTCCCAGTATATAATGTTTCCATTTTTCTAGTAAATTCTTTAGAGTAAAAGCTTAATCATTTGTGGGCCTTCCAGCAATTTTTGATTTTCTTTATACTCTAAATTGAAGTTGTACTTTTTTCATTTTGTCAGAGTTGAGAATACAAATATCTTAAAAAGATAAAGAATATAAGTCATTTTATACATTTACTGTCACACATTTTTAGGAATTGGTCCCAAAGGAATTTTAGTGAGTAGGAAATGGTACTACTCACTTTTTGGCTGTTGGGACTTCACAGTTTATGTGTAATTCACAGTCTACAATGACAAATATTAAAACATCAGGGAATGGAAAGACTAAAATTTTATCCTAAACAATTTTTTCCTACAATGAATGATTTTTCTGTGTAATCCCCAGCATTTTTAAGTAGTTCATCAAATAACCATTTGTATATTAGATTGACATGAATATCTTTAGCCCTTGGCTTCCCACAAGTAAAAAAGGGTTTGTGTTAAGGTTTTTACACAAATTCTCCTTGTTTACATCAGACACATGTATAACTGCAGAAGCGCAGCGTTGCTTCCTCAAGACTTCCTCAAGAGTTTTACACTATCAGAGTCAAATATATGCAACTGTGTCAAATATATCAGTATTAACAATATTAAAGGCCAGTTTCTTGTTCTTCAACTTGCTGTGTGTTTGTTTAGAATATTTTTAAGGGATCAGGGAGAAATGAAGCTTAAAAATTTGGTTGAGAATAAACTGAGGAAGTCAATATAAATTTCAGTTTAAGTGCTTAAAAGTTAATTAGTATGACAGTGGGGCATCATAAAATATATTGGAAGACAATTCAGTTGCTTTGTTATACAATTTGTTCCATTTGCTTGGCATCCTAATATAACATTCTTAGATGGCAAGTACTTTATTGAGATCGCTTTGAATAACTTATTTCTAGCTGAAAAGAAGAATTACCAGTATATCAAAAACAACTATGGAGACGATGAAAAGGAAACACGTAATTATTGCTATGGCATTTTCACAAATTCTTTTCTCCAAGCTCCTTGAAAACTGACTTCCCATCCAGTCGTCGTCACCGTTTCCACACTAGGTTTCTATCAATCAATCAAACAGCACTGAGGCTTTTGTAAGCAAAGAGTATATAGTAGAGAATAGGTCCTAAGGGGTAGGAGGAGCATGAGAAATATTTATTTAGAGTAAGAGATTGTCTCTGTATTCCTGGAGGTGAAAGAAAATCCTTAACCTGCACATGTTATAATAGAGGAAATACTTATTCCTATTGAGCATGCACTATAGGCATGACATTATCTAGGTGTTTTGGACACTTCAGTGAATAAAACAAAGATCTATACCATTATGGAGCTTTTATTCTAGCAGAAGAAGACAGATAATAGACATGATAAATAAGTAAATTGTGTAGTTTGTTAGAAGTTGAAAGTTTCCATGATAAAATGGTAAGATTGATGAAGAGTATAGGCATGGTTGGTTATGGGGGACTTATTATACATTTATACACAGTTGTAAGGAATTAACTTTATTGAGAAGTTGAGATTTGCACAAAGACTTGTTAACCAATGTCATTAGAGAAGATCTTTAAGAGAGAAGAGATGAAACAGCTAGAGTGTGAACAGCACATGGACAACAAAGGTGAAGGGGAAAGGAAGCTATCTTAAGAAGTATTGCATAGACTTTTATCCCCTTCTCAAGATTTGTGAAATAATAGTAATAAGACTGAGTAATTTGAAATTATGTTCTATTGCTTTATTTTTTTACCCTGACACCTCCAAGACAAAGTCCCATGACTCATAACTTTACAAATCTTAGAACAATGTGAATAATAATAATAAAATCCCTACAATGTTCCAGGTCATGTTTAAGGTACTCACTCACTATTAATTCATGTAATTATATCAACATATGAGGTAGTCACTTTTTTGTACATTTTGCAGATGAGAAAACTGACATACAGAGAGGTTAGGTAATAGCAACAGGATAGCCTGGATGTATGTGTGAGCAGGATGCCTCTAGTTCAATGCCCGTACCCATCTGGTTGAAGTGGAGCTCCAATAACTGGCAATGCTTCCCTAGTTCTAGATCTATTTGATGAAATAAGATACTTTGTTGTTTCCCATAAAACACAGACCAGTTGGAATAGCTCCTTGACTCTTTTTCAGCCTTGGTCATTAATTCCAAAGTAGTCATAAATTCCAAACTAGAAAATAATAATACAGCTAGTTCAGGTGTTATTGACACAGAAGGAATTGATTATCAGTATTACTTAGATTTTGCTTTCCTCTTACGTTATTGTGTGTATTCTTTTATAAATTTGGTTTTAAATATTCTCTTGTGTTTTTCTCCCATTTTACCGCCCTCTACTTTGCTCTTATTGCTACTCTACCTCACCCAAATCTGTTCTATCCTGGCTTCCAAACATGAAGACAATAGTATCACATAGGATTATATGAGCAGAAACACAGTGGCTCATTGACTATTGACTACTTTATGTTGGGGACCAGATGGAAAGACATCCATGGAAGTAGCATTGATTGATTATCCATTCTGAGACAGGAGCACCCTTCTCCTGTGTCCATAGGATCTCACTTCCACTGCATCTTCAACTTCTTCTCTGAAGCTGAGGGTCATCTTCTTGCTCCCTGCTCTTTTTCCCCTTAGGCTACTGCTTCCCTAGCATCCTTGTCAAGAGGGGGCTGGTCCTTTCCTCTACCTCTGGAATCTCCTCTTCTGATGATGAGGAATGTCCTCATTGCCTCTTCCAGAAATTTCTAATTCTGTCATTCCTAAAATTATCAGTTTCAAAAGTTCTGTCATATGATTCTACAACCAACTACCCTTACATCTATAGCACGTGGGTTCCTCCTTGCTGCTTTTTGAATATTTTAATCCCTTGTTCATTTTCAAGCCTCTTTGACATGTCTATTTTTATTCTTATGACTTTTATGTACACAGGACTTACCAAAATGACTCAAATTCTTGACCTTATATTCCAAGACATTATCCATTACTCCATGTCAGCTACTCACTGACTAAGCCTTGAGATTATCAATAACTGTAACCCTTTCATAGTCTTAATTTCAAGACTTCCACTTTTTGACCACCATCTCATTTCTCTCTAGTTTGCCCCTTTACTATCCTGACACCAGCAATCATTCTATCCTAATAATTTTACAATGTGTTGTTTCTGCCATTTTTCAGGCTCCTGCTCCTCACATACATCCTCTTTTCTCATCTTACTCAGCTGAAATTGCACGTGCCATCATGATCACTCTCTAATCTTCACCTTCCCTTAATTTCTTCACTTTGTTGTACTCAGTTGTCAAAAAATGAATAAAAATAAAAATATGTACCCTAGATAATTTGAACTCTATCTACTCTATATTTTACATTAATAGAGTTGAATGTAGCAAACCCAAAAAATCTTGCTGATTAATCTCACTTTAAATTAATGGCCACGAACATTAATTGGGGTGGTGAGAGCTGTCTAGAAACAAATGCGTTCATTTCCCTAGTATATACACATTTGTATTCTAGATGACCATTCCATACCATCTCCTCTTTCATAAAGTCTACAGTACCTCCTCCAATTCTTCACGTCAGCTGATAATCTTGCTCTTATTTAACTGACAAAGGAGAAACAATAAAAGTTGCAATACTGAAGAGCATCCCCAAGCTGCTGTCTCACTTACCCGCTGTCTACTTCAGCAAAGCTTAGTGAAGGAACTCTTTATCCTTGTGTTTCAAAACCAACTCCTCCATTTTTTTTTCTTAAATCTACTCTGGATAGGCCCTAATCCACGTCACTAGATGTACTCCAATCAGAATCAACAATGATATCCATTTTGCTAAATTATATGGTCAATTCTCAGTCTTTCTCTTCTTGGAGCAAATCAACACTATCTGTATTGCTAAAGAATATTTTCACATTGCTTTTGTCATACAACACTCTCTTCTCCTTCCCATAAGTTTATACATACAAGTTCTATCAAACCTTCACAGGACAGATGATATGAATGCATGTACATTGTCCTAAAAAATAAAAAAGAAGGGCTAAAACTTCTCAATGTACTTTAGGAAACTAATATTACTTTAATTTTAAAACTGGGTAAAGGCTATACCAGTAAAATTATAGGTAATCTCTCATATAAAAAATAGGTCTATACATGCTAAAGATAATAATAGTAAACTTAATCCAATGCACAAATATATTTATGTATATAACTTATATGTTAGTATATATTATATATTATTATATATGATGTTATATATATATCATATATAATAACCAAGTAAAATTTATCACAGAATTTGTAAAATATTTTTATATTATAAAATGTATTCATAAAACATACTATTTCAACAGACTGATAGAGAAAAAATGTATCCTCATTTCTATAGTTGCAGAAAAATGTTGACGCAATTTAGCAATCATTCAAGTTTTTAATTCAACAAAACTTACTTAACACAAAGAGGTATTGTTCAGAAAATTGGAGTAACATTAGACTTCAGAATGGAATATTAAAGCATTCCCCTTATAATCAGAAAAAAGATAAAAATAGCTACTATCACTATGTTTATTTCAATTACACATTTTAGTTGAGGCTCTACTCAACAAAATGTTGAGTTCTCTTCTTGAGAAGAGAAAAGCAGCTAAAATTTTATAAGGACTAGAGTGGGGAAATAACATGCATATGATTTGTAGATAATATGATTATCTATAAAAATCAAGGAGCAAACCAAACTCATAATTTGCCAAAAGCAAGTTCATGTTCAAAATTAAGGATTTTCTTACACACAAGAAAGTACAATCAGTATATTAAAATGTAATTAAGAAAAAAATTACCTTATTTATAACAAAAACAAAAACCATGAAGTGTATATATAAATTGACAAATAACCAAACCATCTTAAATTGTGCATTATATATAAAGACTTTTACAGGAAAAACAAGAAAATGTAGAAAAAGACCTAATTAAAAGGTGTATATAGAGGGAGTCAATAGCTTAATGATGGCTATTTGTTCCCAACTCACCTTATGAATTCAATGCAATTCCATTCAAAATTTTAATGGCTTTTTTTACAGAACTTCACAAGCTGATCTTAAAATCTTAATAAAAAGTTAATAAGTGATCAATAACTAAGTCAGTTTTTAAAAAAGAGAATAAGTTTGCCATTTATCAGGATTTTATATAAATCTGTATCAATAAAAACAGTATGATACCAGCACAGAGACAGTCAATGAACCAATGTAATAATGTAACAGGAAAAAAGGATGAAATTGGATTTGCCTATCACACTTTATATGTTAGTAATTTGCAGATAGATTAAAGACTTAAACATAAATATTATAATTGTGTAATTTTAAAAATAAAATAGAGAAGAATATCTTTATGTAGTGACAGTAGGAAAGATTTTGTAGATGAGATATAAAATGTACAACCAAGAACGAAAAACTGGACAAAATCGACTTCATTTAACCGTATGTTTAACAAACATACCACATTCAAAGTTAATAGACTAACCTACACATGCAGAGAAGATATCTACAAATTATATAACCAGTTAAGGACTAGTTTCTGGAATATATGAATATGTCTACAAACCAGGAATTAAAGAGAAAAATAAAATGAGAAATGAGCAAAGAGAATGAACAGTCAGTGCATTGAATAAAGAATCTGAATGTTTGATCAACATATACAAATGTTCAACTTTAAAAGTACCAAAGAGATTATAAATTAAAACAAAAACCAAATGCCATATCATACTCATTAGTTTGAAATGTTATGTCTGATGTCCCCAAATATTGAAAACAACATGGAAGAAATAAAAAAATATTACTAATATAATGTAATTACAATAATAATGTAAACTATTTAGAGAACCATGTAAAATATTTTAATGGAACAAAAGAATGCCTATCCTATGACCAACTTTCTAGGTATCAATAATAGAAAAATTGTCACAAATATTCACCAGGACACTTATAAAGCATATTTTTTACAGAGCCTTGGTAATAGTGAAAGTTTACACACAAACCGAGTTAGTTTTTGGGGCACTGGTAGACAAACAAAAATGCTATATTTATCTAAATTTGTACTAAAATTTCTTTTATAATGAACCAAAACAGCATTGTTAAAATGAAAATAAAAAACAGTGTTCTGTTTCTTAAGATGATTGATGAGTATGCATTTGTCCATTTCATATTTTTTTAAATGTATACATATGTAGATAACACAAGTTTGAAAAGGATTTGAGTCTGGTAATAGTCAAAGCAGTAGTCACTGCTGGGGTTGGGGGTATTAACTTACTTGCAGGGGGTACAAGAGAGCCTTCTGAGATGTTTGTTAGACATTGTTTTAAAAATTTTAATCTGGAGGCTAGCCCACAGGGGTGTGGAGGGTGTGTTTATGTGTGTGAATTTTGAGGGAATTTTGTGCATCTGAATGAGAGTACAAGTACTGAAAGTCTTCAACATTCTGGAGAGGGGAAAACAAGAGAGAAGTCAGACCAGCCACATCCCACCATTTAGCTCTGCTCATTCCTACCCTGTTTCTGTTGATGGTCATTGCCTTCCTGAGGGCCTCTACATGTATGGATTTCTTAGAAAATCTTTCTATATCAGCTGCTGCAATTATTCTTTTTATAAAAATATGATCTCTTTCCTAAGTGTCTGCCATGTTGCAGATTTCTACTGCCAACTGCTAAGCATGTCTCTATGCATCCTCCGCTGGGTCTTTATAGCTCAGAGGATCTAACTAACTAATAAACATTTTTAGAATGGATGCATGGATTTTCTTACCTGAAAACAAACATGTTCTTTCCAGAAGTGTATAACAAGGACATATAGGTTTACCACCCAATAGTTGAATGTCTTTTCTACATTCCTGTCTAGTGGGTTAGGTGTGTCATTTTGTGTATTTTAGAGAGGGATAACTTTACATCTCTTAAACGAAATCATCTTTAGATCTAGCGGTTAGAATATTCTTTATGTTAGAGTCAAAAATATAATCTCAGATTCCTCAGAGCCACATGATGCCATGTATATTTTCAGAATACCTAACATATGTTAAGTTCAACAAATTCAGTTGAGCATTTACTAAATGACTATTGTTTAAAAGAAGCACTTTGTTGAATGCTAGATCCACATTTTGTTTCTACATAATAAAATACCTAAATAAAATAGACTAAAATAATCTGAATCAAATAGACAAAAATGTAAATGCTAATAAAAGTACAAAAGCAACTTTGAGTTCAATTATAATTTTACTGTGAGGCATTCAAGACCAGCCTGGGCAACATGGCAAGACCCTGTTGCTACAAAATAAAATAAATATATAAAAAATAAAGAACATTATAAGTTTGATGAAATGCAGTATACCCTGTTTGAACAAAGTAAGACTGCAACATGCAAAGCAATTCTGTTGTCCTTCAGGCTGGCCACAGCAATTGATATATGTTTTTTTCTTGATATATTAGCTTTCAGAAGCTTTTTTAACACAGAAATATTGTCTTATGCATGATGAAAAAGAGAAAAATAGGTGAAAACATGTTAAAGTAAAATGGAAACCCAAGTTTAGCAGACTTAAGAAATTTATTGACAGTGCCAAAGAATCAATAAAATGAAAGACTCATTTGAAGAGAGGAAGAAGATTTTGAGAGAAAAAAATATTCTTCTTGCTTGATTTAAAATACTTTCTTAAGAAAGCCATCACAAAGTATGTAGATTGTATTAGATTTTTCTTCTTGCTATGCTATTTTTAAATTATGGAATATGATTCTTCAGTGGAAAAATAAAAGGAATTTAGATACAAATGGATAGGCATTGTGAATATGTTCTAAGTAGTGAAAGCCTAGTAATTATACATTCAGAAATGTAATAGGAAAATTATGTTTGTTATAATTATATTATTATACATACAAAAAAATAACATAATACACAATACTATTTTCCTTAAATTTCCATGTCCTCCACTTTATGTCAGTTTCAGAAAATGATATAGTATCAGGGCTGAGAAGACGTCATAAATGAAATTTCCCACTGGACCACTGGAAAATGGAACTTCATCTTTTCAATCTTTGTATTTCTATAGAACTTGATGTTAACTTAAATTTAACTATAATACCTAAAATGTGCTGGTTGCTTCTATTTTGTAGAATAGTGTTTAAAAAAAGAATAAAATAGTAAGATTTGATAAACTTGTATTCATTTTCCTGTACTTTTTTTATCTAATGAAAGTCTTTGTGATACTATGATCAGATAGTATCTCAGTCTCTAACTATTGTACAGTTAGAGATACTGAGATCATAGTTAGAGATACTATATGATATTAATCTGAATATCATATAGTATCTATCTCAGTCTGTAACTACTGTACAGATAAGAGATGATAGTGATAAAACATTAGAGCAATATTTTACATTAAAAATAATTTATCTATATTGAAATTGTGCTGTTGGAGCCTGCAATAACTTAGGCACCTTTCTGAGCTGTTTCATTGATTTCAGAGAAGAATAACTCTGCATTTCCCAAACCAGGACATCTTCAGATCTAAGTATATTCTTCTTCATGTTAGTGCCCCAAACAGTAATCAACCAAGTTTCATTCTATTCTCTACACCCTATCAGCAAATTATTTCCTTATCCTTGAGTTTCACATCCACTATACACAATAAACTATACTTAACATATCACCCTGTGGTAGTCAGCATATTCTCTCTGTTGCTATTGTAAATGTAATATGGCTCCTCTAGCTACAGACAAAAATATGGGTACAATAGAGTTTGCTTTTATTTCCTGAGATAACATTTCTAGTTTCCTTTGAGCCGCAACTAGTGAAAAGCCATTATTTTAAAGATTTCTAATGTTTCAGTGTCTTTATTCATAAAACTAATTTAGCGTTTTCATTATCTCTTCACATTTTTCAGTTAATAATCAATGATATAATTTGCTTATAACTGAATTATCTATATATGTATATATTTGCAAGGAAATATATATATATTTCTAAGGATATATATTTGTAAGGAAATATATTTGTGTATGTGTAAGGAAATATGTACATATTTACAAATATATTTATTTGTAAAGAAATATATATATATATATTTGTGTATTAGTCTGTTTTCACACTGCTATAAATATACCACTGAGCCTGGGTAATTTATAGAAAAAGAGGTTTAATTGACTCACAGTTCCTCATGACTGGGGAGGCCTTAGGAAACTTAGAGTCATGGCAGAAGGGGAAGTAGGTACCTTCTTCATAAGGCAGCAGGAAACAGAGAGCACGTGAAGGAAGCAGAGGGAAAAGAGGCTTTTATAAAACCATCAGGTCTCATGAGAACTTACTATCACTAGAACAGCATGGATGAAACCATCTCCAGGATCAATCACCTCTCCCAGGTCTCGCTCTCTGTAATCCCCTAGGGATTACAATTCAAGATGAGATTTGGGTGGGAACACAAAGCTTAACTGTCATTCCATCCCTGACCCCTCCCAAATCTCATGTCCCTTTCACATTTCAAAACCAATCATGCCTTCCCAATAGTCCCCCAAAGTCTTAACTTGTGATGGTTAATACTGAGTGAGTGTCAACTTGATTGGATTGAAGGATGCAAAGTATTGTTCCTGGGTGTGTCTGTGACAGTGTTGCCAAAGGAGATTAACATTGGAGTCAGTGAACTGGGAGAGGCCGACCCACCCTCAATCTGGGTAGGCACCATTTAATCAGCTACCAACATGGCTAAGATAAAAAGCAGGCAGAGGAAGGTGGAAGGACTAGACTGGCTGAGTCTTCCAGACTTCATCTTTCTCCCATGGTGGATGCTTCCTGCCCTTGAACATCAGACTCCAAGTTATTCAGCTTTTGGACTCTTGGACCTACCCTAGTGGTTTGCTAGGGCTCTCAGGTTTTTGGCCACAGACTGCAGGCTGCATTATCAGCTTCTCTACTTTTGAGGTTTTGGGATTCAGACTGGCTTCCTTGCTCATCAGCTTGCAGATAGCCTATTGTAGGATTTCACCTTGTGATTGTGTGAGTCAATACTCCTTAATAAACTCCCTTTCATATATACATTCATCCTATTAGTCCTGTCCTCCTAGAAAAGCCTGACTAATACATAACTAATTCCAGCATTAACCCAAAAGTCCAAGTTCAAAGTTTCATCTGAGACAAACTAAGTACTTTCTGTCTAGGAACCTGTAAAACAAAAGCAAGTTAGTTACTTCCAAGATACAATGGGGGTACAGGCATTCTCTCAGGTTTATTGAACTGAATCAACTCCATAGGGTACAATAAGAAAATAGTTTTACTTTTCTCGACAACTGCCTTTACCACTAGTTTGGGAAATTTCCCTTTCCTACTCTTTTTTTTTTTTTTGAGACAGAGTCTCCCAGGCTGGAGTGCAGTGGCGCAATCTCGGCTCACTGCATGCATCCTCTGTCTCCTGGCTTCAAGCAATTCTCCTGCCTCAGCCTCCCCAGTAGCTGGGATTACAGGTATGCACAAGCATGCCAAGCTAATTTTCTTGTATTTTAGTAGAGATTGTGTTTCACCATGTTGGCCAGGCTGGTCTCCAACTCCCGACTTCAAATGATCTGCTTGCCTTGGCCTCCCAAAAGGCTGGAATTACAAGTACAAGTGTGAGCCACCGCACCAGGCCCCCTTTCCTACTCCTAATGACAACTCATGGAGAGCCATAATTTTCTGTTTACTTTCACATTAAAAAAAAAAAAAACCTAAAAAAGTATCCAGTCCTGTGCAGTTACATTTCCTCATCCCATCTTTCTCTCTCCCACAACTTCTCTTTCTCCTCACATCATGCTTTACCCTTTCTCTGAGGGCCTGCACATGCTTTGCTGTGGCTCGAGGAGGCTGCATGTGCCTTGTCCAGGTGCCAGGGCCCTGCACTGGGAAAGCACACATGCCTAATTCTACTCTTCACTGTGTTGTAATGGAGAGAGGAAACTGGGGAGACAGGAGTGGTTGTGTCATTCCAGCTACCGTTTGTAGATGGAGACACTCTACTAATTCCACTCTAGCAGGGTCTGTTTTGTCTTGTTCCTAGTAGCTTCAGTTGGTGTGATGGTTTCCATGTAGACAGCATGGCTGGGTTTCCTGTGGGTAGTGTTTTCCTTTACTGCAGGCTCCAGCATCATAAAGGACTTCCTTAGGCAGAGTCACATTGCCATCCTCAGTCCCTGCGAGTAGACCTTGCTCTTAGCTCCAATTCTGGGTGAAGAAAACCTCTCTCTTTGGCAGCCACCTATGCAACCTTTTCTTAGGCCTATTCTGTGACCTTTGTGCTCCGTCAGATGGAACCACAGAAACCATCACTCTGCTTTCCAGCTTTCCAAAGGCCATTTAAAACTGGGGAAGCTATGGGATTCTCATTCTTCTAGATCCTACTTGTCCTGGTAATGTTAGCTTCTTTAGCAAGCTTCCCACTGCCAGAATTTTGCAGCTAACTGGCAGATACTAATGGCCACATCTATGTACCAGAACCAAATTGCAAGGAAGTAGTCATGTTTTCTTGAGAATGTCCTGACCACACTCTGATGTCAACACCAGGGTGAAGTCCCTGACCACACTCTGATGTCAACACCAGGGTGAAGTCCCTTGATTCTTTAGCCGCACGCCCCAAGCAGAAAGTGAGGTACATGTCACCCTTCCTGCTACGCCCCTCTCTTCAAACCTCTTGACAATACACATAGGTGGGTTGTGTGAGTAAAATATTCCATTCCCCATGGAAAGAGGAAAGGGCCACCACATATTTATTGACACTAAGAATAATTGGAATGATTTTTTCTTTCCTAAATTGTCTGCCTATAGAGATAGAAGGAATTTCTGGGTTGAGGGTAACAGCTGGGTTAGCAAAGCCATTTTTGTCAGTATCTTCAAAAGATCCAAGAGTTATCTTTTCCCTTCCTTCAAAATGACAAAATTATCAAGCTTTTCTTGTTTTGAGTCTACTCAGCATCACATTACACGGCATCACTTGAATACCTAAAATCTTTGTGAGCAAGTTGACGGTACGTCTGTAAGACTGACTAGGTGACCATATCCGATCATCAAATATATCTTCTGGTCTGCCTGACAGGGTATTTCTATAGAGAGACGGATGCAACATGCTACCACAGCTCCATGACAGGTGCTCTGCAGCCATTCAGTTCACTCCCTTTGCTCTGTCAGCAAGCTCAATAAACTCTTTTTTCTCCAAATATGACCTTCCCTGTAGATTTTTCTGGCCACCAATAATAAAAAATTCCACTCAATTATACTTCTCAGAGTAATTTTTGTGATGCTTTTCATTTTTTCTAATCATTATTCAGACTGCCTATACAACCTCCGTGTTAATTTATTTTCCCCTTATTTACCAAGAATGGTCTCTCCTTTAGGGTTGTTGTTATTCAGTTAAACAAAGCAAAATTGGCTTCTCAAAGAAAGTATACAGAAAACTGTTAATAAATAGTCATTACTACCATTTACACAGACAGAAAGATTTTTCAAAGAAGCCTTGTTTATATTAATAGAGCTCTCTATACATGACGAACAAGTTAGGCATGTTTCTTATATAGTTGCTTTATATAGACAATATTTTATGAACACTCCCTACATTTACCTTCCAATATGTATTTTTTAAAAAACTAAAATACTCAAGGCAATATATAAACATTAGGAAAAGTTGAAGCCTATTTCTCTGCTCTCATTTGCAGGTCCTTGGTATATCAAACTCTAAAATAAATTTCCACTGGTACTTTGGCTTTTAATAATATAAAATTAATTATTATAATGCTGTCTTACCAAGAAAATGAAGTTTCAATTATATCTTTTATAGATACATACTTTGCAAATGTGCTTAGACACAGAAGAAAGTGGTGCTCTATCCAGTTTAAATAGAGTACAGTCATGCGCTGCATAACATTTTGGTCAATGACAGACTGCACATATGATCATGGTCCCACAGGATTATAATTAAGCTGAAATATTCCTATTTCCTAGTGACATTGTACAGCGTTATGCATATTTACATGTTTGTGGTGATGCAGGTATAGACAAACATACTGCACTGCCAGTCACACTAAAGTATAGCACATAATTATATACAGCACATTATACATGATAATGATAGTAAGTGACTATGTGTTCCTAGTCATGTATTTGTGACATATCTTTTATTGCTATTTTAGAGTGTGCTCCTCTTACTTATAAAAAAAATAGTGAACTGTAAAACAGCCTCAGGCATGTCCTTCAGGAGGATTCCAGAATAAGGCATTGTTATCATAGGAGATGACAGTTCCATGCATGTTATTGCCCCTGAAGACTTTCCAGTGGGACAAGATGTGGAGATGAAGACAGTGATACTGATGGTCCTGACCCTGTGTAGGCCTTGGGTAAGTGTGTGTGTCTTAGTTTTGAACAAAACATTTTTAAAAAGTAAAAACATTAGAAATTAAAATTAAAAATTTTTAAAAAGTAAAAAATTTAAAAGCTTCTAGAATAAGGACATAAAGAAAATATTTTTGTACTGCTGCACAAGCATTTGTATTTTAAGCTATGTATTACAAAAGTATCAGAAAGTTAAATTTAAAAGTTTATAAAGTAAAAAGTTATAGTAAGCTAAGGTTAATTTCTTATTAATGAAAGAAAAATATGTTTTATAATTTTAGTGTAGCCTACATGTGCAATGATTTTAAAGTCTACAATAGTGTATGGTAATGTCCTAGGCCTTTGCACTCACTGACTCACCCAGAACTTGCAGTCATGCAAGCTTCATTCATGGTGTGTGCTCTGTGCAGGTGTACCATTTAAAAAATCTTTTATATCATATTTTCACTGAATCTTTTATATGTTTAGATATGTTTACATACACAAATACTTGTGTTTGTGTTAAAATTGTCTGTGGTGTTCAGTGCAGTAACATGCTGTACAGGTTTATAGTCTATGAGTAACAGGTTATACCATGTAGTCTAGGTATGTAGTAGTCTATACCACCTAGGTTTGTGTAAATACACTCTGTGATGTTCATATAACAATGAAATACCCTAATGATGCATTTCTCAGAAGATATCCCCATCATTAAGCAATGCATATCTGTATAAGTATCTAGCCAATCACTTTATCGACACAGAAAGACACAGTGATTTCATTACTACAATTTTAGTGATCACCTTCTGTTTAAAATCTCAAAAGCTTTAGCAGGAAAGAACAGGTCAACAATAACACACACACACACACACACACACACACACACACACACACCAACAATAATTGCAGTAGCACCAACCAGATAGCTAGTTAGAGGCAATAAGGACAAACTGCTTATACTCTACTTCATTAGACCTTAATAAAGGTGATAAGAGACATGAATGCCATTGCGGTAATTTCTCCCTCCCTTTATGTAACACTATCCCTGCTACTTGTTTCTACCTTCCTCAGCAGATTCTAATGTAGTTATAGAGTTACAATACTAGACAATATTGACTGACTGCATTTAACCGACAATCTCTATTACTCAGGGGTTAGAAGTTAAAAAACAATCATCTGTATCAGTGATTTCGGCAGAAGATAGCTGCTGAATCATATAAGGCTTTTTAAAGGAGGAGAATAAATTCTTAGCTATATTACAATCCAAACACTATCATGCAATCATACGACAATCCTTTCTTTCTAAAAGAAACACTGGATCACAGAGGATTTATGTTTGCAAAAGTATGATATATATTTTAAAACATCATTTAATATGTTTTCATTTAGATTAAAGTTTTAAAGGGAATTATCTGCCATCAGTGTTGTTTCTCAATCAATAAAAATAAAATAATTCTTACAATTATTTGTTGGCAGTGATTTTTTTATGAAATAGGTCTCTATGTTTAAAAAAGTCATTTTTCAAATTTCTAAGCTTGTAAATAGGTGAATTTAAAAAATGTATACATAAAGCTATTTTGGGGGAATTAAAAGGTATTTAAAATTCAAGATGATAGATACCTGTTTTAAAAACCTCCCTTGAAAATTTTTGTGCTGTGACAAATCTGTTTTTATTATGCAAATGATGTTTCATTTATCTGCTTATACCTTTTGGTGATGTTTATAATTTAGCATTAGCAAATAGTTTTTTAAAACACATCAGCTCATGCCTTTCTTCACCCTTTCTTTAACTTCTTTCCATCAAAAAAGAAAAGAAAATGCAGACTACACCATAATGTGATAATACAACCTGGTTTTCCCCACCTTCATGAATCATTGCTTTACTACATGTGTGAGTGCTGTTTGAAACGCTGGGAACACTATTTTTGCAGTCATATGGACCTCTGATAATCACCTGCAGGTCTTATGGCTTCAGCACAGTCTTATGTTGTGGTAATGAAACATTTCAATCAGACAAAGAAGAATTTGAAGAAAATAAAAAAGATTTTCCTGGCAACATTGACATTTACCTAGGTGCGAAAATGGTATACAAGTCACCCTGGCACCTTGAAAATTCAGATACCACATTCTGCAGTTTTGCCTTGCTGAATGCTTCTTTCTCAAGTCCATGCATATTAAAAACAGAAAAGAGAGAGAGAGAAAGAAAAAGTAGAAAGAAAGTAATTCATTCAAGTGGTAAATTACTCTTCCTGGAAAAAAGACTTGAATTTGACCAGTATACAAATGAGATGTGGAATCACAGACATAGAATTTTTTTTTTTAATGAATTTCTTCATGTTCACTTGACAGAGACTGATCCCTGCAGTTGTAGGGTATATTCATTTTCCACTTCTTATGCCTCAGGAATTCCCTCTATTCACTTAGAATTAGCTTAGTAGAAATTTCCAAGGGAAGTTTTGGATTTTCCATTAAAAAGTTTCCATGTTGACTTTAGAAAACTAAAAAGGCTTAACACAATCATTTTAATGTTTTTCTGCTGAGAGTGTTGAAGTCTCTCTATAGGGTTTTTATGGGAATGAAAGCCACCAAGTATAAATAATAGATGCAGCCTGAGCCAGCCGTGAATACTAAATCTATCATGACATTAAAATTCAAAGTTAAAGGGTTAAATATTAGTATTCAAACCTTTAAAACATCATTTTAAAGTTTAAATTTATAAGTTTAAAATTTTTTGAAAAAACTCAAGAATATGTCAGAGGCGTTTGAACCAGAGCAACTCCATCTTGAATAGGGACTGGGTAAAATAAGGCTGAGACCTACAACAAGTCACAGGATGAAATGGGAGGTCAGCATAAAATACAGGTCACAAAGACCTTGCTGATAAAACAGGTTGTGTTAAAGAAGCCAGCCAAATCTCACCAAAACCAAGATGGTAACAAAAGTGACCTCCGTTCATCTTTACTGCTCATTATCTGCTAATTATAATGAATTAGCATGCTAAAAGACACTTCCACCAGCACCATGACAGTTTACAAATGTTATGGCAATGTCAGGAAGTTACCCTATATGGTCTAAAAGTAGGATGAAACCTCAGTTCTGGGAACTGCCCACCTCTTTCCTAGAAAACTCATGAATAATCCACCCCTTGTTTAACATATAATCTAGAAATTGTTATAAAAATAGCCAACCAGCAGCCCTTATGGCTGCTCTGCCTATGGAGTAGCCATTCTTTAATACCTTACTTTCTTAATAAACTTGCTTTCACTTTACTTTATGGACTCACCCCAAATTCTTTCTTGCATGAGATCCAAGAACCCTCTCATGGAGAACGGATTGGGACCCCTTTCTGGTAGAAATATAAGAAAATAAATTTTAAATTATAAAATAACATCTCTTTCTAGTGAAGACCACTGTATCCTTTTGCTGTTTTGATGAATATTATATGCATACACACAAATATATGTATGATTGATACTGTTTTCCTATTAAAACTAGATCCATATCAAGTGCATTAAAAATATGTTTTAGATTTAATGAATTTTTTCTATATTAAATGTATGAAATCATTTTAATATGCACATAATATTCTTAAATGTATTTTTCTCCTATTTAACTTTGTTGCCTAATCTAATTATACTTTTATATAAATCTCTGGCCCTATGTCTTTGGAAAACATTTCAAATAAAGCATAACATCTGGTAGTGTCAAAGAAAAATTGCACCAGACGAGTTAAAGAGGTAAGGAAGACTTTATTCAAGATGATTGCAGTAGGGCTGAAGAGAAATAAAGGGAGAGAGACTGAACCCAAATCTATTGAAACACAAAGCCAGAGAGTTATTAAGGCTAGGATGAGCTACTGAAAAATTATTGGTAACAAATCTGCATTTGTTCCTTCTAAATAAATTTTTTAAAAATTGGAAGATTT
Source organism: Homo sapiens (assembly GCF_000001405.40). Taxonomy (NCBI): domain Eukaryota; kingdom Metazoa; phylum Chordata; class Mammalia; order Primates; family Hominidae; genus Homo; species Homo sapiens. The sequence goes on from NC_000006.12 coordinate 114,995,532, forward strand.
TAGGGAAAAAATTTGTCATTGTGATTAGGTTATCTGTGTTCTATAATTGGTACTAATGGAAAGCAGGCTCCTCCCCTCCCACAGAAAGGAGAGAATAGGAGCACTGTCTTTCTTGATGATCACATTTCAAAAGGACAGTTCCAAGGTCCACATGAAAAAGAATCCTGGGATGTAAAACCATCAAGAAGCTAAAAGAAGATTTATATCTCAAAGTCACAGAGAAAGAATTTGGTTTCAAGTTTTCTAAAGTAAATGCTCTAAGGAAAGGAAGATCAAAGACCAGAGAAGAAACCTGTGTACAGTGTAGTCAAGCCAAGGGGAACTTTTAAGGCCATCTTGCTCAGTAACAATCTAATCTATATTGTGAAATTGAACATTACATTTAAGTATTTTCCGTATAATTTATGTGCTAAATCATGAGCATCAGAGTGATTGAAGTGAATATAGAAATGTATAATGCCAGGAAAAATTATGCAGTCTGTTGATGAAAAGTGTCAAGCTCTGTAAAATATTTGAAGAGAATTCTTCTGAGCCAAATATGATTGACCAATGGACTGTGACGCAGCCTCAAGAGGTCCTGAAAACATGTGCCCAAGGTGGTCAGGCTACAACATGGTTTTATACATTTTAGGGAGACATAAGGCATCAATCAATGCATGTAAGATGTACATTGGTTGGGTCTGGAAAGGTGGGACAACTTGAAGTGTGGAGAGGGACTTCCAGGTCATAGGTGGATTCAAAGGTTTTCTGACTGTCTATTGGTTGAAAGAGTTTTATCTAAAGACCTGAAATCAATAGAAGGGAGTGTCTGGCTTAAGATAAGAGGGTGTAGAGACCAAGGTTCTTATTATGTAGATGAAGCCTCCAGGTAGCAGGCATCAGAGAGAATAGATTGCAAATGTTTCTTGTCTGACTTAAAAAGGTACAGAGATTTTCTACAGAATGTAGATTTTTCCCCAAAAGAGACAGCTTTGCAGGGCCATTTAAAACTATGTCAAAGAAATATATTTTGGGGTAAAACACTTGGATTTCTATCAGGGCCTGCTGTCTATCATGTTGGTGTCGCATTATTACAAAGATTCCCTTTGTCAGTCTGAAGGTATCTTTTTTAATGTTAATACTGGTCAGCTGTGCCTGAATTCTAAAGGGAGGAAGGTAGAATGAGGCATGTCCGGCCCCACATTCCCATCATGGCCTGAACTACTATTTCAGGTTTACTTTATGATGCTCCTGGCCAAGAGGAGTCCATTCAGGTGGTTGGTGGGCTTAGAATTTATTTTTATTTTTATTTTTTTTGGTTTACAAGTCAAAACTAACATAGCTCAAATGAAATAAATGATCAGAAAGTGCTTAACCTTCTACATGAAGGAAATATGTACTACATGACATATAAATCAAGTTACAGATGAGCTTCCAAGCACAATTTCAGAAGCACAACATAAGAATGCTACAAAAATGGTTGCTGGATTAACAAGTTTCTTCAAACATTATTTAAAAGGAAGGAATTCATAAACACATTCGTTTTTATGGAAGAGACATCTCCCACTAAGCAATCAAATCTTAATAGGAAAAAAATGGTTTGTGTGAATGAAGCCATTAAAAAAATCCATACAAGGATTTCTATAATTAATTCTAGAAGATAGCATTTCAAATAAAGAAAATTTCAATGACATTTTACACATGGTAAATTAGTTAAAAAAAAAAAAAAGCCAGTTGCCTTCCAATCACCTTCTCTTTTTGTGAGAAACTCAGCAGTATAACACCTATCTCCTGTATTTTCACTCCTTATTAGTCCTGAGTTGGTTTAATCAAGATAAATAAAGTAAAAAATAAAATGAATCCTGAATGGCATTTTCTTTTTGTCTACTCCTTTCTACCCAAATGCTTTTCATTTATTAATTGAGTGTCATTGCCTCTTGTTTCCCTAGGCTTGCTACACAGATCATAAAATGTGGAAAATTTGGGTGTTTTCAGTTTAGGTGACTTTCATTTAACCATTTTTTATACTCTTCCTCCACCCCAGGCTCTGCCAATATCTTGAATGCGCATATACATGTATACACACACACACATATGTATCTGTATATATGTATATTTCAGATACAAACATATTTTCATAAGACACACATATGTAGAAATAGAGACAGTGAAGATATAGATACATAAACATATACACATAAACTATACACATATACATTTATATACACGTATATATAATGGCTTAACTATACTTTATTTATATCTATGTTTGCATTTATAGCTTAATTTTGTCCATATTGAGGGACTAAGTGGCTAAGTGGGCTGGACTCCCTGGGTCAATACGGACTTCCCTAAGGCGATTTTCCCCTAAGCCAAAATGAGTCATAGCTGCAAGCTAAGGGATTGAAACTTCAACCAATCAATGGGGACTTTCCCCTAAGCCAAAATGAGTCACAGCTATAAACTAAGGGATTGAAACTTCAACCAATCGTATAGGGGGTTTAAGCTCTAGCTGCAGCCTGATGTTTTTAACCAATCAGGCCCGCCAACCTGCAAGCAGATAGAAAATAAGCTAATCCTATAGGACAGAAAAAGGAAAAGGGGAGGAGTCATAAGTGGATATAAGCATAAGACACCTAAGCCAGAAATGGCAACCCTTCCAGTTCCCCTTCCACTGTGTGGAAGCTTTACTTTCACTTTTGCTTTACTTTGGCTTTAATAAATCTTGACCCAGCACTCTCTTTAGGTCTGCATGCTTCTCAAATTGAGCTGTAACACTCACTGCTGCGGTCCAAGCCTTCATTCTTTGAAGCCCGTGGAACCACAAACTCTTCAATTGATAAAAACCTTCGATCGGAAGAGACTTCTCATCTCATTTCTGGGGGCCTGTCCGGGATTTCTCTGAAGTGGTGAGTAACATCGGACCCCTTTTGCTTGCTATTCTGTTCTACCTTCTCACTAGAAATTGAAGGAAAACACCAAGCACCTGTCGGCCATTTAAAAGTGACAAGCCTGGCCACCAGACTTAAGACATGGGTGTGAGGCTTTCTGGGAAACGGCTCTTTTACAACCCCCGGCCCTCCAGGCTGGGTGCGTTGGTTTGCCTGAAACCAGTTCCACCTTTCTCTACCTTTACCCAGGAAAAGCCAACGGCTGGCTAAAGGTGGAAAACTGTTGTCCCGGACTCCCAGCACTGATCAGTCCAGATCATGGCACAGTGAGAAGCCGCTATGCTGCAGCCGCCCATGTGTGCATTCCCTGCCTTTTCTGACCCATGCCTCCTGGGTCCTAATGTCCTCAGAGAAAAATTTCTTGGGTCCCTGTTCTCTAGGATCTTTCCTACCCCTGAGTCTAAGAATCTTTTAGCTAGGAGTCTAAGTTGACAGGGGTGGCAATCCCAAGACCCTTGCCTATGGTGCCCCCAGGCTTATTCTTATGCAAATGGGTATCAATATACTTATAGGGGACCTGTCCCTCATAACCTACACCCTAGGCACTATCCGGGACATCAAAAGGCATTCCAGTGGCTGATAGAAGGCCTAGGACATTTTTCCTTTTGTTGCCCAAAACTTACTCCAGATTGTAGAGGCTACTTTAATTACCACCTTTCCTGCCTGGGATCAGTGATTAGAACTGTGGAACTTGTCCACTAGAAGCAGTCAGAGGTATAGGGTGAAAACAATGTAACAGACAATAGGTCCCCCGATTCAAGTCCAAAGGTCAATAAATATTCTTATTTATTGACAGAAAATTTGGGTACAAAAAGCACTGCTCCAACCTTGGTCCTCCAATTTGCCGCTGCCTACCCTAAAACTGTTGTGCTTCAGTGCCACTTTCAAGGAATTTATCTTGCTGGGAAAGCTCCAGGCCCAGAAATATGCTAATTGGTGCCTGGTCTCTGAACTCAAAATATACCCCAAACCTAAGACCTACTCGCAGATGCAAAGGCAATTGTGGGCATGCTGGTAAGGAGCCACTAAAATCCAGTAGCCCCGGCCCCCTTTTTTGTGGCTAAAAAAGGGTGGGAAACAAGTGCGGGCAAAACTGCTATGTCAGTTAAGTGCAATTAAATCTGATAAGCAGTGTTCCATGAGTGATAGTGCACCCTGGAAAGAAAAGGACACTAGAACCATAGGGGACACCCTAGGGCTAGTGCTTACTAGGGGATGACTAGGGGTGTGGGCACTCCTGTGTTCTCCTTTCAGATGGGAGGCGCTCCCTCAAAAGTGAAGCCACCCTTGAGGTATATTCTGGATAATTGGGACCAATTCGACCCTCAAACACTGAAGAAGAAGTAACATATTTTTCTGCAGCACTGCCTAGCCATAATATCCTCTTCCCGGAGGAGATCCATGGCCACCTGAGGGAAGTATAAACTATAATACCATCCTACAGCTAGATCTCTTTAGTAAACGAGAGGGCAAATGGAGTGAAGTGCCATATGTACAGGTTTTTTTCTCATTAAGAGATAACCCACAATTATGTAAAAAATGTAATTTACATCCTACCGGGAGTCCTTAAAGCTTACCCCCATACCCAGGTCTCCCCACAGCTCCCCCTAGTAAGGACTCTCCTTTGGCCCTAATGGCCCAAAAGGAACCAGACAAAAAAATAGTCAAGGAACTGAAAGGTGCCAATGGTCTCAATTGTGCCCCCTCCAAGCCGTGGTAGGAGGAGGAGACTTTGGCCCAGCACGAGTACATGTCCCCTTTCCCCTCTCAGACTTAAAACAGATCAAACCGGGCCTAGGAAAATTCTCAGATAATCCTGATGGATACATAGATGTCTTACAGGGATTAGGACAATCTTTTGATTTAGCATGGAAAGATATTACATTGTTGTTAGGTCAAACATTAACTCCCAATGAAAAAGAGGCCGTCTTAACTGCAGCCCGGAAGTTTGGGGATCTCTGGTACCTAAGCCAGGTAAATGATAAAATAACATCAGAAGAAAGGGAACAATTCCCCACAGGCCAACAGGTGGTTCCCAGCGTGGATCCCCACTGGGACCTCGATTTGTAGCATGGAGCCTGGAGTCGCAGGCATTTACTGACTTGTATACTAAAGGGATTAAGAAAGACCAGAAAAAAATCCAATAAATTAGTCAATGATATAATGCAGGGAAAGGAAGAAAACCCCATGGCATTTTTAAAGAGGCTAAGGGAGGCATTAAGAAAGCATACCTCTTTGCATCTGACTCTATTAAAGGCCAACTAATTTTAAAGGATAAGTTTATCACCTAGTCAGCTGCAGACATTAGAAAAAAACTTCAAAAGTCTTTCCTGGGCCCTAAGCAAAATCTGGAAACTCTATTGAATTTGGCAACTTCAGTGTTTTATAATAGGGATCAGGAGAAGCAGGCTGAACGAGACAGATGAGACAAGAAAAAGGCTGCCTCCTTAGTCACAGCCCTCAGGCAATAGAACTTCGGTGGCTCTGAAAGAAAGAAAGGCTGGGCAGGCAACCCACCTAACAGGGCTTGTTATCAGTGCAACTTACAGGGGCACTTCAAAAAGGACTGCCCAAACAAACATAAGCCGCCCCCTCATCCATGTCCCTTGTGCCAGGGGGATCAGTGGAAGGCACACTGCTCCCAAGGGCGAAGGTCCTCTGGGCCAGGGGCCACTAACCAGATGGTCCAACAACAGGACTGAGGGTGCCTGGGGCAGGCACCAGCCCATGCCATCACCCTCACAGAGCCCCAGGTAAGCTTAACCATTGAGGGACAGGAAACTAACTTTCTCCTGGACACTGGTGCAGCCTTCTCAGTTTTACTCTTCTGTCCCAGACAACAATCCTCCAGGTCTGTCAAATCAAAAGGGTCCTAGGACAGCCAGTCACTAGGTATTTCTCCCACCCCCTAAGTTATGACTGGGGAAACTTATTTTTCTCATGTGCCTTTCTTATTATGCCAGAGAGCCCTACTCCTTTACTAGGGAGGGACACATTAGCTAAAGCAGGGGCCATTATATACTTGAATATAGGAGAAGGAATACCGGTTTTCTGCCCTCTACTATTGTGATGCTGCTTATCTTTGGACCCTGCATTTTTAACCTCCTTGTAAAATTTGTCTCTTCCAGAATAGAATCCATGAAACTGCAAGTGGTTCTACAAATGGAGCCCCAAATGACCACCACTAGCACCTACTATCGAGGACCCCTAGACTGACCTACCAACCTGTTCTAACACCACGACACTGAAGAAGACTCCCCTCCTGAGGAACCCTCAACTGCAGATCCCCTTCTGTGCCCCAGTTCAGCAGGAAGTAGCTAGAATGATCATTGCCCAACTTCTCAACAGCACTTGGGCTTTCCTGTTGAGAGGGGGTACTGAGGCACTAAGTGGCTAAGTTAGCTAGACTTCCTGGGTCAACAGGGACTTCCCTAAGGGGACATTCCTCTAAGCCAAAATGAGTCATAGCTGCAAGCTAAGGGATTGAAACTTCAACCAATCAAAGGGGACTTTCTCCTAAGCAAAAATGAGTCACTGCTGCAAACTAAGTGATTGAAACTTCACCCAATCATATAGGGAGTTTAAGCTTTAGCTGCAGCCTGATGTTTTTAACCAATCAGGCCTGCCAACCCACAAGCAGATAGAAAATAAGCTAATCCTATGGGACAGAAAAAGGAAAAGGGGAGGAGTCATAAGAGGATATAAGCATAAGACACCCAAGCCAGAAACGGAAACCCTTCCGGGTCTCCTTCCACCACGTGGAAGCTTTACTTTTGCTTTTACTTTACTTTCACTTTAATAAACCTTGGCGCTGCACACTCTTTGGGTCTGTACGTTTCTCTAATTGAGCTGTAACACTCGCCGCTGTGGTCCACGGCTTCATTCCTTGAAGCCTGTGAGACCACGAACCCTTCAATTGAGAAAAACCTTCAATCAGAAGAAGACTTCTTGTCTCAATATCACTTCCTTCGAAAACATAATTCAAGAGTTATTCACATCATAGTTATTTTTCACTCCCCGCTAATAGGTAAAAAATACCAAGCCTTTAAGAATTTTTTTTTTATCCACACTAAGACTGTTTCATAAAAATAAATTCTAGTCTTTGTTCTTTACTGAATCTTTTAATTCTCAGATTCTAATTCCCATTTTCTTTCTAATGACAGCAGGAGTCACTTCCAATATACTAGAATTTCAAAAAGGAACTGTAACTTATAGGTAAGATTTCTTATTTCTGAACAAGTGGAAGAATAACAAAAATGATTTAAAAAAAGATTTTAAGGATACAGAGAATTTTGTGTTTTATGCTATTTCATCCAGTCTTGATTGCTATCTTTCCTTAAACTGTCTTAATAGTATAAATCTGCAATTTATGATGCAAGAAACGTAATTATATAGAGCCATAATCATCTCAAAATCATTTTCACATTCACCTCAATAGAGGGTTGCAATTTCATACAGCCGTGGAAATTAGTGTTGGCTATAGGACTAGGAGGAAGAAGAGTGACACAACTAGAAAAAGTTACACCGAACTATTAAATGTTCCCATAACATTCCATATCCAATCCCCTACAACCTATAATCTTTTCCTGGGCTTCTGGTACTTGCTTACTTGAATATGTACTAATAGGAGAATTCTGGAAAATTTATTCACTTATCTTTTTGAAAAAAAGGAAATAAAATGTATTTAGGGCCTACTATAATTCACACACATATTGTCACCTACTCTTTCTTAGAACTTCATCTATCAACACATAATGTTTAACTACATTCTCCCAGCACGCTCAGGGCAAAAAACATAGCCATCTGTACCTGTGAATGGACCATGATTGTATCCTCTTAATCTATTCTCTGCTTCTCCTCATCAGTTTACAGTCAGTGTTTGTTTGAAATGTAAAGCCTGACCATTCAACTGCCATGATTGAAGCACTCTGAAAGACTTCCATGGCCTTAGGATAAAGTTCATCCTCCTTTACAAGGAGCACAAGACCCTTAGAATTCCAGACCCTGATTTAGTCTTCATCTTATACGAGTAAGTTCCTCATAATCTATTCTTCCCCCTTTCCAGACTTTTTGAGCTTGTTTCAGTACCTCAAGGGTGTCTCTTCTCTCCTCTCTTCTGGATTTTGCATCTAAATGAGGCCAGTGCAGTGTGGACAATATCCATAAACGTAGTAGGTATGATGGTTAAGAACACAGATGCAAGAGCTAAAATGTCAGGGTCTGAGTTCTAGCTCTGCCTTTAAACATTATATAAGCTAATTATTTTTCATCGTCAGTTATACTTTCCTTATGTATAAAAATCAAAATCAAAATAATAATAATATTTTACCGCATAGGCAGCTGTCTGGTATGAGAAAGAGCATGTAAGCCACTGAGAACAATGACTGGTGCATAGTAGGTATTTAATAAGTGCTGGCTATTATTATTATAAACAAAATGCTTTGTATGAGGAAAGAAACTGGAAAGTTCTTGTTTTTCTTTAGATGAGGCAGGAAGGAGGGCTTGTTGCCTAATGTAGAATTGATGTGGAGAATCATGAATTTATACTATTAAGTGAAAAAGATCCTCTATCGGAAACAAATGTTTTCCCTTGTAGCTAATTTACTCACAGAAACAAACTAAAGGGATTCTAATTCTCCTAGTCCCATCAACATGATCATCCGGAATAAATTGTAATATCAGTTCTAAAGTTGAAAGGAGAAGAACATTTTAAGATGAGCTTAGGGGTAATCAGATCCTTCTGAAATAGGGAAAATTAAAAGGTCAATTATACTTGGAATCTTCCCAGTGCTATTTTATGTCAAACATGCAAATGCATAGTGCTGCCTATGGAATAATCTTCACAAGTACCATCACTTTAATAAAATACCTACCTTTATCTTCCTTATACACACATTATTCCAAGCTCACATCTGAGTCATTCTTCATGGAAAGAGCTAATCTCATTTCCTCATACCTGTCACTGAATCATGTTAAATATCTGAATAAGAATAATTACCTCGCAGCTAAATTTCCCTGACCTTCCTAGTTACAAAAAATGATTTTTTTTTTGCCACTCAGTAACAGTATCTCCTAGGATAACTAACTTATTCTGTAGAAAAGCATGCATGTTATTTTCATGTAACTAAACCATCAAATGGGTTCCAATATAACTTTTAAGATATTTAGGCTGTTATATCCAAGTTACCTTAATGAGGACTTTTGAAATATGATCTCATTTCAGTAACTTAACATTTTTTTTTTATTGTCTTGCCTCCTTATATAGAGAAATAATTGAAATATTTTGGTTTTCTCTCTGTCTCTTCTGTCTGTCTGGCTGCCTGGCTCTTTCTCACTCTCTGTCTTTTTCTGTCTCTCTCTCTCTCTGTCTCTCTCAAAGAAAGACAACAGAAAAGCTAACTTTAATACCTTGAGTTTCAGTGAGCTGACTGATTAATACGCTTGTGAATTCTTAATAAGAGAAGTGTGCATATTCATAGTGATGTTTATTAATTCATAAAGCAGCTGCTCAAAGGCAGCTAGTGGAGAACGACATCTCCTCCCACAGAATCCTCTTGGCAGTGATCAGGCCTTTTCCCTTCCTGATCGTTTTGAGTGCAGCCTTAACATTGAAAACTGATGGCCCTTTATCTGCCCTGGGAAGGGGAATCTCTCCTGCCAGCAGGAGGCCACAGGGATTGGAGTTTCAGATCTAAATCTCCCAATGTGTAGAGGCTGAAATAAAAAACTTAATGAGACTAGTAGAGTCCACAGCTCATTTCAATTATTTTTAATTGTTTTCAGATGCTGCCCGGCATGCTTCATTTAGTTCTGCAATAAACAGAGCATACAGCATGGTTGTGGATCTCACTAGAGACCCAAAGAAAACATCCCACAGGAAATGATGAAAAATAATAAGAGCATTATATGTATTGGAGCGTGGACCAGGCAGTTGAAGTGGAAAACACAGGGGAGGGTAGGACCGGTTCTGGTGCATCCTCTACTTGGAGATTCACAGGGAGCCTCACTTTTAATTCTTACCATCACTCCTGAAATTGAAATTCAGTGAATAAACAGTGAGGCCCACAGTGAAATCCACCCAAGCTGGCTGAAACTAGTCTTTACTAGGCTTCCTTCTCCTAAAGTAGTTCCTTCTTACCCTTGGGGAAAAGGATGACCACCTATTAGAGGTATTTGAGACCTCAACATACAGAAAGTTGCAGAATATTTGCTAATAATCTGAGAGGACTTGTTACACCAAAAGCACCTCCTAGCACCCTGATCTGAAATGTGAGTCAACATTTATAAAGTTGCTCAAAGATTTAATTGAAAACTCCCAAAAGCCACTATTGGATGTTATTGAAGAGCATACCATTCAAAAAAATTAAAATATTTGCTTTTAATGTCTTTAAAACGTTTCATCATTTTGTCCAGAAGACCAAGACATCATCATTGGGGCTTAATTGAATAGCATTGTAATACCTAAATGCACTATAGGAGTTATTGAACATAGTATTGAAGTATTTGGCTGCAAGTGAAAATCCTTTTTTTTAATTCCGTGTGCAATGATTCTCGACTCTACACACAAGGAGCCGTAAAGACTTAAAAATGATGTCCAGTTCCCACCTCCCAGACCTATTGAATGTGAATATCTGTGGATAAGGCTTGGGTATGTCATTTTTTACTTAAAGGTCTCCCAGGTAATTCTGACGTTTAGCCATGTTTGATGCCCTCTGACTCATAAATTCAGTAGTTTATGTGTAGAATCCCTCCCTAACATATGTACTCACAAAAGAGAAATATACATATATATAAAAAAAGAGAGAAATGTATACCTTTATGAATGTGTGTTATGTATATATGTACATATATACAAATATATTAAGTTACAAACAAATATATTAAGGGTGGCAAATATGCTGACTATGAGCACTTGCCCCCACCTAGGCACTCTGGCTCTGATGTGAATGCAGTGATAGTGGCTGCAAGTGATAAGCTGTGTAGGTGCTCTGGAGGGCAGCCATGGGCCATCATGGTACCTGGCCTCTGAAGGCTATGTCTGCTCTCCAGCCCATATCACCTTTTTTCCTGATATTTGTATTTTATGCTACTTTTTCCTGATAACAAAAGTCATCGTCATTAGGAATAATTACTGAAGGCATAAAAATAAAAACACAAATTAGCAGTGTTTTAACATTTCAAAAGTAATGATCCATATATTGGCATATTTTCTTCCATTTTTCCCTCAAGATATATATATTTGTATCACTATTGCAGATGGTTATATATATTTTTTATTAAATATTACATAACTAACATTTCCATTGTCCATTTTTCCATGTCCATCCCATTAAATACTGTTTCAACACATTTTAATGAATATACTTTTCCCTTTCCCTTATATTTATGTTCTATAACTTACCAAGAACCTATAGAAACTATTTCTAATGTTTTCTTTTATAAATAATAATTCAACAAATATTATTCTATACAAAAGTCATATATATAAATCTATATATAATTATTTATTTTTCTTTTCTTTTCTTTTTTTTTTTTTTTTTTTTGAGACATGGTCTCACTCTGTCGCCCAGGCTGGAGTGCACTGGTGCAATCACAGCTCACTGCAGCCTCGACCTGCTGGGCTCAAGTGTTCCTCCCTCAGCCTCCTGGACAGCTTGCACTACAGGTGTCAGCCACCATGCCAGGTTAATTTTTTGAATTTTTTTTTGTAGAGACAGGGTGTCACCATATTTCCCAAGCTGGTCTTGAACTCTTGGGTTCAAGCAATTTGCCCACCACAGCCTCCGAAAATGTTAGGATTACAGGTGTGAGCCATGGTGCCTGGCCATATGTGATTTATTTTTTAGAAAATATTGAAGATAAAAGGGCAAGTGAGGAGATTTTTAAAAATTCTTCACATGTGTTTCCCAATGAATAAAAGTTCATGTAATGAACTCTCACTTGGAGGGTAGAAGAGTGACTGTTTCACCTTTTCTTCAGTCATATTGAGAATTACAAATTACAAAATTTTTAGCTAATTTTACATTGAAACAATGTCATTGTTGTTTTAATATTAATCTCTTTCATTACCAGTGAAGATGGATCTTCTGGGAATTGTCTGTTCATGGCCCTTTTAGTGGTTTATTAGTGCTTTCCTCTCTATTTTACGACCTCTTTATATAAGGCACTAACCTAACGTTTGTCATATTTGTGGCCCATATGTTTCTAGATTTTAAATTGCCTTATAACTTATTTATGGTGTTCTTTTGCATCTAAATGCTTTTGTTTATACATTGCCAAGTTTGCCTATTTACATTGATACTTTTTATCATTCTGTGTAAGCTTAGGAAAACTTTCCCACCCCAGAATCAATGAACAATTTACATCTACTTTCTTCTAGTTTATTGTGCTTTCATTTCTCACTTTTAAATATTTAAATAACATGGAATTCAATTTGGTGTTGTATGAATTGCGAGCCAGCAAACTTGATTTTTCCCCAATACTAAATTTATTGAACAGTTCATTCCTTAATTATTATTCAATCTTATACATCCATATAGGTATGTTTATATTACAGACTATGCGATCTAATTTTTTTATTTTGTTCTAATATCAAATTAAAAAGAGGCCAGCTGTGGTGGCTCATGCCTGTAATCCCAGCACTTTGGGAGGCCGAGGCGGGCGGATCACAAGGTCAGGAGTTTGAGACCAGCCTGGCCAACAAGGCGAAACCCTGTCTCTACTAAAAATACAAAAATTAGCTGGGTGTGGTGGCAGGAGCCTGTAATCCCAGCTGCTCGGGAGGTTGAGGCAGGAGAATCACTTGAACCGGAGAGATGGAGGTTGCAGTAAGCCGAGATTGTGCCATTGCACTCCAGCCTGGGCAAAAAGAGCAAAACTCTGTCTCAAAAAAAAAAAAAAAAAAAAAGAAAAAAGAAAACTTCTGGACTCATACACTTAAAAATAGCTTGAAAATACCCTTTCATTTTTTTTCTCTTTTGTAAAACTTTCTCAAATGTTCTTTAAATTACATGTATACTTTTATTTTGTCTGTAAGATTTTATTTTAATTTTGCCTCTATTTAAAAACTGTTGCGTACTTGAGTCATTTTATTTTTAAAGCCCATCCTAAGAAACTTAACCATTCAATGAGATTAATTTACTTAACTTTATTGGCATCTCTAATATGTTCAAACATCTGTCATCATTTTGTTGGCAAGTTTTCTATTTTTCTTTTATTTGTTTTTTTAGCTGCCTTGCTCATTAATTTGTTTTTTGATTTGCTAGGTGTGTATTTGTTTCTTACTATTTTTGTTGAGAATATATTTATGATTTCTCACTATAAAAGATAAAAACTTTCTCTCAATATTTTCAATCTTTGTAAATTTAATATACAGTAATATACTTAATCTATTAGTACATAATTTTTTCTTTAATAATACAGTTCTTTTTTTCAGCAATAACTAACTTTTGGATTAGTCATCATCAAGTAAAATACAAATACTCCAATAGAAACATAGATATCATTTTCTGGCAGGGGAGGAGCCAAGATGGCCAAATAGGAACAGCTCCGGTCTACAGCTCCCAGCCTGAGCGACACAGAAGATGGGTGATTTCTGCATTTCCATCTGAGCTTTGAAGAGAGCAGTGGTTCTCCCAGTACGCAGCTGGAGATCTGAGAACGGGCAGACTGCCTCCTCAAGTGGGTCCCTGACTCCTGACCCCCGAGCAGCCTAACTGGGAGGCACCCTCCAGCAGGGGCACACTGACACCTCACACTGCAGGGCATTCCAACAGAACTGCAGCTGAGGGTCCTGTCTGTTAGAAGGAAAACTAACAAACAGAAAGGACATCCACACCAAAAACCCATCTGTACATCACCATCTTCAAAGACCAAAAGTAGATAAAACCACAAAGATGGGGAAAAAACAGAACAGAAAAACTGGAAACTCTAAAAATCAGAGCGCCTCTCCTCCTCCAAAGGAACGCAGCTCCTCACCAGCAATGGAACAAAGCTGGACGGAGAATGACTTTGACGAGCTGAGAGAAGAAGACTTCAGACGATCAAATGACTCTGAGTTACGGGAGGACATTCAAACCAAAGGCAAAGAAGTTGAAAACTTTGAAAAAAATTTAGAAGAATATATAACTAGAATAAACAATACAGAGAAGTGCTTAAAGGAGCTGATGGAGCTGAAAATCAAGGCTCAAGAACTACGTGAAGAATGCAGAAGCCTCAGGAGCCAATGTGATCAACTGGAAGAAAGGGTATCAGTAATGGAAGACGAAATGAATGAAATGAAGCGAGAAGGAAAGTTTAGAGAAAAAAGAATAAAAAGAAATGAGCAAAGCCTCCAAGAAACATGGGACTATGTGAAAAGACCAAATCTACGTCTGATTGGTGTACCTAAAAGTGATGGGGAGAATGGAACCAAGTTGGAAAACACTCTGCAGGATATTATCCAGGAGAACTTCCCCAATCTAGCAAGGCAGGCCAACGTTCAGATTCAGGAAATACAGAGAATACCACAAAGATACTCCTCGAAAAGAGCAACTCCAAGACACATAATTGTCAGATTCACCAAAGTTGAAATGAAGGAAAAAATGTTAAGGGCAGCCAGAGAGAAAGGTTGGGTTACCCTCAAAGGGAAGCCCATCACACTAACAGTGGATCTCTTGGCAGAAACCCTACAAGCCAGAAGAGAGTGGGGGCCAATATTCAACATTCTTAAAGAAAAGAATTTTCAACCCAGAATTTCATATCCAGCCAAACTAAGCTTCATAAGTGAAGGAGAAATAAAATCCTTTACAGACAAGCAAATGCTGAGAGATTTTGTCACCACTAGGCCTGCCCTAAAAGAGCTCCTGAAGGAAGCACTAAACATGGAAAGGAACAACCAGTACCAGCCGCTGCAAAATCATGCCAAAATGTAAAGACCGTCGAGACTAGGAAGAAACTGCATCAACTAACGAGCAAAATAACCAGCTAACATCATAATGACAGAATCAAATTCACACATAACACTATTAACTTTAAATGTAAATGGACTAAATGCTCCAATTAAAAGACACAGACTGGCAAATTGGATAAAGAGTCAAGACCCATCAGTGTGCTGTATTCAGGAAACCCATCTCACATGCAGAGACACACATAGCCTCAAAATAAAAGGATGGAGGAAGATCTACCAAGCAAATGGAAAACAAAAAAAGGCAGGGGTTGCAATCCTAGTCTCTGATAAAACAGACTTTAAACCAACAAAGATCAAAAGAGACAAAGAAGGCCATTACATAATGGTAAAGGGATCAATTCAACAAGAAGAGCTAACTATCCTAAATATATATGCACCCAATACAGGAGCACCCAGATTCATAAAGCAAGTCCTGAGTGACCTACAAAGAGACTTAGACTCCCACACATTAATAATGGGAGACTTTAACACCCCACTGTCAACATTAGACAGATCAACAAGACAGAAAGTCAACAAGGATACCCAGGAATTGAACTCAGCTCTGCACCAAGCGGACCCAATAGACATCTAAAGAACTCTCCACCCCAAATCAACAGAATATACATTTTTTTCAGCACCACACCACACCTATTCCAAAATTGACCACACAGTTGGAAGTAAAGCTCTCCTCAGCAAATGTAAAAGAACAGAAATTACAATAAACTATCTCTCAGACCACAGTGCAATCAAACTAGAACTCAGGATTAAGAATCTCACTCAAAACCGCTCAACTACATGGAAACTGAACAACCTGCTCATGAATGACTACTGGGTACATAACGAAATGAAGGCAGAAATAAAGATGTTCTTTGAAACCAACGAGAACAAAGACACAACATACCAGAATCTCTGGGATGCATTCAAAGCAGTGTGTAGAGGGAAATTTATAGCACTACATGCCCACAAGAGAAAGCAGGAAAGATCCAAAATTGACACCCTAACATCACAATTAAAAGAACTAGAAAAGCAAGAGCAAACACATTCAAACGCTAGCAGAAGGCAAGAAATAACTAAAATCAGAGCAGAACTGAAGGAAATAGAGACACAAAAAACCCTTCAAAAAATTAATGAATCCAGGAGCTGGTTCTTTGAAAGGATCAACAAAATTGATAGACCACTAGCAAGACTAATAAAGAAAAAAAGAGAGAAGAATCAAATAGATGCAATAAAAAATGATAAAGGGGATATCAGCACCGATCCTACAGAAATACAAACTACCATCAGAGAATACTACAAACACCTCTACGCAAATAAACTAGAAAATCTAGAAGAAATGGATAAATTCCTTGACACATACACTCTCCCAAGACTAAACCACGAAGAAGTTGAATCTCTGAATAGACCAATAACAGGATCTGAAATTGTGGCAATAATCAATAGCTTACCAACCAAAAAGAGTCCAGGACCAGATGGATTCACAGCTGAATTCTAACAGAGGTACAAGGAGGAACTGGTACCATTCCTTCTGAAACTATTCCAATCAATAGAAAAAGAGGGAATCCTCCCTAACTCATTTTATGAGGCCAGCATCATTCTGATACCAAAGCCGGGCAGAGACACAACCAAAAAAGAATTTTAGACCAATATCCTTGATGAACATTGATGCAAAAATCCTCAATAAAATACTGGCAAAACGAATCCAGCAGCACATCAAAAAGCTTATCCACCATGATCAAGTGGGCTTCATCCCTGGGATGCAAGGCTGGTTCAATATACGCAAAGCAATAAATGTAATCCAGCATATAAACAGAGCCAAAGACAAAAACCACATGATTATCTCAATAGATGCAGAAAAGGCCTTTGACGAAATTCAACAACCTTTCATGCTAAAAACTCTCAATATATTAGGTATTGATGGGACATATTTCAAAATAATAAGAGCTATCTATGACAAACCCACAGCCAATATCATACTGAATGGGCAAAAACTGGAAGCATTCCCTTTGAAAACTGGCACAAGACAGGGATGCCCTCTCTCACCACTCCTATTCAACATAGTGTTGGAAGTTCTGGCCAGGGCAATTAGGCAGGGGAAGGAAATAAAGGGTATTCAATTAGGAAAAGAGGAAGTCAAATTGTCCCTGTTTGCAGATGACATGATTGTATATCTAGAAAACCCCATTGTCTCAGCCCAAAATCTCCTTAAGCTCATAAGCAACTTCAGCAAAGTCTCAGGATACAAAATCAATGTGCAAAAATCACAAGCATTCCTATACACCAACAACAGACAAACAGAGAGCCAAATCATGAGTGAACTCCCATTCACAATTGCTTCAAAGAGAATAAAATACCTAGGAATCCAACTTACAAGGGATGTGAAGGACCTTTTCAAGGAGAACTACAAACCGCTGCTCAAGGAAATAAAAGAGGATACAAACAAATGGAAGAACATTCCATGCTGATGAGTAGGAAGAATCAATATCGTGAAAATAGCCATATTGCCCAAGGTAATTTATAGATTCAATGCCATCCCCATCAAGCTACCAATGACTTTCTTCACACAATTGGAAAGAACTACTTTAAAGTTCATATGGAACCAAAAAAGAGCCCGCATCGCCAAGTCAATCCTAAGCCAAAAGAACAAAGCTGGAGGCATCACACAATCTGACTTCAAACTATACTACAAGGCTACAGTAACCAAAACAGCATGGTACTGGTACCAAAACACAGATATAGATCAATGGAACAGAACAGAGCCCTCAGAAATAACGCCGCAAATCTACAGCTATCTGATCTTTGACAAACCTGAGAAAAACAAGCAATGGGGAAAGGATTCCCTATTTAATAAATGGTGCTGGGAAAACTGGCTAGCCATGTGTAGAAAGCTGAAACTGGATCCCTTCCTTACACCTTATACAAAAATCAATTCAAGATGGATTAAAGACTTACATGTTAGACCTAAAACCATAAAAATCCTAGAAGAAAACCTAGGCATTACCATTCAGGACATAGGCATGGGCAAGGACTTCATGACTAAAACACCAAAAGCAATAGCAACAAAAGACAAAATTGACAAATGGGATCTAATTAAACTAAAGAGCTTCTGCACAGCAAAATAAACTACCATCAGAGTGAACAGGCAACCTACAAAATGGGAGAAAATTTTTGCAACCTAATCATCTGACAAAGGGCTAATATGCAGAATCTACAATGAACTCAAACACATTTACAAGAAAAAAACAAACCCCATCAAAAAGTGGGCGAAGGACATGAACAGAGATTTCTCAAAAGAAGACATTTATGCAGCCAAAAAGCACATGAAAAAATGCTCACCATCACTGGCCATCAGAGAAATGCAAATCAAAACCACAATGAGATACCATCTTACACCAGTTAGAATGGCAATCATTAAAAAGTCAGGAAACAACAGGTGTTGGAGAGGATGTGGAGAAATAGGAACACTTTTACACTGTTGGTGGGACTGTAAACTAGTTCAACCATTATGGAAGTCAGTGTGGTGATTCCTCAGGGATCTAGAACTAGAAATACCATTTGACCCAGCCATCCCATTACTGGGTATATACCCAAAGGACTATAAATCATGCTGCTATAAAGACACACGCACATGTATGTTTATTGCGGCATTATTCACAATAGCAAAGACTTGGAACCAACCCAAATGTCCAACAGTGATAGACTGGATTAAGAAAATGTGGCACATATACACCATGGAATACTATGCAGCCATAAAAAATGATGAGTTCATGTCCTTTGTAGGGACATGGATGAAATTGGAAACCATCATTCTCAGTAAACTATTCCAAGAACAAAAAACCAAATGCTGCATATTCTCACTGATAGGTGGGAATTGAACAATGAGATCACATGGACACAGGAAGGGGAACATCACACTCTGGGGACTGTTGTGGGTTGGGGGGAGGGGGGAGGGATAGCATTGGGAGATATACCTAATGCTAGATGACGAGTTAGTGGGTGCAGGACACCAGCATGGCACATGTATGCGTATGTAACTAACCTGCACAATGTGCACATGTACCCTAAAACTTAAAGTATAATAATAAAAAAAATATAAATAAATACAACTCTATTTTCTGATCTCAAAAAAAAAAAAAAAAAAAAGAAATATAGCTATCATTCAGAAATGGGCAATTTACAAAAGAAAACAAATTTCTACTAATGATATCACAATTACAAATTCCATGTGTAAATATGAGCATATTAATTATTACCTGTTAATTAAAATATGCATTTTTAATTGTAAGACTTATCTTTAAAGGGAAGAGGGAGAAATTAATTTTTACATCTGTTCTTGGGTATCTTTCTGGTGAGAATTAGTATCGAAAGCCTTTGAAATGATCACATATTCTGACCTGGAAATTCTATTTCTAAGTGTTGTCCAATAAGAATAATGGCACCTATATTAATAAACATACCAAAACAATCAAATAGTATTTATAATAATGAAAAAAACTATTTAAATATCCCACAATAAGAATATCTTTCATTTATCAAGCACTTGCTATGTGACATACATATAATTTTATACATAATTTTCACAACAACCTAGGGAGGTAGATGCTATTAATATTCTTGTTTTATAGATTTGAAAACTGATACATAGAGCTAGTAATGGCTCATGCCAATCGGAACTCAGGCAGCCTAGTTCCAGAATCTGGGCTTTAACCAGTGATACAACAGCTGCTTCTCAACAATGACCAGTTTAATTTAATGTAGTCAGTCTAAGCAATATGAGATTAATTGCCTTCATTCTATTCTATACTCATGCAATTGAATAATCTACTTCTATGCTTGAGTTTCTGACTTTGATTAGCTTCTAAGTTGGTTTGATCTATGAATACAGTCTCAAAAAATATGCACTAGAGTTACAGGTTCTGAGTCACATCATGGTCACCTTTATACATAATCAACAATCTGGTTGGACATAAAAGTCTTGGGACACAATCATTTCTTTGCAAAACTTGATGTTTGTTTCTCCATTGTAATTTAGCACTTTGTGTTGTGTTATGCATTTAATGTTTAAAAGTTATGAAAATTTTTGGACCAAAAAAAGACTAAATTTATTCTGTTTATATATGAAATTATTTGCAGGAATGTATTCTTCCCTTTTGTCATCAAATACTTTCTTTCATGCTCAATATCTTTCAATGTCACTGAGTGATTATCTATCTGATTTTGGTTTTAGCCTAGAATTGGAATGAGATTTTATAGGACCTCTTGCTTCCATACAGCTTAGAGAGGTGGGATGGGCATCTTCCCGGCAGTGTCTTTTTCTCAATACCTTCACAACTTTGCAGTATAAAAACAAAGTTCAGGTTAATGTGTACAGCCCAATTGCAATGCCTAAGCATCAATGAACCTCTCCAGGGCTGCTGGATAAAGACAGAATTACTCTGACACTTATGGTCAGTTATTCTAAGAGTACGGAGGCATTTGGAGTCTATTTTGAGCAATTTAATGAATGAAAGACTACACTCCACTTCTATTTTTTTCTAGCAGTTTTATGTTTTCCCGTTTTATTTTCAATTTTCCCCCTAACTAAACTTCCTGTATATCTGTGTTCACTTTTCCTCTTTCAGCTAGTTGTATGCCTTAGAAGATCAATTTTGGGAAAATGTATCAGAATTTTTTTCCTGTCCCATAAAATGTCTTTATTATATACGAGGTAAGCATATAACTTTTTCTATTCAGTGTGCTTACTGTATTCTGAGGTAGGAACTTACAGTAGGGAAGAGTTTGAAGGTCTTTGCCTATATATATATATTTTAAGATACCTGCCTTGCTCTGCTTTGAAGGATAGATCACAAGGATACAGTCAAGGAAGTGTTGTTTTATGATTCACACCATCCACAATGGAGGTAGCACAAAGTTTCCCAAATAACCACCAATGACCTTCTCTTTAGCTATCAATGCTATTGCCAGTTTTCTTGCAATTTTATGGAAACATTGGAAGGAGATATATAAGAATAATTTAGCCATATTGAGTCAAAACACTCTCTGCACCCCTTTTTCATCTTATGAAAAATATCCAACAAAACATGCATGTCATAGGCTCTTTATACTTGTTTCATGTGTAATATAAATATGTACTCTCTTTTGATCTTCTTAAGATTGTTTACATGCACTACTGACTTCCATAAAAACATTAATGAACAATGCTGATATTTTAGGGGACATATAAAAGGCAGATAACAGTACACTTCAAATAGCAAAAACAAACAAAATAACTGGGATTTTTTTATTAAATTGCTTAATGAAAACACTTCACTGCATTGTCCCAAAACCAAGATTTCTCTTTTTGCTCCTACACAATATGTTCCTCAGATTTACTGCCTTTGGTCCCCATGCTCTCACATGCACGCTTTCCCTGCCCCCTGCTGCCCAATTACACAGAGAAAATTCAGGTCTACCCGGCTTCTATCTTCAAACTTTATAATAGTAACCCAGACCACCTTCAGTCCTCATAAAAAAAAGGTTATTAGTTAAACACCTTACACACAAGCATCAATGAATCATATTTTGTTATTTAAAATCTAATACCCCTATGATACTAATCAAAATAATTTTATGAGGCCAGCATCATCCTGATACCAAAGCCGGGCAGAGACACAACCAAAAAACAGAATTTTAGACCAATATCCTTGATGAACATTGATGCAAAAATCCTCAGTAAAATACTGGCAAACCAAATCTAGCAGCACATCAAAAAGCTTATCCACCATGATCAAGTGGGCTTCATCCCTGGGATGCAAGGCTGGTTCAATATATGCAAATCAATAAATGTAATCCAGCATATAAACAGAACCAAAGACAAAAACCACGTGATTACCTCAATAGATGCAGAAAAGGCCTTTGACAAAATTCAACAACCCTTCATGCTAAAAACTCTCAATAAATTAGGTATTGATGGGACGTATCTCAAAATAATAAGAACTATCTGTGACAAACCCACAGCAAATATCATACTGAATGGGCAAAAACTGGAAGCATTCCCTTTGAAAACTGGCACAAGACAGGGATGCCCTCTCTCACCACTCCTATTCAACATAGTGTTGGAAGTTTTGGCCAGGGCAATTAGGCAGGGGAAGGAAATAAAGGGTATTCAATTAGGAAAAGAGGAAGTCAAATTGTCCTTGTTTGCAGATGACATGATTGTATATCTAGAAAACCCCATTGTCTCAGCCCAAAATCTCCTTAAGCTCATAAGCAACTTCAGCAAAGTCTCAGGATACAAAATCAATGTACAAAAATCACAAGCATTCTTATACACCAACAACACACAAACAGAGAGCCAAATCATGAGTGAACTCCCATTCACAATTGCTTCAAAGAGAATAAAATACTTAGGAATCCAACTTATAAGGGACGTGAAGGACCTCTTCAAGGAGAACTACAAACCACTGCTCAAGGAAATAAAAGAGGATACAAACAAATGGAAAAACATTCCATGCTCACAGGTAGGAAGAATCAATATCGTGAAAATGGCCATACTGTCCAAGGTAATTTATAGATTCAATGCCATCCCCATCAAGATACCAATGACTTTCTTCACAGAATTGGAAAAAACTGCTTTGAAGTTCATATGGAACCAAAGAAGAGCCCGCATCGCCAAGTCAATCCTGAGCCAAAAGAACAAAGCTGGAGGCATCACACTACCTGACTTCAAACTATACTACAAGGCTACAGTAACTTTTCCAAAAACATACAATGCTATCTCCAAGAGAGAATCTGGTGAATAAAACTTACTCTATCATTTTATGTGTAGGTGGAGATAATTAAGAAAAATGGCTGTATTAACTGTCTTCAATACTAGCCAGCAAATTCTGCCTCACTTCCAAAGACTTTTCACTCTTCACAGATCTAGAGTTTTATTCTCTTTTTATGTGCTTATAATATTTATTTTTTATATCAGTTATTTGGCAGCTAGGTATCTAATATCTTGTTGTATCTCTTATGTTGCTGTCAAAGTTAAAAGAGATTAAGAGTCTAAATCTGTAATATTTTGTTCTTTATTAATTTTGCATTAATTTTATTATTTAGAATATTACTTTAAAATCTTCTTTATCTTGATTATTCAATTTTTTTAACCTCTTCTCAAATTTTGTATTGAAAGCAAGTGCCTTGTTTGCCTCACCCTAGGCCCAGCCTTGAGAGCTCAGTAAACAGATACCTTATACAAATCAAAAATTTACCAATTGGGCTCTTTGGCTCTGTATTCAACTGAAGAAATTGGATCTTAAGCCCAAACCTGGGTTTTTCTGTTGATAGTGTATTCCCAGGTTGCTAGCTGTTTCTCTAGATATAGGTTTGTGCCTACATATGAGACTCCCTACTGCCTTAATCTCTGATGCAGTATGGGCCTCTTGCTGCATCTTAACCATCTGCCTATTTCTTGACCACCACTTTCCAGGCTGAATATGCATCTCAGGATAATCCCCTGTGATAAACCTCTTCTATGATGCCCGGTTGACTCAACTCTCATCCACTGTTTAACCTTGTATCCACTGTACTTTGTATCCCCACTGTACAATCAGGTTTCCTGATTTCTCAGTCTATAAACGAAACCTGCTACTATGCCAATGGCTACCTCTAAGTTGTTTCAAAACTTTTAGTTTGGTGCATCAATTCCCAAATGAGCTTATTCTGCCAAATCCTGTTCTGACTGATAAAATGTGAATAATTTCATAAAAGTCAATAGAAGAAAAAATTCCAAGGAGAAGATTATGGTTCAACAGTCAGAAATGCTATTCAAAATGTTGAATGATTAAAAATCAGGCAAAGGCCATTGATTTGATTATTTTATTGCTTTCTTGGATTTCATAGATGGATGAATTTCATTTCTTTTAATTCAGCACATATTTATTAAAGGCTAGTGTGCTAAGTCCTGCTCATTTCTGTAACAGCATTACATAGCTTAAAGAGATACTCGCAAAATAAATATTGTTGTGTCTCTTAGTTTTCACATATCTTGAACACAATTACAGTAGAATTATTAATAAGACCTTGGTAACCTTTATGGAAGATTTTCAGTATAGTGGTTATGGAAGACACTAAAGTGAAAAATGAAGAGTGATGGGGATGAAGTGGAGTTGGCAGGTAGATTTTTCAAAATTTGATTGTAAGAGAGGAAAGAGCCTTTGCTTTAAAGGGAAAAAATTATTTGTTTATTTTGGTTGTGATTGATTTTTGTCTATGTATATTCATTATGGCTGAGATTTGGGCTTGTTTTCTGATAAGAGGGGAGGATGCAGCTGATAGGTAGAACCTGGAGGATGTACTGACAGAAGAAAATTATGAATCAGAGTTTTAGAAGAGAAGAATTATAAATAAGTTGCATGTGAAAGTATTCACCTCACAAAGAGTAGGCCTATCTATCTGCTACAAGAGAAGCAAATAAACATAAAGAAAATGAGTATTTTGTATGTTTGTGCTAAGGAATGAATTGGAATATTTGTCTAAGGGCCTTGATTTTTTTTCCATTCATACATCATATTTGATCTCCAAATGGTATGGTTTTTGGGAGTAGAACTAAAATCTATTGACAAGCAAAGAATATTTGGGACAATTTTACAAGAACTATGATAGGAAAGAGATGCATAAAATATTTGGCAAAAAGCATTGAGAGCCTATTGATTTCAGGTAGCATGAATTCATGGTAGTCCCTATGTATTAGTCCATTTTCATGCTGCTGATAAAGACATACACAAGACTGGGAAATTTACAAAAGCAAAGAGGTTTATTGGACTTACAGTTCCACATGGCTGAGGAGGCCACACAGTCATGGCAGAAGGTGAAAGGCACATCTCAAATGAAGAGAAGAGCACAAGAGAAGAGACAAGAGAAGAGAGACCTTGTGCAGAGAAACTCCCCATTTTAGAACCATCAGATCTCATGAGACTTATTCACTATCACGAGAACAGTGCAGGAAAGACCTGCCCCCATGATTCAATTACTTCCCACCAGGTTTCTCCCACAACACATGGGAATTGTGGGAATTACAATTCAAGATGAGATTTGGGTGGTGACAAACCCAAACCATATCATTCTGCCCCAATCCCTCCCAAATCTCATGTCCTCACATTTCAAAACTAATCATCCCCTTCTAAAAGTCCCCCAAAGTCTCAACTCATTTCAGCATTAACTCAAAAGTCTACAGTCCAAAATCTCATCTGAGACAAGGCAAGTCCCTTCTGCTTATGAGCCTGTAAAACCAAAAGCAAGTTAGCTACTTCTTAGATACAATGGGGGTACTGATATTGTGTAAATACAGCCATTCCAAATGGGAGAAATTAGTCAAAACAAAGGGGCTACAGGCCCCAGCCCCATGCAAGTCCAAAATCCAGCATGGCAATCAAATCTTAAAGCTCCAAAATGATCTCCTTTGACTCCATGTCACACATCCAGGTCATGCTGATGCAAGAGGTGGGGTCTCATGGTCTTGGGCAGCTCCACTCCTGTGGCTTTGCAGGGTACAGCCTCCCTCCCTGCTGTTTTCACAGGCTGGCATTGAGTGTCTGAGGCTTTTCCAGGTGCATGGTGTAAGCTGTCAGTGGATCTACCATTCTAGGGTCTGGAGGACAATAGCCCTCTTCTCACAGCTCCATTAGGTGGTACCCCAGGAGGGATTCTGTATGGGAGCTCTGACCCCATATTTCTCTTCCACACTGCCTTAACAGAGGTTCTCCATGAGGGCCTCCCTCCTGCGGTAAATTTCTGCCTGGATCTCCAGGCATTTCCATACATCATCTGAAATTTAGGCAGAGGTTCCCCAATCCTCAATTCTTTACTTATATGCACCTGTAGGCTCAACAGCATGGGGAAGTTGCCAAGGCTTTGTGCTTACACCCTCTGAAGCTATGGCCCAAGCTCTACATTGGCACATTCTAGTCATGGCTAAATTGGCTGGGACACAGAACACCAAGTCCCTAAGCTGTACATAGCATGGGATGCTGGGTGCAGCCCATGAAACCATTTTTCCTTCCTAGGCCTCTGGGCCTGTGATGGGAGGTGCTGCTGTGAAGACCTCTGGCATGCCCTGGAGACATTTTCCCCATTGTCTTGGAGATTAACATTTGGCTTCTTGTTACTTATGCAAATTATTTCTGCAGCTGGCTTAAATTTCTCCTCAGAAAATGAGATTTTCTTTTCTATTGCATTTTAAGGCTGCAAATTTTCTGAACTTTTATGCTCTGCATCCCTTATAAAACTGAATGCTTTTAACATCACCCAAGTCACCTCTTGAATGCCTTGCTGCTTAGAAATTTCTTCTGCCAGATACCCTAAATCATCTCTCTCAAGTTCAAAGTTCCACAGATCCCTAGGGCAGCAGTCTCTTTGTTAAAACTTAACAAGTGTCAGCTTTGCACCAGTTCCCAACAAGTTCTTCATCTCCATCAGAGACCACCCCAGCCTGGATTTCACTGCCCATATCATTATCAGCATTTTGGTCAAAGCCATTCAACAAGTCTCTAGGGAGTTTCAAGCTTTCCCATATTTTCCTGTCTTCTTCTGAGCCCTCCAAACTGTTCCAATTCTCTCTGTAACCCAGGTCCAAAATTGCTTCCACATATTCCTGTATCTTTTTAGCAGTGCCCCATTCTGCTGGTACCAATTTACTCTATTAGTCAGTTTTCATGCTGCTAATAAAGACATCCCTGAGACTGGGCAATTTACAATAAAAAAAGAAATTTATTGGACTTACAGTTCTACGTGGCTGGGGAGGCCTCACAATCATCCAGAAGATGAAAGGCACGTTTCACATGGTGCAGACAAGAGAAGAGAGAGATTGTGCAGGAAAACTCCCCTTTTTAGAACCATCAGATCTCATGACACTTATTCACTATCATGAGAACAGCATGGGAAGACTTGCCCCCATGATTCAATTACCTTCTACTGGGTTCCTCCCACAATACATGGGAATTGTGGGAGTTACAACTCAAGATTAGATTTGGGTGGGGACACAGCCAAACCATATTACCCTATCAGTAATTTTGCCGATCAACTAAAAAAAGTGACATACTGGAAATGAGAGATTAGTCGAATACATCATTGTTGTATCCTTATTTCATGTTTAATAGTTATTGCCTTAAACAATATATAAGGTTTTGGGTGCAGAAGCCACATCATATTATTTATTACTCGCAAATTTTCCAGGATGCTTAATATGTTGTAGACGTGTATATGACACAAATAATTAATTGATAGTGAGTCCCTTTCACAAATATCAGATGAGATATGTTCTTCACTTTGAATCTTATCATGTTAGTCCTAATCCAGAGTTATATGTTTATATACCAATGTATAAGTAATTTCCAAAGACTTGAGATAATCATTTTCAGAAATGTTAGTGATACATTCCCAGTTAACAAAAAGAGATATATTTTAGAATAGCTACCACATATGGAAGAAAGAAAATGTAGTGCTGCATAAAAAGCTTACAAATTGTTTATGTAGTATTTACAGCAAAGAACAATTATAACACACCAGAAACCACTCGAGTTACTTTAAGGATTATGCATTATATTGTGAAATGTTTGTTACATAATTACAGAGCATTGGAATCTGCCTACAGCTTTATATTATATAGATGGCTTATGAAATAGTTATAACTGGTCCAAATCACACTAAACACATTTACATTATTTTAAGTTATACATTTTGATTATGCAGTTTTCACTAAAAAGAAATATACTATTTGTAATGTAAAAGAAAATGCTTACTCTCCAATAAACACCTTCAAATTGTTAGTGTTTTAAGTGGCTTCCGAAGTACTTTAAAGCGTGAATGAGCTTACTTGAGAGTAGTGGATTTAAGACTTGCAATAGCCTTAGAATTCATTTTTTCTTAAATAGGTTTGCAAAAGTTATACATGCATATATTTTAAGGCATTGAAGTATAAGGTAACTTCAATAGCTTAGCCCCCATCCCAGTTACAATACATCTTTGAATTCGTTTTTCAAAGTCTATGTAAACATCACTCATGTAATCAGGTAAGAGAACAGCCATTTTGGCAGAACCACTGGTTTAGACTGGAGTCCCATCTGCTCAACATTGTCCCAGCACTTCTCCAACTACAACAGCCATGGAGCTACTTTTGTGAAGCCCCTTAGACTCCAAGAAAACAATCTGGAGCCCTATATTTTGGATAATGTGCCATTTATGCATTCTATGATAACTATTTCACGGCCTTACTGGAGAGAACCCTGCCAAGAGAAAACATTAGTTTGGAAGTACAAAGATGTTGATAGCAAACATTCACCAGTTTTTAATGATTGTATGGAAGTCCCTTGGTAATATGGAGGATGGTATCAAGTAGCAGGTCTTTTACTGCCATAGTTTCAAGATTCCATTTATTTTCATGATAAATTGGAAGCTTAATTCTTTTTCTAAAGTTCTATGTAATTTACCTTGGGAAGATTCTTCACCAGAGAATAAAAGTTTCTAGTTTCTAGTTTACACCTGAATTTCTTCATCCTTAGCAACATAACATTTGCCACTTTACAAGCTGTGTATCACACTGTGGTCCTTAACATGTCTCATTCTGGCTTATTGATGAGACGTTGCCAAGAGCAATGCATTCTTTTATCACCAGGGAGTTATCATTCTACTAGTCTTATGATGCCTGCAGCTTAGAGTTTGATGTGCCTAAATTGTTAAAAATAGGTGTGAAATTGGACTAAACATGTTGAGAGAACTGTCATGACTAACAAAGTTATTTTCATTAGTTTTATTTTTCAGAAATATAAATAAAAATTACACAGTCTGGATGTAACCAACCATACTTAAATTATCATCATTGCTTACTTCCCACTTAACAAAAAATCAAGGTTCTACCTGTAATGCAACTATAATAATTTTCTTATTCATTAAAGTCTGGATAACTGTAAATAAACTATTATATAACCATTCAAACATCAGTATTTTCTGTTCCAAGTTTAATATTCACAAAACTTCATATAAACTTAGGAACTTGAAAATGATATTTTAGAAGTTAGCAAAGAAGATTTTCAGTGACAATTTCAGGTGTTAGGAGGAGAGAATATAAATACATAAAATTAAAGGTGTTTGGAAAAAGAAAACTCACTTGGAAACATGAATTATCTTAGCCACAAAAAGATCATGGGCTTAAATGTTAAGTCAAATGTAGGATTTTCTGGGACAAACAAAAGGAGGCCTAGAAAAAGAAACCTAGCTTGCAGAATATTGGCAATATTGAGGCAATAATAACCACAAGTACTTTGGCATGAAATAGGCCTTTACGAGTTTTTGTTCATTATTAAGTCATTCAGTAAAAAGGTTATGAGAACTTGCATCAATTGTAAAGGCTACTTTTAAAGATAAATGTGGGAGTTGGATTCATTCATACTCCAAACCTCGGCATCATATAATATGCCTTGGTAATGAACCTGCACATGTACACTCCTCCCCCGATTCTAAAATAAAAATTTTTTAAATATTATTTTAAAAATAATAAAGGTATTCAAAGGAGAAAGAGAAGAAAGAGAATGTCAAGAGAGTGCTTCCCTTCCAAGCAGTGAACAGTATAATAAAAGACTCAAGAACATAAGGAAAGCTGGAAATTAGTTAGGAAGCTTAACTAATACCCCCACTTATAATACCACACCTAATATCAATTGTGAACCCTTCAATGTGGCTGAAGAATAGATTTTCCAGAGGGAAGTGATGAGAAATGACAGGCTTTTCTTGATGCTTGGTTTAGGTTTTGTCTTGAAGGCTATAGAAAGCTGTTGAGAAATGATACACAGGGATGTTATATATCAGTTTTAATATTGGCAAGATCATTAGGATTAAAATGAACAAGTAAGGGGATGATGAAGAATACAGGAGTATTCTGTATTGTGTGGTAAATAGTCAAGATGTGGTGCAGATATGAATGGCAATTAGAGTTAGAATTCAAGACATGTAGGATAGCAAAATTTGCAGATACTGTGTTCCTACCAGATAGGGAAAGTAAGAGACCTAGAGAGATATAGGATTATTTTCACACTTGTTGCTTGGCAAATACTAATACCTATGATATAGAGAGTGCTTTCTCTTTACCAGGCATAGTACTAAGGGGTTATATAAATTAACTCATATAATCCTCCCAACAAATTTATGAAGCAGATATTTTCATTATCACTATTTTGTAATAAAGAAAATTGAATAACAGAGAGGTTACATAACTTCTTCATAGATAATAAGTGGCAGCAATGGGTTTTAGACCCATTAGATTTAAATTCAGAACCTACTTTTTAAACCATATTGCACCCCATGATAGGATGAGTATACCTCATTTGTCATGACAGGAAATAAAAGAGAAATACCTCAAAGTAAAAGAATGAATTTATATCCAGAATTAGCTGACAGTGAGCATTCTAATAAGAATTTGGATGTATAGGTCTGCAACCCATTGGTGAGCAAAAAATAAAAAATGATAGTTAAGCTAACAAAATAATAATCTAATTTACTTTCTAGATTGTGTAGCCACTTTCTTTTATCCATCTATGATTACATTTATTTATTCATGTACTCAATCATTTAACAGGTGAGCACTGAATATCTGCCACATGTCAGGCACTCTCCTTGGTTTTGTAGATACACTGGTGAGAAGACAAAATAAAATTTCAGTTATTGATGAACTTAAATTCCAACTGGTAGGTTAAAATACATAAATAAGTGTACTAAATAAATCTATATATTTTTCAGTCTTATAAAAAATGGAACAAACAGGTGTGATAGTGACTACTTGGACTAGGTAAGGACTAGACATTGATTGGTCAGAAAAGATCTCATTAAGTATGTAATATCTGAGATAGTACGTGAACAACAAGGGAGAGTAAGCCATGAAGAGATTCTGGAAAAAGGGAACCTTTGGAATAAAGACTTCCTGATTGGCCAGAATGAGTGAAGGAGAGAATAGTTTTGTAGAGCCTTATAGACAATGCTGCTAATATGTACTGATTCAGCAATACATATTATGACCAATATGTCTTCTGTCGGGTGAATGCTTATTCTACACCTGTTGTTACATGTTTCATATCCCCCTGAATGTAGATGTGATAATTAGAGATTTTCCTCTAAGTTAAACAGAAAACCACAGCAGTGCAGGACATCATTTGAGATACACTTACAAAGAGCTCTCCAGCTAATATTCTATTAATTAGATTGGAGGGATGCACATATTAGATAATCAGTTAGGTGATTATTGGAATAGTACAGGTAGAAAGTAATGGGGATTGGCAAGAGTGGTAGCAGTACAGATGAAAGTATGCGTATGGAGTTTAACAAATTCTGTAACTCTCAGTCAATTCTATTTGTTCATTGGTTGTAGGTTAAAGGGAAAGGAGAAATTAAAGATGACTATTTGTCTTGAGGAAATTATATTTCCATTTACCAAAAGGAGAAAGACTGAAAGAAAAACAGCAAGCACACACAAAAAAACACACACAAAACAAAACAAAAAAACCTCAGAAGAGTTGTATTTGAGCATTGACATGGTTTGGCTCTGTGTCCCCACCCAAATCTAATCCGGAATTTTAATCCCCACGTGTCAAGGGAGAGACTTGTAATCCCCCCGTGTCGAGGGAGGGAGGTGATTAGATTATGGGGGTGGGTTTCCCCATGCTGTTCTCATGATATTGAGTGAGTTCTTACAACATCTGATGGTTTTATAAACTTCTGGCATTTTTCCTGCTTGTACTTCTGTCTCCTGCCACCTTGTGAAGAAAGTGCCTGTTTCCCCTTCACCTTCTGCCATGATTGTATGTTTCCTGAGGCCTCCCCAGCCATGTGGAACTGTGAGTCATTAAACCCCTTTCCTTTATAAATTACCCAGTCTCTGGTATTTCTTTATTGCAGTGTGAGAATGAACTAATACGAACATACTATGTTTGAGATACTTATTATTTTTTAAAAGTGGAAATATGAAATAGGCATTTGGATGGATGAATTTGGAATCCTGTAAAAAATTTGAAATCAGGGCTAAATAAATTTAGGGTTGTCTTGGATTGGATTCCCCAGAAGCAGGCTCTGGAATGAGAATTTATATGCTAGTAATTCATTAGACAAGTGCTCCCAGAAGAAACCAGTAAGAAGGTGGAAAAGAGAATAAGGCCAAGAAATCCCACTGGGAACTCTGAGGAAAAACTTTCAGTGCTATTCGGAAGAGTTGTCCTTTGTTCATTCTTAACTAATATCTCCCCCTGTGCTTATGATCTCTTTCCCTACCATCATCTCAGGGATTTCATTCTTTGTGTTATTTTCTCTTTGTTCTCTGCCTCTAACCTTTTCTTATATACTGTTTTTTTTTCCTCATTGGCACTTTCAGGTACTATACTAAGGCCAAATCCAGTTCAGGAATAAAACAATCTACTAAAATAAAACCAGAAATATCTCTCACTCTCTCCAAAAGCAACTTCCCCCTCTACCTGCTGCCCTATCTCCTTCCCTTTACAGACTAATTTCTTGTTTGTGTTGTCTAAACTTGTGGCATCTACTTTACCTCCCTCTCGCTAGTCAAATTACTTTTATTTGGCACACAAAACTTCACTTAAACTGCTTTTCTCAAGGCCAACAATGATATATTTGTCCCTAAATTAAATGGATACTTTTCAGATGTCATGCTTCTTGATCTCTGGGTAGAATTTCAAACTTTTAACAATTTCTTGCTTTATAAAGCTTTCTTTTTCTTAGCTTCTGTAGCATGCAACATTCTAGTTGATAAGAATTCATACTCTGTGATTTCCTTGTAATGCACAAATATCTCTCATTCCCTTTCAGCCTGACTGCATGCATCCCTTTCTTCAAATGTTACCTAAATGTTGCTGGCACCAAGATTGTGCTCTCTTCTTATTCATTTACATTCACCAATTGGGTACTCTCAGTCATTCCTAGAAATGTAATTAGCATATACTTATATATGAATCCCAAATTGAATTCAATAGAAACTCAAAGATCCAGACTCATATTGTTCACTAGATATAATTATTTGAATCTCTCATAGGTCCTTCAAAATCATATTCTTTACTTCTAGTGCTAATCAAGATGGAGTAGGCCCACTACAGCCTATGCCCTTCACTAATTACAACTGTCAACTGAGCACAATATGAAAAACAGCTAACAGAAGACATAAAAATAAGCAATAACAGGAAAATTGGCAAGAGAAGTCAAAAGTTGAAAAACAAAAATCACTGTCAACTTTCCTGTTTATTTTTTTTCTTTAATTTCCAGCTTTGACTTGAGATTAATCTCTTTGCCAGCTACACTACCCCAATAAAAATAATAGTGTGGGTATGTGAAATCCAGAGAGAAAAATCAACCCCTCTGGCCAGAGAAATCAAGAAAATTGTCTCCTGAGAACCAGCTTATATGTGTTGGAAACTCTTTTTTTCACTCTTTTTAATTACTATGTTGTCTATAGGGCAGCCCAGTTGCACACAGATGTACAAGTGCACAGGAACTAAAACTCTGAAATAAATCTTTCCTTCTAACTAGATTAACTAAGAAAAGGACATTCTGGGATATGGAAAATGTAGAGAAAAATAAAAAAGAAAAAGTGGAGGAAGCTAAAGAATTTTATTCACTAATTCTGTGTGCACAAAAACTCAAGTCCTGGACTCATGGGTATACCAAGTCTTCAGCCGCACATGCATGGGCTAGATCTAAACAAACACAGCACAAGCTGTTATATAAACCACTGACCATGCCTAGATTAACCTTAGGGTGGTATATGCATAGTACAGATCTAAAAAACATATCACTGAGTGTGAAAACTGAACTTGACATTATAACCACAGCACACAGATGGTGAGATCAGAGTTGGATCCTAAATCTAACTGGGTTTACAGACAGCAAACACACACACATACACACATTAACATTCTTTGCGAGTTTTAATAGGACCTAGAGCTCCACAACATGATATGAAATATCTAGAACATAATCCAAAAGAAGGGGGAGAATCTCACCAATTTGAAGGGGAAAAACATAAACAGATGCCAAAACCAGAAATTATCAAAGACTTAAAAAGCAGTCATTATAATCATTCTTTATGAGATAAAGATGGATTCCTGAAATTTTTGGAAATAAATATGTTTTGCTGAGTGGTGTGTGTGTCTGTGTGTGTGTGTGTGAAAGAGAGAAAGAGAGACAAAAAAGTAAACAAATAGGGACTAAAGGACTGAAAAGTTTAGATCTAAAAGAAAAATTCACTGGGTTCAATTAAGTGGGAGAGATAACAGTAAATAATCAATGAATTTAAAGCTAGATCAATAGAAATCAGTCACTTTGAAGAGCAGAAACAACAAAGATTTTTTAGAAAACATGAGCAGAGACTCAGTGAAAAGTGGGTCAATATCAAAAGTTCTAACATTGAATTACTGAGGAAAGTAAAATAAAAAGAGACTGATACAGAAAAAATATTTTACAAAACAATGGTGCCAAACACCCCAAATTTGTTGAAAGACAAACATACAGATTCAAAGCTCATCTGATACTCAAAGGGATAAACTCAAGGAAAATCATGCTCAGAGTCATCAAAATAGAGCTGCTAAAAACCAAACATAAAGAATAAACCTTGAAAGCAACCAGAGAAAATGACACACTGCATATCAGAGAGCTGCACTTTCATTTAGATTACTTACCAGGAAAAAATGAAGGAGGACAGAAGACAGAGAGAGAATATACCATTCTTAAGTGGTATTAGTATTGAAACAACAACAAAAATGTCAACACAAAGTTCTATATTCATTTAAAATATCTTTCAGGAAAAACAAATTTGAAATTTTCAGATGAAGAAAAATTAAGAAAATCTGTTGCCAACAGACCTGATATAAAAGAAATGCTAAATAAAGTTCTTCAAATGTAAGGGAAATTTTAACAGAAGAAAACCTGGAATGTAAGGAATGAAGAAAGAGTAACCAAAATGGTATGCTTCTGGGTAATTAGAATAGACTTTCTCCTCTTGAGTCCTTCAAAATATGAAAGACAAAGCAAAAAGTATATGGTGTTGAACCTTGAACAACATGGGTTTCAACTGCATGGGTCCACTTATATCCAGATTTTTTTCAATAAAAGTTACAAAGAATATGTCTGCCTCTCCTGTCCCCCCTTCCACCTCCGCCACCTTTTCCCTCCACTGCCACCTGAGACAGCAAGACAACCCCTTCTGTTTCTCCTCCTCCTCAGCTTACTCAAATAAAGACTGTGAGGATAAAGACCTTTATGATGATCCACTCCCACTTAACAAATAGTAAATATATTTTTCTCTCATTACTTTTCTAATTAGGATTTTATTTTCTGTAGCTTACTGTATTGTAAGAATACAGTAAATAAAACATATAGCACACAAAATATGAGCTAATTGACAGTTTATGTTATCTGTAAGGCTTCCAGTCGACATAAGGCTATTAGTAGTTCAGATCTTGAGGAGTTAAAACTTACACATGGGTTTTCAACTGCAGGGGTGATGTTTTCAATGTATATAGGTCTAAAATGTATATATTTTTAGTATTTATACTAAATGTATATATTTTTAGTATATATACTAAATATATACTAAATGTATATATTTTTAGTATATATACTAAATATATACTAAATGTATATATTTTTAGTATATATACTAAATATATACTAAATGTATATATTTTTAGTATATATACTAAATATATACTAAATGTATATATTTTTAGTATATATACTAAATATATACTAAATGTATATATTTTTAGTATATATACTAAATATATACTAAATGTATATATTTTTAGTATATATACTAAATATATACTAAATGTATATATTTTTAGTATATTTTGTTTAGTATATTTAGTATATACTAAATACATACTAAATGTATATATTTTTAGTATATATACTAAAAATAATAGAAAGAGAAATAGACAAAACGCAAGTAGATAAGTTAAAATAAAATTCTAAAAACCATTCAAAAAATAATAGGAAATTGTGAAAGAAGGAACAAAAAGAGAGAAGACAATTAAAACAAATAATTAAATGGTGGATAAAAAATATAACCACATTGATAACTACATTAAAATTAAATGGTCTAAGTGCACTCATTAGAAGACAAAAAAAAGTTAGACTGTGTAAAATAAGAAGAGCCAATGACATATTATCTTAAAAAAACTTTAAATATACTACAGAAAAATCAAAGATAAAAATCTACACAAGAAGAACAAAGCTGGAAGCATCACGCTACCTGACTTCAAACTGTACTACAAGGCTACAGTAACAAAAACAGCATGGTACTGGTACCAAAACAGATATATAAACCAATGGAACAGAACAGAGGCATCAGAAATACTGCCACACATCTACAACCATCTGATCTTTGACAAACATGACTGTCAGGCCTCTGAGCCCAAGCTAAGCCATCGCATCTCCTGTGACTTGCATATATATGCCCAGATGGCCTGAAGTAACTGAAGAATCACAAAAGAAGTGAATATGCCCTGCCCCACCTTAACTGATGAGATTCCACCACAAAAGAAGTGTAAATGGCCGGTCCTTGCCTTAACTGATGACATTACCTTGTGAAAGTCCTTTTCCTGGCTCATCCTGGCTCAAAAAGCACCCCCACTGAGCATCTTGCGACCCCCACTCCTGCCCGCCAGAGAACAAACCCCCTTTGACTGTAATTTTCCTTTACCTACCCAAATCCTATAAAATGGCCCCACTCTTATCTCCCTTCCCTGACTCTCTTTTCAGACTCAGCCCGCCTGCACCCAGGTGAAATAAACAGCCATGTTGCTCACACAAAGCCTGTTTGGTGGTCTCTTCACACGGATGCACATGAAATTTGGTGCCGTGACTCGGATCGGGGGACCTCCCTTGGGAGATCAATCCCCCGTCCTCCTGCTCTTTGCTCCGTGAGAAAGATCCACCTACGACCTCAGGTCCTCAGACCGACCAGCCCAATGAACATCTCACCAATTTTAAATCAGGTAAGCAGCCTCTTCTTACTCTCTTCTCCAACCTCTCACTGTCCCTCAACCACTTTCTCCTTTCCACTCTTCAATCTCTCCCTTCTCTTAATTTCAATTCCTTTCATTTTCTGGGAGAGACAAAGGAGACACATTTTATCCGTGGACCCAAAACTCCGGCGCTGGTCACAGACTGGGAAGGCAGCCTTCCCTTGGTGTTTAATCATTGCAGGGACACCTCTCTGATTATTCACCCATGTTTCAAAGGTGTCAGACCATGCAGTGATGCCTACCTTGGTCCTTCACCCTCAGCAGCAAGTCCCGCTTTTCTGGGGAAGGGGCAAGTACCCCAACCTCTTCTCTCCTTTTCTCTACCCCTTCTCTGCTTTCCTGGGGCAGGGGCAAGTACCCCCCAACCCTTTTCTCCTTCACCCTTAGCGGCAAGTCCTGCTTTCCTGGGGCAGGGGCAAGTACCCCTCAACCCCTTCTCTTTCACCCTTAGTGGCAAGTCCCGCTTTTCTAGGGGGAAAGAACCCCCAGTCCCTTATTTCTGCACCCCAACCTCGTATCTCTGTGCCCCAATCCCTTATTTCCATGCCCCGACCCCTTATTTCCGTGCCCCAACCCCTTATTTCTGTGCCCTATCCCTTATTTCCATGCCCCAACCTCTTATCTCTGCACCCCAACCCCTTTTCCCACTTTTCTGGAAGGTAAGAACCCCCGAACCCCTTCCCTCCATTTCTCTACTCTCTCTTTTCTCTAGGCTTGCTTCCTTCACTATAGGCAACCTTCCACCCTCCATTCTTCCCTCTACTCCCTTGGCCTGTGTTCTCAAAAACCTAAAACCACTTCAACTCACATCTGACCTAAAACCTAAATGCCTTATTTTCTTCTGCAATGCCGCTTGACCCCAATACAAACTTGACAGTAGTTCCAAATAGCCAGAAAATGGCACTTTGAAGTTTTCCATCCTGCAAGATCTAAATAATTCTTGTCGTAAAATAGGCAAATGGTCTGAGGTGCCTGATATCCAGGCATTCTTTTACACATCAGTCCCTTCCTAGTCTCTGTGCCCAGTGCAACTCGTCCCAAATCTTCCTTCTTTCCCTCCCGCCTGTCCCCTCAGTCCCAACCCCAAGCATCACTCAGTCTTTCTAATCTTCCTTTTCTACAGACCCATCTGACCTCTCCCCTCCTTGCCAGGCCAAGCTAGGTCCCAATTCTTCCTCAGCCTCCGCTTCTCCACCCTATAATCTTTTTATCGCCTCCCCTCCTCACACCTGGTCTGGCTTACAGTTTCGTTCTGTGACTAGCCCTCCCCCACCTGCCCAGCAATTTACTCTTAAAAAGGTGGCTGGAGCCAAAGGCATAGTCAAGGTTAATGCTCCTTTTTCTTTATCCCAAATCAGATAGCGTTTAGGCTCTTTTTCATCAAATATAAAAATCCAGCCCAGTTCATGGCTCGTTTGGCAGCAACCCTGAGAGGCTTTACAGCCCTAGACCCTAAAAGGTCAAAAGGCCGTCTTATTCTCAATATACATTTTATTACCCAATCTGCTCCCGACATTAAATAAAACTCCAAAAATTGGAATCTGGCCCTCAAACCGCACAACAGGACTTAACCTCACCTTCAAGGTGTACAATAACAGAAAAAAGTTGCAATTCCTTGCCTCCACTGTGAGACAAACCCCAGCCACATCTCCAGCACACAAGAACTTCCAAACGCCTGAACCGCAGCAGCCAGGCGTTCCTCCAGAACCTCCTCCCCCAGGAGCTTGCTACACATGCCGGAAATCTGGCCACTGGGCCAAGGAATGCCCGCAGCCCGGGATTCCTCCTAAGCCGCATCCCATCTGTGTGGGACCCCACTGAAAATCGGGCTGTTCAACTCACCTGGCAGACACTCCAGAGCCCCTGGAACTCTGGCCCAAGGCTCTCTGACTGACTCCTTCCCAGATCTACTCGGCTTAGCAGCTTAAGACTGACACTGCCCGATCGCCTCAGAAGCCCCCTAGACCATCACGGACGCCGAGCTTCAGGTAACTCTCACAGTGGACGGTAAGCCCGTCCCCTTCTTAATCAATACGGAGGCTACCCACTCCACATTACCTTCTTTTCAAGGGCCTGTTTCCCTTGCCTCCATAACTGTTGTGGGTATTGACGGCCAGGCTTCTAAACCTCTTAAAACTCCCCAACTCTGGTGCCAACTTAGACAATACTCTTTTAAGCACTCCTTTTTAGTTATCCCCACCTGCCCAGTTCCCTTATTAGGCTGAGACACTTTAACTAAATTATCTGCTTCCCTGACTATTCCTGGACTACAGCTATATCTCATTGCCGCCCTTCTTCCCAATCCAAAGCCTCCTTTGCGTCCTCCTCTTGTATCCCCCCACCTTAACCCACAAGTATAAGTTACCTCTACTCCCTCCTTGGCAACCGACCATGCACCCCTTACCATCTCATTAAAACCTAATCACCCTTACCCCACCCAACTCCAATATCCCATCCCGCAGCATGCTTTAAAAAGATTAAAGCCTGTTATCACTCGCCTGCTACAGCATGGCCTTTTAAAGCCTATAAACTCTCCTTACAATTCCCCCATTTTACCTGTCCTAAAACCAGACAAGCCTTACAAGTTAGTTCAGGATCTGCACCTTATCAACCAAATTGTTTTGCCTATCCACCCCGTGGTGCCAAACCCATATACTCTCCTATCTTCCATACCTGCCTCTACAACCCATTATTCTGTTCTAGATCTCAAACATGCTTTTTTCACTATTCCCCTGCATCCCTAATCCCAGCCTCTCTTCGCTTTCACTTGGACTGACCCTGACACCCATCAAGCTCAGCAAATTACCTAGGCTGTACTGCCGCAAAGCTTCACAGACAGCCCCCATTACTTCAATCAAGCCCAAATTTCTTCCTCATCTGTTACCTATCTCAGCATAATGCTCATAAAACACACGTGCTCTCCCTGCCAATCGTGTCTGACTGAGCTCTCAAACCCAAGCACCTTCTACAAAACAACTCCTTTCCTTCCTAGGCGTGGTTAGCGCGGTCAGAATTCTTACACAAGAGCCAGGACCACACCCTGTAGCCTTTCTGTGCAAACAACTTGACCTTACTGTTTTAGCCTAGCCCTCATGTCTGCGTGCAGTGGCTGCTGCTGCTTTAATACTTTTAGAGGCCCTCAAAATCACAAACTATGCTTAACTCACTCTCTACAGTTCTCATAACTTCCAAAATCTATTTTCTTCCTCATACCTGACACATATACTTTCTGCTCCCTGGCTCCTTCAGCTGTACACACTCTTTGTTGAGTCTCCCACAATTACTGTTGTCCCTGGCCCAGACTTCAATCCGGCCTCCCACATTATTCCTGAAACCACACCTGACCCCCATGACTGTATCTCTCTGATCCACCTGACATTCACCCCATTTCCCCACATTTCCTTCTTTCCTGTTCCTCACCCTGATCACGCTTGATTTATTGATGGCGGTTCCACCAGGCCTAATCGCCACACACCAGCAAAGGCAGGTTATACTATAGTACAAGCCAGCCCGCCTCTTAGAACCTCTCATTTCCTTCCCATCATGCAAATCTATCCTCAAGGAAATAACTTCTCAGTGTTCCATCTGCTATTCTAATACTCCTCAGGGATTATTCAGGCCCCCTCCCTTCCCTACACATCAAGCTTGAGGATTTGCCCCACCCAGGACTGGCAAATTAGCTTTACTCAACATGCCCTGAGTCAGATAACTAAAATACCTCTTAGTCTAGGTAGATACTTTCACTGGATAGGTAGAGGCTTTTCCTACAGGGTCTGAGAAGGCCACTGCAGTCATTTCGTCCCTTCTGTCAGACATAATTCCTCAGTTTGGCCTTCCCACCTCAATACAGTCTGATAACAGACAAGCCTTTATTAGTCAAATCAGCCAAGCAGTTTTTCAGGCTCTTAGTATTCAGTGAAACCTTTATATCCCTTACGGTCCTCCATCTTCAAGAAAAGTAGAATGGACTAAAGGTCTTTTAAAAACACACCTCACCAAGCTCAGCCACCAAAAAGGATTGGACAATAGTTTTACCACTTTCCCTTCTCAGAATTCAGGCCTGTCCTCGGAATGCTACAGGGTACAGCCCATTTAAGCTCCTATATAGACGCTCCTTTTTATTAGGCCCCAGTCTCATTCCAGACACCAGACCAACTTAGACTGTGCCCCAAAAAACTTGTCTTCCCTGCTATCTTCTGTCTAGTCATACTCCTATTCACCGTTCTCAACTACTCATACATGCCCTACTCTTGTTTACACTGCCAGTTTACACTGTTTTTCCAAGCCATCACAGCTGATATCTCCTGGTGCTATCCCCAAACTGCCACTCTTAACTCTTGAAATAAATAAATAATCTTTGCTGGCAGGACTATGCCGAATCTCCTTAAGCACTCTCTAATCAGATATCCTGAGTCGTCCCAATTCTTAGACCTTTTATACCTGTTTTTCTCCTTCTGTTATTCCATTTAGTTTCTCAATTCATCCAAAACCGTATCCAGGCCATCACCAATCATTCTATAAGACAAATGTTTCTTCTAACATCCCCACAATATCACCCCTTACCACAAGACCTCCCTTCAGCTTAATCTCTCCCACTCTAGGTTCCCACGCCGCCCCTAATCCCGCTTGAAGCAGCCCTGAGAAACATCGCCCATTCTCTCTCCATACCACCCCCCAAAAATTTTCGCCGCCCCAACACTTCAACACTATTTTGTTTTATTTTTCTTATTAATATAAGAAGGCAGGAATGTCAGGCCTCTGAGCCCAAGCCAAGCCATCGCATCCCCTGTGACTTGCAGGTATATGCCCAGATGGCCTGAAGTAACTGAAGAATCACAAAAGAAGTGAATATGCCCTGCCTCACCTTAACTGATGACATTCCACCACAAAAGAAGTGTAAATGGCTGGTCCTTGCCTTAACTGATGACATTACCTTGTGAAAGTCCTTTTCCTGGCTCATCCTGTCTCAAAAACACCCCCACTGAGTACCTTGCGACCCCCACTCCTGCCCGCCAGAGAACAAACCCCCTTTGACTGTAATTTTCCTTTACCTGCCCAAATCCTATAAAACGGCCCCACCCTTATCTCCCTTCTCTGACTTTCTTTTCGGACTCAGCCCGCCTGCACCCAGGTGAAATAAACAGCCATGTTGCTCACACAAAGCCTGTTTGGTGTTCTCTTCACACGGACACGCATGAAAATGACAAAAACAAGCAATGAGGAAAGGATTCCCTATTTAATAAATGGTGTTGGGAATACTGACTAGCCATATGCAGAAAGCTGAAACTGGATCCCTTCCTTATACCTTATATGAAAATTAACTCAAGATGGATTAAAGACTTAAACGTAATACCTAAAAATCATAAAAACCCTAGAAGAAAACCTAGGCAATACCATTCAGGACATAGGCATGGGAAAAGACTTTATGACTAAAACACCGAAA
Source organism: Homo sapiens (assembly GCF_000001405.40). NCBI lineage: Eukaryota > Metazoa > Chordata > Mammalia > Primates > Hominidae > Homo > Homo sapiens. Next base: position 115,037,865 of record NC_000006.12, read on the forward strand.
GCAATGGCAACGAAAGCCAAAATTCACAAATCGGATCTGATTAAACTAAAGAGCTTCTGTACAGCAAAAGAAACTGTTGTCAGAGTGAACAGGAAACCTACAGAATGGGAAAAAAATTTTGCAATCTATCCATCTGATAAGGGGCTAATATCCAGAATCCACAAAGAATTTAAACAAATTTACAAGAAAAAAACAAAAAAAACCCATCAAAAAGTGAGTGAAGGTTATAAACAGACACTTCTCAAAAGAAGAATCCATGCAGCCAACAAACATATGAAAAAAAGCTCATCATCACTGGTCATTAGAGAAATGCAAATGAAAACCACAATGAGATACCATCTCATGCCAGTTAGAATGGCAGTCATTAAAAGGTCAGGAAACAACAGATGCTGGAGAGCATGTGGAGAAATAGGAATGATTTTACACTGTTGCTGGGAATGTAAATTAGTTCAACCACTGTGGAAGACAGTGTGGTGATTCCTAAGGATCTAGAATTAGAAATACCATTTGACCCAGCAATCCCATTACTGGATATATACCGAAAGGATTATAAATCATTCTGCTATAAAGACACATGCACATGTATGTTTATTGCAGCACTGTTCACAATAGCAAAGACTTGGAACCAACCCAAATGCCCATCAGTGATAGACTGGATAAAGCAAATGTGGCATATATACACCATGGAATACTATGTAGCCATAAAAAAGGATGAGTTCATGTCCTTTGCAGGAACATTGATAAGGCTGTAAACCATCATTCTCAGCAAATTAACACAAGAACAGAAAACCAAACACCACATGTTCTCACTCATAAGTGGGAATTGATCAATGAGAAGGGAACATCACACCGGGGCCTGTCAGGGGGTGGGGGGCTAGGGGAGGGATAGCATTAGGAAAAATACCTAATGTAGATGACGGGTTAATGGGTGCAGCAAACCACCATGTCACGTGTATACCTATGTAACAAACCTGCACATTCTGCCCATGTACCCCAGAACTTGAAGTAAAATAAAATAAAAATCCTAACTTGCTAAAAAAGAAAAAAGAAAAAAATTATGCAAACATTAATCAAAAGAAGTCTGTAGTAGCTATATCAGCAGTAGACAAATTAAATTTTAGAACAAAGAAAATCATCAGGAATACAGACAGAGATTACGTAATGACAGAGGTAAATTCATCAAGAAGACATAATACTAAATGTTTGTATAGAGAAGTTCAAGAGATATAAAGCAAAACTGATGAAGCTGAAATTAAATGTGGGTAATCTACAATTATAAATGAAGATTTCACCATTTCTTTCTTCATAGTCAATCAAGTTAACAAAAAATAAACAAGATTATAGAAGAACTAAACATCAACCTAATTAACCTAATTGTTTTATACATAGACCTATTCCAAATAAGTGAAAGAAAAAACACTTTCTTTATGTTATTTTTTTAAATTTAGCTTTTAAGTTCAGGGGTACATGTGCCAGTTTGTTATATAGGTAAACTTATGTCATAGGGGTTTGTTGTACATATTATTTCATCACCCAAGTATTAAGCCTAGTACCCATTAGTTGTTTTTTCTAATCCTCTCCCTCTTCTTACCCTCCACCCTTTGATAGGCCCCAGTGTGAAAACACTTTCAATTGTACATAAAATATTCACCAAGATTGATCATAGCATAAGCTATAAGACAAGCCTTAATATAAATTTAAAAGTATTAAAATCATACAAACTATGGTTTGGGACTAATGAGTTAAACTAGAATTTAATAACAGAAATGTATTTGGAAGCTACACACATATTGGAAATTACATACATCTAATATGTATGTAATTCATGTAATTAGATGTATGTAAAATCACATACATCTAAATAACCCATAAGACCCAGGAAGTTAGAAAATATTTTTCCCAAATAAAACTAAAGACACAATAACCAAATCTAGTAGGAATCAAAATTTGTAGACTGTCATGTTTTAAGGGAAACTTGTAGCATGGTTACAGAAACACTTATAGAAAGGAACACTTATTTTAAAACACTTATCATAGAAAGGAATAAAAGGTTCTTAAATTATAAATCCAGGCCTCCACATAATGAAACTAGAGAAAAGAAAGCAATTGAACCCAAAGGAAGAAAAAGTTAGAAAGTAATAAGTATAAGAGCAGATAATAGTTAAGTTGACTGCAGAAAAACAATAGGAAAAAAAATCAATGAATCCTAAAGATTGTTCTTGATAATGTTCTTCGATGAACTCCCAGCCAGAATGACCAAGAAAAAAAGAGAGAAGATACAAATTACCTATATTAGGAATGAAAAGGGATTATTACTACAGATCCTTCACACATGAAAACAATAATAAGATAGTTCTATAAACAACTCTATTGCTACAAATTTTGACAACCTAGATGAATAAGTTTCAAGAAAGACACAGACTATCAAGACATACTCAAAAAAAGGATAACCTTACCTGAATAGTCCTGTGTCAATTATAGGAATTCAATTTATAGGTAAAATCCCCCTAATGAAGACTCAAGTTCCATATTAACAAATTGAATGTGAGTAATATACAAAAAAGGATAATACGTAATGACTAAATAAGAATTATCCTATAAATGCAAAAAAATGTAGCTCACCACATAATTATATAAATAGATTTAGAAAAAGCTTTTAACAAAACCCAGCATCCATCTCTGATTTAAACAAACAAACACCTCTCCACCTAGTATGAATAGAAAGGAACTTCCTTAACTTGATAAATAACTACTATGAATAAACCTCATGTGAACATGATACTCAGTGGTAAAATACAGAATGTTTTCCATCTAAGATAAAAAAAAGACTAGTGAGTCTGTTTTGCACGCTTCTATTCAACACTGCATTGCATGTCCTAGCCAGTGCAATCAGGCAAGAAAAACAAAAGACATGTCTATTAAGAAAACATGATTGTCTCTGTAAAAAAAAATAAATAAATAAAAAATAAATAAATCTACAAAAATTTCCCAGAACGAATAACCAAGTTTAGCCAGAAAACAAAAGGTCAAAATACAAGATTTAAATCTATTTGTAATTTGTGTAAATTAACAATTGAAATTCAAAATTTCAGAAGGCAGTAGCATTTAAAATAACGTTCAAGAAATAAAATACTTAACTATATATCTAGAAATATATGTGTAGAATCTGTATTTTTCTGATTCTAATCTGAACATGTGACCTGTAACAGAATAAAAAGACAAGCTAGACTTGGAGAAAATATTTGCAAATCATATATCTGACAAACAACTTGTATCCAAAATATATTATGAACTCTGAAACTCAAAATTAGAAAGCAAACAAAAATGGACAAAATATTTGAAGAGATACATTATCAAAAAACGTATACTGATCTAAATAAGGATATGGAAAGTTGCTCAATATTATTATGAGAATGCAAATTAAGACCACAATGTGGTAACACTGTGCACCAAAAATGGCTTTAACAAAACATGACAACACCAAATGTCAGCCAAGGTGTGGAGAAACAGAAACTCTCATACCTTTCTTATGGGAATGTAAATTTTACAACCACATAAAAAAAAAATTGTCATTTTCTTAAAATGTTAAGTATAAGCTTGCCATGAAACCCAATAATTAATCTCCTAAGAATCTACCCCAAAGAAATAAAAACATATGTTCATGCAAAAACTTGTTAATGAATATTTGCAGCAGTATTATTTATAGTAGACAAAAACTAGAAATAAGCACTATGTCCATCAACTGGTAAATAAACAAAATGTTCTGTATTCGTATAATAGAATATTATTCAGCAATAAAAATAAACAAAATTCTGATATATCTTACAGCATGGTTCATCTGCAAAAAAAACATGCTAAGTAAAAGAAGCCAGATGCAAAGACCCTATATTGTATAATTTTATTTATATGAAATGCTCAGAAGAGATTGATTTATGGAAACAGAAGACAAATCAGTGGTTGTCTGGAGCTGCAGGGTGCTACAAGAAATTGATGCAAATGAGATTGAGAAAATTTTTTGAGGAGATATAAAGTACTAAAACTGGATTGTGGTGATGATTGCATAACTCTATAATAATTATTGTCTGCTGTTTCTGTCAGTGTAAATCTATCAGTAGCCCTTCACCCTGATATTGGGCTTTCAGTATACTAACAATAGTTATATTAAGTGTATGATTCCATTTACATGACACTGTGGAAAAAGCAGAACTCTAGGGACAAAAACATCAATTTTTGCTCAGGGGCTAGGAGTAAAGGGAGTATTTGACTACAAAAGAGTAGAATGAGAGAATTTTGGAAGTTATGGAAATATTTTATATCTTCAACGCAGTAGTTACACAGCCTTTTGCATTGGTCACATTTCATATAACTATAAACTGAATAATCCACTTTACATGTTAATTTAAAGTACATTTAAAAAATCATTTTAAAAGTTGAGTTCATTTTCCCTGCCAAACTTACTCCTCCTCTGGTGTTATCTGTTTTAGTTAATGGCAATAACAATCACCAGTTGCCCAAAGCAAACTTGAGCATCATTCTTAACATCTCCTATTTTACCCACTATGTCTAAGCAAATCCTAAGCATTTCTGGAATCATTTTAAATTATCTTCATCCTCGTTATTATGTTTCTGTTCCTAGCAAACATATTTTTTATGAGAATTACTTGAAAGCCTATTAGCTGCAATACCATTTTTTCAGGTTATGGAATATTCAGATGAAACAGTGACTGAATTAGAGAAATAATTAAGATCATCCAGAGATGAATACTATGAGTACCATACAGAAGGGGAAATAATGACTCTGGAGACTTTATATTTCCACTTTTTTTTGTGAAAGGATTCGATTTGAGTATGATTTCATTTTGTAAAGTGAAAACATAGGGCTGGAATCATTGTATGAAAATCCAAATACGTGTAAAAGGATAGGATGGTGCTGAATAGCCACAAGAGTGGGCTGTGCCAGTTAAGATGCCATTGTCTCTCAGATCCTGATAGGCCCTTCTAAGTTCTACTTTCTAACGATGAAGGTAGGATTCCAAAAACTGTATTTCTGTATTGTCAGCTGTCTTCCTATTAGATTCTGCTAATAGGGGTATAGCAGGAAGACAGGAGGAAACTAGGAAGAACTTGCTCTTTGCTGTTTATCTGCTGCTCCTGACATTGTCACTGTTGACAGCTCTTTACCCTGACATTGGCTGGTACTTCCATTTGTCCCTCCAGAATCAGCTTCTTTGTGACCTCCTCAGAGGTATAGACACAATAAGGGCTGTGCTGCTTTCCCCAAAGTCTGAGTCATAGCTTTGCAAGACCTCTTCTCAAAGCTCCAAGGTATCAGTACCAACTGGGTGGCATCCACTCCTTAGAAACCTCAGGTAAAAAGACTTTGATGCTCTTTTTCAATCCTCTACATATTGATAACTTCAAAATATGATTTCCCAGCCCAAGGCCTGGTAGCTACATACCGAAGTTACCGGGGGTCTGTGTTATCTTGATCTTCTCTTTTTGGCTTTTTCAATCTTTCAACCCCTATTTAACCCAGCCCTTAAAATTACAGTTGTCCCTCAGTCTACACAGGGGATTGGTTCCAAGACCCCTGCACATACCAAAACCTGCACTACTGAAATCCCACAGTTGGCCCTGCCAAACTCACATATGTTAAAAGTCAGTCCTCCATATACATAGGTTTCACATCAAGAAAATAATGTATTTTTGATTGGCATTTGGTTGAAAAAAATCTGCATATTTATGGCAGCACTCAGTTCAATCCCACACATTGTTCAAGGGTCAACTGTATATTCTCTGGTTGTAATATCTAGAACAAATTTTGATTTTGTGATGGGTCCTGATGGATACCACTATTTTCATTACTTCAAAACTTCCATACTGCAGCTACAGTAATCTTTCTTTCGTGTTTTTTTTTTGTTTTTTTGTTTTTTTGAGACAGAGTCTCGCTCTGTCGCCCAGGCTGGAGTGCAGTGGCACTACAATCTCCGCCTCCCGGGTTCACGCCATTCTCCTGCCTCAGCCTCCAGAGTAGCTGGGACTACAGGCGCCTGCCACCACGCCCGGCTAATTTTTCGTATGTTTTTTTTTTTAGTAGAGACAAGGTTTCACCGTGTTGGCCAGGATGGTCCCCATCTCCTGACCTTGTGATCCGCCCGCCTCGGCCTCCGAGAGTGCTGGGATTACAGGCCTGAGCCGCCGCCCCTGGCCCAGCTACAGTAATCTTTCTAAAACACGAATCTTAACACTTCCTTTATTTCTCAAATTCAGTGGCTTCTCATAATTTTCAAGAAAAATTCTAAACTTATCCTATCATGATGACTTAGCCCTAACTATATCTCTGACATAATCTACCATTACTTTCCCTCCCTTTCAATATACAATAAATTTGACCATAAGGAAGTGAGATACTCTTAGTTCCTCTAATATTTAGAACTTCCTCTCATTTCTGGACCTTCACACATCTTTTGAGTGAGACACTCATTCCTACTACCTTACTTTGGGTAATTCTTATTTACATGTGAGGTATAAGTTTAAACATATATATATATGTGTATATATATATATGTGTGTGTGTGTGTGTATATATATGTGTGTGTGTATATATATATATACATATATATGTGTATATATATATACATATATATATATATGTATATATATTTGAGTCAGAGTCTCCCTCTGTCTCCCAGGCTGGAGTGCAGTGGAGCGATCTCAGCTCACTGCAACCTCCGCCTCCCGGGTTCAAGTGATTCTCCTGCCTCAGCCTCCCAAGTAGCTGGGATTACAGGCGTCCGCTACCACGCCCAGCTAATTTTTGTATTTTTAGTAGAGACGGGGTTTTACCATGTCGGCCATGCTGGTCTCAATCTCTTGACCTCGTGATCCGCCCGCCTGGGCCTCCCAAAGTGCTGGGATTACAGGCATGAGCCACCTTGCCTGGAAACATAATTTTTTTAAGACACCTTCTGTTTGTCATGAAATGTTGCATGTGCCATTGTATTCTGCTTTTATTACATTTCTATTTCCCTTTCCATGCTTCCTCTCAATTGCTTATGTAATCTAATGTTACTGGGCCTTTGTAGAACATTTATTTCCAATTGAGAGGCCAATCTCAGCATATTGTAAAATCACAAACAATAAGAACAATAAAACATAACAACAAAAATTTAATACCAGTCACCATCATTCCAATTACCAGTCGCATCAAAGCTCCCTCTTTAGAAACCGGGATACATGAGTTTTAACTCACTTATAATATTTTCTTATTTCTTTTTACGTTAGTTAAATGACTTGTTCTCTCTGTCATACTCAAAGCTTCAAGAAAGAGAGGACAATGTCTATGCTACTTTTTCACCTGGCCCAATTCTTGATGCCCATTATCAGTCATTAGCACTTACTTCCTCATCAATGGCCTGGGTCACTCAGGTTCTTGAGTAAATTAGAAGAACCAACAGAAATCCAACTCACAGAATCTCTGGAAAGATTATCTTTCCCTCCCTGAGCACCAAGGAAACTGTTTAATAAAGTGGCCCATCTAGCTCTAAATAGTCACATCATATCTTTGTCTGCAAAACAACTTTCTCCTTGCAAATGCCTAATGTCTTATAAATTTCATTCAGCATTTTAGTGCTTGTGTCTCATCTCCTTGTTCACAATTAATAATCTATTTCCAGAAGGCAAAACATTCCTTACTTGCCCTTTCTATGTATACCCATACTCAGCAGGAATATAACTGGCCCCTAGCAAAGGTGAGTCCAGCGGAGAACAAAGTACATTCAAGAAAGGCACTGTGTGAGCAAACATCTCACTTCAGAGAAATCCAGGCTTTGCACTTGAAGGTATATGGGAGGACATAGTGGGTTCAAATTACCCCACTTCATCAGGCAGGGGGCCCAGGTGGTTTAGTTAATGATAGCTTCATACCAGGTGAGGCCCCCATCAGTATATTCTGGGAAAATGTTGATAACTTATGAAGGAAAAAACAAATAAGTAAAAAGGAGATTTTCCTTTTAAATATCTTAAAGGCATTCAATGACTGAAGTCCAAGAAACATATACAATGTGCCAATAACAGAACTGGAATCAGTAAGAAAGAAAAATGAAGTATCCAATATGACAAAACAATGCTGCATCATTTTAATGATAGTACATAAATCAATGTTTTTCTCAGAATTAATATATTTATTTAATTCATGCATCATAAAATTTTAAATAAACTTTGAATGTTACTAAGGAGATATGTAAATGCTTCACCACCCTTGTCCCTCACCTCCATATAATTATAAACATAAGTTTATTATTTTAAATAATAGGGGTTTTAAAAATATCTTTGAAATAACAGGGGTTAATATCCAATGCAATTTCTGAATGTGTTGCAGTAATATCAGTTAAAACAAGCATCTGATTAATGTGGCTTGGGAACCTCAGACAATTTATTGAGCTGCTTGCTGTTTAAAATCTATGATACTTTCCCTCTTCTGTGCAGATATTGATTTGATAGATGAAGTGAGGGTAATTTTTCTTTTAGAGTGGTGATGTTAATGGTCATTGAATTTTCACTGACAACAGCAGTGAACTATGTTTATTAGGGAACTCGAACAGTTGTTTATTTTCCTTCTTTCTTTTGTTTGTTTCTCCCTTTTTCTTCTCCTTATGACTTCAGCCTTTCACAGATGATGGAAAACCTTTAGAAAGGTAAGCCTGGATTTCAGCTTGTCTTTTTGAAGGCAAGATTAATTATAAAGAGGAAAGAAAGATAAGGGACTTTTGTCTGGTTCTATCATCTTACAATCTTGGTCAATATATGCCTTCGTGATCAGTTCTCTATTGTTTGAAATTGTTTCCCTATTGAAATCATTTCTCTATTTTGCACCAGGTGCATTCTAGAGTCCATAATGACATCACAACATCATATTACATGAGTTAAGCTATCGGTGTCATCTGGGAACGGGTATCTCTCAAGGCAAGGTAAGCAAGATAAAGATTCACACACCCCAGGATCTCATCATCCATCATGACACATACCAGAACATCTACTAAATAAGGTTAAAATTCCATTTTAGTGAAGAGGCCATTTTTCCCATGAGTTTCCCATCGTATAGGGAAAAGTATAGGAAATTTTTTTTGTCATTTGAAGAATAAACAAGCTGCCAGAAAGCCTGGAAGTGTGGTGTCAGCTGTTTACAAGAGACTAATGGAAATGCCAGTTGCTCACCTCTTACAGATGTTGTTGGGGTCTATAGAATGTTGTGGTCATCCCTGCTAGAAGGAGACAGTTTTATTTTTTTGAGAAGCTGAGCTTGGGTACGTTCCCTGCCACTGAGGGAAGGAGCAGGTCCCAACTAGCATGTCATCTAGTCAACCTAGAATGGGCTCCTAGAGTCATTTTCAGGCAATTTCATTCACTGTTTCAACATTTTTATGAGAAAATAAAATGAAAATTATGTATATAAAATCACAATTACATAGACATGATATAGTTAAGTTTATATATATAATTGCAATATATATATACAGGCACTTTAGTGAAAATTTACTATATACATTATAAATATATGTATATAACTCATATATACATATGTATATCATGAGCATATGTGTAACCTAATTTTGCATGTGTGCATATGCACATAATATACCAATAGACAGTTTACTGAAAACAAATTTTATCTGGGTATTTCACTGAAGACTATCTGAGTAGACATGATGTAAATGGAAATCAAACATGAGCCAGCTTGAATACTGAATCTGCCTTTAAAGATATGACCTGGGCAACTTATTTTTTTCTGAGCTTCAATTAATGATAAAGTAATGATCATCATAGCTTTTTTGTAAAGTTGTTTGAAGCCTCAAGACGGTAATTGTAAAGCACTTAGTATAATTCCATGTAGTACACACTGACATTCCCAGGTTATTATTGAAATAGATATTTCATGAGGTTTTAAATGTAATATAGAATTTCACTCAGACATTTATTAAAGAAGCATTTAATATAATCTATAGTATTGCATGTTACTTGGAAATACAAAGATAATAAAGCCACAGCCCTAGCTTCATTGGGCTTATACTCTAGGAATGGTACCATGGCAGAGAAGGACATAATTCTTTTAACAGGTGAATAGTATGATATGAGATAATGATTTAAATATACTTCTCTCAGGGGTTTTATTTTTAAAATTTACTTACGTATATTATTAGTTTAATTGATACATATTTATGGGGCATAGTGTAATATTTTGTTACATATGTACAACGTAATGATCAAATCAGAGTAATTAGCAAATCTATCACCTCAAACATTTATCATTTTTTTGTGTTGGTAACACTCAAAATCCCCTCTTCTAGCTATTTGAATATACAATAAACTGTTGTTAACTGTAGTCACCCTACAATGTTATAAAACACTAGAACTTATTCCCAAGAAGTTTTTTTTTTGCAGTGATAACAGTTGTTGTTTTTAATAGTGCATATAGATAGAATTACAGTGAAGATAAATAGTTATCCCTTGAATTATATAGGACTAAGTTCAAAGAAGACCTCATTCTAGGCATGGAATTCTGCAGGTGCACAGGAGCTAGTTTCTCCAAACTTCACCAGGTCTTCACCTGGAGAAGCATATGAAAGGGACACGGCGCCTGAGAGCTCAGCCTGTGTTTAAATATATCATTCAGGAAGAGAAGCTATTCACTTTATTCACTTGCCTTTCTACACCTCCCTTTTTTTATAATAAGATGTCTAATTGGAATGGAGAGTTAGGAGACTTGTCAAAATGTTTTGTTTACACCACTTTTAGTTAGGTTGTATAATGATTTTGGTGGGGTTGGGAGATGTGGTCTTATATGGAGCAGCAGTGGTGATAGAGGAAGTAAAGTAAATTAACACTGCAAGCCTTCTATTTGCTGCTGACATTGAAAATAATTGTTGTGTATCTCATTATATTATTTTTAATTCATTGTATGTGAGTCCGTTAAACATAGTAGGTGATGGCACTTTGAAAATCTATTTGCTGGCTCAAAACTTGTCTATCAATTAATTCTTTCAAAAATAATTATTGATATCTAGAATGTGTCAAAGTGATGGTGATCATCCTTGATGATACAAGGTCAATCAAGATAGATACTAATTTTGCCTACAAAGAGTTTGCAATTGAAATTCATTTGATTTCTCAGGAAGAGTAGGAGAAACTCATCATAACTAATCACTCCCCAAAAGCACATATGTGTTGATTGATATAAAAATAACATACGCCCTGCTACTGATAGAGAGAGCAGGAAAATGAGACGGTCTCTTTCTAACTTGCATCTTCAATAGAAAGATTATGCAATATGCTAGCTGTTTATTCCATACTGAGGGTCCATATTCAGATTCTAAATTCCTCTATATTTTTCCTTTTTTAGAATAATAATACATGATCCACTACCATGGTCAGTTTGTCTATGAGTTAGCTTTATTCAACACAAGTATAAAGTTTCCTTAGAGATCAATGTATAGACATCAGTATTTCATACCTGTGAATATATGATTAGTGAAATGAATGGGAGCAATGATAATATTTATGATTGCTACAGAGAAAAACTACTTAAGCCAAATTGGTCCAGTGTTTTTTTCTGGAAAACTGTTTTACTGGAATGTTGAGAGAGAAAGAGAGAGAGGCAGAGAGAGAAGGCACATTCTTCAGGTAAAATTTCTCCAATCTATGTCCAAATAAATTCATTTGTAAATAATTTATAGTAGTCTTGGTCTTTGGTAAAGTGAGATAGCAGCACCACTGAGACTAACACTAGCGCATTGGAAAACACTGACAACAGGAGAGAACAATCTGTTGTTTATGCATGAGGCATGAAAAGACTTTATAAGTTTGGATAAATGTTCAGAATGCAAACCTACATGATCCATACAGCTGCCACACTATAACCTAGTAAAGTTTCACTGAAGTGCCTGATTCCAGGGAGAGGTCCATAACTTGGTGGAAATTAGAAAACTGACGATTTTGCAGTCACCAACTTGTCCGCAAGTGGAGCTATTTTTTTAAATTGTGTAGGATTTTGAAAAAATTCAGTTGCTTCTCTTCCAATTATTTTGGTCAGTGACATGAAAACATATCTATACTTTTGAGAGTGAGCATGTTTTCTTGGCCAAAAGAGACTGCAAAAGAGAGATTAAAAAAACAGCATTTACTCTGCATATTTGTGTTAGAAAAGGAATTTCTCAATATATATTAAAATGTTGTTATTCCTGTTAAAAACAGAATAAGCTCAGGATGTTGCCGGTATGACTGGAATACTCTGTAGTCACCTTCCATAGGAAAGCAATTGGAAAATATAATTTCCCATTCATTACCTTAAAAATAAGTTTATTATGCCTAATATTCTTTCCATAATATGTTTTTAGAAGCAAGATGGTCAATAGCAAGATTCAAAATTTGCCTTACATATATTTTTTTAAAATTTTCATGATTAATGTTCAACTTGGTGAATTATAGTCTTGATATTAAAAATTATTTAAATTGAGCATACTTATTTTTTTGTTTTCCACTGACATAAACTGTACTTTAACTGCCATTAATAGGCACTACAAATATTTCATTTAACTAATGAGGAAATATACAAATAGATTCAGTTAATATTGGAGTTCATCAATTATTTTTTGAAGAGTTAAGTTGAAAAATGAAAATAAAAAATAGAAGGTGATTTATACATTTCTATCTGTTTGCTCTTTGGAATATGTTTGCCAAGATGAACTATCATTAAATATAAAGTATTTAAAAGTAATATAAACAGAATCTTTAAACATGTAAGTTATGATTTAGTGAAAGCCTTAATTACAATAATAAGCTGTTTGGACTTAATTTTTTAAGGGAGAAGAGAATGATCTCCTTAATATCGAAGAAGGCAATCTTATCAGTGATGTGAAGAACGGATGGTTGGAGTATGGAGGATTGGATCCAAATTAAAGGTGAAAGCCTGCCCACAAGTTATTGCAATAGTCCAGTGAAATGGTTAAGAGGGCCTGTCCTAGGCTAGAAGCCATAGGAATGGAAGGAAAAAGACAGATGTAGAAGGATGCTAAGATAAAGGAACTAGCATCAGTGGGAGTTGAAGCTTGATTACAGGTTGAAAGAGAAGGTGGAATGACAGTCCACACTGGGGTACCCGGCTTGAATCACTTGAAGTGAAATATTCTCGAGGAGAATTCTTGAGGTGGTGTGTGCCTTGGCATGGCTCTTGGGAAAGCTGGTGCTCGCACTTCCAGATTTAACATAGCAGTTGGAACTACCCCTTGGAAGATGCAGAAACAGGCTTAAAAAAGATAGATGAAGACAAACTATGATTGCTTAGAACAAGTTATGTTCTTATTAAAGCATAATTATTTTTCAAGGAAAGCAGAGGAAATTTAGAATTTCAGGTATGAAGTGGCCGGGCGTGGTGGTTCATGCCTGTAATCACAGCACTTTGGGAGGCCGAGGTGGGAGGATCACCTGAGGTCAGAAGTTGGATACAAGCCTGGCCAACGTGGCAAAACCCTGTCTCTAAAAAAAAAAAAAAAAAAAAAAAAAAAAAAAAAAAAAAAAAAAAATTAGTCAGGTGTGGTGGGCACCTGTAATCCCAGCTACTCCGGAGGCTGAGACAAAAGAATCTCTTGAATCCAGGAGGCAGAAATTGCAGTGAGCCGAGATCGCGCCATTGCACTTCAGCCTGGGGGATAAGAGCGAAACTCCCTCAAAAAAAAAAAAAAAAAAAAAAAAAGCCTTCTTCTTTTGGTTTAAAAAATTCAAGTAAAATCCAATAATATACATTTTATACTGAGAAATTAGTCTCAAACAGAGGCTGACTTCACAAAGTTTCCACCAGTATATGCCTTTATATCTAACTTAGAAATCAATTTCAGAGCTGAAACGCCACTGCAAGTATTTCTGAATACTCCTTTTAGTCATCTGCTCAATCACTGCTGCTGTACTATCAGAAATTTTGCATTTGAGCAGTCAGACAGGCACAGACAAGAACCTAGGAGCGCTTACCAGTAACAACCACGAAATGGGGAAAAAGTAGTTGGAAGCTTAAGCTATTTGAGCATACTTTTGATACTATAGCTGGTAATTGGAATTTTTGAGAAATGTAAAATGTATATACACCATTTAAGCCTCAACCTATTTTCCTTTGTTGTGAGTTAATTTCATGCAATTACAAATGATCTTCTGAATTACACGGCACTATGGATGTGTATGGTTTCTCAAACATTAAATGGGTCATTTTCGTAAGTAAATCATACTCAATTAAAATTTTTATCTCTATATGGAGTAAAGTAGGTATTTAATTTTTTTCTCTATAGGTAACCTATTTTCCATCACTACATATTCAATGGAAGGTGGAAAATCATTTACCCTGTAATTTGAAAGGCCATTTGTTTCCTGCATCAAGTTCTATTTATACAGAACTGCCATTCTGGTCTATTTTTAATTTCTCTAGCTTTGTGCCAAAAAAAACACTTAATTAATTAGGATTTATCTCTTAATTATTATGATATTTTGGTAAGGTAATTCACTCTAACATTTCTGTTCTTCAGTGTTAGCGTAATTGAGAACTGAATGGCTCATAAAGAAGGAAACTTGCCTGTTTTGATATTAAACAAGAATAGAAATAAGAAAAACATTTCCCTACACAATTTACATAAACAAGTTCTCAAATAATTTTAATGATTGAACTCAAGTACCTTAGTGGTACAAACAGCTAAAGTTGAAAATTTTGTTTTAAGTTGTCCTGGATTGATATTTCCCACAGGGAATTGGCAAAAGCAAATGCAAATATTCTAAGATGTAAGAAATCAAGTAAATAATAAATAAGCCACAAATAATTTTCAGAGTTAAAGTACCAAAAAAAACTTAGTGGGTCACAGATTTTTTAAAATATTGCACAATAAAAGAAAACAAGTCACCATGTGTGAGCATTAGCTAACACAATAATTAGCCTTGTTAGATTAAAAAAGGCTCCAAAAAATTTGAATCATCAAAGTTGGAATATATTGAAAAAATACATTTTTGTATTAACTATATTAAAAATACATTTTCAAAAATCTTGAAAATATATGTCAACAACAAAAGATTATAAAAAGCAAACCAAGGAGATATATATGTATATATGTGTGTGTGTATATATATACATATAAAATTTGATTTATATATAATTATATATATTTATACATAAACATTCAAATTAAAAATGAAATAAATGGGTTAAACACACTTACAGACAAGTAAAAAGAGAGTGAATAGATAATATAGTTGAAGAATTTTCCATTATTGATCTCAGATATTTAAAGATATGAGAAATACAAAAGAGAGATTTAGAAAGTTCTAAGAAAAAGTGCGAAAATTTAACACAACCAAACAGGATTCAAAAAATATCTAAAAGACATAATTAGGAAGAAATGCTATTTATTCAAAGGAATGATGGATGAGAATTTTCTTTTGTGAGAAACAGAGAATAGAAAGTGCACGTCATGTTTAAGGTTCATGGCTTCATTTGACTTGTAGAGAAATCAGAATTTGTAGACTTTCATTTCCTTAACTTTCTCTTACAGAAATGTTTGTTACACTTTTACTTGGCAGGAAATATTTAGTTTTTTAATACTCAAACACTTTATTGAAGTAGACATTTTCAAGAAGACTGCAAAAAGTCCTGAATGTGTACATTCTGCTGACCACAAAAAAATATATAAAGAACTCAAATAGAAGACTAGGCAGGTGGGTAGAGTTCTTATTTAAGAATATATGCATACTCTATTTCTTGTCATTTTGAATCATAGTTCTGTTATGAATGCTTACAATGAAGAGACCAAGAAACCATTCAATTTATTTAATTAGTGACTAAAATTTTCAGTTTTTATTTCCTGGAGTCTTTTAAACTGAAGCATTGTGAAGACCAAAAACTTAAAAGACATGTTGATTGTAGGACATATATTAGTTTACTCAAATACGCAATGTGTTTGTTTCAAAACCACATGTATAAGTTGACTACTATTTCTGAGTGGGATAAAAAACTTCATGGAAACAGTTTATATAGAGAAGAGGGTCCAAGTTTAAACCACAAATGGCTCCAATCTGTAGAAGGAGAGTGCAGGTAAAGAAGACAGCAAATGAGACTCTTGAAGAGGATCAGTTGAGGTATTGCTCCTCACAAGAAGGCATTAGCTGCGGGGGTCTGCCCGCAGACCCTGACCCAAATGATGGATGAATAAAACATACACTGACACACAGATATTCTGTTTTGCCAGTCCTGCTGAGTGTCCAACCGCCTGCCCACCAAGAAAGGTTTGTCACTGTGGCTGGCCTTGAGCAGTTTGCACTCCAGGCATTTATTTAGTATACAATTAACAACGGATGCTCTGAGTTAACACACTTGTGGATAATTAACATGGTTAAGAGAATAGTTCTACAAATGAATAAAGCTCAGGTACCGTGGTTTAGAGTAAATACCATTAGGCGGCAACATCCCTGGTCGACCTGCCCCCCAGCCCCCCCTCCCACTCAAGAGGGCCATCTGGCTCAAAGGTTAGTTAATGGAAGTAGGGTAAACAGACTTAACTGGGGAAGCCTCTATTGTCCCTAGTATTTACCCTATGACCTAATGCTCTAAGGTAGGGACCAGCTGCCTTCAGCCTGTTCAATTATTACAAGCTATGTAAAAAAGGTTTGTGACTATTCCCTATAACTTTCCCTAATGTTTCCCTTTAATATTTCTGCCACCATCCTGAGTGAATCCCAACAATCAGTGAAGTAAGGGGGAAAAGTGGGGGATGTTAGAGTCTTGGAAGCCATGAGAGAAGAGAGTTTTAAGAATATGAGTGTGGCTGACTTGGTAAGAAATTGAGTAAGGTGAGGACAGAAACATCATTAAAAATATTGGCAACCTTAACAGAAACATTTTTAATGGAGTAGTAGGAAAATAGTTAAGATTGTGTTGGATCAAAGTGTGTAACTGGAAACAACAATTGAAGATAGCCTGTGCAGACCAATCTTCTGAGCAAGTTGGCTTTAGGAGAGTTCAGGAATATAAGCAAATAGTTAGAGATAGTGAGAAATTGGATGTTTTGCTGTATTATGTTTTCTTTTACCTCTTTTTTATACAGTGGCTGAACACACCAGAAAATTCTGGTATACTGATATGATTGCCAAAGAAGAGAAGAAAAAAAGAGGAAAAATTAAAGAAACAAAGTTCTGAGAAGAGTCAAGGGGATGGGGCTTCAAAGAAGATATGAAATATTGGCCTTTTTCCTTTGGTAAAAGGAAAGACATTTCTATCATTAAAAGCAATGAAATAAAAGGTGGGCTAATCTAAGTAAGATTGCAGGTTTGTTGAGGACAAGATTAAGACAGTGAAAATATTAAGTGAGCTTAGAAAAAGGATATGGGAATGAATGAATGGACTGTTTCCAATTGATATTACAAAAGTGTTACAGCTATTGATAAAGAATCAATGAAAAAATATGAATAACAGGATGGTCAGGCAAAAATGAGAGTTTAACTGAGTTTGAAGATAAGCACAGGTCAATAGTACCTAGGCTCATTCATCATTGTTTTGTGACATCCTCCAGAAAGCCCATAATAATAAGATAAAACAAATTTCCATAACTGGAATTATAAAAGACTATTAGATTGACAAAATAATAGTAAAGTTTATATTGAATGACTGGTTGTAAAACAATGACTTGAAAAAGAGAGAGGTGATGCCAGATTTAGGAGATGGAGAGGAATATGGTAGGACTTGGACAACTAAAGATCTCCATTTTGGTAGAGATAAAGATATGACTCAGTAGAAATTTACATAAAACATTAGGAGGCACAGTCAAAGAGTGAGATTTCAGAGTAGGTTATCCAAAGAAAGTTTTCAACTGATAATTAAATCTATACTATTAGTGCTTATGTGAGTGACTCAGCTGGCTAATATGAAAGTCAGTGTTTTGAAGAAGTTGAAGATAATTAGGGCAGTGTGAGAGGAATACCAAAATAGACAAAAAGAAACCACATATACTGTAATTTTTGGCAGTAAAAAGAATTTTTTCATGTCACTTTTAGTACTAACTGGGTGACAAAAGTTAAATAACTCATTTATTTTCCTAAACTTTTGATTAATTTCCTTATTGGAGGCTACCACAAAGAAAATTGACAATTTTAGAATTCGAGGTAAAGGTCAATCATATATTAAATGTCAGTCCTGAGAAAAGAAATTAAGTCTTGACAGTAGAATATATTCAAAGAGAACCACCAACTTTGCCCCCTGCTAATGCGGCTTAGCTATAGATGCCCCCTGAAAATAATTTTTAGCTACAGTAATTATCTAAAATAAGCAAACAGAAATAGATCTTTGCTCCAGGAAATTTTCAATGCTGCCCTGAGATTGAGTAGGAAAATGTGTGTGTGTGTGTGTGTGTGTGTGTGTGTGAATGAACATGATCAGATACTTTTGGAATGACTTTGGATATTAGTACGTACACTATAGGCAAGAAATTCTGAATAATTCAGTGATATAAGACAACTTCTGTGTCTTTTAAAAATTATAGTCTAAAGAAAGATGTCAGAGAGATGAATATTTGCTTTGAACAAATGTAACATTTACAGAATCCTTTATACAAAGAATTAAACAGAAATTCATTATTTGTTTTGTAAAATAGTTATTATAATATCCTTTTAAATGTCATCTCTTCATTAAGTTTTAATAATTGGATAACTTTTGTAGAGCTCAAATATTTTGTACATCAGGATTGAAATGCATGCTAACAAAATAAACCTAAAGAAGAAAATTGAATAAAATATGGTTCTTTCAAATAAGCAAACAAAATTTAGTAATCTGAAAAGCAGAAATATTGAGCAAAGAGAATGCAATATGCACTAAAAATATATACCATTATATATTGTATATATAAAAAATAGAATGGAGATGGTTAATGGTTACAAAAATATACTTAGAATAAATAAGATCTAGTATTTGATAGCACAGCAGGGTAACTACAGTCAACAGTAATTTACTGTACATTTTAAAATAGCTAAAAGAATATAATTGGATTACTTGCAACACAAAAAAAGAGTAAATGCTTGAGTTGATGGATACTCCATTTTTCCTGATGTGATTATTATTCATTGCATGCCTGTATCAAAATATCTCAAATACTCCATAATCATTTATACCTACTATATACTTGTACAAATGAAAAATTAAAAAATAAGAAGTGTTCATTTAAAACATACTTATAATGGTTAAATTTGTGTGTCAACTGAGTAGGTTAAGGAATTTCTAGATAGGTGGTAAAACAGTTTTGGGTATGTTTGTGAGGATGTTTTAGGAAGAGATTGGCATTTGAATCAGTAGATTGGGTAAAGAAGATCTATTCATCTGTTGAAGGCCTGAGTAGAGCAAAAAGGTGGAGAAAGGACAAATTTTCATCTCTTTTCTGAAGCTGAAACATGCATCTTCTCCTGCCTGTGGACACTGAAGCTCCTGGTTCGAGTCCGGGACTCAAACCAGTGTGTCCCCCAAACACCCACAACCTGCAGGGCCCTCAGCCTTGGACCAAGACTTACACTATTGGCTCCCCTGGTTCTCAGGTTCTCAGATTTGGACTGAATTACACCACTGGCTTTCCTGGTTCTCCGGCTCACAGATGGCATCTGATGGAACTTCTCAGCCTCCATAATCTCATGAGCCAATTCCCATAATAAATATTCTCTTACGCCTACACATACCCAGTTGGTTCAATTTCTCTGGAAAACCCTAAGATCATACTAATTCCATCATATTTAATGTACATGTTGAAATATGAAATACTGTTTAAAAATGAACATTTATTAAGTTTTCTATGAATTAAATACAGATATAATCAAAATTAGCAAGTTTGGTGGTTCCAAAGTCTCCTAAATGTGACAGAAAGAACAGTTAAGAGAGGAAAAAAAAAGAATGTGATATCTAGAAAGAGAAAAACTTTTCCAGTGAAAACCTAAAAATTCTTAACCACAAGTTTTCACTTAACATTAAAGTATATTTAGAAGTAGAGACGGTAGGAGCATTTAAGCTCTCTCTCCCAAGAACCTACTATATTTTTATTACTACTGTTTTTTAAACTTTTATTTTAGGTTCAAATGTTACTAGGTGAATTTGCATGCCACAGGGTTGGTTTACAGATTATTTTATCACCCAGGTAATAAGCATACTACCTAATATGTGTATCAATGTTTAGCTCCCACTCATAAGTGAGAACGCAGGTATTTGGTTTCCTCTTCCTGCATTAGTTCGCTTAGGACATGATCTTGTTCTTTTTTATGGCTGTGTAGTATTCCGTGATATGTATGTACCACATACTATTTGTTACTAGGTGAATTGCATGCCACAGGGTTGGTTTACAGATTATTTTATCACCCAGGTAATAAGCATACTACCTAATATGTGTATCAATGTTTAGCTCCCACTCATAAGTGAGAACGCAGGTATTTGGTTTCCTCTTCCTGCATTAGTTCGCTTAGGACATGATCTTGTTCTTTTTTATGGCTGTGTAGTATTCCGTGATATGTATGTACCACATTTTCTTTACATAGTCTATTGTTGATGAGCCTTAGTGTTGATTTCATGACTTTGCTATTGTGCATAGTGCTGTGATGAACAAAAATGTGCATGTGTCTTTATGGTAGAATGAAGGAACCTACTAATACTATTTTAACAGAACTTTGACAGCTGCTTCTCTGTTTACACAGCCTAACATAAACAAATGTGTCTGCTTAGGTCAACAGTTAGAAACAGGAGGTTTACAAAACTCATTTGGCATGAAGACCAGTTTTGTTTGGTCTACAGAGATTTTAAATTTTGCAAACATTTAAAAATAATGAAATTTTATATGAAAATAAGTTTTCTGGCTTCTTTTGAAAGAACAGAATAGTTGGTGACACTGCTGTTAAAAGAAAAACTTTAGACAAATTAAATTTGACAGAGTTTAATTGAGCATAGAACGATTCATGAATAAGGTAGCCTCCCAAACCAGAATAGATTCAGAGAGACTCTGGCAGTGCTGAGTGGTTGAAGATTTATGGACAGGAAAAGGAAAGTGACATACAAAAAATGGAAGTGAGAAACAGAAACAGCTGGATTGGTTACAGTTTGCCATTTGCCTTATTTGAACTTGCTTTGAACAGTTGGCCACCTTTGATTGTCTGAAACTCAGTGATTGCTACAAGAGTAACAGCCTGTTTACACAACCATTTAGGCTACGGTTCACTATGTATAGAGAAACCTTTAGAATTAGCTCAAAATATGTAAGGAGGCAGCTTTAGACTAAATTTAATTTAACACTGTGCTTTAAGTAGCAGCTGGTTTCTTTTCACATGGGCCTTAACCTGTTCATTTTCCAGTCCTTTCCACTTACCTGAATACTTACACCTGCCCTTCCTGGAAAATTGTCTTGGCCCTTGTAGGTGTTTGACTTTGGGATGCCCTGCTCAGTCTGTGAGTTCTGAATGCCAATCAATTCCTTGCAAATCCCATCTTTTACTAATGTGGAAATCTGACCTCTACTCAAACCTATGTGAAAGGTCATAAGGCTCAGGAAATAAGACAGTAGATATGGCTCTGCCTGCACCTGTGAGAATACTGCAGAAGTAGAGAACAGAGAAATTCAACCTCCTGTGTTTGGATCAGACAAGAAACAATGGAAGGATATGTGGCAGAAGTAAATAAAGTAATTAATAAGAAGAATGAGACAATTTTAGGAGGGAATTTTATAAAATGATCAATTGATTGTGGAAATACGTTTCACTTTCCTTTCATTATTTCATATCTCAACTTCCTCATTCAATTAATTCAATAATGCGACTTTCTCATTTTCTTATACCCTTGTCTTCAATTAATTAATGCAGTAAATGAATGAGAAGTCAAATTTAAGAGAAATTTTCTATAGAGAACAATTAAGTCCAAAGGAAAAGATAATGAACAGAATTTAAATGAGTAAAATAAATTTATAAAATGTGATGGCCAAAATTATCATACTTTGTGTAATTTCTTTCAAAATGTTGGATGAATTTCATTCATTTACCACATTGCAAAATGAAAAATAACATGTTAAAGTCAGGAGAATAATCTTATGAAATCATAAATAAAAAGGAAATTATAGTTTTCATACTTTTGGTTACAAATGACAGAAGACAAAGGAATGTGAGCAATTGAAATCCAGTAGTTTTCTCACAAAGGTTAATTGAAAAAAATGAAGAAACACTTAAAAGTGTTAGACAAATGTACAGTCCCCTCTGCTCACTGACACTTGTTGGCATTCCTGTTTACAGCCTCTAAGACTAACTTTCTTAAAGTTCATGAAATATTTTATCTTAGTATGCTTCAATTCATCACTATGGCAATTTAAATTATCTTTAAAAGTAGTATTGCTGATTCAAATTATTTTTTTATATTGCTGATGCAACTTGTACTATACTCTTTCTTGATTGAATTTCTTATTTCTGAGGATTTCGTGTCTCATTTCTAATTACAAGGAGCTGTCCTTTGCCATCAACAATATGAATGAGCCTTCATTAAAGAGGTTTCACTGGAGAAAGAAAGAATGAGAAAAAAAACAGAGAGAGAGAGAGAGACCTTGAGAGTCTAGCGAGAGCAAGAAATAGACAGGTGTGAAAAAAGGAGATGAAAGAATACACCAATTTTATTTCATGCAGGGATTCTTAACAGTTGTATTATTGACATTTTGGGCCACATAGTTATTTGTTGTGAGGAGCTGAGCTAAGCTATGCTTTGCAGGATGTTTAGCAGTCTCCCTAGTCTTTATTCACTAAATTCCAGTAATGCCTCTTCTGCAAGTAGTGACAGCCAAAAATGTGTCCTAAAGTACAAAATTATTCTCAAACAAGTGTTTTATACTTTCCAGTCTTTCTGAGTTAAATTTTCCACAATAAAGCTATTCCCATGGTAGAGTTGACTGACTTAAAACTAAATCATGTCTAATTTTTTACATTTTAAAGAGTCACTGTTTTAAGGTATTTAGTTTCTGATTAAAATAATTTAAACTATTTTTTACTGGAAAAGTTTTATTCCCCTTTGTCTTCAAGTAAATGATTAAATTCCAATGAATATTACTCTGGCAACTAAAGGTTTTTCATATGAGGTATACATTTTTGGCTAGAAATAATTCCAAGAAAAAAAACCTTCAGTATAAATGTTTCCTTTATTTTATATTCTCATTTTACATACTATGGTTAAATGATTTTTGGTTAAAACACAAAACCTCAGAGCAAAGAAATGCATCAATAAGGAAGTTGTAATCAACTAATCTCTAATATCGGGTGACATTACAACGTGCCTATATATGCACAACACTTGATTGCCTAACCTTATTTTTTGTACTAGAAATAATATTTTCTATTCAAATATGAGCAGTTTGGTAAATATTGCTGATAATTCTTCTTATTATAATTATTATTATTAAGCCATGACTCAAAGTATTTATCACACTTTTCTCATACCTTTATTCTCATATTTTTAGAAAATCATTTTATGGCAGAAATTTGGCATTTAAAGATGGAAAAGCTAAGGCCCAGGAGGAAAATAATTTGTACATTACATAATGGTGGCACTTAGAAACTAATCAGGATCTTTAGGTCCATACTCTTGTGCTAAGCCACTAAGTGGATACTTCTGTGAGGTCTAGAAGTATCTTAGTTTTTTCTACACATTTACTAATTTTATACCATAATGTTCTGGTGTCACTGATTCACTAGCAGGGATTAAGAATGTTCTCACCAACTGGAGAAAATTTATCCTGAATGATATGCAATTAAGGGATTTGGATAGCTATGAAGAGCAACTACATAAATTGAACTGTAAAAAATATTCCAAACCATTGTGAAAATCTTATCTCCAAAGTAAATGAATCTAGGAAGTAATTCATTCCAATCTGTGTTGTCCAATACGGTAACCTCAAGCTACATGTGGAAATATAATTTTAAATTTAGGACATCGTGAAAATTTAAGGAAAAAACTATCACTCTGACTTAAGGCAATAGTCATAGAAAAGATGTTTCATTTTATGAGTTTTGCAAATTATAATATTCTCCAGAAATAGATGTCAGTCTACTTTTTTGATTTATGTTTTAAAATTCAATTTCTTGAGAACTCAGAGTAATATTGACTGGCTGCCCAACCCTGCTCAATCTGACATGTTAGGAAGGCTATTATCAAAAAGACAGGCAATAGCAAGTGTGGGTGAGATCATGAAGAAAAAAGAACTGTTGTAAAATGTTGCTGAATTCAGTCTGCTGGTATTTTATTGAAAATTTTTGCATCTATGTTCATGGGAGATTTTGACCTTTAGTTTTCCTTTCCTATAGTGTCCTTGTCTAGCTTTGGTATAAGAGTAATGCTGGCCTCATAAAATTAGTTTGGAAGTATTTCATCTACTTTTTCCTGGAAGAGTTTAAGAAGGAATGGTATTAGCTCCTCCTTGAATGGAGTTCAGCTGTGAAGGCTTCTGGTCCTGAGCTATTCTTTGCTGGAAGGTTTTTTTATTACTCCTTATTCATTATTGGTCTGTTCCGGCTTTTATTTTTGTTAATTCAGTCTTGGTAGATTGTATGTTTCTAGGAATATGTCCATTCCTTTTAGGTTTTGCAATTTGTTGGCACATAATTGTTCATAATAGTGCCTTATGAGGTAAGTGTTGGTGAGGGTGGGGACCCCTTGTACACTGTTGGTGGGAATATAAATTGGTACAGCCATTACAGAAGTTTGAAACTTCCTCAAAAAATTAAAAATTGAACTACCAAAGGATCCCTCAATTTCTCTGCTGGGTATATATCCAAAGGAAATGAATTCAGTATCTCTAAGAGATATATGCATTCCCATATTCATTAAAGCATTTTTCATAATAGCCAAGATATGAAACCAACCTGTGTCTGTCAATGGATAAATGGTAAAGAAAGTGTAATTTTATTTACATATATATTTTCCACACATATATGAAAAGTGAGAATATAGACAGTGTCCCTGGGAACTTTTTTTTTTTTGAGACGGAGTCTCTATCACCCAGGTTGAAGTGCAGTGGTGTGATCTCGGCTCACTGCAAGCTCCGCCCCCCGGGTTCACACCATTCTCCTGCCTCAGCTTCCTGAGTAGCGGGGACTACAGGCGCCCGCCACCACGCCCGGCTAATTTTTTTGTATTTTTAGTAGAGACGGTGTTTCACCATGTTAGCCTGGATGGTCTCAATCTCCTGACCTCGTGATCCGCCCGCCTCCTCCTCTCAAAAGTGCTGGGATTACAGGCATGAGCCACCGCGCCCGGCCCCCTGAGAACTTAATAATGTGATCTGCTGCAGAGTATTTTGAGATGACCAATTCATAGAGGATGGTCATTAAATTCAACTTGTACAAAATTTGATACAATATTCTGTGCAATTAGGTATTTAATTAAATATTTAAATGAGTTAAAAAGTTAACCTGAATATAAAATATATGTTAGAACCATTGCTCACTGTAATAACTAACATGAAATAACATTTTCCTTTCTTTAGTATTTTCTTAATGATGAAAAGTTGTAATTGTAAGAAATATTTGAAAATAATCATGCCAATATATGCAATTCTTGGAATCTTTTACAGTGTCAAACATATGCGTTGTTCACAACATTTTTTCCCACAAATATTTGTTGATTATAATAAACTTCCAAGCAAGTATGATTGGAGAAACCCAAGATACTCTGGTGGATGAGCTGAACTTCAGTTTTTTGGGAGGCACTCCTGTCTTCATGACTCTAGAATCAACTGTTGAACCTCAATTCTCAGGAGTTACCTAGAGTCTAGGTAGGGACTAGACTGTTCGAGTCCTTATTTCTATGAAAATTATTGCTAGACTTGTGAAACTCTAGGCCTAAGATCAGCGGCTCTGTGCACCCCTAAGATATTGATGGCAGCATAGGTGCTATTTTGTGCTAAATGTTTACGCTACTTTGAAACCCTTTAAGGGCCTGAAACTCTGTTAAATGCCTATGGCTGGCAGATCAGGGTTGTGGAGTAGCTGAATTCCTTTGTCAAGCCAACTCAGTGTCTAAAACTTGAGTATATATTAAAATTCAGAATGTTCATTTATAAATGAATAAAGTTTCTTAAAATGTAGGTGCTCTTATAGTAGAGAATCCTACATCATAGACTTTGATTTACATTTTTATGAATTTGTTGGTCTCCTAGATTGCTCTGTTTGAATATGCACAAAGATAATATATTACGGTTCAATTCTTCATCACAGCCTTGAACATTTCAATTTCTTAAGAGTTCTATAGTGACCTCCAAAATCCTCTATGCAGAACTTGCAATGAACACCTGTACATTCTAGTTTTCACATTTTAGGACATAAAGATAAGAAGCATTACAGTGTCGGATGTGTGTAATGCAAACAAGCAACTGCCTGCTGCTAGATGACTTAATTATTAGAAACAGTGAAAGGGCAATATTCATTTTTCAGGCCTGAGTGGTTATTTCTTTATGTTAATACAATTTTAATCCACATTAACATTCTTCAGATGCCTTATAGGAATCCCCACATCTCTTCTTTTCCTATCTGGCAGTTCATTTTGCAAGATTATCAGCCTTACCGTGGCTTTCAAATTCTTGTCGTTCTCCCAGTTTAAAGATAATTTCCTGAGCTTATTACAGACATTCCCCCATTTTATATAAAAAATTATAAGTTTATATAATTTTTTAAACACTGTTTTTCTTGCAGTCTGCATTTTGTGCTTCTTTTAATCTTCTTCTATGAAATGCTTTATTTCCTAATTGTGATATTGGAATTTGCTGAGCCAACCATACTTGCTCCAAAGCTAGATTCTGAAGAAATGCAGGTGCTGCAGAACTGCTAAAAACTGTCACTTTTTCTCTGGCTAATCACAGTCATGGTTTGATTAACTGTTTGCCTTTGTCTGCTGCCTGTGGTGATGTGACTTTAGTTCTCTTATCTTGATGGCATCTGGAAATATCTCATAGGAATGAAACTGCAACGTAATTACTTCACACTGAACAGAGAAACAATATCATCCATTGTAAGCTGTGTAGGTGTAAACAGGGTCCTGAAACTATGTAAGAAAATGACTGCAGAGTCTTTATTCATGGAATAGCTCTCATTTTCTTTCATATGGTAACAGTATATTAAAATAGTTTGATTTTACAAAGCGCCTTTTATCTCAGTTTCTCTGTGTATTTAGAGACTATTCTGTAATGTGGTATTAAGCAAACACGTGTCCAGAATAAAGTCTTTCTAATTCTGCATATTTAAACAAATGAGTAAATAAAACTAATGATGAGGATATCAAATTTCAGGATGAAAATTTCTAACAATTAATGGGATCGTGTGGTAGATCCAGGAATAATAATGTCTTATTTAAAAACAAATAAACAAAAACCCTTAATTTCCTCTAGAAGTTCTACCTCTGAAACACCTTTGTACAAAGTGAATCCTCTAGAGAATTCCCTGACGTGCTTTAAAGTAACCTACTAATGAAATGAATTATTGATCTGCTGTGAATATATGTATATATACATACATACATATATATATATATATATATATATATACATACATATATATATATATATACACACATACATATATATATACACTTTTTTTTTTTTTGAGACTGGAGTGCAGTGGCGCCATCTCGGCTCACTGCAAGCTCCACCTCAATCCCAGTTCACTGCAAACTCCGTTTCCCAGGTTCACGCCACTCTCCTGCCTCAGCCTCCCGAGTAGCTGGGACTACAGGCACCTGCCACCACGCCTGGCTAATTTTTTGTATTTTTAGTAGAGATGGGGTTTCACCGTGTTAGCCAGGATGGTCTCAATCTCCTGACCTTGTGATCCGCCCACCTCGGCCTCCAAAAGTGCTGGGATTACAGGTGTGAGCCACTGTGCCCGGCTGCTGTGAATATTTTAACAAAATTTCTATTTAATTTAGAAAATTGACATCTATGTTATATTCTGCTGACTTTGCTTAATTATAATGACCATTATTTAAGAAAAAAAAAAGGAAAGAACATAAGAACATGAAGCCATAAAATCCCGATGACCATTGGCAAATAATAAACAACTGTTCTGTTTCAAACATTGAATTTCGTGGTATGTTAAAAAAATGTGCGAAAGGTGTTTAATATATAGATTCTGCAAAAAGGCATATGGAGAAAAATTGGACTCTCACTGAAACATATATGATTTTGCTTTCAAAGCTCTTTTCCTGCAGAAAGTCATCTTTAGGAAACAAGAGTTTCAAAATATCAGCCTATCATTCATAACTCAGAATGGCCTGTTGGTCTCTGAAACTAGTTTGCTTTGTATTCCAATTCAGTTCAGAAGATTCATTTCAAAGTAGCAAACAGGAAGTAACAACAGGCCTATGACCCTCAAAAAAAGTTTGAGAAATTTTGTAGAAATAAATGTAGGGTCCGGGAATGTGTAGACAGGGTCTGTACCTCCCTTGACTCATGAGATAACCCCAGAGCTGATGGGAAACTTCCCAAGGGCAGGATCATGGGCAGTTCCATGTCCGTGTCCCTTGGAGGGTGGGCATGTGCCAGAGCCCCAGGACTAAGTGGTCAGGAACACTTAATAAATGTGGAAGTTTCAATAAACTAATTTTTATTAGACAAAATATGCAACAAATTCAGTGCTCAATCATTTGCAAGCATATTTTCCGCCCCAGGGACTACTGAAAACAAGCGTAGAATGGCTTCTAGGGCACTGTTGTAAAATTCTGTAAAGATTCTCAGTAACACCTTATTTAACAAGCCTGAAACCTAAGTGTTAGAGGCATAAAGATAGAGAAAAACACTCTAAAATGATACATTTCTGTAGATGTAGGAAGGTTTAGGTATTGATTTATATTCGCCCAAATCTTTTTTGTCTTTTAATTTCTGTCTCATCTTTTTCACAGTATCCACAATTCTCTCATTTTCTCAGAGGTATAAGGACACGAAAAGTCTCAACAAAGCATCCTGGTTTATTCTGAGGTATTTTCATTCTGGATTTAAAATACTAAACCCTGTTATCATATTTCTTTCTCCCCTGAAGCTTTGGATAATCTCAAGGCAAAACACATCCCTAACAATTGGGTTACCTCTACAAATCTTGAAAATCCTACATTCAGAATTGTTTCATCTGGCATAAACCTGCAGGTTTGCATGGGTGAGTAACCAACCATACTCGAATACAGGTAGTAGTGTAATTTGAAATGGAATTTGATTCCTTTCTTCTTAGGAGGAGCAATCTTATTTGAAAATGAAAATCACAATCCATGTGTATGGCTGTTTTACAAGAATTGTCACTTTTTTTTTTAGAAAGGCTGTAAACAAGAGAAAGGGTTCCTGTCTAACAGAGGAACATCACCTGATAATTGCATAAGAAAATTATAACTAATTTTGTTAGGTACTATTAGAAAGCAGGTAGAACTAAGGAAAATCTGTCTCTTGATAAAAGTAAAATTATATTAAAGAGACAATTCTATTGTATAAGGGTAAATATGCATTTAACATTTCATTTAAAGTTAGGAATACATCTACAATAAACTGTTATTCCTACTCTGATTACTTAATTCCTGAGAAGTCATAAAAAACAAAACAATGTAACTTACCAATCAATTATATAAAGCATATAGCTATATTGTTTGTAAAAGAAAATATTAGCTTTTAAGCTAATGTGTGTATAATATGTGTAAATATCAAAGTAACAATAATTTATGATGGCTGCTTTTTTTTTTAAAAAAAAAAAAAGGTAAAATATCACTTTTCAATCAATGATAGGGCCTGTGCAGGAAGTTGTCATTTTCAGCTTAAGGATAAATTAGCAAAAGTTTTGTCTATCGACTCTCACCTGGTCTTTCATGCTGAGAGACCTGCATTACTAAGGACTGTCTTGTAACTAGAGTTTGTGGGTATGTAACAGCCAAAAGTTAAGTAGACCACTGACACTTTGGACCTCTAATTCGGCTCTTATCAGCCACAGGCTAAGGCTGAAACGATTGACCACAGAGATCTGAGGAGCTGAGTAAGCGGCTAGGGCAGGTTTGACTCTTTTTGAACAAAGCCAGACAAAACTGTAGAAAAAGACTTTTTAACTATGTTTGTAGCTAGAAGAAAAATTACTTTGGTCAAAAGTGGATGTAATAATGCTTGTAACTATCTGAGAGGAAGCAGACTAGTCAACTCCTTTTTTTGCTTTTATCATCTTTATTAAAGGAAATGGTCTGCAGACTAGGAAGAGTAGAACAAGCATGGCTCAGAGGAAATTTATTCGGTATGGCAATAACACCGAAGTGATAAAATCAGTGTGACTGGGCAGTGATGTTGTTTGACCTCTGGGACTCCCCAGCAGTCTTTTATGCTTAATGGACCACATGACAAATGAATGTGGTCATTCATTCATTCACTCATTCATTCATTCAACAAATACTTATTAAGCTTATCTTCTGGAGGATGGAGTTGACTATATTAATCAGCATGTAAGATCATTTCAGAAAGTGACAAATTCTTTAGAAAGAACCAAGGAGAAGGAATAATCATTGCAAAGACCTGCAGAGTCATTTTCTTTTGTTTTGATCACTTTTTGCTGCCCCTGAAATATTCATCTATTTCCCACCTTCATGTCTTCACATGCTATTTCCTCTGCCTAGGATGACTTTTCTGTCCTCTGCTTAGAAAACCTGTAATTATGACTCAAAATCCAACAAAAATAACACATGCTCTGTGAAACTCTCATCATTCAACTGCTTGAAAAGGAAGGGACTTGAGAAATTAGCATTACCTAGTTATTCTAGGCACATTTTGCGAATGTCCTTTCAAAATATATATAACATTATTGTTTTTATTTACCTTTTCTTCTCTTACCCTGTTAACTTGAGCTATTGTAATGAAATAATCCTATATATATTTATTACCATAGATCAGTAACTGGCAAAACTTTTCTGTGAATTATTTTATAAAATATTACCAGGTTGTAAATGTTTAGGTTTTGTGGGCCTTACAGTTTCTGCCACAATTATTCACCTCTGCCATTATAGCATGATAACAGTCATAGACAATTTGTGAATTAATGGGTATAGTTCCTATAAAACATTATTTACAAAAAGGGGTGGTGGGCCAGATTTGACCCATGGAAAGTAGCTTGCTGACCCTCATAATTACAGGTTCTATTTACTTTTCCTTTTCCTTTCTGTTGTTTGGAATAAGTTCCTATGGTTTGTATATTTTGTTATATGAGCTTTGTCTTTCCACATTTCATTTCTATTCATTTGAAAGATATATTTTATGTTTTAAATCCTACTGTTGGTTACATTTGAGGGTCTAAAAAGGGTCTAAAAAATATATGAACACATGTTATAAATAACAATGGCAAAACTTGAAAGAGTGTATCTATCCAATTCTCCTCAAGGAAGATGAGAAAACTAACACGAACTTTTTTCCTCATCCTCATCTCTTCCATTTCAAATTTCTATAGTTGTATCAGAATTTGTAAATGAATTTATTATTTTAAAATTATTTTTATATTATGTGTATTGTTCTTTTAAGGTTTATTATGACATTTGACTTGTTTTATAACCATATGTATAAAATTTCATAGAGTTGATCCTATTTAAAAGCATTGAGTGAATATTACAATAATTTTTATATCACCTTTCCTCCATTATTTAGTTCCTTTTGTTTCCTCATTCTTCAGTTGGCTAAATTACATTCTGATGTAATTTTTTTGTGGGGGGCAGTTTTTGTGTCCATGATACACATTCTGAGCCACTGAATACTTGTGAATATTTTTCTAATGCCTTAACACATGGAAAATAACTCTCTTGATAATCAAATTTATGTTCTCATGGTGATTCTCTATTCTGCATTCTTTTGGCTTCCTTTTAAGTTAATTATTGGAAAAGGAAAATGGGCATTAAGTTTTATTAAGCTCTTTGAAATACTTATCTTTTCTTCTTGAAGATTTAAAATATCTCCATTTGCTTTTGCCAACAATCAATCACCTATAACAAATACTCATCAGATCCTTCTAAAATATATTAACTTTTAGGATACTAAATAGCAGCTAGCATGTTTTCATGATAAGCAAATTATACCAGAATAATTTAATTCTCTGCCAGGGAGAAATACCAGGTAGAAAAAAAAAAAAAAAAAAACTTATATCTGACACAACTGTATTATGCTGAGGCTTTTGATTTGGTTTGACCTGAAAATTCTACTAGCTTTGTAGGAAAGGTTGGTTTTGAACATACTCATATTAGGTAGACTAACAAATTACTAAAAGACCAAATTCAAATGAAAAGCATTATGATGACATGGATGGAACATGAATTTAAGTTAATAATCAGGAGAGATGTTTGTTTGTTTATTTTATTTTTTATTATTCCATTTTCCTGTTTAGACCTGAGGCAATTTTTCCCATTCATTTGTTAATATATAAAATAGATATAATACCTATCCAGAATGGTACCTATGAAATTGTTCTGAGGATCACTGGAAAATGTAAATATAAGTTTTTGTAGCTATAAAATCTATACTTTAACATTATTATTTTCCATTTTATTAAAATAACCCATGCAACCTAAGAAGTCAAGTAAAGGTATTATTAGTGTAATATATGTATGTGTGTCTGTGTGTGCATATATATTTTAAACAACATTTTTCCATATGACATAGGGTATGATATATACCAATAATTGTTCTTCTTTAATGCATTATAACATTGCAAATATTTTATTTACTAAATCAAATACTTTTGTCATATTCCAGGCAATATAATAGACATTAAAATGCAGATACAAAATAATACAGAATTTTCTGTATTCCCCATAATTCACCTGCACAAACTGATGTGCAAACTTAGTGTGAAAATCACTAGCCAACTGGATAGC